>NC_000003.12:75010000-76260000 GCF_000001405.40 Homo sapiens | reverse complement strand
CTACCATTTCAATTTCATACCAGATTGTCATAAACTATGAAAAGTCTAGGTTTTACCCTGCTTATGAGTTTGTAAGTTAGCCTGACAGATTCACTGATGCTGCCAGCAGACACAAGACTCCTGGGTCAGAAACAAGGGATGTTATTACCCAGGTTTAGCAGGCAGCATAAGCTTCCTGTTCACTCGGGTCTTTCTTGTTGACCAAGTCACGTGGGAGGAGGTGTGAACATGGGCCCAGGGGGATGCCTTGCGCACAGTGAATCTGCATCACAGCTAAGGAGCCCAAAGCTTAGGAAACCACCACTTCTTATAAGGACTGAAAGCAAAGCTTCTCTACATTTGTCTCAGAGAGGGACATTATCTTTACTATACTGAACAGTAAACAAATGTACTTCTTCTGTTCAGGAGGAAAACACTATCTCTAACTTTCTAGGCAGTCTGTCTTAAAAATGTAGTCTATAGCAATTGTCACCAGGGCCTCTGCTTACAAGATGTATGGACACATGAGAATCTATATAGAACTGACTCTCAAACAGATAAATCCAAATAAGTATTTGGATTTGAATAAACATTTGTGAGCTTTCTGTAACTGGTCCCCCATCTTATTTCTTTAGTCTTGTATCTGCCCAGAAGCATGCAGTGAATAAACTTTACACTTCATAAATAAGGAACTAAGTGTAGAGAATTAAATAAATTGTTAATGACTAACATTGATGAGGAGGTGGAGATTAGATTTAATTTACTGTAATTTCTGATCCCAAGTTCTTTTAGTTGGATCTGATGTCATACTTTCTCTCCTATTTTTCCTGAAATAAGAATATATTTAAAAAACAAAAAGCAAAACAAAACAAAACAAAACAAAAAACACCAGCAGCCTAAAAAACAAAGCATAGTGAGATTAGGTCACCCTAACTGTGTCTAAAATAAGAACTATTTAACTTTTACAAAAATAATACTCAGTCTTAGTCAACAGAGAAATAAATGTGTCTGAAATGATGTTCCTAGTCTTTTTAACTAAATGATAACCATTGGGGCCAAGAAAAGTTGATAAAATGTGATGACTTTTCTCTCCAAAATAAAGGAAACAATAGTCATTGCTGAAAAATTCCAAGCCTACATTATAGCTTACACTCAATTACAGTCAAACATCTATTAGTAGAAAAAAATAAGGGAGAAATAAATTAAAGCAGGTCATCTGAATTAGGTAGAGCTGTTTAGAAAAATAATTTTTTGAGACTATATTCAGTTATATGTTGAGAATAATCTGTGGTGAGGAAGACGAATCAAACAAGAGAACTAAAATAAGCTACACATTTTAGAAAAATATCTGAAAATTTAAAAAAGGAGATGAAGAAATGATCAATGAACAGAGTAAAATTAGATACAATAACAACAGAACCATGAAAGAAACCAGATATTTACAAATAACATTATGAATAACCACAGATAGCTATATTTCACATTTGTGATTCTTAACAATATTTTCTTTTGTTAAGGTGACTTTTATAAAGTATTATAAGTTACGTAAAAGTTTAAATAATGTGCTGGTACTCGGTAAATGTCACATTTACATTGATTTTTAAAATGTAAGAATGTAAGATTGCTTTGCTTTCTGAAACTGAAATTTCTTTAAAACAGTTACCTTTTAATATAAAGTTGGATAAAAATGTATTGCTATTGAGGATTAGTGATGCAGAAAAAATAAGAACTTAGAATAAGCATTAATGTGAACATCAAATATCAAATATACAGATTAAAGAATATTAAAATTGATTCAAATCAAAATCATGCATATATCTTACAAAGACACCATAAAATGGAGAAACTTTTATGTTGGAAAAAAAAAGTGTTTAGTTTTGATAAGACGCTTAATACAAAAGAAGAGGCAACTTTTGCTGTAGTTGTATGTTAGGATAAAAAAAACTAAAAGGGTGTAAATCTGAGTTTCTCTAGGCTAACAGATTAGTGGATGATGAGAGAAAAAAACAGAAAATATGACTTTCCAAAAAATTTTCAAGAGACTCAATAAAATATACCAAGTGCTGAAATATGTGAAGCGTTTTTGTCTGTTTTCCAATGGCACAGGCATAAATTTAAAATGAAAAATTTCTTTCAAACACATTGTTCTATCTTTCCCCCACCCCATAACCCTTTATTTGATGACTTATGAACATATGGAGGATGCACTGATATAATAAGTGAGAGAAAGGAATTGTGCACTATGAAATACACTATACAATAGCGATCAGCACATACAATATGGAGAGTACAGAAATAACTGTATGCAGTGAGAGAAAGGAATTGTGCACTATGAAATACACTATACAATAGCGATCAGCACATATAATATGGAGAGTACAGAAATAACTGTATGCAGTGAGAGAAAGGAATTGTGCACTATGAAATACACTATACAATAGCGATCAGCACATACAATATGGAGAGTACAGAAATAACTATGCATTTGGTGGCAATTTCCTTGGAATCCTCACAATTTGGGAGAATCAATTAGGTAAACATCATATAATAATGTGCCTGCCATTCTCTTATTCTCTATTTAGTCAATGCATTTATATCTCTGTCTCCTTGGCACAAAGTTTAGGGCCAAGTAGATATTATAGAAAATAAACCTAAGAAATGACCATCATAAGAATACATATAAGTTATTTCTAAATTTTATGAGGTGTTCACACACACACACACATATGCACGTGTGTGCACACATAGAAGAAACTTTGATTTAAGAAGGAATTAAAGGTATTCTGATCAATTGCATATTTTGGTTAACAAACTGATACAGTTTCATTGTATATTCTGGCCAAGTCTCATGTTGAGTTGTAATCCCTAATGTTGTGAGTTATAATGCCTAATGTTATGAGTTGTAATCCCTAATGTTGTGAGCTGTAATCCCTAATGTTATGAGTTGTAATCCCTAATGTTAGAGGTGGGGGCTGGGCCGAGGGGCTTGGGTCGTGGGGACAGATCTCTCATGACTTCATGCTGTCCTCTCGGTAGTGAGTGAGTTCTTGAGATATCTGCTTGTTTTATGTGTGTGGTCCCTCCCCGCCCCACTCTCTCTCTTGCTCCCCTTCTTACCATGTGAGATGCCTGTGCTCCCTTGGACTTCTGCCATGAGTAAAAGCTCCCTGAGGTCTTTCTAGAAGCTGAGCAGATGTCAGGGCCATGCTTCCTATGAAGCCTGCAGAACCATGAGCCAATTAAATCTCTTTTTCTTATAAATTACCCAGTCTCGGGTGTTTCTTTATAGCAATGCAAGAGTGGCCTAACACAAAAGTTAACTTTACTATGTCACCCAACCTGGAGTACAGTGGCATGATCATGGTTCACTGCAGCCTCAGCATCCTGGGATCTAGTGGTCCTCCCACCTCAGCCTCCCTAGTAGCTAGAACTACAGACCACTATCATCAAGCCTGACTAATTTTTGCTTTTATTTTTTGTAGAGACAGGATTTCGCCATATTGCCCAGGCTGGTCTGGAATTTCTGGGCTCCAGTGATCCATCTTCCTTGGCCTCCCAAAGTGCTGGGATTACAGGTGTGAGCCATTGCACCTGGCCTAACTAATTAATACAATTTAATCTTAGAGAACTCAACCATACCTTGCGTGTGTGTGTGTGTGTGTGTATGTGAGAGAGAGAGAGAGAGAGAGAGAGAGAGAGAGAGAGAGAGAGAGAGAGAGAGACTCACTCTGTCACCCAGGCTGCAGTGCAGTGGCACAATCACAGCTCACTGCATCCCTGACTTCCTGAGCTCAAGGAATCCTTCAGCCTCAGCCTCCCTAGCAGCTGGGACTACAAGTGTACATCAACATGCCTGGACATTTTTTATTATTATTTTTCATTTTTATCAGAGAGGAGGTCTCACTTTGTTGCCCAGGCTAATCTTGAACTCCTGACTTCAAGGGATCCTCCTACCTTCATCCCTCAAAGTGCTGGGGTTACAGGCGTGAACCACTGCACCTGGCTCAGGGTAAGTCTTTTTCATATAATAGCAACTCATACCATATGATACAAATATCTATAAGAAAGTATCTGAAATATTTGCTAACTACAGTACATATTCAAAAAGCTTAGTGTGGTTTTTTTTTAATTGTGTCCTTTTATAAGATCTACTACTGATTCATTTTATTGTTGTTGATCTCAACCTAAATAACGTGGGAAAGTGATTAATACTATTATTCCAGGAAGTTGCTTTTAACTGCATGAGAATTGTCTATACAACAGGCATCTTTAAATATCTTATAAAACCGAGAGAAAGAGTAAAATAGTATTCTCTGTGATTTTCGATTGAACTCTTAAATTTAAATCTATAAACCATTTCTCATTATTATAGTTTATTTTCAATTACATCTTCCTTTGGTCTTTAAATACTCAAATTTTTTTTTTGCATAGTAAAATAGTAGTTATAAAGAAATGTTTTAAATTCAGAAATTCTGCATCAATGTTTACAATGTAAATTTTTCAGCCCTCAATTTTGGAGACCAGTTCCTGAGGATTGAGTTTTGTAGAAAGAACTCATCCCAAGAGGCTCTTGGCGAAAAAGAGCAGAGCAAGTGTCATCTTTCACAGATAATCTTATTATGGACAATGGGGGATTCAATAAGAATACTAAAGCAATATTTTATGTCACTGTTCTGAGCTCTATGAGTTTTCATAGTTTGTATTTTCATTATCTTCCAGATAGGGCTAAAACCCTAAAATATTAGAAAACAATAAATAGCAGGCAATCTTATGCATTCTCATGTCTGCAAACACTAACTTTTTCTGATGAACGTAAGCCCTGTATCACCAGATGAAGCCTCTCCCTTTAGCTACAGGTCGATTTATTTATTTAACTGACCAATGGACAGCCTCCACAGGCACAATGACTTTTCTCAAATTTGATCCTCTCTCCAACTTCTTATCCTAATGAATGGCATCTCCATTTGCCCAAAGTGTCAGCCTACATCTGAGTGTCAGCCTAAACTTTCCATTTATCTTGCTTCAATAGTTCATCAATTACCAAGTTCTCTTTTTTTAATTGAAATGTTTATTGAGATAATTATAGATTCACAGGCATAGTTTTAAGAAGTAATACAGTGGATACAGTGAGCTCCTGGGTACATTTTACTTAGTTGCTTCCAATGGTAATAATTTGCAAAATTATAATATAATACTACAACCAGGATATTGATCGATGTTGAAACAGTCCACGGATCTTATTGATGTTCCCTCAGTTTTATTTGTTCTCTCTCTCTCTCTCTCTCTGAGAGAGAGTATTTAGGTCTATAAAATTTTAATACGTGGGTTCATGTATCTACCACCACAGTAAAGGTATCACTAAATAGTTGCATCAACACAGGTATACTTTCCTCTCCAACCTGTCACCTTTTGTGCTGACAGCGTTATTGCAGTTATTTCTGACTCTAGACTTCCAGTCTCTCTAATTTAACTTTTACAGTATATTTATAAAGTGCATATCTAATTTTGTAACTCCTCTAGAACTACCATGTAAGCAGTTCCCTAAGTCTCTGACTGACTCTGCATTTACACGCTGGAAAAATTCTGTGTCTTACAAAAATATGAAGTTTGAACAAAAAGTTATTAGTGGAGTGTGTTGATCATATAAACAAGAAATCAAATAGCTTTTGCTGCCTACTCACTTAAGACATTATTTAGTGACAATTAATAGTCTTATCTATGGATGTGATGGTCCTCATAGTCACTCAACTGCAAAGTTTATAATACACTAATAGAAAATATATGCTGACTTCATTTTTATATTTAGAAATACTAAATCAAAGTGTCTACCAGATCTTGCTTCTCAAATTCATATCACTACAATCATAACCTGGCAACCAAAGTAAAAAGCCAAAGAGATATAGATCTGCAAAAGTAAAAAACTACTCCTACTAAAGATGAATCTCTTGAATATACTGGTATAATTACCACTTTATTTTGTAGACAGCTATAGATTGCTATTAATGATTTATGTATTGCTATCATAGCATATCACATTACATCTGAGAGTATGCTACTTTGCTTTCAATAATTTGTCTTATGGTTTCTAAAAATTTGTTGACTCTTTTCCATTTTTCTTCTTTCAAGATAAGTGTTCTCCTGAGAGTGAAGCATGTAACTTACTAGAAATTTATCCAAACTACTTCCTACTCAACATGAATTTGTAGTCTTTCACACCAAGAGAGATTTCTAAGTTACTGGAATGGATATGCTATCTCACTTGATTTTCTTATTCCAATTAAAATAGCATATAATAGTGATGCTTATATATGCTAATACTTACCTTTTTCTGTAAACAATTATTTGTTGCTCTTTTCAGAATTTTTATTCTCTCCTCTCACATGATAGTATTATTACTCTTAGTGGCTGTAAATTATGGCAACTAGATAATATCTTAGATATTACTCATGGGCCAGGTTTGGTGACTCATGTCTGTAATCCCAACACCTTGAGAGACCGAGCAGGTGGATTGCTTGAGCCCAGGTGTTCAAGACCAGCCTGAGCAACATAGCAAGATCTGATCTCTAAAAGAAATTTTAAAAACTAGCCAAGCATGGTGATGCACACCTGTAGTACCAGCTACTCAGGAGGCTGAGGTGGGGGAATCACCTGAGCCTAGGGAGTCAATACTTCAGTGAGCTGTGGTCATGTCACTGCAGTCCAGCATGAGTGAGAGTAAAACCCTGTCTCAAAAGTAAATAAATAAATAAATAAACATAACTTTTTAAAGTGATACTATTCATTACATTAGATTTAGCCACAACATGTACACAACATACCTGTCTTTAAAATTGATACACATTTCTAATAAACACACATGCATCTGTAAAAGAGGCTGATCTGTGATAGCATTATGTGTCAACTTGGTAAGACTGTAGTACCAGTTATTTAATCAAACATTGATCTAGGTGTTGCTGTGAAGGTCTCTTGTAAATGTGACTAACTCTAAAATCAGCTGACTTTAAGAATATGTTTGATAATGTGGGGGGGCCTTGTCAAATCAGTTCAAAACCTTAACAGCAAATTCTAAAGTTTCCTGTAGAAGAAAGAAAAATTCTGCTTCAATAATACAGCACTAACTGCTGCCCGAGTTTCCAGCCTGTAGGCCTCCCCTAGAGGCTACTTGCCAGTCTTCACAATCCCGTGAGTGAATTCCTTCAAAAAAAAACAAAGCAAAACAAAAAAACTCTGTGTGTGTGTGTGTGTGTGTGTGTGTGTGTGTGTATACATATACATGCGTTTTATATATATGTATATATGTGAGTGTGTGTATATATACACATATTTGTATAGGTATTTGTGTATATATACATATATGCTTCTCATTAGCAACAACATACCTTTTTTTATTTGATATTTTTCTGTCTTTCACATAAAACATCATCTTTGTAATGTTCACAGCCATATATATGTGTGTGTGCATATGTAAATATGCACACACATACCATATTGGAATTGTTTCTCTGGAGAACTGTGACGAATGCAACTAGCATTGATCAACTAAATATTTATATTGCTAGTATGTTAAAACCACCCTAATAGTTTTAATAAACAGTGGTGGCTGTCTCCCTAGATGCTTTCATCTTTCATTCATTGAGCAGCATCAAATACGTTTGAGTACGTCAAATACATTGAGTAGCATCAAATACATTGAATAGCACCAATTACGTCTGGTTGATCATTTGGAAATGAACCCACTCTTGGTTCAAGTGTTAGGCTTAGATTGGCCAAACCAATCTGTATAATCCCAGCCTGCTCACCACCATTCATATTCACTATACAAATGGTGATGGAGGTCAGTTAACTCACTTTAACACATGTATTTTTTCAGTGATTAAATTTGGTATTAAAATATAGCTGATACCTCATGAATTGCTTATTAAGTTACTTCTGGTCTCTGCTCAAATGTCTACCTGTGGGTGACATTTCATCACTTTATTTAAAACCACCATAAGCCCCAGTCCTCTGGCTCTCTCAAAACCTGTAACTTGCTTCTCATTAGCAACAACATATCATTGTTTTATTTGATATTTTTCTGTCTTTCTTATAAAACCTCATCTCTGTGATGTTCATAGCCATTTCACTGGGGCCTATAATGGTGCCTGCTATATTGATGACACCGAGTAAACATTTGCTTAATGAAAGAAATCTGCACCTGACAGCATCTTTAAGGAGTCACATTTTAAACCCAAGTCAAAATTTCGAAGCATCCACTGAGGATTTTATCCTAGCTTCAAACTAATTCAATCATCTTAACTGAATGTTCCTTATTTACATCTTTGACTGTTTCTTTTAATTTCTTTTTCTTTCACAGTTCTTATAGAAAACAGTTACATAAGCAACTCCAAAAGAGGATGCTCATGAGTTCTTTCCTATAGTTGATGCTAAAAATAAGTTTTGTTTTGGAAGTATTTACATGAAAAATATGACACTTTGCTAGAGAATTTACAAGTATGATCCGGTACAGAAATTGACCATTTTACCACCAAACCAAGTGTTATAAAATCCAAATTGTGACATCACACCATCTGGATATAACTGTAGATTTATATTAATTTCATCCAGAGCATAAATGTATTCTTTTCTCCTCTTCCTGCCTAGATCTACAGCTGTTCACTGGCAAAGGAGACCAACTCATCTCTTTCCTGACATCTGGCTCTTTCATTTCACGTCTCTTTCATACCCTCCCGCAACTAGCTGAAGGTGGATTTTTTTTTTCTTTTTACTTCTTTAATATGGCATTGGAAATTATGAGCACAAGTCCAGTTAATAACTCTTGCACCCTGATGACAAATTTGGTCATCTATCTTCAGTTACAAGAATACAATTATAGATGGTGTTTATACCTCAGCAACTTAATCAAAAGGCTGCAGGGGTAGGAAGGGTGCCACTGATAAGAATGCGTTTCTTCAGTCATCATATTGTGCCCAGCTACAATCAGTCAGGAAAGAATATGCTATGAAAGGCCAAGGCTGCAGCTGGTTATAAGCATAAGTATCTTATCACCTTTATAGTTTCTGGGATTTACACAGCTCTAATAATTCAGGTGAATTATAAGAATAAAAGTTGTTGCTTACTTTTTACCCCTGGAGTCAAGTTTTGAAAATAACATGCAATATGATGTTTTGAAATATCATGGACTTTGATTCGGGGAATATGCTGAAAAGAATGAAAACAATATAAAAATTTATTAGAGAAAATGGGTAGAAGTTAAAAGAAACTTTTTAAAAACCTTTCTCCATTTTTAGTACTATTAGTACTTAAAATTTGCAAAGCATTGTTTCGAGTGCTTTACCAGATATGTCAACAGATTTTATTCTCAGAGCATTCCTACGTCATTCATTTCACCCTTGAGTAAACTGAAGCGCAGGGATATGAAACTGTTCAAGGCCATACTCCTTAAGAAAGGCAGTGCTAGCACATGTCAGATGGGTTCCATGGAGACTATTATAAAGATATGGCAACCCAAACTCTCCTACACGCAAAACGATTAACTACTTATGCACGGACAACACTTCCCTAAAATATGATAGATTTGAAATTTTCATTCACACCCAGTGTGATTTTTGCTCTCTAATGAAAAGGAATGTCGTTGATACAGATCTGATTTCAGTATACAATAAATATGCAAAATAAAAACATTACTCAAAACTAGGTTATTTTATTTGTTCCCAAAAGGATCATCAAGTAATCTCAGTAAACTATTATTTACATTCCGATATGTGATTTCTAATATTCTGGGTTATAGACTTTTATTCACACCTGGTTTTGAAGCTAAAAGCAGTGTAACTATAAAATTTCTTTTCTGTTTGCTTGTTTTTGTATATTTTTCTGCACCACTGCTGGCAGGAATACAATTTTGATATTACATAATTTTGTTAACTGATAACAGCATTTCATAAACTGACCTCCATTATTCATTGGTCCCAGGAGACCCTCCACAATGTAAGAGTACTTTAGTTAAATAAACATGGGAAATTTTCTTTATCTTACTGTTGGAAACTTACAACATACCTTAACATATTAAAGACTCTGAAATGCCTTGAAGAGGGGGGAAATACCTGTTTGACATTATTTAACTCAGTGATTTCCAATGTATGTAAAGACAGATTCTATAATAATATCTTGAAGCTTTCTTAGAAGCAACATTCTTCAAATATCCTTTGAGAAACGGTGGTCTAAATTGGAAAGTCCATCTTTGCAAATATTCCTCTCTCTCATTCCATTTGTTCCAGTTAGTTAAACGCATTGTGGAATTGTCTGTCTTTTGGCTTTCTTGCAAATAATATAGCCAAATAATTTTCTGCAGTAAAGTATTATTATTCCATAGACACACTGTGACCACGCTCATCAAACATGGCATAGCTAAAAGCACTAATCATTGAAATCACCTGTGTAAACATGACTTAGTTGCTTGCAACAGAAAAGTTTTGCCTGGGAAAAGTAAGATTGCAAAATAATAATAACTTTTCTTTCTGCTTTAGGCAGTTCCTGCAGATCCATTTATTAAAGATAGAATCTGGCTCACCTGGGTAAATAGTTGAGTTATCATAAGTAATTCACTTATTAAAATTCTCTTATTTAAAATCTTTACTTTGCTATATCTCCCAATCCTGGATTGTTATATTATAAACTTCCCAATCAGTTGCCTGCCTTGAGAATCTCAGTTTTAACCGCTCAAGTCCTGACTCTCCAACTGTATAAATATCCATTTTGACTTCCCAGTTCTGAGGCACTGTTAGTACTGTGTGGTGGTGATGTTCTTTCTTACTACACTAAGTTTTAACTCATTTAGCTTTGCTTTATTAACAAGTTGTCTCTTAATATTTCACGAAGTTCAACCAAATTCAAGTATAATTATTAACTACTTATAAAATAACGAAGACCTTATCAAAGATGTGCACATGTACATCACCAATTATTCCAAAGAATTCCCAGTTTTTCATTCCACTTCAAATCCCTTTAGTCTCCCAAAAAACACGAAATACATGTGTGTCTTAGAAAATCAGTCAATCATGTTAGAAAATTTACATTTTGATGATTGAACACATATCTGTGCTAGTACCAGCGTAAACAGCACAGACTTTGGTAAACAGCAGAGACTCAGGTAAGCAGGCTAGACTTTACTAAACAGCATAGGTCTTTTCATGGAGTTTAGAGGTTGGTGAAATGACAGGGTTTAGAGAGGGAAGTAAACAAATGCACACACTATGACAAAATGTATCAGTGCCATGACAACTAATCCAAAACAAAATAGGAGTGGAATAGTTGGAAGATCATTTTAGATTATGAAAGTCTGGAAGAATTTCTTTTTTTTTTTTTAAGTTTTTTTTCTTTTATTATTATACTTCAAGTTTTAGGGTACATGTGCACATTGTGCAGGTTAGTTACATATGTATACATGTGCCATGCTGGTGTGCTGCACCCACTAACTTGTCATCTAGCATTAGGTATATCTCCCAATGCTATCCCTCCCCCCTCCCCCGACCCCACCACAGTCCCCAGAGTGTGATATTCCCCTTCCTGTGTCCATGTGATCTCATTGTTCAATTCCCACCTATGAGTGAGAATATGCAGTGTTTGGTTTTTTGTTCTTGCGATAGTTTACTGAGAATGATGATTTCCAATTTCATCCATGTCCCTACAAAGGACATGAACTCATCATTTTTTATGGCTGCATAGTATTCCATGATGTATGTGTGCCACATTTTCTTAATCCAGTCTATCATTGGTGGACATTTGGGTTGGTTCCAAGTCTTTGCTATTGTGAATAATGCCGCAATAAACATACGTGCGCATGTGTCTTTATAGCAGCATGATTTATAGTCCTTTGGGTATATACCCAGTAATGGGATGGCTGAGTCAAATGGTATTTCTTGTTCTAGATCCCTGAGGAATCGCCACACTGACTTCTACAATGGTTGAACTAGTTTACAGTCCCACCAACAGTGTAAAAGTGTTCCTGTTTCTCCACATCCTCTCCAGCACCTGTTGTTTCCTGACTTTTTAATGATTGCCATTCTAACTGGTGTGAGATGGTATCTCATTGTGGTTTTGATTTGCATTTCTCTGATGGCCAGTGATGGTGAGCATTTTTTCATGTGTTTTTTGGCTGCATAAATGTCTTCTTTTGAGAAGTGTCTGTTCATGTCCTTCGCCCACTTTTTGATGGGGTTGTTTTTTTCTTGTAAATTTGTTTGAGTTCATTGTAGATTCTGGATATTAGCCCTTTGTCAGATGAGTAGGTTGCGAAAATTTTCTCAAGAATTTCTTAAGGAATTAAAATTTAAGATGCGAGTTGAAGAATGAGTAAGACCAAACCATATCAAATCAGGAAGAGAGAGCAGTCAGCAAATGAAGCAGCGTGGGTCCTCAGGTTTCAAAACAAACAAACAACAACAACAAAATCCTGCTTATTATTTAAGAAACTAAAAGAAGCCCAATGTGTCATAGCGCATAGATAGGACAGGTGCCAACTTTCAGAAAATGGGTTAGAGTAATAAAGAATTTGGATTTTATTCTAAATGTAATGTTAAAATTTTGAATATATTTAATGGAAAGCTAATGTGATCTAATTTATGTTTTCAATAGCAGTCTAATTATTTGGTGAAAAATGAACTTTAGAAGATCAAGAATGCATGTGGGGAGGTTTGGGAAGAGGCTAAAGTTATCCTGGGGAGATACCATGGAGACTTTTTGATTGGAGCAGTGGCCATAAAAATAAAGTGAAGTGGCACTAACTCACAATTGATTTTACTGTCAAATCCAACAGGATATGGTAACAGATTGAACACACGTAAGAAGTCTAAGTAACAAGGAATGGAAAAGTGTGATTCCAAATGTCTTGAAGAACAACTGTGTAGATGGATGTATGGAAACGATGTTTCTCTTCAAATAGCTGGCATGGTAGTACAACAGAAACTAGAATTTGTAGCCCTGATGGCCTGTCTCTGATAATATAGAACTATTTTTTACACCTATTTGCTGGTCACCCTTGAGCATTACAGTTGTGTTCCAGGCCTGATAATTTACAACTAAGATGGAAAAAATAAGAATTTCCAGGGTCATCAATTTTAACTGTGTTCCTAATTCCAAAGTTCAAATTGCAATAAATGATAGGAAGGATTTGGCTGATAAACCAAGTCAATTCTAATAAAGTTATATACTTTATCTCTGTAAAAAGAAATAGAGTCAACATAGCAGTCATTAGAACTTACCCATAAAATTTAATTAAGACTGATTAGAGAATTAGATGCTCTAGTCTAGAATTCAGCATGCCTAAAATTCTCACTCAAAATAAATCCTTTTCTAGTTGGGTGGGAAAAATTATGCACAGCAGTAACAAAATAAGTTTGTTATAACTTCTAGGGAATAATACTAAGGTGGCCTATTCCCTGAACGTGACTTGATATTATTTAAATGCATAAACCTACTAATAATTAGAAAGTGTTCGTAAAAACTCATGAAACATTTTATACAGAATTTTAACAAAAATGCAGGAAAAAGTTGTAAACCAGAAAATGCTGAGTAACTAATCAGACATGACATGACATTTATTTACTAATTAGTTTTCAAAACCTCCATTAACCTTTCTGCATTCCAGTTAACTTTTGAGCTGTAGACTTACGTCCTCAAATTACAAGAAATGATACAATTGAATTATACCCTGTGCCTTGCCTAGCACTTGAAAAGCACTGAAATCATTGCAAATTAAATGACAAGTAACTCAGTCAATATTTCATTTACTGCTTCAGAGCTGTTCAAAGAGTTACTCTTGTGAGATGATATGCAGGAAATAGGAGTCAAACACACCATTTCCTGATCATTGAAAAAATAATCTGGTTTGGAAAAAAAAAACTTCTTCACTAACAAAATACACATACCACCTAGAAAGTGTGTTATTTTCAATGGGCTCTTCCATGTTGCTAACATATAATGAGTAATACATAACACACATGGAAAACAAAAAGCATATATATGTACCTTTCATAAAATTCAGCTTCTTCTCTTTATTTAATGTGGGTATTAAAAGCTCTTGGGTCATTCTAATTCTCCTTTTCCTTTAGAAGGTAGAAAACTTCTCCAGAATATAACAACTTAGTGTGGCTGTTGGAATGAAGGGGAGTCAGCAGTAGTAGCAGACCTTTGAAGTATGACTTGTCTGTGCCCAGGGAGCAAGTATCATTCAGCAGAGCAAAGTAAATATTTGGATTTCTTATTCTGAGCAATGGCTAGAGAGAATAATTCAGAAAATTTATTATAGATAAATTGAGCAGAAGATGTAATGCTTAGCAAGAATTCCCAAGCCCTTTGAGACTAGAGAAAAATTTTAAATTCAAAATGGTATAAGATACAAAATAGAATATTAAGATTAAAGATTGATGATTATATGAAATAAAAAATCATCAAATAAGAGAAAGATAAACCAAAATCATTTATTTTAAAAATTATTTTTGAATGACTAAATAGAAACTCATTTTTTATAATGTAATGAGTATTGTATTTTAGGATCATTTTCCCAAAGAGCTTCCACTGTAGGTATTTTTGTCAACAATTCATGTTAATTATCTGTCACAATTAGGTAGTTAGATTCATCCATCCATTCATTCAATGAATACAAATGGAATTTCTACAATATTCCCAGGAACATTGCTGCACATAGAAAACACAGCAGTGACTAAAATAGGTATTGGGCGCTGCCCCAAAAGGGTTCAAGCTCTGGCCGACCTTCCCACTTAACCCACATATTTGAAGCATTACAAATACTTATGTCAATATTGATATTTTTCAGTATAGAAAGAAATTGTGTAAGGTCTAGATTACAAATGACATGAGAAATATTTAAGTATTAAAAATATTCTGGTAATGGATTCTGTTTTCCCATTTTAAAGAGGCAAATTGAAAATTCAGAGTTTTTTAGGAAAATGCCTTATTATGAGTGACAATATTTACACACTGTTTAATTTCATCGGTGAATTTGTAAGCCAATTTCAAAACATATTCTATTTTGTTGAAACAGAACCTATTTTGTGTAAAGAATTCCATAAAAAGGATGATGTTAGGCTGACACTTAACATCTAGATACCGAAGACACAGACTATTAAAGTTCCAAATGTATTAAGTGATGGGGTCTGAATAGTTACTTTTATTCATATTTTGAATTTTTTATAGCATTTTGTAATTAGAAAAGACCTTCAGTATTGTCTATTCTAACACACCCATTTTACCCATTATCCCATAATTTGTCTACAACCATACTTTTCTTTTTGCCTCAGTGCGAGGTCTAGATTTCCAGGCTCCTGACGTCCAGTCCAATACTTCTTCTAATGTGTTATTCTGCTTCTCTGAATTAATTAGGCCGTAAGTTAGGCAGCTTCAAGAAAAGTTGTGAAAGAATATGTCTCAAGCAAAATAGCAGTTTGTGTTTTTATCATCTATAAGCCTGAACTGCCCAGGACTGGAAATGTAATGCCACAATTATTAGGGGCTTGATTGATTTTTCTCCATTGCCATCCACATAAATGGTTTCTACCATATAATCCAAGACAAGTAATTCAGTTCAAACCTCCTGTCCACCTTCCAGGCAACAGGAAGTTGGTTGGAAAGATAGTGAGTGCCTGTTTCTTCCTGTCAATCACAGGACCCAGAAAGGGGACATAGCACCAAATTACTTCATCACCCCTAGGTCCAGCCAAAATTTATGTTACAAAGACAAAGGAAGAAGTGATGTCCAGGACAGCTGGCTAGCCTTTGCTACATCTGAGCAGTCTCTCAAGTTCTATTGCTGGCTTTACCTCTTACAGGCTGTGTACATTGAATCTCTCTAAACTTCAGTTGCCTTGTTCCTAAAATAGAAAAGAATAATAATCCATTTCTTAGGTTGTTTCTATGTAGATTCAATAAGATATGACATGTAAAATGCTTACAAGAGTGCCTGGCACAGTAAATACATAATTATTAGTTGCTATTTACTGTTAACCATATTCTGACAATAGAATCAAATTTGTCCTCCAGCTCCTCCCCCAAGCTCCCTTCTTCCCAAATTAAAAAAAAAGAAAAAAACTTACATTGTTCTCTACTTTGCTAATAGACAAGAACTATACTGTATGAATAAACACAAAATGTTGGTTTCTATTTTATTGTATTCAGTACTAAAGAGCTTTTAATCTCCATAAGTGGAAAAGATAATATTATATTTGTTCACTGCATAAATTACCCCAAGAAATAAAAAAATATTGAGGGCAGATATAAGATTATTAACTTGGCTACAGGGAGGTAAACGACAGGGGAAATGGTGAAGAGCACTTTTCTTATCTGCAGGCATCACGCCTGCAAGTGCTGTCTTCTGCTACTTCTCATGGTTTTTACTGTTGGTTTCCTAAGCTCCTGCAGTTTTTATCGTCCTCAGCCCTCCAGCTTAAAGCTCTAAGAGTGGGTCTCTCCCAGAGACTCCCGGCTGCTTCTCAGGCCTTTGGGTACTACTGTGTTTTCTCTTTAGCTTATTTATACTGTTTTGTAATATAAGTGATAATGAGAGATGTGTCTCTTTGCTTTCTCTTTCCTTATACTTTACCAAGACAAAACAAAATACCACATGACCTTACTGCCCCCTCCCCTGCGTGTCCCCACCCTCCATTCCCTGAGGGAGTTACGGCAGGGCTTTGGGGGACAGGGTGCATCCTCAGCAGAATGGTAAGAAAAATAGAAGGACCGGCAGTGCTCAAGGAGCTGGAAGCTGCAGCACAGGGTTCAAAATATCAGAAGTGACATGTAATGGGCTAAAGGGGCCGCGAGAGGATACCAAAGTCAACTTTGCAACCTGGCATCCGAAGTCCGAGAGAAAAAGGTTAATCAAGCGACTCAGCAAATGGGAAAGTAAAGGAATGAGAAACCCCCTGGAATTGCCTTTTGTTTGTGAGTTGTTACAGGGATTAGCCGTTTTTACAGATTTAAAGAGCCAGTAAAGGCCTAGAAGCGGGGGAATCGTCCATGCAGCAACTTACTTCCATCTATAAATACGTTACGTGTTAGATCAGGATTTGTTTGTTTGTTTTGTTCATTCAGTTGTTTTGTTGTTGTTTTGTTGTTGTTGACATGACAGGATCTCCCTGTGCTCTGTGGCCCAGGCTGGAGTGCAGTGGCACTATCACGGGTCACTGCGGCTTCAACTCCCGGGCTCAGGCGACCTTCCCACCTTAGCCTCCCAGCTAGCTGGGACCACAGGCATGCACCACCATGTCTTGCCAATTTTTTATATTTTGTAGAGACAGGGTCTCACTATGTTGCCCTGGTTGATCTCCGATTCCAGGGCTCAAGCAATCCTCCCACCGCAGCCTTCCAAAGTGCTGGGATTGCAAGACCGAGCCACCACGCCCTGCCTAGATGTGGGATTTCTTGCTTCGGAGATTTATTTGGGAACATGCTTTCAGGAGAAGGGACATGAAGGGCACAGGAAAGACAGAGCAGAGAAACAGAAGCTAAACAAATATGTGGCCTTCAGCTAGAGACTAGCTTCTCCCTGATTCTACCAGGAAGCTCTGAAGTCTAAGCTGTATCACAACAATAGTCCTACTTTGACATAAAGAAGCCAGCCTTTTGTATCTAATATTATAATAGTACAAGGTAGTAGCTGAGACTGCCCCGCTCCATAGGGTGAAGGAGAGCTCTATGCCTCCTAGTCGCATTTGGTCAAGGAGTATCTGAAGAAGGGGGCAGTTGTGTTTTTAGTAGCCAAGAGTGCACAGATCCATAATGTAACTGGCTAGAACAGGGCCGCACAACAACTGCTTTAGAAAGCAGCTTCATAATGTAATTGCTATATTTGGCAATAAGGAAATGCATTAACCAAGATCCATTATTTGACCGCTTAATAAAGGGGGAAAAAGGAATGTCTCAAAGTTTTCAGTCATTTAGGGAAAAAAAATTACATTTCAGTGACTATGAAGATAATATTTCAGAGTGGTAATCAGCACTTTCCTTGCTTTCTACTCAACATACTTTATTTATAGTATCTGACAGTTCTAGTATCCCTTAAATAGGATTCTAATCTCTTCTCACTTTGCTTCACGTGTGAATATTTAATTATTCACAATTCCATCATGAAAATTGTCCTAATCCATTGGAGCCAATGATAAAACATTACACAAGGAATAACCATTACATTTCCTATCATTCAGACAGTACATTTTTTCCTCCTGGAAATGTATAATCATTTTTTACTATTATAAGTTCACACTGAATGAAGCAAAAGTATATGTAAGAGACACAATTAGCAACAATCCGAAAATGAGCTTTTATATCACACACCATTTGTTTCAGGAATATATTTGAGCATTTTGTGCAGAAACATATTTTTCATCTTTGGATCTGAAGGCTAAGGTGTGAAATGGGCTACTCTATTCACTTAGTAATATAACTGAGCATGAACCTAAAGCTCAAGAATTTTCTGAATCAAGAGTTTCAGTCACGAAGCTTATTTTCTAAAACTTCAAACATACAAGTATATAAGCTCCACAAGGACAGGGATTTTCCTCCGTTCTGTTCTCTGCTATATCTTCTGCGCTAAAACAGCACCCAGCACATAGCAAATGACCAGTAAGTGTTTGTTCACTGAATGCGAATATGTTTATTGATGGATTTTGACATCGTCGTTTGTTTGAACAACTTCTTAGTCTTTCTTTGTTAATGTGCTTTTCTTCTTCATTGTTTTTATTTCCCCATGTCCTTAAGATCCCGGGAAGCCATGGCATCATGAAATAGTTATTCAATAACAGAGTTAAAGTTTTAGAAAGGCCAGTAAACTAGGAAATACCTGTGAGTGGGGAATAGAAATACGCTTTTATCACAGATAACCACGCTACCAAGAGGTGACCATTTTAATGAAATGTAAATGAGATGCTATTGATAGATTCCTATCTTTACAAATTTCATAAACCAAAACTGTTTGGATGAGGAGAGATTTATCTTTCTATGGAAATGTCCTCCCAAATCTACAACTTCCATAGGACTATATTTTTATTGTAAAATGGAAGATAATTACTACATGTTAAACTATATTTTCTTGCTTTATGTAGAGGAAGTACCTTTCTCATTTACTAAGTTCTGACATTTTAGAGTTGGAAGTGACCTTAGGATTATGTAGTCTCTATGAGTGCAGCCCAAAACCCTCAGTGTTTATGGCTGTACAAGTAATTTCTGATCATTCCACAACTGAAATTCTACCAATTGGATAATGATAAGTATCTCTTGTATATGTATCTATTGGTGATTTAGATGAACGGTGTGGAAAAAAAAAGCAGGACGTCACCTCACCCACAGGAAATTTACTGTTTTCCAATGCAATGCCTTTCCTACTACACAAAATCAAAGAGCATCTTTTTTCTATTTTTCATTTCACTCCAATCATAGCACTTAGATTATTCTAGATGTCTCTAAAACATGCTTCAAAGTTTCCTTCTACTTCAACGAATCTTGAATGTCATCACACCCTTCAAATAATTTACTTAATATACTAGTTTTATCATAAAAATCCCCACTGAAACTATTTTTGAAGACTTGCCTGGACATCCGGTTAACCAACACTCCCTTTGAAAGTATAGCCAAACACCGCATGTTCTCACTTCTAAGTGGGAGTTGAACAATGAGAACACATGGACACAGGGAGGGAACATCACACACTGGGGCCTGTCGGGGGGTGGGGGTTATGGGAGGGAGAGCATTAGGACAAATACCTAATGTAGATGATGGTTTGGTGGGTGCAGCAAACCACTATGGGAAGTGTATACCTATGTAACAAACCTGCATGTTCTGCATAGGTACCCCAGAACTTACAGCATAATAATAAAGAAAGTACAGCTCTAGATTAACAATCAAGCCTTGTAAATACTACTCCACTCCAGAAACACAGAGCTTCATGTCTAGAACGGCCTGTGCTCTGCCTGATCACACTGTGACCATATCCACCTCCCTCCTTGGCAACTGCTTTTCTCATCGTGTACCATGTCTTCCTCCTGCCTGTTTCACTCCCAACGTGCCTGCAAAGCCCCATTTACACCTCTCATCATCAACATGGTTTCTCTGACAATCTGCACCTAGACTGTGATCTCTTTTTCTTCAGAATTTGCAACATTTACTCTCTGGACCAATCAGCTGGCACTTTGCACAGGAGCCAGTTAGGCTCCAATTTGAGGCCAAGGTCACTGTAGATAAGCACTTTACAAAAACCATTTGTTATTACCAGGATTTAGGTAAGTGTCAATGATTGTTTTGTTACAAAAATTAAAGACTTTAATTTGTAATCTTGATCAAGTAGAGACCATCATGGCTCTTCCCAAGAAGTACTTGTGAATCAATTCATGCATTCTCATTAGTACTCAAATGAAATCACAGATCATGTGCTATAAAACACACATGTGCCCAAGGTCAAGAGAATTCCGACTGGACTTCAACACCTGTCTATCTCTACAAAACAGAGCCTGTTCTGTCCAATAGTTGCTTGGTTTGAACCTACACCCAAATAAATTCATCAAGGCAACTTCTCTTAAAAAATTGTGCATGTGTCTGTATACATACTTATATACACATTATCTAGATACATACTATATATGTACATATATATATATACATATACGTATTCTATACTACATAAACATGCATATTATATAAAGTCATGCCAGATAATTTTGAATTTTTCTATTAAATAGGATTATTTAGTAGTATCCATTGGAATTAGGACATTGTGGCTGACATTTGGATACTGCAGTATTTATTGTTGCCCTCCCTTAAAAAAATTTATTTCTCTCTATCTCTATAACTACCATTCTACCAAAGTCATCATTCCTAGATTATAGCGGTGGTTTTCACAATTTAGTGAGCACTGAAATCAGCTGGCAGTCTTGTTAAAACATAGATTAATGTAAATATCAGGAAGGAGTCAGTACTGAAAATTTGAGTATCTAGCAAGTTTTCAGTTGATACCAATGCTGCTGGTCCTTGGACCACACTTCTGGAGACCCTAGAATAGACAGTTACAAAAGGCTTCTCATTGGTCTCTCTGCCTTTATTTTTTCACTCTTCTACAATCTACTCTCTAAAAGCAGGAAGTGAGGTCTAGTCAGTGATATGGTTAGGCTTTGTGTCCTCACCCAAATCTCATCTTGAACTATAATCCCCATAATCCCCTCGTGTCTAGGGGGAGACCTGTGGGGAGTTGATTAGATCATGGAGGTGGTTTTCCTCATGTTCTTCTCACATAATCCCCTCATGTCTAGGGGGAGACCTGGGGGGAGTTGATTAGATCATGGAGGTGGTTTTCCTCATGTTCTTCTCACATAATCCCCTCATGTCTAGGGGGAAACCTGGGGGGAGGTGATTAGATCATGGAGGTGGTTTTCCCCATGTTCTTCTCACATAATCCCCTCATGTCTAGGGGGAGACCTGGGGGGAGGTGATTACATCATGGCCGTGGTTTTCCCCATGTTCTTCTCACATAATCCCCTTGTGTCTAGGGGGAAGCCCTTGGGGGAGGTGGTTAGATCATGGAGGTGGTTTTCCGCATGCTCTTCTCAGGAGAGTTAGTAAGGTGTCTGATGATTTTGTATAAGTGGCTCTTCCCACTTCACTCCTCACTCTTCTCTCTCCTGCTACCACGTGAAGAAGTCCCTTGCTTCCCCTTCACATTCCCCTATGATTATAAGTTTCCTGAGGCCTTTCCCAGCCACGTCAACTGTGAGTCAATTAAACCTCTTTCCTTTATAAGTTACCCAGTCTTGGGTATTCATTTACAGCAGTGTGAAAACAGACTAACACAGTCAGATTCCATTGTTTTCAACTTTTCTTTGGCTTTAAATTTCAGTAAGAATAACCTCCCAAGTCCTTTAAATGGTCAAAAAGTCCATTTCATGTCTTTCAGACCTTTTTGCCATAGTACCCATAATGTGATAATGTGCATGGCATTTTAGAGTAAAAGAATGGGACTTCTTTCCATCAAAAGAAATCAGACCCCAAGTCTCCACATAGCCCAGGTCCCCACCAGCTACACAAAGGCTGATAAGATGCCTCTCTTCGGTATGCCTTTAATCTCAGCCACAAGGTTTGAGGGGAAAATCGCTGTCTTAGAACACGAGTTCATTGTAATCAGTTGAAAATACCTGAGTCTTGGTCCTGCTTACCGCTCCAATCTCATACTCTACCAAAGTTTTTTCACACTCATGTCCTCTAACCACATTGCTTTTTATATTTATTTATTTTTTTCCTATTTCTTTCTGTTCCTGGGTGATACCAAGCTTAGCCACACATCAGTAATCATACATGTTTCACTCATTAGTGTATTCTCCTGGCACCATGCTGGCATGAAAAAGATGCTCAGTAGGTATTTATTTATTTATTAACTATCCAGGACATTGAGCTTCTTTTTTAAGTCATTCCTAGATTGAACAGTCAGGAAGTCTCAATGATACAAAGGATGATGTTTATTTTTCTATTTGACATGGCAAACATTCTACTGAGTCCAACATTTATATTAAATTATTGAGATATATCTTCAAAGGGAGGGATCCTAAGATACAGCTTCTTTGGAATTTGTTTTGTAAAGGTTTAGTTTCTATTTAATGATTTTAAACATAATGTTTAGACAAGATATATAAAGAAAAAACAAAACCATTAATGATTATAGCTTGGCCTATTGATAGGTTCCACAGATTCCATCTTAGGTAATGTAGACCTTCTTTCACAGTTTTTATATTAAAGTGACTTTAACACCAAGATTTAGGTATCTTTTAGTTTTACATTGTTTGAGTATGGAAAATTTCATTTACTTGCTACAAGGAGGCACAACTAATGGCTTCTGTAATTGAAGACATTAATTAAATTTCACTCATTCATTCAGTAAAATATTTAAAATGCCATATATTGTATTGCTTTCTAATTATTAACTACATATACCTTAAAAGACAATATTCATTTCAAATGACTGAAGTTCTACTCTATTAACCAATCCATGTAACAACTAAGAAATTAGCTTTGGTAATTTAACTCATAAAATGTTACATATAAAGGAAAAAAATGCAACATTATATACACTAGGGGTATATTTTCCCTACCAGATGTTACATTATATACCTTAGGGTTATATTTTTCCTACCAGATCTTACGTTATCTAGTAATTTGATATTTCTTCTTGAATTCTGAACTGTCTATTCAAATAGTTAATATCATGTTTAATTCAGAAAACCTAATCATGTATTTTTTTCTTTAAAGGAATTCTAACTTCTCCTTTTTCATAATTTTGACAAGGAAATAAATTATTCCAATGTCCCACTCCAATATTCACAAATAAAAACTGCAGTATCTTGTAGTGTTGTCATTTGTAAGATTTACAGAGTTGGAAATGCAGAAGCAGCACTAATAATCTACTTAGTAGAAAGTAACACGAAAATTACTTAACCACGATTCAAACTTTGTCAATTGCTTTTGCAAGAACATCTCAGATTTTGTTCTTTGATGAAGACATTCACCTTGCTAAAATATGGTCTTTATACATAACAATGTGTAAAAATTGACCCTCAAGATTTATTTCAGTCTGCACTTTAGAGATACATTTTTATACAAAAGGAATGGGATGTTATACTATTTAAAGCCTCCAAAACCAAGATAAACATTGACATAATTCCGTGTTTCTTAAGTATTTTTAAACACAAAAGATATAAGGATTAAAAACATGCTTTGTAATAATTAGAATGTTTTTAGTTATTTACACTTTAAAACTGAATACATCTATACTACATGTAAATTGATATTATATAAATAGAAAATTAAATATAGGCAAATAAAATTAAATAATTGACTTAACTTTATTATTAATAGCAAACTCCATTTAATTAGAACAAAAAAACATAACTGAGGACCTGAATTATCTGAGCTGGTGATTAACAACCAAATAAGGCAGAAAATTAACTATATGAGGTTCATTTCCTTAAAGTTTATTGACATATGAAATTACCAATCCATTCATCTTTATTTCTATTATTTTTGATAACTTAAATGTGTTTCCTTCCCTGCTTTCTTCATCCTACCTTCTCTTCTTCCAATTTTTAAAATTCTCCACCAAAGAAACTCTCACTGGCTCTTCAGCTTTTATTAATCTTGTCCCACCAAAGTTCTCAAAACTTCCAAAATGCCCCTGTTTTTAAAACCCACAATGCAATTAATGCCCTAAAGTTACAAATACCAACAATCCACCAATGAATTATATAAAATGGCTATGGAACTTTTCTCTCTAAGCAAATGTGACAAGTTATGAACACGTACAGTTACAAGTTCACGTATTCCAAATTTAGAAAGTTACCCTGAGGGTTGCTTTAAATTTTTATGTCTCTTTAAGTTGACTTTTTTTAATGGTTTCTTCAATACTAATTCAGAATGAACTACTCTGGACTACCAAGATCTGTATTAGTTTTCTAGGGCTGCTACAACAAATGACCACTAACCAGGTAGCTAAAAACAACAAAATGTATTCTCCGCAGTCGTAGACAGGTCAGCAGGACCACACTCCCTCCAAAGGCTTTAGGGAAGGTGGCTTCCTTGCCTTTTCTAGCTTTCTTTGGTTGCTGGCAATGCTGGGCACCTCTTGGCTTGTAGAAATTCACTCCAATCTCTATCTCTACCTTCACATGGCCTTCTTCCCTGTGTGTGTTGGGCGGTGGGGCGGTGCTCATGGGGAGAGAGGGGAGGTTTCTGTGTCTAAATCTCCCACTCCTTTTTCTTATGAAGACATAAGTTAGTATGATTCCATCTTAACTTGGTTACCTATGTAAGCACCTCAATGCCAAATAAGTCACATTCACAACTACTGTGAGGGAGGACTCAATCATAACTTTTTAGAGACTACAGTCCACTCACTACAACTTACCCACCCTTTGGGCCCAAAATTCACGTCCTTCTAAGTGCAAAATGTTTTCACGACATCTTAACATCCTTGGGAGTTTTAAACCACTCCAGCAACAGCTCAAAGTCCAAATTTTTATCTTCTAAACCATCTAAATCAGCTACAAGAGAGACTGGGTACAATCTGCCGTGGGGAAAATAACCCTTCATCTGTGGATTTCAACTAGGAAATGAGTTTTCTTCTTCCAAAATATAATGAACAGGCATAGGATAAACACTCCAATTTCAAAAAGATAATTGGAAAGAACAAAGGGGTCACTTGTGCCAAGGAAGTTCAAAACTTAGCAGGACAAATTTTACTGGTAGTAAAGGCAAATATACATAAATTTGAAATAGACTGACCAAAGACATCAAGGTATTTTTTTGTTTAAAAACAGTGTATGACAAGCATACGAAAACATGTCCATCGGTAATTAAATAAATACAAATCAAAACCACAATGAGATACCATCTCAAACCAGTCAGAATGGCTATTACTAAAAAATCGAGGAATAACAGTTGCTGGTGAGGTTGTGGAGAGAAGGGAACACTTTTACGCTGCTGGTGAAAACCTGTTAGGTTTGTCCAAAATTAACTGTAGTTTTTGCCACTAAAAGTAATGGCAAAAACTGCAATTACTATTGCACCAACCCAATAAATTAGTTCAGCTATTGTGGAAAGCAGTTTAGAGATTCCTCAAAGAATCTAAACAGAATTCCCACTCAACCCAACAATTCCACTATTGAATATATACCCAAAGAACATAAATTATTCTACCATAAAGACATATGTTCATTGCTGCACTATTCATGATAGCAAAGAATCAACCTAAAAGCCCATCAATGACAGACTGGATTTAAAAACGTGGTACATATACACGTGGAATACTATGCAACCATGAAGAGAATGAATTCATGTCTTTTGCAGCAACATAGATGGAGCTGGAGGCCATTATCCTAAGCAAACTAACACAGGAATGGAAAACCAAATACTGCCTGTTCTCACTTATAAGTGGGAGTTAAACTTCAAATACATATCAACACAAAGAAGGAAACAACAGATATTGGGGTCTACTTGAGGTTGGAGCGTGGGAAGAGACTGAGGATTGAAAACCTACTTATTGGGCACTATTCTTATTACCTGAGTGACAAAATAATCTGTACAGCAAGCCCCTACAACACAACACAATACACCTGTATAACAAAGCTGCACATGTAACCCTAAACCTAAAATAAAAGTTAAAAACAAAATAACAAAAAAGTAAACTAAAAGAGTGTACGTTTATGAATTGTTTGAATCTAAACCTTTTGGTAATGCACCAAAGACAAGACATCAAATTGAAATAGATTGGAGGATAAGTCCGGGCATGAAGAAATGACGTGCTTGAATTTAACAACTTAGTAATTACGTTCAGCTTTGAATGAGTAGACAGTGGTAAGACATAACTGGAGGAAATGTGGAGCTGATGCGTAGGTTGTATTTGCTGGACTTTCAAATGGGAGAGACTGAAGCATGTGCACAGGCTGACAGAAAGGGTGCAGTAAATGCTATATTCCAGATAACCTGAGGGCAGATCCATTATCTACTGTACTACCAGCAATTACAATAATACCCAGCAGGCCAGGCGTGGTGGCTCACAACTGTCATCCCAGCAGCTTGGGAGGCCGAGGCAGGCGGATCACCTCAGGTCAGGAGTTTGAGACCAGCCTGGCCAACGTGGTGAAACCCCATCTCTACTAAAAATACAAACATTAGCTGGGTGTGGTGGCAAGTGCCTGTAAGCCCAGCTACTTGGGAGGTGAGGCAGGAGAATCGCTTGAACCTGGGAGGCATAATTTGCAGTGAGTTGAGATCAAGCCACTGCATTCTATCCGGGGAGACAAGAGTGAGACTTTACCTGAAAAATAAAATTAAAAAAAAATAGAATAACACCTGGCAGTAAACTTTGAATTGATGTAGAAAAAAAATAAAATAAGAAAGAATGAATGAATTCAATAGGAAGAATAAGGTTCCATACTCTGGAAACCAGTAATCCATGACTCAAAATTTTCAAGAAGGTTTAGAAAGACTGGAGGACAGTTCTTCTTTAGAAAGAGAGTGACGGTGCGAGATTAACACATATACAAGTAGGTTAGCCAATTTGGTAGCTGGTGGCTGAGCATATTGCTATCTATTTTCTCTGTGAGATAAAAGGCTGGGCTATATACTGAGAGTGGTGGTGGAGTGGGAGGGAGTGAAAGGTTTGAAATAGTTATAAAAGAGTTAGAAAAGACCACTCACAAGAGGAAATTTGTAGGATTTACAGGAAGTAGTGGAAAAAATGCCTGGCTGTAATCTGTGATCATGAAATGTATAAGAAGGGTTAAATAGCATTGATATACAGTTAACAGCATCAACTGTTAAGATGGAATTACTGTTTAAATGATTTGTTTGTGATCGTTAAATAAGAGACAATTCAGATACAATGACTGTTTCTGATATGTGACCATAGTTTATATTTGCAATCGATGTACTGTTGCAACTTTGCATCAAATTTGCCCTGATGCAAATAATCATATTTAAATATATTCTCCTTTCCAAGATGAGAATGTCAAACAACTGTCTTACTGTTATAGAAATGATTACAGGTTCAAATACGTTGTTGCTGTTGCAGCAATAGTGCCAGAAAGAACAAATTAGTTGATCTGTATTGACCGTGTCTCCATGGAGTTAAATTTCTAGACTCTGAACCAATAGGCCAAGATACATCCAAATTATCTTTAGTTCTAGTCTTTTCTTCTCTTCTCAAGTCTACTATACCTTATGAAGCCATATATACTGAGATGCTTAAAAATGTAATAACTATTGAGAACTTCTTTAGTATTTTGCTGATGTTAAAATCTAGGCCCTGCATGTTGTTTTTCTGCTTTTCTTAGTGATCTTGCTGAGTGCTGTCTCTGTAGCTGATCACTCATGCTAAAGCTCAGATCACAACCTGACTGACTGATTCTTGGCACCACCAGGATCAATGTATGATGAAACATTTATGATGTTAGCAGTCTATTTTGAGCAAGTTAGCCTTTAATCTATAAATTTATTTTACTAATGAGGACACAATTTTTAAAAACTTCTGTATAGAGAATAAGTAATAAAAAATTATCAAGTATTTTTATTGAGTCAATAAATTTCAGTTTTGTTTGAAGGACCTACTGGGTTTTATTCAGAATTAATCTGTTTTTCTACGTGTTGCTGCCTGAATACCACACATAATATTACAGTACAGATTTGTTTATACATCATAATGTCTTAACTTCTCATTAAAAACTAAACCTCTATACAGAAGATTGCTTCATCCTTGTTTCTTAGATCTTAAATCAGATTACTTGAACATTCTTACATGTAGTAAGTACACAAATGTTTATTAAATAATAAAGTCACCAACTGCTACAGGCCAGCCACTGTGTTAGAGTTGAAGGACGTAGAGAAAAACACCTTCCAAATCCCAATCTCATAATAGGCACTGACAGGAGATAGTAAATGAAACTACAGATGAATGGGCAATTTCAGAAGAGGAGTCAAGAAAGTCATCAAAGAAAAAATGAAATTGAAACTGGCTTTTGTAGAACAAAAAACGGTATACCTATCAGGCAAGGGTAACTCGCATTACAGATGAAGGACTACAGAGGAAGAGAATGAGCCTGAGAAGGAATGGACATAAAACCGCAGAGCAGTGGGTGCTAAGGGAAAGATTAACAGAAGCATCATCATGGTACATAAAGCAGCAGAAGGTAAATGGAGGTAGCAATTGATGAAGAGGAGGATTAGCAAGAAACGGTTATAATTGCTCTTCATGTATTACGCTGAGAAACTTGGGCTGCATCAGTCTCCGAAATTCTCAGCAGAAGGGCATGGGTGTGTATTAACATCCTAGGGTTGTCCTAACAAAGTTTCTCTGACTGGGTAGCCTCAAACAACAGAAATGCATCATCTCATTGTTCTGAAAGCAGTAAGTCTGAAAGTAGGAGGTTGAGAGTGTTGATTCTTTCCGCGGGCTCTGAGGGACACGTGATTCGTGCCTCTCTCTTAGCTTCTGGTGGTTTATTGGTAATCTTTGGTGTTCTCCGGCCTGTAGATTCATTACCCTGATCTCTGCCTTTGTGTCCTTGAAGTGTTCTATTGATATACAAGTCTGTGTCCTAATTCCTTTGTTAAAAGGGCACCAGTCCGGAATTAGGGGTTCACCCTAATGACCTCATTTTAATTTCATTATATCTGCAAAAAATGTATTTCCAAATAAGGTCATGTTCACAGGTATTAGAGGTTAAGACTTTAACATATCTTTCTGGGAATTACAATTCAAACCAAAACAGTGTGAGAAGGAGAGGGTTGGGGCAGAGTAGTATCTTTACATTCAGTGACCGATTGAATAACAAATAGTAGTAAGTAATTCCAGATGAAAAGTCAGAGAACATAGAGGAAAGAAGATGAGGAAAAATGAGAAGAGAAAAGGGCCAGGGAAAGAGTATTCATGGGTATACCGAGGAACGCAGAAGAGGAGAATGGGGCAGAGAGACATGAAGCACCCTAAATGGGGAGAAGATGATGTGGCTTAGCACTCATAAAGCAAAGCAGATAAGGCAAGTGAGACAAGACTGAAGCAGTTGTTAATTTGACAATTAATGGAGAATCCCTAGCCTTTGGAAGGACAAATGTAGTAGTAACCTGGGAAGGACGTGCTATGTAAAGGAAAGCCATTTTTTTTTTCAAATGAGAAATACAAGAAAATATGTCTTTATAAGAAGAGAGAGCCTTTGAAGCTATGGGCTAGTGGATGGAGTCAGGAATAGGAGAAATTAATGCACTGGACTCCATGAAGAAAAAGGTCCTTATTTTCAGTGGAGGGGGTGATGTAAGGATGTGTGGTATCAAGATAGATGTGTGGGTATCAAGTTATTAGGGAAAGAATGAGAGACTGGAGGAGCTGACACCTGATGGCATCATTTTTTTGCTCTTTAAGAAAAGGCTTGATTGTTTGCTAAAGAAACAATGGTTGGGCAGTATCTCCCAGGGTCTCCTTTCCTGCCTGCCATCCATGATAAGGTTAGTTTAGGCTGGAGCCCCTGAGATGCCAGCACAGATGAGTATTTCTATCTCAGCACAGGGTGGTACCAGTGCTGTTGGGACATTTCTTCTTGCTCTCAGAGAATCCATTACATTCATTTTCATGAGCTAAAGTTATGGAGGAAACACCTTTGGTTGATGTTTCTAGTTGTTACCCCTCTGTAAATATAATTGTATAAATAGATCTTCTATTTATTACATAGAATATTATTCTACTGCTTTATTAAATATTTATCAAAATATTTTCTACTTCTTTCATAATGTGAAAGAAGCTAGGATAAATAGGACAAAACAAAAAGTAAAACCTGCTGTTCCTGATGTGAATATAGAGAAAGGGAATGGCTTTATATGAGATACATCATTATATGCATATCATGGTAACCATATGATTCCTATTAATAATACTTTATTTAACTCTTTCATTTGATTCACATTAAGAATAATTGAGTAGGCTGAAGAAACTTAATACAAATATATTTTGATATTTATGTAATCCAAAAAGGAATGATGTAAAATGATATTCATCTATTGCTTGTTTTTTTGAAATGATGATACAACTAATAGAAAATCAGCTAAATTAGTTATTGTAATTTTACTTTGAATTAAACTAAACTGGTCTAGTTTCATTGGATAGAGACTTTAGATTTGCTAAGATATTGAAATAATTTACTTACAATAAAATATTGCAAATAATGTAAAAGGCAAATAAAAATTCTGGTTTGCAACACTGAGATAAAGATACAAGAATAAGAATTTGATCTTTTATGAGAAAGAAATCATTAGTTTTCTAATAATTCAACATTAAATGTATTTAATTTATACTTTTCTCCAAATGCAGTGGGTTTTCTTTCCAAAAAAAAATTGTGGAAACTGATATACTAGAGAATTTGAGAAGAGGAAAGATTTTATTTAAGATATCTTATTTCTTTTCTTTTTTAAGAGAGGGAGAGGATCTCGGTCTTTTGCCCAAGCTGGAGTGCAGTGGTGCAATCACAGCTCACTTCTCACTACAGCCTTGAACTCCTAGGCTCAAACAATCCTCCCATCTCAGCGTCACAAGTAGCTGTGATGACAATTGTGTCCCAGCATGCCCCACTAATTTTTTAAGGATATTTTGAAATAACCAAATATTTTCCAATTTCATGGAAATGAAATCAACATTTGTTTATCCACTTATTGTGATTTATTTTGTTGAGAAGTAAAATCTGTGAGTTCTTATGAAAGTTTCATGGCAGTCAGTAAACTGGTTTGGTTTGATTAGACAGATACTTTAGATTTGCTAAGATGTTGACATAATTTATGTAAAATAAAATGTTGTAAATAATGAAAAGGGCAAATGAAAATTCTGATTTGCAACGCTGAATTAAAGATACAAGAATAAGAATTTGTTCTTTTATGAATATGAATTCATTCATTTTCTAATAATTCAACATTAAATGTATTTAATTTATACTTTTCTTCAAATACTATGGGTTTTCTTTCCAAAAAACTGTCTGTCTGTAATTTGCTATTTAAAAATCTTGTACAGATCTTTTGGAAAAACTAAGATAAAAGTGTTTAGGATTTAATGATCTATGCTGATAAATGCACCAAGTTTCTGGCTGAACCTGAAGGAATACATGGTACTGTCTCTGGGTTGCCTATTTATAGAACCATTCTTGGTTTCATAACCCCCATACAATTGCTGCTGCCATAATCCATTTGCTGTCTTATATGTGCTCTGCAATTGTATATAAATTGAATCTTTATAAATTGAATTATTATAGTTGAAACAGAAAATATTATGGAGAATCCTTTGGTAGACTGCCAAGGTCTTTCACAAAATAATCACCTGATATTTTACATGTTTTTAAACATCCACACTTTTTTATTTCAAATTAGGGTATACTATAAAATTCTAGCATAAACACACAGTGTTGACATTATGTAAGATTCTTAGTCAATACTTTAAAGGAAAATAGCAAATATAACCCTTACTTTTTTTGTATAGAGTATATTAGGCATATTATCAAAAGGTTAGATCATATCTTTAAACGAAATCTAAAACCAGTTAGGCTTGGGTTTGTAGATAAAAATAAAAGCTTGGCACTAAAAAAGTGATTATGTGTGTGTTCAAAAGATTGCCAGAGCAGTGCTTCTCCAATATTCATGCGCAGAAGAATCCCCAGCGGATGTGTTAAAGCAGAAGTCTAGGGTGGGGTAGGTGATTTCAAATGTCTACAAAGCTCTAAAATTAAGGTGACTCCGTTGGTCTTAAATCACACCTTAGATAGCCAAGTAGTAGAGATTCTTTTTATCCTTGGACTAAAGGTGTGGATTTCTTAAAAATACTAAGCTTATTTTCACAGTGATTCAAGGAAACATATAGTTTTAAAAATTAAAACATAATAGATGCTATCAAAAATGAAAAGCTATAAGGCTGATCCTGATGCTAAGCATCATCACAGAAGAAACAAATATATACCTAAAAATGGTGTATGTTATTAACTATCGTAAGATTTATTTGAGGTGTACAAAGTATGTAGAGTCATAATCAAAATTAATCACAAATACTTTTAAAAAGAGACAATCATTTTTATCCACTCAGAAAAAGAATAAATGAAGGAATGCTGAAACATGGGTGAAAATTGCAAATAAAAGTAATATAATTATCCCATACTGTGCCCTTACATTTGGTACTCTTCGCAATAATGGCAGAACATTAAGAACAGAGCTAACGACAGGCCGACCAGCAATGTGCTGGCAGAATCAAGGGTTAAGAATTCTCAAAAAGTATCTGATTCATTTAGCATTCACCAAATATACTTTCAGAAAGAGAAAGGAATTACCACATTTTATGAAATCAAGTCTCTAAACCATTCCAGATTCACTGTAGTGAGCCAGTCGGCAAAATTGTTGGACACTAAATTTGAAAGAAAATGGCAATGCTGGTGAATGCCAACACCCAGGCCCCGTCATCTCTTCTTGTTCCTGGAGGCTGATGGAGATGCACAGATGTTTAGAGCTGACATGCACAGTGAGGCCTCCTGGACTTTCATGGGCTTTCACTGCTGTGAGTACATTTATTTTTATAGGTGTTATAACAGATCACCTTCTCATTTAACTTTGCCAAATACAGGCAAGCAATGGACCCTAATGCTATAGAAACATGCCATTAAATTGATTTTTAAGCTCAGATTGCTTTTCAAAGTTATTAGGGCCTAGGGCAAGTGGTTTGTTCACTGCCAAAGTGAAGGAAATGACTGAATAAAAATAAGAAAAAGTAAAGGAGAAATAATTGTAACTAATTTTTTTTATACATCACTAAAGGGATATTATTTTGTCTAGGCTGGGTTGAGATTCATGATAATCTAACTTGAGACAATAAAAAAATACATTATAATTGATTTGTTAAAAACTGGTCCAAACTTTGCATAGAATTCTTACAATTTTAAGGAACATTAGAGAACACGTAGTTCTCCTTACTCGATTTTCAGATAAGAATAGTGTAGACAGAAATATGTGACAATTCTGACCACAACAACCCTTATTCCTTCATCACCACCCTTCAGGGCACACACCAGCTTGTACACACATACACACACTACAGGCTCACAGGCACACACACACATCTCAGGACACAGAAGAATTTTGTGGTGCTAAAATTATTTCATTATTTGTTTAAAGTTAATTTGTTGCATGTAAAGAATCTCCATCATCTTTAAATTATTTCATATCTATCCTTAATGTTATGACACTTATTTGCCTTCTCTAATGTTAAACAGATTTTCTGACCTATATTATAAGGAGAAAAAATTAGTGTTCTTATAGACTTCATTGAATTTCTTAGTATTAAGTTTTGTTTATTTTTTAAGGAATCTCAGGGTTTGCTGAATTTATTTTCAAAGCTTCCATGCTCAGGATAAGCTATTTATTTTAGAGGCCTAAATTAAAAATGCACTGTTATTTTGGACAAACACCCTTTATCTCCACATTTGGGCAATGTTGAACAATTTTTAAGATTTGGAAGTAATATTTGCAATTGGTCCATATTTGCCATAATCATAGAATTTGGAACTTGGAAAAAAAATCTTAGAGTTAATGTATCTTGCAATGTTTAGAGTTTTTTGGTATTTGAAAGTATAAGCTTAAAAAACTGATAGTTTCAGGCTTTTAAAAATAAGTCTGAATTCATTTTTATAACTTTCCTTCTTTTTAACATTTTTAAAATGAATTTTTATTTTATTTTATTTTATTGTTCTATTTTTGGAGACAAGGAATCCCTCTGTCATCCAGGTTGAAGTGCAGTGGTGCGATCTTGGCTTACTGCAACCTCCACCTCCCAGACTCAAGGATTCTCCCACCTCAGCCTCTCGAGTAGCTGGGATTACAGGCACATGCTGCCATGCCCAGCTAAGTTTTTGTATTTTTGTAAAGACTGGATTTTGCCATGTTGCCCAGACTAGTCTTGAACTCCTGGGCTGAAGCAATTTGCCTGCATTGGCTTCCCAAAGTGCTAGGATTACAGGCATGAACCACCACACCTGGCCTGAATTCATTTTCAAATTAGGAAATAAAAATAAGCAGCTAAGAATACAATTTAATTCAATTTGTCAGTAAAGTAATACCTACGACATAAAAAATTAATACACACATATTTTGCAATGGGCTATAACATAAGACATTGACATTGGTGTAAATTTATCTTTGCTTTAAAACATAATAAACTTCTGAAAGCCCATTGAAAAATTTGAATTCAATTTAATGCTCTTTTTTCTGTGGGGAATGTACAGCCCCCACTGTTTTTGTTATAGACCCTCAGTGAGTGTTCCTTGAGTGAATAATATCCTATTAACTTCTCATTCACTATTTAAATTAAAATGACTCAGAAAATATTTATATTTACTAGTTACCATATTTATATAAATGAGTATATTAAGAAGTATAGTTACTTTCTGTTAGAAGAAAATGAGAAAGTTTACAAAATAGAATGGAGTCTACAGCTTATCATACCTTTCACTCTTGATAGGCTTAAGTGTATTAGTGACTCTAAAAAGATTGCTCACAGTTAATATTTTGACTTTCCTGGTCAGGGAAGGGGGAAATGAGATTGTGCATTAATTATAGACCTCGTGTTTAAGCTAAATCAATGAAAATGCCAGGATGATTGAAGTGTTTGTACTGATGATTGAGAAGTGTGACTGGAATAAGGAAAGGGAAGTAGCTGAGTCTAGAAGAACAGGAATGTGCTAGTTTGTGGATACTCAGGATTCAAGGTTAAATAGAATTTAGCCATTAGAAAATTATGAATTAGGTAAGTCGTGGTTAATTTTATGGGTCAACTTGACAGGGCTAAGAGATGCTCCAATAGCTGGTAAAACATTATATCTGCATGTGTCTGTGACAGTAGTTTTAGAATAGCTTATCAATTGAATCAGTAGACTGAGTAAAAAGTATCTGCCCTCAACAATGTTGGTGGGCATCATCCAATCCATTACGAGCCCAAAGAGAACATAATTGTGGAGAAAGGGTAAATTTTCTCCATCTTCTTGAGCTGGGACAGCTATCTCCTCCTACCCTTGAAGTTACCAGTTCTTGGAGACTTAGACACCAACGCCTCTGCCTCATATCCTCTTAAGTTTCTCAGGCCTTTAGCTTTTAAGTAGGAATTATGCCATTAACTCTCTCGGTTTTCAGATCTTCAGACTGAATTACACAACTGTCTTTCCTGGTTCTCCACCTTGCAGATGTTATATCAATCCAATATTCAGAAAACTCATTCTCAAAATTTTCTTCTAGAACCCCTCTTGGTACCAAAAATCTGTGCTATTGAGGGTTCCCCAAATAAACAGTACCAATAAGATATATGTAGATATGTAATAAGAGACTTATTAGAAAATGGCTCATGTAGTTGAGTTTTCTGAACTGAATTTGGAGCTTCTGGATGTGACTCTCTAATCTGATTATAAAAATGCAAAGCAGTGACTGATAGTTCATGGCAGGAACTATTTTTAGAGATATGCAAAATATTTATATTAGCTATTTCTAACCCACTACTTATAAGAAGTAAAGAGCTAAATAACTTTGAATATGATACTTTAAAACATTTTTGGAAAACTAAGGAATAGAATGATGCTGATTGGTTGCTCCTAATGTCACTGGACAAATGATGAGATCAAAGAATTAGCTTAGAAATTCTAAATCCCAGATCAAGGGCTGCACAAATGACCTAAGAGCTTCTAAGTGTGCCCTGAGTGAGAGCCTTATCTCCTGTAGCGGAAGGGCTGATATTGCTGATACTCAGATTATTGACCTTATCCTGTAATTGGCTTAATTGCAATACAAGTTGTACTCCCAGCCTTGAAGGATGTGTACTGTTAAAATGAGGGCACCGATTGGGGAAAAACTGAAACCTATAAGCTGGGATGGGGATGTCTGGAAAGCTCCTGATGAAGCTGGGAATATTGAGCACCTAAATTCTGATGAGTCTTCTTCGCCAGTGGAAGAGATCTCCCTACTCTCAGTGGTTGTGGCTTCTCCAACCCCAAGAAAAGTAGCCTCCCCACCCTGGGTGAAAGTGGCCTCCCTACCCCCCTACCTACTTCCCCACACCAAAGGTATCAGCCTTTTCATCTCTATCTGAGGGGGTTAACCCCGCATTGCCCCAGGAAACAGTAATGGCCTCTCCTGAGGCAGTTGGAATATAAAATAATGCTGATTCTCTTCAGGATCTACCAATTAATCATTTCCTTGCTTCTAGACCATAACTAGACTTCAGTTCTAGCAGGATCCTAAAGGTGATAAACGAAGCATAATTCATGAGGAAGTGTACCATTAATATACTCCAAAAGAACTAGAGTTTTCTAAGTTATACAAGCAGAAGTCTGGGGAGCATGTCTGGGAATGGATATTAAGACTGTGGGATAAGGGCTGCGTGCGGTGGCGCATGCCTGAAATACCAGCACTTTGGGAGGCTGAGGCGGGCAGATAACCTGAGGTAAGGAACTTGAGACCAGCCTGACTAATACGGTGAAACTCCATCTCTACTAAAAATACAAAAGTTAGCTGGGCATGGTGGCAGGTGCCTGCAGTCCCAGCTACTCGGAAGGCTGAGACAGGAGAATTACTTGAACCCGGGTGGCGGAGGTTGCAGTGAGCCCAGATCATGCCACTGCACCCCAGCGTGGGCGACAGAAGGAGACTCCATCTGAAAAAAAAAAAAGTGTGGGATAATGGTGAAACAAACATAAACTTGGATCAGTCTGAATTTATTGACATGGATCTGTTATAGTAGTCTGGTATGAGCCGGGTAGGAGAGGGCTCTCCCCCACCCACACACACCAGGAATGTCAGGCACCATCAGGTGATGGTCAGATGGTTGTTAACTGTCTTTCTAAAGTAATAATTGGTCACAGACAGTGCCAGGGAAAGGCAGTCTCCTGCTGGATAGAAAATACCTAAAACTGGTTATCAGCAGCTTCCCAATAAGATCTCAAGGGTTGGGCGGGTTGGGAGAAGTGACACAAGACCCTGGAATTATGCCAACGTATAAGCCTAGTCACAAGGTCAACATGTACACTTGTCTTTCAAGTCACCCACTTGGCCCTCTTCCAAGTATACTTTCTTTCCTTCCTTTCATTCCTGCTCTAAGGCTTTTTAAATAAACATTCACTCCTGCTCTAAAACTTGCCTCAGCCCCTCCTTCTACCTTATGCCTCTCAGTCAGATTCTTTCTTCTGAGGAGGCAAGAACTGAAGTTGCTGCAAACCCATACCAATTTGCCACTGGTAACGTGTTTTGGTGCCACGTGGCTCAGATACATTCCACCAGTAACAGGTGGACATGGTGGCAGGGATGAAGGTTATGCATGCACTCAGCAACATAGGTTTCCACTCACCAAGGCTGACCTAGCTATGGCCACCACTGGCAGATTATACAATCTGCCAGCAGTAGAGACCACATTGTGATCCCATTTGGCATTATTCCCCAGGGTGATCAGCCAGCTACCTAGTGGCAGTTTATCTACATTAGACTGCTTCCACTATGGAAGTGGCAGCATTTTGTGCTTATTGGAATAGACCCTTCTCAGGTTATGGATTTGTCTTCCGTGGGTGCAATGCTTCCACCGAAACTACCATCCGTGGACTTATAAAATGTCTTATCCACAGGCACAGTATTAAATACAGCATTGCTTCTGATCAAGGAACTCACCTCAAAGACAAAAAAGTGTGGCAATGGGCTCATGGTCATGAAGTCCATCGGTCTTACCATGTTCCCCATCATCCAGAAGCAGCTAACTTGATAAAAATGATAAAAGGGTCTTTTGAATTCAGTTACAGTACCAGCTAGATCGCAATACCTTACACAGCTGGGCCAAGATTCTGCAGAAGGTTGTATATTCTCTGAAGCAGTTTCCAACATATAGTAGTTTCATCAACAGCCACAATTAATGGGTTCAGGAATCAAAGCGTGGAAAATGAGAGTGGCACTGCTCACCATCACCCTGAGTTACTTGTAAAATGAGAGTGGCACTGCTCACCGTCACCCTGAGTTACCCACTTGTAAAATGAGAGGGGCACTGCTCACCATCACCCTGAGTTACCCACTTGTAAAATGAGAGTGGCACTACTCACCATCACCCTGAGTTACCCACTTGTAAAATGAGAGTGGCACTGCTCACCATCACCCTGAGTTACCCACTTGTAAAATGAGAGTGGCACTACTCACCATCACCCTGAGTTACCCACTAGCAAAATTTTTGCTTCCCATGCTCATGACTTTATCTTCTGTTGGGCAAGAGGACTTAGTTCTAGATGGAGGAATGCTTTCACCACAGAAACAGTCAATATTGCCTGGGGTTATTGATTCAGACTACCTGGGGAAATTGAACTACTACTTCTCAATGGAAGTAAAGAAGAGTATATCTACAACACAGGAGATCCTTCATGATGTCTCCTAGTATTACCATGTTCTATGATTAAGCTCAATGCAAAACTAAAACAACCAAATCCAGGCCCATCCTTTTAGAAACGAAGGTTTAGTTGTGACCACCCTGCAAGTTCTACAACCAGTGGAAGTTCTTGCTAAAGAGAAAGGAAATACAGAATGGGTGGTAGAGGAAGGTGGTTACAAATACCAGCTATGATCATGTGACTAGTTATAGAACTAAGGACTAAAATTATCCTATTTCCTCCTTATTTTGTTTTGAACATGTCTGTGTGTGTGTGTGTGTGTTTTCATCAAATATGTTTGTTTTCTTTCTTTTGTTTACATCTCAGTATTTATGTTCTGGATATCAGGAGAGGATTAAACACCACTCAAAGAATGTCTTAGTGCATCTGTGCTCCTGTACCAAAATACCTAAGACTAAGTAATTTATAAGGAACAGGAATTAATTTTTCACAGTTTTGGAGGCTGGGAAGTCCCAAATCAATGCTCCCAAGGCATTTGCAAGCCTTCTTGCTGCATCGTCACAAGGCGGAAGGGCAGAAAGACAAAAGCAGCCTCACTGGTCTCCTCCACACATTTTATAAGGCACTAATCCCTGTGTGAGGATCGAGCTTTTACATCCTAGTCACCCCCTAAAAGACCACACCGCTTAATACTGTCATACTGGGGATCGAGTTTTTTTTTTGTTTTCTCTTTTATTATTATTATTATACTTTAAGTTTTAGGGTACATATGCACAATGTGCAGGCTTGTTACATATGTATACATGTGCCATGCTGGTGTGCTGCACCCATTAACTCGTCATTTAGCATTAGGTATATCTCCTAATGCTATCCCTCCCCCCTCCCCCAACCCCACAACAGGCCCCAGTGTGTGATGTTCCCCTTCCTGTATCCATGTGTTCTCATTGTTCAATTCCCACCTATGAGTGAGAACATGCGGTGTTTGGTTTTTTGTCCTTGCCATAGTTTGCTGAGAATGATGGTTTCCAGCTTCATCCATGTCCCTACAAAGGACATGAACTCACCATTTTTTATGGCTGCATAGTATTCCATGGTGTATATGTGCCACATTTTCTTAATCCAGTCTATCATTGTTGGACATTTGGGTTGGTTCCAAGTCTTTGCTATTGTGAATAGTGCTGCAGTAAACATATGTGTGCATGTGTCTTTATAGCAGCATGATTTATAATCCTTTGGGTATATACCCAGTAATGGGATGGCTAAGTCAAATGGTATTTCTAGTTCTAGATCCCTGAGGAATTGCCACACTGACTTCCACAATGGTTGAACTAGTTTACAGTCCCACGAACAGTGTAAAAGTGTTCCTATTTCTCCACATCCTCTCCATCACCTGTTGTTTCCTGACTTTTTAATGATTGCCATTCTAACTGGTGTGAGATGGTATCTCACTGTGGTTTTGATTTGCATGTCTCTGATGGCCAGTGAAGATGAGCATTTTTTTCATGTGTCTGTTGGCTGCATAAATGTCTTCTTTTGAGAAGTGTCTGTTCATGTCCTTCGCCCACTTTTTGATGGGGTTGTTTGTTTTCTTCTTGTAAATTTGTTTGAGTTCATTGTAGATTCTGGATATTAGCCTTTTGTCAGGTAAGTAGTTTGCAAAAATTTTCTCCCATGCTGTAGGTTGCCTGTTCACTCTGATGGTGGTTTCTTTTGCTGTGCACAAGCTCTTTAGTTTAATTAGATCCCATTTGTCAATTTTGGCTTCTGTTGCCATTGCTTTTGGTGTTTTAGACATGAAGTCCTTGCCCATGCCTATGTCCTGAATGGTATTGCCTAGTTTTTCTTCTAGGGTTTTTATGGTTTTACATGGTTTTTAAGGTCTAACATGTAAGTCTTTAATCCATCTTGAATTAATTTTTGTATAAGGTGTAAGGAAGGGATCCAGTTTCAACTTTCTACATATGGCTAGCCAGTTTTCCCAGCACCATTTATTAAATAGGGAATCCTTTCCCCATTGCTTGTTTTTCTCAAGTTTGTCAAAGACCAGATAGTTGTAGATATGCGGCATTACTTCTGAGGGCTCTGTTCTGTTCCATTGATCTATATCTCTGTTTTGGTACCAGTATCATGCTGCTTTGGTTACTGTAGCCTTGTAGTATAGTTTGAAGTCAGGTAGTGTGATGCCTCCAGCTTTGTTCTTTTGGCTTAGGATTGACTTGGCGATGTGGGCTCTTTTTGGTTCCATATGAACTTTCAAGTAGTTTTTTCCAATTCTGTGAAGAAAGTCATTGGTAGCTTGATGGGGATGGCATTGAATCTATAAATTACCTTGGGCAGTATGGCCATTTTCACGATATTGAGTCTTCCTACCCATGAGCATGGAATGTTCTTCCATTTGTTTGTATCGTCTTTTATTTCCTTGAGCAGTGGTTTGTAGTTCTCCTTGAAGAGGTCCCTCACATCCCTTGTAAGTTGGATTCCTAGGTATTTTATTCTCTTTGAAGCAATTATGAATGGGAATTCACTCAGGATTTGGCTCTCTGTTTGTCTGTTATTGGTGTATAAGAATGCTTGTGATTTTTGCACACTGATTTTGTATCCTGAGACTTTGCTGAAGTTGCTTATCAGCTTAAGGAGATTTTGGGCTGAGACAATGGGGTTTTCTAGATATACAATCACTTCATCTGCAAACAGGGACAATTTGACTTCCTCTTTTCCTAATTGAATGCCCTTTATTTCCTTCTCCTGCCTGACTGACCTGGCCAGAACTTTCAACACTAGGTGGAATAGGAGTGGTGAGAGAGGGCATCCCTGTCTTGTGCCAGTTTTTAAAGGGAATGCTTCCAGTTTTTGTCCATTCAGTATGATATTGGCTGTGTGTTTGCAATAGATAGCTCTTGTTATTTTGAGATATGTCCCATCAGTACCTAATTTATTGAGAGTTTTTAGCATGAAGGGCTGTTGAATTTCGTCAAAGGTCTTTTTTGCATCTATTGAGATAATCATCTGGTTTTTGTCTTTGGTTCTGTTTATATGCTGGATTACATTTATTGATTTGCGTATGTTGAACCAGCCTTGCATCCCAAGGATGAAGCCCACTTGATCATGGTGGATAAGCTTTTTGATGTGTTGCTGGATTCGGTTTGCCAGAATTTTATTGAGGATTTTTGCATCAATGTTCATCAAGGATATTGGTTTAAAATTCTCTTTTTTTGTTGTGTCTCTGTCAGGCTTTGGCATCAGGATGATGCTGGCCTCATAAAATGAGGTAGGGAGGATTCCCTCTTTTTCTATTGATTGGAATAGTTTCAGAAGGAATGGTACCAGTTCCTCCTTGTACCTCTGGTAGAATTCCGCTGTATATCCATCTGGTCCTGGATTTTTTTGGTTGGTAAGCTATTAATTATTGCCTCAATTTCAGAGCCTGTTATTGTTCTATTCAGAGATTCAACTTCTTCCTGGTTTAGTCTTGGGAGAGTGTATGTTTCGAGGAATTTATCCATTTCTTCTAGATTTTCTAGTTTATTTGCGTAGAGGTTTTTATAGTATTCTCTGACGGTAGTTTGTATTTCTGTGGGATCGGTGGTGATATCACCTTTGTCATTTTTTATTGCGTCTATTTGATTCTTCTCTCTTTTCTTCTTTATTAGTCTTCTAGAGGTTTATCAATTTTGTTGAGCTTTTCAAAACGCCAGCTCCTGGATTCATTGATTTTTTGAAAGGTTTTTTGTGTCTCTATTTCCTTCAGTTCTGCTCTGATTTTAGTTATTTCTTGCCTTCTGCTAGCTTTTGAATATGTTTGCTCTTGCTTTTCTAGTTCTTTTCATTGTGATGTTAGGGTGTCAATTTTAGATCTTTCCTGCTTTCTCTTGTGGACATTTAGTGCTACAAATTTCCATCTACACACTGCTTTGAATGTGTCCCAGAGATTCTGGTATGTTGTGTCTTCTTTGTTCTCGTTGGTTTCAAAGAACACCTTTATTTCTGCCTTCATTTCGTTATGTACCCAGCAGTCATTCAGGAGCAGGTTGTTCAGTTTCCATGTAGTTGAGCGGTTTTGAGTGAGTTTCTTAATCCTGAGTTCTAGTTTGATTGCACTGTGGTCTGAGAGATAGTTTGTTATAATTTCTGTTCTTTTACATTTGCTGAGGAGAGCTTTACTTCCAACTATGTGGTCAGTTTTGGAGTAGGTGTGGTGTGGTGCTGAAAAGAATTTATATTCTGTTGATTTTGGGTGGAGAGTTCTGTAGATGTCTATTAGGTCCGCTTGGTGCAGAGCTGAGTTCAATTCCTGGATATCCTTGTTAACTTTCTGTCTCGTTGAGCTGTCTAATGTTGACAGTGGGGTGTTAAAGTCTCCCATTATTATTGTGTGGGAGTCTAAGTCTCTTTGTAGGTCTCTAAGGACTTGCTTTATGAATCTGGGTGCTCCTGTATTGGGTGCATATATATTTAGGAGAGTTAGCTCTTCTTGTTGAATTGATCCCTTTACCATTACGTAATGGCCTTCTTTGTCTCTTTTGATCTTTGTTGGTTTAAAGTCTGTTTTATCAGAGACTAGGATTGCAACCCATGTCTTTTTCTGTTTTCCATTTGCTTGGTAGATCTTCCTCCATCCCTTTATTTTGAGCCTATATGTGTCTCTGCATGTGAGATGGGTTTCCTGAATACAGCACACTGATGGGTCTTGACTCTTTATCCAATTTGCAGTCTGTGTCTTTTAATTGGAGTATTTAGTCCATTTACATTTAAGGTTAGTATTGTTATGTGTGAATTTTATCCTCTCATTATGATGTTAGCTGGTTATTTTGCTCATTAGTTGATGCAGTTTCTTCCTAGCCTCGACGATCTTTACAATTTGGCATGTTTTTGTAGTGGCTTTTACCAGTTGTTCCTTTCCATGTTTAGTGCTTCCTTCAGGAGCTCTTTTAGGGCAGGCCTGGTGGTGACACAATCTCTCAGCATTTGCTTGTCTGTAAAGTATTTTATTTCTCCTTCACTTATGAAGCTTAGTTTGGCTGGATATGAAATTCTGGGTTGAAAATTCTTTCCTTTAAGAATGTTGAATATTGACCCCCACTCTCTTCTGGCTTGTAGAGTTTCTGCTGAGAGATCAGCTGTTAGTCTGCTGGGCTTCCCTTTGTGGGTTACCTGACCTTTCTCTCTGGCTGCCCTTAACATTTTTTCCTTCATTTCAACTTTGGTGAATCTGCCAGTTATGTGTCTTGGAGCTGTTCTTCTCGAGGATTATCTTTGTGGCATTCTCTGTATTTCCTGAATTTGAATGTTGGCCTGCCTTGCTAGATTGGGGAAGTTCTCCTGGATAATAACCTGAAGAGAGTTTTCCAACTTGGTTCCATTCTCCCCATCACTTTCAGGTACACCAATTAGACATAGATTTGGTCTTTTCACATAGTCCCATATTTCTTGGAGTCTTTGTTCATTTCTTTTTAATCTTTTTTCTCTAAACTTCTCTTCACGCTTCATTTCATTCATTTCATCTTCCATTGCTGATACCCTGTCTTCCAGTTGATCACATCGACTACTGAGGCTTCTGCATTTGTCACGTAGATCCCGTGCCCTGATTTTTAGCTCCATCAGGTCCTTTAAGGACTTCTCTGCATTGGTTATTCTAGTTAGCCATTCGTCTAATTTTTTTTCAAAGTTTTTAACTTCTTTGCCATGGTTCGAACTTCCTCCTTTAGATCGGAGTAGTTTGATCTTCTGAAGCCTTCCTCTCTCAACCCATCAAAGTCATTCTCCATCCAGCTTTGTTCCATTGCTGGTGATGAGCTGCATTCCTTTGGAGGAGGAGAGGTGCTCGATTTTTAGAGTTTCCGGTTTTTCTGCTCTGTTTTTTCCCCATCTTTGTGGCTTTATCTACCTTTGGTCTTTGATGATGGTGACATACAGATGGGGTTTTGGTGTGGATGTCCTTTCTGTTTGTTAGTTTTCCTTCTAACAGTCAAGACCCTCAGCTGCAGGTCTGTTGGAGTTTGCTGGAGGTCCACTCCAGACCCTGTTTTCCTGGGTATCAGCAGCGGTGGCTGCAGAACAGCAGATATTGGTGAGCCTCAAATGCTGCTGCCTGATTGTTCCTCTGGAAGTTTTGTCTCAGAGGAGTACCCTGCCATGTGAGGTGTCAGTCCGCCCATACTGAGGGGTGCCTCCCAGTTAGGCTACTCGGGAGTCAGGGACCCACTTGAGGAGGCAGTCTGCCCGTTCTCAGATCTCCAGCTGCGTGCTGGGAGAACGACTTCTCTCTTCAAAGCTGTCAGACAGAGACATTTAAGTCTGCAGATGTTATTGCTGTCTTTTGTTTGTCTGTGCCCTGCCCCCAGAGGTGGAGCCTACAGAGGCAGGCAGGCCTCCTTGAGCTGTGGTGGGCTCGACCCAGTTCAAGCTTCCTGGCTGCTTTGTTTACCTACTCAAGCCTCAGCAATGGCGGACGCCCTTCCCCCAGCCTTGCTGCTGCCTTGCAGTTCGATCTCAGACTGCTGTGCTAGCAATGAGTGAGGCTCCATGGGCTTAGGACCCTCCAAGCCAGGTGCGGGATATAATCTCCTGGTGTGCTGTTTGTTAAGCCCATTGGAAAAGCACAGTATTAGGGTGGGAGTGACCAGATTTTCCGGGTGCCATCTGTCACCCCTTTCTTTCACTAGGAAAGGGAATTCCCTGACCCCTTGTGCTTCCTGGGTGAGGCAATGCCTCGTCCTGCTTTGGCTCATGCTCGGTGTACTGCACCCACTGAGGGACCGAGTTTTAACACAAATTTTGGAGGGGACATGAACATTGAAATCACAGCTAGGACTTTAGCTTCTTTTCTGAGGAGTGGATTAGTGTGTTTTCAGTTGTATGGACTGTTGTATCATGCTGGAGAAATTATCACATTGCTATTGTCTTTATTTGAAGAGCAAGTATAGTTTAAGGAGATGCGTATGGGTGCCAAATTGACAAGGGGTGGATTGTGATAATTAATGTTATCTGTCAACTTGACTGAGCTAAGGGATTCTCAGATAGCTGGCAAAACATTATTCCTGGGTGCATCTGTGAGGGTGCTTCTGGAAGACGTTAACATTTCGATTAGCAGACCGAGTAGAGAAGATCCATCTCCTCTTATGTATATCTATATCTATATCATCTAAATCTATCTATCTATACTGTATTTATCCTATTGGTTCTATTTTTCTAGAACACCTTGATAAATTCAGGTGGCATAGGGTCCAACATTGCTATTCTCTGTGTTTTGTATTCCTTTGCTTAATTTATTCTCAATACATGTCAAATTAATAACGATAAAATATGTCTAATAAGAACTTGACATTCAAATTCAAAGCTTAAAGTCTAAAAGTTTTTTGACTTTACACCACAAAAACCTGATTTTCTACCTTTATGTGCATTGTTTTTCCATGTGCTCCACTTTGATAAATGCAAGATATTTGCAAAATGTTCTATAAATTAAAGAAATCTCTTAGTACTTTATTTAAAAATAGATGTATAAAGGTGAATTAACACTGATTAATTTCCTTAGAAAAAAGAATACACTACCTTTTTGAATTTTATTTCATTGAATATTATCTATGGAACCATTCTCATTTTTCTTTTCACAACATAAGGATCAGAAATAAACACTAAGAGTATAGTCTAGTATTGGCGAAACAATCATATCCACTTTTTAAAAGGAATTTCCCATACTCTTCTTTTTTGTTTATCTTAACACTTCTTTAAAAGACTAGTTTAGGATTACATTAGATAACTTCTTCTAAAATATATATTTTTTCCTTTCTTCTCTGATTTTCAAGATTCTTTTTCTTGTTTACTATGATAATTTGTCTGAAAGCGAGTACCTCTGTTGAATTTTCTAGAGTTTGTTTTAAGGTTATAATGGCCAATCCAAAATCTCTCTCTCAAGATAACTTTCTGTTATGTATCATTGAAATTCTACCCATCTTTCCCTATGCCTCTGTACAGTGAATTAAAGAGAACCAAAAATTTCTTGTCTCTCCTTCTGTCAAGTAGTATATGCGTTCCTACCTTGTGACACATAATGTGGCTAAAGAGATAGTGTTTAACTTACAAAATAGGCCTTAAGATTTCTGTAGCATTCACCTTTACCCTTGAGAAATTCCCTTTGAAAGCCAAATACCAAAAGTGAAACTAAGAACACCATGATATAAGGAAGGCTTTTAAAGAAGTTAGTCAAACTGAGAGAGAGAGAGAGAGAGAGGCTCCATGGGTTAGTACCAAGGTATCTCACATGTGAACCTTAAGATGTGACATTAAGGAATGCTGGGATATTTCAGCCTAATGGGGAGAACTACAGAGAAGCAAGTACTGAATGGACAAGGGAAAACTTACGCAGCAGAAATCTGACCTTAATGATGAATCAGAATTAATTATCAAATGGATAAATCCTACCACACTTGTAATTTTAGCCCAGAGTTAGTCCTGATCTTATTGCATAATAAATGACACTATTTTTTTACACCTACTTTTTATTCTAGCATTTAGAAACAAACTAACAAATATTCCAAGATAAAAAACAAAAAATCTAATTGCTAAGAACATTAAGTTTTTAGTTTCCTCTTATAAACTGGAACTTAAGTTTAAATATATATTTTAAATTATATTTTCTGATTTCTATTTTAGCCTGTAATAATGCATATTACATTATCTCGGGCCCTGTCCCTCTTTTAATAAACAAAATAGAAATTCTAATATCAAAAATAAATTGTTTTCAATTATATTTGCATCTGTCTTCTAATCTGTCTTCTCCATACGATTGCAAGCTCTTCAGGAAGGACCATGTTCCGTTATTTACACGTCCCCATTAGGTAGTAAAATACTAAACACAGAATTATGTCTGATTGATTATGGTTAAATGAAAGAATTAAAGAATGTTATAAAATTTGTATATTATATATTATTAGAGAGGTTAGCTGGTTCACCTACTTAAAGAACATACATAATTGAATAATTCCTTTTTTTCAAAAATATACTTATTATGGTTATTCTAGTTAATTTGTATAAACATGAAATGCATAAATGTATTTCTAGAAATCTACTTCAAAATTCATCATAAATCTATCAGGTATGAAATTTCTTATTAATTAACCTCAATTGTAGTCACTTGTTTCATATTAAAAGAAACATGTTTAAAGCAATTTATTATCTTTTATTAACCAGACAAAATCCTAAATCCAGCTAATTTGCAACTACTCTGATATACTTTAGGTATATCAAGTAAAAGGTAAAAGTAATTTTGAATTTATATCAACAGCTGACTAATTCATCTTTTATCCATCATTGAAAGACAGAATCTTTAAATTATGAAATAAAACAGTGTACAAAAAATGTATACACTTCAGGAAATACATTTTTAAAATACCTCTAAAAGTCTGTATGGCATCTGAACTTGGACACACAGCTTCTGTAGATAAGCATTTAATTATTCTCCATAATTATGATTTGTCTTCTATGATGCTAAAAAGCATTGCTTGTAAGGAATTTCTAAAATGAACATGTTTCTCCCAATCATGTGTTAACTCAATCATTTTTCATTCTGACATGTCAGTTTCCTATATATAATCTCTAAAAGTTAAGTTTTTAATCCTAAAATAGTAGGTCACATCACTAAAAGAAAAGGATGTCATAAAATACTATCATCTATTATCTGACATTCTTTTTTCTAAAATTCCAGGCTGACTTTAGCTGAACAAGTTCTTAAATTTCAAATCAAACATCCTCTAAAGAATAAAATGACTATGAGCTCTTCACTCTATATGTTTAATTATGAGTAAAATTTTCTAAGTTAGCAAACTATGAACTCAAGTCATCTTTGCTAAAGAAATGGAAAATTGTACAGAAAGGGAGAAGTTGCAAGGGTAAGTATGGCTCCTGAAGCGCTTTATAGAAGGGCAAACATTGTCAGTGTCCTAGGCTGGTGTTGAGGTTTGGCAAGAGTGAGTAAATAACTGTGGATGGAAAATTAGAAGAGGTAGTTAAGTTGATATCAGGTGACAAATGAATTTTTTTCTACGTCACTCATTACAAAAGATTGGTTAAAACACTTTAACCTCTCCAAGTTAATTTCCTCATGAGTAAATGCTGAGCATATTAACTCAGAGTGCTGAGCAGATAATTACTTTAGAAGGTGCAAGCAAAAGTATTATAAAACTTTAAATTATACACAAATGATAGATTTAATAATTGTAGTAAGTCATCTAGGGCTAACCCTGAATGTCGATAAATAAGAATCCTGCATCTTACCTAGAGGGGAAAGAACAGGTTTACAAAGTTCTTTGTGCAACTTGCATGATTAGATACTTTATAAACACTTGATTATAACATTAATCACACAGCCTACTGAAAATAAAGCACATTTTTCTATTTGCCCCTTTTTTGGAGATGAAAAATGTAATATTAAAAGCTAGATAGAATTTTTCAATCAAAACAGCATTTATATTTATTAACTCTGTTTAAATATAGCACATAGAAAGAAGCTCTTAATCAGGCTAAAAATAAATTTGGTATTGATTGAGAACAAATTTTTTTACACTTAATAATCAAAGGCACAATATAACCTACTGTTTGGGTTCTTTAAGCCATTATATCCTAAAGTTTCTTAAAATTGATTTGTGCCTAGTAGACAAAAATATCAATTATGGCTCAATAATTTTAAAATGCTGTGTGTATAATATTCTTTTTCAGACGGCTAGAGAGTCCACTGATTTTTTAGCTTTCCTTCATGAGTAGTTTAGAAGTTGAGATAGCTTACTAACAAAGTAGCACATTTGGAAAAGGGTCAAATACAAGATTCCTAGAAATATGTGTTTTTTTATTTTGAAATTTATTTAACAAACTTACACATTAGGTTTCTTAAAAATTGCTTATTTTGATTTTGGGAATAATTATCACACCAAACATTTACATATATTAGAAGGGAGAGTTCTTTGTCATTCCTGTAACATGCAAATATCTGCAGTTTTCATTTTAATGGTTTATGCTATTCCTCTCTGCTCTATTTCCAGTGCTACTGGACTAGACCAAAGAGTGTCCAATCAACTCAAGTGATGAAGTTCTGGGCCTGAATGTTTTTTTCTTTTACTATAATATTCCATCATTTAATCCATCCTTTGCTTGATTCATAAAAAGTCAAATTTGATCATGTCACCTCTTCAATGCCTCTGTATTCCATAGAAGATAAATTCTAAATGCTTCAATATGAATGTCTTCTGAATCTGTTTTCAAGCTACCATTTCCAGGGTCATTGTTGACCATGTTTATTCTCTATACCCCTGTGTAGTTTAATCCCCAGCTGCTATGAAATAATTCCATGAGCACGACACATCTTTTTACACTGCTATATTTATTACATCTTTGTACAAGAATTACATCCTATGCCTAGAATATTATTTGATGTCAACTCTCTTTAAAATTAACACCAATCTTACCTTCCTATGAAGTATTCCTGAGGGGCATAGAAGAGACAGTCTTGCCCCGCCTATGAAGTATTCCCACCTTCCCCAGAAAATCTAAACATTTTGTATATACCACTATGATATTGCTGTTTTTTTCCTCTTCAATTATCCTATACCATACAGATAAATTATTCGATATTTATATAATGTACTGGCTGCATCTATTGGGACTAAAGAGAATCTTATATTTTCAAAAATAGTTAAAATAAAAACTTTCATACCAATATAAAATGAACACATATCAAAGAGTTTGTTCAATTCCTTAGTTAATAAGAGAATGACTAAGATATTACAACTGATTCAAAGGAGAAATAAAGTGCCATATCTAGGTAGGTCTGACAGGAAAGCAAAAATGAATTTACAAATAGTTACAAAACTGGCTTTTTCCACTGGGAAAGGGACTGGGCATCAATTGCCCTTCCATCTGATTGTCTGTGGACAAGATCACATGCCTTGCCATGTAACAGTTTAGAGAAATAAAAATAGTTCTGACAAAGTTGGGGATAATCTGGAAGAGTGCATAGACATCTGGTAATATACAATTTTTTTGCCCATTTTCAACTATTTCACATGTTTTTTCCTGGGAGTAGTAATAAAAAGTCTTTGAACAAAATTCACATTTGTTTCATGAAAGCAGGTACATGCAAAACGACCTCCAAATGCAGAAGGAGCCAAGAAACCAAAGGAGCCAGACACGTTCAGCTTGTCATTATAGGGGGATTTTATTGGGTAATTTACTGACAAAAGTGTCGTTTTGGAAGCCAGAAGCTAGGTAGATGTCCGTGCCATTATCCCCCAGACCCGGGGATTATACAACATAGGGAAAGGATACATGTGCTTCAGAGGAAATGGGTACAAATCGTATCTAAGGGCAGAATTTATGGTAAAGTGTGTGCTTTTACACAGGAAACAATAAAGGAACAGGAAATCTCAGAGAGATTTCTAGAACTGTAATCAGAAGTCAACGTGGCAGATTATTTTCTCAGATGGAGTTACTTTAGCGTTCACATTTTATACGAAAGTATGTTAAGAAAACAAAGTACAAAAGCTGGGAAATCACGTGTCTAAGATCTTTGGTGTCTAAGAGACACGGTGCTTGCTCAGTGCCTATGGGAACCTTGACATTATTAACTGGGATACATAGAATTTAGAGTACTTTTGAGAACACTAAAAGAATAAGTTACTCAAGCATATAAATATGTATTTGAAAAAGTATTATATTTCACTGAATTTATTTCAAATAAATGATGATTAATTCTGAGGTCAACATAAGGCAAACAGGGCATTTCCATTACAAGGAGAGCATTCCTCCAGGAACTTCATTCTAATCTTGATCACTCAGAACATTCTGTATTAGTCCATCCTCGCACCACTATAAGGAAATACCTGAGACTGGGTGATTTATAAAGAAAAGAGGACTAATTGGCTCATGGCTCCACAGGCTGTACAGGAAACATGATCTGGCATCTGCTCGGCTTCTGGGAAAGCCTCAGGAAACTTACAGCCACGGCAGAAGGCAAAGAGGGGAGAGCAGTTCACAGGGCTGGAACAGGAGGAAGAGTAACAGTGGGGAGGTGCTAAACACTTTTAAACAACCAGATCTCACAAGAACTCACACACTATCATAAGAACAGCACTGAAGGTGCTGGTGTTAAACCACTTATGAGAAAACACTGCCATGACTCAATCACCTCCCACACTGGGGACTATAATTTGACCTGAGATTTGGGTGGGGACACAGATCTAAACCATATCACATTCCTTTCCAAAATCTGATTTCAGCATCATCTTCTTAATAAAATCTAACCTTTTACATATAAGAGAAACATCGCTCCTTCCTCCTTTGTGATCCACATTATCCCTACGGACACTTCTGTTACAGCACAAATTCATATTTAATCCATTGATTTTTCATTTGTCAATTTCACCAAGTTCCTTGAGGGTAGGCATTGTGTCTAATCCATCTATTTTCCCAGTATCTCACATATTTGTCACACAGGTGATTTTCAGAAATGTTTAGTGAATATGTGAACAAAAAGGAATAATATTCAGAATGATAAATTCATTTTTAAATATATTAATTGAAGCTTTCTTATTTTTGAGTGTTTTAATACATCAAATTAATTTAAAGATAGCAATGATAAACATACTAGAGAAAATACTAAAATTAACATCATAAATTTATAGCCCACATGTAACTAACACTTCGTATACTTCCAAGATTGTCCAGGTCATACTATGAATAGATCTTTCAGTAAAATAACTCCAAAATTGTTTTAAGAATATATTTAACTACCACTAATTTGTAAACATATCGGTTAAACTGCAAAACAGTATTTATTTAAAATTTTAAATCCATAATAATAAAACTTACTAGAAGATAAAATATTTTCTGCATAGACTTGATATTACCTTATCGCATAGCTATAAGTAAGGCTCAGTATATAAAATAAAACTGGTTTAAAGCCTTGTCTAATATACTGTTGATTTCCTGCTTAAATGCTTCTGATAGAGTTTGTGAGCTAAAGTTAATTATGAAGGGAATTGTGACAAATTACCTTGCATATTAATGGTTCTAGTGGTTATATCTAAAATTTATATTAACCTAAACTCATGGGAATGAAAAAAATGCATAATCTTTTCTAATGGGATTGGGATTGTGTGGCTCTGAGGCTGTTAAGTCTGGACTGATGCTGGAAACTAATATCAATGTTTAACAGGGTTGACTGTCATTAATGATGTGCCTAGCTGTGGGTACAGATGCTTTGCACATTACTACCCTCTATTCTCACAATCTTCCATGGGGGATGTATTAGAATCCCCTTTTATAAAGGATAAAGGTGAGGGTCAGAGAGATGAAGCATATCTTCCAAGATGAAACAGATAGTGAATGCCCAATGAAAGTAAAGCTCAATGAAGGAAATACCCAAGACTATTCCTTGCACTCAAGCAGTGGTGAAGGGGGCTCTCGGAACTTTTCACACATGGGAGTGTCTATATGCACGTTGGACCCAGAGCACTTGATAAGGGAAATCACTCAAGCAGTGGTGAAGGAGGCACTCTGAACTTTTAACACATGTGAGTGTCTATATGCACGTTGGACCCAGAGCACTTGATAAGGGAAATTTATTGCCTTTTTGATTTTCCATATTCAAATTTGAGAAATTGCTTATGATAATTAATACATTAATTAGAGATGGAAATCTTCAAATCAGCCATATAATGTGACACAAAATGGCAAACACCAAGAAAAGCAGAAATTGATATTAATTAAGTTTAAAAATAGGCCAATGATAACTTATTAAACTATTTAGAAAATAGTAAATGAGGACAGCTCTCAGACAGTAATGTAAGGCAATGATTCAACCAGTAAAACCTGCCCCTGAGAGGCTTTGGGGCAGCCAGGTCAAGTAAGAAGTTCTAAAGGCTTTTGTGCTTTAGCGGGCTGCAGGTGATGGTCAGCTCTCTAAGAGTGGGGAATTGTACGACTTTATTTGTAGAGAGAGAGCAGAGAAGTATTTGAACAATAACTGGGCTCCAGGGGGACTAGAGGGACAGCCACCTCTCTCTCTTTGTTTTGACATTCTTTTCTTCTGCTTCCAGATTCAGCCCTGGTGAGTCAAGGGGAAGTGGACTAGTAAAAAGTTGAACAGTTCGAGTTTGAGTCCCAGCCCATGGCTAGATGGTTGTTAGCTGTGCTTGTATAGCCAGATGCTAGTGTGTCACCCCTGAAATGCTTCCTTTTCTATCAGTGACAAGTTAGAAAACAGGCAGAACCCTCAAACGGAGGTACTGGAGAAGAATTTTATGAAGGGGATACTCTTAGATCCGTGAACAGGAACCCAAAAGGGATGGCATGGCCCCCAGAGACGTGCAAGAGCAAAGCTCTTAACCCTCCAGGCCTGAAAAGCAAAGAGGAGGGAGGGGCTGTGTAAACCTGGGGAAAGCTGACTTAAGTTCAACTACGTTTCTGGTGATAAACCTGTTCAATGGGAAGATGCTAGGTAATAAAACACATGGACTCTTAGTAGATAATGAAAGACATGGACTCTTAGTAGAGTTAAACAAATCCTCTATACAGACGAGCTGTAACTCACATGGGCATGTGGTGGCAGCCTAGAGGTCTAGAAGGTTCTTCCCTTGCCTTTCACGAGCAGGAGTGTGATGCTTCTTGATCTAGTGCAGCCAGGTTGCTCCACTTGCCCACTGACTTTTCTCTTTTCCAAAAGGTACTTACCAGCCTCTCCTCACTTCCATCTTGGCCTTATTCTCTCTCACCAAAATCTACTCCTCTTATTTGAAATTAAAAAAGAAGCAGCAGCATTTCTGTTGAACTCACGGGTACAAAATAATAACAACAGCAGAGCTGGGAATTGTGCTAGGAACTTTATAAGACTTTGTCTCATTTAATCCTCAATACAGCTTTAGCGTATTTTTCTAGAGGAAAAAATACGAGGATCATCTCCATTTCATGAGTTGGTAAGTAGAGAAGACTTTTGTCTGTTTTTTAACTAATTATACTAGTTGTTCAGGCCTTTATCCAAGCCATCTAAACCTAAGGGTAACTTCGTCTCAGTGATATTTCCAAATAAAGATTTTTAAAATTTCTTTTTCATACTTTGCAAATATTCACTGACTCTATGAATTTCCAATGAAATTTATCTATAGAATGTCCATATCCCCCACATATTTTTTACAAAAAGGCCCACAGAAAACAAATCTTTAATAAAATAAGACACACTGTTCATACAGTTTTTATTTAACATCTTTCAGCATTTCTTTATATGCTCCCACCCACATGTGATTCTCTGGCACATAATGGGATATCTGCAAGATGAACTCAGATTGTGATATGTAGCCAATAGGAGACAAAATGCTCAATTTATGGGTTACATGAAGATAACACTTTACCCACTAATTCACATGAAATTCTCCTTGTAGCTCACTTACACAGAAGTGGGAGAGCAAACACATTCTCTCAAAATATCAAGGTGTTCTATTCTGAGAACAGCAGAATTCGATGCAGGTGGCTATTGAATTAGCTATTAATAGTTGATTAGAAGGATATATTTTAGAACATTCTATTTCTCTCCAGAACAAAGAAGAGTCGATTTTAAACAGAACTCTCAGCTTCTAATAGTATGTGTGATTCCATCATACTATTTTGTGAAATAGAACTATAATTCAAACCTGTAAGTTAATGGTATTTGACAGAAAGGTACACATCACATTTTGCAGAAGAGCCTTGATTACTTTCAGTGCTTCCTCGCGGTAATAAAGTCTTGACAGCTTCCATTTCTCAAAAGAAAAGCTTTATTATTTTCTCCTCAATTCTAAGTAGTTACTTAACTTTAAAATAGTTGCAAGTAAACAGGAATTTCTTTGTTGAAAAAAATAGATAAGAATTTCTTATTCAGTTCCTCCCAAACTACTATCACTTAGGAAATTTAAAGTAACAAATGGGTGCAGTTTAAAACTTCAAATACTTTAAAATGTTTTAGTTACCACTTAGAGACTGTATCAATCAGGGTCCAGGCAGGAAACAGATGATATATACTCAAATCAGGTAATCTGAGGAGAATTTATTAAAGGCATTATTTACAAAAGTGCAAGCTGTTGTGTGAGGAAAATGCAATGCCTGGTTCAGTACTGCGGGCAGGAACAGCAAGGCATCTTCTTACACCTACCACTAAACAGCAAAGAAAAGATCAGGTTACTAGAACCATGACCTGTCATCTGTTGACCGGGAAGCCGATAGCCTGAGGCAATCTGACTCAGATTACTAGAACCCTGACCTGTGATCTGTTGACCGGGAAGCCGCTAGCCTGAGAATCTCATGGTGAGAAAGGAGAAGAAATTATGGGGGAAGCCGATAGCCTGAGGCAATCTCACTCAGGTTACTAGAACCGTGACCTGTGATCTGTTGACCGGGAAGCCGATAGCCTGAGGCAATCTCACACAGGTTACTAGAACCGTGACCTGTGATCTCTTGACGGGGAAGCCGAGAGCCTGAGGCAATCTCAAGGTGAGAAAGGAGAAGAAATTATGGGGGAAGCCGATAGCCTGAGGCAATCTCACTCAGATTACTAGAACCCTGACCTGTGATCTGTTGACCAGGGAAACCGACAGCCTGAGAATCTCATGGTGAGAAAGGAGAAGAAATTATGGGGGAAGCCGAGAGCCTGAGGCAATCTCACTCAGGTTACTAGAACCCTGACCTGTGATCTGTTGACAGGGGAAGCTGATAGCCTGAGGCAATCTCACAGTGAGAAAGTAGAATAAATTAATACCTTGGCTTCGCTTTCATTCCTCCTTCTGAGTTTTTTGTGGCTTTCCATTGGCCAAACCAACTGGAAGGCCATTGATGGAGTCCGTATCAGTCAACCTTTCTGAGTACAAAGTAGGTTGGGAGAGGGTAGCAGTGTGGATCTGGGGGGGATTTGAAAGACATACACGGGTACATTGTTTTAGGCAATCAGTTAAATTTTTGCCTGCGGCTGAATTTTGCTCTTAAAAGACATACATTTGAGTCAGGAATTGTAATTTCTAAGGGTTGTTCTATAATTAAGTTATTCAATATATTTTAGGAGGGAAGAGTGTGATCCAGTTTGGACTCATGAACTACACACAGCTACTAAAGTATTTCAACAGTCCAAGACACCTGAACACAGTGTCACTCTGCCTAGAGAGCCCAAGGTATATCAGAGACAGTAGATCAACAAGTCAACTGGTAGACTTTTGGGCAGAATATGTGACCTAGGACATCAACCATCTCCAGAACAAAGAGAAACAATGGAAATGTACTGTCTTTTTCATAAGCCTCACCAGTGGTCAGTTCCATCACCATTATATACACATTACTTCTTTTCCTGCACAAACACCCACACCCATAACTACACAGGAATCGGCAGCACCCTTTAGATGACTGTATCATGGAAAAAAATTTTGGTTGTACAACTGCTTCAATAATTATTCTGCAATTTCACCAGTAATTATAAAGTGTACACATTTGGTCTCTTCCAGTCTGTCTGCACCTATGATCCATTTAATAAATTCAACAAATGTTGATCAGGTTATTTTTTCATGCCAAGCAACATCCTTTGTGGTGGGATAAAGCACTGAAATAAAGTTCTGTCTACAAGGTACATGATTTAGATAAGCAGTATTATTAAATAGTTGATTCAATAAATCTGTATCATGTTCATCAATCCGCGTTTCCTACAGTTTTATATTCATTTCATGTGTGGTAAGATATCCTCCTTGCTTTTAAACAATTTATATTTTTGCAGAAAATACCTACAAGTCTAGGCATTATATTGCTCTCTCCTCTCTTTTTCTCTTTTCTTCTCCATTTTATGAATTATGAAACAGTCGAAGGGCTTCATTCAAGTGAGACAGAACATTGCCAAGTGAAGCATAACACGATATATGTGGAAAATATTGTGAAGATGTCCAAAATGTAAATGCAGATTTGCATTTTATTTTTATTTCAGGGGAGTAGAGATGAGCTGTGCTATGCACATAAACATTGAAGCAGTCACTGATGCATGAGTGCTTCCCTATTTGTTCCATTTTCATCCACTGCAGTATCCTTGGATCATGTTCTTGTTTGGCGTTTTATTAGCAGGACAAGTGGTGGGCTGGTTTGAAGAATACAATTCAGGGTTTCTTTAAATCTCTTTTTTTTTTTTTTTTTTTTTTGACATTTCTCGTTGTATTGCACCATGTCAAGTAAGCATGAACCACTGTGCACAGTATATTGAATTTTCTTCAGGTAGTTCAAAACAAATTAATTCTCTACCCACACATCATTTAAAGCACTAATTCCCTGTGCAGCCCAGCAAACTTCAAGCTGTACCTGTTCAGCATATAAAGTTAAGGCAGTGCACCATGAACACCTGTGAAAGTTTATGGCCGTCTGCTTCCTCAAGAAATCTAAATTCCAATAATATAAAATTAACAGATGGGGAAGAGCTATAACCTCAGCTTTGAAGAGGGTAACGGCAACCTTTAATTAACATAGTGTCATTTTGCTGGCAATTGTTTACAATGGCCACAGGGACATAGTTCAACAATGATGGCACATTAGTGACATACTTTGCTTTTGTTCAGGGATAGTTTGTATGGAGAATATCTCTCGATTTCTAAAACTCTAACTTAAGGTAAGTCTTCATCCTCTTAACTAAGGAACAAGATAATTGAGATGTAATGCAATGGAGTTCAATGCATGACGGTCCTAAGAATAATGGAAAGATACCTGTGAGACTGGAAGTGGCAACGTTATGAATAAAAAATTAAAATTGGTAATAATCCACTCGCATAAGATTAAGTATAAAAATTGGATTTTCAGAGGAAACTTCTAACTCACTGCATGGATTTTTCAGAAACAATTTCTCTTAATATTCACAAATAACTGAGAAGACTGTTGTGGCATAAAGACTGATTCAGAAAAAAATTAAAACCATTTATAAACCTCAGGGTTTGTTTTGTTGTTTTGCAAAATTAGCCTGTCTTTGTGCTGTTTTCTTTTTCTGATCATAAAAGTAATGCCTGCTCAATATAAATAATTCAAACCCTACGAATGTTTAAAGTGGAAAGTGGAAGGTGACCATGATTTCATGCTCCACAAACCTGAGGAAAAAACATCAATAAATCTTTATTTTTATTTTTTCAATTAATAACTCAAGAACCCACATGCTAGTTTTGTAAGGGGTCCAAATCTAACGTGTGAGCTGGCTCCAAGCTGCCCACTGTTCACCAGCACTAAGTGGCCCCACTCATGGCTAGGCAACAATGTGAAGACAGTATCTGAATCTGAACACAGTTTGGTTCTATGATGCTTCTTGCCACCCTACTATAGGATAATCTGGTCCTCCATTACATGACCAAAAGTGCTAGTCTGTATGTGGAGATGCTTGGTGGTATGTTTCTGCATGGTCTGCTGTAGCCTTTGTTAACAGAGAAATTAATTTAATTCTGTCATTCATCCCCACATTCTTTTGCTTGCTTAAGTTGCCCCCTATACTGGACGTATTAATCTATTGCTTTTCTGACAAATTTGGTGCAAGGTACCAGAATATGTCACTCCCAAATATGCCTCTTTGACATATGAATTATTTTGAGCTAAAGGCCATTGAGAACCAGTGGATTCAGGAAAAGCTCCAAAAACAGGGCATGAGCTTTCCTTTTATAAAAAGTATTTCCATTTACAAAGTGATTTTCCATTTGTAAATGGAAATTACAAATTACAAATGCATCCCTTTCCCACACCAGAAGAAGGAGAACTCTTCACAACCCTTGTTGATGGAAAAGGCACTGACCATACTTTTTCTTGGTCACCTTGCTCCTTCCCCAGACCCAAGCCCCTTTTCCTTTGTTTAGCCTAAGATTGCATTTAAGTCCAATTCTAACTATTCAGAGTTACTCATCTCTGAATGCTCCCATGTGTATGTGTGATGCACACATTAATAAACTTCCATATGTTTTTCTGTTGTTAATCTGTCTTTTGCTAGTCTAGTTTACAGGGCCCTTGCTAGAGAACTTCAGATAAATAGAGAAAAAAGTTGTTTTTTTATCCCTCTCCTATAGTGGAAATAAAGGAAGACCATCCACATGAGAATACACAAAGGCTAAGTATTTAGAGTTTGCTATACAGAGACAGTCAGCCACTATTACTTGAATTTGGCTAAGGCTCAAAGGTGGGCCAGTGAGTAAAGAAACTTTATAGTAGAAAAAATGGAAGGTTTAACTGGAGATTATTGGCATAGAGAAGCTGTAGGCAGTCAAAGTCGAAGTGGGGCATTTTATCTGTTCGAGTTGAGACGCATATTTGGCTTTCTCTGGTTGGTCCTAAATTGGAAGTGGGAACAAAACTAGAGAAGTTGACAGTTATTGACAGAGTGTTGATCATTTTGGGCCAACTGCTGAATAGCTTGTGGTTTGGCTTCCTGGACTGGCTGTTGCAGAGTTTGTGGGTCAGGTTTCTATTTTTATTTATGGTCTGGCCATTATCCATTTGTACATTCATCCTCTCACGAAGTTACCAACAATTCAACAGCTTGAACAATACGGGGTTATTTTGTGGCAGCTCTGTAGGTCAGAGGTTCTATATGGGTCTCAAGGAATTAGGATCATCTGTTAGCAGGCTGCATTCCTTTCTGGAAGCTCTAGGGGAGAATCCATTTCCCTCCCGTTGGAGTTTTTGGAAGAGTTCAATTGCTTGAGGTTGTAGGACCAAGGTACCCATTTTTCTAGCTGGCTGTCAACTGAGAGCTATTTGCTGTTTCTAAAGGCTGTGACATTCCTGGGGTTTGACTCCTTCCTACATCTTCAAAGCCAGCCAAGGTGGCTTTCTCTCACTTACTGCTATGGTACAAATAGGAATCTCATACACATTTGAGGAATGATCTGATAATTGGGTGTATGGATGTGAATGCTTGGGTGGCAGACTGGGAGGGCTTTCAAGGTTGAGGCAACAGCCTGTTGCAAAAGAACTGAGGCCCTGTAAGTACAGGGTGATGTTGATGAAAAAAGCCAAACATTGTAAAATATTCAAAAAGATTTATTCCAAGCCAAATGTGAGAATAGGACTCATAGCCCAGCCCCATTGAGAACATGTACCCAAGGTAGTTGGGGTACAGTTCAATTTCATACATTTTAAGGGAACAGAAGTTACAGGCAGACATCAATCAATACATGCAAGGTGTACATTGGTTTGGTTTGGAAATGTGGGACACCTCAAAGTGGGAGTGGGGCTTACATGTCATAGGTGAACTAAAAGAATTTCTAATTGGCAATTGGTTGAAAGAGACCTATCTAAAGACCTAGAATCAATAGAAAGGAGTGTCTGGATTAAGATAAGGCATTGTGGAGACCAAGGTACTTACTATGTAGATGAAGTCTCATAGATGGCCACCTTCAGAGGCAATAGATGGCAAATATTTCTTATTCAGACCTTTAAAAGGTGCTAGAGTGTCAGCTAATTTATTCAGGATCAGAAAAAGACCTGGTAAGGGAAGAGGATTCGCTATATAATGTATACTTCCCCTACAAGAGACCCCTTTGCAGAGCCATTTCAAAATATGTCAAAGAAATACATTTTGGGGTAAAGTAATTTCTTTCATGCAGTAATTTCTTTTCATCACATGCAGTCTGCCATGTGATGCTATATGAAAGTCAGGTTGGAATTTGGCATCTTATTGCTGCAGAGTCTATTTTGTCAGTCTTAAGATCTCTGTTTTCATGTTAATGCTGATCAATTGTGCCTAAATTCCAAAGGGAGGAGGGTGTGATGAGGTATGTCTGATCTCCCCTTCCCACCATGTCCTGAGGGAGGAGGGTGTGATGAGGTATGTCGGATCTCCCTTTCCCACCATGTTCTGAGGGAGGAGGGTGTGATGAGGTATGTCTGATCTCCCCTTCCCACCATGTCCTGAGGGAAGAGGGTGTGATGAGGTATGTCTGATCTCCCCTTCCCACCATGTCCTGAACTAGCTTTTCTGGTTTCTTTGGAAAACTCTCGGCCTAGAGGAGGGATCCGTTTAGTCGGTTGGGGTGCTTACAGTTGTACTTTGGTTTACAGTGAGATTCAGATATTAAGAGTTGGTGGGAATTTCTAGAACTTAAAGTACAAAAAGGAGTGGCAGAAGTCAAAACTGCAGTGGTCATCATAGGTAAAACCAGGATACTTATATTGTTCTCAGAGGATTTAAGATATTTTCTCACCCTTTGCAAAAATAGCTGGCACATCAAGTGTCCATATGCCCAACAAGATTTCAAAACATCCTGGCTCTAGAATTACTTAGAGATGAATTCAAATTCTATTTCGGCCATTCACTTACTACATGACTTCGGCCAGTTAACTTCATGAATCCTCTATTTCCTCACATGTAGGACAGAGATAACTGTAACTTTCACATATGTTTGGAGCATTATGTTAAAAAAATACCTTCACTACTTAGGAAAATAAACAGGATACTGGTAATAACAATAATTTTATTTTATGTTTAAAGTATATTATATCCAGTCCCAGATCCAAATCTAAAGAGAAATTGATTAACTCGGTGGATTATCACTCCCCAAAAGGAGAAAGGTAGTCCCAGATCCAAATCTATAGAGAGATTGGTTAACTCAGTGGATTATCACTCCCCAAAAGGAGAAAGGCAGGCCCAGATCCAAATCTATAGAGAGATTGATTAGCTCAGTGGATTATCACTCCCCAAAAGGAGAAAGGCAGGCCCAGATCCAAATCTATAGAGAGATTGATTAGCTCAGTGGATTATCATTCCCCAAAAGGAGAAAGGCAGGCCCAGATCCAAATCTATAGAGAGATTGATTAGCTCAGTGGATTATCACTCCCCAAAAGGAGAAAGGCAGTCCCAGATCCAAATCTATAGAGAGACCGATTAGCTCAGTGGATTATCACTCCCCAAAAGGAGAAAGGCAGTCCCAGATCCAAATCTATAGAGAGACTGATTAGCTCAGTGGATTATCACTCCCCAAAAGGAGAAAGTCCTTGTTGTCACTCAGCTGGGTACAACAGTATAACCAGCGACTTAACTGAGGCTGAGGTCACAATTCAATTTGCACTAGAAGCATCAACATGTGTAAAGTATGTAATCATTAAACGGAAAGCCATCACTTAAGCATACTAAATTTAGATGCATATCATGGGGTCTATTTTAAATCACAATATGTTATCCATTTACTTAATACCTAGTGAGCATTTATAGTGAGGTAAATTGTTTCCTCCAATTTACTATTAATGTCACATATCAATTTATTCAGAATGGTGATTTATGGCTTTATGAGCCTTGGGAAAAGAGCAGAATAAAAAGACATGACAATAACATCCTTACATCTCAGATGTAATTATATAATATAATCTCCAATTTTCAAAACCTGCTTGAACTTTGCCAGTTTTTCCTTACAGAATTTACTTTTTTTCATGCAAAAAGACAGGAATAAGACATTAAGCGAATTATAGTTTACCTCTGAGAAATCTCACAGCAGAAACATGAATTTTAGGATAAAATTATTATTTAGAGTATTTTCTCTCATTTTTCATTTCTTAGACTAACCCTTTGAGATGTGGATGTTCAGTCACTTAGGATCAATAATAACTAAAAGCAATCCAAACAGAAATGTTCCTGTAGGAATTCTTGAGAAATATATATGTGTTTCTCTCTCCCCCAGTAAACACTCATCCAAGGTACAGCTGACTATACATCGGGGAAAATAGGAATACTTATTCTTTTATTGTCATGGATATTATATAAGGCAATGATTATATGATTCTTAGGATAGTGCCAGGTAAATACCAAGAATTCAATTGCTGTTAGACTTTAAGTCAGTATCATCAGCCTTACTGCAGCTTGCACCATTGATAACCATTTCTTCTGTATGAAACATTTTAGCTTCTTGGCTAAAATGGGAAATAAGAATCAGGTCCTTCATAGTAGGAAGAAAGGGAAGTAACCTGTGGGGACTCCCAGAGTGAGAACAGGAAAAGGCACTGATGTACCCAGGCTCCTTGTCTGTGACAAAGAGTGTGTGCACATTGCAATCCTATGAGAGGGTATTACACTCTTTGCTGGGGTGGGTTTATGCGAGAAGGGAAACTTCTTGAGGGTTCTAGGTCCCCATCATGAAGTCCAGAGTCTCTGACCCTACCTTATAAAACTAAGGATGTGGCTAAGACGTAAGTGGCACTTCCTTAAACCTCACACCCCTTTGCAATGCACAACTTGAATTGCTGCATCCATTTGCAGCTGTCCTTTGCCTTTGCCTAAGAATAATTATCTTAGGAAATGCTGCTGAACAGCAGAATAATAATAGGCATTATAGGCAGAGAGATCTGAGTTCAAATCCTTATTCTTCTCCTTATTGGCTTTGACAACTTGAACTGTTTAACTTGATGTCTCCACATTTCATGTGTGTATCTACTAAGCATCCCCTTCATCCTTTATGTGCCTATTAAACTCTCTAAGAACTCCTTTCAACACACAATTATGTATCTTCTCTTCTCTGAAGGCTTTACTGGTTTAACTGGGCACAAATAATCACATTCTTCTATAACCACCACTAAATAGTCTGCATACATTTTAAATTCATTCCTATGAAATTGACAATATCCCACCTCTTTTTGCCTAAAGGATTGGCAATCCTTTATATTTGATCCTAATGTAATTCCATAAATAACACTGGTTTTGCAAAGATTTGTTAAAATGTCAGGTGATCTGTGAGTTCCTCATGGACAGGGACCATGTCTTATTTAAAATATAAACCAGAATTTTATAATGGCTTAACTACATGTTTATATTCACCTTCAATAATCTTTAGCTGTAATCTAATTTTTCTGTCTCAATTTCCTTATCTGAAAAGCGAATCCAATATCCCCAATACTCAAGGTGTTTGCAAGGATTCAATGAGATAGCATGTGAAATTTTGTTTTCAAGGAAACATCATTATATCTTTTTAATTAATCCTACTATTGTTCTTCAATGAGATTAAGACAAGTTGCCTGACTATTCACAAATGTAAACATGGTGCCCTTTTTGGGAGGAAAAAAAACTGACAAACTGATAATAGATTGAACTCAAATATTAATGAACTACTCCTTTTTATGTCAGCTAGCATGTTGACAAAAGTCAACCTTTAAAAAATCATACTATAGGCCTGGCGCAATGGCTCACACCTGGAATCCCAGAACTTTGAGAGACCAACGCGGGCGGATCACGAGGTCAGGAAATCAAGGCCATCCTGGCCAACATGGTGAAACCCCGTCTCTACTAAAAATACAAAAGTTAGCTGGGCGTGGTGGCGGGCGCCTGTAGTCCCAGCTACTCAGGAGGCTGAGGCAGGAGAATCACTTGAACCAGGGAGTCGGAGGTTGCAGTGAGTCGAGATTGTGCCACTGCACTCCAGCCTGGTAACAGAGCGAGACTCCGTCTAAAAAAAAAAAAAAATCACATTAAAGTCAGGTATTGATTAGATCTACAGTCCTTCCGGTATTAACTTGCTGTTTTGTCTTAATTTATAGAGTTTATTACATAAAACTTAAAAATATATGTCCTCAGTGACTATGCAGACAGCAATAAGACTCTTGAATGATTTGTATTCCCATATTAAATTTGTGCAGGAGCACTCATAAAATATAATCCAAATAAAGATTACCAGTGAACAAGTCCAGCTTTGTCCTCACACTATATATATATATATATATATATATATATATATTTACACACCATACATATTTATATAGATATATATACATAAAAAGAGAGGAGAGATTCAATAAAACTATCTCAAAAACTAAAATATGTGCTAAACAATAATGAAATTAGGAAAATATTCTTTAAGCAAAACAGGAATAACAATAGAAAATAAAATGTTAGTCTTTCTCTAGAAGAAGAAGAAACACCCCCATAATGAAATTAATATTAAAATAAATGTAGAATTAAACTTGCATTACTAGATTCAATCTTTCAATTCTTGTTTTAATAATAATTATCTTAGGAAATGCTGCTGAACAGCAGAATAATAATAGGCATTATAGGCAGAGAGATCTGAGTTCAAATCCTTATTCTTTTCCTTATTGGCTGTGAGAACTTGAACTGTTTATTTAACTTGCCTGAAACTCACCTTCCTTATTTGAAAAGAGGATTGTGATAAAAAATAGTGATAATGTGTATAACAGTCTTAATTCTGAAAATAGAACACATAGTTCTTCAATAAAATGGTAAATAGTCTGGCCAGAGTTTCAAAAAGAAAAAAAAGAGGTCACATGATCAATTAATAATCTGAATAAAGGTGGCCAGTAAACAAGTCCAGCTTTGTATTCACACAACATTTTCTAGGAAGATATTTCCCATTTTATGAAAGCTTAAAATATGTCTCACTGACAAATGTCTGATCTTTACATTCATTAAGAGTAAGTTTCGAAAGATTTTCCCCTATGGGCATATGCCAACAAGACTAAATGAACAAATTATTTTCTACTTGCAACATAGATAATCAATTGGAGGAAGTGAAAGGGAAAGGAGTTAATCATCATCTATAATTGTGCCCTAGAACAAGGTAAGGCTGGGGAATCAAAACAACAGCATTTGATAACAGAAATTTATATCATGCCCAATATTCTGTTTGGACAACTAACAGATGGTAGTAGTACCATTCACTGGGAGAATGATTGCAGGGCAAGAAAATTATTTGCAAGTAACAGGACAGGCTTAGATATGGACACAGCAAATTTAAGCTGACTGGAGAATAAAGTAAAGTTATCTAGTAGCTAGCTGTATGTGTGGGTTGAAAGAGCAGAAACATATCTGAAAGTGAATACCACCAAATACAAAGACTTTAATTGGTGCCATGGGAGTAGGAAAGAGTGATCCCAAGTAAACACAGCTACAAGATAATTCTTACAGATAACCAGTATTTTAACTGATGGGTGGAGAAAGAAGTACCTCCAAAAATGGTATCAGGTGAATGGTCATAAATCAGTGTAGATGGTGCTATAGAAACCACTCAAAGAGAGTGTTTCCATGAGAGAGAATGACCCTCAGTGTTAAATGCTACTGAGAAGTCAAGTAAATATAATAACTGAACTTATTTACCATATTTATTATTGATGACCTTTGAGAAAGCAGTTCAATAGTCTGGTAGAGAATGAAGCTGGGCAGCATAAATTGACCTATGAATGAAAGGTAAGAAATACAGTAAGTGTAAGCAGCTCTTGTGAACACTTGGCTGTCAAGTGGAGGAAAGAAGAGTAAAGCTGTAGAGAGATGAAATAGACAGATTGTATTATTTGTTTTGATAAAATGAAAAAACTTAAATGTGATTGAATAGTGACAGGATGGTACCAACATAAATTGAAGTTATCACAATTCAGAAGTAATTTATCATGTGGGAAGAAAGAGATCCAGACATAGAGAAGTTAGCCCTAGATTGAAGGAAGAACAACTTCTGCTTAACAGGAGGACACGATGGGTATAAATGTAAAAAAAAAACTTTTATGACGTGTGTGTGTGTGTGTGTGTGTGTGTGTGTGTGTGTGTGTGTGTGTGGTGGAGTGTTGGACGCAAAGTTTAGAGAATTCCTGAAGATTTCATTTCTTCTGTGAATTAGAAATTAAAATAATAGTAAGGAGAAAAGTGCTAGGAAAGGAGATTTTATTTTTATTTATTTATTTTTATACCAACAAGAATAAGCTTGAAAGGAAAGGTTTGAAAGAATGGAGAAGGATGGGAATAGTAACTTTAGAAAATAAGAGCACTAACTAGGGAAATGGCAGGATTGGTAAGCCAATCGAAGGTCAGGTTACTAAGGGCACTAACTAGGGAAATGGCAGGATTTGTAAGCCAATCGAAGGTCAGGTTACTAAGGGCACTAACTAGGGAAATGGCAGGATTTGTAAGCCAATCGAAGGTCAGGTTACTAAGGGCACTAACTAGGGAAATGGCAGGATTTGTAAGCCAATCGAAGGTCAGGTAACTAAGGGCACTAACTAGGGAAATAGCGGGATTTGTAAGCCAATCGAAGGTGAGGTTACTGTTGGAAACCAATAATTTTTCTAGATTGCAATCTATAGTCCAATAATAGGCCTGAAGAAAGTGAAGACAGGTAAGTTGAGCACTGGAGTTTCACCCTGTATACATGGGGCAAGCAAAATAGGGAAAGAGTTGAGGTTATTGGAGTGAAAATAGTTGGAATGACAGACTATCACATCTAGTTCATTAGAAAGGAAATAAAGAGAGAAGGTGTGACAGATATGGCAACTTTCCTGGCAGAGGGATGTGAGAAATATTACAAAAAGAAGTATTTGGAACAAAGGGAATGTTATGTATGCCTTCTTTTTTAAAAAAAATCAATTCTAATTTCATTCATCCTGTTGAAGAATCCAAGAGTAAAGAAAAACCGCTTGTAGAGAATAGGTGTATTCTCCTGCAGAAAAATCAAAGCAGGAAATTAATTTTATAATGCAGAATTGAACTAAAGGTAGTGGATGAATGAATGAATAAAAAAGAAGAATATACTGAGAATTATTAAATATTATATAATCAAACAAGGAGGGCTAAGACATATTCTGACAAGCTTTAATAACGGGATGTCTGAGTTGTTGGGATGATTTAAGTATGACCTTGCTGGAAAGCAGAAAGATAGGCAAGATAACCTCTGAGTATCCTTCCCAGTACTGACATGATTTGCGAAGCTATTTACCTGGTGTAGGTCAGCTGTCGTTGAGAATAAACCTGTCATTGAGAATAAACCTGGGACGCGTATTGATCACAAAGGGAGTTTCACGTATGAAGAGATGAGGCCATGTTGAAATTATATTTGTAGGCACCACATGCATATTAAGAATTCAGTGTAATATTTAAGCCTAGAGTTACTTCTTAATTACCCCATTCATTTTACTTAATCATGTGTAGCAAGATCTGTATTTGCACTTATAGATTCTCCTTGCTCTGTAGTCTAAACCTGCCCATTAGCACCACTTAAGAGTTGTTAAATATAATATTCTACTGTTGCTATCTTGATACAACTGTGATCCCACTATTAATCGCTCTTAATGTGCGATTAATATAACCCATTCAAAGGCTGTTCTTTAAAATGTTTTAAATTAAGCATGCAAAACCTTTGAATGCCTACAAAAAAGTCTAAGCAATCAAAAAACATCAAGTCTGGCATATGAACGAACTAATAAATTAACTACCTAAATAACTGAGCATATATAGTGTCTCTCTTTGACGTCAAGATTTGAATGAAATTCGGTATAGAAAGGGAAAGAAAATATTAGGTACAGCAATGGGAAGCATAAGACAATCTTGGATACTTTATTGTCCATAACATTACTTCTTTTCCTTATAATGGTAATATTCATGCATTTTGTAAAGTTATGGTAGTTTGTATCTTCAATGTTTAAATTAACCTGGTTTACAAGGTGTAAATATAGGCTAAATAAGACAGAAACATTAACATGGTGTCAAATGAGTTCATGTGACCATTTTAAAGTTATATGTCTAAGCTTTTAGAACTACATATTGATTTTAAATAATTTAAAGCATTAGATAATCACATATAACAATGTCCATGCTAACAATAATTGCTGAGTAATATAATTTAAAATGCTTATAAAATCTGACTCAGCCTCAGTGCCAGCTATTAAGGCCACCTTAAATGATACATACTTCGTTTTTATTGCTACCAACTGTGGAAGGCATAAGATTTTATTAGTTTCCAAATGGACACATCAATATTAATTTAAAAGAGATTCACTATTGCCACACACCTCTTCGGGAGGGACACCAGAAACAAGGAAATTGGAGATTTTATTGCTTAGAATATCTTTTGTCAATCATTTTGTTGTATTCAAACCAAGTTTTTGTTTTTATCATTTAAAAACCCAAGAAATGAAAAATTGTCAAGAATATAGACAGGATATTGTGAGATAAACAATCAAGCCGATCATCAGCATAGTTGAAAGCTAGCAGAGGCATGGAGGCATGGCTTATTACTGCTTTTATAGAAAATAGCATTTTTTAACAGATAATAAAACTTCAAAAAAATACAGCTGAACATAAAACTGGAATTTTCTCTTACGCAAGTGTTCTGTACATCTCTGGGCAGTTAACACACAGATTTAGGCCTGAAGCTCTGGAGACAGGCATGTATTTCCTGCAAATTCTTTGTATGCCTTTAGACAAGTGATCCTTCGAAACCTCAGTTTCTCATCTGCATATAGAAACAAAACACACCTATCCCTTTGTGTTATTTCAAAGAAGAAACGATAAAATGTGTTTAAAACCTTAGCAGAGAGCCTGGCATACCATAAGCACTCAGTTAAAACCAGCTCTTCTTTTCATAGAAAATGACTTCATGAAAATAACTTTTCACCTCTTGCTGAGCATAAAGTATTTAACAGGTTTTAAGTTGGGCATAAAATTAAGAATGAGAACTTTTCCACTAAATACAAACTATATATGGCTTAAGACAAGAGAATGTCTTAAAATATATATTTTACCCTGTTTTGTATGTACAGAGAGAATCTTGGATCTGAAAAATGTTTAAAATCTAATAGGGAACATATGTTTGAAAAAGCAAACAGAAACAAAAAGCAAAATAGAAGCCACTATGTGATGCTGTCTATGATACTTTCTGTATTTCTATCATTATCTGGGTTTATTTTTATTCTTGAGGAAGAAACTTTCCAAAGGCATCTACTCTTTATCCTCATTAATGATTTTGGTTTCTCCTAAATTCTTCACTTAATTCATAAAAACACCTTTTTTTCCCATTGTGTTGAATACTTTCTCTTCAAATCTAGAATCTCTGCTTGTCTCTACTATAATTAATAAACCAGAAACATAGCCTTCATATTTGAGTACTCATTTCCCATTTTAGTTAGATAGAGATGCAAAGAAAATTTGAGGCTTTGTTTTACTATACATCCTCATTTCACTGCCAACTTTCTGGAAAGAGCAACCTACACCTGCCTCCCACATTTCTTCACTGCTGACTCAGTGTTTATTCCTATGATGTGTTTTCTACCATATCCACTTGCCTGAAACTGATCCCTCAAAGGTCACCAACTGCTTCCACGGATTACAAGATACAATAACCTTTTTTTGCTTATGATTCCATTGCAGCATTTGACATTCATAACCCTCACTTTTTACTGAGCTATTCCTTTTCCTTGACTTCTCCAACACTGTATCTTTATTTCATGTTTATAGCAAATAATGCATTGATGATTGCCTGTATACTAGGCAGAAAGTTGGAGATATGAGTGTGAACATGGAAAGCTTGGTCCTTGACTGCAGAAAAGGAAACCACTATCACCAAAACAGACTGATGCATGCTAGGACTTTAGGTGCAATAGAGTTTGAAGGAAAATAAATCATAAAAGGTAATCTAAAACAAAACAGGTTAGATAGCATGGGGGTTTGAGGCCCTTTATTAATTTCTTAGGGCTTCCGTAGCAAAGTACCACAAACTCAGTGGCTTAAAACAACAGAAATTTATTCCCTCACAACTCTAGAGGGTAGAAGTTCAAAATCAAGGTGTCAGCAGCATCATATCCCTCAAGCATGTGTGGGAGAGTACTATTTAGTCTCATCTTGCTTGAGGTGTTTGCAGGCAATCCTTGTTATTCCTTGGCTTGCAGATGCAATACTCCATTCTCTGCCTCCATCATGACATGCCCGTCTCCTTTGTGTAAGTCTTTACATCATCTTCATCTTTTTTTCTGTATGTGTCTGTCTCTGTGTTCAAATTTCTCCTTCTTAAAAAGCCCTAAGTCATATTGGATTAGGGCCCACACTAGTGACCTCATTTTAGCTTAATTATATCTACAAAGACCCTGTTTCCAAAAAGGTCACATTCAAAGGTACTGTAGGCTTCAATATATCTTTTGGGGGACACTTCAATCTATAACTGGCCCACTGAGAATGTGACAACTAAAAAGCAATATAAAGAACAGCCACATGGACAGTAGGAGAGATGGAAGCATTCACTGTCAACTAACGGGGTGGCCTAGAGAAGCCTTCTAGAAAACCACTTTGCAATCTGAGTGCACAGATTATTGTCAGATATAGGAAAAGTGGCACTAAGTGAGTTTAGAAATTATGTAGTGTCCATATTATTCGGGGCTTTTAAATCTTACTAAGAGCTTGAGTGTTACCATGAGTGCAATAGGTTCACCAATGGGTTCTTTTGATAGGTTTTAACATAGGAATTATGTGACCCAATTCAGCGTTCTGAAATTCACTTTTTGCTTCTATATGGAGAGGCTGAACCTGATGATTCCAAGAGAAGAGGTAAAAAGAGGTGGACATATTCAAGGTACCATTTAGAGACAGAATCAACAGAAATGTCTGCTGCTTAGATTGAAGAGGTGAGGGGAATATTAAAATCAATCCTGTTTCTGGTTTGAATAAATGAATGAATCATGTTGTTATTTATTGACATAGAGAAAGGTGACAGTAAACACACAATAGGAAAGAGAAAAGACAATTTGGCCAGGCATGGTGTCTCATGCCTTTAATCCCAGAACTTTGTGAGGCCAAGGCAAGAGGATGGTTTGTATTCAGGAATTCAAACTAGCCTGAGCAACACAGCAAGACCTCACTTCTAAAAAACATTAAAAAATCAGTTGGGTGTGGTGGTGCACACCTGTTGTCCCAGCTACTCAGGAGGCTGAGATAGGAAGATTCCTTGAGCCTGGGAGGTCAAGACTGTGATAAGCCATGTTCATACCACTGCACTCCAGCCTGGGCAACAGACTAAGACCTTGTCTCATTAAAAAATAGAACAAAACAAAAACAAGCAAACAAAAACCAATGAGTGCTTTCAAGATGTAATGTCAGAACTATATGTGAAATACTCAGGTGATGATTCCAGGCAAATATTTGGTTATGTTTGTTTTCAGCTCAGAGAAGTGCCTAGGCCAGAGGTATAGGTGTGGAAAACTTCAGCACAAAGACAATGTTTATATCCAAGAAAATTGACAAAGTTTTTTTTTTAAGTCTTGAAAAAAGTTTCAAAAAATTCTAATATTTATGGATGGCATAGGGTAGAAGAAGCCAAAAAAGAATAAGGATCAGTGAATTTAGAAGAAAATAGAGAGTGAATGATGAGACAGGAGGATGTTTCAGATGTTTCAATATGAATGTAAGGATTCACTGTCAAACACTACTGAGAAGTCGAATGAGATGGTGAGAATAAACTGGACTTGGCAACATGGTGGTTGTTAATGACTTTGAAGAGTGGTCAGAGTAGAATAAGAGCACTTAGAGGTAGTGAATGAATTGGAGATGAATTAGAGAGAACAAGGGAGTGAATAAATTTTGCTAGAAAGGGAACACAATGTAGAAGTGGTTGGAGACAGATATGAGGACAAGAGATGTTTTTATTATTGCAGATGGTATATACTAGAGGATATTTCTTTACTTATGGGGATGATTTGGAAAAAAAGTGGGAGGCAAATGACACTGAAGAGACAGCAGCCAGGAGAAGGGTGAACTATTGACAGAGAGGAATGGGATCCAGTGAGCATTTCTTGTGAGAAAAACAGATACTCCTTTCATTGTGGAAGATGAAAGGAAGACATTTTGGTGAGTTTTAGGTTTAGTGCTGGAAGGTAAAGACACATGAGAGCTTTTATTCTTAACAACCAAGTACGAGAACTGATCACTAATTGAGGGCAAGTACATTATGGAATTGAAACGAGAGAGGGTATGGGGGAAGGAGATAGAAATTATACTATGACACGGCTTAATTCTCAATGTCTTTTGCTTGCCCCTTTTCTTCTTCTGCCACTTAAATGCACTATGATTCAAGTCTTATTAAATATCTGTGGGTCAGGCATGGTGGATCACCCCTGTAATCCTAGCACTTTGGGAGGCTGAGGTGGGTGGATTGGTTGAGCTCAGGATTTTGAGACCAGCCTGGACAACATGGTGAAATTTCATCTCTACAAAAAATACAAAAATTAGTCAGGTGTGGTGGTGCATGTTTGTAGTCCATCTACTTGGGAGGCCGATGTGGAAGGATGGCTTGATTGCAGGAGCTTGATGCTGCAGTGAGCTGTGATAAAACCCCTGCACTCCAGCCTGGGCAACAGAGTGAGACCCTGTCTCAAAAAAAAAAAAAAATCTGTGTTTCCTTTAATGAGAAATGAATCTATTCCTTTGGAAAGTCAAATATTTTCTCACCATCAGTTTGTTGAATAAACTAACACATCTTTATAATCCAATATAGATTGCCTGCTTAATATCTCCATTTGGTGTTCTGATGGTATCTTATTGTCAAAAATGTTCAGGAGTGAACTTTTTAAATACAATTATTTTCTCCTTCCGACTTCACAATTATGCTAATTATGGCAATTTTTAAAATTGTGCATTATAATGTTATGTTATGAATTGTAACAAATAATATTGTATTAACTATTAATGGCATCCTCATTCTTCCAGTTTTTTCAGAAGCACCTTTGATCTTTAATGCTCTCTCTGTCTATTTGGGCAGCAGTCATGCCACCTGGGTCCTGTTCTCACAACGGTTTTCTCCTCTCTTCCCATGCTGACCATTTTTGATGCTTTAGTGCTAATTTTCTTTTCACTGCATAATTGCAAAATGCTCCCAAATAATTTTTTGCCTCCTTTCTCTCATCCCAGCACATCACTGTAAATAATGCTATCAAGTAGCCAATAAACATGTGAAAATATATTTAATTTTGCAAGTAATCAAACAGATGCAACTTAAAGCAATGATAATAGATTGGTTTCTTTATAAAAACAGTAAATAATGTTTACCAAGCTATTGTTGACAGTATATCCATATTACATAAATATGTATATATAACATCTTTGTGTGTGTATATATATATATATATATATCTGTGTTTACTTATAGAAGCCTAGAAAAAAATGGAAGAGTTGTAGCACATTGATTAAAAAATGGCTACAATTTTGTTACTATTTTCTGAGTCCATACCTGTGATGATTTACTATAGGTGTCAACTTGACTGGATGAAGAAATATCTAGAAATCTGATAAATCATTATCTGGGGGTATGTCTGTGAGGGTGTTCCCAGAGGAGACTAGCATATGAATCTGAGTGGACTAGGTAGAGAAGAGCCACCATCGATGTGGGAAGGCACTATCCAATCTGCAGGGGATGCAGAGACAACAAAAACAGAAAAAAAGGCAAATATGTCTGTCTTCTGGAGCTGAGTTACACTCTTTCTCTGCTATCTTGGAAAACTCTAGGCTTCTCAGCCTTTGGAGTCCAGAACTTACACACCAGTGTCCATCATCTCCCAGGTTCTCAGGTTTTTGTCCTTGGGCTGAGAATTACAGCATTGACTTCCCTGATTATGAGGTTTTTCGTACTTGGACTGAGCCAAGCATCTCAGGGTCTATAGCTTGCACATGCCTGTCCATGGGACTTCTCAGCCTCCAGAACTCATGAGCCAATTCCCCTAATAAATCCCCTCTTATCTATCTATCTATCTATCTATCTATCTATCTATCTATCTATCTATCTATCTCCTATTTGTTCTGTCTCTCTGGAGTACCCTAATACAATATTCTTTGAAATGTGTTTTGCATCTTCTCCCATGAAGAGATCAAGACTTGAAGTCAATTTCCCCAGGTCTTAAATCTGGGCTGGTCATCCAACTTGCTTTGTGCTGATATGCCAGTCATGGGTCTAGACCTCAAGGGCCATTGCATACTTCTGTCTTCTCTTTTTGAACCGGATCGTTGGCAAGTTAACAAGCCCAGGGCAACCCACTGGAGGAGGAGAGACTATGTGTGAGGAGCCTGTGGTACCCTAGAAGTCAGCCAGCCTACCCAGAAGCAAAAGTACCTAGCTGGACACAGAAGCATGAGAAAGCCCACTGGAGAAGCAGAAGAGACCCACTGAGCCCAGTCTAAATTAACAACCCACACACACGTGAACCAAATACATGGTTGTTATTTTAAGCCACAAAGTTTTGGAATGATTTGTTACATAGCAATCGTGGACAGATATGGGGACACACACAAATGAAAGATTGAATACATCTGAGAAGTAGAAATATAGGTCTTTTTTACTACTATCATTTTGCTTTACTGTATTTTCTAAATTATTCAAGAAATAATGAGTTATTTTGTAATTCACAATAAAATTTACTTGCTACCAAAATCAAATTAATCATTCTTAATGCATAGAATCTGGACGCAGGCAGATCTAATTGAATATCTTTATTTATTTAATTTTTAAATAGAGCTGTGTGAACTTAGCAACATTAGCCTCTAAGAACTTTATTTTTTATAATTCAACTTATAAACATGATAATATCTGCCTCATAGGGCTGTTGTGAAGACTGCAAAAATAAGCCAATAGAATATTCGGAGTAGAGTGTATCCTTAAATTTTCTGCTTGCCCCTACTAGAAATTAAATTTTAGGTTCTCTGTCTCTCTACTCCCTAGAAGAGTGCCTGCATGTAATATGACAGCTCTTTACTTAATCTTTGTTTAATGAATGAACAAATGAATGAATGAATGAATAAATAAATGAAGAAATGATAAGGAAGGTGAATTTTTAATTGACCCACTCTGCTACTATAGTAAAACTGACCATATATATATTATGTATAACAGACAGTTGGGCAGTGCTAGAGATAGCCACAAGTACCGTGCTATTTCTCCCATTGAGAGGTTGAGTCTAACTCCTATTCTTGAATTTGGGCTCACCTCAGTAACTTGCTTTACCAATACAACAGAGCAGAAGTGATAGTCTAAGATTTTGAGCACAGGTGATAAGATGCCTTGCAGACTTCTGCTAGGTTACTTGAATTGCTGTCTCCAGGACCTCTGAGCTGCCATGTAAGAAGTTGGAATGTCCTAAGACTGCTGTCCTAGAGATGACATTTGTGTACACTCTGCTGGACAGCACAGCTGAACCTAGGTTTCAGCTGTCACTGAAAAAGCACCAGATATGTGAATGACAGCTCTTTGATCCTCTTACACAGCTCATTCGCCAGCTAAATTCCATCAAGCAAAGCAATTAACATCACTTGAAACAGAAAAATCACCCAACATAGCTCTGCCCAAATTTCTGACCCATAAAATTAAAAGACAATGACATGATCATTATGTTTAGCTACAGAGTTTCAAGGAAATTTGTTATAGAGCAAATAGACACCAGGAACAAGCAGACAATGTTTCCAGTGATAAAGCTGGTTCAAATATTATATCGTAATTGAAAACGTAAAACCACTTTTTGTTCAAATCATGAAAAAACTAACACCACTTTGGGAGATATCCCCAATCTCCAAAAGGAAGAGTATGCAGTCCAAGGAAGGATATTAGTTTTGAATCTCTAATTTGCGCCTCCTGACTTTAGGTGTACTATAGTCATTCAAAGGGCATTGGTTGGTCGCGGAGTGATAAGCAGAGATTAAGTGTAAGAGAGCACAATGTAATTCACAATAGTCCATATGGAGCCGTCAACTTGTAGAGCATTTGCTCCTATAGAGATTTAGAAGGCTTACTGGAGGGACACAGGGGTTAATCAATATTTTAGCAAGGCCTAGAAGTTCTAATCACTAAGTAGGGTAACACAACCTAATCCTGAATTGAGCCTACTTTCATGTTGTCTTAGCTCGTCACTCCCCAGCTACAGAAAACTGCCATTGAATATAATAACTAAAAGAGTTCAAGCCAACACTTTTATTTCTGCTATTTGAGGAAGAAATATGGAGAAAAACGTATTTCCAGTTTCTGGATCATGAATTAAAGGATATATGTGTTCAGGAAGGTTACCATGAATCCTAAGGGACAGGTTGTAATTGACTAAATAAACAAACAATTGCACAAACAAATTGACCAGAAAAGGCCAATGTAAACTGGTTATGAACTACAGAGAGTTCACAGGAAATTCAATTGCTTTCTTTTCATTGAAAATATATTAATTCAGCGTCTAGGCTGCTACAACTCAATTATCTAGCCATCTAATGCTCCTGGCCCTTCTTCATTTCAAACTAAGCATGCCATACATATCCTAGTTCTCATACACTGAACTCAAAAACTCATTCCTAATCTTTCTTCCTTATTAATGCTTCCTGTTAGAAATAAAAAGAGACATATGAATACATAAAATTGAATCAAACATCTTCATGACACAAATACACAAGGGGAAAATGGTCTGGGAATAAAGCTACATAATAAAAATGTGGCATGCAGAGATTTTTTATAGAGTTGAACATACTCCCTCTACAGATGATATCATCCTTTTCTATATCCTTTTTTTTTAGGACATAAAAGGTCAAACATCTCATGATTGGTGTAGGATATTTTTAATCTGTGTCAAAATGGCACTGAGGTTAAAAGCTAGCTAGAAAATGAGGAAATGACTATTAAAAAGAGAATGAAAATTTTTAACCTTTTCTAAATAGTGCAGTGGAATCTTAGTAATTATTTGAAAGTAAAGTCATTGAAATATTTTACTTGAAGCATAGGAAATATCCTAAATGCAATTAACACATACAAAATATTATATCTTCAGAAATGTACGCTAGTTATCACATTGTAAGGCTGCTTGCATTTTAAAGCATGGAAGTCAGTAGGGAGTTAGAGAGTTCTAATTTCCCATCATACCAAAAGTCTTATTTTAGAAACAATGGCAGAATCTGCTGAATCGACTCATTTGAATTTCCTTTCTTTTAATTGTTCTTACAAGTAGACATATTCTTAGATATATTATACAATTACAATTGAAATTAAATAAAAAATTAATCCAACATTAACAAATCTGAACACTCCTTTATTTCTTACAAAACTTAGTGTATAATTCTCTTTTTTGACTTTTTGTTGTGGAATTTTACATTCCACAAGCAAATCTAGGCAACAAACAAGCAAATGGCAAATACAAATAATGGCAGTTGTAATAATGGCTATGAGGAGATAAAGGTATAAGATATTGAAAAGAAAGTGCCCTAATTCAGGTAGCATTGTCAGAGCAATTCAGGGAGGCTGACATTTAAACTGAGCCCTTAAGGAAGTGAAGTTGTTGGTCATGTAGACTGTAGAAATGGTGCATTCCAGACAAAAGGAGTAGAGTCAGGAATACAGGCTAGAAAAGGTTGACTCGCTTTAGGAGCTGAAAGAAATTCAGTGAGGCAGATAGGGGAGAGTGGGAAGGTGGGGTGGCTGAAGCAGCAGTTCACATGGTAGTGATAATCAGAAAATTCAGGGCCTTGTAGGATGGTAAGATGTTTTCCTTTAATCTTGATGATATAGAAAACCACTGAAAGTTTTGAAGCAGTTGAGTTGTGTAATCTGATTCATGCTTTTAAAATATATTATTTGCTCTGTGTAGTGAGTGAATTGGTTAAGGGTGGGAGCAAACTCAGTGAAATGGTTGTGAAGAAATGGAAAAGAAATTAGCTTGGCTTGAAATAAGATCGTTGCAGCAGGCATAGAAGGAATATTGAATCAAAAGACTGGAGGGAGGAGTAACAGGACTTGCCGTTGGATTTGTCAGAAGGAATAGGAGGATGGTGAGAAAAAGTGAGACTTCAAAGATACCAAAGTTTCTACTTGAGAAAATGGAAGATGGTACCATTTAATTAGATGGTGAAGATTCAGGAAGCACAAATTTGGGGTGAGTGAAGAATTCTCTTTTCAATATTTTATGTGAGACTCCTTTGGTTGGTGTCATCAAATTAAGCAGTTGGATACGTGCCTGCTTCTACTTAATCAGATAAAGTCAGCAAAGTCAGAATCAGCAAAACTTACTTCAGTTCAACAAGTTCTTATTAGAAGTTTTCATTACACAAAGTACTCTGCAAGACATTTGCATTAGGGAAGATTATCATTGCCTTGGGTGAGGGATGGACATTATTACTGCTAAACAGAGGAAAACGTATTTTGTGACTGATTAATTCTGAACTTGTTGGGGCATTCACAATAACAGAATTCACTGAGGAAATACCTTTGATCTGAATCTTGAAGGATAGAAATTTATTTTGGGGCAGGTGGGGAGGTATAGATGGAAAAGAGGGATATAAAATTCCACCCTGCCGGAGCAGCAGAAGCAATGGCACGGACGAAATAAATAACTTCCAAGCATTTTTATCATAGCTAAATCAGGTACCGGTTCTATAGTTGTAAACAAATGCAGACTCAGACCCTGTCCTTAAGGAGCTTATAATTTAGTGAAACAAATTGGAAGTCACCACTTTATAAAAAGTGTTATCACTGTTACCAACCCCCCTTCCATCAAATATTCAAGGCAGTGTGTAAGTATAATATAGGAAAAACCAAGCCAAGTTTGTATTTGGGCATTACATCTCTGAGAAAGTGAGGTTTCAGCTGAAAACTGGATAGAATGCCTAAATCAGATCTAGGCAAAGAAGAAAATAAGACTGTAGTATCACCTTGATTATACCCAGGCAGATGAATTGGAAGAAGGGAAAGTCAATACGGGAAGCCAAGTTTGCAGGCCACAGAAGTGTTCTGAACAGAAGATGGTGATGTATAAGAGCGGAGGCAGTGATGATTGAAGGAAGTATCAGAAACGAAAGGATATTTAGGAATTAAAACTGATAAGGCTCAATGATTAACTGTGGGAAGTAAGGAGGATGGAAAACTAGAGGTTACTTTAGCTTCCTGACTTAAGTAATTCAGATGATGATGCCATCTATAGAACCATCTGGAACACTGGGGAAGAGGTAGGTTTGCAGTGGGCATGGGAAAGAAGATTCATGCCCTTTGGGGCATTTTAAATAGCAGTGCTTTGAAAGTCTTCAGGTAGACTGTGATAACCTGTTAATTAGACTGGAGGCCCCATGAAGCCAGTGACCACACCCATGTTGTTCAGTGCTATATCCCCAGTGTCTGTCACACCACTTGCTCTCTAGTAGGCCATCAGGAATATGTCTCATTATTAATTATTAATGAGACAAATTAATATGTCTCATTAATTCCGAATGAGCTGCTCTAAGTTATTTTAGGAAATATTTGGCGTCAAATACTTATAGTGCAAATAATGATATTAATAACTTTTCTAACTTAAAATACCCTTTATTGAGGGAAAGTTTGCAGTGTGAACATGAAAGCTCTGAAGAACAAGGTTCCTTTTTATTTATTTATTTATATTTTTGAGATGGAGTTTCGCTCTTGTTTCCCTGGCTGGAGTACAATGGCACGACCTCAGCTCATTGCAACCTCCGCCTCTCAGGTTCAAGCGATTCTCCTGCTTCAGCCTCCGGAGTAGCTGGGATTACAGGCATGCACCACCATGCCCAGCTAATTTTGTACTTTTAGTAGAGACAGGGTTTTCCATGTTGGTCAGGCTGGTCTCAAACTCCTGACCTTGTAATCCCCCCACCTCGGCCTTCCAAAGTGCTGGGATTACAGGCGTGAGCCACTGCATCCAGCCAAGGTTCTTTTTTATGTGTTAGTATTTTATGACTCAAACTACTTAGAAGGCTGTGCCACATTATTGCCTATGATAATTATTCTAATGAGTGATTCATGGACCACGATTCCTGGTAAAACTAGTAGTATTGTGAGAAAAATAATTTTCTGTGTTCCCTTTATAGAGATTTAAGATGAACAATAATGTATAATAAGCTTCACAAAATCCTGTAGTATAAACTCCTGCTTAACATTGTTTTTCTACACCAATTTAAGCTTCAAGTCTTCTTATCGCCTCTCCTTTTTTTCCCTCTAGAGTATACTGCAAAGCTATTTTTGGGAAATATTAATTTGTAATTCACTATCCTATAGCATTGCTGTATGACGCTCATCTAAAACTGCTACATGGTGAGAAATACGGACTTGAAAAGTAACTTTTATATCTGAGATTCATCAATATCATCATCAAAGTCAGATTTCCAAGTGTGAATATTGTGGATGGTAAGTTTTTAAGATGGAAAGGAAAAAAGTCTATAATATTAACTAAAATAAATTATTTCATCCTTGTAATATTTTAAAAGATCATGCTTCAAATCTCCTTTTTGGGGAGCTATCAAATAGAGATACACGTATTTCTCTGAATATCACATTCCAAATGTTGCTTGTTGTTAGGCAGACCTTTCACAACAGGGAATTTTCAAAACTCAAAGTCATACCTTTAGACGTAGCACAACAAAGTAGAAATGTGCCAAATTACCCAGAAACAATTCGGATAGCTGGCAAACAGGGCTGCCTGCTGGTTTGTGAACAGTGTAGGTAATTTGCCACTCAGCTCTCCTCTATTTGCCTCAATAAATTGTAGGGTACTTAGAACCCTACTATCTGTTATCCATCTGTCTATATTTCTCTGCTCTGTCAGTGTCCGACAATAAAAAGGCTTCATCTTGTCTGTCTTTCTCTTGCAGCTGGCAGGGACGATATAAAAGAAATAGACTGACTTTGGAGTGGGAGGGGAATTACAATTAGCATGTAAAATAGAACATCTCCTTAGTTAGCTAGGAGAAAAAGGTAATAAGCCAAAAATAAAAATAGAAAAGAACATTAAGAAGGAGCAAAAATCCCACCAGATGACCCAGCAGGATGATCAAGCCTCGTATTTTCTAATCAACATATTCATAAACCAGATATTTACAAAATGTCATTGACAGCTACTTAGCCCAAACATATCAACATTGCTCCCCATACTGTTTCAACACTAATCTTCTGTTTAAGTGGAATTGAATTCTTTCAAGTGAGTATAAGTTTGAATAGTTAGAATTAGGTCCAATTGTTTTTGAAAATGACAGGTCAAAGAATGTAACTTGCATTTTCTTCTTTTATCCAGATGAATAAACTACACAATCAAATTTAAATGTTTATTATACCCAATTTAAGATACCATCTCCTTCCAAAAAATGTTTCTCCTTATATAATAAAGGATTATCTTCTTAAATCTTTAGCAAAATACATAGAGCTTTTGAGATGTGTATCTGACATTAGACATAAAAAATGGCAATGAGTGAGAATAACGAGAAGTACACACTAGTATTAATACAGAAATTTGTAGCTATAATTGCATTCACTGAAAACAATTTTTTTATTGTTTTCTGAAAAGATTTGGAGACTGTGGCAAAAACTAAAATGATGAGGATATGACTGCAATATAAAGTACAGAGAATAAAGCTTTTAATAATAAGGGAGCTCGGTTCAAATTCTAGTTTTACCCTTTAGTAGTTGTATAGTTTTACAGAATCATTTAACTTCTCTACACTTGAGTGTTCTACTATAAAACGGAAATGACATACACATATTATTGGATGGTTATAAAGATTAATAGAGACTGTTAATAATGGCCTTTATTAATAACGGGTTTTTGAATATTGTTGATTGTTATTTAGCTACCCTTATTTGGAAACAAATAATCAAGTAAGAAAATGAGGAAAAAATGCAAAAAATAAAAAATAATTAAAAGGAGTATTTTTAGTTGTCTCCCAGATGATAACAGAGTTTTGAGGAACCTAATATCTTCCTCCTAACAGATCCATTGTTTAGACCTTAGAGAAAAATCTTTTCTGATTTTTTTTCCACAAATCTCACTGTTTTGTACTCCAAGTTTTAAATAATCAATATAAAAGTGTACCATTCTGTATTCTCTTAGTACTTCCTGGCTCCCTTTAGTGTAGAAGTTTATCATGTGCTACTGTAATATTCATGACTATCCACAAAATTTCTATGAACAACTGGAAAGCTGTAAAATAGTTTTATTTATCCCTGTCCTTGGAGCACAGCAGCTATTCAAAAATATGTTTTCTGCATAATAATACAAAAGATACCATACTCAGAGGTTTTCACACACTATTCAGAGTATGAAACACATTGCAATCAGTTCTCTATTAGGCTGTGAAGGTGGCGGTGGAGGTGGTGACAAAGATGGGCTTGCATGGAGGAACAAAAAATAAAGCTGCGCCCTTGACTTCCAGATTTTACTAATCTGGGAAAAAAGAGAAAAATTAAAATAATGTATAACACAAAAACCATTTTAGAGAAGCAGCATGTGTCCCAAAGGACACATGGATTTTATTGTTTCCATAAAACATTTTTGACAACTTATAATGATATCAATACAATTCAGAGGCAGCCACTAAGAACTATAAAGAAGAAAAAAAAATAAAAAATTCTGGCTGAGTGAGATTGCCACATTTGAGCATATGTAATTCTTCTGAATTTTCTGCTAAAAGGTGGAAAGAAAAACTACATAGGATGAGAGAACTTCTCTTGCCCAGAAAGCATATTCATCCAGGAGGGAAAAGTAATGTTTTCCTGGCCCTGGTTTCTGAGATGAATCAGTCATGGAAGTATTACTATGGGTTTTGGGTAATAAACACACACGGTAGAAGTTTTCAATAAATACAGACTTCTTCCATGCAATTGTTCCTTTTATTGACTCAAGGTATAAATAAAAATACTAGGGCAAAGTCAGGAACCAGCAGTTCCAGAGATCCAAGAGGCAAGGATAGGGAGTATAGCTTTCTGGTAACCTTGTTACAGACATATGGTGTAGAAAAAAATTTTGACCATCTTTCTCTAGCTGAGGTCCCTACATTATGTCATTATTTGCTTCATGAGAAAATGAGTTGCATGTTTAAACTTTTAGAGAAAATGCGTTATAAATTTTATTCTATAAGCTAATTATCTCAATCAACGTTCAGACTAGAACCCAAAATATTTTTAAATATAGGTCTGGAATAAGATACTAAAGCTTAAAACAATTAGCATGCATAGAAATAAAGGGTATTCAAATAGAAAGAGAGTAAGTCAAATTGCAATCATGTCATCTGTTTGCAGATGACATGATTGTATATTTAGAAAACCCTATCATCTCAGCCCCAAAACCCCTTAGGCTGATAAACAACTTCAGCAAAGTTTCAGGATGCAAAATCAATGTCCAAAAATCACAAGCGTTCCTATACACCAATAATAGACAAGCAGAGAGCCATATCATGAGTGAACTCCCATTCGCAATTGCTACAAAGAATAAAATACCTAGGAATAAAACTTACAAGGGACATGAAGGACCTCTTCAAGGAGAGCTACAAACCACTGCTCAATAAAATAAAAGAGGACACAAACAAATGGAAAATAATTCCATGCTCATGGATAGGAAGAATCAATATCGTGAAAATGGTCATACTGCCCAAAGTAATTTATAGATCCAATGCTATTCCCATCAAGCTACTATTGAATTTCTTCACAGAACTAGAAAAACCTACCTTAAATTTTATATGGAACCAAAAAAGAGCCCATATAGCCAAGACAATCCTAAGCAAAAAGAACAAAACTGGAGGCATCATGCTATCTGACTTCAAACTATACTATAAGGCTACAGTAACCAAAACAGCATGATACTGGTACCAAAACAGATATATAGACCAATGGAACAGAACAGAGGCCTCAGAAATAACACCACACATCTACAACCATCTGATCTTTGACAAACCTGAGAAAAACAACGAATGGGGAAAGGATTCCCTATTTAATAAATGATCCTGGGAAAACTGACTAGCCATATGCAGATAACAGAAACTGGACCCTTTCCTTACACCTTATACAAAAATAACTCAAGATGGATTAAATACTTAAACATAAAACCTAAAACCATAAAAACCCTAAAAGAATACCTAGGCAATACCATTCAGGACATAGGCATGGGCAAAGATGTCATGACTAAAATACCAAAAGCAATTGCAACAAAAGACAAAATTGACAAATGGGATCTAATTAAACCAAAGAGCTTCTGCTCAGCAAAATAAACTATCATCAGAGTGAACAGGCAACCTACAGAATGGGAGAAAATTTTTGCAACAGATCCATCTGACAAAGGTCTAAAATCCAGAATCTACAAAAAACTTAAACAAATTTACAAGAAAAAAGCAAACAACCCCATCAAAAAGCAGGCAAAGGATATGAACAGAAACTTCTCAAAAGAAGACAGTTATTCGACCAACAACCATATGAAAAAAAGCTTATCATCACTGGCCATTAGAGCAATGCAAATCAAAACCACAATGAGATACCACGTCATGCCAGTTAGAATGGTGATCATTAAAAAGTCTGGAACAACAGATGCTGGAGAGGATGCAGAGAAATAGGAATGCTTTCACGCTGTTGGTGGGAGTGTAAATTAGTTCAACCATTGTGGAAGACAGTGTGGCAATTCCTCAAGGATCTAGAACCAGAAATACTATTTGACCCAGCAATCCCGTTACTGGGTATATACGCAAAGGAATATAAATCATTCTACTAAGACAACGCATGCAAATATATGTTTATTGCAACACTATTTACGATAGCAAAGACTTGGAAACAACCCAAATGCCCATCAATGATAGAATGGATAAAGAAAATGTGGTACATATATACCATGGAATACTATGCAGCCATAAAAAAAGAATGAGCTCATGTCCTTTTCAGGGACATGGATGAAGCTGGAAGCCATCATCCTCAGCAAAGGAACACAGGAACAGAAAACCAAAGACTGAATGTTCTCATTCATAAGTGGGAGTTGAACAATAAGAACACATGGACACAGGAAGCGGAATATCGCACATTGGGGCCTGTCAGGGGTGGGGGTCAAGGGGAGGGAGAGCATTAGGATAAATACCTAATGCATGTGGGGCTTAAAACCTAGATGACGGATTGACAGGTGCAGCAAACCAAACCACCATGGCACATGTATACCTATGTAATAAAACTGCAAGTCCAGCACATGTATCCCAGAACTTCAATTAAAATAATAAAAAATAAAAATAAATAATTAGCATGTATTTTATGTATGTTAGATAGACTTATCTGAATTTGATACATAAGTATGTATGTATGTATACATATATACATATACACATATATACACACACATATATATACTCACACACATATATATTACCATTAAATCCTTACAACAGCTTATGAAGATGAATAAAAGTGGATTCAAAGAATTTTGTATCTTGTCCAAAGTCATAAAGCTAGTTATGCTCAAAATGAAATGCACGTAATTCTCTACTGTAATGCCCATCACCTTACGCCATGTGGTCATATTTCCTCTGATGAATTTTACATAGTTGGGGTCAGAGACAGCATGCTCTAATATCAGACATTTTGTGACTTTTTTTACTGAGGTCCAGTCATCCTACCTTTGCTTGAAGCTTTATATATATATATGTTTACATGTTTCACTGACCTTCTTTCTCAACTGCAGTTTGCACATTAATTCAGGTGGTCAATTTTTAAAATGTAACTTATTATATTTTTCCATGGCAAAATTTCCATTTATAAAACAGCTTTTATTTTTGTAGCAAGAATTTCTATTTTTTAAATTGTTTCCAGAGTGGTCACTTTTACCTCATGAAGTGTGGCTAAAAGTCATCATCTGATGATTACAGCATCTGGGTTATTTCAGATTAGCATCTGTTTATTTTAATGTCTTTTCCCCTGAGATTTTGTTACTTTTTTTCTTAGTTGTCAGTATGTTCGGTAATTTTGGATTGTATAGTGAACGTTTAGAATATTAAGTTTGAGAATCTAGGTCCTGTTAAATTTCTGTGAAGAGCGTTGGTTTGTCTGTTCAAGCAGCTAATCCTCTGGTTAAGCCCAGATTGCAAGGTTTGCTTTGCCTTTTATGGGCAGTAGTTTTCTTTTTTTTTTTTTTTTTTAATTATTATACTTTAAGTTCTAGGGTACATGTGCACAATGTGCAGGTTTGTTACATATGTATACATGTGTGCCATGTTGATGCGCTGCACCCATTAACTCATCATTTACATTAGGTATATCTCCTAATGCTATCCCTCCCCCCACCCCACAGCAGTCCCTGGTGTGTGATGTTCCCCTTCCTGTGTCCATGTGTTCTCATTGTTCAATTCCCACCTATGAGTGAGAACATGCAGTGTTTGGTTTTTACACAGTCATAAAAAAATGATGAGTTCATCTCCTTTGTAGGGACATGGATGAAGCTGGAAACCATCATTCTCAGCAAACTATCGCATGGGCAGTGGTTTTCAATAGCAGTTTAAAGTTTTGCTGTGTGGTTTGGGCCTGCTCATTATATGAAAAACTTAGGAGTTGACCTGGAATTTGGATGGAGTCATATATTCCTTCTCTCTTGAAGACTTGGGTATGTTCTTTACAAGTACAGCTTAGGGGTGAGTTTAGGACTTAGGTTGGTATATATGCAAAATTTATGGATTCTCTTCACTAGACATCTCTTCTGAGTTTACACCTCACTTTCTGGATTCTAAAATCCCCTTTTGCTGAGTCATCGGCCAAAAATAATAGGGTTCTTTAAGATATTTAGCTTCAGCAATAAGATGAGAGAAAGAGAAATAATAATTTTCTCCCCACCCTCATTCTTTTTGCACAACAGGACCTCTTTTGCTGATTCTCCTACCTAAAAAAAAAGGGATTTTTCTTTTGGGTCTTACGCATGTGCACCTACCGCACTGGGATAATGTAGCTACATCAGGGCATTGCTCGGAGAGAAAAAAGAGGAAAAATAAATGAGGACATACTCCATAATCTACTGCTCACACAGGCCCTTCTTCCCGGTCCTTTGACTGGATTTTGCTGACCATAATCATTATAAAGTTCCTGGTTTGGCCCGCCCTTAAGTTTAAAGACATAAAGGAAAAATAAACAAACAACAACAAAAAACAAAACAACTCATCAATATGGCTCTTCAAGGTTTGACTTCCCTTTCCCACCTGACTGAGATTATTTTTCAGAATCCTCAGAGGTTTTTTTTTTTTCTTTTTCTTCTTTTTTTCTGTTTGTTGGTTGGGTTGTTTTGGGAGAAGGAGATTTGGGGTCCAGAGTTTTTAGTTATAATCAGTGGTAGAGAAGCTACGGTGGGCTTACTTAATTAGAAAATTTGTTAAAATCTCAAATTTTATATCAGAAATTGTGAAAATAATGAGACTATGACCTAGGAAAGTTTAAGGGCAAGTGTCTGTAATAATCTAAACTGTCAAGGTTCCTGGGAAGAGAGGGAGATCTTATATCAGACTATGGCATGAATTAAGTTTGGATCTTTACCAGACATCTCTGAAGGCAGTCATCTCATCTGTTTAATGGGACAGTAACCCTTGCCTCTGTGGGTTTTAATGTGTAATAAATGAATGTGCATATAGCACATATCAGCAGTGCCTGGCATACAGAAGGTGCTTAACAATGATCACTGTATTAGTGTAGAACATTTAATTTTAGAATAGCCACATACTAATTGTTCGCCAGGGTATTTTGAACTTACAAAGTTCAAAATGAATAGCTACAAAAATACCTACCTTAATTTCAATAGCATTATTTGGCATAATCTAAGTGATATATGTATGTATGATTATTCTGGTATCTAACCAATCACCTTAAATTATTTTTAAGATTTCATTCTTTACAGCAATTCTATAGGCCTAAGAACCATTACTATTCTCATTTTTCAAGTGCAGATAAACATCTTAGATGAAAAAAGTAACCTGCTCCAAATCAACCTCATGAATGAAAAAGCTGGCTTGAGAGCCTAAACAGGTGCTGCTACGCATTTTGCCTATATTTGTTTCACTGTAATGATGTCTAATTTGCGTAGTATAAAATTATTGGCCAGTATCATTTGCTTTTTGAGGAAACACCAAAAACTGGAAGGTAGGGCCTTGTCAACAGTATGTTTTGGGCTTCTAGACAGAAAAACACATTTAATATTAAGTGGCCTCAATTTGTAGCTGCACGTAAAAAGTTATTCTAAATTAATTTTTCTACATTTAATTCAACTATTTTAAAGGAAGTCAGAATGTAAGACTAAGATTAATGGAAAAGCCTATATAGCAAAGGGATTTTAAAAGGGAATTGAAAAATGCCAGTTTGGGTTGTGCTATTTTACCATTCTATTAACTGCATGTATGTGAAGATTCCAGGAAAACAAACCCTGTATTACCCATGCTAAATAAGAAGTTATCTTTAAAATGACTGAAGAAAATGGAATATGTGGGAATGAGTAAAAAATTTTTTAAAAATCCTTAACGATGGCCAGGCATAGTGGCTCACGCCTGTAATCCCAGCACGTTGGGAGGCTGAGCCGAGTGGATCATGAGGTCAGGAGATCGAGACCATCCTGGCTAACATGGTAAAACCCCATCTCTACTAAAAATACAAAAAATTAGCCACGCATGGTGGCGGGCGCCTGTAGTCCCAGCTACTCGGGAGGCTGAGGCAGGAGAATGACATGAACCCAGGAGCTGGAGTTGCAGTGAGCTGAGTTCATGCCACTGCACTCCAGCCTGGGTGACAGAGTGAGGCTCCGTCTCAAAAAAAGAAGAATCCTTAACAATAACGAAACTATCTAATCTGGTAAGAGGCAGAAAGTCATTATTTAGGAGATTACTAGCTTTAGTCAAACAAAATCCACTGTACATCAATAAATTATGATTTATTATCAATGATTATTTATTATTATCAATGATTATGACCACCTGTAATGCAATAAAGTCAGATTCAGTGGCAGAGAGATACATTATTTCCTGTATTGTATATTTTCTATACCTGGATAAAAAGCTTTCATATTTTGAGAGGAAGGTTTATTTTTCTCCTATTGAAGTACATGATCAAGGGCCTTACATTAGGCAAGGAACTAGGATGACCTTATTGATAGATTCTCATACGGCAAAGACATAGAAGTTCTTCCTGTTGCTTAAAGCCCCACGCATGCTACCCTTCATATCACAGTTATATACAAAATGTTGTGCCTCCGTTATTGTTGTCAGTGGGTGCTGGAAATTCATCTGCCAATTTTCATAGCTTGTGTTTGAAAGGGCACTCCAGGCAGATTTAAGACACTTCTTTGATTATCCAGTTGGCTGATGGTAAGCAACCTGTGTATTTACTGTGAGCCACAGTTTTCTCATCAATAAAGTGGGAAGAAGAAATGAACCAGAGGAACAGCAGAATCTTGAAGATACTTTCTAAGGTATCTTCTAGAAAGAAAATTTATGTTTTTTGAATTTCTTCTAGCAGCATACATCATATAGTCGATCACATGCTACCTTCTCAGGAACTGTTCAAGTTTTAAAGAGAATGGATTATGCACCTTAATTTTAGATAGTACTACAGGGAATCATTAAGTGCACCTTTTAAAAGTTAGGAAATCAATGAAAATAAATAATCTATATAAACTCCTTGAAAACAAAGACACAAATTTATACACATTTGTATATCTCAGTGCTTAGCAATACTAGATAGGCAATCAATATTCACAATTTCCATTAAGGCAGGTTATTATTCTTCTGATCACTTAAGGATTCCACAATTTTTACATTGCATTACACTTATATTTTATTTATCATAATTATATTTTATAAGACATTAAGAAGACAACATTAAGATTATAATGATAATACTACTACGTTTTTAGTTAAGATGCTTGTGTTAATCTTGAAGGGTGTTGTTTAGTATAATTAACCTCTCAAGGTACTGCAAAAATAAAGGAATACAGGTCCATTTTATGAGGATATGTGGATTTGTAAGGGATGATGAGACCTAAATGGAATAAACAAAGTTGTAGCCCCCAAACTCCATTTTCTATCATTTGGAATACAGAGAGAAAATACTGATACCTAAGAAGAACTGACAATGACAATCCAATGAAACTAGAGATTAACAGAAAAGAGAATAAACGAAGAAAAAGTCAGGCATAATTGACAAAAGAGAAAATGGATTAGACAGAGGAAAAATAAACAGACGAAAATATAGGATAAAAAACATTCTTTCAACAATATCGTCACCTCTAAGAATATGACTTCTGAAGTTCAATATGTGGTAGGTAAAAGAGATTATGTACTCTTATTTGAAATAAGGGTAGAGGTATCATGTATACTAGTTTAAGGGTTTGACATTGAAATGACATAGGTTTACTCTAAATGCCATTGTAATAATTTCTTATCCAGGAACAGTGAACTTACCTCACTCTAACTTGCATTTCTTTCTCCCTAGGTTTCTTTCTTTCAGCAGTTAATGAGTAGTTTGGCAATATAAAAATAGACAAAGGAAACAGAATAACAGCATGAGTTAGTCCAAGGTTGACTGGATCATCTACTTTTGCCTAAAACTGTTCACACTGAACGAGCAGGGCCCACAGCCACTACCAGCGCTTCCAAGAGATTTGGAGCCTCTGTTAACGGACTCCCAGTGCACCAGGAATGATTACCTTACACACTGATGCAGAGTAGCAATTCTAGGTAAACCAGCAAAAAGTGAACAGAAATCCTAACAAATTATGCATTCCAACCTATTGTTTCCTTTAGAACACAAATCTACTGTTATTAAGCAATATTTTAATTTTTAGATTTCAAATAAAATATGTAAAGAAAGTCAACTTGTTCAGAAATTTAATTATCTTTAGGTAAAAAATCTAAATACTATAATAAAAGGAGAAGAATGCTGTAAAGTGAAGGAGACAAATAGGTGCTAACTTATAACTGAAGTTCCTGTCTTTGAGGGATTTCCATCTTTGAGGTTTCTATTTTTTAGGAGTTTTCAAATTAGAGGAAGGGCAGAGAAGTAAGCATGCATGCATGACGTGCATGATATGACAGCATAAATACTATAATAGAAGGATGCACAAGATAACATGGACACCGAAGAAGATAAATTTAATCCAGAGGGACATTGTCTAGGGACATGGTCAAGGGAAGGCTTAACAGAACGGCTGGTTCCTCTTCTGGGTTTAGAAAAGGAAGAGGAGCTGAATAGTCCAAACAATAGCACCAAGGTTAGCTCAGGGAGAGCAAACTATTTCAGCAAACAACAGAGATGTGAGCAAACTGAGTGATTCAGAAAATTCCAATCAATTCAATAAAATTCAAGTGTAACCCCAGGTACAGTGGCTTACTCCTGTAATCCCAGCACTTTAGATGGCTGAGGCAGGTGGATCACATGAGGTCAGGAGTTCGAGATCAGCCTGGTCAACATGGTGAAATCTCATCTCTACTAAAAATAAAAAAATTAACCGGGCGTGGTGGCACAGACCTGTAATCCAAGCTACTTGAGAGGCTGAGGTGGGAGAATCACTTGAACCTGGGAGGCAGACCAGTGAGCCAAGATCACGCCACTGCACTCCAGCCTGGGCCATGGAGTGAGACTCTGTCTTAAAAACAAACAAACAAACAAACAAAAACTCAAGTGTAATTTGTGAAGGGGCACAATGACCAGTGAGATTTAGGACTTAATAAGTGCACATGTCAGGCCAACTTAAAGCTTCAAATGAGAAATCAGAAGAATTTTATAGAGGGAAGTCAGCTAAGGCAGTCGAGGTTGAGGAATTATATTTATTTATTCAAACAAGATTTCCTTAAAACAAGAGTCAAAAATGAATGTCATCCTTGAATTTATGCTCTAGTGTATTCTCATGTATATTATGCTGGGATTTTTTTTTTATATGTGATTTAGCCTTGAGGATCCATCTGAAATTTAACTGGAAATTATAGCTGAACGGGGCTATCATTGAATCTCAACTGCCTGAATTTCGGAGTTAGGTAGCTGGATAGTTAGGCTAAATGAGGATTTATTTAGAGGTTGAGGTAATTCGTTGTAGAGAAATGGGAAAGAAAATAGAAAACGGCTGTGAAATTAGAATACAACGGCTAAATCAAAGAACCGTAAATTAGACGATGATGAGGATGAAAGAACTGGCCTGAGAATAAGAAAATGAGCTGAACATGAGCTGAACATGGCAGCAAAATGAACATATTAAAGCCTACGATTCAAGAAACTGGCCTTTCAAACTGTAATGGGATTATCCCTGTCCCATGTATTGGGACTCTTTAAAAAATTCACAATTCATATTAAAAATATAAAAAGGATACCAAAACCAAACCAAAAATATGTACAGGTATGTCTCATTTTATTGTCCATAATTTTATTGCTCTTTGCAGATATTGTGCTTTTCACACATTGAAGGTTGTGGTAACATTGTGTCCAACAAGTCTATTGGCTCTATTTTTTTTCAATAGTATGTGCTTATTTTGTGTCTCTTGCCACATTTTGGGAATTCTTACAGTATTTCAAATATGTTTATTATTATTGTATCTGTTGTGGTGATCTGCAATCAGTGATCATTGATGTTACTATTGTAATGGTTTGGGAATGCCCCAAACCACTCCCTATAAGACAGCAAACTTGATGAATGAATTGTGTTCTAACTATTCCACTGAAAACTTGCTGCTTCACCTTGCATTTTTATATTATGGAGATGGCTTCTTTCCTTCAACCTCATGAGCTAATTTCTGCTAGCTTCTGGCTGTTTCCCATTCTCTCTCCTCCTCCAGCCTTCCTATTCTCTGAGATACAACAATATTGAAATTAGGCCCATTAATAACCCTATAATGGTCTCTATGTGTTCAAGGGAAAGGAAGAGATGCATGTCTCCCACTTTAAATCAAAAGCTAAAAATGATTAAGCTCAGTAAGGCAGGCAATCAACAGCCAAGGGAGGCTAAAAGCTAGGCTACTCGCACCAAACAGCTAATTGAGTTGTGACTACAAAGGAAAAGTTCTTGAAGAAAATTTAAAGTGCTACTCCAGTGAACAAATGAATGTTAAGAAAGACAAGCAGTCTTATTGCTAATATGGAGAAAGTTTTATTGGTCTGGATAGAAAATCAAACAAGCCACAACATTTCCTTAAGCCAAAGCCTCATCCAGAGCAAGGCCCTCTCTTCAATTCTATAAAAGCTGAAAGAGATGAGGAAGCTACAGAAAAAAAAAAATGGGAAGCCAGCAGAAATTAGCTCATGAGGTTGAAGGAAAGAAGCCATCTCCATAACATAAAAACGCAAGGTGAAGCAGCAAGTGCTGATGTAGAAGCTGCTGTAAGTTATCTAGCAACTCTAGCTAAGAAAATGATGAAGATGTTCACACTAAACAACAGCTTTTCAATGGAGACAAAACAGCCTCGTACTGGAAGAAGATTCCATCTAGTACTTTCATAGATAGAGAAAAGTCAACGTCTGGCTTCAAAGCTTCAGCTCTATTTTTTCCCGTGGTAAAAAAAAAATATGTAGACTGTATGTTGTCAAATATGGTTTATACATTTCTTTTCTTGGCAAAGCTTTGACTGTTTCTAAGGAGACTATGCAGCTCCGTGAGTACACAGCCCAGGAGGCTGGGTCCATGGCCAGTCCTAGCTTGGCTTTGAATTGGTTTTGTTCACTGTCCCCTCTGTGGCATGGTTCCAGTGTCCTGCGGGGCAGTCCCAGCCAGGCCCCAGGCATTTCTTTGTAGGGGCTAATGCAGCTGGTGACTTTAAGTTGAATTCAGTGCTCACTGACCATTTCAAAGACCCTAGGGCCCTTAAAAAGTATGCAAATATTCTCTTCCCGTGCCCTGTAAATGGATCAACAAAGCCTGGATGATGGTATATCTGTTTACAGCATAATTTACTGAATATTTTAACCCCACTCTTGAGACATTCTGCTCAGCAAAAAAGACATCCTTCAATATTACAGCTTATTGATAATGCTCTTGGTCATCCAAGAACTCTAACAAAGATGTACAAGGATATTAACGTTGTTTTCACACCTGCTAACACAACATCCATTCTGCAGACATAGGTCAAGGAATAATTTTACTTTCAGGCCTTATTATTTAATAATATGTTTCATAAGGCTATAGTTGCCATAAATAATGATTCCTTTAATGGATCTGGGCAAAGTAAACTGAAACCCTCCTGAAAAGAATTCACCTTTCTAGATGTCATTAAGGACATTTGTGATTCATGGGAGGAGGTAAAAATATCAACATGGACAGGAGTTTGGAAGAAGTTGATTTCAAGACTGCAGTGGAGGAAATAACTGCAGATGCAGCAGAAATACCAAGAAAACTAGAGTTAGAAGTGAAGCCTGAAGATGTGACTGAATTGCTGCAACCTCATGATACACATTTAATGCATGAGAAGTTGTCTCTTATGGATGAGCAAAGAGAGTGGTCTATTCATGGTGAAAATGCTGTGCACATTGTTGAAATGACAACAGAGAATTTAGAATATTATGTAAACTTAGTTGGCAAAGCAGAGGCAGGTTTGAGGGGATTGACTCCAATTTTTAAAGAAATTCTACTGTGGGGAAAATGCTGTCAAACAGCATTGCATGAGACAGAGAAATCTTTTGTGAAAGAAGGAGTCAATTAATGTGGTAAATGCCATTGTTATCCTATTTTAAGAAATTGCCACAGCCACCCAAGCCTTCAGCAACTACTACCCTGATCAGTCAGCTGACATCAACGTAGAGGTATGATCCTCCACCATGAAAAGATTACAACTCACTGAAGGCTCAGATAATCATTAACAGTTTTTTCAAAAAAAAAACTAATTATGGTATGTGCATTTCTACACATAATGCTATTGCACACTTAGGCTGTAGTATATTGTAAACATTGTTTTGATATGCATTGAAAAAAACAATAATTTCTTGTGATTCGCTTTATTGCAATATTCACTTTATTATAGTCGTCTGAAACCAAACCTGCAATATTTCTGATGAATGCCTATATATATGTATATACATATAATTCAAATATATTCATATACAATATAACATTATATAAATATAATATATAATACACAGTTATATATTGTATATACAATATATGTCAATTGCATATGCAAATATCCATATAAAATACTATCATATTAATTTCAATACCACGTTATAATAACATTTTGTCACTGTTAAGTAGGCTTACAATAAGAATTAAGGTATTCTCAGTATTAGAAAATCTCCATTATATAAATAAGTTAAAATTCTCTAACCTAACAAATATAATCTTTTGGAACAAGTAGTTAGTATTATATTGATTGATGAAAAACTAGAGGATTCATCATAAAATTTGAAGGTAGAATATGGTGGGCCCTGCTCACCATATTCTTTAATAGTTTCAATATTAGATTTCCTAGGCAAAGTTATCAGATGCAACAAACAATGATAAACATGATAAAACAATTATTATTTTCACTTGTTATGATCCTTCATGAAGAAAGACTCGAAATGTTTTAGACTAATGGGAGATTTCAGTAACCTTGATAGGTTCTTTTTCTCTTATGTTCAAGTCCTGTGGCAAAAGTTTGTCACCCAGTAATCCATTCTAAATAATTAATCACAAACATGGCAAGGTAAAAATAGGCAAGCATTTTTTATAGCACTATAAAAACAAAAAATTAAAATAATCTGGACTTCCAGTGATAAGAAAAAGAGATAACTATCAAAATATTTTAAGTCAATATAATAATATGAAGGAGTAGTATAGGGATGTCTAATAAGAAAAATATCAATATACAAAAGTATACACATGTCCCAATTTTGGAATCGATATGTACTTATTGTTGAAAAAAGATGGGCATACTCTAAAATATGAATAGTTACATTTTATTTGCAGTATAGACTTATAAATGATTCCTATATTTCCCTATATTTCTACAATGAGGAAATAACATAATAAAACAAAATAGTCTGGTCCCAGTGGCTCATGCCTATAATCCCAGAACCTTGGGAGGCTGAGGCAGGAAGATTGCTCATGGCAAAGAGTTGGATATTAACCTGGGCAACATACGGAGACTCCATCTCTACAGAAAACAAACAAACAAAAATTAGCTGGGCATGGTGGAGTACATCTGTAGTTCCAGTGACTCAGGAGGAGGCGGGAGGATCACTTGAGCCCAGGAGTTTGATCCTATAGTGGGCTATGAAAATGCCACTGAACTCCAGCCTGAGTGACAGAGCAAGACCCTGTCTCCTAAAAATAAATAAAATGAAACACAATAAAGTAATATGCTCATGCCAAAGAGGCTAGTCAAATCAAAGCTATTTCACTTTTGAGTTCTTGCTCTTAACTGATATGCTGTATGGACAGTATGTTACTTGATGCATTGGTCATCTCCATGTCCAGCACAATGCCTGATACCAATAAATACATTGAAGCTATCAAGGAAGAAATAAATTATGCCAAAATCTCTCTGCATAACTTATGTCCAAAGTAGTTAAAACCCTACTTTTTTCAGTCATGACTCATGGTAGCAAGAGCTCAAGGCTATCAGAACTAAAGATTGTACATAATGTTACTTAACTACACAAACTACATAGCCACATATATTTCAATTAAGCTGAGGTAAAAATTCAGATGGAGACTTCTAAAAAATTTCAAAGGTCACCCTTTCATTTAACATGCTCAAATGCACATGCAGTATGATGTATGACAGCTACTGTAAGAGATATGGATGAGAATCATCCTCTTGTGGAATTCAGAGTTGAATAGGAGAGACAGAGGCAGGTAAAAGAGATGGTGAAATGGAATAAATTTTACAACAGAGTAAGAACCAAGCACACCATGGGAAACATGTGAACATAGGGAAAACTTGTATGCTGCAATTTAGATAAAAGACGAAAAATGCCTAATATGCCTGAGGGACTCAGGAAAGTTTTATAAAATAGATCTCCGAGAAAAAGAGAACCAGAAGAGAAAGGGTCTGTCAGAGAGCAAGCGTGCCACAATTCTCTAATGACCCTGAGAGCACTCTTAGCAGGGCTCCTTCATGTGACTCACTGGTTTGGAGACATTGGTGACATTAACCTGAAATTCTCAATATTTTAGCTCACATTCAGATATTGTACTGTCAGTCTAGCTTACTTTATTTTTACCAATGATGTGTTTTAGGATTTTTCTTAAATCCATATATAAATGTTCAACAATAAGCACAATAGAAAATAAAACAATTCCCTAAGACACAAAAATAGCTCGAGAATAAACACATTAAGGACATTTATAAAGAGTTGTTCTTTTTTCCTTCACAGGGATCAAATTTGATTAGAAACTTTAATGTATTCAACTAAATTTGCTATTTGACTTTTTCACCCCCTTCTGTCATCAGAGTCACTGTATTTTTTTTTTTAACTAAGTGGTCTTGATTAAGGATGAGGAGTAACTTTAGTAACACCCAAAAAAGGAATTGAATTCTGCTTTACAAAAAGATATGGCATCGAAGCAACTGCTGTCTCTCAGAAGAAATACAAGCTTTAGTGTGTTTTCCTTTAGGTTTACAAAGTTCATTAACCGTTCTGTTGGTATTAGTTATGAGGTAGCCTGACTGGTTCAAACTACATGAAAAAAATCATGTAACATGTCAGAATCTTTACAAGAAAACTTTCAAAATGAAATAGAAATATGAGGGGTCTTGAAAACATTCATGAAAAATTCACTTGAACTGTGAATTTCACGAGAAATCTCTGTGTATTTCATGGGTTTTTTTGCTACAAAATAAACTTGTGCTAACTTACTATAACATATCTGAACAGATGTAGCTTGAGGCACTCAGGATAAGACCTCAGTTTGAAAAAAGCCCTCTCATAGCAACATGAATTCTGCTAAAACTAAAACAAGAACAAATATCAAATTTATGATGAGGCTTAGGTGGAAGAATAGTAAAACCACTGATCCTTTACAAAAAGTTTATGAGAACAATGCCCTGAAGAAATCAGCAGTTTACAAATGGATAATTCATTTTAAGAAGGGATGACACAGCGATGAAGATGAAGCTTGCAGCAGCAGGCCATCCACATCAACTTGTGAGGAAAAAATCATCTTGTACATGTCCTAATGGGGATGACCAACAATTAAAAGCAAAAACAATTGCCAACATCATAGAAATCTCAATTACTTCAGCTTACACAATTCCGACTGAAATTAATATTAAAGTGGAGCAAAGTTTCCACTCAATGGGTGCCAAAACTATTGAAACCAGATGGATCACCTGCAGATAGGAGCAGAGCTTTCAATGGATATTTTAAACAAGTGGAATCAAGTTCTGAAGCATTTCTTTGAAGAGTAACAAGAGAAAAGCAATGGCTACCGAGAGACGAAAGTAACCCAGCCAAAGTGAAGAGAACTGATCAAGAGCAAAGGCCGTACCAATGTTTTTTTGCGATGCTCAAGCCATTTTGCTTGTTGACTTTCTGCAGAGCCAAAAAATAACATTTGCTTATTATGAGAGTGTTTTAAGAAAGTTAGCCAAAGCTTTACAGAAAAACACCTTGGAAAGCTTTACCAGGGAGTCTTTCTCCACCACAACAACGTTCCTGGCTCATTCCTTTCATCAAGTACAGGCAATTTTGTAAGAGTTTTGATGGAAAATCATGAGGCATCTACCTCACAGTCCTGACTTAGATCCTTCTGACATCTTTTTTGTTTCTTAATCTTAAAAATTCTTTAAAGGCCACCATTTTTCTTTAGTTAACAATCTAAAAAAGACTACATTCCTATTTCAAAGGCTCAATTCCTATTTCTTTAGGGATGGACTAAAGAACTAGGGTGGCTGGTATCATTACTTACAAAAGTGTTTTGAACTTGATAGAGCTTATGCTGAGAAATAACGTTTTTACTTTCATTTTCCACAAAATTTTTGAAGTCCCCTTGTATATATAAGACAGCAGAAAACCTAGACCAAACTGTTCATATGTTTATTGTGGAATTCGCATTGGTGGCTTACACTTCTCTGAGACAGCTATCCCCAGCTCAGTCCCATGTTTGACACAAGTCTTTTAATAAAACTCTTAACCTTCTGTCTAAACTGAAGGATACTACAAGTAGCAGTCCAAAAAAAATTTAAAATGTGTGGATTTTAATTCTTTATTGTTTTCTTATGCCTCAATTTTGTTCCAAAAAATCTAATGAGTTAGTAGGTGTAATATTATTACTGGCTTTAGAAAAAAGAATGTTTGAAGTGACTACCTGTCCTTTGTATTGTCAAGAGAACTGTTTCTTTCTGTCCAAGGATGTGTTTCATGGGCTTGTATGAAAGGAGTTGCAGCAATTCTGCTTGGCGCCTATAAAAATACAGCACTCCCAACTTAATAACAGTTAAACGGCATTATGACTGTCTCTTTCACAACACAAAATCCAAATTCTTTACCTTTTAGTAAGTTAATTGGTTATAAATGTTAGATAAAATGGAGTTAGCCATGCAAGCTAGGAGGGACATTTTCAAATTCACTACACATCCCACTTTCACCTTCAAAAATATGACAGTAATCTTAAGGGAGCAATGGTTTAAATACCCATAAGCATTCTGCACTTATAATTCTTTTAATTCATTCTTTAAGTCTAATTTGGCAGTTCTCAAGTTTCACTGTGCATAAGAATTATTATACAGAATTTTACATATAAACAATCTGTAACACTATATTTTTATGGTAAAGATGATAAGTAATCTGACTTTATAATATAACTGTATAATAGAATGCCCCATGATAGTTTGACTCAGGAAATTAGCCTTATCAGGAAAAGAATCCCAGAGTCTACAAATAAGGGTAGCTTGCTTGATACAAGTCTTTCTCACCAAACTGCCACCTTCCAGAAAGGAAGCGGGACAATGCAGGGCTACTTCTCTTAAGCCAGCTCAATATGTGAATGCTCCCATCATTCATTTGGCAGCAAACTCTCAACCACTGCATACCACCTCTCTCCCCCAACCCCACCCCATTCATTGTTCAGTATGTATACAAAATAAATCAACAACACTTGCTCAGCAGATTTGATTATGTATCAAATAGACTCAAAGAGGACTAAGTGGAGATAGTACCTGTGCAGCATTACATGAGTTTGTGAAGTTTTTTTTTTTTTAGGGGTATAGTATCATTAAATATGTGGACTTTGGTCTGTTGAAATATTCTTTAATTTGGAGACTGCTGGTCTGGAGATTGGATCATAAAAACACAAGCCTATAGTTAGAGAGAGGATTTTCCTGACTCTTAGAGCTAATGAGGGCCTAGGATAAGGCAAGAACAGAGAGGATGGAGAGAAAGAAAGTCAAGGAGGCAGGATGGACCAATTTGGGTAGCTGGTTTGATAGATGGTAGTAAGAGCAGAGATGTAGATTAGGTGACTTCCAGCTTTCTGGCTTAGGTGACTCTGGGAATACTTCTGCTGTAGTCCTAGATGGAGAGCATATGGCATAATGATAGACTAAACCACTCTGAATATAACACAAACCTCTCACCTGTGAAGTCATTGGTTCCCAACTTCCTGAGACCAGTAACATATTTTGGTTGAGAGAACTTCTTAGAGAGATTACTAATATATACAAATTAAAGGCATTTTCTGATCTGGAGGAAAGAGAATGAATTTCCTATCTGATATGGTAATTTTGAGACTCTGCCAAGTCTCAAGGTCTAGAAGGAGAGAAGATGTGAACATTCTGGTACACAGTGAAATGCCTTTTGAGAGAATTTATAACTTAGAAATGGTAGTTAAATCTATGAGAGTGGAACAAGGCATTCTTCACCAAAACAAACATAGCCAACACTGCAAAGAAAAGAGTATTTACAAATTAGGAAGTTCAATGTCACTGCTTTTTTTTATAACACTGTGGACTCCTGGAAATTTAGTTCTGTTGTTTCCACAAAAGGCAGATATCAAAATGAACCTGGGGCAGAGAATGTGCCTAATTAACCCCTAAAGCATTTGCAGCCCCCCCATAAATGAGAACCACCACTTCTCTCACATTAGCTAGAAATCCCACAAATATTCAGAAATATACATCTGTCTATAATTAGCACAGAGTACATGTTATTTGAAATGAGAATTGCAATCAATTCTTGATTATATACTCACAGATTACACGCATTGTGGCTTACTCTGCTACAATAAATACTTTCATTTTTTTACATTTAACTGACTTGTTGACACACAATACTCCATTTAGACTTAGTCTGCTTCCCGGCCAAAGTGACCCACAAATCTCTTAGGTGCCCCCACCCCAAAAAAAAAGCTCTCTATAGACAAAAATACAGTATGGCCTCAGAAAAGTTTGAACTGAAAAAGTTAGAAGGTTCAAATAATCAGCCAAGTATTATTAACAAATTTTATTTTTTAAAGTTCAATGGATGCATACCTTACTGATAAGCTGAGAAGACATTAAAGAAATCTTACAGAGTGGGTGGAGTTGGCTACCTAAGCCAGGAAAAATGACCATTCCTTGAACTCCGAGGATATCAATTCTCTCTGTTCATAAATAAGAATTTTGTATATCCACACACATATCCACACACATACTTTAATTACAACTGTTTCTTTTATTTACTTTTATTTTTATTTTTTGAGACAGAGTTTCACTCTTGTTGCCCAGGCTGGAGTGCAATGGCACCATCTTGGCTCACTGCAACTTCCACCTCCTGGGTTCAAGCAATTCTCCTTCCTCAGCCTCCCAAGTGGCTGTGATTACAGGCATGTGCCACCACCATGCCAGGATAATGTTTTTGTATTTTTAGTAGAGATGAGGTTTCACCATGTTGGCAGGCTGGTCTCCAACTCCTGACTTCAGGTGATCCGCCCACCTTGGCCTCCCACAGTGCTGGGATTACAGGCGCGAGCCACTGCGCCCAGCAACTGTTTCTTCTAAAGTTCGTTAATTCTATAATTGTGGGGTATCACTTGTTAAGGCTGTTATTGAGCTCAAGGTCTGACATGCCATAAGATTTTGGCATTGACAAACACAATTGTACCTTTTGCCTCCTTTCCTTACACTTAACACAGAGAAGGCTTCAACTCACTTTTACATGCCTTGATATATATGATGACAGAAACTGATTTATATTTATAAATTCCAATTCTGGGGTCCAATTCAGAAAGGACCTGTGTAATGAGGAGTCCATAACATATCTACAGATACACCAGTTTTGTTCCAGTTTGTACTATATGGCTTCTTTTGCAGTCTGATAAATAACTTTAATGTGTAGGCTAGACAAATAACCTTTGAAATGCTTTTTTTTTCTGTCACTTTAAGCACATAGAAGAAATCTTCCTCTTACTTTCTTATTACTTTGTATTTTCAGTGTATGGTTCTCTTACAAGAATATGGCTGCTTTCTTAAAAGCTCATCTCCTTCTATAATATGTAATACAGCACTTACGATGTTCTGATTCAGAAAAAGTAATCCTAAAGGGCATTTAAACTACTAGGGGGAAATCACAAGGCAGGCAAAAAAAAAATTGTCAAAAATGATAGATCTGAAATTTAGAATCTTAGAGAAGAAACAGGCAGGGAGAAGCAAAATGGTATCATTTAGCCTCCTAGTAAAATCAATATGTCTTTTGGATGAAAAAATATATATAACCGACTAGTTTCTTTGACAGGGAAAGGTAGAAAGGAAAATTGCCTACAGACAAAGGGGTTGAAGAAATCACACCAAGTACTCTTACAATTAAGTTTGCCTTGCGATACATTTAAGTGACAGTAATACCATTTACATGCATCTTTGTTAACGTTTCAGAGGATTACAGATATTCTTTACATTGAATATTTATAAAATGCGGTTTAGAATCATATTATGGTAAAATAGACAAAGAAAAACACCCAAAAAAATACACATGGCTTAATGAATTAGTTAAAGACGTGCAAACTTGCACCTGCAGCTCATGTCAAGAAAGAACTTTGTTACCCATCCTAGAAAACGCTTTCATGGACCAAATCTGAATCACATCTCCTCCTCTCCCTCCAAAAGCAGCCCCTGTTATGACTTTTCTTGTAATCCCTTCTTGTTTGGTTTTATTTGTTAAATCGATTTATCACCTGAATGTACTTTCACAAACATTATAATTTAATTTTCCCCATTGTAAACTTTGTTCTATCTTTTAAGTCTGTTTCTCTCCATTTTTTTCTTTTCCAGTAGCATTTTTCATAGTCTATTTTGCTGATTTGCATTCTCACGGTTCTCTGCATATCTGGCAGATTGGAACCTGGATCCATCAACAGGATCAGATTGAGGTTCAGTCTCTTTTCTGAGAATATAGTTGGCGTTGTGTTCTTTCATCAGTAGGCACATAATGTTAAATTGTCTTTCTTTTAGTGATATCGAAGCCATCAATATTTAGGCCTATTTTTTATTAGTTCATTGGGGATTGCAAAACAGCAACATTCTAATTTTGACATTTATTTTTAATGTATTACCTGTGATCTTTTTACAAAGGGACACTTCTTCGGTACTATTGGGTTAATGGCACTGTTCACATAGAAAAACAGGACAAATATTTCCCTTTATCTGCCAGTTTTTCGGATATCTTTAATATGGCATTTTCAATCATCCAATTCAGATTTTTTATCTGTGTTCTCAATCAAGTGTGACTTTTCAAGCTGTGAATCATGACACTGAAATAACCACAATATATATTTGTCCAGAAAGTAGAAATTCAACCAAAAAGTCAACAGTTGCTGAAAAGAAAATCAGTATGTTGGTGTCATTACCCTTAAAATACATATTTGTCTGCCTGGAAAATATGTCTATTTGTTTTAAAATAAAATTGAGAAGATGGTTAAACATCATAATATTTCCAGAATGTTTGAAGACTAGTTGCAATTTAGTGGCGTAATTTACTTTCAGTGGTCATAATTGCTGATTCTCTTTTTATATATAATAGAAAGCAGAGTACATTGAAAAAATGTAATCAAATATACTCAAATCTCAATTCCTCCGCTACTCCCCAATAATAATCCAATCTGGAACTGGCTCAGCTGACAAAGGAATTTCTAAATAGTTATCTTGTCATTGGCAATGAGAATCTTCTCTCAAATCTCTGTTTATTTTATCCACCTTCAGAGCACCTTGAAATCCTTTTGGTATTTGATTAGTCTGTACTTGTTGTGCTCTCGTGAACTTTTCTATCTAATCTTTCCAAGGTAGTGTAATCATCTTAAAAACCCCTGAATTTTTCACTGACTCATCCCACAAATGCCTTCATGGCTGCACAAATATATTAGTTTTATCCTGATGACTCAAAATCATATATTCATGAATATTAGCTTTTTCTTCAAAGATGAAGAATCTAAGCAATGAAAAAGAAGGCATGCCAAACTTGAATCACATTCTTTTTCTGAGGAAGCTGCTGCTACTTTTAAACAACGTTACCAAAGCGCGGTTCTGATTTGGAAATATCTGTTCATGTATCTCCAACTTCCCCCTTAAAACATTTCATATTATCTCCTTTTGACTTAGCACACAATATTGGCATATGTTTTTCTGATTGCATTTATGTGTCCAGTTCACCTAGGAATGTGTATTAGGTAACTGGCAAGCAGAGGAATCTGTTAAAGAACTTCTTGAAGTTCTTCTTGAAATACGTTATAGGCTCGAAGTACTATCAATATATCCATATGCTCTTGTGGAGGCACCAGCTTCCTCTGCAGTTGTGTTGGGGCTACTCACTCTGGTTCTTGATGACAAGATGTGAATAAAAGTGATGCAAGTCATTTTCAGGCCTGGTGTTTAAAATCATCTTACTTAAATCCCAAGATCTCTCTGTAGGGACTTTAGAAGCTTGAGTTCTAGATGACATAGCTAAAAGATGGAATTTGAATAATGTTTTGAAGACGGACAAACTAATCCACATTGGGCTCCATGTGAGGGAAAAACAAACCCATTTTATGTTAAGCCATGAGGATTGTAAGGTTCGTCTTCTGTAGCATGCCCTACTCATCCCAACTAAAACAAAGAAGATATTTGAATATGTGTGATTTTTATTTTAAAAAGACCATCCAGGATAAATTTTGGTTTAGGGTTCTTTTCTTGGTTATGTTTTCATCACATCTCCAAAACAAAAAGACCAAAACAAAACCACCAATACAACAACAACAACAAAAAACTCAATGCTTTTCCCTAATTAATGTTTGTGCATCCATTCACTTGATTATCCTTAAGATGAAACGGAAGTCAAACATAAGTCATTTCTGCTGGTATGAAAAGAGCAAGTTTTAAGGGACAGGTAGAAGAATGTTTGAATTTCATTTCTGTGTTTTACCAGCTGTGAAGCTATGGAAAATTATTTAAACTCTCTGGGATGCAGCTTGCTCCACACACTGTAAAGAAAAATGTTTCCTCAAATGTGAGTCCTCTCAAGAGTATAATAATAGACATTATCTCTTTCCCTTACTTTACATACTATTCACTCTTGAATTAGGTTTTCATGGGACTGAAATCCACAAGAGATTTATTTGTTTACTATTATATTAATTTACTCATAGTTAACTAATAACACATTGTAAGAACTCAGGTTGCATTATCATATTATAATCATCACTGGCCAAAGACTGATATGTTAAATTAATAGCAGCTGTTCTATTTCTGGAATTTAGAAGAAGGCAGATCTAAATTTAAATACTGACTTTGTTAAATTATATTGGTAATTGACATCGATTTTGGAGTCTCAATTTTTTCCAAATGTAAAATGGAAACAATAAAAAGCAATATTTATCTGAATAATTGTATTGAGTGAATAAAATGTGATTAGAAGTGCTGGTGACTTCCTGAAATATAAGAGAAGTTAGTTCCCTTCCTAAAACTTTAAAGGTATTTATAATTTCAAAGATCTTCATATACCTTCCTTAATTAACACAATGTTAGACAATGCCAATTTGTAAGAATTCACTGGGGGCTTAAATGATAAACTGATTCCTCACAGAAGAATTGCAAAGAGAACTCTAATCAAATATTTTATACTATTTTAATTCATAAACATTAACACAAATGCACACATTAGAAGGACAATCCCCAAATCCCTACCTACAATTGAAAAAAATACATATATTAAATAAATGTATACTCACAAAATCTCCATAGAATTCCTCTGAAAGATTTACTAGTTCATATCAAATATTCCATTTAATGTTGTGTTCTATATACTCCATCAATCTTTTGATTGACTGAATTTGAAGCTCTATTAATGCATCCTACAGTCAAAGTTTTAATGGAGTTTAATGGAACTCATCCAAATCTATAATAGCATTTTCCCCCTAAATTAACTTATAACCCACAAGTTAATGAAATGAATGCAGCTGCCATTTACCCAGAGAGGGTCAAAGTGCAGGACCTATCACTAGGGAGATAGCCTGATGGCTTAGCTCCCTCAGTTCAGCCCTGGGGCATCATAACCCTGGAAGTGCATTAAGGATGTTGCTAAACACCGCACATGGCCTTTACCAACAACACTGGCCACCAAAGAAGTTAAATGGCCTTTTAAAGCTCATTAGAAAAATTTAGTAGTTTCACAAATGAAACTAAACTTTTCAAGATCAGTGGTGATGTCTTATGCTTATTTTAATATTGGCATAGTATTTTATGTCTAGTGAGACGTTTGATAATGTTTATTGGATGAATCAATACTCATGTTTTTATTTTTTAAAGTAGCAACCAAATAAATTATCAAAATGAGAATTCACAAGTAACTGCATTAAACTATATTTCCTTCCGATGATGATGATGATGATGATACATAATAATAACAAAGACAGAAATGGATGAGTTGATCAGGAAAGGTTTTGTCCCCTCTCTTGAGTTCAGTAAAAGACGTAATCAAGTGTTTGGAAAATGGATCATTTGAGGAAAGGCTATGGAACTGAATTTATTTACAACAGAGAACAGAAGGCTCACAAAGTACATAGTTGAGGTTCTGGAGTCTGGGGGATTTACAATTTTCAACTATATAAAGCAATAGCATATGGGAGGTGTTAAGCAGCTGTTCTATTTCTGCTCAGGAAATTGATATGTTTAGGAGCCCCAGCCAGCAGAAATAGGACCAATGGATCAAAGCTATAGCCTGGCAAATATTAGCTCATCATATAAAAAGAGCATTCTTAAAATTAGAGCTTTGGAAATTGAAATAGACCGCCCAAGGAGACAGCATGCCCTGGTGGCTCTGGTGCCTCACTGAGCAGCCAGCCTTGGCATATCTCTATTATATGTATCCCATTTTAGAGGGGAAAGAAAAAACAAGGGACAGGAAGAGAGAGGTGGGGAAAGAGAGAGAGATAAAGATTTCCATATGAGCATTATAGGAAACTAGCATAATCTCTGCTAGGGATGAGAGACTCTCATTTATGAAGATTTCTTAATGGACTGTTTTAGTTATATGAATGAGGGCCTCAAGAAGTAGTCTGGGATGGTGATTAATTTTATAATAAGGTCACAAGGATTTTGAAGATATTTTTCTGACTATTGCACAGAGGAAAGGGGGAAGAAAAATAGTGAAGAGGGAAGACACAGCAAAGCTAAGAGGACCCAACACACGGTAGGGTCGGGGACCTTGGAGAAACATGGTCTTAAATGTTGAGTAAATGGTGTATGCCTTTCAACTCAAAGCAGGTTTCTATTCTATGGTGTGCTACATTGTACTATTCATCAACTCAACAAATGTTTTTTGGTCATCTATCACAAGCATGTAGGAAGAAGCCCCCACCCTTTTGGACTTCAGTTCTAATTTTAGAAAAATGCTACAAGTAAACCAGTTAGTATAAAAATAAGATTATGAGTAATGGGAAAGTGCCATGAAGAAATAATAAAAGTTGGAAAAAGATCAGAGTGTGATTGGGGATGAAGTGGTATTTTAGCATCTGGTCAGGGAAGGTCTCCCTGATGATGTGATATTTGAGTGAATATTAAGGAAAGTAAGAATTAGCCATGTGGTGACCTAGGGATGTGTGTTTCAGACAGAAGTCAGCAACTATAAAGGCCCTGAGGTGGGAATGGGCTAAACGTGTTCAAGATCAAAGGGATCAAGGTGTGTGTTTTAGACAAATGTGTGTTTTAGACAGATGATGTGTGCTTTAGACATATGTGTGTTTTAGACAGATGTGTGCTTTAGACAGATGTGTGCTTTAGACAGATGATGTGTGCTTTAGACAGATGTGTGTTTTAAAAAGGTGTGCTTTAGACAGATGTGTGTTTTAGACAGATGTGTGCTTTAGACAGATATGTGTTTTAGACAGATGATGTGTGCTTTAGACAGATGTGTGTTTTAGACAGATGAGTGTTTTAAACAGAGGTGTGCTTTAGACAGATGTGTGATTTAGACAGATGTCTGTTTTAGACAGATGATGTGTGCTTTAGACAGATGTGTGTTTTAGACAGATGAGTGTTTTAAACAGAGGTGTGCTTTAGACAGATGTGTGATTTAGACAGATGTCTGTTTTAGACAGATGATGTGTGCTTTAGACAGATGTGTGTTTTAGACAGATGAGTGTTTTAAACAGAGGTGTGCTTTAGACAGATGTGTGATTTAGACAGATGTCTGTTTTAGACAGATGATGTGTGCTTTAGACAGATGTGTGCTTTAGACATATGATGTGTGCTTTAGACAGATGTGTGTTTTAGACAGATGTGTGCTTTAGACAGATGTGTGTTTTAGACAGATGATGTGTGCTTTAGACAGATGTGTGCTTTAGACATATGATGTGTGCTTTAGACAGATGTGTGTTTTAGACAGATGTGTGCTTTAGACAGATGTGTGTTTTAGACTGATGATGTGTGCTTTAGACAGATGTGTGCTTTAGACATATGATGTGTGCTTTAGACAGATGTGTGTTTTAGACAGATTGTGCTTTAAACAGATGTGTGTTTTAGACAGATGATGTGTGTTTTAGACAGATGATGTGTGCTTTAGACAGATGTGTGCTTTAGACAGATGTGTGTTTTAGACAGATGATGTGTGTTTTAGACAGATGATGTGTGCTTTAGACAGATGATGTGTGCTTTAGACAGATGTGTGCTTTAGACAGATGTGTGTTTTAGACAGATGTGTGCTTCAGACAGATGATGTGTTTTAGACAGATGAGTGCTTTAGACAGATGCATGTTTTAGACAGGAGTGACAGCAAGCGCAAAGGCCCAGAGCTGGAAATGGGTAACCTGGTTTAGATCAAAGGGATCAAGGAGAAAAAGGTGAGCACTGAAATCACAGACTTGCAAAGCTAACCGGTCTTGTGTTGTGTTCTAAGTTTGGGGCTTAAGTAGGAAGTGATAATGTTCTGATACACATTTTTAAAGGACTACCCCTTCTTAGAAAGGGTCTGCAAGTTTGGATTAGGAGAGATTTGGTGAAAGTGGAAATTGCTTGTCATACCCAGCTTGTATTTTAAAGCAGTTGATCAGTCTAGTTGATGTCCTAGATATATGGTGGAAGAAAATTAAAGGAATCAGTTTTTATCACACACACACAAAAAAAAACTGAGTGAGTGAGAATGCCACTTATAGAGACGAGAAAAATTGAGGCTTAAGGGGACAGGGAATCAAGAGTTCTGCTCTGGATGAGTTATAACTAGAGCTCAGGACTGAGAGAGATAAATATGGATGTCATTAGCATATACATGGTTTATTCAAAATAAAACTATGTGACTGAATGAGATAATTTAGAAAGTAACTATAGATGGAATAGTGAAAAGAAAGACAAGCACTGCACCCTACAGAAATATAGCTTTAAACAACCAAAAAAGGAAAAGTGGAGGAAACAACAAAGGAGATTGGGAAAGCCATGGAGATAGGAGGACAGGAAAGAAAATGAAGTGTCTTATGATTCAAGGGAAGGATGAATTCATAAGAAGGGAAGAATTGATTCCTAATTTTCTTATTACAATAAGGCAGCAAGTTCAAATACAGGCTGAGAATCAAACACTGGGACTTGGCAAGATGGAGGTTCTTAATGACTGAAGAGGGAGGCTCCAGAAGGTTGGTGGGAAGGAGTCTGATTGGGATAGGCCCAGAAAGCATTTTGGATTTTTTTGGGATAAATTTTGCTATAAAAGGGAGCAGACGAATGGAGGACTGTAATGAAAGGGAAAAGATGCTTTAATTTGTTTAAGTTTGGAGGTATTATAGCATCCTGGCATGCCAGAGTACTTAGACCATATACAGGAAAGAAGCATGATTTAGGAGAGATCCAAGGTAATCAATGGGGAAAAATTATCCCACTAGATGACAGGGGATGAGATAGATGGTGTATATCTAGGGGAGCTGTCTTCAGTAGAAACAGAAGCAGCACATCAATAGAAAGGCAGGTAGTTGAGAGTTGGTTTATTTTATTAGTTTTAAGGGGGTAGTATATTTTTGGATTCCTTCCATCCTCTCAGTTAAGTCAGAAATGAGGTTATGAAATGTGAGTGAAACCATTCCTAACAACTTTATAAAATTAATCAAGGAGGAAGGGAAGGAGAGAAATGAAAGTAAACAGAGCTTGCAGCACACTCAGCATTAATCATTAGGCCAGCTTGCTCTCTGACGTGCTTCCTCATAGGTATTTGGTGCCTATTATCCTAGAATCCTGTAGACCCTAGATAACAGTTCCACTTAACTGTTCTATAGATAACAACGTGAACATTATGAAATGTTAAGTTTTTCATTTGAGATATTCTCTCAGGTCACACATACCAGTGAAACTACTGATGTCAACTGGTCTGAAGGACCCCACAAGAAGCTTAATCACCAAAGAATGCAGTCTCCATATCATGATGATTTCATCCCCCTTCCCCTGACCAATGACCCCAATTTTCTAATGCCCCATAATACTCCAGCCCAAAACTCCTCAGGGAGACGCATTGAGGGTCCTTCCCATTTCCTGTCTTGGCTGCTTTGCAATCATTACAATTTTTCTCTGCTGCAAAACCTGCTGTCTCAGTGTATTGTTATGTTACTGAGCATATATGTTATGGAACCAGCTATTGTAGGCTGCAAACTTAAGTACTTTGAGTAGAGTTGGGGGTTGCTGAATGGTTCACAAGATTAAAGGTGTAAAACAGTAATCTCTGAAACTGTTTTTGCTAATTATATGAAGATAAATAAAGACATAGTTACACTTTATAAATAAAGATTGTAATATAAGAAACAAAATATGCGTATGCACACACACCCTTTACTTATTAAAATTAATAAGATAATTAATATTGATTCCTTAATTATTAAAAATTATAAACAATATATAGTAACATTTATAAAATGTTGAATATGTTCATTACATTTACTTATTTTGAAATTAACATTACCTCTATGTATCCTAAAACTTAAATTTAAGTATCATAGATACATGGTTTATTACAAACTCAACATATTTCAATGTACTCTAATTATTATTTTCTACTCAATTTTTATTATTTTATTTTTGTTCTCAAGAAATTTTCTTTTTTCCTTTTTTTAACTTTTCTTTTAAGTTTGGGGTACATGTGCAGGTTTGTTATTAGGGTAAACTTATGTCATTGGGGTTTGCTGTACAGATTATTTTACCACCCATGTGTTAAACCTAGTACTCTTATTTTTCCTGATCTTCTCCCACCTCCCAATCTCTACCCTCCAGAAGGCCCCATTGTGTGTTGTTCCCCTCTATACAGGGTATATGTGTTTGTGTGTGTGTGTGTGTATGTGTGTGTGTGTTTGTGTGTGTGTGAGTGTGTGTGTGGTGGAGGGGAGAGGTGGGTATCCTCATATCATTTTAGAATTCTATCATTACCACAGAGTTACCTTGGGCAGTGGGTGTCTGTGGTAATGATAGAATTCTAAAATGATATGAGGATACCCACCTCTCCCCTCCACCAGACACACACACACACACACACACACACACACCCTATGTAATCCCATGCTTTTAAGTGAGAATGGGGACTATTAATATAATGGAATATTACTCCTATAATTGAGTTAGCCTGCAAGGCAAAGTTGAAGGGATTTTGCAGAGGTATTTCAAATCTCCAATAAATTGACTTTAAGATAATCAAAATGGGGTTATCCTGAAAGGACCGATCTAATCTAGTGAGTTATTTAAAAGAGGTCAGAGAGATTTGAAGTAGCAGAGACACTCTCTAGATTAGAGACATAGAGAGGAAAAAGGATTTGTTCAGAGCAGGAAGTATGAGGACCTTGAGAAATGAGTAGAGATATAGGGGACTTTGCTGATAACACACCCTAATTTCCTGAGAGAATGCTTTAAGGAGAAACAATTAAATAAAATAGCCACAAAAGGGATGGAAATTGTGAGTCCCTAAAAGAAACATAATATAACATTTGAGGAATGTGATAAAGAATTTAAAATAAAAGCAATCAGTTTTGTTGAGTAATTGTTTTAAAGAATGTTTTACTGTTGGGGTGTGGTTGTGGAGAAGGTAGGGGTTTACATAGATCTAGTGTTGGAGTTTTGCCAACAAGTCAGATGCAGGAGAAAGAGACAAGCAAATAGAGTGTAAATGTAAGCGATTAATTACAAACGCTATGGAATCTAAACTGTGTATGATATAAACCAGAATTAAAGTTGATGAACAGCGGGAAAGAAATAGTGGAATCAACGAAATTAAGGTTTCAGTTAGTTCACCCCTCACTGCGACCATTTCCTCAAACTATTGTTCATAAATTCTATAGATGCAAAAATGCAAAGTTTAGTGTGTGAAAGTAAAATATAGACAGGTGATATTTGTGAATGAAAAAGGGTACTGAAATTTGGAAATTGCCTATTTTTGTAAGAACCAAACAATTCAGATTTGTCTAATTAGTTTGAAAAACTAAAATTGTTTGAATACAACATTTTACTTCAGTTAGAAGAAATGTAAACTTCTACCCAAAGAAATATATAGAAATAAAAAATCGAGTCCTTTTTCTAAGGAGTTATACATAAGTAAATTTCTGTATCTATATCTCCATGTATCTCTCTCATATACATAGATATAGATAATCCTACTTGTTTAATGTATAAAATGTTATGGTATAATAGTCTAGTAATTTCTCTTTTACATACATTAATTTACGTATTTTTGTATAAAAGGTAGCTCATCACAAGTATCAAGACAAAGTGGAGAATAGTTAATTTATTGAAGTCATGATTATAATCAGACCTGTCTCCTCCCAAGCTTTTGCATATCTGGAAAATATGTCAGTGGATGTTCAATTTACCATATTTGTACCTGATGACAACATTTCAGTTCACAGCATGGATTAAATATTGGTGGGACTATGTTTCTTTTATGCCTTTATTTCTAAATTAGTCATTTATTAAAACTTATTTTATGAAGATTTATCAGAGCTTAGAAATTGCTATTTCTATCTCACAGAATAGAAAAAATAAGTCAGATTCCAAGGTTAGAAGGCTTTTTTGCCTACTGCATTGGGAGAACCAGTTTTCATCAACTCTCCAAATAAAAACCTTGTGATTTCAAAGCGTTTTTTTTTTCTCTTCTTTACAAGTTACAAAATCAAAGTACCTCAAATCATCTACCACAGGAATTGCATGACTGCTTTGATTTTAAAAATAAATGAAGAAATTCTTGAATAAAAGTGTACAGTAGACAATGCTTTTTTTTTTAAGCCACAGCTGTATGACAAGGTCATTTTCACCAAGTCAAAATGCACTAAAATTACTACTTTTGAAAGCCAGCTTGTAGCTGCAGATAATGGTCATCTCAACAAGGAAAGTGGTGGGCAATGAGAGTTTCTTGAAAGCCATGGAACTCTTTTCAGGAAAATGTATGTACATTCAATATTTCGTGTCTAATTTTAGGAAAGCCCCAGGACCCAGCTGAAGTTCATCCATATTCCACAAGTTAAAACCCTGACAATGAAAACGTGACTACTCTTCAGTTTGGGGTAGCTGAACTGTGAAGTAAATTAACTGCAAATATGACAATAAACAAGACCACCTATGGAATTGTTCATTATCTTTTGCATAATCTAAGAATCTCCAACATGCACATGAATTTTAAAAGTCCAATTGTGTCTAAAACCTATAATTAATTCACATAGGGATGTATAAACCCATCTGAGTGAAATGGCTTACCTTGGTTTCTTTTTATATAACTAATTGAAATGAGCTCAAGGGCTTAGTGATAAGTATAGATCTACTTTTTTGTACTTTTCAGAGACAAGTTCTTTTAAAACCTGATGAATTCTTCCCTCTTGCTATAATGTATTCACAAATGAAGGCTTCATGGAATTCATAAATAGCTAAAATACTTCAAATATCGAGGCCTATCATTTTTTTCTCAAGATCTTTATCACATTCCTCCCTCTACTTTCTATTTACAGATAATTAGGAATGCCTTTTAAAGTCCAGAACAGTTTTGTTTGTGTGTGTGTGCATGAGTGTATTAGTGTTAATAATTGCTTTGACTTCCTCGCCCCTTGTGATGACTAATTTTATGTGTCAAATTAGCTGGGCCACAATGTGCCCAAATATTTGGTTAAACATCATTCTGAGGTGTCTGTGGGGGTGTTTCTGGCTGAGATTAACATTTGAATCAGTAGACTGAGTGAAGCTGATTGTCCTCCACAGTGTAGGGGGGACCTCATCCAATCAGTTAAAGGCCTGAATAGAAAAAAAAAAGGCAGAATAAGAGAGAATTTTGTCTCTGATTGACTCTGAGCTGAGACACTGTTCTCCCACCTTACAGTGGAACTAACGCCACACAATCTCCTGGCCCCGAGGCCTTCAAACTCAGACGGGAACTGTACCATCAACTCTCCTAGGTCCCCAGGTTGTCGACTGAGGATCTTGGGACTTAGCCTCAGTAACTGTGTGACCCAGTCCTTTAAAATGTATTGATAATCCATCTCTTGATCTACCAATCTATCTATATTATTGGTTCTGTTTCTCTGAAGAGTCTTGACTGATACAGATTTGGGGAGTGGTTTTAGAAAAATGGGTTTTAAGGCTGAGGTTTTTGAATTGGCTTTGGGGTTTCATAAATTGATTAGATTTAAAGACACTAGTGACTGTTTTTCTGTTAGTAGAGAGAGTATTGCTAGTTCATGGCATGATCTACCAATAGAGATATGCAAAATATCTTTATTGGATACTCCTTATCAAGGAACTTGGTGGTTGTGTATATAATTCTTGTAAAAATATTTATGGAAAACTAATAAATATAATAAGGTTGGCTGATTGCTCCTAATGTCACTGGACAAAGTGGTGACAGACAAGGATGGGGCTAGGGATTTAAATGCCCAGCTAAGTCAGGCATGGTAGCTCATACCTGTAATTCCAACACTTTCGGAGGCAGAGGAGAGACGACTCCTTGAGGCAGGGATTTCATGACCAGCCTGGGCAACCTATTGAGACTCTGTCTCTACAAATAATAATAGTAATAAATATCTGAATATAGTGGTGCATGCGTATAGTCCCAGCTACTTGAGAGGCTGAGGTGGGAAAATCACTTGGGCCAGGGAGTTCGAGGATGCTGTGAGCTAAGATTGTGCCATTGAACTCCAGCCTGGGTGACAGGGCAAGAAGTTCCTATCTCAAATACCTACATACATAAACTCCCATCCAGAGCACATCATAAATGACGTGAAAATTTATTTCATAACTCAACCACTATTTATTTTTATTTTTATTTTTGTGGGTACATAGTAAGTGTGTGTGTTTATGAGGCATGCGAAGATGTTTTGATACAGGCCTGCAATGTGAAATAAGCACATCACATGGAGAATAGGTATTCATCCCTCAAGCATCTATTATTTGTGTTACAAACAATCCAATTATCCTCTTTATTTAAAAATGTACAACTGAATTATTACTGACTATAGTCACCCTATCGTGCCATCAAATAGTAGGTCTTATTCATGCTTTCTAATTTTTGTGCCCATTAACCATCTCCACTAGCCCCCCATTACCCTTCCCAGCCTCTGGTAACCATCCTTCTACTCTCTATGTCCATAAGTTTAATTTTTTTGATTTTTAGATCCCACAAATAACTGAGGATATCTGATGTCTGTCTTTCTGTGCCTGGCTTTTTTCACTTGACATAATGATCTCCAGTACCATCCATGTTGTTGCAAATGACTGGATCTCATTCTTTTGTGGCTGAATAGTACTCCATTGTGTATATGTACTACATTTTCTTTATCCATTCATCTACTGATGGTCATTTAGGTTCAAATTTTAGCTACTGTAAACAGTGCTGCAACAAACGTAGGAGTGCAGATATCTCTTCCATAAACTGATTTCCTTTCTTTTGGGTATGTACCCAGCAGTGGGATTGCTGGATCATATGATAGCTCAGTTTTCAGTTTTTTTGAGGAACCTCCATACTGTTCTCCATAATGTCAATCACTATTTATTTATTGCATAAGTGTACCCGAAACAATTGATTTTATTCTTGTGTCTTAAGTTGTAGGAATGCTATCACATGCCACTTGACAACCATTCAATAGGATTGGACATTCTATAACTTATTTTTTATTATCCCTTTCCTGAACATTTACTGAATCCGTTTGTTATTGCATTTGTGTCTTATATGTCTGACCCCCTCAGCCACTAAACTATTGACACTCTTCCTATGTAGGTATTATTTTACTGCTTAAAACTGTTGACCTTCTTAGTCATTCATTTAACTAATGTGCATTAGTGCCTACTATGGAATAGTTACAGTTTTAGAGTCTGGGGATAAAAAAGTTGGCAAAATTAACAATGCCTGTGCTCTCAGTTTACATTCTAGTGGAGCTTACATTTTAACAAGCATAATTAACATTGACCTCTTTGATTTAGTTGTGTCTAACATATTTGAGGAAAAAATTAGATTAGATGAAGCCACATTCCCCCTATGCCCACACTAAACCAATCTTCAAATACTTATTTAGCCACATGGATCTCTAGACTGGGACTCAGGCCCTCACTTAGCCCTAAATATCTAGCACATACTACTGTTTATCACATGAAGCCTAAATAATTATCTTAAATTCTAAAGTTGGAAGTAACTGGATATAACTTAACTTGCTTTCCAAATTATTTTCTACTAATTATTTTTCCTACCTTGTATTTTTATTCAATGTTACTCATTGTTCTTTGCTAGGATTTTTTTAATTATGTGTCTCTAATACTTTTTAAACTTTTCATTAAAAAATTATATTCGGTGGGTACATCTGCAGGTTTGTTACATGGGTATATTGCGTGATGCTGAGGTTTGAGTCAAGTTTTTTTCTCACACATTTCCCTGTGATTAGAATGTCTTTCCTTCCTAACTTTGGCTGTCAGTATTATATCCATTTTTTAAGATTCAAATTGGCTATCGCTTCTTCCATGAATCATTTCATGTTCAGCAAAGCCAGAAAGAATGTCATTTTTAATGTCTGATATATATATATCAGACATTAAATATATATATATATATATATATATATATAGAGAGAGAGAGAGAGAGAGAGAGAGAGAGAGAGAGAGAGAGAGCATGGTAGCTCATACCTATAAACCCAGGCACATATATTTTATATATATATATATATGTATGTAAAAAGACATCTGTGTGTGTGTGTGTGTACAATTTTCTAAGTTATATGCCTCATCAACTTTCCAAGTTAAATCTGAGTGTTTACCATATTTTTGGTAACAGTCATATCTCTCCCATTAGAATATAATAGTCATTATTAATCATTGTTTCCGTTTCAGTGCATCTCATATAGTCCTTGAAAAAAACACATACAATATGGATGTGAAATTATAATAAAAATATTAATTCACTGACTTGCCTCTTCCTCTCCCACCCCTCAAAGGATAATGGGCATCTAGAAGCATTGAAACATAATAGGAGAACAATAAAATTGGGAATTCACAAATCAAAGTATTCTCCCTAGTACTGCCACTAATTAGCTTTATCACTTTGGACACACTTTTTAACATGTAGAGTTAAGGAAGAAGATATCCTATTTCACAGGGAACACTCTGAAAAAAGGCACAGGTAATTACTACTGACAGGATATATATAATGAGGAGGTTTGGCAGGTAGACTATAAAGTGATAGGATTTCACTGTTGACCTTACCACTGAAGTTACTAGTGTAACCTCAGCAATTTCACTATTTTGACCCTACATACACTTCAGTACAATGAAGATAATAACAAGATAGCATGAAGATTAAATCAGTTAATAAAAATAAGGCAAATGAAATAGTGCTTGGCTCAGATTACCCTAGCTATTATTATCCTTAAGCCTTATTTATTCATTTTTACCCAAAAAACTGAAAAAGTGTAGTTGATTTTAGACAATATTATTTATAAGGCTCCTTTACTTGAATGAATGATATAAAAATGAAATCAGGTTACTCCAAATATTTTATATTCAAGTTAGTCCTAATTGGTCTATGTAAAAGCTCTTCAGCTTTCATGTAGGTTCTTCAAATTGAGCGACATTCTGAAGCTTACTTTTACTTGATTAATGAATGCTAGCTCATATAGTCAAAAGCTGCCTAGTTAAAGGCACAAACATGGGCAATATACATTATTATTTATGGTAAAACCAAAATGACGCAGTCAGTTGGCTATTTATACCAATTTCATTTATCAAATAGATTAGAATGAAGTTTGATAAGACAGGTATATGGCATTTTACTCCTTAATAACTACGAAGAAGAATCAGTGATGGTAGTTTCATGATAAGCTCCGAAGACTTTGATACACATCCAGCTGACGCTTGGAAGAATATGGCCATTCCCATTAGTTCTAATATGAGATTGGAAACGAAACTTCACCATGTTTTACCTGACATTTTTCATGTTAAATGTAAAGGAGAGGTAAGAAATAATATTGGTTCCTCGATGCAGACAATGCTTCAGGGGCTCTTTATATTTTTATAACTATATATTTCAAGATGTATTCTAAAGGTTTTATAACTGCTTTTTACTTCACAGGAGCTTGATGCTGGAAGAGACCCACAGAGGTCATCACCCTGCCTTAAGGCAGAGTGTACCTAAACCCTCCTGGAGGACGAAGATGAATTTAAGAACTCTCTCCACTCCACTGCAGGACCTTCTTGCCCTACCCACCAAGCTCTGCAAGCTCAAGATACAAAGATAAATTTAAATGTGGAAAACAGTCCTCCCTAGAAAAGCTTGGTTTCAATATTTCACTGCCTGCTTTTAATCATCATCAGTAGATTCAGAGATTTGGTTCTTATTCTCCTTTTTTATTTATAGCTATCCAAATTAAGTTTAAATATTTGTACATTTTGTATTAGTTGGTATCTGAGCTGTGTTGTCCTCAAATTTTATCCCTTTGAGAAAAAAGGAAATTGTTGCTTAGCAATAAGGAAAGACAAAGGCTTACAAATACAAAGCATATTACAGTCAAGCATAAGAAGTCATACTAAATGATGATATCTAAAGGAATGCTTGATTGTGGCAACTCAATGAGAAAAGAACTGTTTCCTATTAGCTCTAACAGCAGGGTTTGTTATCATTTAAGTACACGCTCTAATACATTTAGTGTTTTGTGCTACATTTAACAAGATTAAGTGAACACACACTGTTTCAACTCAAATCTTTATCGGAAATCAGAGGCAAGCCTCATTTCTTGCCAAAACATTCTCTTGTGGCTCATTCTTGGAGCAAATTCCATATAAGTAAATCTGTTTACCCAGGCATACCATTGATCAGATAAAGGATTTTCCCTTCAGGTAACTCTTTACTGAACTTTGAAAACATTACCTAAAAATTCTAAAAAATTGAAATGTCTGAAAGATGCTATTAAAGATTATAATTTGTAATAAAACATAAATGGCATTGTGAACACAGTAAACTATTAAAAGGAAATTTGGAGGATGAGCTGTCAAAGTTCTTACATGATTTCACTGTAATACTACAAATAATTGGATTCTGTGGACAAGTAGTAGATACTATATAGCATACCTGAAAATCATAAAATGTCTCATTGTCCCATGTCTTAATTATTCTCTCTTGATTGAAAAAATTCAACTGCATGATGTAAGCTTCAAGGAACACTTTAAAAGAGGTGCTTAGGTCTTAATTTTCAGAAAATCTTATTGAAAATGCTAATGTGCCATTCTGTTCCACACATCAAGTTCCCTTTTATAGTACAACGCATTTCTAGTTTCTTCCATTTCATATTATATTATAAGGTATTTCTCTTTGCATTTATATGGTGAGCAAAAAGCATGTGCATTTAGAATCTATATCGATACAATATAGATTTACATTTAATATTTTTATATTTTGTTCTTCTAGCTCAAATTAACCAGATATTTGTAGCTTGTTTTTTTAATTTTTCACATTTAAGAGTAACCAAATATGACCATATGAAGCGCAACATAAAAGTGCTTTTCTCTATTACTATTTGTCTCATAGGTAGTTTAAAAAACCACAGTGATTTGGGCATCACATTTTTATGAGTTTTTGGCATTTTCATTTGATTATAGTTTTCTTTAAAAGACTAAAAACGTTTCTATCTTTTTATCAATCATCAAGAGCCAAGGACATGATGATAAAGTCACGGTTATGCTTTTGTGGTAGGTAGAATAATTGTCCCCATGATGTCTAAGTACTAATCTCCTACTTGTGAATATATTACCTTATGTGGCAAAGGATATTTTGCAGATGTAATTAAGAATACTGACTTGAGATGGGAAGATTATCCTGGATTTCCCAAATAGGTTCAATCTGATTACACAAACCCCTAAAACTGGAGAACACTTTGTGGGTTTGGTTAGAAAAATATATATATATAAAACAGAAGAATTAGAGAGATACAATATTAAAAGCACTTGACTTGCAATTGTTGGCTTTGAAGATGGAGGTAGGGGACATTGAGTCAAGGAGTGAGGCAGCCTCTTGGAACTGAGGAAAGAATAATAAAGATTCTGTCCTATATTCTCCAGAAAGAAGAGCAACTCTGCCAACACTTTGATCTTAAAACCCTTTACCCTTTTAGGAAAAAAAAAAAAGTGCAGTTGATTGTTGGCAGTCATTTAATTTTACATGAACATTACTCTTTGAGGCTGAAGCAAATCTAATTTTCAATGTGAAATTAAAGTATAAAAACTGTTCTTGGAGTTATTTCTAAACAGAACTAACATCAGAATCATCTGAATTATTACAATAGTCTATTTCGGAAAAATTGGATTCATCAAATGAATCTTTGGTCCACAACTGTATGAGAACAATGTTAACATCAGGCATAGAAAGGGTACGTTTTCTAGGATTGGACGTTTTCGGCAACCAAGAATTACTACATTTTGTAAATGGAAATACCACTACGAAAACCAGAATGCTAAAAATAAAATGCTGTCTTTTGTTTCCAAAGTCGATACACTGGAGTGATACAAAAATATTAATAAAAGTGAGATATTTCCTGGCAAAGTTATCTCAGGGTAAATGGACAGTAGCCATAAGCCCTGCCAGCAAGTATTCTCGGGGCAAAAGAATATAAGGTTGAACCCTAAACTTCTGACCTCCAGAACTGTGTATTAATTCATGTAATTTAAGCCACTGAATTTGTGGTATTTTTTTTCTTGCAGCAATATAAAACTAACACAAAATCTGAAGGTTCTGCATTTTCCCTTTAATTGTTAAAGATACTCCACCTCTTTCCTATGATAATCCACTTAACATGTTTTCTATAGACTTGATTTCCGCCCCCTACATTCCAGACTTTGGAAGCTCTTATGAAACTGACTTCTGTACATGATCATTTTTGTGACGGTGACTGGAAAGCTAGAATATGATTTGTGGCTTCTTTTTTGTACAGGCATAAGATTTCTGCATTTATTTTGACACTAAATTCATTCTTTGATTTAGCTGTTGTTTTTACAACCTCCTTTTCCCTTTGTTCTTTTTTTTCTCAACCACTCATATTAGTGGTCTATATTTTATTAAATATTTTGAAGTTGTAATGAATCCTTCACAGGCTATAAATAAATGCAAAGTTAAGTACTTATGAATGGATAAACTTGCAAGCAATGTATGTAGATAGACAGGCACCCTGCTCTGCACTCCTATATTATACCCCACTCTGTTGGCAACATTTTAGACATTTCTCTTTCCTTATCACACTTCCAAGCTTTCCCCAAGTCAAGAAAATCACAAAAGAATTGAGAAGGAAGGTTGTTTATCCGTTTTTCAATCATTATCAAGTTTTTTCCCCATTCATTTTTGTTACCAACAGCAATTTCTGAACACTGTTCATTTTAAGTCATTTTTTGTCAATAAAAACTGTTTAGACAGAAGCATTATTCTAAATGACAGGAGGGAGCTTTATCAGAATTCCAAAAAGGCAGAAACAAGATTGAATTTTTTCTTACAGCACTGTCAACTTCAGAGGTTGAGAAGCTAGTATTTGAATGCTATGTAAACCATCAGCGAGTATTATGCCAATAATACCTTCCAAAAATGCTGTCAAGAGAGTATTAAACCCAATGGATACACAAGAACACTAAAACTCAGAACATTTAAATTTATTTTCAAGCTGTCTACGACGTCAGATGACAAAGTGTAAACTTATTTGTTCCATTACAGTGATTTTTAAAAGTGAATTGTTTCAGTACCAAACAAAAAGTCAGATACCTATTTTAAGCTTTATGTTACAGATTTTTTTTGGTAAATAATATTGCCTTGTAGTAAAATAAACATTTGTAAGTGTAATGCAAGTTTTTAATACTCGTGAAGTAATATTTCCTCTTCAGCACACGCAAAATTCATCTCTGGAATTTGTCATATGGTAAATATATTTTTTGTTGTTCAAAAGAAAAAATTGTAAAGTGCTATTTAGATGTCCTTACAAAATGGGAATTGCGCATAGTTGCTCTGAAAAAGGAAATTTGAAGTCATGAGACCTGAGTTCTATTCTTGGCTCAGCTACTGACAAGATGTTAACTTTCCAAGTTAGAAAATATTTTGGATCACAGACCTGTTTTCTGAAAATAATAGAACAGTCGCGACTTCCTCATGGGCCGATTCCTCTAGGGTAATTGTGATACATTGAACATGTTTGTGTCCCAGCCCATAACATCTTTCCCTTTACTGAACAAAATTATATGTTGAGTGGATTAAGGAATTACCAAAAGATCTTCATAAAGCACCTTGTGAAATTATAACAAATTATACAAAAGTAGCACACAAGTTCTACCTACATAAATATCATCCTCAACCATTAAAGAGAGTGGTAAAGCAAGAGAGGGCATTGCATAGTGGCCTTGGATAAGTTACTGATCTGTTTTCAGCCTAGGTTTCCTCATATGTCAAGGGGGCCCTCTATCAGTACCTTGACGGGTATATTAAAAGGCTAATTATTCCCTAAATTTCACATCTTCTTTGTGCTCAGGGAGCACAAAGCTGGATCAGATTCCCCTGCCCCTCTTGTGTGACCCATGATGTGACTGCGTTCTGGCCAATGAGATGCAAGGGGACTGAAGTGTATCCCAGAATCTTGCCCCACACACTCCTTCTTGCTCTCTGCCCCTTCCTACCAGCTGGAGGGGAACTCCAAGGAAGACCTCAAAAGCTAATTCAGAGATGGCAGAGCCACTGGCCCCGTAAGGTCCTAAATGACTGTGAGTAAAGCCTTCCTGTGACTGTGGCATTGCTGAAAATCATTATATGGTCAACAATCAAATAAGCACCTTCATATTGTTGAAACATATGCTTGGGTCAATTTGTTACCGTGGCTTAGTCTACCCTACTTATTTTTTTTTGTGAGGTTTAGAGACCATATAGGTGCTTCTCAAAAATAAATAGGTTTTATTATACTCATTTTACTAGTTTTCTGCTGAATAAATTACCACAAACTTAGCAACTTAAAATAAATGATATTTATTATCTCACGGATTCCATGGGTCAGGAATCCAGACATGTCTTAGCTTGGTCCTTTCGTAAGGGGTCACAAGGCTGCACGCTAAGTGTCAGCTAGGGCTGGGGTCTCCTGTGAAGCTTATGATCTTTTTCCAAGCTCAGGCCATTCCATACAGGTGAAAACCTCAAGGCTGCTTTTTTATTAGGCAGGAGAGAGATTCTCTGATCGCCAGATCTTCTTTTAAAGGGTTTTCCTGATACTGTCAACCTATCCAAGATAACCTCTGATTAGTAACCTTAATACATCTGCAAAATCCCTTACGTTTTGCCATAGAACATAACATAATCACGGGGGTGTTGGTCAGAAACACTCGTAAGTCCACTTACTCTCAAGATGAGAATACATGACAAGCAGGTGACTCACTGAGGGTCATCACTGGGTGTGTCTGCCCCAGTTTTCTGTATTTACGGTGGTTATCAGAGAGAGAGAGAGAAAAAAAAAGTATCTTCACTTGGGAATTTGAAATAAAGAAAAGAGAGTGCCATGAGAAATTCCTCGTGTCTTTTAGTAATTTAATTAAGTTACATCAGAAGTATAAGGCTATGTAAACAAGCTCTGAAACAGTTGAAGTCTGAAAATTTTTGAAAATTGCAGCAACTTAAACTAGCGAATAAAAATACTTTTACTAAAACGGAAAAAGTACACAAATCCCATAAACTATGTACTATGAAATGACAAGCCTAAGAATAAAGGACAGTGAGATAAATTTCATTTGTATTTTGTTTCATTTGTATTTTCTGTTGTGATGGCTAATATTGAGTGTCAACTTGATTGGACTGAAGGATGCAAAGTAGTGCTCCTGGGTGTGTCTGTGAGGGCGTTGTCAAAGGAGATTAACACTGGAGTCAGTGGATGGGAAAGGCAGATCCACCCTCGATCTGGGTGGGCACCGCCTAATCAGCTGCCAGTACAGCTAGAATAAAAGCAGATAGAAGAAGGTGGAAGGACTAGACTGACTGGGCCTTCTGACCTCCATCTTTCTCCCATGCTGGGTGCTTCCTGCCTTCGAACATCAGACTCCAACTCGAAGTTCTTCAGCTTCTGGACTCTTGGACTTAACACCAGTGATTTGCCAGAGGCTGTCGGGTCTTCGGCCACACACTGAAGGCTGCACTGTCGGCTTCCCTACTTTTGTGGTTTGGGACTCAGACTGGCTTCCTGGCTCCTCAGCTTGCAGACGGCCTGTTGTGGGACTTCACTTTGTGATCATGTGAGTCAATTCTCCCAGTAAACTTCTTTTCATATATTCATCTATTCTATTAGTTCTGTCCCTTTAGAGACTAGTAGACTAATACATGTATTAGTCTCTAGAGACTAATACATGTAGTATTATTTTTCTAGAGAAAATATATATTTGAGTGTGAAAGTAAAGGGTAAATTCGATTGGTTTTTTCACAATACTTTGAGTGTCTTTTGGGAAGAATACAATCCAAACAAACGAAATCTTACCTAAAATCTGGTTGTATATTTCCCTTCTTATATTTTCTAAACTACTGGCCTTTCCAACATTAATTTTATACCCTGGGCTAAGAAGTTTAACTAGGTCATATTTTGCTGTTTTAGAGAGGTGCCTGTTTGTTAATTTATATAACTTAGTTTTATTTTACAAACACTGAAGAGGTTACCTTTACTATGTTCCCAGTATTATTTAAATATATTTGACAAATATAGAAAAGTGAACTCATTTCCCAAAAGGGGCTTTATGAGTCAAGACCGTTTGCAGCCCCACTTTATAGATGAGGGAACAGAGGCCAAGACAGTCCAAGGGTCGCAGCCAGACTGTCTCCAGCATCCGTGATTTTAAGCCATTCACTTTGCGCTTTCTTCCCATGGCTCACTTGCTTCCACTACTGTGTGTGACTTTGCTACTGTTCTTTTTCTAACCTTGTCTCTTCTTATTCACATATAAGAAAAAGAGCTCAAAGTCATATTTTCTATAATTTCCAGGAAATCTTTTGTGGCTTCTCATTTCACATAAGAGAACTGACATTAATCTCACTAAATATTGGAAATGTAAATGTGTTACATGTTTTAGAAGAAGGCCTAAAGCCAGGGATCCAGTTCCCCAAACACTATATAGTAAAATTACTGCATAATAATAGAGAATCTGAGGTATTCAGAAAAGAGTTAACATAGCAGGACTTAACTGCTACCTTCAGAAAGGCCTGCTTGCAAGGTTAGTCCTCGGTGGCATCCGGGAACTTGAGTTTTGTGAGTGTTCCTGTCATTTCCTAATTGATGAATGTGATTTACTGTGCCTAAGCCATTTGGACAAACGTGGTTTATGCTGAACATCTGCGTCCCCCCCCCCCCCCAACAGTCTGGAATTTGGGCAGGTGTTAGGCAGAGGGTGCCTATATGACTAGGCCCAGTGAAAACCTTGGGCACTAAATCTCTTCAGTTTCTGCAACACTGCAGCAAAGAGCTGCCCTGTAGCACGTCTCTCCTATTGCCACAATTTGATCCTAGAAGAATGAAGCACATTCTGTGTAACTCCAATGGGAAAGAACTTTTGAAAACTTGTCTTGGGGTTTTGCCCCATGTGCCTCTTCCCTGTGCGGATTTTATTTTGTATCCTTTTGCTGCAATAAATCTTAGCCACGAGTATGACCATACACTGACTCCTGCAATCCTTCCTGGTGAATCACTGAACTTTGGGGTCATCTTGGGGATCCTCCACACAGAAGGCTATAGGAGTTTGCACAAGGCTCAAAATTGTCATAACTGCTATTATTTCATTATTTTTAGCTTTGCTAGTAATATTTGGTTACGTGTCACCGTGATTTAATTTTCCTAATTTGAGTCACTCTAATCAATAAGAACATTTTATTTGATAAGATGATTGTGAAATAAACAGTTAATCATTACAACTTAGAGAACTTTGTGCTTATAATCCACACATTGGGAATAATATGATCTTACTCCAATCATGCTCAGAAGAATGCTAAATGCTCACTTGTTTTTATATCAAAACTGTTATAAAATCAAAGAAAACGTATCAGTAGTCATCCTCTGTGTTGCAGTGTTTAGTAACGATGACCAATAAAATCACATCTGCTCTGCTTGTATTCTCTTTCAGACTGAACTCTCAGAAATCTCAGCTGCTGACAGGTCTCAGTTGATTCCTGCCCAAGGAAAAAACCTTACCAAAGGGAACTACTCCCTCACCACCTACCGTGGTTCAGCCTCTTGCTCTGTGAGATCCTGCTTGACTCTTTTCCTTATGGGCATTGTCTCAGTTCACTCCTCAACAACTTCTTGTGAGCAAACCTCAATCTCACATTATTTTTTCAAGAAACTTGACCTAAGGAACAGTCGTAACATGTAAAGCATCCGTTAAGTTTCTAAAGGAAACAGCCTATCTGGCCTGTCACAATGCCTTTCTGATTATAAAACAAGTTATAACTTAAGGATTAATAAACTGCAGTTTGATCTTCATTTCATAAATTCCACTGGAATGAATGGAGACTATGCTGCTATCTAATTGCATATAGCAGGTGAAGTTTTCAATTTCAAGCAGTTATAATTCAAGCACTTATGTAAAAGGAATAGTGAAAACTACTTTTTAAATTTTAGCACAAAAGATGCAACATACTATACACATTAATTCTATCAGTCTTTATAAATGTAACAATTGTGGTCCAGAAAATTTCTATCAATTACTAAGATAAGTTCTCATTTTAAAGATTGTGAATTCTTCTCAGCATTATTTAATCACAAGCATTTTTGGAGTGCTTTTCATATGTCCATCACTGAATGTGCTGGGGGCAATGAGGGAAACATTTAATACAGGATGTCTTCACAAAGAGCTTGAAATCAGAATGGGTTTAAAGAGGTATATTCATCATTAATATTGAAAAATAGAACTGTATTCAACAGTGTGATTTACTAATTGCCAGATACTTACTGTTGGTTGCTTAAATCTTTCTGCCTACAGAATGCTAATTTTTTTAGAACATGAATTGTTATTAATTCCCACCAATGACAATAATTCTCTTCCTATTGAATGATAGTTGATTTTTTCAGGTATTTTTCTTATTAGGAATGGCTATGTGGCCTGCTTATGGTTAATAAGATGTAAGAAGATATCAGTGGGGGTTGGTGGTGCTACCTCTTTGTTAATCTTCCTTCCCTGAATACAGATATGATAATATGATATCTGGCATGGCATCAGTGATATGTGTGTGAGTGTATGCGTACATGTATACACTAAGTTCTGTAAATTTATATAAATGATATAATATCCTAGGGACTGTATAACTTCTTTCTCTTTTCACTCAACAATGTTTTTAAATTTCTCAGTGTTTTTTATGGAGAAATATTTTCCTTTTAACTGAAAACTATGCCATCATATGAAATTATAGCGGCATAAACAAAAGCATTGTATTGTTTTACCATTACAAATAAAGCTGCAAAAAATATCCCAAACTGATGTTGCAATAAATATCCAAATGCAAGTCTTGCTCTCTTGGGTAAAAGTTTCTAGCATGGGATTTCTGGTGGATAATTTGCATATTTTTTTCTAGATACTGACAATTTACTCTGCAGAGCTTATAAGAAAAAGCATATATATTACCCAGTATATATGAAAATTCCCATCTCTCCACATCCTTTTCAAAATTGATAAGATCCGACTTTTATTTTTTAATCTGGAGGGTGAAGATGATAATTCACTGTCTTAAATATATTCCCCAATGACGAGCAGTTGAAAACCTTCTCATATGTTTTTTATTAACTTTCTTTTAGTTTATGCTATTTTTATACTTCAGATCCATCAGGTGATTCAGCATGAGAGAAAACTTTCAACTAAAATATATCAAAATGATCTAGAGTTATAGGCATAAGATATGAAAATATCCTGGTGCTAGGACGGGAATCGAGATGTAACTCCCTGACAATTGATGCCAAGCAGAAGTGAATCAATATTCTAGAAAAACTCCAAGCATGTGGGGAATTGCCTCAGTCATCAAGATTACTGACTCTAGAGGCACATCTCCTAATGTTTTAGGTTCCACTTCTCTGCTTTCATGAAAGAAGTATGTTTTTTGCACATAAACCCTTTCATTTACATAACTTAGAAGAGTCACAATGCCTTAGTGGGGATGTTGAATCATTTTTCGAATGGGACTAATAAGAGCTCTCTTTTCTAAACTTAGTTTAGTCCTAAGTGTAGAGTTACATATGGGAAAACACTCATTGTGCTCTAAAGCACTATACAATAAAAGGCATTATCCTTATTAACTAGGGTTATTGGAGTTAAATTCTAGGAGATTGTATAGTGCATTTCAATTGGCCTCCAACTTTAAAGACACATTTGAATATAAAAAGTGAACACATTTATTTTGAGTATGAATACCAAAGCAAAATCCATCTTGCAATTCTTCTCTATAAAATGAAAGTTTAATATCCTTAGAGTGCACGTCATCTCATTCACTACTGTACAGCAGCAAATTGTTTGCTTTTTACTTTAGTGCCGTAACACTAAAGAATATTTTTCACATCACTCAAACAGAGGCTTTGGTCATCGATAGATCAAAGTGTGACCTCCATCACCCTCGCCAAAGTCACAGAACTTGCAGGTATGGAAATCACAGTTCCAAACTTTAGTGAGAAAAATGTCCCCAGATCTTGAGTTTCTTTTTTTTTTTTTGAAATGACAAACTCCTTTACTTTGTTCTATGTTTATTCATAGAGTATAACCTCACAGCAAAGGATTTATCCATATCTGTAAATTCCCTAAAGTCCAGAAGACGAGTAGCTACAAAAAATGATTATTCACAAGTTACTGCTCTATACGCAAACTCAGGAGTCACAAGTATAATTCTCACTCCTCCTTTTATTGTGAAGAAAAGGATAAAAATGATTCCCAAGGAGCACCATACATCTACATTTGAGGCATTAAATGAATGTTATTAAATCTTTTTTAAAAATACAGTATAAGAAAAAAGCAGCAGTTTATATTCTTTGACTGTCAATGACTGAGGAAGGTTTTGCTGGGATTACCCAGCCAAAGAAGCCATATGTAAATTTCTAAGATGAATAAAAGTCTCTTCCAGAGAATTCATATGAACACACACACACACACACTCATATCATATCTTTGGGGATAACCTATCCTTCAGGGAAAGAATGTGCCCATTTAATCAACTTTTTTTAGATACAGCGACTAGTTATTAAATATCTTATCTTTTCAGCTAGGCAAGATCATTTCCTAAAAGGTTTCCCCAAAGTAGCTTTTGAATCAGAAAACAGTTACTATAAATTAATATAATTCCATTGGTCTGAGAGGGAAGAATTATGTGCTCCTCCTCGAAAGACTAGAAACTGAGCCATCCTTTGTTTAAGATCATTCACTTCATACCCTCTTTTTCGTAAGAGAAACTTGGAGAGCTCCTTGCTGTAAAGGCCACATTTTCTATGAAGCATAACTAGTCAAATACAGGGCCCATAACTGTGTGTAAATGGTGCTCATTTCAGTGTTGCTGCTTTACATGATCCTTAGAAGAACATTCTTCAGGTGGGGTGCGGTGGCTCATGCTTGTAATCCCAACAGTTTGGGAGGCCGAGGTGGGTGGATCACGAGGTCAGGAGTTCAAGACCAGATTGGCCAATGTAATGAAACCTCGTCTCTACTAAAAATGCAAAAATTAGCTGGGCATGGTGGTGGGCGCCTGTAGTCCCAGCTACTCAGGAGGCTGAGGCAGGAGAATCACTTGAACCCAGGAGGTGGAGCTTGCAGTGAGCAGAGATCACGCCACTGCACTCCAGCCTGGGTGACAGAGTGGGACTTCGTCTCAAAAAAAAAAAAAAAAAAAGAAATGTCTTCAAGAACATACAGTTCTTTGAAGTGATTATTTTACCTTATGTATTTTTCAAAGTATTCAGGCATTTTGCTTCATAGATATTTTGTAAAACAGGTTTCTTATTGATGTAATAAAGTAATTATACCTATAAGAAGTCATAGCCTATAAGTGTTATAACCTATAAGAAGTTGTGTTATCACCTGTAAGTGTAGAGTTCACTCGTTGATAAATGAGATAATTCACAGATTGGTTTTCTGTTGCTGATTGCAATTTACTGTCTTGATAGTATATGTATATATATATATATATTTTTTCAAACCATATAGAGAAAGCACACAGCTATTTGGTTGTAAGATAATTAATATTCATTTGTTTTCTATATAAACGTGTCCAACTATATCACAGACATAAAATTGTTCAAAATATTTTATATTTTAGAAAATTATATAAGTTAGATAATAGTTATATTCTATCCTAGAGTCTATTTGCTTTCAGTGATGCCATTTGGTGACAAATTATAACAAAAAAATTTAGACTTATATTAAGAAACACTTATCCTACAAAATGAGCTATGATTATTAATGTGGTAGCTCTCAAAGAATGAAAAGGAACACAACTTTGTGAAAAGTTAGAGTGCAAATTTTCCAGCTTCTAGAAGTGGCCTCCCAAATTACCACTGGTGGAGTTGTATCTGGTATTGTGGTTGATGTAAATTGGTTAATCCAAAACTTCCCAAAGGCTTACAGACTGTCCCACAAGGAAATATGAAATCATAGTAATGGATCATCTTTAAGGAAAAGCTTTGCTTCAAAAATTCCTGAGCATCTAAGAACTCTCATGATAGCTAATAGTATTTGATGATAGAATTTGACAACAAAGTCTCCTATATCTTACCCTTAATAATACACCAAGCATTATCTGGAGGTAAACACGGAAAGGACATGTGTTTGGCCATCTCACAACAAGATATTAAGCAGAAACTCAGTCTTAAACAAATCTTGTAGTTTTTTCAAATTAATGAAATCAAATTAATAGAAATTAATATGCTTCAACCATTCCAGGTACTAAACTTAAACACATGTTATTTTATAACTGTAAATACAAGACAGGTATTAATGCTTAATAATAATGAATATCCAATAGTAGATCTAAATGTAGGGATCATTTGAACATGATACTGTATTCCCTCAAAAGTAAGGAGAATGTAGTTTCTAATTCCATAGAATATAGGAATTCTATTTTTACTTATATATTTCTCATTTGAACTGGGTTTAATAGGAGTCATGAATGCAATGCCTTAAATAAATGTGTTGATAAATTTTAAATCTTTTCTTGCTTTAAGGAACATGTTTTGAAGCAAAGCTCTTGCACTAATTACAATGTCATGTTTCTTGATAGTAATCCAGGTGGTTTTTTTAAACAAAGAAAAAATACATTATTGTACAGGTATGCCTCATTAAGAAGTCATTGAATACTTTTCTTTCACTAAATAAGCGTTATGCTATCAGGTCCAACCGTGAATATATAAGCTTTATTCTATCAGGTCCAACAGTGAATATATAAGCTTATACATTTCAGCATAAAATAAGGACTCCTAAGAAGCCATCCAAAATCAAAAGCGGAAAAAATAAAAGCAAACTGGTCTCTATTGACACTCCTCTCAAATTAATGTTTGTTTTAAAGGTAATTGCACTCTACACTTGAAAGCAAAGAGTTTGACCTGATTCACTCCTGTTTCCTTGTTACCAAATACTGACAATGCTATTTTTCCCCTTTAAAATTATTTTGATGCAGGCTGGGTGCAGTGGCTCACGCCTGTAATCCCAGCACTTTGGGAGGCCGAGGAGGGTGGATCACCTGAGATCAGAGGTCAGAGACATGGTGAAACCTCGTCTCTACTAAAAATACAAAAATTAGCTGGGCATGGTGGCACGCGCCTGTCATCCCAGCTATTTGGGAGGCTGAGACAGGAGAATTGCTTGAATCCAGGAAGCGGAGGTTGCAGTGAGCTGAGATCATGCCATTGCACTCGAGCCTGGGCAACAAAGCAAGACTCCATGTCAAATAATAATAATAAATAGAAAATAAAATTATTTTGATGCTCTAAGACACTGTTATTTGTGATAAACCATTTAGTTTAATTGAACACCTAAGCTTATGAGGGAGAAAAATCAGAATCTGTTGCTGCAATGGGGTATGGGGCCCAGAAAGACCTCACAATCTTAACTTTAAAATGTTTCTGTGTTTGCCTCTCAGTAGAAGACATATGTGTGGCCAACAAACATGTGAAAAAAAAATGCTCAGCATCACTAATTATCAGAGAAATGCAAATCCAAACCACAATGAGATAACACCGCAGACCAGTCAGAATGGCTGTTGTTAAAAAGTCAGAAAACAACAGATGCTGGTGAGGCTGCCAAGAAAAGGGAATGCTTATACACTGCTGGTGGGAATGTAAATTGGTCCAATCGCTGTGGAAAGTAGTCTGAAGATTTCTCAAAGAACTTAAAGCAGAGCTACCATTTGACCCAGCAATCCCATGACTGGCATATACTCAAAGGAAAATAAATCACTCTACCAAAATGACACATGTGCTCATGTGTTCACTGTTGTGCTACCCACAATAGCAAGGACATGGAATCAACCCAGCTGCCCACCAATGGTAGATTGGATAAAGAAATTGTGGTACATACACACCAGGGAATATTACACAGCCATAAAAAAGAATGAAATCATGTCCTTTGCAGCAACATGGATAGAGCTGGAAGCCATAATCCTAAACAAATTAATGTAGGAACAGAAAACCAAATACCACATGGTCTCACTTATAGGTGATAGCTAAATACTGAACACACGTGAATATAAACACAAGAATAACAGACACTGCAATCTGCTAGAAGGTGGAAGGAGGGGGTGAATGGGTTGAAAAAGTACCCATCAGGTATTATGCTCAGTACCTGGGTGATGGGATCCATACCCCAATCCTCATCATCACAGAATATTCCCATGTAACAAATCTGCATATGTACCCTCTGTATCTGAAAGTTGAAATATTTTTAAAAAATTAAAATAATGTTGCTATGTTTGGATTGGTAAATTTTATTACAAATAGTTACTTCAAAAATTCCTCTTCAGATCAGAAAAAAATATATGTAATATTAGACATTGGATATTTTTGAAACATTTTTCTAGATTAATTTGAGAAGTTCATTGTAACTTTATTGAATTACCATGAATTATCTTATTACAATCTCATTGCATAGAAGTCCAGCTGACACTTATGAACATTAATACTACTTATTAAAGGGCTCACAGAAATGAAAAAAAGAAAATGATGTCGAGAAAAAACATTTTTACATTGTCTCTGGTGCCTCATTGATATTATGTCAACTGGTGTGTGTAAAAATTTATGATAAGTGTTCTGGTCACTAATTAATGGGTGAGATAAGCTTTGAGCTTGCCCTGATGTATTTATGTCAAGCAATCTCACCATAACAATTGTTCCTAAAAGGAAACTTTAGGGCATATAAGGAGTATAGAGTACTAGATAGAGTCATAATGAGATAAAAAATCCTGGTGAAACTCAATAATCCATTGTAAATAACACTCTAGCTAGAAGATATAAAGATTCCTTGAAATCAGGAAATAATATGGCAGAAATTTTAATTAGACAGAAATAAGCTATTCAAAACCTGAACAATATTAATTGGATTTCCCGCATATTTTCGAATTTTTTCATTAGGTAATTTTTTGTAATTCAAGAATAGTAACTTTTATATTTAAGCACTCTGATTCTCTTATTCATCTTTCTTGACATCAATACTAGTGTTTTTTTAAAACAAAAAAACTCATTATTTTTAAGATAAACCTCGTTAAGAAGTTAGTGATTACTTTCCTTCACTAAACAAGTTGTTTTGCTAACAAGTACAACAGTGAATATATAAGCTTAAACACTTCAGCATAAAACAAGGATTTCTAGGAAGTCATTCAAAAAAGCAAGAAAGAAAAAGGGGAAAGGGGAAAAAGCCAGGTCATTTACAACTGGGAAACATACATCACCTCCACCCCATAAATATGATGTGAAGCAGTAGGGATCAAGGTGTAGGAAGAAAAGGTGTAAGACGAAGCTAATACACCAGAGAGTGTGAACTAAGCACCAAGTACATTAGAAAAAGGAAGTAAAATGAACTCCTTCAAGGTGAGGGGCACAAGAGAAGAAAACTCTGAATCCTCGTTTTGCAACAGTGGGAACAAAAATAAAATATACTAACTAGTGACAGGAGAGTCCAAAACATAGTTAGGTTCCAGAAGCAGAGGAAACCAGCAAAATAAATAATTAATAAGCGAGTAATATTTCCATAAACCAGTTAACCAGTTTGTTATTTGCAGAAAATCAGCAAAAAAGAAAAAAACATCCCATGAAGTCGCTCAACTTATTGGTTAGAGAGAAGTAAGGAAAAATTGAACTTACATACAAGAAACTCATTAATAGTAGAAAAACTTTAGTCTTGAACATAGCTTTGACTTCTACCTTAACAATAGTTTATTCATGAAAATATTGTTCCTTCAATAATGACTAATAAAAACATTTCGATAGGATATGTAAAATGACTGTTTTCAAAGGAGTAAAAAATAGGGAAAAATACACGGAAAATGCAAAATTCCCCACAGAAAAGATGTTGCTGGGGAGCAGATAAATATTCTGACAATATATTTTCACCATGAATTAAAAAGAGTATTTGCTTCAATTAATTAAGAATGCCAGGCAAGAGCTCAGGGAAGATATGGCAAACCAGTTGAGAGAGATCTGAAAACTGAGCTGTGAAAGTTCCATAAAAAATGAAAGAAAATATGAAAACAGGTCGGGCACGGTGGCTCATGCCTGTAATCCCAACACTTTGGGAGGCCGAGGTGGGCAGATCAGGAGGTCAGGAGATCAAGACCAACCTGGCTAACACGGTGAAACCCCGTCTCTACTAAAAATACAAAAAGTTAGCCGGATGTGGTGGCAATCCAGGGTTGAAATCAATTTTTATAGGTAAAGAATAATTTAGATCACAAAACATCAGACAATTGAAGAAGGGTATTTTTATTGTTACAAATCACATTGCACAAATGAATATATATGTCCATCATGCTACAGTATCAACAACCATAAAGCAGAGAGAGCACGTAGGGAGAAACAGATAAATACATTAGTCTGTGTATCTGTGAAAAGTAAAAAGGAAAAAATAAGTAAGGACTTAGAAGACTTAAATAACATAACTAATAAACTTCAAATTACCAAAGTCTGTATCTTGAAAGAGAACACAATGTGCTTTTAAGTATCCATGGATTATTTTTAAAAATTGGTCATATTTTAGGTCACAAAGAAAAAAATCAATAAATGCCAAAAATTCAAAAAATGCATCTTTCTATCATTCTGCAAATATTCATAACAACAAATAAAACCATCTGGAAATAAAAACTGAAATCTCTCTCCTTGAGTCACAGAAAAATCCTATTCAAGACTGAAAAATATCAAGAAAAATAAAAATACAGAGAACCCAAAATATTTTTCTAGACACAATCCACAAATCACCTTCTGAGAATATGATCTTGTTTCACTTATTTACATTTGGTTAAATTTGAGGTCCAAGAGCCTAATAGCCACAGAGAAAATAAATAAAGGAGCTGAATCAACATTCATGTTTGACTGACTCTAAATTTTTTCTTTCCACATTAGTCATCAATGCCTTTCAGAGCATTAGAGCCATTTTTTCTTCATCTGTAAAATGAGGAAGTTGAGTTACAAAACAACAACTAGTGTTTTTGTGTGGCTTACAGTAGAGCATGCAGTGTTTTTGCATGTAATGCAGGCTTTCCATGCATTCATGTTTAACCTTCATGTCAACTGTATGGGGTAAATACAAGTATCATGACTAATTTAAAAGAAAATACATTGAGGAATAGAGCATTTAAATAATATCTTCACGTTACATAGATACTATCTAAATAGTCAAGTAAAAATCTGAATTCAGAGAGTCTATTTGGCTGTAGACTTAGGCACATTTTAGAGACTGTCTGCCTCAAAGGTACTCTCTAGCTCTGGAATTCTGTTAAGACACATACCTTGGTATTCATGGCATGAATGTTTTAAATAATTCATCACAGAGCGAAGTATGGCTTTCAGTGAATTATAGGTGGATAAAAAGAATAACTATTCAGATGAGTTTTTCTCCAGGGTAAATGAAGAGTAAAATGCCAGCATCCAATCACACAGAACAACATACTCAATTGTCAATGAAATAAAAGAATTGTTTCAGTACTGTAGGCAGCACATGTCCCAAATAAGCTTTTTTAACCAACACAGATGGTGTAGGTTTGATCCAGAACTGTTACATAAACACTTAGCTTATAAATGAAATTGTCTAACCTCAGTGACAAATAGCTGTACATCTGCTTAATAATCATTCCTGTACCAATTTTAGGAGAGAGCACTGTAATTATTTTCCCTGATTACAAAGAATTTGGAAATGAATCACACAGATGCTTTGCTATGTACAGTTAGACAATTATTTTCCTCCCCCCTCCTTACTACTCAATAATATTTCTTTATTATGTTGAACCTAAAAATTGAACTAGGAAAGGTAAATGTTAGCCAATATGCCAAAGATAGTAATCTCCCAAATTGCTACTACTGGAAAAATAATTCTACCATATGGACTCTATTCGACTGATTGTGAAATTGCTGTCCTCATTAAATGGTATGCATGACCCTTAGTAGTATAACCACCATTTTCCTCTTTTAGAGACCCAATAATTTCATTGCCTCTCTTTCATCCTTGGAATACAAATCTTGTCTAATAATAAAATGTTCCATCTTATTCTTGGCCCATGTCATCTATTGCTGTTATGCTCCCTTCAATTAGACTCCTCAAAAAAATTTTAATTATTTATTATGTGGCTATCAATCTAGTAGATACTATAGGGGATAAAAATAAGACATAATATTCGACAGTAAGTATTTATATTGCAGGCAAGTATTGTTCTGTATTTGTAGAAGGAACTCTTATACTACAATACCTTACACAGCTTAGGAGAATTTTTATAGAAGTTTTTCAGGGGTTCATATGAACAAGATAATTTGAGAGGTTCAAAGAAGGGTAGAATCTGAGCTTGGTAAATTTTCTTCTGGCATTGCTTTTACAATTGCATTACTGAATAATAGATTCTTAGATGGCCAACAAATATATAAGGAGTACTTTCTATATGACTGATATGTGGCAAGATCTTTAAAGTAGAGTGGTCCTTGTTATCTTGGAATCTTAGAGATGAAAGAGACATTAAACCATTCATTGATTAAACTAAGTATCTCAAATGAGAATTTAAAAGTACATGAAAGTCTGTATAAAAATACAGTACTGTAGCCCATATAGAAACCAACAGAAGTAACTCAGTTATGTTTATTAAAGAACAGTCATGTGCCTAATATCAGGATAAGCAGATTATATGGTAGAGTAAGTAAGTATTACTAAATTCTGCAAACATAAGTTTGAACCTTGCCCTACCACTCACAACCTGTGATCTGACAGCAATAAAGATTAACATTAAAAGAAGAAAAGCCTCCAGGCGTGGTGGCTCACGCCTGTAATCCCAGCACTTTGGAAGGCCGAGGTGGGCGGATCACCTGAGGTCAGGAGTTCAAGATCAGCCTGGCCAACATGGCAAAATTCCGTCTCTACTAAAAATACAAAAATTATCCAGTCATGGTGGTGCATGCCTGGAATCTCAGCTACTCTACTCAGGAGCCTGAAGCAGGAGAATGGCTTGAACCCAGGAGGCAGAGGTTGCAGTAAGCCGAGATCATACCACCGCACTCCAGGCTGGGCAACAGAGTGAGGCTCTGTCAAAAAGAAAGAAGACAGAAAGAAAGAATGAAAGAAAGAGAGAGGAAGGAAGGAAGGAAGGAAGGAAGGAAGGAAGGAAGGAAGGAAGGAAGGAAGGAAGGGAGGGAGGGAAGGAAGGGAAGGAAGGGAAGGGAAGGAAGGGAAGGAAGGGGAGGGAGAGAGAGAGAGAGAGAAAGGAAAGCAAGAAAGGTAAGTCATGTGTGGTCAGTCTTTGAAAACTCCTGTTCTAATACTCTATGACTGATGAGACCTGCTCAAGATTCTCAGAGTGTATGTGCGTAAAATAAAGTAGGTTCCTATTTTGAATGTCATTTTTTTCCTATGATAATATGACATTTCACAAATGTTAAAAGTACAACTTCTTTTTTATTTATTTATTTTTATTATATATTAAGTTCTAGGGTACATGTGCCCTAGAAGTATAAGAAAAAGTACAACTTCTTGTAAGAAAGTTAACCCTAAGCTTGCCTCTGAATTCCTGAGAATATCAAATCAATAATTATATAAAACCATTAATATTTTATTGGACCACTAAATAATTATAATATGTTATTAATTAATGTAATTCTGACATGATACCTTCGGGTGAGTCATAATCTCACTGGTATTCTGGCCATAAAATCAAGAGTTTTTTGTTAACTAAGTGAGCTATGGTAAAAAAAAATTACGAAAGTTATTCACAGTGAACATAATGTTCTACTGTTTTTGTTTGAATTGAACAGAAAACACACCATTATAAATAGTGCAATACCAGTTCATTTCACCCATCGAAAATTGATTTGGTGCATGAACCAACAGCGAATTCATCTATTACTTTAGAAAAGCAAGGCTATAAATGCCATTTATTCATGAATAAAAACAGCCTTCCTACTTTACATAAGCAATTTAACACAGCTCGTTTCATTCAGGTGTACATGATGAGAAACAATTTATATACAATATTTTTCTCTGTATCTGCTATGTCCTCATATTGCATTCATTTCCCAAGAGTAGTCATTTAAAGAAAGCAACTGAAGAAGATCTTTACCTACAGCTAGATGATTTTCTATAAGAAAAACATTGCTAACATAAAGTTTTCCCTATATTGTGAAAGAGCCAAGAGCCCTGACATTCTTCAACAGCACAGAAACCAGCACAGATTTTAATTAAACGGTGCCCATTTTGTTAATACCATTACTGATGGTAGTACTAGAAGTGTTCATGATAATAGTAGCACTAATATTTGTACTTGACATCTCTTGAAGGAAATCATAAATTGCTAAGATTAGAAAAGATTCACATTTTTCAGAAACATATACAGTCTATATGTGGAAAAGTTAAGAGAAACAAGCAAAATAACTTCCCAGAAATGAATAAATGGAATATTCCCTTCTTTACTATATTCTTCTTGTGTGTCACATATCTGTCTGAGCCAAGTGCGATCCAATAATAACGGAGGTTCTGCCACAATCCTTGGTGTTTTTACTATGCTTCTCATGTTAACACTTTTGAAGGGAAAGAATCTGAGAATCTCATCTCCATCATATGTTAATCAACCCTCCCTCATTTGGAGAAACAGTACATGACCTTATGACTTTTCCATACTAAGTATCAGAATAATATGAGGATAATGCTTTAGTGAGCTATTTTCAAAGTATGTATATGAATTTGGGTGTTAACAGATAACAGTTGGACACATGGCTGCAAATTACTGATAAAGTTTGCTGAGCAGTGCTCCAAGTAGTATTTCATTTTGCCAACAATTAAGACTGACCTTGTCTCTCTGTGTCCCTCTCTCAATTTGTGCCTGGTAGTCAGTAGAAAGTGAAGAATAATGTGGTCAGTTTTCTTACTCATCTATTTTTTTTCTCTTTTCAAATTGGTGTCTTTGTTTTATTATACTTTAAGTTCTAGGGTACATGTGCACAACGTGCAGGTTTGTTACATATGTATACATGTGCCATGTTGGTGTGCTGCACCCATTAACTCGTCATTTCCATTAGGTATATCTCCTAATGCCATCCCTCCCCCTCACCCCACCCCACTACAGGCCCTGGTGTGTGATGTTCCCCTTCCTGTATCTAGTTTTATAGAAAGCAAAATGTTGCTCTTTCTTGCTACCTTTCTTCCAGGTTCAAATAAACCTTCCCTGGCCACTGAGACGATGCCAGTTCTCTCTTTTCCTGTGAAAGTGATTTATCAAATACATTTATGAAACTTATAAAACATATATGATAGTTTTTGTTTAAAATTCATTTGTGTCTTTTATATTCAACATCTGTCTCCCCCACTAGAATGTAAGCTTCGGAAGAGCAGGGAACATAGAATTTGATTATGTTAAATTCCAAAACGTAGCACAGTATTTATATTTGTTAAATGATGACTATTATGAAACTATCAGAAGAGGAAAACAAAATACCTCAACTACAGATTCTAAAATTCTCCACATGAAGTAAGAACTGATGTGATATTGGAACCAAGTGCTTGTCCCTCAGAGGAGTTTACGTAAGTATATTAATCATTACTGATTGATTTTCATTGACATACACAGAGACATTCTTGTTAAACTTGGTGTCTCATAATTTCTGTTGGAAACAGTAACTATAAACAATCTGTTAATCACTGTATAGGTTTTATTTGAGTTGAGTTAAATAGATTTTATATATTCTCAAATAGATTAAGGTCAGACTTAAAAGAGGTCAATTTAATCAGTTCCTTCAGCTTCACTGTTTGTGAAAATAGCCACAATAATGGATGAGAAAATAGTGTGGCAATATTATCATGACAAATGAAGCTATGAACAAGCAGATATTTTCCAGAATGCATTTCACTCTACATGAAATGTGTTCTGACAACACATCTTACCTGTGGAGCTTCTTTATATGGTTTAGGAATTCATTCCAACACCATTAACACCTACCTATATTTCTACTCTACATTAGAATGTTTTAAAAAGTGTCTTGGCTAATAGCCAATTATTATCAAACTTTATGATGAAGCTGTAACTGAAAGCAACATTTTAAAGTGATTCGTTAGCTCATAATATTCCATAATCTATTTCTTCAGTTTTTTGAATACTGGGATAAACTGCAGAGGCTTAGAGAAGAAATCTACTAGCTAGAGTAATGTCTTGATGGAAAACATTTCACATTGCAAGAAAAGCTTCTGCTTTTTAAGGTTTTACTCAAGTAAAAAAATATGCAGCTAAATTAAGGGTGAGGAAAGTGTCTGTGCTCACCTGTGCTCACACAAAGCTTGGTGGAAACTTCTGGCTGACAACAGTATAACACCTGCAAAAGTAGTTTAATTCATGGATATTGCTCAAATGTCTGTAGCATCAAATAAATTTAAGATAAAATGCCAGCATATTATTTGTGAGTCCTTGACTCTGGTAACAGAAGGATTAATAGCTGAAAGACTGAAACACTGTAGAAACAGTGATGTTTAATATCTCCTACACAGCAAGACTTAAATTCTGTCACCAAAACTAGAATAAACTTAGCAACTGAAAGCATCTCGGTTCTCCTCCTGTCTCTAACCTTCTACATCTACACTAGCAAAATGTGGGCATTAGTATCTCTGAAGTGCTTCGCTAATATTCAATAGAATTACATGCAGAAATGGTATAGCAGGGTGACTAGAACAGTTACATATGTTAATTTATTCTACGTCTGACTGAGGATTCCGTTAAGGATATCCATAGGAGAGGGGATGAAAAGAATACTTAATTGAAGCTCGAAAATAACAGCCAACATGCACATAGTGCTTGCATTGCACCTGACACTTTTGTGGTATACATGTAATAGAAGATCTACTCATTTAACCATGGACACTCTTTTGAGGCATTACCTAAGGGAATATAAGCACATACAGGTTGACAAACTTGTCCAAGATCTTATACTAAATGAGGGGAAGAGTCAGGATTTTAATAAAAGCTGTCAGCTCTAGAGTCCATGCTAGACTACCTCTCTAAAATCTAGACCTGGTTCTAACAATACTGATATGTTGAACTTTGGTTAAAACCAGTTAATAGTGTTTTCATTTAATTGGAATAGACATACATGATCTTTAAAATGTCTGCATTAAATTTTGTGAGTTTCCAACAAACATGAAGGCATTTAGGATGGCATAATTTGAAATCTATGTGGCATAGCACATTTGAAATCCATTGTCAGTGTCCTTGGGGGAACCTCAAAGAGATTGGCTGTCATCATCTATAGCTGCTGAAATTTAGGTACAGAAAGATGTCCATATGGCTAAATTAAAAGAAACAAGAGCAGAAATGTTGAAATTCATTTTGCTGCTTCTTATGGCTAATGCTCCAAAGAAACATTGAGAAAACAATTGATGTTTGTTTATTTAATTTTTTAAAAAAATTTCCTAACAATGCTAGATATACTATTATTAATAATGTTCATGTGCATATTCACTTTGCTAAATACTTTACCTATGTGACTATACTTGTATCTCATAATAATCATATGGAAGAATCTATTTTTAAATTAGTTTTACATACCAAGCAGCTTGGACTGAGATGAAAGCATGGATTTCCCAACTCACACAGCTAGTAAACAGTAAAGCCTGGATTTGAATCCAAATCTTTACTTACAGATTCTATTTGAGGCACCTCCCATGGTGCTGAGGATGAAAATTTTCACATAATTAAAATGCTAGAAATTATTTAAAATCATAACTCATTGTATTACGCAAAGTGGATCTGATTGGATCATATCTGCTGTTGCCACATTCATTTTTTAATTCGAATTGGTGCCTATGGTGATGCAAAAAAGGGGAATTTATTAGAAGTAGAAATGCTGATGTTGGGAGTTTGGGGTTAATAGACTAAAATTGCCCCACTAGTATCAGTTCTGAGAAGGTATCTTAGTTCAAACTTAGTGTTCTTTTCCTTTGGATCTTACAGTGATTTATGCGAAGTTGAGTTCTAACCATAAGAACATCTGTTAAAGATCTTGTTTAAAATTGTTTAAATCTTGTTTAAAGTTGTTTAAAATCCATTGGAATGAAATCCCGGAACTATCATAAATTCTAACCTCACTTAACAGAGAGTCATCTTAATCAGCCACATGAAAGAAATGCCCATTCAAGAGCAATCTCACCTTCTGAGTGCCCAAGACAATTTGCATTTAGTATTAGGTTGGTGGAAAAGTGATTGCACTTTTTACCATTAAAAGTGATACTTCAGTATCTGCAGTAGCACCAACAAATGATCAGTGTTTTGTAAAACTTGATACTGTCAGAGAAATTATTTTTCTGAGTTTTCAATAAACATGTCCTTTACTAATCATAAACTAATTTGTGAGTTCTTAGGGTAATAAAGTGAAAAGTATGTGGGCTCCAAAGTCTGATGTATATGAGTCTTAACTTCAGCTTGATCTCTTACTAGGTGGGTGATATTGGGAACATTACATAACCACTTTAATGTTCAATTTCTTCATCTTTAAAGATAATGATAATAATTATATCAGGGCCTTCTGTAAAGTACATGAAATAAGGCATATAAATAAATAATGCATATAAATAATATTGACATTCTAGGCAGCCATTAAAATATTATTTGATGTTAATGTTCTTGCTATTATGAATAATTTTTTTATTTAATATTACTCCTTTATTGAGAGTTTGCAGCTAATGATCACAAACTTGTGACTCTAGTCTTTCTTGGATAGAATCAATTTATTCCATTAGTGATACCCAAGAAATTAATTTCATGAAAAGCCACCGAACACTTAAAGTTTAGATATTCACAGAGTACTTGGGCTCCAAGATAATTTCATCTGTGCTGTGGCTTGAATGTGTCTCCCAAAGTTCATGTGTTGGAAACTCAATTCACAACGCGACAGTGATGAAAGGTGGGACTTTAAGAGGTGATTAGGTCATGAGGTATGTTGTTCCATTTTCTATTGCTATAAAGGAATGCCTGAGACTAGATAATTTAAAAGGAAAGGAGCTTTATTTTGTTCATGGTTCTTCAGGTTGTACCAGCATGGTACCAGCATCTGCTCGGCTCTGGTGAGGCCTCAGGAAGCTTTTACTTATGGCAGAAGCCAAAGGGGGAGCAGGTGTGTCACATGGCAAGAGAGGGGGCAAGAAAGAGAGGAAGAGGGGCCAGCCTTTTTCTAAACACAGCTCTCACATGAACTAATAGAGTGAGAGCTCACTCATTACCACAGGGAGTGCGCCAAGCCATTTATGAGGGATCCATCCTCAAGACCCAAACTCCTCCCATGAGGTCCCACCTCCAACGTTGGGGGTTACATTTCAACATGAGGTTTTGGAAGGCAAAACATCCAATCTATATTATGAGGGTTCTGGCCTTATAAGTGCATTAAATCCTTTATTATGAGAGTGGGGCAGCTACCACAGATAGGTAGGATGAGTTTGGTTCTCTTCATCACTAAAATGATGGAAAATACAATTTTAAACTTCAAGTACTCCGATATTCCTATGACTCAATATATTAATTCCTTTTAAGTTCGATTGTATGACATAATTTTGCAGATGAGATATATGTAATGGGCTGTTACTCAGAGTCTGCTCACACATCTGTTGCTAAAAGTCTCTCTGCAAAGCTTCCTGGGTCCTTTTAATGAAAGTGGTAAAGGTACAAGGATAAAGACCTCTGTCTTCAAGAAAATCTCAGTATAATCAGCTTGATATTTTTTCTTAATTTTAAATTAATATTCAGATTTTTATAGTAATTGAACTTATCCACCATTATTTTAGAAATAATTGGGAGGCCCATGTTTAGAATTCAGCTGCTTTGGGCCTCTGTTAATCTTTCCTACAACCTTTTCCTCACATCCATTTTTTAGATATAATGAAGAATAATTACATAAGTCTTTAATGATTAACGTTGTTTTTGTATCAAGAATAAACAAAATTTTTTATTTCTCATCTTCTTATCTCTCATTCTTTAAGTCTATAAATATAGCAACCTGGAAGACATATGTCACTGTATTTATTTGCAGAAATTACTCCACTAGTGGTTAATAAAAGCTAATTGTGTCAACCGATTCATGCTGAACATATATTTATTCAACAGGAAATTTCCTCAATCAATCAATCACTGCCTATTGAAAATTTATTTTTAAAGTATTATATCATTTAGAAAAAGAATTGATTTACATTTTAGAATTTTCAGTGATATTTAATGATTTTGCCTGCTAAATCAAAAATAGAACCATATAAATACTGCTTTATGAAATTATAGCATTTTCATTATAAAATTAGAAAAACATAGATGTGCAAAAATTATAAAATCTCAATCACATAATTTTATTATATTTAAAAATCATTTGAGAATGATCTCTTGCTTCTGGGCTAAGAATAATCTGATTTGAATTTTTCTAAGTAAAGGAGGGATTGAACCTCCAAAACATTGTCTACAGTGAAGATTTCTTCTGAAAGACAAATTACACTCTTAAACATAGTACATTTAAATTTTATATCCACAGTTTCACTATAATTCAACAGATATATTACCTACAGACAGAAAACAACATGGTAGATGCTTTCTCACCAAATTAAAAATAAACAGATGAATAAGCCTAAAAACCCAAGGATAATTGATAATATTATTCAGTTATAGGAGGTTCTACCAGATATAAAAAGAAGGTAGGAGTAGAAAAAATATGACTAGGTTATTTGTATTTCAATATAAGAACATTAGTGCATTCTGAAATTTTGACAAGATGCCCATGATAATAATAGTACTATGTTTTGCCAAACTCCTAAATCAAATAGAAAAAAATCACTTTGGAGTTCAAGATATAGAATAGTCAAAACATTTTTCTCCAGCCCAATCTATGAAAAAAAAGGACTCCTAAGAGATAGGAAAATATCTGGAAAAAAGAGGAAATGCAATTATATCTGTGGGGCTGTGATGAATAAGGGAAGCAAAGGCAAAGAAAGCTAGAAATAATTCAGTTACGGTTGGATAGAAGGGGAGGCCACTGGTGACTTATTAGCTCAGAGTAAAGTTTAAGAGTGGGATGAGGTTGGGTGGAGTCGAGAGTCTACTCTTCCAAAATGACTCAGGATGTAGATGGGGTCATTGTGGCTAATTATCTGTGCCCATTCTGAGAAGTGTGCAGATTTAGACATCTTAGGAAGCTCAATATTCAGTGAGGACCTTCTATTTTTAACAGATCATTTATACATTACTTGATTTGATTAAAGAGAGAGAGAGACAGGGAGAGAGAAAGAGAGAGAGAGAGTCGCTGCCCTCATGCAGCTTTATAGCTTGTATTCCAGCTGGAGAAGGCTCATCTCCCTGCCCTTTTGGGTGGAGGCAGGAAAGGTAACAGCAGAGTAGAGTCTCATGGAGGGTCTCTTCAGGACAGCTATATTTTGAATCATAATGAGAGAAGATGACTCAAACCTCCTGTGTGATGAAAACTACTATACAGTTTCAAAGGGGGCTTTTCCTGTGTAATCGTAATGGGCAGAAATAGAAAGCCCACAGATGGAGAAAATTCTGGCACTGGCTGGCCTGAAAACAAGAGTCTCCAGGAGTGTGAGACAATGCCAGGCGTCTTCATTTCCTAGGGCTGCCCTCACAAAGTGAAACATCCAGGTGGCTTAATATGGGAGAAATTTATTCTCCCATATTTCTGGAGGCCAGAAGCTCAATATCATTGTATCAACAAGGCAATGCTCCAGAGAGAGTCTGAGTAGAAAGAATCCTTCCTTGACTCTTCCTAGCTTCTGCTGGTAGCCATCAATGCTTGGTGTTTCTTGGCTGGCAGCTGCACCACTCTAATCTCTGCCTCTGTTCTCACATGACGTCCCCCTGTGTGTCCCTGTGTCTTAACATGGTCCTCTGCCCTCTGTCATGTTCCTCCTATTAATATAATGACACCAGTCATATTGGAATAAGGGTCCCTCCTTCTCCAGCATGATCTCATCTGAACTAATTCCATCTGCAAGACCATCTTTCCAAATATGGTAACATTTTAAGGTATTGGGGGTCAGGACTTCAACGTATCATTTTGGAAGACAAAATAAAACCATTAACACTAGGCAGGCCAAAATTTTGAAAAAATCAACAGTCTCCTTCTTTAGTGATAGTTTTCAGAGGTAGAGGAACTAGATTAAGATTGAAAAGAGAAAAAAATAAAGTTTTCCTGTTTGCTAAAGTAAGGAAGATTTAAGCACAGTATTTTTATGATTAACAGACCTTTCAAAATAACAAAGATTTCAGTTTTACAAACTAATTAATTGAATTTTTATTTCATTAAAGTTCATTCTTCATTTCTTAATACTTTTTTTAGTTGTCTTAAGCATGTTACATTTTATTAGTACCATAAATGCCTTTTCCATCTATATTTTCAAAGTTTTTCTTTACCCTAATCCCACACTGCACAGGGATGTAAAAAGGGCTTTAGACTTTCAAGATTCCATAGGACTTAAATAGATAACCAATAACATTTATTTTATAAATGTTTTAACCTTTAACTCTAAAACATCAGTGCCATTATTTTCCATCTTATATTTAACCTTTCAAATCCATTTTCATACACAGAATTTGCTATTCAAGCTTCATGTCAGCTCAACAAATATGTGCTAAACAATAATTAGGCCTCATGTGATTATTAAGCATATGGATTCTAAAGCCAGAATGCATGGCTTCCTATCCTCACTCCACTGTTTCCTAGCTTGCTAATAGCTGTCATGTTACTTAACTTTATATGCCTCCATTTTCTCATTACTAACAAGGATATAATAATAGTACTTACCTGGTAGGGTTGTTCTGAGAATTAAAAAGATTAATATACTTAAAACCTTAAGAAGGTTTGCCATCACGTCTACTATGATCAAAGTGTTGTGTATGTATATAAGCTATTATTATCAACCTATAAACTGATATTGAAATACAACACCACACATATCTTTAGGAAGACTTCCCATATATCTAGTTTAAGACAGATGGAATGAGAAGCTTTTATATATATATATATTCATTCATATATATATATACACACACATATATATATAACAATACTACTTAGTCATAAAAAGAACAAAATTATTGTTTTTCAGCAACCTGAATGGAACTGGAGGCTATCATCTTAAGTGAAATAACTCAGAAAGTCAAATACCACGTATTCCCATGTATAAGTGGGAACTAAACAAAAGGCACACATAGACATATAGAGTAGAATAATAGACATTGTAGAGTTCAAAAAATTGAAGGGTGGGAGAGGGATGAGGGATGAAAAATTGTCCACTGGGTACAATGTTTACTATTAGGGTGGCTGGTACAATAAAAGCTCAAACTTCACCACTTCGCAATATAGCCATGTGACAAAACTGTGTATGTACCCTCTAAATCCATAAAAATAAAAAAATTTCTGAAAAAATAAGTTACTGCAATCTCAAGAGAAACATGGGAACAGCACCAGAGTAAAGAGCCAGTGGAAAAAGAAATGAAAAACATTGAAAGCAGGAGGCACAGTCAACACATTCTCAGTAAATGATTACGTGTGGAGTTAAGGAGGAAAAAGTGGTGACTCCAAGGTGTCTGCAGAAGAAGCTCCTTAGGGTGATGCCTGCTTTGCCGTGCATATTTTATCTCACAAGCCACATATGGTATTATTAGTAGTAGTGGTACCTGACATCTTGCGTTTCTCTACCCTTCTAAATTTTCAAACCCATACTGCCATGATTTTAATTCTTTAGTTTTTTTAAAAGGTATTATGGCCTCTAATTTTGTTCCTACCAATCAGTCATAGTTTTCTCTGCAACTCAAAAGAAGCATTATAATGTAACTATGAAAAAAAGCATTTTCATCTGGGAAAATGTAATTACAAAACTCATTTATGAAACACTATCCATGCGATAGTTTATTATATTATACACTTTATTGTGCTTGTGAGTTTGACTATGAGTAGTATCAGAAACTTCTAGCAATAATTTCAATATTGTAGGTTATTTAAAAACCAGTAGCAGCATTATTAATGATTTTAGAGAACATTTTCTTCACGTTAGATATTACTTGCGAAAAAAGATACAGAGAAATACTTGAAAAACTTAGCATATACGTGTAATAAAAATTATTATCATATAACCTTATATAACTAAAATCAATACATTAATAGTAATCTAATAAAATTACATTTTAATAATTGATAAATTAATAACTAAAATCAATAAAATAGATATCTGTATGTAACCTCATTAGACTTCTATCCTATTTTACAATCAAAATAATAGTTAATTTAAAAATATAAATAAAAACAAAATTCTAATTAAGTTAAATTCTATCAACAGAATTTGGTAATACATAGTAATTTGTGTTCAATGAATTACTTAAAAAAACTATTTGTAATTATACTTATTTTTGAATATAGTAATGTCAGATATTATTCTCACTTCTTCATTAACTATGAAGAATTGAGGAAAATTTGGGCTACTTTAAGACCTTACATCCCACTTTTAATGGGAAAAGTATCCATAGTATAGATATAATTCAAAACAAAGATGGATAAAAAATTTGGACAAAATCTTTATAGAATAAATTCTAGGACCTAAATAAAACAAAAAATAGTTGATATGAATATAAGAGTCACAGTGATGATATTCAATGTAATTTATTGGTGAGATTTGTTGATATGAATATAAGAGTTACAGTGATGATATTCAATGTAATTTATTGGTGAGATTTGAATTCCAATTTTTCTATGCCATGAAATTAGAAATGATGCTAAATAATAACAACTAAACCAATCTTTCATTAAAAACTTTCAGAATTTATAAGATGAGCAAAAAGTTTAAAAATCACTAAAAATTTCAACGTCAAACTATCAGATCCTAAACTCATACGCAGGAAGATGATTAGCATCGCAGTTCCGAACACAACCCAGTAGATGGCAGTAGGCTGTTACAAAGTCAGAAAGATTGAGAAATAAATTATACATTGCTAGTATTACACACGTAGATAGAGCATCTAATAAAAAGAGTATGCTATTCTTTCTAATATAATACAGGTACCACATCCTAAAATGCATTATAATTTATCCTGATTTTGTGGTGGTTACCTATACATTTCTGAACAGTACAAACAGCTAATATGCCTTCACATAAAATGGCAACAATTACTCATAACTCAATCTCAGTGAAATTCAATTATAATTAAGAAATTTAGAGTTGGTATAATATGAGTAAAACAAATATTAACTTTGAGTTTCTAATTCATTCATGTGGGAAAAATAAGAAAAATATAAAGAGGAAACATTTTGTAACAGAAACCGTTAGTGACCAGGTATCATAAAATAGGGATTTCAGATGTGATTTATGCACTTCAACTGTGTAATTTTGAGTATAATTGTGTAACTGTGTCTTTGAACATGTCTGTACCTTAATTTCTTTATTTCCACAATAGTAATCACAAGCCTTTTCCAACACAACTCAAACTCTATACATAAAATAAAATAGCGTATGCAAAGGAAGGGAAAAATGCTATGCAAATGTAACATTATTTTCACCCACATGAAGTTAAAAAAAGGAGTTTTAAAAAGAGAATTTGTCCAAAGGCATCACATGATTCAGAAAATAAAATGCTAAGGAGACAAGTCAATGGATTTGGTTCTCTGAGAGTTGTTCTAGAGTATATTTTGAATAATATGGTAAATATATTTTGACCTGGATGAAGTTTGCCTTCCCATTGGCCCTATGGTACAGTCTAGAGGTGACACACACAGGCTCCAAAGTTTGGACACCCAGGCTCATAATTAACTTTCCATTCACTTTACTATGCGACCTTGAGTAAATAACCTAAGTCTCTGTGCCTTAGCTTGTTCATCTCTGTGATGGAGTAGTAACAATAACTACCTCAACTTGAACAAATACCTGCCAGTTTCTTCCTCTAAACTGGAGATAACATCTTCTCATTTTATTGTGAGCTTCAAATGAGAATGTTTTTGAAAGCTATACAAATGTGATGCAGAAAGTTTTCCATTGACTAATATTTCAGCTTTATTTTTTATTAATTCCATTACCTATTTTGTCTTACAATGATGAATATGTACAGAGATATATCTACACCTACACAAAGAGGATATCTTACTGGATGATTTTCAGATACCACACTCAAGGATTGCTTTCAAACAGCATCAAGAGTACCCCTTGTGGTAGCAAACAAGGGAAGAATTATGCACGCAGCCTAGTAAGCCCCTTAGCATTTTCCCTATTCATCAGACAGAAAAGGGCTGTGGTATTACCCTTCCATTATAAATAAATCAAATATCATTACAAATAATTAATAACTGTATTATTGTCCTAATAACCTTTTTCCAAAATGTAAATGCTCTTCTGTTTTCCTCAAGTGCTTATGGAATTGTTTGGCTCATCTTGCCTTCTCTCATTCAATTCATAATTTGAAAATGGGTTTTCAAGTTTAAAGTATTATTTGAGGCCATGGAAGAGAGTAAATTTATCTGGTCTCTGAAGGTACATAATCCATGGCTCGAAACCCTTCAACAACCAAATAAAACTATGAGTGTCATGAAAATAGTGGGAAAGACAAGACGTTCTATTCAAGTCCAAGCAAATATGTAAAAGTTATGTAGTAATGCAAACTTTGGGACTATATATACATGTATATTTTCTTATTTTTGAATTAATGCACAGTGCGTTTATCAACCTATATGTGTATATATGTTCTTACTTTGAATGAATGTTCAAATATATAATATCACGCAGATTGAGATTATTTTGCTTTTGTGTTTGTAAAATTGCTTCTGTTGCAGGTAAAAAACATGCTTCACTCTGGGTTATCCAACTGGAATATACAGCACAGCCAGACAAAAATAAGCCACATATGACAGAATTTTGTCAGCATCTCTACATGTTTGCCTTTTCCAACTCTATGTAAAAGAATATCGTCTCTACCAGTCAAACAGGGCCCACTTAGTTCACTAATCCATAACATAACATTATCTCGAGAGATCATTTAACTTAGACATTTCTAAAAGTGGCACAGAATATTGAACCTCTAACCTGAAATGAAATGGTGTATACATTACTAGAACTGTAAAGACATAAATTTAATGTAATAACTGAAACCATTGTACAGTGGTATTATGAAATAACTTTTCCTTCCACCCTATTGGAAGTAGGTGATAATCTTTGTTAATTATGAACAAAGGAATTCCCTGGTGTTACCTGTGTCTTTTTTTTTGGTTGCTGAAAATCCTTTGATCCATATTCCTTCTCCTTATTGGACTCAGCTGCCCTCACAGAGACGCATTCTGGTTTGCTCTTATAGGCAATACCATTTTACTCCCCATGGGAAGGTCTGCAAGTGTTCTCTCCTTCTAATGAACGTGTAGGTTACTCTATTTCTACAGTTCAGAACTCATAAGTATATTGTTGCTGCACAAAGACTCCTCACCCTGTAAGCCAGGTATCAAGATATCTGTATCCACCTGACTTCTTAGTCAACCTTTCCATTGGTTCTGAATTCAAGCAGGGAAAATGTTTTTATTAAGCTGTATCAAATTCCAACAATGAAGAAATATAAATATATCATCTAGGGATACAGATACATGTAGTAAAAGCATGGATATGCTTGAGAATAATATGCTACAAGCCTCAGGCTAAACAGAAGTCTTACTACAGTTCAACATGTTCCATTTCTTAAGCTGGATATTAGGTATACAAGAATTTGTTATATTATTCTTGAAAATATTTTTGTTATTTTCTTTATAGAAGGTGTGCAATTCTTGCTTAATTCTGTTTCCTCTGCTGTTGGCAGAGCGCTGTCAATTTGGGTGATAGGGGGATTTATATCCAACAATTTTTTATAAAGAACAGAATAGTGTTTTTTTTTTTCTAAGTACAGGCTGAAAAAATTGATTTTTCATTGTTTGGTACCATGAAATTTTTCCCATTAAAAGAAGCACAAGGGTGTTACCTGTGTAACCATTTGAAAGCTGATACTGAGAGCTTATGACCCACCTAAAGGCTAGGTCTCTTGCTTTTCTCTTTACCCTGGCAAACATATAAATAAATCATAGAGAATCAAAGTCATCATTGTCTCCTTCAGTTTGGAAGGTGTTCTTGGGTAACTTATCAGCACTTAACCTGGTCCTTGAAAAAGATTAATCTCTTTAAATCATTCCCATAGTACAGATTCAAACTGCAGCCAAATTTAATAAGCTAATTATGGGTAAGATTCAAGTGTCATTCCTTATTAAGTCACTGCTCTAAAACACTTCCTAAGTTTCCTAATCAGTAGACATGAACAATTAACATCTAATTAGCCCTCCATCATACTCGCTAGAAATGTTTTAAAAGGAAATTTAAAGAGATGTCTCTCATAAAGATTTCACTGAAAATGTGTGATAGTGTCCTTTTCCACTTACATAATTCATCATTTACTATTTAGTAGCCTACTTGCTAAGATGATTATTTTAAGCATGAAAGATGTTGATTGGAATTCATTAGAAATTCCATCATTTTATGGCTATGAATGACATTATTGACAATTAATCCAACCAATTAACTTTCCATAGGAGGAAATTGAGGCCAAGGGAGGTTTAACTTGACAAAGCCACAGTTGCTTATTTCAAGGGTATTTGAGGCCAAGTCTCAAGTCTGTATACTATCTACCACCCTCTTCTTTCCTTTATAGTTTTAAAATAACATTTTAATGCCTTCAACCTACTTCCTAAGATCACTGGCTTTGCTATTCTTGGTGTTATGTAAGTAAAACAGCTTTCTGGCTTCAGTACTTTGACTCTAGATCTCCAGCTTATAGTTACTAAGTTATTTAGATTTGCTAAAGCTAAAAGGTTTAAATCACTGTATGAAAGATTTAAGTGTTCATTAAATGTTATCTTTTTAAAATGTGGTGTCTCTAGAAGTTGTATATTTTCTCCAGATTTGTTTTCTAGGAAATAATGAACACACTGGCCTATAAGCTAAAGAGACCAGGGTTCAGAAAAGACAGTTCTCTGGATGTCGTATATTCCTCTCATGTCTAAGGCCAGTAGAGAAGATACCTTACAGGGAAAGTGAAACATGCACCAAGGGAAGGGGAAAAATGAGAAAAGCCCAACCATCAAGTCCCTCTCAAACCTGAGATGGTTTTTTATGTTCACTGGGGCTCGTATGTCCTGGAAATCAACTTCGGCATAAGCACTGCGTCAACAGCAGCAGCCCCACCAGGAGTCATCTTCAAAATGGAAAGGGACAAATTGACTTCACCTAGCCGGAGCCTAGAATAAAGTGATAATGGACATCAAGAAACGCAGTACAACACCTGCGTAGATTTGATGGCCTGCAAAGGAAACGTGGTTTGATATTTGTTCACCTCTTTTTAAGTAACCTTTTCAAATGGACCTTTTTCTTGACCCTTTCTCCTAAGCTTCCCAGCTCCCAGTATCCACAGGTGTCTGTGGTCCAGTATGTACGTGGACAGTCTGTAAACGTAATCAGTATAAAAACATAATGATAACGGTCCTCTCCCCTTTCTTTGCCACTGAGCATTACGAAGAATAATTCTAATCTCTTCATTAACAAACATTTCACATTTAAGAGCTGTGTATTGTGAGCAGAGGGTGCGTTGCAGACTCCAACTACATGTAACACCTCTGTTTTCTTCAGTTAGAAACCTATTTTAAAACTATACTAAGTACAGAACACTTCAGAGTAGGTGTCCAGGCAAAGGAGAAGAAACAGCTCCTATCTTCTTTTCCTCATTATAATCTAATGATATACATAGACAAGAAAGCACACAGTTATTTAAAATGTGGCGAGTGCTCTGGTAGGAGGACTCTGCTACTGTGCTTCCCAGAAACTATAAATCATTCATTACCTCGACTTTCTCCTGTACCTGGAAACTTCCCTTCTTTTCTGGATAACTCTCTTGGCTTTTAAACATGGTCAGGTCTGGCCGGGCGTGGTGGCTCACGCCTGTAATCCCAGCATTTTGGGAGGCCGAGGCGGGCGGATCACGAGGTCAGGAGATTGAGACCATCCTGGCTAACATGGTGAAACCCCGACTCTACTAAAAATGCAAAAAATTATCCAGGCGTGGTGGCGGCGCCTGCAGTCCCAGCTAGTTGGGAGGCTGAGGCAGGAGAACGGCGTGAACCCGGGAGGCAGAGCTTGCAGTGAGCCGAGATCGCACCACTGCACACCAGCCTGGGCGACAGAGTGAGACTCCATCTCAAAAAAAAAAAAAGTCAGGTCTCTTTGTATTAAAACATATTCCTTCATCTCATTTCCTCTTTATAGCCAAATTGTAGAGATTTGTCTACACTCTTAATCTCCAAATATTGACGCTCAGTTCATTCATCAACATTGAAAAGCTGGTTTTCTCTCATCCCTTCTACCAAAATAAATGTTACTATCTTCAAAAGTATTCATAATCACTAAATCCAATGCACACTTTTCAATCTGTATCTTTCTTGACCTCTGAGAATTCCTTACTGTAGAACATTTTATCTTGAAACATACTCTTTTCTTTGCCTCCAAGTGAGTATGACTTTTCTGTTACTACTTTGACTGCTCTTAAATAATGATTTTGGAGATAATAATTCTCTACCAAGCTGTTAAATATTGATTTTATCAAAGTTCAAGTACAGGTATTATTTTTTCTCACTATAACCCTGGTATCCAATAGAAGTATAGTCACAAATGTCCTTCGAAATTTTACATGTTCTAGTAGCTACATCAAAAATATAAAAAGAAACTAATAAAATAGTCCAGTATATCCAAATGTTATCCTTCAAAATGCAACCAATATATGTATTACTGAGATGTTTTACATTCCTTGTTTCCACGCAAGTCTTCAAAATCTGATGTGATTTCAGATTCAAACTAGCCACATCTCAAGGGCTTAGTAGCCTCGTGTGGTAGTGTTTCCTACATTAAACGATGCAGCTCCAGACTTAAAAGAACTACAATGGGAACACATGGACACAGGAAGGGGAACATCACACCCCGGGGTACAATGGGAACACATGGACACAGGAAGGGGAACATCACACCCCGGGGTACAATGGGAACACATGGACACAGGAAGGGGAACATCACACCCCGGGGTATAATGGGAACACTTGGACACAGGAAGGGGAACATCACACCCTGGGGTACAATGGGAACACTTGGACACAGGAAGGGGAACATCACACCCTGGGGTACAATGGGAAAACATGGACACAGGAAGGGGAACATCACACCCCGGGGTATAATGGGAACACAGGGACACAGGAAGGGGAACATCACACCCCGGGGTACAATGGGAACACTTGGACACAGGAAGGGGAACATCACACCCCAGGGCCTCTTGTGGGGTTGGTGGGGTGGGGGGAGGGGGGAGGGATAGCATTAGGAGATATACCTCATGTAAATGACGAGTTAATGGGTGCAGCACACCAACATGGCACATGTATACGTATGTGACAAACCTGCACATTGTGCACATGTACCCCAAAACTTCAAGTATAAAAAATAAATAAATAAATAACTACATAATCTCACCTGTCCTCATGGCTTCCGTTACCACTTTAAAATCATGACTCCAAAATGTATATCTCCAGCTTAGACCTCTCCTGAGTTCTGAATACTTTATATTTGACATCTCCCTTTTAGTGTTGCAAATTCAATGTTTTTATATCTAAAAGTGTGATCGTCCCCTCCCAGCTTGAACTTACTCCATTGTCCCTTCTCATAAAGGTTGGCACTGCTGTCTGTATAGTGTTGCAAGATGGAAACCTAGTTGTTATCTCAATTTTTTTCACAACTATGATGATAATATTGATTAACATTATACCTATATCCAATGTAATACTAAAACAATAATAATTCCTTTGAGAAGTAATCTCATCACATCTTTCCTCCACGGTAGCCCAAATTAATATTAACTCTGTGACGATTACCGGCTTTCTGGACAGGACCTGTTTCCCTGTTACACGTTTTCTTGCCTCTTGGTTCTTTTATACAAAGCACATACTTTGCTTCCTTGGCTCTCTGTTTTTTTTTTATACACAGCACTCTTTACAATTAAAATGTTTTCAATTATCTTGTTAATTTACTTATTTATTACTAAGTTGTAAATTCAGTGAGCCACGACCATGCCCGCTTTGCTCACAATTGTATCCTATATGCTTAACAGGTACTTGGTACATCATAGGCACATAATAAATCCATGTTAAATGAGGAGAACTTAACCCAGTATTGAAGAGTCCAGGAAAATCAGAAAGTACGGTGTTCCTTACTGAGATAGAGTTACCATAAAGCAATTTGCTCTTATCTTTCTGAGTTACAAGTATGTTTGTCCTTTGATCCAAATACCTCTTCTAGAAAATTACGCCCTAGAAAGAGTCATCTTTGTATAACATAGTAATGGCTTCAGTGCATATTTTATGCCAGGATCATCTTTTTCCTTTTATATTTTCCTTAATATCCCCCAATAACTCTATGAAATACATATTGTTATTCTTCTTTTACAAATAAACAAAAATTATGTTCAACTCTATTCAATATGATACTTTTTAAGTAAAATTTACTATCTTTGTATGAACAAAAGGTTTGCAAATGGACAGAAATTGGAATGGAAAGATACATACAATATTGCAAGAATATTTAGCTCTAGAGTCTTGAAGTTGCAGAGAGCAGACAAAGAGCAGTTTTCATGTTTAGTTCCACATAGACATTGGTTGGTTGACTCTTTTATGGAAAGAATGTGTGTATTATTTATAAACAGCAAAAGATAATGTTTTTAAATGTGGTGATTCTATTGAGCCTGAAATCAATCACAATATTTTTCTTCCCAACCGGCATCCCTAAATAAATCAAGAAGCACAATCCCTTCAGTCAGTACCTAGACTTCAAAACAAATAAAGCTGAAAGAATTGTGCAAGGATTCATGGGTTCCAAGGAATTGAATGATAAACAATTACAGAAATACGTTCTAGTCGATCTTCTTAATGTGGATTCTGGTGGTTAAAAAACACACAGGACTATGCATGAGGCTATGAGCCCAATGCTGTTTGCAGATCCACGCTATCTGGAACCTCAGAAAACAAAATAAGAATCATTATCTATGATCCTCTCCCTTACCTACAGACGAAAACTATTCTGAGAAGATTGCTGAAAATTTGGCCAATATATCAAGTGGAGAATCCATGGCAACATGACCAAAAGGCTACAGAAGCAAAGTAATTTCTGCACTTGCCGTTAGCCAGCCTGAAGAGTCCTATCACACCTTCATTTCCTCCCTCCCTTCCTTCCTTCTTTCTCTTACGTTTTTGGTAAGCCATATTCCAAAACATTTTAATAAGTGAAAATTTTTTTAGAGAAAAAAATCAGAAATTTTGCAGATTTTTAACAATTAAAATGTACTTTTTTGGCACAAGTATAAAATTTACAGGATTCTATAATGTAGAGTTTATGAAAGTTAGGTTTTTTATTGTTAGTCATTTTCTTCAAGTATCCTAATATTTCAATTTCAACATAAAATATCCACTGCTTTTCAGTCAAAACCAGCTAATGGCAATTGGAAACATTTTCTATAATTTAGCTCATTCGTATTTTAGAAAATCTCTCAAGAAATACATGCCTTAGAAAAAATGAACCTACAGTGATTTGGTAATTACATTTTTTTTTTTCAGCACAAAATGCAGATCTATGCTCTTCACTTAAAACATAATGGGTGCTTAGAAGTCAAGGAGTCCACAGAGACACTACAAGGACTAAATATATTATCCTTAAATACTAATTCTGTCATTTATGATTCATAGCCAACTCCTTCAGTAAAGTTACAGATTTTCAAATTATCCCACTGAGAGAGATAGAAGAGGAGAAAAGGAACGGCTAAACTCACATCTGTCTTGGCTGCCAAGGAATTGCAGTAATAACTAACTTTCTCAGTGGCTTGCTAAGAACGCTATTTTCACTTGGGTTTCCTAAAAGAATCTCTTTTGAAGAAAATCCACATATCATTTTACTTTACTGGATGCTGGATGAAAAATAGATGCCCACTGTCACCTAGCTATATTGATTATGAGTGAAAATGTGATCATTTTGCATTGACTTGCCCCACAGCACTGAGTTCCTTCAAAGCAGCAGGAGGAAATTAATGCTTTCATATCGTGCCTAAGAAAAATATGAGATGTTGTTCACTTTGCCCTCTAGACAAAGAGGTATATGCAATAGCTGAAAGGTAATAGCTTTCAGAACATGAACTCGAGACTTTTATTAAAATCATTATTTTATGCACAAAAAATAATGAACTCATGGCCACAACATTTAAGGCAGCCATTTGTAGTTATTACCTCTTACACCATAATGTTTACTTTGTTAAGAGCCATTATTTCTTAAATTAAAACTATGCTTCTGTTTTATTTAGATTATATGTCTTAAATGATAATTTATTTTATATATATCAATCAAACAATATAAAAACTCTAAATTGATGACAGGAATTGTTATTTTTTCATATTTATTTGATTTATCTTTTATCAGAAAGACTAATGATCTTAATAGTATAGATCTATGTAAGTTGATTTGCATAATGATTTTATTTAGTATATTTCATCAGTAGTTACTATAATACACACTTGCACTTAAAACTCATCCAAACACAAAAATTGCATGTTGTAGATATCAAAAATAAAATTTACAATATGTAAAATCTAAAAACATAGTTACAGAGAGATTTTGCATTCTGATGAATTTGTATTTTTGAAAATTTACATACCTCACCAATGATGTTCTCTATAGAAATGCACATTCTATTTCTTAAGAATAGAATTTGAAATTCAGTTCAAATTCCTTACCACAGGAATTAAAGTTCAAATTGGCAAAACAGTTGCTTTAAAATTGAAGATTTTGTTTCCTCTCAACCCTGAATATTTATAAGGAATCAAATGTGATGATATTAACACGTACACCTACATGATGACACTGAAGGAGAGACATGTGTATGGAGAGAGTGAACCACACTCTTAAATATAAAAAGACCCTGAACTGATCCATGAGCTCACTATGGCAAAAAAATAAATGGAGAATTTCAAGGGTGTCAAAAAATGCTGTTTTATTTACCAAGAGTTGCTTTGATCTTGTGAAACTTTGATTTTATTAATCGTTGTTTTGATTTTCTAAGTGTCCTAGGGGAAATAAAGATGTCACATTTTTCATATTCCTAAACCCAACTTGACCTCTTATTCATTCATTTTTTAAGCTACTACTCATCAAGAACTAGAATATATTCTGGAGAAAAAGTGGGGAAGCAAAACAGAGTTCCAGCCCTCACAGAGATTACAGTTGCATGGACTTGTGTATGTGTATTCGCTGCTTCCTACGTTCTGCACATGTTTCCCACATATTTTTTAAAATGTCCCCATCTCAGTGAGATCCTCCCTGATTACCCTGTTAATTTTTGTTTATTTTAATTTCCACCACTAAACCTCCACTCTTTGACATTTTCTATCTCTCTTTGCTAATCAGAAAACTTATCACCATCTGCCATGCACAGTCTTGCCTATCACAATACTCATTAGTCTCCTTAGATTTAGCTAAATATTCAGAATTCTAAGACTATCACATGACACACCAGGAACTCATCTATGCAGAAGGATATTAATGAACCACAGCTGGCCAGCACGGAAGCATCAATAGCTCTTCTCAGCAGGAGCCCCTGCTGCAGTCCCAAGAACGGACCATGTAGCTCTCCAGGAGCAAGTTCAGGTGCTAGGCTATGAGATCTGCACTGGGAACGGGTTGGGGCCATCCTGACAAATAGGCTCATGCCGTCAGAGAAGCTAGGATTTCTTTTAACAACTCTGTGGCTGCAGCACATAGGGTTGGCACAGAGTACATGCTTCATTAACAAGATTCACCACATTCAGTAAAACCCAAAATACGGCATTCCCACGACATATTGATAGTCTCTTTACATTTCCCACCAGTCCAGATGCAACTGACCAACCTGGGGTCACTTTTTTTTAATCATAGATAATGTTGCTGAGTAATGTAGCAGACAATCTATGTTTACCAGGTTTCCAGGAGAACAGAACTAGAGAGTTAGCCAAAAGTCAGATTCTCATGTAGCAAAGACAGAGAGTTTTGTCAGTCGTCTGCCCATAACTAATTTTTCCAATGCATGTTTCTCACTAGACTATAAGCATTACAAAGGCAAGGATATGTGTCTGTTTTGTTCATGGTGGATGTTCATTAACTCGTCTCTACAATATTGTGGTTACATAGTTACATTGTTGTATAAATGATTATGTTTCAGTTTACTTTTCTATGAAATGAAGATAATAGCAACACCTATCTTGCTGGGTTGTAGTAAGGATTAAATGAGACAATACTGGTAAAACCAAGTGTTTTGCATGATGCCTAGCATATTGTCAATACTCAGTAAATGCTTAATGTTATTATTTGTATTATTAATTATCATAATCTATAGAAATTCAGAGATAAATTCTAAAACAAATCAATAAATGACCTAACCACAAATACATAAAAAAATAAACACTCAAATGCATTGGATTCTACTGTTGAATCATGCTGAAAATCCTTCTCTGTGTTACTTACCTTTGAATTGGAGGTAATTAAAACAAGATAATGTGATCTTCCTCTGGGTTAACAGCACAATTTCTCCGTAAAATATACCTCTTCTGGGGAGATTTTTTTTAAAGATTAGTTTAATTTCTCTTATTTTTAAAGTGCTTTTCTTCTGAATATTCTTGTTACCCAAGTTATGATGCTGGCTAGTTTATTATCTCAAAGTTATTTATGAGTCATTCAGCATGAGAATGTAGGTCAGAAGGCTCTTCTTAAAATGTAATTGATCATAAAGGTGGCCCAAGTAAACTCGAGGTCTGTGATGGAAGATGGCCCAGAATCACAGGATTCTCAGAACATGAGAACTGCCTATGACATGCACTGCACACATGAGGAGATTATTGCTTACGAGGCCTGTCAATATGGGTTCTTTTTATCTCCTTAGAGATAAAGGTTATTTTGTTATGTTATACCTTATGAGGATATTCTTTAATACCTTTTAAAATTTCACTTAAGTACATGACTTGATATTTGTTCAGCTTAATGTTTGGTAAATTATTTTCTAGAAAATTATTAATGTCATCAATATCTTCAAATGTATTAGCTTAGTATTATATATTTTACACATTTATGTCTTTGCAATTTCTATTTCTAATTTTGCTTTGTTTGTATGTTAGATTTCCTTGTTATATTTACCAGATGATTATCTTGTGTGTGTGTGTGTGTGTGTGTGTGTGTGTGTGTGTGTCAAGCATACTATGTGTCTTGTATATAATTCATAATATATGTGCCATACACACACATTGACAATACCATAGATAGTACTACAGTATTTTCTATGTGGAGTTTTGTTGTTATCCAATAAATTTTAGATATTCAGTGGACCCTAAGTCCCCATATGCCTAATAATAGGTTAGTGTTGCCTTCATATATAGACAACCATGGAGCTTTGACATTTCATTATTTGAGTTATCATTATATCAATTGATATAATGTTATTTATAACTAGTGGTCAGCCCAACCTATGCTTGTCTTATTTGGTTTTGCACAGATGTTTGTAACAAATTTAATTTTTTTTCTTTTATTATATTATCTTTCCTTTTTGGTTTAGTGATTTCACATTTCTCTTTATTATTGGAAAAAATTATTTGTTTCTCTGCAGGACTTCATTAATTTTTTCTCTTACATAATGGGCCTTTTAAATTCACAATGTATAGTTGCCTTAGCTTTCAGGTTTTTTTTCTATTAAGTCTTTCACTACTGCTTATCTCCCATGTGTTCTGATATCAGCAACAAAGTTCCATATTTGGATTTTCTCTCTCTGTTCACCATATTATCTTCTCATTCTCACTGTGTCTTTTGCATCTTAGTCTCATACTCACCCATACTCAGCCCAAAATTAAAAGAGAGCTTTTTTAGTGTGTCTTCCATATCGCTTTTTCCTACAATTTAATTCTACTTCTTATTGCTTTTGATGCTGACATTAATGCTGAGATTATTGTTTATATTATATAATCTTTAAAAGCTTTACCGCCACCTAACTCAGAAGTCACTTTTCATATCAGTCAGTTGTCCCATCTCATCTATCCTGCTTCATGAACTCTAACTTATCTAAAATTTGTTGATAGTACAAAGCATCTACAATTTATTTCTATTTGGAAAAGAAGAATTTCCTTCAGTAACCTGAAAGCTGTATTCTATCCTGTAAACATATTGGCTGATTTTGTAGTTTCCCTTTCTCCCTTATTTATTCTTTTTGAAATGAACAATATTTACATAGTTTTGTTATTTGATGATAGAGGAAGAATGAATTCTCCTTCCTTGAATATTTCAGGTTTCATTTCACAGTGAAGATACTGCTTTCAAAGAAACAATGGGGTTACTATAGTCAATCATAACATAATTGCACATTCTAAAATAACTGAATCATGGTGTCATTTTGTAAAGAGCAGTACATTTTATTTGTGGATCTTCCAGAGAAGACTTAATTCTTTCCTTGCTAGATGGAGTCTCAGGGCATCCTTCTCCCACAACTCTTCTAAGCCCAGCTGTATTTCGTTATTGACTGTGAATCCTTGAAAATAAAACAAAATCTCAAACACATGTCTCTCTTAGTGGCACTGTGTTGTTGGGAAGATTTGCTGGAGAAAAATTAGTGAGGGCTGCCTGCCCTGGCAGGTCTCCTTCCTGCTTCTGAGGATTAAGAGCGCTTTGCCGCATCCATCTGGTCACTGGATGGGCCGATCCTACAAGGCAGGCACACAGAATTGATTATTTTGAGAAAAATTCTTTCAGACTTTCTGAGGGGTGTATTTCTTTGTTTCTTTAGATTGTGTGTGCTTGTGTGTGTGTGTGTGTGTGTGAGTGCGAGTGTGCACTCGAGATTGTTATACACTTTCCAGCACATTCCCCTATTCTTCCTCAGGGCTCCATGTACCTGTGGTTGTCAGGAATTCTTTTTGTGATCTGGCACATATTTGGTCCATAGCTTTTAATTTTTTTCACAAATCTGAGAGGGAAAATTAGAAACCTCAAATGCTTGATATCTTAACCAGACAACCCTATGAATATTTCTAACTATGTTGTTGTAGATTCTTATACTTATGAGGCTGACCAAGTCTATAAAAGAGACTTTTATTCTAAAAGTTGATAACACAGAAGTAGTATAAAATGCCACACATTTTCCTGTAAACTATCACTATCATTGACTCTACCATGTTTTCTATAAGGTGGCTTATTTCTCTGATATAAACATTTATAGATATAAAAAGTAATATTTATGGTTCATCCCTCTTTAACTGAAATAAGGAAACCATTTAGATATGAAGCTCAACTGTAAATTTTAGGATCTTAACTGAAAACAAATTCCATTTGAGTTCTTAAAAAGAATGAGGTTGGAGAAAAAAAATCATTCCAAGCAATTTATATAAATATATATAACTATAAAATGATAATATATATGAGAATATATTGTGCCTAATATATATGTATAAATATTTTATATTATAATATCTTACACATAATATATTATAAACTGTATTTTTTTCAAGCAGGCCTGTGTGACTGCTAGTAAATATTTGATTTGCCGTATGCATTTTTGACAGAAAGAAAATTGTATGAATAAACAATGCCAAAATCTCTTCTTGTGTGGCAAAGATGATCTATTTTAGCATGCTATGTTAATGTCTACTTGTTATAGAAAAGAAAGAACACCCATTATACAGGGGAGGCAAGCACAAGATTGAACAAATGAGGAAGCAAGCTGATGGTGTTAATGTCAGGGACTGTTTACGTATTAAATTTTGTCATGGGTAAAATATGTATCATTCACATAAAGACAACAGAAACACAATGATGATTACACCAGAAGACAAATATAAAGACTAGAAAATTCAAATCAACTTCCTTTGTTGAAACCAAAATTTACATCTCAAAAGTATCCCAAAACAGACATAATCAACCACGTTTTACTCAACAGAAAAGGGAGAATAAGTTTTCTACATTTGGGCTATGATGTAAAATACCTTCATAAGTGGCATGCTAAATAAAAAGTGATTTGACGAAGATGTTTTCATGAATGCAAAGTGAATGTCTTCCGTGATTTCTATCAGGAAAATACTTCAAACTGTTCTTTTGTCAAGGTTGACTGAGTCACTGAATATGTTTGCATTTTTCTACTGATTATCAAAATAGTCATAGAAATCTTCATATCAGGTCCTTAGAAAACAGCTTCACAGATTACATATGACCTGGCAACAATTCTTAAATAAAGGGTGTGTCACTAAGATAAAATTTTACAAAGTATGTAGCTGAAGAGGCTGGATCTACTAAGAGCAAAGAGAATGATCCTAACAGAAACAAGTTCGGAATTTATGAGTCTTGCTAGAACACCTGTTAACTGCGGGTACCCAGAGAGTAACAATGACCCAGATCCTAGTAGAGAAGAGATGGATGTATTGAGAGGAAACAAATCACAGATTCTTAATTCTTTAACTTAGGGGATAGAAGTTATGCCATTAGCCATTACTGTTAATTTGAAACAATAAATCACACAGCTATTGAAGAGAAAATGACATACCAGACTCCTTGATGATTGGTTAGCTATTTAGAATCAAGAACAGACATATAAAGGAAGCATTGGATTTTTTATTTGATCACCTCTAGGGTCAAGCTAGCAATAAAATGAATTAATAGATAATCAAGTAAATTTTAACAATTTCAAATATATGTGTATTTTTTAAATTAATAAACTTGACTTTTTAGAGGTGTTAGGCAGACAACCTAATTGAGTGGTAAGTACAAAAAGCCCTCATAAACTTTTTGTCCCCACACATGCGCAACGTCCCACACTATCAACATCCCACATATCCCACATCAGGTACGTTTGTCAGAGGTGATGAACTTACACTGACACATTGTTATCACTCAAAGTCCATAGTTTGTCACTCTAGATGCTGTACATTCTATAGGTTTTGAGAAATGTATAATGTCGTATATTCACCACTAGTGTATCATATAGAATAATTTCACTGTCCTAAAAATCCTCTGTGATCTGCCTAATCATCTCTCCCTATTCCCATAATCCCTGGTAACTACTGATCTTTTTTTACTATCTCTATACTTTTGCTTTATCCAGAAGATCATATAGTTGGAATTATACAGTATGCAGCCTTTTCATATTGGCTTATTTCACTTAGTGTATTGAAGCTTTTTCCATGTTTTTCATAGCTTGATAGTTTATTTCTTTTCAAAATATCGAGTAATATTCCATTGCCTGGAAGTACCACAGTTTATTTACACTCTCAATTACCGAAGGAAATCTTAGTTGCTTCCAAATTTTGGCAATTATGAATGAAGCTGCCATAAACATTCATGTGCAGGTTTTTGTTCCAACATAAGTTTTCAGTTTATTTGGGTGGATATCTGAGAATGAAATTGCTAGATTATATGATAAGAGCCGGTTAGTTTTGTAAGAAAGTGCAAAACGGTCTTCCAAAGCGGCTGTACCACTTTGTAGCCCCCAGCAGCAATGAATGAGAGGTCCTGTTGCTCCCCATCCTCCTCAGCATTTGGTGGTGTCAGTGATTTGGATTTTGGCCATTCTAGCAGTGATTTCTCATTATTGTTTCAATTTGCGATTCCTTAATTATATATGCTGAATATATTTTCATATGCTTATTTTATGTTCCGTCTTTATATCTTCTTTAGTGAGGTGTCGGTTCACGCCTTTTGCTCATTTTTTAATTGAGTTATTTATTGTTGAGTTTTAAGAGTTGTGTATTTTAGATAGCAGTCCTGTATCAAATGTGTCTTTTGCAAATATTCATTCTCAGTTGGCAGCTTATCTTCTCCTCTTCATGGTGGCTGTGATGAGCAAAAGTTTCCAATTTTAATGAAGCCCAGGTTATCAATTATTTTCTTCATAGATCATGCCTTTGAAGCTGTTTCTAAAAAGTCATTGTCAAAGTCACAGATTTTCTCCTATGCTATCTTCTAGGAGCTTCGTAGTTTTGTGTTTTAACATCTAGATTGATAGTCCATTTTGAATTAATCTGTGGAAGAGTTGTAAGGCCTATGTCCAAATTAACTTAGTTTGTTCGCATGTGGGTGTACAGTTGTTCCCGCACCATTTTCTGAAGAGACTGTATTTGCTCCACTGTATTGCCTTCACTCCTTCATCAAGATCAGTTAACTCCATTTATGTGGGTCTGTTTCTGGGCTCTCCCGTTCCGTTCCGTTCCGTTCCGTTCTATGTGTCTGTTCTTTCACCAACACGACACTGTTTTGATTACAATAGCTTTAGAGTAAGTCAAAGTTTGATAGCATCACTTCTCCAATTTTATTCTTCTTCAATATTAAATTGGCGATTCTGATTCTTTTGCTTGTCTGTATAAACACTAGAATCAGTTTGTTGATATCTATAGAATAACTTGCTAAGATTATTTGGGATGGTGTTGAAACTATAGATCAACTTTGGGAGAACTGATATCTTGACTACCTTGAGGTTTTTATAGAAAAACATGAAATATAGCCTCATTTATTTAGCTTTTTGTTTTTGTTTTTGTTTTTGTTTTGACAGGATCTCACTCTGTTACCCAGGCTGGAGTGCGGTGGCATGATCTCCCGGATCTATTCTCAAGCTATTCTCCTGCCTTAGCCTCCCGAGCAGCTGGGATTACAGGCACCTGCCACTATTCTTACTGGAGATGGAGTTTCACCATGTCAGCCAGGCTGGTCTCGAACCCCTGACCTCAGGTGATCTGCCCGCCTCAATTTCCCAAAGTGTTGGGATTACAAGCATGAGCCACTGCACCCAGCCTAGCTTTTTGATATCTTTCATGAGAGTTTCGTAGTGTTCCTTACATAGATTTTGTACATATTTTGTTAGATTTATACCTAAGTATATCATTTTGAAGGGTACTAATGTAAATGTTAGTGTGTTTGTAATTTCAAATTGTGCTTGTTCATCGCTAATATGTAGAAAAGCAATTGAGTTTTGTATATTAGCCTTATATTCTGATACCTTTCTATAATCACTAATATTCCAGGAGTTTTTCTGAGAATTCTTTTGGATTTTTTTATGTCAACAATCATGTCATCTGCAAACAAGGAAAGTTTTATTTATTCCTTTCCACTCTATATTTTAAAATTTTGTTTTCTTATTTGATTAGCTCGAACTTCCAGTACGATCTTGGAAAGAGTGGTGAATTGAATCTTCTTGCATTGTTCCTGATCTTAATGAGGAAGCTTTGAGTTTCTCACTGTTACGTATGATATTAGCTGTAGACTTAGATCTTTCTCCAGATATGCTTTATCAACTTGAAAAAGTTCTCTGTTCCTAGTTTACTAAGAATTTATCATGAATGGGTGTTTGATTTTGTCAAATGTTTTTTCTTCAGATATTAATATTATCATGTAATTTTTCTTCTTCAGTCTGTTGATGTGATGGGTTACATTAATTCATTTTTAAATGTTTAACCAGACTTGCGTGCCTAGATAAATCTAATTTGGTTGTGGTGTATAATTCTTTTTATACATGTTCAATTTAATTTGCTAATATTTTGTTGAGTATTACTGCAGCTATTTTCCTGAGAGACATTGTTTTGTAGTTTGCTTTTCTTATAATATCTTTGGTTTTTTTTATTAGGGTAAAGCTGGCCTCAAACAATGAGTTTGAAAGTATTTCCTTTGTTTTTGTCTCCCAAAAGAGACTGTGGAGAATTGGCATAATTTATTTTATAAATGTATGGTAAAATTCCTCCCTGAACTCATCTGGGTCTGGTATTTTCTATTTTGGTAACTGATTAACTATTAAGTCAATTTCCTTAATGGATATAAGCCTATTATAATTGTGTTTCTTTTAGTGTAAGATTTGACAGATTGTGTCTTTTAAGGAATTGGTCAATTTTATTTGGATTACCCAATTTGGAAGCATAGATTTGTTCATAATATTCTTTATCCTTTTGATGCCCATAAATCTATAGAGATGTCCTCTCTTTCATTTCTGATATTGGTAATTCGTGTGCTCTCTCTCATTCTCTCTCTCTTCCACTCCGATCTTTCCAAATAACCAGTTTTTTGTTTCATTGATTTTCTCTATTGATATCTGTCTTTAGTGTCATGGATTCCTCCACTAATTTTTATTATTTCTTTTCTCTGCCTACTTTGGATTTAATTTGTTCTATTTTTCTAGTTTCTTCATGTGAAGCTTATATTGTTGTTTGTTCTTTCTTCTTTTCTAACACATTCATTCGATGCTGTAAATTTCCCTCATAAATTGCTTTTGTTGCCTCCCACAAATTTTGATAAACTGTATTTTCTTTTAAATTCAGTTCAAAATATATTTTTAATTTCTCTTGAGATATTTTCTTTGACCCATGGGTAATTTAGAAATGTGTTATTTAACGTCCAAGTATTTTGGGATTTTTCCAGCTATCTTTCTGTTATCGACCTAGTGTAATTCCATTGTACTCTGATAGCAGACAATGCATGGTTTCTATTTTTTTTAATTTGTTAAGGTGTGTTTTATTGTTCAGATGTAATCTATCTTGGTGAACCTTCTATGTGAGCTTGAAAGGCTGTGTAATACGCTATTGTCAGATAAAGTAGTCTATACGTCGATTACATCCAAATGATTTGTTAATGCTGTACATCTATGTCCTTACCGATTTTCTGCCTGTTGGATTTGCCCATTTATGGTAGTAGGGTATTAAGGTCTCTAATTATAAGAGTAGATTTACGTAATTTTCCTTGCAGTCCTATCAGTTTTTGCCTCATATGTTATAACACTCTGATGTTAGGTGCATACGCACTAAGGATTTTTATGTGCTCTTGGAGTATTGACCCTTTAGCATTATGTAATATTTTTCTTTATCCCTGATTACTTTCTTTGCTCTGAAGTCTGTTCTGTCTGAAATTGATATAGCTACTCTGCTTTCTTTTGATTAGTGTTAGCATAGTATATCTCTCACCATCCTAATTTTTACTTTTAATCTATGAGTCTTTAGATTTAAAAGACTTTTTATAAATAACATATAATTGCTTGTAGTTTCTTGATCCATTCTTACAATCTTTGTCTTTAGTGTGTTAATATCATCCATATTAATTAGAATTAAAATTGATTGCCCTACAGGTTGCAATATACCTTTACATGTAATCCAAATGCACTTTAAAACAATGCTTTACTGCCTCATGGGTAGTGTGTGAACTTTATAACACAATAACTCTAATTACTCACTCCTGTCTCTTGTATCATTAGTGTCACTCATTTTATTTACACTTAGCCATATATATGAACAGAAGTATAAACAATCTAATTCATTATTGCTATTATTTTGAATAAACTGTTATTAGATAAATTAAAATAACAAAAATAAAAGATTTATCTTCACTTATTCCTTTTCTGATTCTATTCACTTATTTATGTAGATATGACTTTGTAACCTGTATCATTTTCCTTCTTTCTACATAACTTTTTTTTTTAACATTTCTTGCAAGGCAGGTCTACTGACAAAACATTCTCTCAATTTATGTTTGAGAATGTCTTTCTTTCTCTTTCACTTTTGGAGGATAATTTTGCAGGGTACAGAATTCTAGCTTGGTGAGTTTTTTATTTCTATCAAGAAATTAAATATTTAAACCCATTCTCTTCTTGCTTGCATAGCTTCTGAAAGGAAGTCAGATATAATATTTTTCTTTGATCTTTTATAATTAAGGTATTTTAAAAATCTGGCATCTTTTTAGATTTTTTCTTTGCCTTTCATTTTCTGAAGTTTGAGTATAATATGCCTACATGCAGGTTTTCTGGCATTTATCCTTCTTGGTGTTCTCTGAGCTTTCTGGATCTGTGGTTTGGTGTCTGTCATTAATTTGGGAGAAATTCTGTTATTATTGCTTCAAATCCTGCTTCTTTCTTTCTTCTTCTTGTATTTCCTTTATGCATAGTTTTTAGTTGTTTCACATTTCTTGGATATTATGTTCTGATTTATTTCATCATTTTTCTCTTTTCTATTTTGGAAGTTTCTGTAGTCATATTCTCCAGCTCAGAGAGGCTTTTCTCATACACATCTAGTCTGTTAATGAACCCATCAAAGGCATTCACCATTTCTATTAGTGTTTTTAAACTCTAATACTTCTTTTTGATTCTTTTTTATAATTTTCATCTGTTTACATTGTCTATGTGTTCTTCCAAGTTGTTTACTTTTTCTATTAAAGCCCTTAGCATATTGATCATAGTTACTAAATAAAAAATTTCTTGTCTAATAATTCCAAGTTTCTTGCCATATCTGACTCTGATTTTGATGATTGTTTTTTGTTTTCAAATTGTGCTTATTACATATTAGTATGCCTCGTAATATTTTGTTGAAAGGAAGACATGATGCACTGGGTAAACAGAACTGCAGTAAATAGGCCTTTAATAGATTGGTAAGGCATTGCAGTAGAGGAAGTTATTAGTATTTTGTTGAGCCTGTGACTTCGGACTATGAACTTTACCTACTTCTCAGCCCCATCCACAACCTCTGCCCATTGGGTGACATAGGATGACAAGAAGTGGCTGAAGTTGGGTGATATGGTTTGGCTGTGTCCCCACCCAAATCTCATATTGAACTGTAGTTCCCATAGTCCCCATGTGTCATAGGAGGGACTTAGCAGGAAGTGACTGAATCATGGGGGCGGTTACCTCCATGCTGTTCTCATGGTAGTGGGCGAATTCTCCTGAGATCTGGTGGTTTTATAAGGGGCTTTTCCTCCGCTTCGCTTTCACTTCTTGCTGCCACCACATGAAGAAAGATGTGTTTGCTTCCCCTTCCACCAAGATTGTAAGTTTCCTAAGGCTTCTGCAGCCAGGCCGTACTGTGAGTCAATTAAACCCCTTTTCTTTAGAAATTACTCTGTCTCAAGTATGTCCTTATAGCTGCGTGAGATCAGACTAATACATAGGATATTTTCCTTCCTTCATGTCAGTTAGGCTTTGACAATACCCCAAACGGTTAGTCCCTGATAAAATAGTTTCTCTGTACAAGTCTTTAAGAATGGGATGCACTTTTGTATTTCAAATTGGTTCATTTATCCCTCTCCCTGCCAGAAGCTTGAGAGATTTTTATCCAATATTCACTATGAGGAACTGGTAGAGTTCTTAGAGCTCAAATGCACAAAAGTGTGGGGGCCCTTTGTGACGGGCTCTCTTGGAGTTTTTAATTCTCAGAGTTGTCCACAGTGGGTCTCCAGCAATTCCTCAATTACGGTTCAGGTTTCCCTAGTGTGGCACTGGTTCCCACAGGTGTTACTGCTGATGGGTTTCTGTGCAAGTCGGTTTTGAAACTCTGTATCTGCCTGTGTCTCTCTCCAATTTCAGGGGCAACAGTTTGCTCTGTGATCTGACCTCTAGATGGATCTAAAAAGAACTGTTAGTTTTTCATTTGATAAGCTTTTAACTTGTTGTTAGAATGAAGTGGTGACCGCTAAGCTCTTTACATGCTGTAATGAAAACTGCAAGTCTAATGTATATTTTTTATTTAAAAAAATACCTGCTAGATTTACTTCTATTTAAAAGATAAAGATATGCAGTGCTTGTGGTTTTTTGTTTACCTTTTTTAAAAGTAGAAACAAAAACTGGGATTCCTTGATATCTGATAAATTAGCTTTTGTAAATCAGGTCAACGAAAGAACACAAACTTGCATAGCATTTCTATAATACTTAACTATGGTAAGATAAGAATCAAACATTTGTTAAAGGTGTCTTTGAGAATGAATTGGTTTGTCAATGATTAAGAACTTTAGAAATCCACTTAATGATATGTTTCTATATACATATACTCAATTTTCCATGCATATATATCATATATGTATATACGTATGTGTGTGTGTGTGTGTGTGTGTGTATATATATATATATGTAAACTGGGGGGTTTGTGTTACACAAACTCTGAAGCAGATCATGGATAAGCTTTAAGCACAAGAATAGTCAGCATTTCCAAGCACACAGGTGTTACATGAGGTTGCATAAATTTTTTTTAAAAAGCCTAAATATTACCTAAGTAATGTAGTTGGGTACTAATTCAGACACATTCTGAATCTTTACGTGTTTCATTTTATTTTATTAATTTACTTAAGCTAGGTTTCTATATGTTTCACAGAATAAGATGTGGTCCAGGGATTGGATGAGTCCATAGAGAATATCCTAATTGCCTCTTGAGCAGCAAGGACCATTATTAATGTGATTTCATTCTGTAAGGTGGTAATTCTTCTGTCAGTGTATGTAGATACAAAAGAAATGTAAACACCATAATTTAAAAATCCATTTACAGACATGAGAAGATGGAGACAGGGCACTAGTATGAGATAGACTTTAGAGGAAACTTCATGCCAGATATTATAATGGAAATCCTAATATGTAGCCAAATTCGGGTCAGTACAGGTGGAATAATACTGAGGGATTTAGAATAGGTTAGGATTTAATTCCTGCATCTATGCCTCAATTAACTGTGTAATTTTGAGTAAATTCCTCATCCTTTCTGTTCCTCAGCTTTCTTATCTGTAAAACAGTAGTAATAACTGCCTCACAGAATTGTGCTGAAAATTAAATGATATAATGACATAAGGTTCATAAAATATGTAGCACAATTAATTAATGGCACATGATAAATGACTAATTAGGACTCCGGTGGCTGTGGAGAAGAAAAGACTAAGCAACTCCACCTTAAGTAACAGCCATTTCTTACTTCATATGACTAAAGAGTCTACATGAGTCATATGAAGAGCGTACACAACTATTTTCTTTTTGCTTCTTTGTTTCTCAGATTTGCATTCTTCTACATATTTGGCTTCTACTTATGGTTTGCTTTTATGATTACAACATGGCAGCAGCTGTTTCTCATATTCCCTCACGAAAGAGCACAAAAGTGTCTGCTTTTTCCTAGGAATTCCATTAATTCCTACATATCATTGGTTCTGCATGGATTTTTTTCCCCAACACAATATCCAGCAGTCTCAGTTCCATTAAAAACAATAGACTAAGAGCAGGTAAGTGGCCATTTCCCAGGCATAAGTTGGAATAAGCTTACCAATGGATGGCTTTCAAATTCCTCCCTAATGAGCATGCAGTTGTGGTAACCATCATATTGCCATCATCGTTGAGATTGCCATAATGGAATTTTGGTGACCAATTTAGAGGAGAGAGAAAAGGGTGTGCACCTGAGAAAGTCTACACGCTATTCAATTATTTCTGCTTTGTAACATACAGAATAAAAGGAAAGACATTCAAACGGGAAATAAGTACATAGAACAAGCCATAGGAGGTGTAGAATTTTGGGACAGGAGGGAACATTTCAGATGCTGGTTCTATCAGGGAATTGGTGAAAGACAAAAAGTGCTCTATGAATCTAAACTCAGATGTTGACCTACATATTTTTGAAATCTAAAAGCTTAGTAAGTTTCTACACTTAAATTTAAAATGCAAAAATCACAAACTAGTCTAGCAAAAAGTGTATTTTTTTTCCTTCCCATGCTGTTGCTAAAAAACAAAACAAAAACAAAAACTTATCTAGTTCTCATGATGAACAGTGGTCAATCTCAAAGACTCCCAGTGCAACTTTGGAATAACAGAATTTTTGTCAACCTTAACTCTCATTTTAAAAATATTATCATTTTATTTCCTGATCTTAATACTTTTCCAAATGCTCTAAACTTTGCAGTATTTATATCCTTATGCCCACTATTCATATGACTTTTATACTTGTGTCTTCTACTGCTATCAATTTTTAATGATTTATATATCTCTACCTTAATCTCAGATCTTTCTCTTGGGCCCCAGGCCTGCAATTCCATTCCCTTTTGACTGATAGAGAACTGATGTTCAACACCTCTGATACTGAATTTATGATCTCCTTCCCAAAGGTGTTCATATTACATTTCATTTCAGTGAATGTCATCATAATTCATCCTATCTCCCACACTGTGAAGGAAGCGCCTCCTCTTTTAATCTTTCCTCCCTCATTACATATATGCCATCACCAAACACGTTTGGTTGATTTAATTTAGAAAAGCTTCTTAAGTCTGCAGTCTCTACTCTATGCCCATGGTGATCGCCTTGGTCCGGGTCTTCATCAGCTCACATTTTGAAAAAAAATCATTGATTTATTCACAAAATATTTACTGAGTAGCTACTATATCCCAGGCAATGTTCTGGTCACTGAGGCTATGGCAATCATCTCAAAAGATATAAAAAATGACATACTAGTGGGAAAATGATAACTATTCCTGTAATGATTTTTTTAAAGAAAAATAAAATAGGAAATAAGGAAAGAGAGTAGCAGCGACTGTTATTTAAAGAAGGTGATTCAAATCAATCTATGTAAAGTGGCAATATTTGAGCAGAGACTTGAAGGAGGTAAAGACAAAAGGCTTGTCACTCCCTCCTCTCTTACTGGCCTCTACTAACTTGTCACTCTCTCTGAAACAATCTTTTCCAGGGAACACAGGAGTTATTTTGTATACAGATAAGAGTCAATTATGTAGCTCTTCTATTTAAGAAACTGTCAGTTGTTTACCCTCTTGTTCCTGCTTCTCATTTCCTACTCCACATCCTATACTCTCATCATCTACCCTTCCCATTGATCTCTACATATAGCATAACTTTTTATGCCTTTACACACTTAGTTTAAAAAAAAATCTAAAAGGAACTTTCCTCTTCCCAATCCATTAACTTTCTGCTAAACCCTTAAGGACTCATCTTAAATGTCACTTTCTCTGGTGAGTCTTCCCTAATTTCTGGTAGTAACAGTAGTCACATCATCTCTTATACCTACTTTGTCATGGTGTGTAACACAATGGATTGAAATTTCTTACCTTTTACATCAGTCTACCTTTAGGGCGGTGATTGACATTTATTTGGGCATACGGCTCAGTGACTGATGCTTGTAGATAGTAAATATGTTTGTAGAATCAATCAAGTAGCTTGGAGTGAAGAAAGGAGATTAACGGTTGGGGGCTCAATTATCTTTGCCAGTCACAAAAATCTGTGGCTTGATTCTAATTTCATTAGCAAAATAAAGTTATATTTTATATGCATGTCTACACTTCTGCATTTGAGTATTTGCTCTTGGGGTTTTCCTTTATCTTTTCTTTCAGTTTTTCTGGTGTGTGTGTGTGTGTGTGTGTGTATGTATTTACATGTGCCATTTTGTATTCCATATAAAGGGCAAAGGGAAATTGTACAAACTTAAAACCATGATAGTTTAGCATACCACCTACAGGCCTTTAAAGGACAGGTGTGGTATCCAGCTCAAGAGAAATGAGAACATCTATGAAAAGGGGATCTTAAGCTCCTTATCCAGCAGCCTAAGACATGGGTTGCTTTCTGATGGAAAATTTCTCTGTAGGAGCTGAGTGAAGTGAAACATATCTAAAGTGTTGAATTCATTTCTGCTTCTGTGACACAGGTGAATTTTTCATTCTCATCCAATTCTATGCCAGGTGTTGAAAAATAGGGAAGGATTAAAACAAGTTATTTATTATTTTTATTATTGTTTATTGATTGCTTAACTATGTGAGGCTGAGCTAAACTCATATTATCAAATATTACTCTTTTCACTATTCTTTTGTTGAGGCATGATTTTCACCATTTACAGAGAAAATCAGTTCAGACAGTTTCAGTTACATGACTATTCATGTATCTATTAGGAAGTAGAGCTGGGACAAAATTCAAGTATCTACATCAAGTCTACATAAATCTATGTTTTAGAACCATAGATTGTTAATTTCCATTTAGTAGGCATCTAAGTAATGCCTGCTTAAAAATGTAGTTTGTACATGGAATAGAATATATATATATGTATATATACATAAAATTTTGTAAAAAAAAACTATAAAACACTAATTTTCAATGATTCTCATGAATTTTCCCTCAAAGTAACTTGAAAGTGATTGCTAATGCCCCTGATTTCTTGCCACAAAGCCCTTAAAGAGCTGTCTTTTTAAAAGAGGAGCTATAAATTTCACTTGGTTGAATTTTTTTCTGTTAACAAGCCAGTCTCTTTAACATTAGAGAATATTTTTATAAAGGAATATTAATAGGACAAACAATTGTAAGATTGTGTGTCATACTGGCAAAATCAAGGATTAAAAATAGTTTTAAGAATGCTTTAAATATGGTAATTGCAGTACCGCAAAGAAAAAGATGATCTATTTTCTCTTCTTTGTTTGCATAAAGACTCATATATCTTACTACATATCCTTGGCATATTAAGATCCGTTGTAGATGGTTGAAAAAGAAATTCTAACAGATAATTTGCCCCTGAAATAAGTGAAAATGATGAAAATAAAGACTGACATCTAATTTTAAAATGCTTTCATTTATAAATGTGACAACTGAGTAGACAGTGAGCAGACATACATGATCAAAAAATTCTTTGTAAGCAACTCCTCAGAGCAATTTAGTGGTTATTTGATTAAACAAATAGAGTGGGTCTGAAACTTCACAATGGCAGAAATTAGTATCTTTTGCAGAAACGAAAAAGAATGTGTTGTGCTCCGACCATCAGGCTAAAATACGGTTTTTTACAACATAATCCAGGCTCCAGTTCTTCCACCCGAAGTCCCGCACAAGTTGATCTTTGGGAACAGTAGAAAAAAACATGGATGCATTTCACTTTAGGACTGAATTATAAATGTCTTCATGGTCTCACTATGTTGGGATATTTGAGGCAACCAGGAATAGTAAGCGCTGAAGCCAAAAATAGAACCGATTTTTCTGGTGGTCAGTACGCACTGAGCCTGGGTCAGATAGTCAGGCAGGGGTGTTTTCGTCAGCATCCTGGCCGAGGCTTATAAGCTCTGATTAGAATTACTGGTCCTCACTAAATCACTGTAGGCTGAGAGCTAGGTCACTATTTGGCTAGATTTAATTTCGCCTTCAACATGAGAAATCAGTGTGTCATGTTTCTACACAAAAGGGAAAAGCATTTAAATATTGTATCTATGTGAAGGCCAATTATGTTATCTCATTCTTATGTATTCCTGCTATAAAATATTTGAGGGCGACAATCAGGCATATCATTGGTTCCATTTTTCTTCTCTCATTTTCCAGATTACAAGATTTTTAGTAAGGCCAATCTTTTAGGATTTTGTAGAAATTTCTTTCTTCCTTCTTTCTTTTTTTCTTTGTTGTTGTTGTTGTTAGTCCCTTGTTTGTAATTTCTGCCTACTTAGTCAGACTTTACTTCATTCAAAAACCTAAATTTTACCTAGCACTTTGGGAGGCCAAGGCAGACGGATTGCCTGAGCTCAGGAGTTCGAGACCAGCCTGGGCAACACGGTGAAACCCCATCTTTACTAAAATACAAAAGAAATTAGCCGGGTGTGGCGGCATGCGCCTCTAATCCCAGCTACTCGGGAGGCTGAGGTGGGAGAATTGCTTGAACCCGGGAGGCGGAGGTTGCAGTGAGCTGAGATTGTGCCACTGCACTCCAGCTTGGGCGACAGAGCGAGACTCTGTCTCCACCAAAAAAAAAAAAAAACTAATAATAATAATAAATAAATAAATAAATTTTCAATGTTTAATGATACGTAATAATTGCACATATTTATAGGAATACATGTGATATTTTGATACACACATACAATGTTTAATGATCAAATGAGGGTTATTGGGATATTCATCACCTCAAGCACTTATTATTTCATTGTGTTAGGAACATTCCAACTTCACTCTTCTAGTTATTTTGAAATACGCAATAAATGATTGTTACCTATGGTTACCTTATTGTGATAATGAACACTGATTTTATTACTTTCATCTAACCATATTTGTACTCATTAACCAATCCCTCTTAAAACTTGTTTCTTCACTACCCTTCCCAGTTTATTATAACCATTGTTTTCCTATATCTATAAGATCAATTTTTTTAGCTCCCACATATGAGTGAAAACATGAGATATTGGTCATTCTGTGCCTAGCTCATTTCACTTAACATGATGTCTTCCAGTTCCGTCCATGTGCTCAACATCACTAATCATCAGAGAAATGCAAATCAAGACTACAATGAGCTATTATCTCACCCCAATTAAAATGGTTTTATCAAAAAATAAAACACAGGCAACAATGAATGTTGATGAGAATGTGGAGAAAGGGGGACACTTGTACACTGTTAGTAGAAATGTAAATTAGTAAAACCATGGAGGTCCCTCAAAAAACTAAAAATTGAAGTTATTTTATTATATATTATCTACTCCAATTACATATGGCAAGCTTTTTTTTTCTAATTTTTAAAATATTGTGTTACATTAGTTAAGATATTGAACAATTTGATATTGTTCTTTAAAAGCTTATTACTGAGGCCGTGCATGGTGGCTCACACCTATAATCCCAGCACTTTAGCAGGCCAAGGAAGGAGGATCTCTTGAGTTCAGGAGTTTGAGACCAGCCTGGGCAACATAGGGACACCCTGTCTCTACAAAAGGATGAAAATTAGCTGAGCAAGGTGGTGTGTGTCTGTAGTCCTAGCTACTTGGGAAGCTGAGGCAGGAGGATTGCTTGAGCCTAGGAGGTCAAGGCTGCAGTGAACTATGATCATGCTATTGCACTCCAGCCTGGGGATGACAGGACAAGACCCTGTCTTTAAAAATAAATAAATACATAAATAAATAAATCGCTTACTGCTAAATCCAACACTAGGACTGAGTTGTGCAAAAGATGACTCAGATTCAGACTCTCCAAATACATCCGAATCTGTTTCTATGAAAAAATGTTATAGGTTAAGTCATAGAACAACTTAAGAATATCAACTCAGAAACATTAACAAAAAATATGACCTACCTCACAACCAATAATGAAAACACAGGTTGTTATGATCCTCTAGCTACCAAACTCTATCATATGAATGTTGCATTGATTTTCCACTCTTTTCTAATTGCCACTAAGGGAAGAATATATTCCAGTATTGTGAAATTTTGAAAAATTAAGCAGTTCTCTGGAAAGAAGAGAGGGAGTGGAAAGCAGGGTTGTTAGCAGTAAATTTGCACTGCAGGTTCATTCTAAGAAATGAGGAAATTATGCTCTTCTGTTTTATTTTGGTGGCAAAAGGGGGAATGGTTATCAATGGAAGTTGGCAACTAGTGTTTGTCTTAGAATTTGAACAGTCTCCTTAAATCAATTCTTTGATCTTCCAACTCACTTTGCTGATTCTTTCCACTTTTTTCCTACTTTTCCATTGCAACTCAAAATCTAATGTATTTTAATGTTTATCCATTTTTGTCTTTACATCTAAAGTTTCTTAAAATTTTAATTTTTCATACCCACATGTGTTTCCTCCTTAGCCATTTGTATATTACTTCTTTTTTTAAATAATAGTAGGAAAAATGTTGCTCAAGTCAAGAAGAATCTTTATATTGAAAATTCATTATGATTTTATTATTATTATTATTGTTAATATTATTTTGAGATGAAGTCTCGCTTTGTCACCCAGGTTGGAGTGCAGTGGCACGATCTTGGTTCACTGCAACCTCCATCTCCAGAGTTCAAGCAATTCTCCTGCCTCAGCCTCCTGAGTACCTGGGACTACAGGTGCCTGCCACCACACACGGCTAATTTTTGTATTTTTAGTAGAGACGGGGTTTCACCATGTTGGCCAGGCTGGTCTCGAACTCCTGACCTCAAGTGATCCACCCACCTCGGCCTCTAAAAGTGCTGAGATTACAGGCATGAGCCACTTCACCCGGCCTCATTAAGATTTTAAAACATTATGAAATTTATGTAAGATTTCCAAATTCCCCAATCCCTAGTTGCACACTGTTTTGCTTTTCTACACATTATGGGAAATGTTTAAAATATAATCACTCCATTCATGGACTCAATTAATTATTGAAGTTGCCATTCATACTGCATTTATTGTGTACGAGTGAAAATTATGTTTTTGGGGATAATCAACAACAACTAAAATAAAAACAAACAAAATTCACTTTGCACTACCAGGGAGTAAAATGTTGCAGTAGAGAAGTAGAGCCCGAATTAAACAGAAAAATACTGGCCAATACTCCAACTTCAGGATAAATCCAACCTAGACGTCTGAGCTTACATAAAAGACCAAAACAACAGTTATAATTTACCAGGGCTAGTTCGACAGTACAACAGTTAAAGTCACCCAAGTTGTAAAAAGACAATGTATGGCATCTCTTTAATTAGAGTTTAAATCTGCTCATCTTGATGCGGTAATAAACAGAGAAATGTCAGGTTATATGCTCTTTTGGAAGACAGCACTTCTATATAACACATGTGGCAGTTTCCAATTCAAGCCCTGATTCCTGGCTCCTGCTTCTGAAACACAATGTTTCATTTTAATGAAAAATACATTACTGTGGTAAGATAGGTCATCAGCTGTTAAGTGTAATGCAATTTCTATAATAAAATTAATTTTATAGCTTGCATAAAAGACTTTACGCAGGTTAAATACTGTTAATTACTAGCTAAATTTTGTTCCTTAGAATGCATAAATGAAGCACCTCCACCCTCTATAAAAATAATGTCTATAGTATAAAATGTCCATAGGATTCTTTATGATTTCCATTTTTTATATTATGCTAAAATGCCAGCCATAGCCAACTGTGAGTTAATATGGCCTTTCATCGGTCACTGAAACAGAGGATATATTTGCTGATGTCTTAAGACTAAAACAGTTGTGCTGGTGAAAGGCCATTGCAATTTTCTTCTGGGTTACTTATTTAGAGATAGCAATTCAGACCAAAAAAACTCTGATACATGGTTATAGATTTACATAACCTAAGTGAACCATCCAGCAAATGGATGCAATTGATCTCAAAGGGAGGTGCAGGAGAGTAAACGACATTCAAACCCCACCTATAACCAACATTGGAAAAACATTTCAATGTGAGTACAATTACAGTCACATAAAAGGACAACATATTATTGGTCAAATGTACATGTGAGCATTAATGCAATAACCATTTTGCTCTGTGAAAAGTTTTCATTGAGCTATTTGCTAAAATAATGTCTTAAGTAATAAAGAATTTGGAATTAGTACAGAATATGGAATTGGACAGCTCTGAATTTGAATCCAAACTTTTTCATCAATTAGTTGCTTAGAGCTAGGACAAGTTACTGTATCTTCCTGATCCTGTTTTATTATCTGCTCTGTAAGTAAGTACGAGACAATTGCCTCATAGTGTTATTGACAGGCTTGAATATAATGTTGGATACAAATTTCCTGGCACTAACGTGGCCTTTATAGATGTTGCTTTTCCTTCTGTTTTGCTCTTTCTATTGACTCATGGGAGCCATTAAGGAAGAGATGTCATCAGATTTTAGATGCTCATTTGTTTGTCTACGCTATTGGGATACTACAGCGAATCACTGATTTGAATGGAGTGATACCTGGTTTAAAAAGGCATTACATTGTGTAAAATGTTACATTTAATTCAATCTAAGAAATTTTAAATTAGTTTTGCAAATAGCACATCTATGCTTTTTGACACTTGTTATATGGAAAACAGGAACCCTAGCAAAAAAAAAAAATAGGAAAAGTCTTCAGGAGAACATTTTTAAAAATATCCCTCATTTAACTCCAGACAGGAGGCAAAGACAGAGGAAGAGCGTACAGAAACTCCCAGATGTGGAAAGATGTCAGAGATTCTCTACTCTGCATTCTGTCACATTCAGGCTGTAGCTATTACCAGTGTACCTTGCTTTCCTGGTAATAAGGACACAATCGTTCATCCTCCCCTGGCCACTCTCAGCCTTGGAAGTTACTGTATAGTGGATAGTAGATACTGGATGAGCCATCACAAGGTGGCCCTGGCACAGAAAGCATGGGTGACAGGGCTCCACACAAGCAGAGGACAATTCAAACAGGCTGCGGGAAGATCATGCAGGGAAGCAATGTCGTTTCAACAAAGAACTCAGCAGGATAAATACGATCAAGCTCGTATCTCACAAATTATCACTTGTGTCTGAATGTCTTCCATTTCTGTTCGTATTCATTCCTAATGGATTAGGTCTCATCCCCCAAGTATGTTTCTAGTGAATATGAAAAACCCTATTGTCACATATTTCTTTCTTTATATACAACTACCATCATTTCATTAACTGTTGCTTAAAGGAACATTTTTTAAAAGTAATCTGACACGTTACTTTACCATTTTTTGATCAATTTATGTTGTGTCTTCTTTACATATACTTTGAAGGGCCATATCTGAAACAGAACTTTCTTTTTTCATTAAAAAACTAGCATATGTGGGCTATCTGCCTTTATATTCATTTTATTGACTATTTTACTATGAACAGTCTTATATTTTACTTTATATTAATTCCTCCAGATTAATGGCAAGTATTTAACCTAACATATGGATCCATCTCACTTAATATTAGTTTAACTTCATTTAATTCCTTTCTTTTTACTCATAATCAACTACTTTTCCTGATGAGATATTAAGAAAGAAGATATGTTTTGGCACCTCTGTCCATCTCTTTACCCATTTCTTACTCCTCTAAGAAGGGAAGAAATTCTAATCTGATTACACATTACCAATTAATCGGGCCACATTCACTTGTTGGTCGTCTGGCTGAATATTTTTACATCATGAGCAAACCATGGTGCTCTTCTTCTCTCTTGCCCTGCCTTAATGAAGTAAGGCGTTTTCCTTGGCTTATTTCCTTTCTCATTGAAGCAGAGTTGAAATGTTGAGACTGGGTGTAGCTTCTCCTAACCCCTGCCATATTATCTGCTGAAACTGAAGCGTGAAAATGACCTTCATGGACTCTGAGCCTCAGCTTCACATTTCCACACAGGCGCCACAGAGATGCCATATTATCTGATGAAACTGAAGGGTGAGAAATGACCTTCATGGACCTGGAGCCTCAGCTTCACATTTCCACACAGGCGCCACAGAGATGCCATATTATCTGATGAAACTGAAGAGTGAGAAATGACCTTCATGGACCTGGAGCCTCAGCTTCACATTTCCACACAGGTGCCACAGAGACGCCATATTATCTGATGAAACTGAAGAGTGAGAAATGACCTTCATGGACCTGGAGCCTCAGCTTCACATTTCCACACGGGCCCCACAGAGACACCATATTGGAGGGCAAGCTCAAGGCAGTGCCTTTACTAGAAAGGTTTTTAAAAGGGAACCCTTGTTCACATTTGTCAGGACACTGCTTATCTCTCTAGTTGAACCTGTATAACTTATTTTATAAGATGGTAAGATACAAAGACTCTTAATTTTCTATCTACCAGGACTCTTGACATAAATTCAAAGCTCACTTATAACAGCTCTAGCGTCCCAAGTGCCTTTGACTACACTCCAATTTAACGTATTGTTCAGTTTTTATGTAACTGTCTTCCTTATATTGTGCTTAATTTTCTTATTAATTTAACATTTTAAGAAGAATACTCTGCCGGGCGCGGTAGCTCACACCTGTAATCCCAGCACTTTGGGAGGCTGAGGCGGGTGGATCACGAGGTCAGGAGATCGAGACCATCCTGGCTAACAAGGTGAAACCCCGTCTCTACTAAAAATACAAAAAATTAGCCGGGCGTGGGGGCGGCGCCTGTAGTCCCAGCTACTCCGGAGGCTGAGGCAGGAGAATGGCGGGAACCCAGGAGGGGAGCTTGCAGTGAGCCCAGATCGCGCCCCTGCACTCCAGCCTGGGTGACAGAGCGAGACTCCGTCTCAAAAAAAAAAAAAAAAAAAAAAAAAAAAAAAAAAAAAAAAAAAAGAATACTCATTCTGAGAAGTTTACAAATCAGTTAGGCTTAATTAAGTGTTTAAAGAAATTAAATGTTTTAAAAATATTAAAGGCACACATATAAAATAATGATACTAGACTTAATTATGGAGAGCAGCCTCCCCTACAAATTTCAGCCACGATACAAGAGCAGTAAGCAGATCAGACTACTCACCTTCATTCCAACATTTCAAGTGACTGGGGAAAGAATAGGGACAAAATAAAATAAAACAAAATAAAGGTTTCTTGTGGAACACTGAAAAATTATTATGTGCCAAAGTGTAAGAATGCTTTATATCCATCACATCATTTGTCCTGGGAGGTACTTTCTATTATTGATTTCATTTGACAAATGAGGAAACAGAGGTCTGAATAGGCAGAGAAACAACTGTCAACTTTGTACTTCTTAGTACAACTTTACTGCCTCTGAGGCCTGCCTACATTCCTGCACTGGGGTTTCGTGAACATCGCTTGAGGCCATTGGCCCTATGTCTGTCATCTCTTATGTTTCATTAATAAACACCCTCAGCTCTTGATCTGTGAGGATCTTAATAAATATGGTTGTATTAAATTGTTGCACTTTAAAGAATAATATATGATATTAAGAAATACTATTTCTGATAACAGCTTAAGCCATAATATGAAGTGTGCTGATACAAGAGGAGTTTGTAGGTCTTAAAAACAAAAAAACAAAAAAACTAAGCTTTAATTTAGTATAAGTTTCTGACTTTTCTGCTAAAATTTATCTAGGAGTATATATAAAGAAAAGGCCTTATTGGATAAACTGGTAAATGCATCTCTCAAGTTTTATTTTATATTCAACATAATATGAAGTAAAAATAAAATACAACTAAGAAATATATAGCATTGGCTACTTTTTGAAACATTTCTCCACAAAATAGCAGGTAAAATATGAAAAAGTTTCGACACAATGTTTTGAATCTCTATTTCTTTATATCCTAAAGGAAATAAGAATTTGATATGCCTCAAGGAAAAAAAAACCAACAAAGATTTTTTTTTGCGGGGGAAAGAAAGTCTACTATCCAGCCTCGGAGATTAGATTTAAAAGCCAAGGAAAACTTTGTTAGATTGTAGTGTGACAGAGCAAACCAATCTTTAAATCTACCAAAACACTTCTAGAATGCTAGAACACAGTATGTGTGAAAAAATGACAAGTGTTTTGAGAAACATCATTTTTTTATGTCCTAAACCACTGACATACAAAGTATGAAAAGATGTGGTATAACATGGATTTGAGAATATATACTGTAGAACAACTATTAACAAGCTTTTTTTGGTATTGAAGTGTGTTCCACAAAACAGTTTTTACTGTTACATGAAGAAGAAAGTGAACCAAAGTAAATTAAACTACCAGAAAGAGGTGTTAGCTTGACATTAAGAATCTACAAATCTACATTTGTTTCCATTCTTAAAAATCAGCTTTTAATTAATAATAATAAGATTATAATCATTAAAAAATATATATTTTTAAAGTATTTGTTTACTTTCCTTAACTTGTAAATCACTACTGGTGTTTTCCAATTCTCTTAGTGAATTTAAATGACAATATCATTCCTTAATTTTTCTATGACCTGAAAAAGTCCAATTAGAAAATGAGCAAATTGCTCACAATGCTCACAGAAATCAAAGTAAAAGCTTGTATTTAAAGAACATCAGTCTCTACTAAAACAAGAAATACCTAAAGATACGAATATATCCTAAATGTTGCAAAGCACATAAACCGGGTTGAAATAAAAATTTGAATGGGTAATTATGTAACATAAAGCCAGATAACCCAACCAGTTCATAACATTTTATACTTAATATAGGATATTATAAATTAGATAGTTACTGATGAGATAATAGCTTTTATAGTTAACTCTGTAGTAATTAAGTAGGATGGCAAGGCAGCAAAGAGGTCAAATTAATTTCTGAGTTCTTCCATTTATCTTTAGAAATGATGGGGAAAATTCTAACTCCAAAAGTGTTTTGTGGGAATCCAAAGAACAGTTTTGACAAAGAGGAGATCTCAAGAAAGCATTTATGATTAAGCAACCTGACATAAACAGTAATCACAAATTATTAGAACCAGTTGATGTTTATCTAAATGGATAAATCATTCATCTGGATAATTATCAACCCAGACAAACTACAGGCCCTGAAATTGCAATTATGAAGGAGAACCAATCAAATCTTATGACCAAATTTAAAATTTTCACGATGGTAGAAATTATGAATCATAAAATGCTACCTTTGACTCAAGAAATGCAACCCTTGGTTAGACAGTATATTAAAAACTAGATGGCTAATGAGATATTTGTATGGTTTCTTTTTACACTTGTTTTCGTGACATTAAGACTCTCAAAGAATCGCAAATTCAAATAAAGCAATAGCCCTCTTTATTGGGGAATCTGCCCTGATATTCCGTAGGTTCTTTTCTATTTTCCCTAAGTGCCGGCCGGCTTGAGAAATAAAGGGACAGAGTATGAAAGAGAGAAATTTTAAAGCTGGGCGTCTGGGGGAGACATCACATGTCAGTAGGTTCCATGATGCCCAGCTTTAAAACAAGCCACAAAAACCAGCAAGTTTTTATTAGAGATTTTCAAAAGGGGAGGGAGTGTGCGAATAGGTGTGGGTGACAGACATCAAGTACTTTACAAGGTAATAGAATATCACAAGGCAAATGGAGGCAGGGTGAGATCACAGGACCACAGGACAGGGGCGAAATTAAAATTGCTAATGAAGTTTCGGGCACCATTGTCATTGATAACATCTTATCAGAAGACAGGTTTTGAGATCAACCGGTATGACCAAAATTATTAGGTGGGAATTTCCTCTTCCTAATAAGCCTGGGAGCGCTATGGGAGACTGGAGTCCATTTCATCTCTGCAATGTCGAACATAAGAGATGACCACGCCCAGCGGGGCCAGTTCAGAGACCCAACCCCAGGTGCGCATACTCTTTCTCAAGGATGTTCCATGCTGAGAAAAAGAATTCAGTGATATTTCTCCCATTTGCTTTTGAAAGAAGAGAAATATGGCTCTGTTCCGCCCGGCTCACCAGCGGTCAGAGTTTAAGGTTATCTCTGTTGTTTCCTAAACACTGCTGTCGCCTTGTTCTTTTTTCAAGGTACCCAGATTTCATATTGCTTAAACACACATGCTCTATAATTTGTGCAGTTAATGCAATTATCACTTGGTCCTGAGGCGACATACATCCTCCTCATCTGACAGGATTAAGAGATTAAAGTAAAGACAGGCATAGGAAATCACAAGGGTATTGATTGGGGAAGTGATAAGTGTCCGTGAAATCTTCACAACTTATGTTTAGAGATTGCAGTAAAGACAGGCATAAGAAATTACAAAAGTATTAATTTGGGGAACCAATAAATGTCCATAAAATCTTCACAATCCACGTTCTTCTACCATGGCTTCAGCCGGTCCCTTCGTTCAGGGTCCCTGACTTCCCGCAACACCTCTTCTCTCTGAGTTTAGCTTAGACTTTCCCTTAGCTAACGTGTCTGAACGTGTTCTTTGTTCTTGAGCAAGAGTTCACCATTAAAACTCACACAGAAAGAACTTGTCAAGACTTTACTAAATACAGTTTAGGATGTTTCTAATTTTCATTAAAAAAAAAGTGTAGGTATTTTTAATGAGATTACATAATTTCTAAGTCAGTTATTTAAGACCCACCAAATTACAATAATTTATTTCTTTCAGGAAAAAAAAAAAAACTAGCAATAAGCCTGCTGTCTGGCTTCATCAGCTCTAGATGCAAATAGGAAACTAAGGCAATATTCCATTGAGAGCTGATGGTGGATTATACCAGTGTAGTGTCAGTGTAAATTACTTCAACTGGTATTCAATTTAAAAGCAGACTTGCAGGATTTCCTGATGGATTGAATCTGGGAAAAATAGAAATAACAGGTAAGGATAACTTCATAGAGTTTGGTTTAAATAATCGAAGAATAAAATTATCATTTATTGAGCTGGCCAACTTGCAGGAGAACCAGGTTTAGGGAGAAAATCAGAAAGTCAATTTTGCAAATAATAACCTTGAGTTACTTATTAGATTTCAAGAAGTAATATCAACTAGGTGGCTCAATGTACAATTCCAGAGTTCTACAGCACAATGAAGGCTGGGGATTAAAAACTTGAAAATTGGCAGTATAGGCATAGGAGTTAAAGCATGACACCATCTGAGATAAAAAGAAAATGCATTTAAATAGAGGAAATAAATGCCAGAATCATCCCTTCTGTGCTGTAATTGAGAAATCAGGAAGATGGTGGTCAACGAAGCAACCTAGGAAGCAGCAGCTAATAAGGTAAACAGAATTGACAATATTGTGTCCTGGAACCCAAGTGACAAATATGTTTTAAGGAGAAGTCAATGATTACCTATGTCAAATTCTGTGAAAAGGACTAAAAGTTGAAGAATATGGAGATCAATGTTGGCCTTGGCAACAACAAATTTTGGAAAGTAGAAAAGGAGAAGGCAGATTGGGGTGGAATCTTTAAAAACCAAGATGAAAGCATTTGGGTACAATGGATGCATGGAGTTTTGCTCTCAGGATCAGAGAAAGGAGGCAGTATCTTGAGAGATTTGTAGAATATGGAAAGGTATTTTAAAATAAGAATAATTGTAGCATGTTTGCATATGAAGAATATGATTAATTAGCAAGAGGAGAATTGATGATACAGAAGAAAGGGAAAAGTTGGTGGAATAATGTTCCTGCATTAATTGAGAGGCGATAGGGTCTGGCACACAGGTAGAAGGCTTAGCATTTCCTATGAACACACTGTGGCCTCTTAGGGCACCTTCTCCATAGCACCCACAGTGATATTTTCTCGTATTAAGCCAGATCATAAGGTATGGCTGGATAAAAAGTCTTCAGTGGCTTTCCATCTCATTCAAAGTAAAAGCCTGAGATGTTACAGAGGCCTACAAGGAACTATGTAATTTGGCTCCATTACCCCACTGTCTCCTTCTGCTCTCACTGTCCTTCAGCTGACTACAGCCCAGTCAGACAGAGCTCCTTACCCTCCCTCAAACACACCAGACACCTGCAGGCCTCTCTACCTGCAAAGTCTGTACTCTTAACAACTAGGCTATCCTGCATGGCTTGTCTTCTCTGTTCCTTTGCGTCTTTGCTCACATTTCACCTGCTTAATGAAGTCTTTCCTGACCTTGTAACCGTCCACCCTCCATGTGTATTTCTTCTCCTTAGCACTTACCAATACATGACATATTAAGAGTTTTAAATATTTTCTTTGATAATTGTCTTACCCCTCTAAATAATAGATTTTAAGAGAACACAAATTTTCGCCCGTTGTTCACTGCTATATATCCAGCAGCTAAATTACTATCTATCACATATTACATGCTCAGTAAGTTTGCCAGATAAATGAAGAAATGATATTTTAGGGCTTAACCTCAAATTTTTACTGCTTTGCATAAAAATCCTAAAGCAACATTAATGTTTAAACAATATGCAATCACATACACTAGAGGGTATTGTAGTTTTCAATGAGATTTCTCATATTGGTAACTAGAGCATTGGTGAAAGTTTACAAAAAAAATACATTTCCTACTTCGTAATTGGAAGAAACCAGGCCCTCTCGGAAATGTTTCTGATATGACACCAAGTACAGATAAATGCTACAGGATAAGAATAATATAAAAAAGAGATTCCTTTTCTACTTAATTGTATGGAGCCTGATATATTTATGGCTCTTCAGGTAAACAATAGTTTTTTTTTTAAACAATTCCAAGGCTCTGGTATATTCTATTGCAAAGAAAAGCAGTGAATCACAGGAATTCTGTAAACTATTTGACTAAATTTGGTTGCCAATCTCTACCATGTTTTCCAAACATTTGTTCAAAAAGTTTCCTCTTAGTCCCTGTTACTAGTATACACAATAGCTGTTATTTGTTGATGATTATTATGCAGATATTGTCCTCCTTTGATCTTGATATACAATAATTAATCATACAACAGATGTGAGCTGTGTTGTATTCTTTATTATCCCCATTTTTAACAGAAGGGAACTGGGGCTTAGAAAAATCAGATAACTGGCCTGTGATCACATTTCTGATTTGTGTCAAATCTGGGATTCAAACCAAAAAAGCCGACTCCAGAATTCACAGCCTGAACCACTTTGCTCAGCTATTGCCTTGGGCTTCCTAGGTCAGCCATACAACCTCAGGAACCCTACAGTCATTGAGCTGGAGACTCGTATTTGTCCATGGAAAGTGTCTTTGTTTCGAAAGAGCTAATCAAGAATTCACATTAAAGCAAAAAGACAATTGAAAAGAAATTGCTGCCTTCAAACACGCAGTCAAGAAGATAACAGCCAGATTCCAAAAGATTCTGATGCAATCTAAACTAACTTGATTGATTATATCTATCAGTTTAATTATCTTTTAATATTTATATAAAATATTATTTCTTAAATTCTTAAAACTTAATAAACATGAAATTTTAAAGAGAACAGAAAAGAACTTACTATAAAGTAACACTAAGATAAATGTCTGAAAACCTAATTTCTAATTTCATTTCTTTGTCAGTCTAACTGATTGCATTCCTTAACATAGGTGAGCCTGTTTATTCACATATAAAATTGGCAGACTACATCATATTTCTCTATTCCTTTCTTCTCTGTGGATTCTAATATCCTTAAAATAAAGTTTTCTCTTAAATTTATTCTTGCTAATTTGAAAAATGTTCAATAAACGTCTGTTTTTGCAAAAACTTATTAGTCTTATGTCTATGGTATTATTCTTAAGAAAATGGTTCATTATAAAAAATATTTGGTTTCATAATTTAATATTTTGTACAACTAAAGAGGTTAACTTATATAAAATATTAATTAGCAAATAATTAAATAATTTTGAGTATTCATTTGCATTATCCATTCTAAGTTATAAATTGGTGTAAGACTACAGATTTGATGAAGAGACTGGATGCTGACTAATCATTCTGATGCAAGCTTACAAAGAATAATTTCAACACTCTCCAAAATGGAGTGAGTTATTAGCATGTCATGCTATTTATTGTGTGATATGATAAATATAATATGATTCATCATGACATTCTATAAATATTGCAGAGGATTATTAAAGTGATAAAATCCATTGGCAGAAATATAATGAGATCATGTCACATTTGTATAAAAGCTACATGATAAATTGTGCTCTCTACAGAGGCTGTTGTAACCTTAGATGGATTTAAAGTGAGAATTCTTGGAACACAAAGCAAAAGAAAACAATCCTAAATTGTACTTAGGGTTCAATTAAGAGCAGCTGTTGTGAGCAGGGAATAATACAGGAGTAGAGAAAGATTATCATCTGCACTGCCATGGGATGAACAATTTTTCAATATAGGGACTATTCTTTAAATAGTTAGTCTAAAATATTTCAGACAAAATTCAGAATAACCACTTCACTGAATCAACATGTCTAAGTAAAAGTTCAAATGGCAGCATATATGTGTGTGTGTGTGTGTGTATATATATATATATATTTAGTTTAAATATGCATATATTTAGTTTAAAAATTGGTATATGAAAACCCATATCAGGCTGTATTTTTATGCATTTAAAATTTTACTTTGTCAGATAATTTTTACTTCTTCCCTAACATGATAAAAATATACCCCTTTGGAGGAAAGGTTATTATAAGGGAAATTTTATTTTCTAAGTAGAGGCTTTTTAGGTTTCTGATGCTTTTACAGACAGAATTTGCCAAAGATTTTGTTTCTTACAGTGCAAAATACAGTTAATTAGTGGCCAACAATCTTTGGTATCGATTTGGAAGTAATTATTCAACACAACACGATTGTTGTCTTTACAAATGATTTTTGAATCATATACACAGTTTTTTAAAAGCTGCTTTGTAGTCATCTTCCTTGAGATTGTAAATTGTTCTCACACGTTATTTAAAATATCCTGATAATAAGCACTAATTGCTACTTTACAATTAAGCAAAGATAAACATATTCTATAATTGTAGGACAAGCAACCACAATGATTGTTTAAAGCATTTTTGGGAGGAAATCTAGTTAACTCTGACAACGGAGAGATACGGACCCTGTGTCTATCACTACATTAATGAAATCTTTATGGGCTCCAAATTTTTCGTTTCTTACAATAATTTTTATGCTATTATATTTTTTAACCACTTTTGCTTCATTTCTTTAAGTTGTTTCAACTTATCTATTTCCTTATATATGGACTCAATATAACAACAATCTGGAATGCAAATTGATTAATGACTATACATATAATCTTTGTTATACTCCTGTGATAAAGATATAGAAGTCAAGTACAAACAAACAAAGAAAAAAAATCATACCTTTCTTTTATGGCAGCACGGCACATTTGAAATAAAATTTGAAAAGATAGGTATTATTAGGCCATACACCTTTTAAAATATTTAGTTCTCTTTTTTATTTTTAAAATGTTATTTCCAGGAGCATAGATTCAAGTTGCCCTGAATAGACACTTCCTAAAATATCTTAGCTCTATTGTGCTTCTACATTGTATGTATTTTTTCAGGCCCCCAATTTTTATTTTGCATTAAAAGAAAATCAGTTTAAAATTAAAAGACCTGATTCAGATGTACCTATATTTGCTAAAGGAATAAAAGTAATTATTAGAAAAATCTTTCTTTTTAAGGATTGTTAGAGAGCTAATCATATATTAGTATTCAGAAAGATTTCAAATCACCGATAATTTGCCTTTAAATTTGGTCATCAGAGGACCAAACCATAATTCTCTAATGAGAGTGGAACTACCTAGTAGCTTGGCCCAGAGGATGAGGGTTATGCTAGTTCCCTGGACTGGTTCACTGCTGACTCCTCGAATTTGAAGGCAACCATCTATAATGGGAGAGGCCAGAGGATTTGCAGCCGAGCTTCCTCAGCAAAATACTTAGCCCCTCATCAGCTGTGTAACCTTCATAATATGTGTCAGTTTCCCCCTGCTGCATAACAGATTACAACAAAATTAGAAGCGTAACACAACACACGAGCATTATTTCATTTTCCATGGGTCAGGAATCTGAGTGTGGCTCAACTGGATCCTCTGCTCTGGGTCTCACGAGGCTAAAATCAAGGTGTCGACCAGTCTGCAATTCTCACGTGAAACTTGGAGGTCTTTTTCCAGTCTCATGCTGATTGATGGCAGAATTCAGCTTCTTGCAGTTAGAGGACTAACGTCCCTGTTTCTCTGCTGGTTGTCAACGAGAGTTGCTTTCAACTCTTGGAGGCCACCTTCAGATCCTAGCCATATGGCCCTCTCAAAACATAGCAGCTTACTTCTCTAAAGCTAGAGGGAACTCTCCAGTCTGCTATAAAGGAGGCTTATGTAACAAGAAATAATCACAAGAGGATCACTCTTGTGGTATAATTTGCTTAGTTATATTCACACACACACACCAATTCCACTTAAAGGTAGGGTATTAAACAAAGCACATGTACTCAGGAGACAAAACAGATGTACAGAGATTTTACTCTGCCATAAGTCTGCTGAGTGACCTTTGTCAAGTTATATCTCAGTATATGAATAAGCTTAGCACCTATCTCAAAAGTTTGGTAGAAAGAAAAGTTAACATAGGCTGGGTACAGTGGCTTATGCCTGTAATCCCAGCACTTTGGGAGGTCGAAATGGGAGGATAGCTTGAGGCCAGGAGTTCAAGACAAGCCTGGATCACAGAGTGAGGTCTCATCTCTACAAAAAAAAAAATAAAATTGGTCATGTGTGGTGGCAACACCTGTAGTCCCAGCTACCCAGGGGTCTGAGGTGGGAGGATTGCTTGAGCCCAAAGGGAATCAAGGCTGCAATGAGCCCTCATTGCACCACTGCACTCTAGCCTGGGCAACAAAGTGAGACTCTGTCTCAAAAAAAAAAAAAAAAAGGGAGGAGGGCAGCATAAAAAAAATTCTTAGAGCAACGCCTATGCTCTGGACTCAGTGAATGGTAGCTATTTTTAGACTTCGCCCAGTAACTCAAAAGGCCCAATGCCCTCTGCCACATTACATTATGCTCATGATTAACAATGCAAAACTTTTGCATAGCTGCCAGATACGGTGACTCATTCCCTCTTTAAAGACTATAGTTGGTGTTACCTTGCATAAACATAGGTTAAGTATTTGAGTATCAGTTGTTTAAATGAGCTGATATGTGACAAAATGTAACCAGGCTTTTAGAATGAATGAATCTAATAAGCTTAATCAAGAACTTACAGTAATTGATTTCTAAATTATGAATAGAAAATCACTTAAATGAACTCTGATTGTTAAATATGACATAGACAAATATTAGTATCAGTAGGCATAATTTTCTCCTATATTAACTCCAACATACATGATTTTAACAATTTTGAAATCTCCCCAAATGCTTTCTCTGCTTTCTCACCATCCAAAGTCATGTTAATTCGTGGTCTAGAAGGCATTATCTGGGGGAAAAACAAAGCAAAGCTATGATTTGCTAGGGTCAAGCAACGATTATGTTCTGACAGTCCTATAGCTAACACTGTTCATGCTTTTTGATCTGCACTTCTTTGAATACTGTGCCTGTGTCTGGGAAAATTTCACCTTATGAATTCTTCTCTGAGATGAAAGCACAAACCCAATTTCCCTTGCATCTAGAACACAGGCCTATAACCCTCATATAAGCATATGTTGCTAATCCCAAGTAAGAAGAAGAATGCCAGGTAAGATTGAGTATTGACTTCACTTCATATCAATGAAGGAGGGAGAAACTTGGATTTGAAATTTCTCATTTTATGACTGACAAAACCTGGTACAATGTTTTGCTAATGTTGTAAAACTATAGGGACTCTTACACCTGTAATTGTTTGGGGATAACATTAGTGAAGTAGTCGGACAGCACATAACTGCTAGGATTTCTGATAAAAAAAAAATTGTGTTTCAACTGAAATTTTTAAGTTAACTTTTTAAACAAATTATTTTAGACGTGCTGTTTTGATTATCTTATTAATATTTAAATTTTACTGTTGCACCCAAAAATCAGTTATGCCTTTCAAAGATTGTTTTAAAAGTCGGCTCCATTTTTGTGGTAGGCAGAACTAGGCCGTATCCCCCAAGAATGTCCGCATTCTAATCTCTGTAAACCTGTGAATGTGTTAGGTTACATAGCACAGGGAAAGTTAAGGTTGCTAGCCAGTTGGCCTCAAAATAGGTAGATTATCTGGAGTCATCCTAGCAAGCCCAATGACATCAGAATTGTCCTTTAAAATGGGAAAGAGAAGCTGAAGAGCTAGAGTCAGAGGGAGATGTGACTATGGAAGAAAGAAACAGAGAGAACAATGTTGCTGGCTTTGAGGATGCTGTGGGACCACAGGCCAAAGAATGCGGGTGGCCCCTGTCGGACAGAAAAAGAAAGGAAATGGACCGTCTAGAGCCTCCAGAAAGGAATTCAGTCCTGCTGATACCTTGATTTGAGCCCACTGAGACCCTTGTTGAATTTCTAGGCTACATAATTATAAGATAATGGATCTGTGGGGTTTTAGCCACCAAGCCATTAGAGGTAATTTGTTACAGCAGCTGCATAGAACTAATACAATTAATAAGTGTGACTTTACTTTCTCCAGGAGGGAAATTTCTGGTGCTTCCAGCTGTATATCAAAAAAGTATTTGGTAAACAGGTTCATCTAGATAAAATATGTTTTTTTCACAAATTTCAACAGAACACGTCTCTACTATCAAACAACTCTGTTTATAACTCCTGGTCAAATACAGAAAATACAAGCAAGCAATATTTTATATCTGTGTCCACCTTTAGTTACAGAATGAACAATGACTACAGGTTCCTTTAAAAGTAAAAAATACATCTTACCAAAAAAAGAAAATCCCAATCTGAATAATGAGACTGTACTTAAACACAGAGAGCTCAAACAACTCAGCTGAAATGTGATGCATTTCCTAATTATTAACTTGGTTGCTGACCATGAGATGCAGGATGCAGGTGTTCAAAGGAAGCATGCACTTTACCCGAATTTATTCAGCAAAACAATTCCAGCCTCTAAAATTGGTTTTAGGAATGATAACTACATTTTTCTTAAACTTTGACATGAAACTAACTTGTTGCTGAGAATTTGCACATGTGAAGTCACCTTGACATTGATTTTTTGCAATCTTTATAAAGAAGAATAACATAAATAAACATGGCATTTTCCAGGTGGCTGCAAATCGTACCAGGGAAAATAAAATCCTGAAATCGAGTGGAGTTTTGCAATAATCTTGTTCTTGGGGTGAAACTGTAGCAAGAACATGCTTCTAGAATTTCTAATATTGAAACACTGACTGAGTCCAAGGTGGAAGAACATTAAATCAAATTCCACGGTGGGAACAGGGATGATCATGAGATGGCGAAGTTTGAGATTTCTTATTCTCTGTTATTTCTCTGCCCATAACAAATCAGTTTTCCAAGTTAAGAGTCACAGACAAGATCTATTAATTATCTTTCACATAGCAGTAAGAAGGAGATGTCTATTCCTGACTTGAAAAAATTCAAGAGTTGTAACATTGGTGTGACACCTTAAGCAAAAACCTTGGACTAGTTATTTACAGTTGTAAAGGGACCCAAATTAGCCACAGCAGTCAGATTATATTTATACTTCCCATTGTTAGGGATGGAAATCCTCAGTGACAGTCATCAACCAGAAATTGCTGCCAGCCTTCAAAATGACCACCTTTTGTGGAAGCCAATGTTTTCCCGGAAGACAAAAGATCTGGAGCCAAAATTTCCTGTGCTGATTAAAATAATTCACTCTAGTATAATTTTATAAACCTTAGAGAGCTGCAAAGGCAGATGAGTTTTATTGTTTACTAAAAGGTAAGATATTACTCAAGATTATGGTCACAGACATACTTATTCACTCCTTCACCACATGTGATTATTAATACAATACCCATATTAGGTTTTTTTCTATTCTGATGTACACAAAAATCAGGTCTCTGTGTGAAAATGCTTTTTAATTTATATATGAATGAACATTCAGCATAGATGTGATTGCTAATAATTTTCCCACAGGTAGTTTTTGGATTATAAGAGCATGGAAATGATTTATAGTTATGGTCAGTGATGATAATCAAATACTCAAATCACATTGTCTTTAAAAAAAAAAACATTTTCTAGCTGATTCTGTTGGAAATCACACCAAAGTACCTTGATATGATAATGTCTTAAAAATATATAAAAGAGTTTCTCTGGTACCAAAACAGAGATATAGACCAATGGAACAGAACAGAGCCCTCACAAATAACATCACACATCTACAACCATCTGATCTTTGACAAACCTGACAAAAACAAGAAATGGGGAAAGGATTCCCTATTTAATAAATGGTGCTAGGAAAACTGGCTAGCCATATGTAGAAAGCTGAAACTGGATCCTTTCCTCACACCTTATACAAAAATTAATTCAAGATGGATAAAGACTTACATATTAGACCTAAAACCATAAAAACCCTAGAAGAAAACCTAGGCAATACCATTCAGGACATAGGCATGGGCAAGGACTTCATGTCTAAAACACCAAAAGCAATGGCAACAAAAGCCAAAATTGACAGATAGGATCTAATTAAACTAAAGAGCTTCTGCCCAGCAAAAGAAACTACCATCAGAGTGAACAGGCAACTTACAGAATGGGAGAAAATTTTTGCTACCTACTCATCTGACAAAGGGCTAATATCCAGAATCTACAATAAACTCCAAAAAATTTACAAGAAAAAAACAAACAACCCCAACAAAAAGTGGGCAAAGTATATGAATAGACACTTCTCAAAAGAAGACATTTATGCAGCCAGAAAACACATGAAAAAATGCTCATCATCACTGGTCATCAGAGAAATGCAAATCAAAACCACAATGAGATACCATCTCACACCAGTTAGAATGGCAATCATTCAAAAGTCAGGAAACAACAGGTGCTGGAGAGGATGTGGAGAAATAGGAACACTTTTACACTGTTGGTGGGACTGTAAACTAGTTCAACCATTGTGGAAGTCAGTGTGGCGATTCCTCAGGGATCTAGAACTAGAAATACCATTTGACCCAGCCATCCCATTACTGGGTATATACCCAAAGGATTATAAATCATGCTGCCATAAAGACACATGCACACGTATGTTTATTGCGGCACTATTCACAATAGCAAAGACTTGGAACCAACCCAAATGTCCAACAATGATAGACTGGATTAAGAAAATGTGGCACATATACACCATGGAATACTATGCAGCCATAAAAAATGATGAGTTCATGTCCTTTGTAGGGACATGGGTGAAGCTGGAAACCATCATTCTCAGCAAACTATCGCAAAGACAAAAAACCAAACACCACATGTTCTCACTCATAGGTGGGAATTGAACAATGAGAACACATGGACACAGGAAGGGGAACATCACACACTGGGGCCTGTTGTGGGGTGGGGGGAGGGGGGAGGGATAGCATTAGGAGATATACCTAATGCCAAACAACGAGTTAATGGGTGCAGCACACCAGCATGGCACATGTATACATATGTAACAAACCTGCACGTTGTGCACATGTATCCTAGAACTTTAAGTATAATAATAATTAAAAAAAAAGGCAAGGAAACAATCTTGCATACCAAATAGCAAAAAAAAAAAAAAAAAAAAAAAAAGTTTCTGCTGTTTCGACGTGTGATAGTTCATGTGCAACGTTCATCAAGTGGAAATCGTCACTCTACCTATTTCATCAATTAGGTCGCAATGAGTTTTATAACTATACACTAGGTGCTTCATGCAAAAGGCAATATTACATTTAAAATATGAACTTATTAGAACTTTTAAAAACATTCAGTAGTAATAACTATAGTATCTGTTTTCCTTTTAAAAATGTTCTTTACAGAAAACCAAACACCGCATGTTCTCACTCCTAAGTGGGAGTTGAACAATGAGAACACATGGACACAGGGAGGGGAACATCACACACTGGGGCCTGTTGGAGGGTAGGGGGTTATGGGAGGGACAGTATTAGGAGCAATACCTAATGTAGGTGACAGGATGATGGGTGCAGCAAACCATCATGGCATGTGTATACCTACGTAACAAACCTGCACATTCTGCACATGTGTCCCAGAACTGAAAGTATAGTTTAAGAAAAGGAAAAAAAAAACAAAAAGCTCTTTATAATGAGTACAATTCTGAACCTTATAACACTATCCTCCTAAAATAACATTATTGGATTTCTTTTTCTACCTCACTCATGTTCCATTTATAATCATAACCCTTCACAAACACACGGTAAAGGCAGTGATTTATTGTACTGTATTTTTAACTACCTATCTACATTTATGCTTTGCTGTTAAATCTGTCATTCCTGACAAACACAGCTAAACAAAAACATTTGTTTATGGTATGAGATTAGGAACAAAAATCAAGAAAAATGATTTAGAACAGGGAATGGTCTGATTTTTCAGACAAAAAAAAACCAATTGAATTGTTACTTCAACAAGGAAAGATAAGACAAAGGACATTTGGTGAATATTTGCAAAAAGGAAAAAAAAATCTGGTCTTGTTGGTCGGCGGCAGTGATCTACAGCTCTGTATAATACGGTTCCAGCTCTATAAATCTGTTCTACTCCACAACACTTTCCCAAGAAACTGATATATTTCTAAAAAAGTTCCATCTACATGTCACCCTGGAAGCTTACTATGTTGGGGATAATTCCGAATGCAGAAGTGTGCAGCACAACCCCTTTTTGTGACCCAAAACTGACTTATTTATCAACCATGAACATGTTTATAAAGTAAATATAGAAATATTCTAGCATTTTAAGGAGAATGCTTGTCTCCTTTAAAGTATTTCTAACCTTCCGAAGATTCTAAATGTTAACATCTCTAAGCATAAGAAGCTTTGTTCCTCCTGAGGTACTGAGGATCATACTTATTGAATTACTGAAGGAACAAACGTGTTGTATAAACCCAAGGATGGAGAGTCTAAATGACTTTAAGGAACTCCAGCAATGTCCCAGGCACTGCAGGCTGTGGGTGGCACATATTTGAATAAGCCCGCATACGCCTAGTATCAGATTGAAGCACGTATAAATAAAAGGTCTTAGAAGGTGAGAGATAACAGTAAGTTAAAATATTACACACACAGGAAGGGAATCCACATCCTCATGATAAAATATTTTAAGATCTCATTTTGTTTCTAACTGGTCTTTAGAAAATTTGAGGAAATCCAAAGTTAAGTAGACAGAATATTCAGGTAAATAACATAGTTTAAATACACACACAGGCATACACAACATAATCATTTTTTTAAAAGGACCATAACTTTTAGCTGTTTTGTTTTGTTTTAATGAGGGATTGAAACTGCATACTATTAACATATGTCCAAAAATTGCAATTTACTACATCTGACATTACACTTTCCTCTATTATAGGGTAGACTTTAGCAAACCAATTTGCAGATTATAAAGTGCTACCAATCACCACTTGTGAATTCATAATCTACTGATGTATGTTTAAGATTTGTACCTCCTTAAATTACCATAAACATCTGCAACCCTCCCATCATAAATGTTCCTCAGAATGTTACAAGACTCAAATTTAAGTGTATGCTAAGTATTCTGAAGGCAATTGCTTCAGTGTAGTGATACATGTAAGAACCTTTTTCTTTTCTTTTTCTTTTTTTGTAAACTCCTCTATAAACAGGCAACAAAACTTCAGTATTTTAAAAGTGAATGGGTTTTTTTTCTTCAATTTTATTTTGGAGACCCTTTTAGAACATGTAGTTAAAATTAAATACAACCATCATGATCATGCCTTTTAAAAACGCACCATTTTTTAAAGAAAATATCACGCAATTTAAAGGTTTTATAAGCAGGGTTAGTATTAGAACTATATTCTATGGGCTAATGATTTCTGTTTAAGAATATTTTGTTTCAGTCTGAATACAGTCATCCCTTGGTACCTGTGGGGCACTGGTTCTAGGACCCTCCTCAGAATCTGCAGATACTCAAGTCCTTTACATAAAATGGTGTCATATGTGTATATAGTCTATGCGCATCCTCCCGTATACTTTAAATTATCTACAGAGTTGTTATAATACTTAATACAATGTGAATGCTATGTAGTTGTTATACTGTATTGTTTTTCATTTGTATTATTTTTATCTTTTTTTGTTTTTCATTTTCTCAACTATTTTCAATCAGCACTTGGTTGAATCCATGGATGCAAAACCAGAGGATGTATTTTTAATCCCAGAAGTGTTGAATGAGTCGTGAGTCACAAAAACTAGTAAAATTAGTCAATCAAGTTTGTTCTTAAAAGCTGGTGGTCCAGCCAGGTGTGGTGGTGCATGCCTGTAGTCCCAGCTACTTGGGAGGCTGAGGCAGGAGAATCGCTTGAACCCAGGAGGCAGAGGTTGCGGTGAGCCGAGATCGCGCCACTGCACTCCAGCCTGCCGACAGAGCGAGACTCCGTCTCAAAAAATAAATAAATAAATAAAATAAAAGCTGGTGGTCAACAGTTGATTAGATAAAAAAAAAGTATACATACACCTTGGAATACCATACAGTCACAAAAATAATAAAATCATGCCCTTTGCAGCAATGTGGATGGAGCTGGAGGCTATAATCCTAAGTGAACAAACCCAGAAGCAGGAAATCAAATATTTCACATTCTCACAAGTAGGAGCTAAATAATGGGGGCACATGGATATAAAGATGGAGATAATAGACACTGAAAACTCCAAAAGGGGGGAGGGCGACAGGGGAATGAGGGTTAATAAACTGCCTATTGAGTATAATGTTCACTATTTGGGTGACAGGTGCACTAGAAGTACATTTCCTGCCATCACGCATGGAATAGCCATGTAACAAATAATCTCTGCATCTAAAATTAGAAAATAAGATAAATACAATAAAAAGATGGTGGTGACAATTAATAAGGTCTGCCTGATATGGTTTGGCTTTGTGTCCCCACCCAAATCTCATCTTGAATTGTAGCTCCCATAATCCCCACAGGTTGTGGGAGGGACCCCGTGGGAGATATTGAATCATGGAGGCGGTTTTTTCCATGCTGTTCTTGTGATATTGAATAAGTCTCATGAGATCTGATGGTTTTATAAAGCACATGCCCTCTTCCCTGCCGCCATGTAAGATGTGACTTTGCTCCTCATTCGCCTTCAGCCATGATTGCAAGGCCTCTCTAGCAATGTAGAACTGTGAGTCAATTAAACCTCTTTCCTTGATAAATGACCCAGTCTCGGGTATGTCTTTATTAGCAGCATGAGAACAGACTAATACACTGCCCTTTCAAATTGATAATCAATCAACTTAAGGATATGTCCAGAGATTCCTCACCTCCCCAAACTTCAGCTTAAGGGTTTATGGGCTGACACAGGATGTGTCAGTTTATGCAAGCTAATGCATAAGCAAGCATACCAAGAGGACAGCTAGAAAATCTCTGCTCTTCTCTCCAACTTTCCCTGGTAAAATATGCCAAAAATGCATTTCAAACTTCCATGTTTAAAATTATTTCTGAAACAATTATTATGGACCTCCACTGATAGGCACATAGGACTTAATTTGAATAATATAATATGTAATCCAAATCCTGTTGGAATTCCCAGTGTCTATTATCTCTATGTTTATGTCCATGTGTCCCTACTGTTTAGCTCCTACTTATAAGTGACAACATGCAATAGGCATGTAAACAAGAAGGCAGTAAACTTGGAGGGAATAAAACTAGAAGTATTTTTGGCTGGATAGAAAAATGAAAGCCATGATAACAGTGAACAACAGGGGTATAGTTAACTTTAGTTGACCGTTTCTGAATTTCTGTCTAAACTCACTCTATGACTACTACTTTTAGAAGTTTATTCCTCAAGAAAAGTGACTTGACATGTCAGTAAGTAGATTTTCCAATTATTGGAGGTAGGGCTAGGGAGGAGAGGTTTTTCCATCTGACCTAAAGAACTAAATTCAGATAAAATATTTTATACAAATTACACAATATTGTATACAATTTATACAAACATAAACTAAGACATTTCACCTCACCAAATCAGGATTCGTTCATGATAGAGGTTGCCTTATTATTGTAATTACATATAAAATTTAAATATTCAAGTAAAAATATAACTCTCAATTACAAAAAGGCAGGACTTAAAACATATTTCCATAAAGACATAAAACTTAAATTTCCATATCAGACATGTTTGTTAATGTCTTTGGTCAATTTAGTTCCAAACAGATAAATCACATTGTTAGACAATGGTAATAGTTATATAAAGTACAGATTATTGACTTTATATTTAGTATGCTTGCATGATATTTTTGGGAAATAGGCAAATGTTTATTAAACTATAAAAAGCTCTGAAAAGCTGTTTTATGAGTAGTACTGTATCTGCTAGCCCACTTAATCTACATCAACAAGAGTTCATTTAAGAAGATATATCATCAGGAAGCCAGGATTTCAATCTGCCTCTTATCACAGTAATATGAAGTCAGTCTCCAAAATAAAAAAGATGGGTGGAAGAAGTTAATGAACCCATTTATCTTAATGTATGGTAAATCTAATGCCAAAAGCAGCACATGATATTTTATTCACTATTTTCCTAGTGCATCCTACATTACAGAAGATAGTTATTTTATAGCATCTGATAACATTTCTTTTGACTTCTATTTATATGAAATAATTGTTTAAATATAAAGAAATGTTTTCATGTAGGATGTATCCAAATGCTAAAATATACATACATGTTATTCTCACCACAGTTGTAACAAATCTTTGCTTATTAATGAACTACCTTTAAAGAATAGAACATTGTTTAGGTTTTGAAATGAAAGAAAAAGAACATCTACAATGCATTTTTAACTGTTTTTACAACTAGAAAATAGTCTCAGACTTTAAGTGTTTTATTTAAATTTAACTCTAGAAATAACATTGCACTTCTCAAAGCTCTATGTCTCAGTAACTTTGCGTTAGATGTAAAATTTAAAGAACTAAGTCAACAGACTTGGCCCTCAGATACTTTATTTTAAAAACAAAAACTAAATGAATCATGTACTTTAACGTAAAAAGCAAAACTGACCCTGAATAAGTTCAATGGATTATATCAATGTCAACATCTTTGTTATGATATTGTCCTATAGTCTGGCCAACATGACCACTGGGGGAAGCTAGGCAAGTGGCAATAAAATATCTCTGTATTATTTCTTATAACTGCCTATGAATATAAAATTATCTCAAAGTTAAAGCTTAATTCATAAAACTAGCTTCTTTAAAATATAAATAACCAAAGGTTATATTTCTTAAGGAAAAAAATCCAGACTTGAACACTTTCAATGTTTAGAATTTCCCTAGTCAATTTAACATGAGATATGACCACTGAGCTATTTTGAAGGTGATGACTTTATGTTCACTTGTCCTAAATACAGAATGAGCTTTACAAAATATCACTTACAAAGAGATTGTTCAGTTTATCACATCAGATTTGAAGATATGAATGTTAGATTATGCAGGGAAAATTTCAATTTGGAACCACAAACAATAATTCCTGAGAAATCTGCTATAAAAAGACATCAACATAGTGAAGGATTACAAAGATTTCTGGTTCTTATATTTTGTTTTATAAAGCAGCAAGAATATTTGCCAAAGTCCTTACAGAAACACTGAGAAATTTTACTTTAATCAGAAAATAAGGAGATACCCTAAGTTTTAAAAATACTTCATGCAAAATGTGTATCATGCAGTTTAACAAAAAAAAAATCTCAAGGACAGCATCATGAAATAATTGGGGTATGAAATTCCATAAGCAAACATTACTAATTTAGATTAACCAGGCATTTCTTTGCCAGAAATTAAACCCATTATTTTGTTTCACCAATTAACTTTATTATAGAACAGAAATCATCTGTGTGTGCATGAGTGAGTCCTAGCATACATATTTGATGCTAGATGATAAATGTTGCAATTTCCAGGGTAAAGTTAGTATTTACATTACTCCATTGTCTCTTAATTTTAAACAGAATTGGCAGCTCTTCCTGGAAGACATCCTGTCCTTTCCTACACACCATTTCAAGGGCTGTTCACTTTTTCTTACTGCTGTAGTTCTTAACATGTCCTATGACATTGTTGTTCACACATAGGTTTTTAAAATAGATTGAGAACTTTTAAATTTATGAGGTGTGTGTAAAAGAATGTCTGATTATTCATATTCCCATTTCATGAAAAATTAAATCATATTTTGGACATAAAAATTGTTAAAGGGAAGCTTTTCCATAAATATTTTCTTTTAATAGTACTTTTTATCATTGAAATTTAGATCATTCAATTATGGAGATTTCTTCATTGAAGAGAAAAATATCTCTTCAAAACTCTAAATAAGCTGAGCTTTATCAACTAAATTTATAGGAATACAGGCTTCAGAGGTATATAATTTATCTTACAATAATATTTTCCCTTCTAAAATTTGTCATGTTTTGTCACAGGTTTAAAGTGCAAGGCAACTAATGATATGAAAGATAATGTGGTATATGTAGTATACGTGAACCTGATCTTTTCTCAAACATTTATTGTTTTTATTTTATTTTCTTTGCTGTCAAGTAGAGTGGTAGCAAATATGTATTATTTGTAAAGCCCCACACAATTTGCATGAAAATAATTGTTGCATGAACTAGACATGCTTTCTGTGATATTAATCTGCAATATTCTGCAAGCCACAAAAAATAATTCACGCCCATTACAAGAAGCTTATTTCAGCATTTTACCTGTCAGAAACCATGATTAATATACTTAAAAGTAATTTTTGCAAACATTGTTATAATATAGTCCATGTGTAATATACATGTGAAAACAAAGTCTACAAAAAGTAGGATGTTATCCCTTCCTTGATTAGTTCAAAGTATTTCATCAGCTAAATTCCTTTGAGATGTGTAAGATAAGGTGGTTCTTTAGAGGAACTTTGGACTGGAACTTATGACCATAGTGACATATCAAAGTACTTCATTTTTAAAATATAGAAAACAGACACGAAGAAAATGTATTTTAGAGTTTCAAATAACTGAAACTGTCGTTTTTTTCAAATAAGGCACTAAATAAGTGCATAAGTCAATTTTTTTTCAGCCTAGGCAATATGGCAATATATATAAGAACAAGTAAATATAACAAACAGTGTAAGATTCATCTGGAGAAAAATAATTATACACATGATAAAATATGAAAGAACAGAAGAAAACTCAACCAATGATGTAGGATAAACTCATCACAGGATATCAATATATCACCAAGGTTTGCACATTTAAAATATGGGCAGGCAACAAGGAAGAGCTCTTCTGCAGGAATAGTTGTCTTTAATCTTCTATCTTCACTGTTTAATGAAAATGATAGGAATGTTAGTAATTTCAAAAAGCATCACAGCAATATTCATTAGAGAAGACTTCTGTGAATTCCCTTTCACCTGCTGAGCCCTGTTGGAAGGAATCAGCTGTAGGAGGGAAGAAGGCATTTATAAAGGCAAAGAAGATCTGGAAACAGCTCTGGCCATCAGGTATGGAGAGAGAAGAGGGAGAGCACAGCAAGGACACAGCCGTTGCAGAACTCGATGGAGAAATAAACACTGTAAGAGAGGCAGTGGCCACGAGAACCAGCCTGTGGGTGGTATTTATAACCTTAACTGTGTCTCCTAGCTGGATGTATTAGTCAGGGTTCTCTAGAGGGACAGGACTAATAGGATAGATGTATACATGAAAGGGAGTTTATTAGGAGAATTGACTCACATGATCATAAGGTGAAGCCCCCAATACGCCATCTGCAAGCTGAGGACCCAGGAAGCCAGTCTGAGTCCCCAAACTGCAAAAGTAGGGAAGCCAGCAGTGTCCCCTTCAGTGTGTGGCTGAAGACCTGAGAGCCCCTGGCAAAACACTGGTGTTAAGTCCAAGAGTCCAAAAGCTGAAGAACTTAGAGTCTGATGTTTGAGGGCATGAAGCATCCAGCACGGGAGAAAGATGGAGACCTGAGGACTTAGCCAGTCTAGTCCTTCCGAGTTCTTCTGCCTGCTTTTCTCTTAGCCACAATGGCAGCTGATTAGACAGTGCCCACCCAGATTGAGGGTGGTTCTATGTCTCCTAGTCCACTAACTCAAATGTTAATGTCCTTTGGCAATACCCTCAAAGACACACCCAGGAACAGTTATTTGCGTCTTTCAATCCAATCAAGTTGACACTCATTATTAACCATCACACTGGGGAATGGCAAGCATCAGCTACCAACTACTGTCAGAAAACCATTCTGCACTCATTTAATCAGAGCTTTGCTATGCTTGGGTTATTTTACAGCACAAAGAAGAGGCCTATCTTTTTATCATTTTTAATACACTGCGGCAGGAGGCAAAAATACAGAAGACTACCAACTGACCTGATTTCCAGAGAGGGACTATGTAGTACCAGGAGTGAAAAATTTGTAGCAGGCCACCCAGGGTGCAGGGACACACACATATCTTCCTTGTTTGATGAAAAAGTGGCACAAGTTACAGAACACTGGACAATAACTCTTATGAATTAAATTCAGAGAAGAATATGTGGAAAGAATTAATTAAGAGGAGGTGCTTCTGTAAAGAGTGTGATATAAATAACTTTACTTAGAAAATATTTAGGCCTTAAATATTTTTTGTCCTTGTTGGAATATTTAATACATATACACTAAAGGAACGCTTGTGGCCAGATTCCACGGCTCTCGCCTGTAATCCCAGCACTTTGGGAGACTGAGGGAGACGGATCACTTGAGTCCAGGAGTTTGAGGTCAGCCTAGGTAATATGGCAAAACTCTGTCTCTACAAAAAAAAAAAAAAAAAAAAATATATATATATATATATATACTAAAATTAGCCAGGGGTGGTGGCATGTGCCTGTGGTCTCAGCTACTCCAGAGGCTGAGGTGAGAGGATTGCTTGAGCCCAAGAGGTCGTGGCTGCAGCAGTGAGCTGTGGTCACACCACTGCACTCCAGCCTGGGCAGCACAGTAAAACCCTGTCTCAAAAAAACAGAAAATGCTTGTGATAAATGTGAGACACTAAGATTAAACGGAAAAGGGGGCTCCTTACACACACCACCTAGCTACCCAGCTCAAAATAAGAAGTTGCCAAAACTCTTAGGGTCCCTCATCCTGAGAACTCTCTCCCCCAAAGAGATGACCATTATCCTGTATCTTGTGTGGTTTTTAATTCTTCTTTATTTTTATTAATAGTTGTACCATCATATGTGCCTCTAATATGTTGTTTAGCGTTGCATGCTTTGAACCTTATTCAAGTATACTCAAGAAGTATGTAACTTTCTGTGGTGTGCTATTTTCATTCAACATTGTGTTCCTGAGATTAATCTTGTTAACATTTACAATTCCGTTCCCTCATTCACAATGCCGTGGAGTATTCTATTTGTAAACATGCTACGATTTGTTAACTTACTCTCCTGTCAATCTTCAGTGCCCCGTTACCGTAGACACAGCTGCCATGGATGCTCTTGTGTGCCCTGATGCACATGTGTCTAAGCTTCCTTGCTAGCTTTTTAGGGGTCAAATGGATGGATCATAGGTTGTGATTCACCTATGAATCGCCTTAAAATATATTGTATAATTCCATATTGTTTTTTTAACTAGTGTGACAATCCATAATCTCATCTGCAGTGCATAAGGGCTGCAATATTCCCATGTATAAATTATCATTCATATGATCAAAAACATTGACTAATCATTTACTGCTTACTATATTAAGTAAAAATATTTGCAGTTTATGTACAAACTCATTTTTCTGGCTTATCACTATCTGTTTCCTACTCTAAAACATAAACCTGAGTGTCAATCATGATGTGTGTCTTCCTGTCACTGCAGGAAAAATTCACAATTTTCAAGTTGCACAAATATAAGTTTAATTTTAATTTTGTTTATCTAAAATGGTATGATTTCAATCAGAATTGCTCTATCACTAGCAGAAGATAGAGCTTTGCCAAACCCCACTGTGCAAAGGAAGTGTGCATATAGGTTAAGAGATGTGAATGCAACCATTTTCTTTTTTTTAGCATAAAAAACCTGCCCACCTACGGGAATGCAAACAATTTACTCCACTTTTCATTCACAAAGTGTTGACAATACATTCCATAAAATGTTTTACGATGACTAAATGAGATAATATATGAAAAGCCTCTAATACAATGCTCAGTATCAAGCAGACATTCAATAAAGCTATTGTTATTCAGCAGCAATGCACTGATAAATCACCAACTTTGAGGGCTACTCTAATAACAAACAGGTATAATATAACCATATTCATTAAGAATATAATTTCTCCAAAGTTGTAACTTCAATAATATTTAATATTCCAGGTAAGATAACCTTACTGATATTTTAAAAGCCCAGGAGTTCTTTATTGTAATAAAAATGTAGTAATCTGCAGATTAGATTATTAGATCAGAGACTAACACACTTCTTAGTAGAAATTAACTGGGGTTGAAGAATGTACATGCTTTCCAGACATACATCATGCACGCAGGCATATTGTCTCTGGTCTCAAGACTGGATTCAAGGCTAGCCTATCGGAACATCTACATCTTATTAAATTATGTTTACACTAAGTTAAAAGCATTTTAATATAATTATCGCTGAGGCTTGTCATCACGCAGAAATCCCAGAAGGATTGTGTTGCATGACAAAGCAGACCAGAGATCCAGATCCTGGGTGGTAAGCAAGACTGGTTCTCACCTCCACAGTGCTGTCAATCTCCACTGACGGCAATCTCTGTATCACTAACATCTATTAATGTCACACACATGTTGAGTGCAGGTTAGGTCTTTTCATAGAACAAGACAGACAGAGAGAAATGGAGAATGAATATTAGCTTTAATGAACGGATGCAGAGGATCAAATATTATCCTTAAAAGAATATTTTTGGTTCTTTTCATCTCCTCTCTCCCTATTTAGCTATATTTTTCATGAGGAATATTAATGCATTATTAGTCCACAAGTTCAACCTTTGTACACTGAGAAATAGGATTAGCATGGCTTATAAAATTTATCTGGGGGGAGGTTTCAGCTCTTGAGGAATTATACAGTGTATTAATTCTTACTTATTTAGGTTACAGACTGTTCAGCCAGGAATTATGTACCTATAATTAAGTACAGCATCGATAGAGATCCTATGGTTGTTACTTATATATCACTTCTGTTCCAAATGCATTTAAGTTGCTTGCAAATATAAAATATTTAAACTCTTTAGAAAGAACCTTTAGGAAATACAAAAATAGGGAAGCAAGATGGTGTCAGAAATGTGGTCAATGAACAAATGGATACTTTGACGAATCATGCACTGAGTCAGGGCAGAGCACAAATTTGACTTTGAGTTTTCCAATTAACATGCACAAAGGAGGAAATGTAACCAGTAACAAGACCATACGTGATATATTCTAGTTATTTGGGAGAAACACCAATATGAAATAAGAGAAAATATTTCCTATGGCCCCTCATAAAGAGAAGGTTTTATGAGGACCAAAGTAGTTCAGTAAGAAGCGACTGTGTTGGGCCCAGTATGATGTGGTCCAGTCAGGCTTTTTTTATTTTATTTTTTGAGACGGAGTCTGGCTCTGTCACCCAGGCTGGAGTGCAGTGGCGCGATCTCGGCTCACTGCAAGCTCCGCCTCCCGGGTTCACGCCATTCTCCTGCCTCAGCCTCCCGAGTAGCTGGGACTGCAGGCGCTGCCACCACGCCCGGCTAATTTTTTGTATTTTTAGTAGAGACGGGGCTTCACCGCGTTAGCCGGGATGGTCTCGATCTCCTGACCTTGTGATCCACCCGCGTCGGCCTCCCAAAGTGTTGGGATTACAGGCATGAGCCACCGCGCCCGGCCAGTTAGGCATTTTTTGATGGTCTCACTTCATCTTGAAATAGATTTTAGATTACATGGCAGAATGGATGGCTTCGTTTCCTCCAGGCCATCTTCCATAAATATTATTTATCTTATCCATGTGTCTGAAAAGTATCAAGCTGCAGTGAATTTGTGATTATAGTCCCTGACAAGGACCGGGAAAGCTGTAATTCTATGTTTTCATTTACGAACAAAGCTTTACACTCCAAAAGTCAACAAAATTGCATGTAGCACAAACATCCTCATATGAAAAGCAGGAGCTGGATAAAGATGGGCCTGAACAGATCACTCAATTTCTGACTTGAAAGGTATACAAGCAGTGCTGGCAGTCAAAGTGAAGACTTCCTCGGGAAAAAATTTTGGGACTACTTTAATGCAAAGAAAAGCAGGAAATGAAGTTCAACAGCTGCATTCCATAAAGCATACTGGCAGTAATTTGTCAAAAATAAATAAATAAAAAATAAAAATAAAAATAAAACTCTTCTACTGAAAAATGGCTCAAGCCTTAAGAAAGAAGAGGAAGAGAGAGGAAGGGAGAGGAGGAAAGAAACCACCACCAGCTACAGAGTGCTTGGTTTTGAGCAGCAAAGATTCCTGAAATACTTTCCAAAATAAACCTGTGGCAAAATATTGAACTTGGAAACAGAAATAGACAACTTGATGCACAAAATAATCAGTTCTAAAATAGTCAAAATGTACAAAAGGATACAGAGCATTTATGGTGTTGACTGAGAAATTAACAATGTACATTTGCTAAAAGTAGAAATCTGGGGACAGAGACTGAAAAATACAATGGTCCCCAAGGCTATTTATTTTGGCATTACTTATTTATAAAGTAAATACATAAAATTGAAAGTCTTTCTCTATAACTTGTGTCTCCAAATCTCCCAGAGTCTTTTAGTGTTTCAGATCTGGTCTGGCCTCACTCATTTTTGCTCTCAATCTGCCTGGCTCCTGAGGCCACTGGAGTCTGTGCTCCCAGCTCATGTCCATTCCACAGTGGAATGTGAGAAAGTAGTAAAACACAACAATAAAAATAAATAAGATTCTATGTTTGAGTGAGAGCAGCTAGAGGTGACTTAGATTAACTGAAAAGGTGTAAAAGAATTTTGCTAAAATCATGCCTCAAAGATTGTACAGTATTAATCATGTAACATGGCACTGTGCCACACGGGGGCACTATATAGTCAGCTTTCTCAGATGAAAACAAAATGTAACAGGAGTTTATAAAAACAAGATTTGATGAAAATAAAATTACATTCTCTCCCAGGTAATAAAAGAAATCAAAATTCTGGAACATTTAAAGACCTTATGTGTGGTTTGTAATAAAATGGAAATAGCTTGACTTGCTCTCACATCCGTTTCACCTGCAACTTGGCCCCTATCAGTTTTTCAAACAGCTTAGGAATTTTTCAACCTAAAGGCCTTTGCACATTCTATTTATCTCTGCCTAGGACACTCTCTGACCTCACTGTAATCTTTTAGGTCCCAGTTGAAATGCAGTTTCCTCAGAGACAGCTAACCTAGACACCTTACCTAACGCAAGTCCCTCTTACACAACATGCAACTATATGTCAGCCCTCTGTGTATTTTAGTCATGGCACTTATCCCAGAGTATTTTATTTATGCACATTGCACATTCCTATGAGTTTTTTCTGTCACCTTCAATATGCTTTAAGCTCCATGAGGCTAAACACCTGTCATTTTTGGTCACTGTTTAATCCCCAGAGCCTAGGACAGTGGGGCATAATAGAAACAAAAGCTATGTGTTGAATGAATGAATGAATGAATGAATGAATGAATGAATGAATCTCTGTGACTGTGACTTATTTCTCCCTACAAAGTTTGACTGAGTCCCACATTCTCACAGAAATCTTTACAATAATAACAAAAAAAGTAGTGAATGTCACCATGTGTTTTCTGACCAATAAATCTGAAAACTTGTCTGGAGGTTATATGAATTATGGAGAGTTCTGATATACTCTTTATTCAACATTGCTTCTCTTCTATTTAAAAACCTGTGCTTCTTTGGAAAGGGTGAAGTGGGACAAGCTGAAGAACACAGATGTTTGAGGGAAGAATGCTTACATTCACCCACTTCGTGATAACTTGGTTCCAGCTTTGGTCCTTGTTCTCTGACCCCACATCTTCCTTTGCTGCTATTTTCTGTATCTACCCTTGTTAAAACAGAAATACAGAAAAGAGGTTACAGAGGAGTTTAATGCTGCCCTGTCTCAGCATGAGAACAATACAATTCTCTTTTCTTTGTCTCCCAACTTTACAGGTACTTACTGTGGTGTATACAATGGTCACTTACAAATTAGCACCAACAAAAGGGTATTAAAAGTATTTGTTTATGGGACATTGGGGTGTAAAACACCACCACTCAACATCGTGATGTAACTTTACAAAACAATAGGGAAGGAGGTAGAAAAGACAAAATGCATGGGGTGGAGGGGAAGCACAGCAGGGCAAAGTGATCCGAAGACAATCTTCACATAGTTCCAAGATAATGTGGATTCCAAAAGGCCAGAGGCCATTTGCTCCTTGATATTAACTCCATGCTTAGCATGATACTAAAATATAATTGTGGATTAAGTAGATAAGTGCTTCTGGAAGGCTTAAACCAAAACTATGGTTGGTCATAAAGAGGTGGCAGTGTTTTTTTGTTTTGGTTTGTTTTGGTTTGGTTTTTTGGTGTGGTTTTTTTTTTTTTTTTTTTTTTTTTTGGACGATGAAGAATTGGTTAGGGTGTAAGCTCTGCATTTCAGGCTTCCATCATCAAAGACTGAAAAATCCAAGTGAGCTGGAGTCAATGTTAGGTCTTCTCCAGCCATGGTCTTTACAGAGTAGAGGATCAGCCCTCAGCAGGACTAAGGGAAATTCAGTAATCTTGTTACTCATAGGTCAGAAGCTTTGGGGTTGTGCTTTCTCCCTTTTTCAACCTGTAGTCAACTCAGCAAAAAGGCCCAGAACTGGTGAAGGAACAAAGCAGCAAAAAGTGAGGCCCAATAAAAGCTTTAGGCTCAAGAAGACCCCTTACAAACGAAAAGGGAGAGACTATTCCAGGGCACAGTATGTGAAAAGAGGAGATGACTAAAAGCACAGTGGCAAAATGTTCTTACACGTAAGGGATGTTCGTTAATGGACAAATATTCATGGCACTATGATCTGTTAGGACAAATGTAGAATCATCTGTATGCTTTAAATACCTTGTGTGTAAGATTTTAACTGTTTATTAGAAGTCCAAGAACCCCGTTGAAGATATTTGGATATTCCCTCCCTTTCCTTTCCAAGACTCAGAAACTATTAAGGGTGTAGCAGGACGAGCCACAGACAAAACCCCTCAGACACCGAGTTGTAGAAGGAAGGGCTTTATTCAGCGGGGAGCATCAGCAAGTTACTGCCTTAAAATCCGAGCTCCCTGAGTGCACAATTTCTGTCCCTTTTAAGGGCTCACAACACTGAAGATTTCACAAGAAAGGGTCGTGATTGATTTGAGCAAGCAAGGGGTATGTGACAGGGGCTGCATGCACCGGTGGTCAGAGTGAAACAGAACAGAGCAGGGAGTTTCACAATGTTCTTCCATACAATGCCTGAAATCTATGGGTAACATCGGGTTCTAAGTCATGAGTTGATTTTTAACTACTAGGTTTAGGCCAGACAGGCCCAGGCCTGGTTTTGGGTCTGGTTTTGGGCCTGGCACCGGGCTGCCTGTCTTTGATTTCACTTCCTTGTTTTTTTCTTAAAACAGGTACTGAGTATAAAACAATATAAAACAATATGAGAGGGTCTCTCTTCCCTCAAGGGTAAAAATAAGATTGCAACAAATCTAAATTTTATGGAAGTCAAATAAAAAACACTTAAACCTATGTAAATAATCGCATACATAAAATACTGCATTAAAATGCCTCCTAAGTGTCACATAGTCTTTAAACAAATACATTTTCAATGATAGCACAGCTTGTTGGTTCAGTTTCTATTTTAATCTCTGATATTCGCACATACCTGTGCACACCTGGAAACATCTACTACTGTTTCAAAAAGACAACTATTAGCAAAGTTCTTATATACACCTGCATATCATGCATTAAAATCAAGTACTTTATTCATTTCATTTCTTCAAAATTATGTTAATGTACTAATCAGGTATTAGTACATTAATAGGAAAGATCCTTTCTACAATATGATCTTCCTAGAATAAGCTACCCAACTTTCTCAAAGATGCAGAATGACCATATTTAAAGTTTGGATGAAATTTAATTCATCTTTAATTTGTTTCTGTCACTTTACTATGTTCTGGGGTGTTTTTTTTTTTTTTTAACCTCTCTCTCTCTCTCTTGCTCTCGCTCTCCCTCTCTCTCTCACTCTCTGTCACACACACACAAACACACATGCCTGGTGCTGTCAGTTCTGAGATTTCCGATGATCAAGAGAAACAGGACATCTTTTAAACTTGAAGTACATTCATATGTCAATGAATGGCAATGCGTTTGCGCCATTACAGACAAAATCATAGCCGTCTTTATTTCCAAAAGCCAAAAATGTAGGGATCAATCAACATAAAATGTCATAAGCAATAATTAAATAAATGCCAATAGAATGACCTTATAATTTTCAAACCCAAGTCAGATAAAGCTATAAGAGATATCCAAATGCCAATACTTATGATATTAATACCTGTAAGTGTTTTGTGGTATTAAGAACATGAAAAAACAAAAAATTCTATAAAGTTCAAAGTTCTTTAAAGTTAGATGGAAAAGACATTCATTGATATTCCAATGAAATTTTAAGATTTAGTTGGAAAATACACATATGTTTCTTAAGAGCTAAAATAATGCATTTGACATACAGACAAAGGACCAATGTAGGTGGGAGGGCAGAGTTCTGTGATTAGACAGGAGAATTAGAAAATCTGTTCCAAGTAACTCCAGGGAATGAGTTGTGTAACTTCCTCCTTGAGGTCTGAGGGTCTCCGACACAAAAGTTCTACATAAGTTTTTATTAGTAGCTCAGAAAAAATACAATCTAAAAAGATCAGTCAAAATCCTGGCAAAGATTTCTGGTCATAATAAATCATAGTCCTGTAGGATGACATTATCTTCCTCAGCAGTAAGATTTAGAATTAAGTATTTGGTATTGTGAGTATCTTCAGTTACCAGATAGTCATTGCTTTCATAATGTGTACACATCTCCTTAGCCTCAGCAGGATTTCCGATTAAGCATAGAAATATTTTAAAAATTTGAAATCCTAGTAAAGATTGTTTGGCATTGGAAAGGAACCAATCTGTGTTGGAAATCTACATACTTGTAATATTTAAGAGAACTTCACTTATGAGAGAAAGTTTCATTTTGTTTTTTGAGATAGAGTCTCACTCTGTCACCCAGGCTGAAGAGCAGTGGTGGGATCTCAGCTCACTGCAACCTCCCCCTCCCAGTTCAAGCAATTCTCCTGCCTCAGCCTCCTGAATAACTCTGGCACTACAGATGCACCCCACCACACCTGGCTAATTTTTGTATTTTTAGTAGAGACAAGGTTTCTCCATGTTGGCCAGGCTGGACTTGAACTCCTGACCTCAGGTGATCCACCCTCCTTGGCCTCCCAAAGTGCTGGGATTACAGGCATGAGCCCCCATGCCCAGCAGAGAGTGAGTTTTAAAGGTACAATATCAAATGTGCAGTTGAGTACTTGAAACAGATATTTGATTTTAAATTTCTTACTAATATAAACAGTATTGAAACATTTGGCAAAGCTTTTGGATTCACCATATTGATTGTTCTTACAAAAATAAAATTATCAGGGAAATTTTGTTTGTAGATGCAGACACTAAAGAACTTAAGTGAAATAAAATATATTACATTTGGAATTCCTAGTGAATTGGAATGATGGTTTCATAATTTCAAACTTAAAATATGTAATTATTTGCTTGATTTTGACATGGTATTTTAAATTGATATTTTAGTATTTATATATTATTTTGGAACAACTAGATGCATTTTAGGGCCACTATTTTTGTTAATTAGATTTATAAAAGTTACTTAGATATGCAGAAAAGATTTACCATCCTAAATTTGAAGCACTCAAAAAATAAGTTATAAAGGTTTATAAATAAATTTAAAAATATTTAAAAATGTTTTACATTTATAAACAAGATTTAAAAAATTCACAAGCCCTTAAAATAATTGCTAAAATTTCCCATTTTAAAAATAATTTCAGTAATGAAAGAGACCTAGAGATGAACTACACTTATAAATCTATAAATTGAATAGCAAATGTTAAAAATGAGCTTCAGAAGTTTTCTCTGCACAAAAAAGAAGACAAAAGAAGTCATTAAAAACCTACATTCATTTTTAATTACAAGTCAGATATTATTTAACACAGCAATAATATGGCCCCTTTCATGTAATGTACAGAATTCAAAGGAACCACAGGATGTCATGTCATTTATTCTCCGAAGTGGAATGCAATCAGTTCTGAAGATAATACTGATTAATTTGAGCCAGGCTTCCACCTACATCCCCTATGCAAATAAACTTTACAAAGCCTTTCATTACATCATATACAAATATTTCTTCTCTTCATCAGTCATATACTAATTATAGAGGCTCAACAAGGTAAGTTTAGACTGACAAATATCTATGCTTATTATTATAGATTCACAAAGAACTCCTTCTTCCTTATTAGTCAGATAATGTTCTTTCCTTTTACCCTGTAGACAAAGGATGTGATTCATTAGGAAGTATTCCCCAACAGAGAAAATGTTTATGTAAGCTTATTCATGTGTTCTTTTCAAATGCAAGGTAATTTAAATTTTCTTTAAATGGTTTTTTTCTTAAGAGAGTAGAAAAAAAGGAAACAGATGTTTTCATCACAAACACCATTTACCAACCAACCCAAAATGCATGGCCATTTATATTAAACAAGAAAACAAGTAGAATATGTGATTGCCTACATTTGTGCCAGTATAAATTCATTGTCCTTACTGTCAAATGAACTCCTGATGCTGCCTAAAAAAAATAGACCATGTTTATTTTCTCAATTCAACCCATCACCCTTCAAAATGACTATTTTACTCTTTTACCACAAACACAACTCTGTATTTCCCTCTTCTATCCTTACTCTTTGTCTCTTTCTTCCCTGAAACAAACAAAAGCCAAGACAGGAAACTGTACCGCATCCTTCTCTAGTCAACCTAATGCCAGTCTTTACTATGGCCACTTCCCCCACCTGTGGAGGAACATTTCAAAGTCAATTACGCAGTTTCTTCTACCTAAAACAAATTTTACATGTGCTACCATTTTCCTGATTTTGTGTTTCCTTCTAAACTCTTCAGTAAGATTGTCAACATTACCAATCCTAAGTCTCCCTCTCTTATTCCTCTACACAGTCCAATTCCATTGCTGCTTGCATGACTTGACCAATTCAGCTGCATTCACTACTGAAACAAAAGAGCTAATCACTACTTTGTTCCTATTGCAGACATTATTTATTGACAGTGTAAGATTACTAGACACAATCTAGCACACTCTTTAAACACACACACACACACACATACATACACACACACACACACACACACACGCAGTTTTCCATGTGCTACCAGTTGGGTTCCCAGGGAAGGAGAATGTCAGATGGCTACTAACAAGAAGGATGTCTTTTATGGAATTCTCTTGGGATCAATAGCTAGGAAAGTAGAGAGAAGCATGGTAGGACAAGGAGAGAAAGTGGGCCGGATGCAGCTTCAGCCCATGGGGACACTGGTGTTAAAATAACACTTCAGAGTTGTATAAAGGCCAAGTTCTAGTTGGAACGGGTAGACTGTGCCTTCCTAACCCTATATTGATCAGTCATGGGTTGCAGGTAGTTGAGGCCACCCTTAAGAGGGCAGTAATCACAGCACCCATCATACAATGTAATCTCATTCTAAGATGTTCCTTACACCTCTATAATTCTTGCTTCTAGATTGTTCATTACCAGATCCTACTTTCCTACTTAATTTTAAAGTGTTGAAGTTCCTCATAATTTCTTTTCCCCACTCTTCTTGCAATATACACTCAATGCAATCTCACCTACTCCTATTCTTTCCTTTAATAATGATAGACTGAAGTAACCCAAATTTATATCTGTACCAGATATTTCTTCTAGCTCTAGACATATATTTGCAAAACCTACTTGTAGAATTCTACTCATGATCTTCCCCTACTTCCTGTTCTTTCCCAAACAATCTTTCTTTTTTCTTGCTCCACAAACAGAAACTAGAATGATTTCTCTAAAAATACAAATGAGGTCAAGTTACCCTTCTGCTGAAACTTTCCGGTATCTTCCCAGTACCCTTCAGATAAGGTAAGAACATTCTTAAAATGACTCTTTCAAAGCTCTGCATATTCTGATCTATATTTCTTCCTTAAGTTCCTCTCTAGGTTAATTTTACTTATTCATACTTCCTCCTTGACCCCTGTCATTCAGCGAATCTTTCTTTGTTTTTAAAGTATCAGCTTAAATGGCACTTCTTTAAAAACTCATATTCATTGTCCAAGGGTAGTTAAGGATTTTGTTCTATAATATCACTCTATCTTTGTGTTTATTCAAATGACAAAATTATTTACTTTATTCTTTTCTTTCATATATTTTTCTCCTGTTTGACTGTGAGTTTCAAGGGGGCAGGGGAACAGATTATCCTATTTTTTTGTTGTTGTTTTTAGTCAATCCCCAGTGCCTAGAATAAGGCTTGATACACAGAAAACATTTTATGTATGTATGTACTGAGTAAAGCAGTATGATTGAAGAATGCATAAATAGTGATTGGAAAATGAACATGCGAATCCCAGCACTTTGGGAGTCCGAGGAGGGCAGATCACGAGGTCAGGAGTTCGAGACCAGCCCAGCCAACAAGTGAAACCCCGTCTCTAGTAAAAATACAAAAATTAGCCAGGCATGGTGGTGGTCACCTGTAATCCCAGCTGCTTGGGAGGCTGAGGCAGCAGAATCGCTTGAAGCCAGGAGGCGGAGGTTGCAGTGAGCCGAGATCGCGCCACTGCACTCCAGCCTGGGAAACAGAGTGATACTCTGTCTAAAAAAAAAAAAAAAAGAAAAAAGAAAATGTACATGCATTTTTAATTTAGCATGTGTTTCTACCACTGAATACAGTATGGGCAACATAGGAATATGTATCAGGATGATGCAGATGAGTAAATAATTCTGAATTATTTAATAGGATTTACAGCTAGGATTATTTTCAAAGGCCTATTGATATACAATGGAGATGGATGAGCATATAGTACTTAAGGGCAGAAGAAAATCTCACTGACAAATAGGGAGTCGAAATCAGAAGACAACAAAGAGGATGGCAAGATAATTGCTTTTCCAAAGTAATATAAATGAACACACTGAAAAACAAGCATGGGTAAGTTCGCTATGGTAAAATGTCCAATTATATACTGGGAAGTAAATGGAAAGGTTTATCTTAATTTTCGAGGTGAATAGAGATCTACAGGGATAAATAATATTTTATAGATGAGAAAACACATGTGAAAAAGTGGAGAAATGGCCGGGCACAGTGGCTCATGCCTGTAATCCCAGCACTTTGGGAGGCCGAGGTGGGCAGATCACCTGAGGTCGGGAGTTCGAGACCAGCCTCACCAACATGGAGAAATCCCGTCTCTACTAAAAATACAAAATTAGCTGGGTACGGTGGTGCATGCCTGTAATCCCAGCTACTAGGGAGGCTGAGGCAGGAGAATCACTTGAGCCTGGGAGGCAGAGGTTGCGGTGAGCCGAGATCACGCCATTGAGCTCCAGCCTGGGCAACAAGAGTGAAACTCTGTTTCAAAAAAAAGAAAAAAGGGAGAAACTTGCCCCAAATCATTTGGTTAAAAAGTAGCATATTTAAAATGTGAACCAGCCTGGCGCATTGGCTCACGCCTGTAATCCCAGCACTTTGGGAGGCCAAGGCAGGCAGATCACCTGAGGTCAGGAGTTCGAGACCAGCCTGACCAACATGGTGAAACCCCATCTCTACTAAAAATACAAAAATTAACTGGGCGTGGTGGCAGGTGCCTGTAATCCCAGCTACTTGGGAGGTTGAGGCAGGAGAATCACTTGAACCCGGGAGGCGGCGGTTGCAGTGAGCTGAGATCACTCCACTGCACTCCAGCCTGGGCGACAGAGTGAGACCAGGTCTCAAAAAAAAAGTGAGCCAATTTCTTTCTAACCTCCAAATGCACAATATTCCACGACATCATCCCTACACCAAAGAAATGTGTAGAAGTTTATAAAAATGGTTATTAATTGATTTTTTTTCAGCACCAGAATCAACTATCCTGACTCTAGCTTTAGAAATGTAAGTTAAAAAAAAGAGGAAAATAACTTTGAAGGAAGTAATTCTTCGAAAGCTGTTAGGACAATACAATGATTTGAGGGTCTTGCGTTTTTCCATGAAAAGGTGGAGCTAAGTCTGTTTTAGAGGGTGAAGGAGACACAGGAGTTAAAAATGTGCCAACACCGTGGCCCTTGGAAATAACTTGTAAGATCAGATGAAAATCGCAATCAAGACTGTCACTTTTTGATGAGATTGTTTTCAATCGATAATGAGTGCAGGCCCCCAAATGTGTATGGGAATTATGTGGCATATCAAGGTACATTTCTGCAAAACATACTCGGTGCAATATGGCTTGTGGATTCAACATTCCTTTATATAATTGCACTCAACTAATGTATGCCTTGGAAAGCAAGCACATCAAACATTATGTCTTAACAGACTTCTGAAAGAAAAATTGGAGTTGCTGGTGGCTCTTAAACAGTCTGCTGGTTATTTTATGGCATAGAGGAGAAAATCTACCCTGGAGAAAATCTAGCCTAGCGCATCCTCAGACTGATCACAGTCACCTTCTAATCATGCTTCCAGTCTTAATTAAAAAAACAAACAAACAAACAGAGAATCATACATGAGTTCTGTTCTGAATCATACTGGGATAATCCATGCTGAGATAATACTTATGCATCTGTCTTAGAACATGTCTAGAATATTTGTTACTAGGAAGACTCAGTATCAAAAGGGATTTTGGCATATGCGCATTAATTCAGCAAGCCTTATTTCTTAAATACCAAATATGTGCCAGACATTGTCCTAGGAAGAGAGGATTTAGAAAAAAAAAAAAAAAGATATATTTACATGTAGTCCAGCCATAGAAAAAGATAGGTAAGTAATTAAATGCAGGAGTATACTATAGCTTCAAAGATAAAACATATGAAGGTCTAGAAATTAGCACACATGGGATAAAACAGTCACTTCTATGTAAGAGGAGGCGATTATAAAGAAGATTCACATCAGATACAGTATTGAGCGAAGGTTAAAGAGAGAAGCACTGTTCTTGGACCAAGTTTTCTGGGAGGTGGGAGAGTAAAAGAAATCAGAGACCAAAGGAAGATACAACAGAGAGCGCTGAACTAGCAGCCTTGCAGGCCTCACCCAGACTGTAATCTGAGAAAATTACAGGCAGTTTGATTGGCTGGGGCACAGGCCATGAGGTGGGGCATGATGAATGATAGCTGGAACCAGGCAAGGCTCATAAATGTCACACGAAGGAATTTTCACTTTTTTCTACCAGCCACTGGAAGAAATTGAAGAGCTTAAAGCAAGATAATGGCACATCACCAAAAACATGGATTTGAGGTGATAAGACAAGAAGAAGTTACTGTAGCGGAAGCATTAGGAAGTAGAATTGTATAATTTAACTGCAAAATAAATATTTTTCCTACCCCCACAAAAACATTCTAACACACAGAACTAATGTGGGTTATTAATTATTTCACATTGTTCCCTAATGAAACAACATACTTTCAACTTTGTTCTTTCAGTTCTGAGTGTGCTTATCTGCAAGGATACATAACCTAGTCTCCACATCTTATCATAGAAAATTAGTATAGGTGACTTGTCTATTTCACACGGGGAGAAAAATATAATAGAAATAGATGCATTTAGTCCTTCTGAATTAACCAGCTAAGCTACTTGAGGAGAAGGAGATTATATCAAAATTTTAAACTTTTAAAACTAATTTAACATTATAACCACAAACGAGCAGATACATATTTTTTTTCCTTCAGGAAATAATTTAGAGAAAAACTTAAAATCCATGCTCCTGCCTTATTCAAAGCAAAATGATATTGGGTGCAGCTATTCATTTCAAAGGCCACTGCAAATGACCCATGAAAGCAGAGTGCTAGAGTGATGAAAACTGCCCACCAATGCTCATGCCTATGCCCCTTTTCTAAGGTGTTTGCCACCCTCCTGTCAAGAGGTGAAGTCTATTTCTTTAACTCCTGAATCTGGGTTGCCCATGTGGCTTGCTTTGATCAATGAAATGTCACGGAAGTTATGTTCTAGGACTTTTGAGCTCAGGTATTCAGTTTCTACTTTCCCTTTCGGAATTCAGCTCCACATAAAGAATTCCAGGATCTCCTATTAAGGAGGGTAACCACACGGAGAGACGGGAGGGTGACAGGCCGCAGGTAGAAACACAATCTACATGGAAGAGACCCATGGTGTTCCAGACAACAGCAAGTACCCATGCCACACGTGTGAATGAGGCCAATGGGTTCCACTAGCTCCAGGTGAGCTGTCCCAGCCAAAACCATTCAATCATGGACGAGTTATCTCTTCTTCATCCTGCCCATATTGCTGTCTCATGACATCGTACCCAATAAAATGGCTGTGATTTGAAGTCATTAAGCTTTGGGGTGGTTTATTACATAGCAACATATAAATAACAATGAGTAGTAAAATGCTTATTGCTAACTTTTCAGTGTAAAATTCCAGTGGCAGACCATGATGCCATGTAGAAAATATCTGGCTCAATTCGTACAAAAATGGCACAGCATGTGGGACTCAGAGGAAACACCACAGTAGCAGGCCCTATATGCACAGCAGGACACACAGGAAGCCAGTGTCCAAAGAGCTGAAGGTGACCCTAGGCCTTTTAGTATTCACACTAAGAAGTAAAAGCAATAGCACAGCATATCCTGGTCGGTGATATGTCTGTGTGTGTGTGTGTGTGTGTATGTGTCACAGCTACATTAGACCAGACCACGTGGTAATATTGTCTAAAGAAAGAAATAGAAAATACATAGAAAGCTCTAAACTTGTTTTTCTTTAGAAGTTATGTCCCAACCATGATAAAAGTACCATATTTTTCCCCCCTGAGGAAACAAAGAAAAAACAACAATAACATTTCTCCCCATTTTTTTTTTTTGCTGTTATATCCATTTTACGATGTTTTGGAAGTACTATTTATTCTTACTTTTAAAGCCAGTCAGAATGTGTTTGGGTTTCTCTTATTTCTGTCTTTTTAAGGCTTCAACATAAAAGTTCTTTAGTATATCACACATTGCAATATTAAAAGAAAACACTATCTTGTCTAAACAAGCAGTATCATATAATATCCAATTGAAACTAACTTCAATGTGTGTGATATGAATATTGCTTTTTGAAAACTTTATGGTCTGTTTGGACCACTCAATACGTAATTTTTAAACTAGCATGCCATAGTGTTTAAACAGTTTTTACATTAGAAATGTAAGAAGTGCTACTACTCCTCAGCAAATGTAAAAGAACAGAAATTACAACAAACTATCTCTAAGACCACAATGCAATCAAATTAGAACTCAAGATTAAGAAACTCACTCAAAACTGCACAACTACATGGAAACTAAACAACCTGCTCCTGAATGACTACTGGAAAAATAACAAAATGAAGGCAGAAATAAAGATGTTCTTTGAAACCAATGAGAACAAAGACACAACATACCAGAATTTCTGGGACACACTTAAAGCAGTGCGTAGAGGGAAATTTATAGCACTAAATGCCCACAAGAGAAAGCAGGACAGATCTAAAATTGACACCCTAACATCACAATTAAAAGAACTAGAGAAGCAAGAGCAAACACATTCAAAAGCTAGCAGAAGGCAGGAAATAGCTAAGATCAGAGCAGAACTGAAGGAGATAAAGACACAAAAAACCCCTCAAAAAATCAATGAATCCAAGCGCTGGTTTTTTTGAAAGATCAACAAAGTAGATAGACCACTAGCAAGACCAATAAAGAAGAAAAGAGAGAAGAATCAAATAGACGCAATAAAAAATGATAAAGGGGATATCACCACCGATCCCACAGAAATACAAACTACCATCAGAGAATACTATAAACACCTCTCTGCAAATAAATTAGAAAATCTAGAAGAAATGGATAAATTCCTGGACACATACACCCTCCCAAGACTAAACCAGGAAGAAGTTGAATGTCTGAATAGACCAATAACAGGCTCTAAAATTGAGGCAATAATTAATAGCTTACCAACCAAAAAAAGTCCAGGATTCACAGCTGAATTCTACCAGAGGTACAAAGAGGAGCTGGTACCATTCCTTCTGAAACTATTCCAATCAATAGGAAAAGAAGGAATCCTCCCTAACTCATTTTATGAGGCCAGTATCATCCTGATACCAAAGCCTGGCAGAAACACAATAAAAAAAAAGAGAATTTTAGACCAATATCCCTGATGAACATCGATGCAAAAATCCTCAATAAAATACTGGCAAACCAAATACAGCAGCACATCAAAAAGCTTATCCACCAAGATCGAGTTGGCTTCATCCCTGGGATGCAAGGCTGGTTTAACATATGCAAATCAATAAATGTAATCCATCACATAAACAGAACCAAAGACAAAAACCACACGATTATCTCAATAGATTCAGAAAAGGCCTTTGACAAAATTCAACAGCCCTTCATGCTAAAAACTCTTAATAAATTCGGTATTGATGGGACCTATCTCAAAATAATAAGAGCTATTTATGACAAACCCACAGCCAATATCTTACTGACTGGGCAAAAACTGTAGGCATTCCCTTTGAAAACTGGCACAAGACAGGGATGCCTTCTCTCACCACTCCTATTCAACATAGTGTTGGAAGTTCTGGCCAGGGCAATCAGGCAAGAGAAAGAAATAAAGGGTATTCAATTAGGAAAAGAGGAATTCAAATTGTCCCTGTTTGCATATGACATGATTTATATTTAGAAAACCCCATCATCTCAGCCCAAAATCTCCTTAAGCTGATAAGTAACTTCAGCAAAGTCTCAGGATACAAAATCAATGTGCAAAAATCACAAGCACTCCTATACACCAATAACAAACAGAGAGCCAAATCATGAGGGAACTCCCATTCACAACTGCTATGAAGAGAATAAAATACCTAAGAATCCAATTCACAAGGGATGTGAAGGACCTCTTCAGAGAGAACTATAAACCACTGCTCAACGAAATAAAAGAGGACACAAACAAATGGAAGAACATTCCATGCTCACGAATAGGAAGAATCAATATTGTGAAAATGGCCATACTCCCCAAGGTAATTTATAGATTCAGTGCCATCCCCATCAAGCTACCAATGACTTTCTTCACAGAATTGGAAAAAACTACTTTAAAGTTCATATGGAACCAAAAAAGAGCCTGTATTGCCAAGACAATCCTAAGCAAAAACAACAAAGCTGGAGGCATCACGCTACCTGACTTCAAACTATACTATAAGGCTACAGTAACCAAAACAGCATGGTACTGGTACCAAAACAGATACATAGAACAATGGAACAGAACAGAGGCCTCAGAAATAACATCACACATCTACAACCATCTGATCTTTGACAAACCTGACAAATACAAGAAATGGGGAAAGGATTTCCTATTTAATAAATGTTGCTGGGAAAACTGGCTAGCCATATGTAGAAAGCTGAAACTGGATCCCTTCCTTACACCTTATACAAAAACTAATTCAACATGGATTAAAGACTTACATGTTAGACCTAAAACCATAAAAACCATAGAAGAAAACCTGGGCAATACCATTCAGGACATAGGCATGGGCAAGGACTTCATGACTAAAACACCAAAAGCAACGGCATCAAAAGCCAAGATAGATGAATGGGATCTAATTAAACTAAAGAGCTTCTGCCCAGCAAAAGAAACTGCCATCAGAGTGAACAGGCAATCTACAGAACGGGAGAAAATTTTTGCAATCTACACATCTGACAAAGGGCTAATTTCCAGAATCTACAAGGAACTTAAACAAATTTACAAGAAAAAAGCAAACGACCCCATCAAAAAGTGGGCAAAGGATATGAACAGACACTTTTCAAAAGAAGACATTTATTCAGCCAACAGACACATGAAAAAATGCTCATCATCACTGGTCATCAGAGAAATGCAAATCAAAACCACAATGAGATACCATCTCACACCAGTTAGAATGGCAATCATTAAAAAGTCAGGAAACAACAGGTGCTGGAGAGGATGTGGAGAAATAGGAACACTTTTACACTGTTGGTGGGACTGTAAACTAGTTCAACCATTGTGGAAGACAGTGTGGTGATTCCTCAAGGATCTCTAACTAGAAATACCATTTGACCCAGCAATTCCATTACTGGGTATGTACCCAAAGGATTATAAATCATGCTACTATAAAGACACATGCACACATATGTTTATTGTGGCACTGTTCACAATAGCAAAGACTTGGAACCAACCCAAGTGTCCATCAATGATAGACTGGATTAACAAAATGTGGCACATATACACCATGGAATACTATGCAGCCGTAAAAAGGATTAGTTCATGTCCTTTGTAGGGACATGGATGAAGCTGGAAACCATCATTCTGAGCAAACTGTCACAAAGACAGAAAACCAAACACCACATGTTCTCACTCACAGGTGAGAATTGAACAATGAGAACACTTGAACACTGGGTGGGGAACATCACACACCAGAGCCTGTCATGGGGTTGGGGAATGGGGGGAGGGATAGCTTTAGGAGAAATACTTAATGTAAATGACGATTTAATGGGTACAGCACACCAACATGGCACATGTATACATATGTAACAAACCTGCACATTGTGCACATGTACCCTAGAACTTAAAGTATAATAATAATAATAAAGAAATGTAAGAAGTGCTAAATTATAGATTTTCAAATATTTAGGAGACATTAATATAATACCATGTTTTTTCTGAACACTTATTAAACACAGTTAACAAAAACAAATAGAAATGATAAAGTTTTGTTAATTTTTCATGTTAACTTCCATTTTTAATTAATTTCTGGCTTGAAACCATTGGAAATTTGTTTTTAACAAAAAAACTAAATATATTAGGTCCTTGATAGAATTCTTTTCCTCCAAAGAATATCCCCATCCCCTACTTTTAGCTAAACTGTCATAAGAATAATATGTTCTTTTTTTTCAGATGCTTCTTGTTCCAGAACTGTATACACAAGTTGGATGACTAAACTGATATTTGCATAACAAGAAAAGTGGTCTTTAGACAATTTGGCAAATATGCTCATAGCATCACTGCCAGGAACTAGCCCCCAAAATAGGATCACAGCAGAGTTGGAATGCCAGTGATAGGGCTTTAATTCCAAGCACACAACCAGTTAGAGAACACATTCAAATAACCCAGGCCTTTTTTTATGTAAAAATTTTTAATAATCATGGCATTTTTCAATGCAAATTTAAAATCTAGTCAGTAGCTTATGTTATTAAGAGACTTCATGGTTTTGACAGGTAATGATCTTTGGTAGAAAGGTCCTCCTCCTCTTCCTTCTTAGGTCTATTCTTGATTCTGAAATTCACACCACTGGAATTTTATACCGCACCATAGTTAAACATTTTTTTCTTAATTTTTCTATATTGCATTTTCCTGAAGATTTCTTTAATGCATGCCCTAGTTCTTTGGAGATTTTCAATGTCTGTTTAACAGCTTTCCTTATTCATTAGCAACTTCCTTTAGAATCTAACAAGTCTCTTATGATCCTGGAGTTCTGTCAATTGTGGTAATTTTTTCATGTTTTTATCACATGGTTGGTAATATTTCTGTTACTTTTTAACCTCACTTAGAAGCTTAATATAACTACTAAAAAGGTTATATAACTCTTATTAGTGTCTTCATCTTTTGTCATTATGAGTGGCCTAACCCCTCCATAGATAATTTGAGCCTATGATTTTTCATGGAAGAGGGCCTAGTTTACCTTCATGTATTATTATCCTCTCATATTTGCTCTATCAGTATATATTTGAATATGGTTTAATTCTATAGCATGTATTTTATTTCTTTCACGTGTTTTATTGTGCTTATGTTTGGATTTCTTCTCATCTGAGAAAGGATTGATTTTCTCATCTCAGTATATTTTTAATAAAATCATAGCTAAGAAAGAACATTTCATCCATCTAAAAGCTAACTTCCTTTCTTTTATTTTGTCTTGAAAAATACTACACCCACACTTTTTGCCAATAGCCTAAGACATTTAGCCATATTAATCTATCCTATTGGCTCCTTGGCTTTGATTGATGGACTAACAAAAATAGGTTGCTTGATGTTTCCAGAAAAAGTATCCTACCCTCATCTGTCTAAAGTATTCCTAACATAGGATTGTCAGATTTAGCAAATAAAAATAGAGGATTTCTACTTAAATTTCAATTTCATGTAAAAAACAAATAACTTTTTAGTACAAGAACATCTTAAATACTTAGTGGCTTATCTGAAGTTCAAATTTAAATGGGTGTCCTGTAAGTTACCAGGCAATCCTGTCCTAATGGAATAATATTTAAATCTCTCTTTAGCTTTTCCTCCAAATGTTGATTAAAAATTTTCTGAGAAAATCATTAGTTTTATCTCCAGAAGCAAGACACTGTTGTCAGAAAAGGATGGGTTTCATTTTATATTATTTTCATGTACTTGATTATTTATGATATTAGAACTGGGATCTCAGGAGTGGCCTTGCGTAGCAACCAACAGTGGCTCACCATTGGTTGCTCTTTAGGAAAGAGGGTCATAAGCCCCCTTTTGCTCACTTCCCTGCCCCTTGAAATTAACTTATTAATTGAAATTAAAAGCATTGCATGCCTACTCTACAATGAATATTGTAATGTCAAGGATCCCAAACAAGCAGCAAGATTCTGTCCACCAGAAATGTTAAGCCTATGTAAAATGGGGGCAGGTGACTGGGAGGTACAAGAATATGCTCTTTGTATTGATTTTAGTACCTGAACCTATGTGCTTTAATTGAGTTATACTTACCTATAAATCGATGCTCCCATCATTGAAAACAGCTTATGCTGTTACAGAATACATTGCATAAGTGTATGGATTTCTTTACAGTCAACAAAAGGGTAAATGTGACATGAAGAAGAAAAAATATGCTAACTAAATGAAAATTGGGAGTCATAAAAATATTTTTATAGAACGATAGAAATGATTGAAATCTCTTTTGGTGGGCTTTCTTTGCATCAGTACTACAAATGTTGGATTGTCCCAGCGCAGTCCTCAGACATCTCTGTAATCAGTATCTTGTCAGAGATCCTTGAAGAGGGGTTCTGGAGAGCCCTGGAAGGTCCTTGAGACCTCTCGAGGCAGTCCAAAATGTCTTCCCCAAATGACTTGGCCCTTTTCACTCAAATATCTATATAAAGTCTCCCCTTAGACAGATCTTCTCTGACAACCCATTAGAAAATAGCAGCCTCTGTTACTTCATCACCTTCCCTACTTCACATTTTGTATAGTTCTGTTGCAACCTGAAATAAAATAAGTTAAACCAAAATATAAATAACACATTTGTTTATATGGGATCTCCACACAAGCTCAAAGAATGTAAGAACATGTACTTTTGTTTATTACTTTATCTCCAACACATTCAATAGTACATACCATATTGCATGTCTACAGAAATCATTCATAATTTTTTTGTACAATGAATGTATTTTATCTGATAGTTTTTCTTGGCAGTGAAAATATGCTTTTTCCTTACAGCTGCTCTTATTGAAGGACATTCCTCTTAAGTGAGTTTCCTCACTCCAGTAATTCAAGAAGAAAAAGTGTATATAGAGAAAAAGCATTAATAGTATTTTATAACTTATTCCTAAGAAAGGGTTGATTAAATTTTTATCATTAGTGCAGCAATGAAATTTCTTTTAAACTCTGAAAATGAAGGTGCATTCAGTGCCTTATATTTTCAATGCCTTGCATAGACCAAAAATAGATAAAAACAAGAAACAGTAGGAAAGTAATATTGTATAAGCCAATCTCTAATAGAGTCACAATAAAACAAATTAATGTTTGAGATTATCACCATTACGTCAAATCTATATCTTGAGCTTCAAAATACTTCATTCATTCAATGGTTAATCGGTCACTGACTACTGTAGGCAAGGTACTGGGGAGCCAAAAGAGAAATTAATCATGGTCATCAATTTAAAAACCAAAAACTCTGTCAGCCAAGTATATGCAACAGTTTTGCAGAATAAATACAGTGAGATTGGTTTTAGACAAAGAGAAATTTCAGTTTCCAGAATATTGGGGAGAAAATGTCTAATAGGATGGTAGAGCTCATGTAGAAATTCTGGACTGGAAAAATGGATTTGGCCATCATTAGCATAGGACTAGATGCCACTGAAGTGGCAGAGATCACTTAGAATAAATGGTAAACAAAAAAGAGGCCTTACTTCCTTGAGATTCTTGTGACTAGGAGCCAGACATTACAGAGCATGGAAAATATTTTGTAAGGTAGAATTACTGAAGATGGCCTTTTTCTCTGAGATATGCTGACACGCTTAATGTGGGCTTTCTTTACAACAATGTGATCATTCCAACAACTACTAATTCCATGATGTTTTTAGAGTTTACAAATGTATTACTATAGTGAGTTTTATTGTATCTGAGCCTCATGAGAGACTCAGATTATTCCTATTTTATGCAAAACTTCAAAAAGTTTAAATGAAAGGTCACAAATAGATGATTGATATCTAATCCACAGCTCTTGGATGATCTATAGTGTCAATGTTTTCAATAAAGAGAAGGTGATTTTCACCCTGCCCTTCACTTCTAGTTTTTCCTAATTATTCTATATGACTTTATTGAAAGCTTCACTTCAAAATCAATCTCTCCCCTTCTCTAGCTATCTTTCCCAATAAGGATAATTGTGAGGAAGTTCCCATAGCTACGTAACACCCTCTAATTCCCAAGACTTTGTGAATGTTTCTGACTATTAATTTTGAAGACATCCCAGAAATAGAGTTTAAGTTTGATTATAAAAAAACAATAACATCTTGGCTATGACTATATTTAAATATTTAGCATTATTTAAAATTAATTTTCTGCAAAAAATTCTTGGAGGGAAATGAGAACAAGAGTTTATTTAAGAAGTAGTATTTTATTATTTTTTTCTACAGATCGACTTACTAACACTATGGTTCTCCATAGAAATAAATAAAATTCACATATATAAAAAACTGTAGAGAATATTAAATATGCCAAATAAAGAATTCCTTTAAGCATATATATATACACACATATATATAATATATATATATATACGCACACACACACATACATATACTTTTATGCCTGCCCAGAAAGGTGAGTTTGTCACTGCTTAGAGATTGCTGAAAGCAAAATGAAAGAGTTCCATCAAGTGGTCATATCAAGACATAGCAGTTAGTATTTCACCAATACAAAGAGGAAAACAATTTCTCTGAAATCTAGTTCAGACATACATTTCCAACCGAGCTATCAAAATTTTATGCCATGCAACATTAGAAAACACAATTAAATGCATTTTAAACATTATTACTAATTCATTTTTCCAATTCATTTTTAAACTGCAAAGAAAATAGAATCTATGTAATTTTTATTTGTTGTGTTTTTTATATCGAATACTCTTTCCATATAGCTTCCAGTTGAAAATGCGTGGTTATAATCTTAATTTGCATGTTATAGTCATCTTTTTAAATTAGCAGGTAAACCACAGGTAACACTAAACTAAGTATTTGGATTGCACCAAAAATTCAGAAACTAACTACTTGCAAATGACCTATACATTTTAAAATAGTACAAAATAAATACAAAGAAAACTCGACTCAAGGTTTTTAAAAAAAAAAAATAAGTTCTAAAACATAAACATGAGTTAACTTGCTTCTTTTAATAACCTAAATTAAAGTTTTTGCCTTGCCAAATTTCATCTCCTTCATAACGATAGACAAAACAGGCGTCTTTCCTTTTAAAGTATAATCGATTTAAGGGGTCATTTTCTCATTATTCTGGAAAAACAGTCATGGCTCATTTTAATGTTATAAGTGCTACTTCTAAATATATATTACAGATTAAGATTTGTTTCTTGCTTAATAAAGCAGTAGTTCATTTAAGCAACCATTGTTTAATTAAAGAAAACATTCTGAATATAATATATATATAACTAATGAGATGATGTTAAACAATAGATTTTTATATAAAACCTATGAAATATATATTATCTAGACATAAAATTGGAAGCAATGTATTTAATGATTAAGATCGTGGGTTATGGCATCAGAGAGATTTGATTTGGATCTAATCTCTTCCACTTTTTTTCTCTGTAACCTGGAGCAATGGCAAGCGTACCTTGTTTTATTGCACTTTTCTTGTAGATACTGTGTTTTTTACAAATTGAAGGTTTGTGGCCAGCCTGCCTTGAGCAATTCTATTCACACCAATTTTTCCAACAGCATGTGATCACTTTTGGTTTCTGTGTCATATTCCAGTAATTCTCACAATATTTCAGATTTTTTCATTGTCATTATATTGTTATGGTTATATTTATAGTTATGGTTATATATATAGTTATAGTTATCTGTGATCAACGATCTTTTATGTCACTATTGTAATTGTTTGTGGGGCACCATACACTCTGCACATATAAGATAGTGAACTTAATTAATATCATGTGTGTTCTCAGTTCTTTAGCAACTAACTGTTCTTCCATCTCTCTTCTTCTCCTCAAGCCTCACTATTCGCTGAGACACAACAATATTAAAATTAAACCAATTAATAACCCTACAATGGCCTGTAAGTGTTCACGTGAAAAGAAAAGCATCATACATCTCTCACTTTAAGTCAAAAGCTGGAAATGATTAAACTTAATGAAGAAGGCATGTTGAAAGCTGAGAGAGGCTAAAAGCTAGGTCTCTTATAACAGCCAACTTACGAACACAAGGGAAAAGTTCTTGAAGGTAATTGAAAGTGCTACTACAGTGAACAAATGAACGATAAAGAATGTAAAACACACTTGTCGCTGATATGAAGAATGTTTTATTAGTCTGGATAGAAAATCAAAGCAACTACAACAAGGCCCAAGTTATCTTCAATTCTCTTCAGGCTGAGAGAGATGAAGAAGAAAAATTGGAAGCTAGAAGAAGTTGGTTAATAATTTTTAAGGAAAGAAGCCATCTCCAAAATAAAAAAAAGTGCAAGGTGAACTAGTGTGTGCTGATATAGAAGCTTTAGCACATAATCCAGTAAATCTAGCTAAGATAATAGATGAAGGTGGCTTCGCTAAACAAGAGATTTTCAGTGTAGATGAAACAGACTTATATTGAAATAAAATGCTGTCTAGGACATTCATGGCTAGAAAATAAGTCAATGCCTGGCTTTAAAGCTTCAAAGGACAGGGTGACACTCTTTGTAGGGGCTAATGCAGCTGGTAAATTGAAGTTGAAGCCAATATTCATTTACCATTCTGAAAATAGTAAAAATTATGCTAAATCTACTGTGCCTGTACTCTATAAATGGAGCAAAGTCTGAATGACAGTATATCTGTTAACAGTATGGTCTACTGGATATTTTTATCCCGCTCTTGAGACCTACTGCTCAGAAAAAAGAGTCCTTTCAAAATATTGCTGTTCATTGACAATGTACCTGAACACCCAAGAGTTCTGATGGAGATGAACAATGATATTAATGTGTTTATGCTCGTTAACACAACATCCATTCTGTAGCCGCTGAATCAAGGAGTAATTTCAACTTTCAAGTTTTATTACATAAGAACTAAATATGATAAGGTTATTGCTGCCATAATGACTCCTCTGATGAATCTGGGTAAAGTAAATTGAAAATCTTCTGGAAAGGATTCACTACTCTAGATGACACTAAGGACATTTGTGATTCTTGGGAGGAGTCCAAAATATCAACAATAACAGGAGTTTAGAAGAAGTTGAGTCCAACTCTCATAGATGACTTTGAGGGGTTTAACTCTTCAGAGGAAGTAAATGCAGATGTGGTGGAAACAGCAAGACAACTAGAATTAGAAGTGGAGCCTGAAGATGTGACTGAGTTGCTGCAGTTTCAAGATACAATTTTAATGCATTAGGAGTTGTTTCTTACAGATGAGCAAAGAAAGTCATTCCTTGAGATAGAAACTACTCCTGGTAATGATGCTGTAAACATTCTTGAAATAACAACAAAGAATTTAGAATATTACAGAAACTTAGTTGATAGAGCAGTGGCAGAATTTGGGTTTGAAAGAAGTTCTACTGTGGGGAAAAAGCTATCAAACAGCATCACATGCTACCAAAAAAAAAAAAAAATCTTTCACGAAAGGAAAAGTCAACCAATGTGGCAAACTTCATTGCTGCCTTGTTAGAAGAAATTGCCACAGCCACATTAACCTTCAGAAACCACCACCCTGATTGGTCAGCTGCCATCAACATTGGGACCAAACCCTTTACCTGTGAAAAATCACAACTTGATGAAGGAATAGATAATCGTTAGCATTTTAGCAATAACGTATATTAAAATTAAAGTATGTGCATTGTTTTTAGACATACTTCTATTGCACACTCAGCTGGTTATATTGTAATGTAAACATGAACTTTTTTATGCATTGGAAAACCAACAAATTTGTATGACTCACTTTATTGCAATGTTTGCTTTATTGCAGTGGTCTGGAACTGAATCTGCAATATCTCCAAGGTACGCCTGTATATCTTCATGTATAATAGGGACGTAATTCTACTGATACAGGTATGGCAGAGCTTAGATAATGTCTCTTATATCAAGCATCTAGATTAGTAGCTGACTATCATCAAAATGAAAACACATGTTTGGGAAATAATGTTTCCATTGTTCTATCTTGTTATTGGTAGGTGAGAGTGGTGGTGAACTTTCACCTCAAATTGTTTGATTTAAATAGTTGAAAAAATATAAACAAGTAAGGAGACAAAAGACAAATGTATTGCTTCTATGATGGCAATATGATCATATTTTTTCCGAGTGCTCTATGACCTTCCTCCAATCTAGGCAATATTTTGGACTCACATTTCCATTTCCACTAGAATTCATAGAGAGATTCACACTGTTACCCTTCTTTCTCTGTTTTGGAAATTTGCAGTGATAATAAGCTGATTTAAAATCCTTACTTAATATCAAGAACAACTCTTCCTGTCAACATGGTAATAAAATGAACACTGAGGATGAAGAAAGAGAGAGAGAGAATGATAAAGTGCATTCAGTAAAACATAAGTAAAGGATGTGGGTGCAAGGTATATAGGAATTATTAGTATTTGTACTCCTCTCACATATTTTGTCATGTTTGAAATAATTCAAAAGTAAGATGTAAGTAAACATAAAAGAAAAACTAAAACTCCCTTTAGGAAACCTAAAAGTGAATAGATTCACACTTTAACAAACTTTTGACGACATGTCAGCAAGATAGAAAATAACCACAAAAGGAAAGCTGGAGCTACAAGAAGAAATATTGAGTGAAGAACATGGAAAGCATGTAGATAAACCACAGAGTCTGTGTGAAATAACAAAAATATTAAATTTGGGAATAAAGAAAGGATACAATTAAAATATGGAACAATAAGTAAGACTAAATAGCAGGTGATTTGATTTTTATAATTCTAAGGTCCCTATGTTATATAAAGAGGGAATAGAGAAAATTATCAATGTAGACCTTAAGTAAACAAATCTGTTAAAATTTCATGGTAACTATTAAAAGAATAAAGAGGGAAATAGAATTTAAATAAAAACTTAAAGGGTGCAGAAAAAGTGATAAAAAGTAAAAGCGATGAAGCAAAAGAGGAACATACGAAGCAAGAAATAAGATGGTAATGAATCCAAATATAACGGTCATCGTAATAAATGTAAAAAAATTAACTTTCTAGTTAAAGGTTAAATTCAATAAAAAATAAGATCCAGGATTATACTATCGAGGAATCACACATGAAAATAAAAGCATGGGAAAACTGATACACAAAGGATAAAAAAATTAGGCAGTTTAAATATTAGTCAAAGGAAAGCTGCTGTATCTCTATTAATATTACAGAGCAAAGTCTTTAAGGCACAAAGCATCATATAGAATGGAAAACATCATAAAACAATGATAATTATACATTCATTTCAACTTTGATGCCTCTAATAACTTGTCTCAAAACATATGAAGAAATCAACAAACCCATCCTACCAAGGAATACACAGTATTCTCAGATACACATGGAGCTTCAGAGAAAACCGAAGCATGTGGGGAGGCCATAATACAAATATTAGCCAATTCCAAGGAATATACAGTATTCTCAGATATGCATGGAGCTTTAAAGGAAACCTAACCATGTGGGGAGGCCATAATGCAAATATTAGCCAATTCCAAGGAACACACAGTATTCTCAGATACGCACAGAACTTCAGAGAAAACCTAAACATGTGGGGAGGCCATAATGCAAATATTAGACAATTCCAAGGAATACACAGTATTCTCAGATACACATGGAACTTCAGAGAAAACCTAACCATGTTGGGAGGCCATAATGAAAATATTAGACAATTCCAAGAAATACACAGTATTCTCAGATACGCATGGAGCTTCAGAGAAAACCTAACCATGTGAGGAGACCATAAAGCAAATATTAGCCAATTCCAAGGAATATACAGTATTCTCAGATATACACGGAACTTCAGAGAAAACTGAACCATGTGGGGAGGCCATAATGCAAATATTAGCCAATTCGAAGGAATACACAGTATTCTCAGATACACACGGAACTTCAGAGAAAACCAAAGCATGTGGGGAGGCCATAATGCAAATATTAGACAATTCCAAGGAGTACACAGTATTCTCAGATACGCACGGAACTTCAGAGAAAACCGAACCATGTGGGGAGGCCATAATGCAAGTATTAGCCAATTCCAAGGAATACACAGTATTCTCAGATACACATGGAACTTCAGAGAAAACTTAACCATGTAGGGAGGCGATAACGCAAATATTAGACAATTTCAAGGAATACACAGTATTCTCAGATACATACGGAACTTCAGAGAAAACCTAACCATGTGGGGAGACCATAATGCAAATATTAGCCAATTTGAAGGAATACACAGTATTCGCAGATACGCACAGAACTTCAGAGAAAACCAAACCATGTGGGGAGGCCATAATGCAAATATTAGCCAGTTCCAAGGAATACACAGTATTCTCAGATACACACGGAACTTCAAAGAAAACCTAACCATTTGGGGAGACCATAATGCAAATATTAGCCAATTTGAAGGAATACACCGTATTCTCAGATATGCACAGAACTTCAGAGAAAACCGAACCATGTGGGGAGGCCATAATGCAAATATTAGCCAATTCCAAGGAATACACAGTATTCTCAGATACGCTTGGAACTTCAGAGAAAAACTAACCATGTTGGGAGGCCACAATGCAAATATTAGCCAATTCCAAGGAATACACAGTATTCTCAGATACGCATGGAACTTCAGAGAGAAACTAACCATGTGGGGAGGCCATAATGCAAATATTAGCCAATTCCAAGGAATTATCAGACAGATATATTTCTCTAAGCACAACACAATTAAGTTTGAAGTCAGAAAAAAACAATTTTTTTTGAAAAATTTGTAGATTTGGAAATAGGAAAGCATATTTAAAACATACAAAAAAGCAATAAAGTCTGAAAACAGATAAATTCAACAGCTAACTTAAGATATTAGGGAAAAAATAAGAAACCAAGCAGAAGAAATGCGATTATAAAAACTGACAATAATAATGAATGAAATAGTAAATAGAGATACAGCAGATTAAAACAAAAAGATTAACAAATCCAAAGGCTAATTCTTATATACTTAATATGTGTGTGTCTAATCTACTCTCAATATTAAACTATTAATCCTTTCTTTCCTAAATACATATCAACAATGATTGTTATATTTTTTCTATTTTTCTATTTACACAGAGAAATGTGACATTCACCATGTTTTACTTAGTGTTTTTTAAGTCAATATCATTTTTGAGGCCAATTTTGAGATCTATGTATATCTAGAGATAGTTTATTCCTTTTAACTATTGCCCAGTAATATATAGATTAAATTTTATCCATCTATCCCCCATTTGCTATCTCCTAATAGTATTTCAAAGCATACCCCTGAATTTTCCTATGCATCTCTGTTATACGTTACCCTAAAGAGAAAACACAAGCTTTTTAGAGAAGGGGCATACTCAATTTCCCTAAATGTTGGCAAATTAATTATTTAAATGGCATTAATCAGAAAATCTAACAAAACATTTTTCTTCACATTAAAAAGGAAATCCTTAAATTTCCTCTTAGTTTCTATAAAAACGGAAGAGTGGAGAAGTATTCAGGGCTTTATGTTTTATTCAATTGGATCAATATCCTCTATAATCCTGTGAATCATCTTTTTAAAAAATTTGTAGAACTTAAGACAATGTTTTATAGTTTTGCTCCACATTATTTGAAATGTAGAAACTTTTATTTCTAATTAGATTGCTATGACATTGAGTGTGTGTCTGTATGTGTGTGTGATTGGTATGTATATAAATTACCTACTACATGCAAGATATAAAAATATGACAAAGTGTTTGGACCTTAGCCTTAGAAAACAATATCTCAATAACTGTGAGGTGGCTGAGATGATGTTCAGATATCATCTAATATTTGCCTACATTTCAAAGTTTATTTCTATGTTGCTAAGTTTATAACTATAACATGGCCATTTCTTGCATAGGAGACAGATGCTCTTTAGGTGCGCTCATCATAAAACTAGTTTAACAAATCAGGACACATTGAAAATAAAATAAGCCTCAAGAATAAAGCAGGACCAATCCTTGAACAACCTATATATTCAATATATATTCCATTGGCTTTAATACTGAAAATATACTGTGAGCTGTCACAAAGTCGGTAGGCTCCGATCCCCAGTGGGTACTGTGCCTGTCTTTTGCATAACTAGAGGGATTGTTAGTCGTCTTTGCATACATCACGATTGTTAATAAAGTGACATTTGTCAAAATGAGTAAGCACCTGTTGCCATGGAAGGTGCCATAAGCAAGATTATAAAACAAATTGTTGTAGTTGGCTAGGACCCAGAAGGAAGATGAAAACCAGAAGAAAAGGCATTCTTTCCTTAATTCCTCATACCCATTTTACAATACGTTGTATACAGTTGTTTATGCAAAACACAGGCTGCTTTCTTTTTTTCTGAAACCTCATGTAACTGATGGTATTTTAAATGAGCTCTAATACAAAGTGCCTCACACACTGCTATCCTATGCCTCATTTAATCCATTATATGGGTTCCCTCTTGAAACGTTTAGTCTTCATTTGTCTGTTTTTCCTGGCAAATTATTTTTAGGAATAGAAAAATCATGTCCTGAGAAGCACTGTCTTCTGGCACATATTTAAAATACCTGAGGGGACTCAGGTAACATCGAGATCCTACTAGGTGCAGACGAGTCCCCACCAATATCTTGGCATTTTATTTCAATTATTTACTATCTTTCAATATGGCCCACGGCATGAAGATTTTGCATATACCAGTTTATTTTTTTTATTGAAAATTGAAATAATACCAATACTCATAAAAAATAATCCATTCAATTATATTCAGTAAACAGTCTTCCTCTTCATGCCAGTAAATATCCATAACTCTTTCCCCAGGTTCCTTATTTAAAGTATCTTTACCAAAAAAAGCAGACAGGCTTCAAATAACTGTCTGACATTGGAGAATGACAATCGTTTTTCTTGTGAATTAGCATCCGAGCTAGGCACTGATACGAGATATACTGACAGAGATTTCATGCCAAATCTCATTCTTGTATTGTTCATGAATAGATTCATTATTTTAGTATAAAGACTTTAAATATCAAGTTTAATTGAGCTTCGATATCACACTTCTCCAGAATTTTTTACTGAAGGATAAAGTTGTTCCTCTAAAAAGCACAGCCTGTCCCGAGCAGATGCGTGCCATTAAAAAAAAATCACATAAATGTCTTCCTTTGGTTCTATCACAGACTAACATATGAATCCATGTTTATTGTGGTAATCATTCAAACTAGTAAAATGGGGTATAATTTTTATTTGTATTATAATTGCAATGCTCCTCATTTCTAGGTACCCCATATTGGCTATTCTCATGTTTTATGTGAATCACATGGTGTATTTACTAGCTTGGTGATCTTGGAAAAAATCACTAACTGCAAAAAGTTCTCTCATTTTTTCTGCCAATCCCATTCTGTGAAGAGGAAAATATAAGACTATGTGTGCAAAAATTCTAAAACACTGAGAGTCCAAAGAAAATAGAGAATAGATTTTTAAGCTTGAGAACAGAAAGCATTTGTGATTATTAAGAGTGAATTCTTGTGACTTTGACTAAGAATGGCTTGTTCTAGTTGGAAGTTATCTTCTAGATCTTTATTCTCTGATTATATGCAATTTGGAAATGGCCTACATAAAAACTGCTGCCTAACTTGTCACCTGGTTTTCTTCCAATGCACAGAAAGAACTAGAAGCCCTGCAACAAATGGATTGTGTGCGCCATCTGGCCATTTTGTGTCGCATACTAAATTTTAAACTAAAAATCCCTTTCTTCTTCCCATACCAGAACATAAGAAATTTGCTATCTTTTCTGGCCTGATGTATAACTTAATTTAGTTGTTAATATAAGTTGTTGATGGCTAAAATTGTGTAAAATATAGTTATACAAAATTTTTAGTTTAAAAGTCACAAATTCTGTCACTTTATTATGGAGGAATTGCAAATATCTCTAGGGAATAAACTCAGCCTGATTTCTGGATATCTGTTTTTTTCAATTTGCAGCTTCAAATATCTGTGTAACATCATTGCGAACTCTCAATTTTGTTAGGTATCTTTTAAGTATACATGACAAGTTAACATATGCATATTTTATATAATTTTTACATATAAGCGCATATGACTTCCTCTGAACTTTGAGAAACTAAACTTTCCAGAAAGGTATGTTTTTATATGTAGCCATTTGTAATTTGGTAACCACAGAAAATGTAAATCTGAAAATAACTGTAAAACAGTTAAGGGTAAGTACATAGTGTGATTCTTATACTTATCTAATATAAACTTTTAAAGCCACAGGAAAAGGAGCCGAAGACTGGACTATAACAGGTTTGGAGACTATGAATACACAGAATGATACCAATTTATGGAAATACAGATTGATATTAGCTCAAGTTATTGAGGGCCTACTTTTTGCCTTTATTTTTTATGTATGTATGTATGTCTTTATTTATTTATTTTTAGAGACAGGGTCTCACTCTGTGGTTCAGACTGGAGTGCAGTAGCGCGATCACAGCTCCCTGCAACCTCAATCTCCCTGGCCTAAGCAATACTTCTGCCACAGCCTCCCAGGTAGGTGGGACTACACGCACGTGCCACTGCACCCAGCCAACTTTTAAAATATTTTGTAGAAACTGGTCTTTCCCTGTTGCCCAGGCTGATCTTGAACTTCTGGGCTAAAGTGATCATCCCACCTGGGCCTCCCAAAGTGCGGGGATTACATGCATAAGCCACCGTGCCCAGTCGCCAATAGCCTTTATACATATTACTTCTGGGATTACATGCATAAGCTATCATGCCAGCCGCCAATTGCCTTTATACATATTACTTCTGGGATTACACGCACAAGCCATCGTGCCCAGTCACCAATTGCTTTTATACATATTACTTCTGGGATTACACGCATAAGCCACCAGGCCAGCTGCCAATTGCCTTTATACATATTACTTCTGGGATTACATGCATAAACCACCAGGCCAGCCGCCAATTGCCTTTATACAGATTACTTCTGGGATTACACGCATAAACCACCGTGCCAGCCGCCAATTGCCTTTATACATATTACTTCTGGGATTACACGCATAAGCCACCGTGCCCAGCCCCCAATTGCCTTTATGCATATTACTTCTGGGATTACACGCATAAGCCACCGTGCCAGCCGTCAAATGCCTTTATACATATTACTTCTGGGATTACACGCATAGACCACCGTGCCCAGTCGCCAATTGCCTTTATACATATTACTTCTGGGATTACACGCATAAGCCACTGTACCCAGCTGCCAATTGCCTTTATACATATTACTTCTGGGATTACACGCATAAGCCACTGTACCCAGCCACCAATTGCCTTTATACATATTACTTCTGGGATTACACGCATAAACCACCATGCCCAGCCTCCAAATGCCTTTATACATATTACTTCTGGGATTACACGCATACACCCCCGTGCCCAGTCACCAACTGCCTTTATACATATTACTTCTGGGATTACACGCATAAACTACTGTACCCAGCCGCCAATTGCCTTTATACATATCACTTCTGGGATTACACGCATAAGCCACTGTGCCCAGCCTCCAAATGCCTTTATACATATTACTTCTGGGATTACACGCATAGACCACCGTGCCCAGTTGCCAATTGCCTTTATACATATTACTTCTGGGATTACATGCATAAGCCACTGTACCCAGCCGCCAATTGCCTTTATACATATTACTTCTGGGATTATACACATCAGGCGCCGTGCCCAGCCTCCAAATGCCTTTATACATATTACTTCTGGGATTACACGCACAAACCACCGTGCCCAGTCGCCAATTGCCTTTATACATATTACTTCTGGGATTACACGCATAAACCACAGTGCCCAGCCTCCAACTGCCTTTATGCATATTACTTCTGGGATTACATGCATAAGCCACAGTGCCCAGCCTCCAAATGCCTTTATACATATTACTTCTGGGATTACACACATAAGCCACCGTGCCCAGTCGTCAATTGCCTTTATATATACCACTTCTGGGATTACACGCATACACCACCGTGCCAGCCGCCAATTGCCTTTATACATATTACCTCTGGGATTACACGCATAAGCCACCGTGCCCAGCCTCCAATTGCCTTTATACATACTACTTCTGGGATTACACACATAAGCCACCGTACCAGTCACCAATTGCCTTTATACATATTACTTCTGGGATTACACGCATAAGCCACCGTGCCCAGCCTCCAATTGCCTTTATACATATTGCTTCTGGGATTACACGCATAAGCCACCGTGCCCAGCCTCCAATTGCCTTTATGCATATTGCTTCTGGGATTACACGCATAAGCCACCGTGCCCAGCCTCCAATTGCCTTTATGCATATTTTACTTCTGGGATTACATGCATAAGCCACCGTGCCCAGTTGCCAATTGCCTTTATACATATTACTTCTGGGATTACACGCGTAAGCCACCGTGCCAGTCACCAATTGCCTTTATACATATTACTTCTGGGATTACATGCATAAGCCACCGTGCCCAGTCGCCAATTGCCTTTATACATATTACTTCTGGGATTACATGCATACACCACCGTGCCCAGTCACCAATTGCCTTTATACATATTACCTCATTTAAATATGCATTTTTCCAATGGAAGGAACTGGAGCTTAGATAAATTATATACCTCTAAAAATAACACCACACGGATTTTTAAAAAAGTCTTTAAGCATTTATTTACCTACTTATTTATTTGGCTAACGGGAAAAAAAAAAGCTTCCAGTCACAAATATCCCCAGTCACAAACATCACGATCCATGATGATAGAGCAAAATCAAATATGCTAAAAATTAGCCAAATATATTGCATACAGTAGGTCATCAATACATGCTTATTGAATTAATTAAAATCCAACTTGAAAAGGAAATTGAACCTGTCAAATATTTGTATATTTTATCTCATCAAATTTAGTTGTGCGTGAGCCAAAGAAAACATATAAAAAGTGTTTTATTTTGTAGGGACAGATGTATAAAATACCAAATTTTAATATACTAAAGGCATAGTTACAGTTTTCCTTTAAATATCATTTTGATCTTAATGATATGGCTTACTATTTTACTCTCCAAAAATAGTATACTTTATAATTATAATTGCTGGAACATGCCACTTTCTAGAATTATGACAAATAATTCATTACATATAAAGGCTTTATTTTAGAATGAATATATGAATGTTGGCTGTCATCCTAATTTGTGCCTCCCAAAAGATTGGTTTCCTACCTCTACATAGAGATAAAATAAAATTTAATCTTTAAGAATTCACATTTCTTGTTTGGCAAGAGTTTGTATTGCTACTAATTAGCTAAATTAGAAATTAAAGAATCTTGGCTACATTGAACTGGGCTTTGAATCTGTCTAAAACTGTTTCCTCAGAAGAGAACTGGTGAGGTGATTGCATCGAGTCACTGGGCTATACTGCTGAAAGGGGGATGACTGGAAACAATATTGTATCCTTAAAATTTCCATTGAGGAGCACAATGTCTACATATACACATTTGATTGCATCGAGTCACTGGGTGATATTGCTGAAAGACAGATGACTGGAAACAATATTGTATCCTTAAAATTTCCATTGAGGAGCATAATGTCTACATATACACTATTATCAGTTTCCCTTCAGAATTTTCTCTATATTTGGTTTTAATTATCCCAAATTCATTTATCCCCAATATTTAAGTTCCCCCTCCCTCTTCCCCTATATTTCCCCTTGAACCTTTTATCTTTTCTGTGTCCATTGCAGAGAGATCACTTCCTTGTAACTGAATACAGATCTGAATGCTTACCACTTGCAGAGTCCAATTCACAAGAGCGAGGTCTCGTATAAAGAAAGTGATTTTACTAACCAAAACTAGTAAAGGGGATGTGGCCGGATTCCCATCTAAACCAACCACTTCAATTTTGGGGGTGAGGGCAGGGGTTTAAAAGTGGAAACATTGATAAGGAAGGCATGCAAGAATTGTGCTGAGTACAATGTCTGTGTGTCTTGCTCTGGTGGCTATTTTGGGTCTCAGTCCACCTGAATCACGGGCTGGCAGCATCTCAACAATGGCGGGGTTGTTAACTAGCCAGCCACCTTGAAGTGATCGCGGGAATTTTGCAGCTGAGTCTCCAAGCTTCCTTTGTCAGACTCAAGATTAGCCCCTGCAACTTCTAAGAAGGCACACAGATGATAGCATACAATTAGATAAATGTGAAGGGAGTATACATGGTAGGAAAGGGAGGGATATGGAGTCTATTTTATAGCTAACAGAAAAGGCTTCCGCAGTTTTCTTCAAGGTTATATCTTGAAACCCAAGGTTAAAAAACAATAAAATGCATTTTGAAGTTAAGCTATCTGGTTACTTAATGAGGATTATAGCTCTGGGGGTCTTCTCTTTTCTAAATATCCCCAAGCCCTAGGATGTATTTTGGGCAATATTTTGTACTAAATATGTGAGTTCTAAATGAGATATTTATTTACCTTGTACTTTATGTTGCAAATTTCCTAAAACTGTAATTTTAACAATCTACACGTTTATATTTATGTGATGGTTTTGTTAATTTCATTTCAACACTTTTCTCCAACAAGTGGATTTATACAAAACTGACAATGTGAAGCTTCTTCAGCGTCCCCCTTCAACATCTTAATAGGATAAAATTAATCATAATTTTAAACTACATTTCTTAATTTAAAGAAAAAAATTATGTGGACATATTCACATTCAAGGTGAGCATCCAGCAAACAGTAAATCAGGCAGGTGGTTATATTTAGAAATAGTAGCAAAACATTTACAATTGATGCCATATGGCTTTCAGCCTAGTAGGGCCAACTAGCTGTGTTCAATGACTCTGGGGAAATTAGGCTGTTTGAAGGTCATGAATGCTAACTCTAAACCTCTGGGACAGTGACAGGAAGTTGGCAGCAATATGCAGGGAAATCATACCTCCAGCTGAGTGGATAAGCCTCCTTCATAAGTGGACCGAGGATTGTTCATGTTGAGCCTGTGCTCTGATTTGCAGACAAAGAACCAGGTATAACCACTATTGCTGCATATACACAGCAGGCAGTAACGTATATTCTGGTCCCGTCATTGTCTTTCTTAAACTAGCCAGGAGTCCTTATCATAATTATAAAGTTCAAATCCCCTTCCATTATCTTCCTGTTTGAGCTTACCTGATACCACTGTCCTCTGGACTAAGCCCCAGGCACATTAAGTTTCGAAGTTGACATTTTTATTAAGTTTTAAAGACATACTTGGAGAATTTTTTAATGCACAAGTATCTACAGATGTCCAACTTAAATAATTCCACTTTCAATGTGCTTTCCAGGGTTTCTTGAATGCCATTGAGAAATTACAATACATATAAAGAAAATAGAAAAGAAATAGTAATCACTGAATCACTGATTAGAAAAAAAAATAGCAAAAGCTAAAGCTTTTCATCAATTAAGTTTACCAATTTTCAACAAATAACTCAAGTGAAAAAAATAATTTATCTAATTGAAAATGGCTAATGCAGAGTCAAAGATTAAAATGTTGGAAATAAATTTTCTTCTTACATGCCAACCTTTAAGGAAAATATTATTGAACTTTTCTGGAACACAAAATCTTTGCAACCAGCATTATTATGTATCTTATTCACTTACATTAAACTAAAACTATATATGCATGAGGGAATGTTTCTTCAAATATTAACCATAAATAGGAATTAGAAAAATGTATAAAATTAGGTTGTATATTTCATTCCTAAGATTTTCTAGACTGAGTTTTCTGAAAGACGCAACACTATTCTCTTGATATTCTACAAATAAAAACATGCTACCCCAGAGCATTGGGTTCAGAACATGCTACCCCAGAATATGGCACCTTGGCATTTGAGAAAATCACAGAGAACGAAGGGCTCTGATTTTCTCCAATCCTTCTTCTCTGAAGCAAGCTGTAAGAGAATCGGATCTTCAGCCAGGCGCGGTGGCTTACGCCTGTAATCCCAGCACTTTGGGAGGCGGAGGTGCGAGGATCACGAGGTCAGGAGATCGAGACCATCCTGGCTGACACGGTGAAACCCCGTCTCTACTAAAAATACGAAAAAATTATCCGGGCGTGGTAGCGGGCGCCTGTAGTCTCAGCTACTCGGGTGGCTGAGGCAGGAGAATGGCGGGAACCCGGGAGGCGGAGCTTGCAGTGAGCCGAGATCGCGCCCCTGCACTCCAGCCTGGGCGACAGAGCAAGACTCAGTCTCAAAAACAAAAAAAGAGAAAAGAATCTGATCTTCCTGTGAAGTATGTTATAAGAGCCTCATGTGCCTCATATCTGGAGAGAAGGAATGTCACACTGGGATGCAGAAAGTAATATGAACAAACAGGCCTTGCTAAGTTCCCCCAGCGTATTACCATTAGATCATACTCCCTCTGTTCAATCATACTTCCTCATGACTGTCTACTCCCCATCCAACCTAAGCATAAATATACATAGATTTCCCCGTTTCTTTGGGTCTTCATTTCTGAAGGTCCACATGTCATGTAAAATTTACATTAAACAAATACGTATGCTTTTCTCTTGTTAAACTGTCTTTTGTCATAGGTGCTTCAGCCATGAACCTAGTGATGGATGAGAAAAAAAAAAATCCCTTCTACCCTAAACTAACAAGGAAGGACAAGATAGAGGATTCTAACTTCTTACAATAGGTATTCAATGTGATGAGAGGGTGGTCATTTGATGTATAAAATTAGGAATTCATTCTAAAACGTTTGAGACTTTTGTGTTTAGGTTATTGCAGAGGAAGGGGCAAGTTTGGTGCTCCAAATTCCTGTTTTATTTGCCATCATAGAAAGGATTTGAATTTGCAAGATACTTCATAAAAGTCTGATTTTCTTTTTTTCATTTTAAATGTGGTATTGTAGTTACTGTAATGAGGTGGCATCGACACTGCTAATACTTACCCTTTGGAGTTTACCCCAAGGGTTTACCATAAGACATCATCCAGATCACTGTGCTTTCTTTTAAAAAAACAAGTCTTTATTAAAAAGAAAAGCACAAATTAGACCAGCACAAATAGAAATTACTAACAGCCAGAAATATATTTAGCAGCGATTTTTTTTTCTTTTCTTTTTTTTTTTTTTTTTTTTTTGACAGAGTCTTGCTCTGTCACTCAGTCTGGAGTGCAGTGGTGCGATCTCAGCTCACTGCAACCTCCACCTCCCAGGTTCGAGCAATTCTCCTACCTCAGCCTCCCAGAGTAGTTGTGACTAAAGGTATCCACTACCACACCCAGGTAATTTGTATATTTTTAGTAGAGTTGGGGTTTCACCATGTTGGCCAGGCTGGTCTTGAACTCCTGACCTCAGGTGATCCACCTCCCAAAGTGCTGGGATTACAGGAGTGAGGCACCGTGCCCAGACTTATTTAGCATCAGTTTTAAAAATTGTTGACACATTGCAGTATCTTTCTAATTTTCTCTAATATCCTTAATTAATTATATAATGTGATTTTTGAAGAATTCTTATATACATTAAGATAAAGTTCAAGAAGGCCATTAGCAAAGGATTTTTAAGAGTAGTTTTTTTACAAAGATTATCCATTTTAAACAGATTTTTCTTATGAAATAAATTTCTCCATGTCTTTTAAAAATATGAAACTTGGCTTCCATTAAATATGCTCATTTTTAGTTACTCATGGGATACCCTTACTTATCTATGATAACAGACACTTGTCATAATTTCCAATATACTCCTAATGTCAGAGGTATGTTTACAAGTGGTACCATTTACTTCTGGATTTCATTTCCGGCTATTTAATCTCCAGATGCATGAAAAAGCATTTTTAAGATTATCTCTGAAAAAAATACCTGCTTTTTATCTACTCAAAATGTATCTACACTTAACATAAGTACACTTTCGATAAGCAGTTATTTTTAGGCAAAACTTTTACTAAGACAAGTATATGATAACATAGACAATGGAGGATATCCATGTGTAACTGAAAGTGAAAATATTTACTTTACCTGGAAGCTGTGTTTTATGTTTTTAAAAAACATGAAATAATTGATTTCATACAAAAAAAGTGCTAAAAGAAAAATGCATAATCTCTGTTTGATAAAAACATTTTCTCAAGCTGTGCAAATGACCTTCTTGATTTTTATTTTAACTTATCTAAGAATGATTTTAATATGCAATAATACAACTTATAGCAATATATAACTGCATTTAATAATAATGCACAAAAGTAACAAAGCAATGCAGATAAAAATGTTATACTGAACTCATCATTTGACATACTTCATGTATTAGAAAAATATGCTGAATAATGTCAATTATCAAAACATGTAGCTGCTACGTAGTCCCTTAAAAACTGGTATTTCCAGCATTTATATAATACACATATAAGTATATTTGTGTTGAACATAGTATTAATACTTTTTATATTTTTTAAAAAAGAAATTGTATGCCTTTTGTTCAAAACCACTATAACTTACTTGACCGGTATGTGATTTTTATTTTCCATTAAAATATTTAATTTCCAATATAGTTTGGATGCAGGATAGTCTGCATTTTAGGAAGCAAAAAAATAAATTTTAGAAAGGTAAAATATCAAAGCAAGTTTTGTAGTAATAGTGATGTCTAAAAGTTAAAATAGCAGTAGCTGTCATTAAATGAGCACCTACTATATTTCAGGCACTAAACTAGATTCTTACAGACTCTTTAATATTAATATCATACTTTATAAATGTGAAATTTTAGACTGCAAAGTACATAACTTGCTAAAAGTCACAGATGTAATAAACTATCAATCTAGAATTTGAACTTAAATCTTTTGGCTGCAGAGAGGAAAACAAAAGAAGGATAGGTAAATAGCTAGATGAATCAGTTGACTAACAGTCATATCAGCTTCCCTTTACCGAATGCTGATCTCATCACACCAATATAACTTTGCAAAATGTGTTTATTATTTCCATGTTCAAAGTGAGTGATTTAAGGCTAAAAATGGTAAGAAATGTGTCCTTGATGGCAGCTATCACTGGAAGATCCAGAATTTAAACCAATATTTCACTATCCAGTATTACTTATTTCAAAGCACTCACCCTTTCTGCTATCACATACAATTTCCACTTCAAGTAACAAATTCAAATATAATCAGTACAAAGTTTATTCTACCCTGAAAATGAAATGTATAATATTCAAGAACAACTTGATGATTCAGATATAAGAAAACATAGTACTCTCAAAATGACAAATACTGAATAAATAAATATTACCTCTGTATTGGATGTCTAAAAATGCATAAGGACAAGATACTTCAAGCTGGAAAAATCAGAGTGCAACCAAAAGACAATGGAGAAACCAAACATAACTGGTCACATATGTATTTTTGTACAGATTTTTAAGTCTGGGAGTCTTTTGTTTTGTAAGCAAACATTTATTCTGTTGTTAGCCAGAAATTTATATCTCCCTAGGTTATGTAAAATACTGAAAAAAGAAATATGAAAACTTTCTTATTTTTGGTTGTGTCATCAAACAATGCCTTACATATTTGAATGACTACATTTTCAAAAGCTGCCAAATTTTAATTTCTTCTGTTAGTAGCTCTATATCTACACATATTCAACATTCAAAGTAAGGAATCTTGTAGTGTGTGTTATATTGTTCAAGTATTGATCATTTTGTTGTAACTCTGGAAACACTTATTAGCCCCTGAAGCCTGAATTAGGGGTATCTATATAGAGAGGAAATTATTGGCTTATCAAAAGTGTGCACAGATTCTGTAGGTCAAGTCTATCCATCACAGACTTCCTAAAAGGTGGATTAGATTTTAAGCTCTCCCAATTTATTTTGTTATGGTTTATTGGCACATTCATTTTATACAACTGTTTATACAAAATAAATGGCTGCCCATACCTTAAGCCCCTCCATTAGTGGAGTCCAATTCACCATCTAAGATAACAAAAACATAGGAATCTTCAGTTCCTACTGCTACCATCACAGAAGGCTCAAGCTGTAGAATATTTGATGCTTTCTGCTCTCAAAGTTCTGATCCAGTCCTTTCTCTTACATAACATCTGTTCATGTCCTTGCTCAGAGGGACTCAGTGCTCATTCAAAGATCCTTTTATTGTGGTGAATGTTTAATTTCTTACTAATATTCATTCAAATGCAATACATGTATATTTCCATTCAGTCTGTGCTGCTATAATGGAATATAAGAGACTGGGCAATTTGTAGAGATTCTTTATGGTTCTGGAAACCAGAAAATCCAAGATGCAAAGGCAAGCGTCTGGTGAGGACCTTCTTTCTGTGCCATCTCATGGTGGAAGGTGAGACAGCAAGAGATTGAACTCCCAGCCTTAAGTTATTTTAAATCAGCTGAATCTGTTCACAAGGCTTCAGCCTTTATGACCTAAACACCTCCCATTGGGCCCCACCTCCCAACAGTGTTTCATTGGATGATGTTTCAACACATGCCTTTTGGAGGGACACATCCAAACAATAATAACAGCATTTTCTTTCTTAAGTGTTCATTTTGATGAATTTTGACAAATGTTTACAGTAGTGTAACAACCACTTCAATGGAAACATTTCATCCATAAATTCCCTTGTTCTATAGATTCAATTTTTATATTCTCCTGAAATTTTATGTTGAAATCTAATACCCAATATAACGGTATTTGGAGTTGGAGCCTTTGGAAGGTGATTAGGTCATAAGAACAGAGACTTAATCAAAGGAGTTAGAGCTTTTTATAAGAGACCCCGGAGATATCCCATCCTTCTACAATGCGAGGAGACAAAAAATGACAGCCACCTCTGAATCAGGAAGTGAGTCATTACCAGGCACTGAATCTGTCAGTAACTTGAATTTGAACTTCTAGTCTCCAAAACTGTGAAAAATAAATTTTGGTTGTTTATAAACTACCCAGTCTATGATATTCTGTTACAGCAACCTAGAGTACTATGTTACCTAGTGCCCCTTTGTAATCAATCCTCGCCCCCAAACTGACACCTAGCCCCTGTCTACCCCACTCAGATTTGGGTGGCTACAGTTTTGGCTATTAAATAATGTCACAAAAATTGAATCATATACTATGTAGCCTTGATTGTTTTTTATTGAGTTTACTTAATGCTTTGGAGATTTATTCATGCTGTTACATATGTCTATATTGTATTCTTTTTTATCGCAAACTAGTGTTCCATTTGATTATACTTTTACTAATATGTGGGCTTCTGGGTTATTTATAGTTTAAGGCCATGCAAATAAAGTTGCTATAAACATTAGCAAATGGGTCCCTGGATGAACATGCTTTTATTTCTCTTGGGTAAACATCCAGGAATTGATAGTTGAGTCATATGATAGATTTATATTTAAATTTAAAAGAAACTTCCCTATTGTTTTCCAAAGCAACTATACCATTGAAGTTTCTACATATCCTCACCAGTACTCTGTCTTCTGTAATTTTATTATAGCCATCCTAGTAGCTATATAGGGCATCTCATTGTAGTTTTAATTGCATTTTCCTAACGACTAATGGTGTTAAGCAAATTTTCAGTGCTTATTTGCCACTGGTATATCAGTGGTTCCACGTTCTCCGTGAGGGATTAGTTCTAGCACCCTGATGGATGCCAAAACCCAGAAATGCTAAAATTCCAACACTGGTCCTGTATAACCTTGGAAAATTAAAAATTAGCCCTCTGCATCCTTGGGCTGCCCCATCTGGGAATACTATATTTTCTATCCATAGTTGGTTGAATCTGCGAATGTGGAGCTCATACACATGAAAGGCCAACTGTATTTTTTCAAAGTCCAATTTTTAATCTATTTCTACAAGTTACAAAAATTTCCAATTGGCACATATGGAAACTGTTTTTATGTGGATGGCTGAGGATTCTTTTGGAAAAACATATTCTCAAAAAAAGAACATAGGGATTATAAGCCTGACTTTATAGCAAAATCTGATTTTTTAAAAGCAATTTTTATTAAAATGTTTAAAAAACATTGGGGCCCTGTTGACATCACTTGGATACCCGGCTGGTATAATCTATGACAGTATAAATTGAAAGAGCCTGTCTATGTACTTTTGCATGGAATATGAGATATTGAGGAATATGGCATGTTGGTAGTTATGTCCACTGGTATTTATTTAGCAGAGTATGGGGAGCTGCCAGGATTAAGAGAGGGCATAGGGTCAAGTGTGCATCATGAGAAGCAGTCAACAGAAAAGAAAGTGTAAGCTAGTAAACCCTGCAGTTACTGCAGGAATCTGGCAGGAATGGGACATAGTGGGCCCAGCAGTGGTCTACCAACCCCCTGCTGAATCCTTGAAATGCCTTCTAAAAACCTCCAGAAAGAAAGGATAGATAGAGTACTGCATGGAGAGTTGGAGGTTCTGGTTTCTCCTGGCTCTTGTTTCTGTTTATGATTTGTATCTGTAGTAGTTTCCTGGGGCTGCCCTAACAAAACAGTGCACACTGGGTGGCTTAATCAGAAGTGTACTGTCTCAGAGTTCTGGAGGGTACAAGTCTAAAATCATGATGTTGAAAAGGTGGCTCCTTCTGAGAGCCACAAGGAAAAAGCTATTCCAGAGAAGGAAAAAGCTATTCCAGAGAAGTCTCTCTCCTAATGTCTTGAAGCTTTGGGTGTTTCTTGGTGTTTTAGTCTGTTCTCCTGCTGCTCATAAAGACATACTGGAGACTGGGTAATTTATACAGAAAAAGAGGTTTAACGAACTCACAGTTCCACGTGCTGGGAAGGCCTCATAGTCATGGCAGAAGATTAAAGGCTCATTCCACATGGCGGCAGGCAAGAGAAAATGAGAACCAAGCAAAAGGGAGACCCCTTATCAAACCAACAGATCTTGTGAGACTCATTCACCACTACAAGAACAGTATGGGGAAACTGCCCCCGTGATTCAATAGTCTCTCACCGGATCCCACAACACATGGGAGTTACGGGAGCTACAACCATGATTCAATTACCTCCCACCGGGTCCCTCCCACAACACACGGGAGTTACGGGAGCTACAATTCAAGATGAGATTTGGGTGGGGACACAGCCAAACCATATCGCTTGGCTTATCGATGGCATTCTTCCTGTATCTTCACATCATCTTCTCTCTATGCCTATCTGTCCCTGTGTCCATATTTCTCCTTTTTGTAAGGACAGAGTCATATTGGATTAGGGCCCATCCTAACAGCCTCATCCTAACTTGGTCATCTGCAAAGGCTGTATTTCCATACAAGGTCACATTCACAGCTACTGGAATTACCGCCTCATTATTTGCTGAAGGGACACAATTCAACCCATAACACTGTTAGTCTAGTAATTGTGCCCTTTTAGGTAATTTCTGTCTTCCACTCATAATTTAAACTGAAAGTATCTTCAAATTATAAAAGACAATAGTGCTAAGAGAAAATTTCCATCAATCTATGATTTTAAACTCTTCAAAGTGCTAAGAGAAAATATCCGTCAATCTATTATTTTAAACCTTTCTAAATTATTAAGAGTAAGATATATAAAATAAGATAATTTTCAGGACAGGCATGGTTGTTCATGCCTGTAATCTCATCACTTTGGGAGGCTAGGGAGACCAGATTGCTTGAGCTCAAGAGTTCAAGACCAGCCTGGACAACAAGGTGAAACATGATTTCTACTAAAAATATAAACAATTAGCCTGGTGTGGGCATGGTGGCAAATGCCTGTAGTCCCAATTACCCAGGAGGCTGAGGTGGGAGAACTGCTTGAGCCCAGAAAGTCAAGGCTGCAGTGAGCCATGATTGCACCACTGCACTGCAGCCTGGGTGACAGCCTGAGACCCTGCCACAGACACACACACACACATACACACATACACACACACACACACATATTCAAATAAATGATTGAGTTTACATACTGAAGAGTATCAAAAGATAAGTTTCAATGAGAAGAAAATTCTTTTTAGAAGAGTGAGATCTCAGTGACACTGAGTTATAGAGAAACTTGAAAGTGTGTTGTGTATCTAAGTAATCAATAACCAAAGTAACAACAATAATAACACTAAGGATAATGACTATTTAGCTTGGAATTTAAAAAACAATGTATAATTATATTTACAAATAGCAATAACATAAAAACGGGAAGAGATGATCATATCTAAAATTTTCTATAGCCCTTAAATTGTTCAGGTAGGAGATGATTGATTCAAGTTGTGCTTCGTTAATGCAATGTTGTGCTTCGTTAGTGCTAATGTACTTTGTCCAACATTTAAGAATAACTAAATAAAGAGCAATGAAAAGCGAGACAGATTAAATGGAAAAACAAATATACAAACAAACAACATACCCCTGCAAAAATATGCAGTCAAGTCAATGAAAAGCAGAAAACAAATGAAAAAATAAAGAAGTAAAAATAGAGTGAAATTTTCTTAAAGATGTGAAAATAGATCCATATGTGTCAAAATCATATTTAGTATGAATAGATTAAGTTCGCTACTAAAAGATAGAGAGCATAAGCTATAATGACAAAGGATTTTTAAATGCTGAGGGATATAAAATGATATATCATGCTAAAATTTAGGTTGTATAGTGATATTAATATCTCATTAAATATACTAGAGTAAAATCTGAAATATATAAAAAAATTAACTTTGGGAGGCCGAGGCAGGTGGATCATGAGGTCAGGAGATCGACACCATCCTGGCTAACACGGTGAAACCCCATTTCTACTAAAAAATACAAAAAAATTAGCCAGGTGTGGTGGCAGGCACCTGTAGTCCCAGCTACTCGGGAGGCTGAGGCAGGAGAATGGCATGAACCCGGGAGGCGGAGCTTGCAGTGAGCCGAGATCACACCACTTCACTCCAGCCTGGGGGACAGAGTGAGAGTCCGTCAAAAAAAAAAAAAAAAAAATAAGCGCACAATCATGGTGGAATATTTTAATTTAATTCGGTTTGCTAGATGAAGCTGACTCATAGTGTGGTTACTGGAGATATGGATAGCACAATGATGTTGTTTGAAACAATGAAACTATGAAGAACTCTAAAAGAATATTATTTTTAGAACAATTTTTATGGGTCCCGTGTGCTTAAAGAACTTAAGTATACAAACCTCAAGAAAGAAACCTCTTTCTTCAAGAAACCATGAATTCTCTCTTAGCGTCATCTTCTTCATTTGTAAAATTGTTAATATTTTGTAAAATTGTATCATGCAAAATATATAGATTATGACTAGAGTATCAAGATGATGAATGTTAAGGTCTCTCTGCCCCAAAACGTGCCTTTCATCTTCTGCCATGACTGTGAGGCTATCCCAGCCACGTGGAACTGTGAGTTCATTAAATGTCTTTTTCTGTGTACAAATGATAAAGAATTATACAAAATGCCCAAATATTTGGATATAAACATATTTGCTTATAAATATTTCTTTTATTAAAGAATTGACAATGTCCATTTAAGAAAATACTCAGATCCAACTAGCAAGCACATTGAAAAATAATTTGCAGTATCATTTAATAACAATTAAAATGGCTAGAGTATCAACATGATGAGTTTAAGGTCTTTCTGTCCCAAACTTTCTATGTGGTGTGGCTTTAATATGTTCTCATCAGTTTTTAATCTCTTTTTATGATCTCAAAAGAAAACTTCAAAAATATAATGTTGTGAGGATCATTTACCTTTCTTACATCAAAACATAAATTTTGTGATTAACTGCAGAGAATGTGACATTGATTTTAATTTGAACAAATTAAAATAGAATAAAATAATAAAAGTAATTGAGTAAGAAGGAATTCATGCACATGCCACACACATGAAATTCTTTAGGACAAAGTTAAAAAATGCTTTCCAGTTGAAATATCTTTATAACGTAATATTAAACTCCTATGGCTAAGGAAAAATAATTTTATAATTAATCAGGTCTAAATAAAATAAATACTAAAAGGGCAAAAAATTGTCTTAAAGTTTTTACACTTCAATGCTCAGTTTTGCTGTGAACCTAAAACTGTTTTAAAATTAAAGTATGTTAAATAGAAATAATTATTTGGGGGACATTTAATGTTCCTTGATTAACCCTTGGACTTGTAGAGATTCTAACTTAGAACAGTCATAAAAAATGTAACAATTGTTATTGTGAATAGAATATTGTTCTAAGAACAGTAAATATTTCTTGAGAATTTCAATGTGTCAGAGGCTGGAATATTTTCACATATTGTTTAACTCTTTTGTCTTATATATTATTTTGTCTTTAAAACAATCAGATGAGGAAAATGAGGCTCAGATAGTAACTAGCCTGACCCAAATCACACAGCTAGAAAGCAGAGGATGTAGGATTTAAACCCAGAAGCTGTTTGACTATTCACTACACTCTACCACCTCCAAGGAACGTGGTGCATATATGATACTTGAGGACATATTAACAATCACGACTAAGGTTTAGTAAAAGGGCGGAGAAATGAAGACAATGTTGAAAGAGAAACAGTTCTAAGCCAACCACAATTAAAGTCTGAGTATGAAGAAGTCATGCAAAATATTTAACAATTTTACAAATGAAGAAGATGAGGCTAAGAGAGAATTCATTGCTTGCCTTATTGGACATCACAGTCCTTACTAATTATTTTAGTTTGTGTTTTCTTTCACACATCTTGAAACTTGCATCATCCTATAATAGCCACTAGAATTTAGTACTTAATTTTTCTCTTGTTTCTGTGCATCTGTGCATGGAGAGGGATACGCCTGCTGCATGCTGATAGAAACTGACATTGTTTGAAAACACCTTTTATTTTCTAAATATGTGACTTCAAATATAACAAAATTAAACATATAAATACTTAGGATATATTTCTCTCTCTTAAAATTTATCTTAGCTTTGCAGGCCATATGCTCAGAAATATGTGTTCCCTGTAAAAGCCACCATCTTGACCTCTTATTCTCCAACCATTAGCACAGTAAGTGTGCATTTAAACAGTAACTAGCTATGAAAGTGTTGGTAGAGGAGTTCTACAAAAACTGCAGTCTATTAAAACCCTGATTGGTCACAACTTTCTGAGGGAGGGAAGAAAACGTCATATGAGTTATGGTGATGTAATTTATGTTTATTATAATAAAAAATTGCTTTAGGGCAATAAAATTCAAATTAACAAAACACATTCAGAAACAAGGTCTAAAACATAAATAGCATGAAATAGGGGAGATTAGAGCTAACATTTTCCAGGAGCTAAATAAACACACAAGCTCGTATAGCATTTATTGAAAAGGTTAGAAGAGAAATCTAATTCAATACATTTTATGTAGATATAGAATGATTAGAATCTGTCCGGTTCTTGATAAATATAATCTAAAGAATTAGTTTAGAGATCTTTCTCCCATCTTCAGTCAGAGTTTTATAAATTAATGAAATTATCTATTATCATTTCATCTTAGATGTCATAAGACTTTGGAAATAGAGGGTATTAGAGACTAATTTACAGCATATAAATAGCTTGAACAGGTGGTACTTAATACCATTACAGATATTGGTTACTGGGTAGACTCCACAGTTATGGAAGTGAATACCAATTAGAAAAATGTTCATATCTTAGTCACTGAATAAACTAAGTGAAAAGATACCACTTGCCGGGCGCGGTGGCTCACGCCTGTAATCCCAGCACTTTGGGAGGCCAAGGTGGGCAGATCACGAGGTCAGGAGATCGAGACCATCCTGTCTAACACGGTGAAACCCCGTCTCTACTAAAAACACACAAAAAATTAGCCAGGCATGGTGGCGGGCGCCTGTAGTCCCAGCTACTCGGGAGGCTGGGCAGGAGAATGGCATGAACCCGGGAGGCAGAGCTTGCAGTAAGCCGAGATCGCACTACTGCACCCCAGCCTGGGTGACAGAGAGAGACTCCGTCTCAAAAAAAAAAAGAATGGATGAACAAAACAAATGCCTTTAATTCCATTCAGACTTAAGACTTCACAGTTCTCAGACACACCAAAGAAATTATTTCCAAAAGTTCTTTTGCAGAGATATATTTAAAGTTATAATTACATTTTTAAGAGCTTCCCAGATTGTAACAAATATAAGTAACTTCAACTAGCAAATAAGAAATTCAAAAATGTAGCTAGCTGCTCAATATTGCTGATTTGATATCATTTGATATTTTCGAACTGTACCAACATTTAATGAGGATATAATTGAGTGAATCCTGCAACAGAAACATTAACATATGTGCTAAAATGAGCTATAATGGATATATACATTTCCAATGTCATTTAGAGCAAATACTTATATTAATCAGGCTGAATTATATGATTCCTACATTGAATCTTTGAACAATTGAGTTACAGTGGCAAATAATAGACAAATAAAGAAATGACATAATTAGATCATAAATTGATGTAGTAGTCTTACTTATATAATTTTTAGGTAGAGCCTGAAGGAAGAGTGCTGATCATGAAATAGTATCCTAAAAGAATGCAGCTATTACTTAATAATACAAGGAAATCGAAAATTTGTCAAGGATCATGCAGCATAGTGAGTAGTGAAGATTTACATATATCAGAATAGATGATTTACATATATCAGAATAGATGATTTACAAATATCAGAATTGATGATTTACATATATCAGAATTGATGATTTACATATATCAGAATTGATGATTTACATATATCAGAATTGATGATTTACATATATCAGAATAGATATTCATTACTTTAGGAGGAAAAGGTAAATTATTAAGAAATATTTGTACAGTGTATACTATCAGAGAATAAAGTTATAATCAAGTAATTACAAATACTTTTGAATCTTATGCATCTTATGATGTAGATAAGGAAAGTCCTAAATGAATGGATGTATGAGGATGTCTTAGTCACTAAGGTCTATTATTAGTTAATTCTCACATTGCTATAAGGAACTAACCAAGCCTGGGCAATTTATAAATGAAAGAGGTTTAATTGACTCACAGTTCCACATGGCTGGGGAGGCCACACGAATCTTACAATCATGGAGGAAGTCACCTCTTCACAGGGCAGCAGGAGAGAGAATGAGTGCCAGGAGGGGAAACGCCAGACGCTTATGAAACCATGAGAGCTCATCAGAACTCACTCACTGTCATGAGAACAGCATGAGGGAAACCTCCCACATGATTCAATTGCCTCCCACTAGGTCCCTCCCATGACATGTAGAGATTATAGGAATTAAAATTCAAGATGAGATTTAGGTGGGCAGACAAACCATATCATTCTGCCCCTGTCTTCTCCAAAATCTGATGTCCTCACATTTCAAAACAAACCATGCCTTCTCAACAGTCCCCTGAAGTCTTACCTCATTCCAGAATTAACCCAGAAGTCCAAGTCCAAAGTCTTACCTGAGACAAGGCAGTTCCCTTCCACCTAGGAGCTTGTAACATCAAATCAAGTTAGTTGCTCCCATGATACAAAGTGGGTATAAGCATTGGGTAAATGCACCCATTCCAAAAGGGAGAAATTGGCCAAAACAAAAGGGATACAGGCCCATGCAAGTCCAAAATCCAGTGAGGTAGTAATTAAATCTTAAAGCTCCAGAATAATCTCCTTCAACTCCAAGTCTCACCTCCAGGACACACTGATGCAAGAAGTGGGCTTCCACAGCCTTGGCAACTCTGCCCATGAGGCTTTTCAGGGTACAACCCCTCTCCCAACTGCTTTTGTGGGCTGGCTTTCAGTGTCTGCAGCTTTCCCTGGTGCACAGTGCAAGCTATCGGTGGATCTACCATTCTGGGGTCTGGAGGACTGTAGACCTCTTCTCACAGCTCCACTAGGCAGTGCACCAGTAGGGACTCTCTGTGGGAGCTCCAACCCCATGTTTCCCTTCTGCACTTCCCTAGCAGAAGTTCTCCATGAGAGCTCCACCCCTGCAAGCAGACTTCTGCCTAGACATTCTGGTGTTCCCATACATTTTCTGAAATCTAGGCTGAGGTTCCCAAACCTCAGTTTTTTAACTTTTGTATACCAATGGGCCCAACATCACCCTTAAGTTGCAAAGGCCTGGGGCTTGCACCCTCTGAAGCAATGGCCTGAGCTTTATATTGGCCCATTTTAGCTACAGCTGGGATGCAGAGCACCAAGCCCTGAGACTGTACACGGCAGCAAGGTCCTGGACCTGGTCCTGGAAACCATTTTTTCCTTCTAGACTTCCAGGCCTGTGATGGGAAGGGCTGCTGTGAAGACCTCTGACACACCCTGGAGACATTTTCCCTACTGTCTTGATGATTAGCATTTAGCTCCTCATTACTTATGCAAATTTCTGCAGCAGGCTTTAATTTCTCCCCAGAAAATGTTTTTCTTGTCTATCACATTGTCAGGCTGCAAATTTTCCAAACTTTTATGCTCTGTCACCTCTTGAATGCTTAGAAATTTCTTCTGCCAGATATCTGAAATCATCTCTCTCTAGTTCAAAGTTCCATAGATCTCTAGGGCAGGGGCAAAATGCCGCCAGTCTCTTTGCTAAAACTTTCCATTTCCCAACAAGTTTCTCATCTCCATCTGATAGCACCTCAGCCTAGACTTCATTGTCCATATTGCTATCAACATTTTGGACAAAGCCATTCAACAAGTCTCTAGGAAGTTCCAAGCTATCTCATATCTTCCTGTCTTCTGAGCACTCCAAACTGTACTAACTTCTGCCTATTACTCAGTTCCAAAGCTGCTTCCACATTTTCAGGTATCCTTATAGCAGTACGTGACTCCTGGTGCCAATTTACTGTATTAGTCCATTTTTACATTGCTATAAGGAAATACCTGACACTGGATAATTTGTAAAGAAAAGATATTTCATTAACTATACATGGCTGAGGAAGCCTCAGGAAACTTACAATCATGGTGGAAGCCACTTCTTCAAAGGGTGAAGAGAGAAAATGAGTGCCAGCAGGGGAAATGCCAAATGCTTATAAAACCGTCAGAACTTGTGAGAACTCACTCATTATCATGAGAACAGCATGGTGGAAAACCACCCTCCTGATTCAGTTACCTCCCACTGGGTCCCTCCCATGACATGGGATTCTGGGAATTAAAATACAAGTTGACATTTGGATGGCGCCACAGCCAAACCATATCAATTTTTTTGTTTAAGTGTTGAAAAAGTCTGCAGGGTGATGACAATTTTGAAATTACAAGAATGAAATAAGGCACCTTCAAAGGTGGAGTCTGAATAAATGAAGCAAAAAGCCCATCTCAGGAAAAAGCTGCTCTGATGAAACTCCAGATTAAATTTGGTGTGGACCCCCTAAAGTTAATTGGATCACCTTTATGAACATGTAACCTGTACAGTCCCACAGAGCCCTATACTTGGAAGGTTCCTGCATTGGTTTTGTGCTTGGCTGTCCCTTTCTTTATACTCTTAATATTTTTTAAAAGGGCTCTAGATACTCCCACAGCTGGCCCTGTGCTTTAAAAGGAATAGAATGAAAAAAGCAACCTGTAAATAAAGTAAATAGTATTGATAAACAAAACAGCATACACGCTCCTAATGTAACTTTGGTGGAGGGGTTGGGTCTGGGAGTAGTTTGAGAACAAGAGCAAGAACATATGAGAAAGAGAATAGCTGGTAAATCAACAGGCCTCTGGAAGCCTGTATGTTTTTGGATACCATGACCACCAGTCATTTCTTCTCATTGTCATGAGGTGCTTCAATGTATTAAGTCAAGAGGTCAGAAATCTGCATTGCCACACCTTCTCTGCCTACCATCACTGCTTAATGACAAGAAACTCTACAGGAAGCGAAAAGGTATAGTTAGCAAGCAAGCTGGTACAGTTTCCACCTAAAATTGCGAATTAAAAAAACTGAAAGGGACTTAGATAGTTAAGGGACTAGTCCTAGAAATCAATTAACTGCTGTGTTAGTCCATTTTCTTGCTTCTAATAAAGACATACCTGAGACTGGGAAGAAAAAGAGGTTTAATGGACTTACAGGTCCACATGGCTGGGGAGGCCTCACATTCATGGCAGAAGGAAAGCAGGGTAAGTCAAATCTTACATGCATGGTAGCAGGCACAAAGAGAGAGAGGGCTTGTGCAGGGGAATTCTTCTTTTTAAAACCATCAGATCTCATGAGACTTATTCACTATTATGAGAACAGCACAAGAAAGATCCACCCCCATGATTCAATTACTTCCCACTGGGTCCCTCCCACAACACATAGGAAAGTTCCAACTTCAGATGAGATTTGGGTGGAATCACAGCCAAACTATATAATTCGGCCCCTGGACCCTCCCAAATCTCATGTCCTCACATTTCAAAACCCATCATGCCTTCCCAACAGTCCCCCAAAGTCTTAAGTCATTTCAGCAATAACCCAAAAGTCCACAGTCCAAAGTTTCATCTGAGACAAGGCAGGTCACTTTTTCCTATGAGGTTGTAAAATCAAAATCAAGCTAGTTACTTCCTAGATACAATGGGGTACAGGTATTGTGTAAATACAGCTGTTTCAAATGGGAGAAATTGGCCAAAACAAGGGGGCTAAAGGCCCCATGCAAGTCCAAAATCCAGCAGGGCAGTTAAAACTTAAAGCTCCAAAGTGATCTCCTTTGACTTCATGTCTCCCATCCATGTCATGCTGATGGAAGAGGTGGATTAGCATGGTCTTGGGCAGCTCTGCCCCTGTGGCTTTGCAGGGTTTAGCCCATCATCTGGCTGCATTCACAGGCTGGCATTGAGTGCCTGTGGCTTTTCCAGGTGCATGGTGCAAGCTTTCAGTGGATCTACCATTCTGAGTTCTGGAGGACAGTGGCCCTCTTCTCACAGCTCCACTAGGTGTTGTCCCAGTAGGGACTCTCTGTGGGGGCTCCAACTCCACATTTCCCTTCTGCACTTTCCTAGCAGAGGTTCTCCCTGAGGGCCCCACCCATGCAGCAAACTTCTGCCTGGGCATACAGATGGTTTCATACATCCTCTGAAATCTAGAAGGAGGTTCCCCCACCTCAACTCTTGACTTTTGTGCACCCGCAGGCTCAACACCATGTGGGAGATGCCAAGGCTTGGGGGCTCCACCCTCGGGAGCAATGGGCTGAGCTTGGCCTCTGTTAGTCATGGCTGGTGTGACTGAGATACAGGGCACCAAGTCCCTAGACTGCACACAGGAGAGGGATCCTGAGCTCCACCCATGAAACCATTTTTTTCTCCTAAACCTCTGGGCCTGTGATGGGAAGGGCTACCACAAAGACCTTTCATATGCCCTAGAGACATTTTCCCCATTGTCTTGGTGATTAACATTCAGCTCCTGGTTTCTTATGCAAATTTCTGCAGCTGGCTTGAATTTCTCCTCAGAAAATGGGATTTTCTTTTCTATCTCATTCACAGGCTGCAAATTTTCCAAACTTTTATGCTCTGTGTCTCTTTTAAAACTGACTTCCTTTTACAGCACATGTCACTTCTTGAATGCTTTGCTGCTTAGAAATTTCTTCCACCAGATACTCTAAATCATTTCTCTGAAGTTCAAAGTTCCACAAATCTCTAGGGCAGGGGCAAAATGTCACCAGTCTCTTTGCTAAAGCATAACAAGAGTAACCCTTTTCTGAACGAGTCTAGTTCCTCATCTCCATCTGAGATCTCCCCCACCTGGATATTATTGTCTGTATCATTATCAGCATTTTAGTCAAAGCCATTCAACACGTCTCTAGGGAGTTCCAAATTTTCCCACATTGTCCTGACTTTTGAGCCCTCCCAACTGTTCCAACCTCTGCTTGTTACTGAATTCCAAAGTTGATTCCACATTTTGGGGTATCTTTTCAGCAACACTCCACTCTACTGGTACCAATTTACTGTATTAGTTTGCTTTCATGCTGCTCATAAAGACATACCTGAGACTGGGAAGAAAAAAACTTTTAATGGACTTACTGTTCCACATGCCTGGGGAGGCCTCACAGTCATGGTGGAAGGCAAGGAGGAGAAGATCACTTCTTACATGGATGGCAACAGGCAAAGAGAGAGCTTGTGTGGGGAACTCATGATTTATAACCATCAGATCTTGTGAGACTTATTCACTATCACAAGAACAGTGTGGAAAAGCCCTGACCCCATAATTCAATTACCTCTCACTGGATTCCTCCCACAACACATAAGAATTGTAGGAGTTACAATTCAAGATGAGATTTGGGTGGGGACACACCCAAACCATATCAACTGTCATCTTGTATCTTTTCCTTATTATAATCACTGTACTAGTCAGGATTCTTTACAGAAATTTACCAATAATAAATGGATACATACATACATACACACATAGATAGAGAGATTTATTATGGGACTTGGCTCAGAAGGCTAGGGAGACCAACCAGTCCCACCATCTGATGTCTGAAAGCTAGGAACCAGGAAAGCAGGTACTATAATTCAGGCTCAGTTTGAAGGTCAAAGAACCAGGAGTGACAATGTTTAAAGTCATCATGGATGAATGTCCCAGTTAGAGCAAATTCACACTTAGTCTACCTTTTTGTTCTATTTAGGACCTCAGTGGATTAGAAGATGCCCATTCACATTTATGAGGGCAGATCTTCTTCACTCAGTTTACTGATTCAAGTACTAATCTCTTATGGAAAGACCCTCACAGACACACTCATAAATAATGTCTTAGCAGCTCCCTGGGTATTCCTTAGGTCAACAAAGTTAACACAAAAAATTAAATATTTCATGAAAAAGACAAGGACTAGACAAAGAACAAAAACATGAATGTATATTTTATTTTTAGTTTAAAGCATAAATACAACTCTTACCTTACCTTCCAATGGCGGTAATTCTAGCTGAGTGTTATTCTTTAAGCTCAAAATTAAATTACTTATTTCCATTTTAGCAATGGACTACAAAAGGTTAGTCTATCTTTCAGTAATTTATTAGAAAAAAATCACCATTTTGTTATTGAACCCTAGGCAAAATTAAATTGAGCATTAATGCACTCCACCTCAATCTATCCTGGAGTAACAACTAAGCCACTTTTAGAGGCCAACTCTATAAATGTCTTTCACAAAAGCCTAGTCATCCCTAAGTTTCCCCTTTACTGTTCCAGAGCCAGTCCCCAACAAATGTGTGGACAAAACTCAAAGACAGGGTGACCTAAAACAAATTCTTTCCCCTATGAAGTCTAACCTCTATGATTCTGTTAGCCCTTAAGTGGAGTTTTCAGGAAATTATGTGATCAAGGGATAAACCAAAGTATTAAAAACATACTTTATAAGCTTGTTTAATTTTTAAAAGGATTTTAATTATAGTTTTCAGAAAAGTTAAAGTTTAGTAATTCTGTAATAAATACAATTGAGATATATTTTATGGCTTGAGAATGTTAAGTATGTTTCTAGAAACATACTTTATAAGCTTATTTAATTTTTAAAAGGATTTTAACAATGGTTTTTAGAAAAGTTACAGTTTAGAAATTATGCAATACAGTTGAGATATTTTTTATACCTTGAGAAATCAATTATTAATTTGAAGGAAAAAAAACACACATGCCAATTAAAAGGAAATTCCTAGCTGTGATCAGTAACAGTGTGGCAGAAACATCGCCAAAAATGGGCCTGCAATTGCTGACATGCAAAACCGCCACCAATCACAGAATGTGTGTTACGCATCCTTAGCACATACTTCTACAACTTCTCATCAGTTCATCTGTTTCTCTATCTGCAGCCCCTCTTATATCTCTATGAGTTTTGCAGGTCAGCTTCAAATTTTATTTTGTATTGACATCATTCTTATATTAACACGGTTCCAGCAAAGCTGAAGTGAGAACAGACAAACGTGTGAAACAAATCTTTTTTTGGTAATCTTCATACTTATCTTTAACATGTTCTTTCAAAACCTGCAACTCCTAAGAAGTTATTTACTTCTATTTTTTCTTGTTGTAAATTATAAAATAGTTTAATATCCAACAGGTATTATTGGAAAACAGTCATTTTTGAGCTGTGTTTGAGAAGCAAGATCACTTTGTTGGGTTAACCAATTTTAAATGCTCCTAAAACATAGAGCCCCTTTAAGAATATTTGGCCTGGCGCAGTGGCTCATGCCTGTAATCCCAGCACTTTGGGAGGCTGAGGCAGGTGGATCATGAGGTCAGGAGTTCGAGACCAGCCTGGCCAACACGGTGAAACTTCGTCTCTAGTAAATGTACAAAAATTAGCCAGTCATGGTAGTGCACTCCTGTAGTCCCAGCTACTTGGGAGGCTGAGGCAGGAGAATTGCTTGAACCTGGGAGGTGGAGGTTGCAGTGAGCCAGATCACACCATTGCACTCCAGCCTGGTCAACAGAGCAAGACTCCATCTCAAAAACAAACAAACAAAACAACAACAACAAAATAAATATTTAATAATGCAATACTTCATGGAAATATAAAGAGTAGCAAAAACACATTTTTAAAACTAACATATATATTAATGTGAAGTATCTTTATAAAACAAATCCAAGAAAAATCAGTCTTACACATTTGATTTATAAAAAATTCAATATAAGATTTTAAACTTATATTAATAGTAATAATTTTCATAATATTTAAGTTAAAATAGAACTGACATAACAAATTATATATCATCAGATTTTAATATATAAACATCATACAAAATATATTCTCCAGCAACCACAGGATGAAGTTAAAAATCAGTAACAGAGGGAGAACTTGAAAATTTCAGTTTTTGAAAATTAAAAACACTCTCTAAACAACTAATGGATCATTACAGAAATCACAAAAGGAAATTAGAAAATACTTGGAGATGAATAAAAACAAAAACAAAACAAAAATTATGGGACATAGTAAAATAAGTGCTAAGGAGAAAAGTTATAGTTATAAAAGCTTCCATTTAAACAGAATGCAGATCTTAAATCAAGAACCCATTTGTACAACTTACGGAACTAGAAAAAGAAGAACAAAGAAAACCCAAAGGCAGCAGATGTAGAGAATTTAAAAAGTAGAGAAAAATCAATGAAACCAAAAGTTGATTCTTCAAAAAAAATCAATGTGAAAAACCTTTAGCTAGATTGACTTAAAAAGAATGAAGGCTCAAATCACCAAAATCACAAATGAAAGTGAGAACATTATTACTTACTCTGCATAAATAAAAAGTATTATAAGAGTACTATGAACAATTATATGTCAAAAGTTGAATGAACCAGATGAAATCGACAAATTCCTAGAAATATGCAACATACGAAGACTAAATCATGAAAAAATAGAAAATCTGAATAGATCTATAATTAGTTAGGATTATAGATCTGTAATAAAAAATCTAGCAACAAAGAAAATCCCTGGACCTGACAGCTTCACTGCTGAATTATACTAAACATTTAAAGAAGAACTATAATAACGCCAGTCCTTCATAAACATTTCCAAAAAGTTAAAGAGGAGGAATACTTCATATGAGGCCAGCATTACCCTACTACCAAAACCAGACAAAGACATTGCAAAAAACAAAAAAACAAGAAAACACAACAGACCAATATCTGTTATGAATATCAACGCAAAAATCCTCCACAAAATACTAGCAAACCAAATTCAGCAGCATATTAGAATGACCAAGTGGGATTTATTCCTGGAATCTAAGCATGGTCCAACACACGAAAATTGATCAATGTAATACCCCATATTAACACAAGGGAAAAAATAAGCATAATTGTCTCAATTATGCATTTGGTAAAATTCAACATCTTTCATATCAAAAACACTCAACAAACTAGGAACTGAAGAAAACTACCTTAACATAATAAAATCCATATATAAATATTCAGTAGCCAACATCACACTCACTGTTAAAAGACTGAAAGTTTTACCTCTAAGATCAGGAACAAGACAATGAGGCATACATTGCTACTTGTATTCAACAAAATACTGAAAGTCCTAACCAGTGAAATCAGGCAAGGAAAAGACATAAGAGGCATCCAAACTGGAAAGGAAGAAGTACAATTATCTCTGTTTGTACACAGCGTAATACTTTAGGTAGAAAACTCTAAAGATCACACACACACGCACACACACATAGTTAAAACTAATAAACAAAGTTAGGAAAGCAGTAGGATACAAAAGCAACACGTAAACATTAGTTTCATTTTTACTTACTAACAATGAACAATCAGAAAAGAAAATTAACAAAATAATTCCATTGATTATAGCATCAAAAAGAATGAAATACTTAGTAATTAACTTAGCCAGGGATATGAAAGACTTGTAAAATGAAAACTATGGAAGACATTAATAAACGGAAAGATATTCCATGTCCATGTGTTGGAAGACTTAATATTTTTAAGATGTTAATACTACCCAAAGCAATCTTAACATTAAATACTATGCCTTTCAAAACTTCAACAATTTTTATAGAAAGAAATAATCTATTCTAAAATGTATATGAAAAATCAAGGGACACCAAATAGCCAAAACAATCTTGAAAAAGAACAAAGCTGCAGAACTCACACTCCCTGGTTTCAAAATTTATTACAAACCTTCAGTAATCAAAACAGGGTGCCACAGGCATAAAGACAGACTTATAGGCCAATGAAGTAAAATTGAGATCCCAGAAATGAATCTTCACATGTATGGTGAAATGATTTTTGACCATGGGTCCAAGACCATTGAATGTGGGAAAGAACAATCTTAAAAAAAAATAAAAATAAAAAAAGATGGTGGGATGGTGGTGAAACAACAGAAGAATCACATATAAAATAATGAAGTTGGACCCTCGTATAACACTATGCAGAAAAATTGACTCAAAATTAATCAAAGACCTAAATGTAATACAAAAAATACTATAAAACTCTGAGAAGAAATAATAGAACAAAAGCTTCACAACATTAGAGTTGGCAATGATTTCTGAGATGTGACATCAAAGGCACAGGCAACAAGAGAAAAAAATTAAAAACTGTACTTGATAAACTTTTTTTAAAAAACTGCCAAAAAATACTATCATCAGAATAAAACGGCAACCCAGAGAATGAAAAAAAAATTTGCAAATGATGTTTGACAAGGGACTGAGATCCAGAATAGATAGGGAATTTTTAAAACTCATCAACAAAATAAAACAAATAGCCTGATTCAAAAATGGGCAAAGAACTTTTCTCCAAAGACATTTCTCCAAAGAATTAATAGAAATGGTCAATAAGTACATAAAAGGAGCCTCAACATAATGAATCATTAGAGAAATGCAAATCAAAACTACAAGAACATAACACCTCGTACACATGATGATAGTTACTATTAAAAAAAAACAGAAAATAACAATTGTTGGCAAGAATGTGGGAAACTGTAACACTTGTGCACTGTTGGTGAGGATGTAAAATGATACAGCCACTGTAGAAAGCAGTACGTCAGTTCTTTAAAAGATTAAAAATATAAGTACATATAATCCAGCACCCCAATCCAGGTATATACCCAAGAGAATTTAAAGCAAGGTCTTGAAGATATATTTGTACACACGTTCACAGCAATATTATTCACAATAGCTAAAATGGAAGCAATCCAAGTGTCTCTCAATGGATTAATGGATAAGCAAAATGTGGTGTACACAAATAAAAGAATATTATTCAGCCTTAAAAATGAATACAAGTCTGACATATTCTACAATAGGATGAAATTGAGGTCATTATGCTAAATTAAATAAGCCAATAACAAAAGACAAAGCTGTATGATTTCATTTATATGAGGTTCTTAGAATAGTCAAAATCACAGACGAAAAGAATGGTAGTTTCTAGAGATATATATTGATTAATGGGTCGACAGCTTCAGTTTCACAAGACTAAAGAGCTCTGGAGATGGATGGTGATGATTATTGCACAATATAAATGTACTTAGTATCACTGACCTATACATAGCCATAAACCACATAATGATGTTTCTGTCAACAACAGACCACTTACAGGTCATTGTTGCCATAAGATTGTTATGCAGCTGAAAAATTCCTATTGCCTAGTGAAATTGAAGCTATCATGTCATAGTACAATGCATCAATGCATTGCCTTTTCTGTGTTTAGATACACAAATATTTAACACTGTCTTACAATTGTCTATAATATTCAGTACAGTAACATGCTTTACAGGTTTGTAACCTATGGACAGAATGTATCACTGTCTTTTAAGTGATGCATGGTCTACTTTAAAATAATTAAGATAATAAATTTCACATTAAGTGTATTTTATTTTGCAAAGTTACCACCTCTGTCTTCACTTACGGATATTGGCCAAAGTCTGAAGCAGGTGAGAACCATGATAATAAAATGAGTAGGAAAGTTTGCTAGGTGGAGCAGTGAGAGTTTGATAGAATTTACTGTCAAGATACAATGCATAAGGATGGGCATTCATTATTACATGAAGAATAACAATTTTTAGAAGAGTATATGCAACATTATTCCATTTAGATAAATCTAAATAAAAATGACATATGTGTGTATATTTTATATGATTAGAATAAAGATCTCCAAGGAAACATGCAGATACTAATAGGGATTAGAAAGCTTTGGTAGAACTGATGCCCATTTAAATAAGAGTATTACCCTTATGTTCCAAGTGTATATCATGCTTGTAAAATAAACCAGTACATTATACAAAATATGCTACTATTACACTGAAACCAAATTCTTCTAATTATCTAAGAAAGGCAGAATTATGTAATGATCAGAAATAGACCCCTAAGCCAGATTTTCTGGGTTGGATTTTCAGGTCTTCTATCACTTACCAGTTGTGTGATTGACCAGTAGCGTTAACTTCTCCATTCCTCATAAATTTCTGTCAAGAATTAAGTGTGCGAATACATGTACTTATAGATGTATGCATGTACATAGCATGCAGAAAAATACTGGCTATTTTTAATTTGTATTGTTATTATCCTATTGGGCTATTTGTGTTCATTCCAGTTAATGACTATAGTATAAAAATTTAAATTTATGCTACAAATTTATTTTAAATATTTATGCTTATCTCATAGTACTGAGTATTCAAATGCTCTCAGTTCTTTTTATCAAATGCTAATTATTGGTTTATCCAGAGATCCTAATCTGTGTTATAGTCATTTTCCAAGCTTCCTTCTGAAAACTCAAACAAAGAATAAATATTACTCTGTGTTTTTTACAGTTAAAAAACAAGGGAAATAAACTACCATCACGGGCATTTTACTCTTACCATACTGGTTATTTCAAAAACTAAAGTGAAAGGCAAATCAACTTAGTAATTAGTCTAATAACTCCTTTAAAGCAGTGTGTTTTTAATTAGTACATATGTGGCTGCTTGACAGTGAACTGTATTCTTCTAAGTATACATCTTTGAATAACACATTGGACCTGTTGAGTAATACTAAAGTTTTACAGTGGCCTTTATGAAAATGTGGGAGTGTTCCAACTTCCAGTTGCAGTGGTGTGTTGTAATGATGTTTCAGTCACTTCCAGATGGAAATATTTAGGTATCTCCCTACTAGAAAGGTTTAAAGATTGCTATTATTTCTAAAAGAGCACATAAGATAAACCGAATTAGTGAGCAAAGGATCGGGCAGAGTGATTGTGTCTAATCAGCTTAGCCCTGCCAAAAATAAGACAAACGAAACTAGTTATTAATAAGTAATTAAATGTCTGTGTTTTCCAGACTTTTGACAAGTGAGTTTTCATAGTTTTCAGATGATGTCATGCCAACTCTACTGATGTGTGTAAAGGAATGAAATAAGCTATTTAAATTAGCAGACTTCAAAATATCTACCCTGTGATGACTGGAGTTGATATCAAAAATTCAGTTAGGAAATCTAGGATGTGGGTCACTGAGACTGGTCAGGATCTCAGTAGAACAAGGAAACAACCAATATTCAATTATTATACACAGTTTATTATTTATCCTGAAACTGGCAATGTAAGGGGCACAATTCAGTTTTTTAGAACACAACGTCAAATGTTAGATACCATCAAATCAATTCTAATTTCAACAGGACTTCTGACTGTACAGTTAGTCTCTGTTACTATCTTTACCTTAAAGAGAAACGTACACCACATAAGTTTATCATAACTTTAAAACTAAAGAATATTTTAAGTCTATTTTGGGAATGGTTTTACACATTTCATTGTGCCAGTCTATAATGTATACTTCCCGTTCAGAAAATGTGCTTTCAGTACACTGCCAACTAGTAAAAATTACCATCTGGTTATGTTAAAAGCAGTCTTCCTTCTTTTTCATTTCAGCTTTTACCCTCAATCCACACAGAATCAGACTCTTCACATACTTCTAAAGCTTTTGACTCAAGGTCAGAATGAAGTAAAACATTGCACTTTTTTCTAAGGAAAAAGAGCTGAGTCAAATATACTCTCTCCTACTGTACACTTAAGCTTTCTTGTTAAATTAAAATTGGGATCTAAAACATCTAGGGCAACCTTTTCCTGATTACTGATGACAAATTATTTTGTTTGACTCAACTGCATTTCTACTGCATTAGAAATGCACAGCATATAACCTTCCTCACATTGCGAGTGCTAGTCGAGTATCTGATTTAAAATTGGAAAACATTTCCATCAAATTGCAGCTTAAAGTAAGCTAATTTTATCATTTCCAGAGTAACCATTCAATACCACTTATGAAGGTCACAAGACCTGCTTTCTTTCCTAAATCTTAAATTCTGAGGACTTGCATAGGTACATTAAAATGCTCTTAAGCTGATTGGATTTGCTGGCAAGGTTGAAGGGTGACTAGCAGACAACTGCCACAGTCAAGTGTCAAAAATGTTACCAAACTTTTGCATTCATCCTAGGAAGAACACAACAGCAGTGATTTATTAGGTAAAACAAAGATGTGAAATCACAAATGTAAGACAGAATCCTGGGACTTATTTTCTTCTACTGTAAAATTAGGGCTTTAAAAATTTAAATATATTATTAAAAGAACACATTAAGAATAGCAAACAAGCCTATGAAAAGATGTTCAACATCACTGATCATCAGAGAAATGCAAACCAAAACTACAATAGATATTATCTTACCCCAGTTAAAATGGCTTTTATTCAAAAGACAGGCAGTAGCAAATGCTGAGAAGGATGTGGAAAAAAGGAAACATTTGTACACTGTTGGCGGGAATGTAAATTTATACAACCACTATGGAGAACAGTTTGGCAGTTCCTCAAAAAACTAAAAATTGAGCTACCACATGATCTAGCAATCCCACTGCTAAGTATATACCAAAGAGAAAAAAAAAATGAGTAAATCAAAGAGATATCTGCACTCCTTTGTTTATCGCAGCACTGTTTACAATAGCTAAGATGTGGAAGAAAGCTGTGTCCATCAGCAGAAGAACGGATAAAGAAAATGTGGTTCATATACACAACGGAGTACTATGCAGCCATAAAAAAGAATGAGATTCAGTCATTTGCAACAATATGGATGGAACTGGAGATCATTAAGTTACTTGAAATAAGCCAGGCACAGAAAGACAAACATCACATGTTCTCAATTATTTGTGGGATCTAAAAATCAAAACAATTGAATACATGGACATAGAAAGTAGAAGGGTGGTTACCAGAAGCTGGGAAGGGTAGGGGGTTTTTGGGAGGGGGCAGAGGGTGGAGATTGTTAATAGGTAAAAAAAATAGAATGAATAAGACCTACTACTTGATAGCACAATAGGGTGACTATAGTCAATAATAATTTAATTGTATATTTTAAATTCACTTAAAGAGTGTAACTGGATTGTTTGTAACTCAAAGGATAAGTGCTTAGGGAATGGATACCCCATTCTCCATGATGTACTTATTTCACATTGCATGCTTGTATCAAAATATCTCATGTGCCCCATAAATATACACACCTACTATGTACCCACAAAAAATTTAAAAATAATAAAAATAAAAAACAATTTAAATAATTTTATATTACAGTTTGTTACAGTACTTGTGTAATATCAATACAAATATTAATATTTAATATTTAACTAAAATATTTATATAAACTGCAACCCACATCTCTCACACATAGTAGGCATTCAACAGAGTCACGAGTTATTTTTTGTGAATAATAATCAAAAACTAACATTTAATACATACTATATAATTAACACTGTCTTTCAAGATATACGTACATCATACTTTATTCCTCACCACAACCCTATGATGTAGATATAGGCTATAGGAGATAGATAAGTCCTTTGTACAAATGGAAAACTTGGGAAACTGAATAGTTAAATAATTAGTTCCAGCAATTGAATGGCAGGACAAGGAATAAAATATAAGGTTGTGTAATTATTTTGCCCAATTTCTTCACCACTGTGAAGCTAATGCTCTAAAATATTGCTGAAAAAACACATGGGCCCTTGTCTTCATTAATCTTGCATAATACAGAAAATGATGTTACATTATGGCAAATATAATCTGTTCATTCATTTCTGATATTAAAATAGAAATACTTGGTTAATATTTGAGCTAGTTGTAATGTTATTATATAAAAAGTATTAACCATCTTGTTTCTATTGCACAAAATAATACTTTATTTGAATACTTCACATGGTAAAAATAGTTGCAAAAATATTTTCTACATAGAAGTGTAAATATTTATTTTAACATCAATGTGTATCTCATAATGCATGTTATTATTCCCTATCTTATTAATAATGTTTGTTCCTGCACTTAACAGTGTATTCTTCAGAAAATAGTGAGAGAAGTGGTGGGGAGAGGTTATTGGCCAAGAATCAAGGAAAGCCAACACAAACATCTATATGGCACTCAGACTTTTTGTCAGAGATATATGTGTCCAGTCAGATCCTCTTCAGATTTAAGTGAGTAGCAATGCTTTGAGTCTTCTAAATTATCACTGTTTAGATGCTTTATGTAATTTATACCAATAATTAGGTGCAGCCCAGCTTTGTATAGTTTGACTACAGAAACTCGACATATTTCATGTGAAAATAAACTACTGCTTCCTCCACAGCCATGGGTGCTGATGCATGAAAAGATTTGAGGTAACTTATCCACTTTTGTTTGTTTCACAACAGTTTTTTTAATTTCAAGAGTAAGTGTGACAATGAATACTAAGCAGAAAAAAAAAGCCATATGCATTTGGCTCAGACTGAAAGTCAAATTCAAACATCATCAGAAATGCTTCTATAGAAGATTAATGGAATAAGTGATTGTTGGATCAGGAACCCCTAAAGACGCTGAAGTGTTTTCCGTTTTCAAGCACTGACATCATTCTGAAGGCAGAAGGCAGAGAGGGAGGCTCATGTTCCACATACTCTAAAGTTTATACATTCTAGGAGTTCAGAGGATTCACTTAATAAGAGAAACGTAAGCACTTTATGAAATCTGAAGTCCGTGACGGCAAAATACTTTGCCCTGTATCGTCTGGAAATTTGGAAAGTGAGCACTTCAACTGGTATTGCTACTCATCCAGCTAATAGCAACATGAAAACACCTACTACAAATGTGAGACAAGTTTATATAACTTGAAAAATGTCACTGACTGATTTTTAATTTTGTATGATGCATATAATTCAGCACTTTTATCCTTATCCACGGCTCCTATGGGTATTTTTTAGGAAATGGAATTTCTTGAAAAAACAGTGTGAGAAAATAAACTAAGCAACTTACATAAAATTAAATGGCACACTTCCTAAATATTGGATTAAAGGATATCAACATTATATCTACAAAATTTATACTTTGGAAGAAATTAAGAATTTAACTAAAACAATGTGTAGCTTTCAGGCTTAGAAGAAATAAAGGTTGTGTTTTAATGGTCATCATCTGAATTTCAGAATGCTAAGGCTCTTAAGAAGTTTATATAGACATTGAAGGGACACAAGAAACACATAAAGCACCCAACTTATTTTGGACACCCAGTAGACAAGGCATTTTTATGCATGTTATGTCCTAAATCTCCATTAACAACTCTAAAAATTATGTGCCAGAAGAGAATTTCCATGTGCTCCCAATAGGTTAGATTGTGAAAAAAACCTGTCCTCGGAACCATTTTTCCAATGTAATCACTTACTAGATAAACTTATCCATTCTTGTGGGTTTCAACACTATCCACTTGGGCTGATCCTATTCTCTCCTGCCTACTCAAGAAATTGTACAGCACTTCCCCTGCCTGTCTTGGATAAGATAATTAGTATACAATTAAATAAGCAAGTCTATTATTATCTCTCTCTATATATGTGTGTATATTCCCTTACTTTAAAAATATAAGGCTCATTCATCCCTTTATCCCTCACCAGTCCCACATATCTTTATGATGCCATCCTAGTATGATAGAGTATCTGTTAGTTATCACTGCCATAACTTTTTATAACATACCACCTCCAAATTTAATGGCTTAAAACAACCATTTATTATTTTTCAAATGTCTATAGATTAGTTAAGTGGTCCTGCCTCTCTGAGCTGGGAGCAGTTGATCTTACATATGCATCGGTTTTCAGCTGGTGGGTCAAGTAGACATTGGTTGACATAGTTTGCCCTCAGCTGAGAGTATTCACCTTCGTTCTAATTTCTCATTCTTTAGAATACTAACCCGGGTATGATCTCATGGTGGAGGGAGAGGAGCCAGTGAGAAAGCAAAAATGCACAAGCACTTACTCATGCCCCATCCTACATGTACTTCGCTCCATTCCAGTGATACTCAATAACAAGATGTGAGCTTGCCAATAAGATGTCATAAGTTTGTAGCAAAACCTCACTTTAAAGAGATTACTGGTATAAATAACTGTGTCTGTTTATTCTGTAAAGTTATTCACTAGATGTTGGTAAAAGTTTCATGGAACTTGCATGTGTCTTTACCACAACAGTGCAGTTTTACTACTGTTGAGAGTTCAGATCAATTATTAACTCTTAAGGACTGATATCAATTAATAAGCTGAAAACCAAATACTTCATATTAAATATACATAACTACAGTAATTTTAAAATTTTCAGACAGCTTTTTTATTTTTTGTCTCACTTCATTTAATCAATTTTTTAAATATTTTGCTTTATTTTAAAATTGTGAAGCATTTAGAAAATGTTTTGGTAAAACATAGGTAAAATTTTGGTGAACACCATCAATTGAAGATTAAATTAAAAATGAAAGATCTTGAAGTTTGAAATACTAGCTAACATAAAATATTAGTAAAATAATAGCTAAACCTTATTGAATAATTTTGGCATTGTAAGTACTTTTTTAAAATTATTGACTGCTCTACAAAACCCTGCAAAAGGAGAGCCCATTAGTGTATTCACTAGACTTATGAAAAAACAGAAAAACAAAGAAGTGAAATGTTTAACAAAAGCCAACCAGTTTTTAAGTGGAGGCACCATGATTCCAATTCAAGTGTTACTATAATTCTCTACACCACATTTATGATGGTAAAATTTAATATCTACTGAAAACTACTATCGCTGATTTTTTCAGATACAGCTTTACAAACTGTTTTTATGTGTAATATATCACTATTTTGAAAAATTGGAACATACTGTAACTAACATTGTATTACTTCTTGCTAATTTAACTTCCTTTACATTATAACATCTTTCCATTGAGTTGGTTTTAGGATAGTGTCTCTAAATTGAAAAGTTCAATGAGAAAATGTTAAAGCAATAATAATTTACTCATTGTTTTCAAAATTGTTCATGCGTTATACAAGAATGTCTCATTTTTACCCAAAATACCACAAGTTGTAAATAGTGAAAATAATCAATAGCAGAAAATAATGTATAATGCAATTTATCTTTGTCACTCTACCTTTTCTGGATCTTTGAGAAGAGTACAAAGTATATGCTGATGTGTATGTATCAATATGGCAGTTCACTCTTTTCAAATTTCCTTATCATGAGCGTTCATCCATCCTAGTTAAATTGCAACTAGCATACCCCTACTCATTTCTTTAGCTAAATTCATATCCTTATATTTTAAGAAAACCCAAATAATGGTTCTAACTAGTATAAAATATGGTAGAAAGAGTTGCTTGTGGCAGAAAAACATTTTTAAGCATTTTCAAAAAGGAAGAGTTTCCAACTTTATGGATTCAAAAATAAACTGAATCAACTGAAAACCAAATATGGAGATGCAACTTTTTTATGTCTACAATTAACTATTTGACCTTTAAGTTAAATATTTCCGACAAGTATTAGTAGTTTGAGATAATCCATTCTACCAAGCACAGACCATGAATATTTTTTTCAACTTTACTTTTTAGCTATGTGTTTGGTGTATGTTTGGACCTTGCTTCTGATCTGTGCTCTAGTCGTATCAGAACCTATCAAGTGTCTATTATGTTGCCAGGGACAATTGTGAGACAGAGTAAGGCCAGGTGAGAATTCCCTTCGTTAAGTGTTTGATCTGTTGTTAATTAGCATGTTTCTCTGAAATGGTTGCTTTTAACCATATCATATAATTCTATGCACAAAAATATTATTTTGCAATTCTTTGATATTATATGAAAGAGTGATTCAACACAACACATTATAAAGAAGGGAGGGATAAATGAGAATACCTAAGCTACATAATGGGAAGCAAACACTAAGCAATTTCCTTGATAGGTAACATAACTTTTAAGGCAACCAGCTAAAAATAAAACACACCATACAGATAATGAGTCTTTAATTATTCCAGTCTATGGTATGGAGTAACCCTTTCCACAGACATGTGGCAAAGAAACGTGTTTGTGCCATTCATAAGTGGATTTCTCTCCCTTTTATTTCCTCCGAGTCTTCTTCTTGTTTCTAATTCCTCTTCCGTATATTACACACTCCCTGTCTTACAATGCTCTGTGTCACAATGGAAACTTCCTTAGATTTGGGTTTTTAATATGAATTATTGAAAATACCCATTCTTTCTTTGTGACAATGAAAAATTGATTTTTAAATTTTTATTAACATGTAATACATTTGGAGAATGTATTATACGTTAATATCCATGTAGCCAATAGTCAAATCAGATAAGAAATATTGCTAATGTCTTTGAAGTTCCTCTCTTCCGCTCTGAGAGTCACAAAAAATTTCCCTTCTTTCTACATTGTATAAGTGGGATTATACAGTATGTACTTTCTGTGTCTAGATTTCTTTACTCAACACTGTATTTTGGAGAGTCATTTAACTACAGCCCACAGTTGTAGTTCAATCTTATTGCTTAATAGTATTACATTGCATGAATGTGCAATAATTAATTCATCTCTTCTACATTTTCTGGGCATTTGAGTGATCTCCAGTGTGTGGCTATTTTGAATACTGCTAACACAAACATTTCAGTACAGTTTTTTAAACACATGTACACATTTTTATTGAGTTTCTGGGTCATAGTATATGCATAGTCACATGTAAATTTTTGGTAGAGTTTCTTTTTAATTAAGTTTTATAACTTGTGCTTCTGCTGTTCCCATTTGCATGGATACTGACACTATTCTCTCCTCTCCAGTGAAGGCTCACAGGCACAAGCCAAAGACCTCCATTACCTGGCAATGGGACTTCTGCTTCATGTACATTGACAGTTGCTATTCAGTGATTTTCAGAATTGCATGGCAGTGACTGGAGTTCTATGGCCCCAAATCCTTGGGATTTGATGGGAATAGAACAGTCTCCAACTTAGGCTCAACCAATAAAAAGCCCCCCAGTCCTGTAGAAATCAGATTAATACTACTTCCTGTCTCCCATTAGTAAGTATCTCTCCCAATTATAGCCAGATGGGATTTTGTTGTTTAGTTATTTTATGCTAATAAATTATAGATCACAGATACACACATAATCTTGGATTTAATTGTCACACACTATTTCTATATGGTTATGTTAGCATCTCCTGTTTACTGAGAAGTAATCAGAGCAGGTAATTTTCTTAAGGCTTCCATCAACCACATTGTTGATTAAATGTCATAATTGTTGATATCAAGGATCATATTACTTGAAAAAATAAACATTGGTAACTAGTGATAGCCAAATAATGGGAAAAAAAGAGTTGTCTGAAAACTTGAGAAATGCTAATAAAAATCATTTCAAAATGATCTAAACAGAGACTAACTGAAATATATTAATATATATAAATAAAGAGTAGATGAAATTGATCTAAACAGAGGCTACCGAAATATATTAGTACATATAAATAAAGCGTAGACAAAATTGCTCTTCAAATATTCAAATATCTTAGTCATTTATAAAAATTATTCATTTTTATATAAATAATTTGACAAAGAATTTGGCCTTGCAAAAGTACCTATAAAGAGGCCAACAAACTATTAAATTGGTACAAATATGTTTAAATTTGTATCTGTGGCAGACCTTATTTACCCAATTTGCCAATATTCATGTATTGTACCCAATTACAAAATAAACCAATCTATGCTAGTGATAATTGTCTAGATATCTGCCAACTATTTTATATCTAGCCAATTCTAATCCCGAAGTATGTATCTTCTTCCAAATTTTAAGCATATATTATGAATCTTAAAAATAATTCAATTTTTTTTAGCCATTGTGAAAAAGATTATTATAGTTCATTTTACTTGTTATTATTTATATTTTGAGGACAGGTTAAAAATATGTTATAGCCCGACAAAAATAAAATAAAGCTCATCAATTTATCAAAAATACTATCTGTATAAACACACATCTCTGTATGTTCTACATGGGATCAACAAACTATTTTCCTATTGCCATCGAATAAATATAATGTGACTTAAGTCTAAAAAGTTGTGAAAGTAAATGTATCTACATATTTTAGCCTCTCAAAACTGCCTCTTATTGTGCAATATGGAAATTTACAACACACTAAACTTTTCAATAAATCTCTTGTAAAACTAAACTCAAATAATTGAAAACATTATAAATGTTTACCTAACATTAGAGAATAACTGCTAACAGTAAAATCTGAAACACTGTTTAGCCAAATATACATTTGAAGTAGTACATAGAATTACAAGACAAGCCATAATTCATAAAGTTAAATTGTCTGTTGATACCAACAGTACTTTGACAGATTTTTGATAAATTTTACTTAATTAATGGATTTTAACCCCCAAAACATTCCCAAGATAGCTAATTTGAAGTATAGCTACTCTCGACTGTTCAAATGCACCTATCTTTCAAAATATGGGGTGCATAATATTTCTTCCTATTATGCTGATAATAATTGCAACAGCAAACATAATTTCTTTTGTAACTGAGTGCCTCTGAACAAAAAATTAATACTTATCTGAATTTATCTCTGCTTCTATGCACTGCTATACATTTTTTGCCTACTATATTTTACATCTACCAAATGCCTGAACCTATTCTTTCTTGTGTTTAAATGTTTTCATATATTGCTTCTTTCACGCTCTACATTTTGTATTCACCAAACGCACTATATTCAGCAATCACAATGACCTCACCATAGTCAATCCCAATGTCCCTTCAGTTTCAGCAACTGTAAGCTGTTTGCAGTATTTGGTCCTCACCATTACCTATTGCTGTTTTCCTTCACTTTCTTCTTTAAAATAATTACCCCTTCCTTCTATATTATTCTCGTGTTATGTAACCACATTTCCATGGTTTTTCTCCTCCCTCATCCCTACCTTAACTACTCATGAGCCCTATCCCACCATCTTTACTGGCTTCTTTTTTATGATTTTTTTCTAACCCTGGGTAATTAATTTTAATCTTCTGCCTTCAAATTTTCTCTTTTCTTCTACCTCTGAAATCTCAACTATTATTTTTATTTGATGACTCGGAAGCCACTCCATCTAAAACTTCGTATCACCCATTCCCTCTGCTACTTAGCTCCTTTCATTTCCATGGCCTGCTGTCATTTCAGTAACCCAAAATCAAACTTAACATTCTTTCTATAAAATTAGTTTCCTTTTCTTACTCTCCTGTTTTTTCAAAATTTCCATTATTCCAGACAAAATTTTGACTGTTGCTTTTCCTTTATGTTCATATTCAGGTAACAGGGTCTATCTATACTTTTTGTTGTTGTTTTAAGTTTTATTTTTGGTGCAAGGTCTCACATCTCTCCCTCTTGCTCCTTCCATCACTTAGTTCCTTTTGCCTTTTCAGTTCCTGGTTCTTTAGTTCTTGGCTTAGATTTCTATTCCCTTAAGATGATTGTTTAACCATATTATTGTGTCAGTGGCCATATTTTTTAAATTCTTGATAAATTCTGCCAAACTGAGCCTGGAAAGTTTGTACTGAAGCACTCTTCCAGTAATGAAGATAAACCACTGTGAAGGAATCTTACAATATTTGTCCATTTGATAATTAAATTTTTGTCATTTTTATAATTTCTAGTGTTACAGAATAGATTTGTAGTTATCCATCTTATAGTCCTTCTAATACGACCTACCTACCTGGCTATGCTTTGCCTATGTAAATGACATTCTGATAATAGTTTTATTTATTTCTTGTTAACTAACCACTAATTAGTAATTGATTGCCTGGTCCTTTGACTCTATGTCTTCTTACTTCAGGAAAATGTTATTATTTAGAATAGCTTAAATTTGAGTGAAGTATCTTCTAATTAGAAGACTGAAAATAGATTTTTTCACGGATTATGGTTTAGATACAAAGTTGTACCCTATCATTTGTTATCTTCTCATCTGCCACTAAACTTTAATAGATAGGGTGAACAAGGGATGGTCCTGCAGGAGCCACACTTAACGGGCTACCACAGTCAGTGCCAGACTGCCTTAGAGGGACTTAGGTTGTTTGTCCACAGCAGTGGTTTTCAAACTCCACTACGCAATGGAGTTACCCAGAGGACATGTTGCAAAAGAGATTGCTGAGATCTCCTGAGTTTCTGATTCAATAGATCTAGGGGTCCAAGAATTTATGTCTCAATGTAATACTGATGTTGCTGGTTCAAAGACCACTCTTTGAGAATCAATGATCTACATGATTTGAATTCAAGAAAATTATGCCCTGCATTTCTCCAAAATCCAAGTCTCTGTCCAGGCAATCCCTAACATTATCAAATTTGGTTTCATTTATTTAGAAGTTGCTTATATAAGAGTAATAAGTCAAGCTGGCAGCACAAACATAATTTTTCTTTCAAGATGCCATCCATTTTCCAGAATTTGTCTTTGGTCTTTACTATTTGTTCAACATGATGTCCAGTGTCCCTGCCCCACTGTTCCCTTCTTGCTTCCTTCATTGAAACAAGGTCCTGGTCAATGGCCAAAAAGTACTTTCGAGAACTTCACATTTACCTTAGAATACTTTCTTAACTTTGCACTCCCATAACAATCAAGTATACTATTTTGTGGTATTTCACACATTTTGATTTTATTGATCATTTCTATGCATATTTCATAACTCTCTTAAAAGTGCTTGTCTTAATAATATTGCTTCTAAATTATATTGCTCAAAATAGTTTTTTGATAACCATTTGTTCAATAATCATTTACTGGACCCACAGGAGAAGGGAAAAAAAGAACAAATAACTGACTTAGCAACATTTTCCATTTCCATGAAGATGGTGAATTATCTAAAATTGGGTCTGAAATCTCACTTTTCTAAGCACAGAACAGAATAATTTATTTGATTTACTTTGCAATAAGCTTCGATTTCACAACATAACCAATAAAAATAACAAATACTTATTTCAGGATGCTATATTTTATTATGTACTTTGGATAGGTGGAACTCTGATTATATAATGTTTTCTAATTAATGGAAGAGGCTGAAGGACTTATTTTTGAATTTGTAGCAACCCTTTTTGTGAATAAGCTTCTGTAAAACTTAAGAATCTCTAAAATGTTACAAGAAAAATTTTATATATATTGGTGTATACATGCTGTATTGCCCTCTGATTTAGCCATGTAGCCTGAAGTTTTCCAAACTTGAAAAATTTTTTCAAAGTTATAGAATTTATTAGAATTTGTACTTCAAAAAATAGCTAATTTTTAAATGAATTTTTAATAATCTAGATGGTTAAAAAATTATATGCTACCACAAAATTTCAAAGTTATGCAGTTTTCTCATAGAGAGTTTGACAAAGTAGGATGAATTGAATTTTTCTGTCTTTATAGATGAAGAAAATGAGAAATCAGAGGTTAATTGCTTGACCAAAGTTTTGCCACAGGCAAGATAACTAGAATTTGGACCTAATTTTTAAGCTATTATTCTGCTTTAATCTTATTTTGTTCCAAGTTTTTGATGCCTTCATCACTCAAATATTACTTAAAAGAAACATGTTCAGGTTTTATGATGTTGTTCAGAGATCTCTGAGAGAGATGATACCTCATTATTATATTTTGATATATAACATGATGATTTTTATTCTTTTCTTTCATGGTACAAAGAACATGATTTAACCATAAAATTCTAACAAGTGTTTTACTTTTAAAGCCTGAAATCTAAAAATGTATATTGTTCTTAGTTATTTAGTGGTCATAATCACATCTAATTGTTTATGTCCTAAACATTAGAAATATAGGGATACACAACTTTGATGAAGAAAAAAAGTAAATTTTTTTTTTATTTTAAGAAGACCTTTTAAATATTCTCCATTAAAAGTTTTGAATTTATTGTGAAAATTTCTCAAAGAACAAATAAGAGGATTAAAAATGTTTTGGCCAAAGATACTTAATTAGCATGAAATAAGATTTCAAAAATAAATTATTTATTGAGGTTAATTTCATATTCATGAGAATAGTTTCAAAAAGCATATTTCCTGAAAACATGCAACTAGATATAAGACAGGCTTTTGGTCTTTAAATGCTACAAGAATAATAAAAAGTAAAAATGGCCTTCAGTTTCATATATTATTAGATATGTTTTCCTCCAGAACTGGCATTTCAGCTGAAGAGAATGTGTGCTTCAAACTTGGAAACAAATAATGCGTTTACTTATTTGATTAAAGATTGCACAGTGAATTTAATAAAGACATTATAGTCTTGTAATGTAACATAAACTCAATCTTCTACTTACAAACAACTTTAAGACAGAATTTAGGAGGAATGTCCTTTGGAAAATTATCTTTCCTTCCCCCACAGATGATTCAAATAAACAATACATACTGTTTAGAACATTTCATTTTATCTGGAATTAACCCTCTGTTGGCATGTCTTCTTCATCACTGAAAATGTAAGAAAGCACAGCCTCATCATGAAAATGCTGGGTATCCACATCTCACACAACTTAAAAATCATAATGAGTTGCAGGTTTTATTGTCAAGAATTACCCTGTGCTTCAAAAATGTGCTTGCTCCTTATGAAGCAATATAAACCTTGTTTTTAATCTTGCGAACTGTATATTCTATTGGATATGTCTATTAAAGATAGAATTATGAGTGAACAATAAATGTCTTTCCAGAGAAAGGTGCATTTTCTGTTGCACTTAGACTTGAAGGAGGTGTAGAAGATACTTGGCCAAAATTGGGGCAAAGAGGGGTTCCTGTGAAGAAGCAACAGTGAGAGTCTGGTTATCTACATATAAAAGAATAAAACTGGACCCTTATCTTAGACTGTACACAAAACCAACTCAAGGTGGATTAAAGGCCTACGTGTAAGACCTGAAACTATAAAACTCCCAGAAGAAAACACAGAGAAAACAACTCCTTGATATTGGCCTTGACAATGGTTTTTTGGCTATCACACCAAAAGCTCAGGCAACAAAAGCAAAAATAAGCAAGTAAGACTGCATCAAACTAAAAAGCTTCTTCACAGCAAACATTCAACAAAATGAAAAGGCAGCCTGCAGAGTGGGAGAGAATATTTACAAACCGTATGTCAGATAGGGGTTGATATGTGAAATGAAAATCTCACACAACTCAATGTCAAAAAACAATCCGACTGATAAATGGCCAAAGTATCTGAATAGATGTTATTTAAAAAAGACATACGAAGGGCAACAAGTATATGAAAAGGTGTTCAACATCACTAATCAGAAAAATGTTAATCAAAACAACTATATCACTTCACAACTGTTAGGATGGTTATTATATAAAAAAGAGATAAGTGTGATGAGGGTGTGGAAAAAGGAAACTCATGTTCACTGTTGGTGGGAAAGTAAACTGAGACAGCCATTTTGGGAAACGGTATGAAGGTTCCTCAAAAATTTAAAATAGAGCTACTGAATGACTCCACAATCCCCCTGCTGGGTACATACCCAAAGGAACTGAAATCAGTATATGAAAGATATATCTGTATTCCCGTGTTTATTGCAGTATAGAGCTAGTGTATGACTCCACAATCCCCCTGCTGGGTATATACCCAAAGGAACTGAAATCAGTATACGAAAGATATATCTGTATTCCCATGTTTATTGCAGTATAGTTCTCAATAGCCAAGCTATGAAAACAATTGGATAAAGAAACTATGATGTATAGTTATAATATATTATATATCATATTATAATCTTATAAACTCTGTAATAATAATATAAATATTATATATATAGTATTCAGTCTTAAAAAAAAGATTAAAATTGCCATTTTTGATGATATGGATGAACCTGGATGGCATTATGCTAAGTGAAATAAACCAGACATGGAAAGAAAAATACTTCATGATCTCGCTTGTATGTGCTATCTAAAAACAAGCCAAGTATATAGAAACAGTAGAATGGTGGCTATTCTATGTGCTATCTATGTACTATCTAAAACAAGCCAAGTATATAGAAACAGTAGAATGGTGGCTATTCTATGTGCTATCTATGTGCTATCTAAAAACAAGCCAAGTATATAGAAACAGTAGAATGGTGGCTATTCTATGTGCTATCTATGTACTATCTAAAACAAGCCAAGTATATAGAAACAGTAGAATGGTGGCCATCAGGGATAAGGATTAAGAGGAAATGAAAAAAAGCAGATCAAAGGGTACAAACTGGCAGTCATGTAGGATGAGTAAGTTGTATCTAAAGTATAGTATGTTACCAATAGTTAATAATATTGTATTCTGTACTGAAAATTTTCTAAAAGTATATTTTTTAGGTGCTCTTGCCAATCACATAAAAATATAACTATGGACGGTGATGGATATGTTAATTGGCTTGATTGTAGTAATAATTTCATGGCATATGTGTATGCCTTAAATATGTACCATGAAAATAAGTAAATAAACTAAAATGTAGGTTATCAAAACTTAACAATTTATACATTAAAAATTTCAAAACTTGAAAAAATAATCCAATGGGAGAGATTTACAATTACTTCAATACTATCAGAGCAGCAATGATGGAAGATAAGCAGAGGAAGGAGACAACCTGATAAATGTAGACTCACCAGCAAAGCCTGAGGGGACATGATAAATGTAGACTCGCCAGCAAAGCCTGAGGGGACAGTCATAATATCCATAGTGTTGACAGCCAAACCATCAAAAACTTTGGTGTAAATATATTATTTTTGCAACATATGAAATACAAACAGAACAGCAAATCTTGATTCAGGCACCTATTGTCCTAATTAACTGCCTCTCTGATCATGTGTGCATGTGTCACCTTGATCGCAACCATTTTCGAAAATAACGTAACAAAAACAAACTATTGTAAATTTAAAAAATGAATTAGCATGTGAAGTTATTTTTCAAGATTATACTTCTCCTGTGGCCTTTAAATCTTCTTAAAATTGTTCACTCTGTAATTGAGCATTTGCTGTATGCCAGGAAAACTTCTGGACACTGAAGATACTTACAGTCAATATTACTTCAAGGCAGTTACGGCATCCTAGTTACTGTTTTTAGTAACATAATATCTGCTTCCAAATACTCTTAGAAATGGGCAACTTGATAAGGTGATTCCTGAAAATCTCTGCCATCTTGATTGTGTAACTGTGTTTATTTAAAGAGGCTAAAAATAAGGTTGGTTTTTAATGCATGGTAACTATGCATTAAAAACAAAATTATATACGAAATTATAATGAAAAATGCAAGATTCCTCCATGCCTTCTAACAGTATTATTTCTACTTGGGTACTTTTTGCCATCAGAACAAATTATTAGGATAAATAAATGTGTAAGGGCCATACATACCTACTAAATCTGAGTGCCATGAATTTGTTTGTAATTTTATATGTTATCTTAATTATTGTAGTTATTGTAGTATGTGGTTATACCCCTTTTTGCATTAATATATAGTAATCCTAGGGACACCTAGAATTATTTTAAAAGTTGAGTCAGTTGTCTCCAGTTATAGAAAGTTGACTTATACACTTTTAGTAGTGAAGTCAATATATTTGAACTGAGTTCACTTCTGAACAAAGGAAAACTCTGCAAGTAACTGAAATCTTCTCAAGATTGGCATATAGACAATTCTAAAAAAAGTCCTGGGATATGAACTATCTCAAATTGGCAGTATATACTGGCATGTGCCTCATCCTGCTGACAGTCATTTCAGCTTGAGATACTTACAAAAAAGAGAAAAAAAGATAGCTTAATAGTTCCAAGTTTAAATAGTTATATTGGTGTACTCCTTAAAAGAAAAATCAGCACATTATCTTGGAGTAAAAATTTTACTTATGATTTCTTCACTTTTCTCCCATCAACTCAACAGCCAGAAAATAAAACATATTAATAAATACACATGCACACACACACACATTGTGGAAATCAAAGACCTGAGTCTATGTGTAGCAGTGTGTTGATAAACTATCTGTAGAGACCGAAGGTCAAATTAATTGTATATGTGAAAATTATATAATTCTAGAGACTCAAGTAGATATACAGATAAAAGTTACTACATAAGAAAATAGAGATTTCTCTATTTTTCCACAACAGAAATTATAGAGTGGAATAGTGATTGTAAATATAGCTTCTGTTATCATTTGGGGGAATAGAAAAGTGAGGGCAACAGAGATCAGAATATAGGCACTAATACTTGAATGCCTGTTATGTGTAGCTATTGTGCTTTGACAATTTTACAAATTGTCTTATTTAACCAACACACAACATTATGAGATTGATGTTTCTATGACTATTTTTCTGTGTGAGAAAACCCAGGTTCTGACTTGACGTCACTCATGCCATATTGGGTGGCTGAGGCAGGATTCAAATGCAAGCATGGCAGCACCACAGTCTGTATTTTATTAATCATACAACCACTATATCCAACTAATTATAAAGTCTGTATGGAAGCCCAGAAAAATAGGCCAGCATTAAATTGATAAAAGCATTAAAGAGAAAACTGTTGATCTAAAAACATTTAGTTTTACAACTTTTAATTTACCATAATTGTGGTTGCTACTGTGACTATTGTATAGGGAAACCATGCACAAATTAATTCATGACACATTCATGTTCTTTTTGCATATGTCTCTTTAAAAAAAAACGTTATTTAGGCAAAGTGCTAAAGAGAAGTTATTTCACCTTGCTGACATTGTGTCTTACAGTTTTACCCAACCAATTTGAGTCATTACTTCTTTATCTTAACAGGATTACTTAATTGCCTAGTCATGGAATGAATGATTTGGCTACTTCTATAGACGTATTAATAAAGACTTATTTGTATAATAGTCAAGTTAAGATGAACATGCTTGTGACCTCTCGCAGAAATAATGAAGATTCTGCAATTTAAAGAGCAATAAACTGTAAAGATGTAATTACCAACTCTTCATTATCTTACAGAATTTCAAGATAAACTCACTTTATTTCAATGTCAAAAGACAGCATTAAAGTCCTTTTCAAAATACCATTTAATTGGATAGATTAAGATACTTTAATATATTAATTTCTTTCCTTGTTACTGTATATTTCATGATAAGAATGCAGGGATATATATTAGAGTTCTGGGAAATTGAAACTGGTGTAACTTGCCAGTTAATTCTAAAATCTATTAATCATGTGCTTTGGTCATCTTTCTTCTTTGGTAAAATATGGATGTTCGAAGATATTTTCATGTTGTCTAAAGCATCTGCATCTCATATACAAATATACAATATATATAAAATATTAACAGAATTATACCAAATATATACAAAATAAAAATATACAAAATATTAATTTAGCAGAAAAAACTGTTGCATGAAGATAAAGTACAGGATGATTAGCTTAGTTTGGAATGACCAAGAGACTCACAAACAAGATGGGTATGCACAATTACACTAATCACAAAGGACAAAGATCCCTGCGCACGTGTACATCACACATATCTGAACAGCTCATATACAATAGTGATTGCACATGTAACAATTCAATGAATGGTAACTATAGAACAAGACAAATACATCCATTCGTAAAGAAACAGTGATCAGTCACTAAAGTGCGGGGAAAATAGCCAACCTACATAAACTTGTAGCAGTAGCCTCTTCATATCCATATCTGCAACACAGAGTTAGAAATGTTTGGGTTTAAACAGTAGTGAAAATATGACTACATTTCAGAAAGGTATGACCTTAACGGTATGGAGTTTGAATTTTAGAAAAATATATTTCTAACTAGGTTAAAGCTTGGGTGAAAATTTCAATTGCTTAAGATAAGCAAGAAGTAGGGAGTGCTGATGAGGTAAGTGTAGATGAAAAATAAATTAGCAGGCTAGTCCAAATGTAGTGGTGTTCCAAACTAATTAATCACAACCAGTTACAGATTTCTTGTTTTCTTTTCCACTCACACTTAGCCTTAAAAATAAACAGAAAAAATAAATAAATAAATAAATTGACAGTTGGATAATAGTACAACCACTATTCTGGGAAACATATAATGGGAATACTTAGGAATATTTGTCATGAAAAATTCATGCATAAATGGTGGCAAAATATAAACTTTGAGATCATGTGTACAATATAAATAAATGTAACAACATGCAACAAAATGGTGCTTTCTGTATATTTCATGATAAGAATGCAGGGATATATATTAGAGTTCTGGGAAATTGAAACTCGTGTAACTTACCAGTTAATTATCAAATCTATTAAATCATGTGCTTTGGTTATCTTTCTTCCTTGGTAAAATAGGGATGTTCAAAGATATTTTCATGTTGTCTAAAGCATCTGCATCTCATATACAAATATACAAAATATATAAAATATTAACAGAATTATACCAAATATATACAAAATAAAAATATACAAAATATTAATTTAGCAGAAAAAAACTTGCATGAAGATAAAGTGCAGGATTGTATTTTATCTTACGGATTTTTTGTGAACCATAGTCAGAAAAATCAGGGGATCAAAAATAATAAAACAAAATACACCCATTGCCTTAAGGAAATAGGTAAATGAGATAATTATATTTTTAAAGGAACTATATAAAAGCTTTACGTAAAAACCACAACCATATTTCTTGTTCCTGCACATTCCAATCAATTCATTAGATTTTTTTTACACATTCTGCAAAAATATTCTAATGCAGGCAGAGAATTTGAAATGTAAAAAATTATCATACTGTCTCCTATATTTAGAGCTCAGCTACATCTCTTATACGTTAAAATGTTACTTCTGTTTGACACACACTCTTACACCTACTGAGGAAAAAAATTGCTTCCTATTAACAAAGTGAATTATCTCTTCTGAGTAACATGATTAACCTGGTCAATGGTTACTTACCATGTGTTAGTTATGGGCTGAACGCTGCTCCCCTCTCCCCAAATTCATACGGTGAAATTCTAAAGCCTAGTATTTCTGAAAGTAACCATATTCGGATGATTTAAATAAGAATTCAGTTAAAATGAGGCCCTCGGGGTGGGTCCTAATCCGATAAAAATGATGTCCATATAAAATAAAATTTGGAAAGGGGTAAAAATCAGCTACGTGTATGCACAGAAGTACAACTGCGTGAAGACAGAGCTGTGAGAAGGCAACCACCTACAAGCCAAGAAGGGAGGCCTAAAACAGATCCTTCCATCGTGGTCCTCAGAGGAGCACTTTGACCTTGGATTTACAGCCTCTAGAACTGTGAGAAAATAAATATCTGTTGTTTAAGCCACCCAGTCTATGTGTGTGTGCATGTGTTTAAGTGCCACCTTAGAAAACTAACATAATTGGTAAAGGACATAATGGACTTTTTAAAGCCAGCACCCAACTACGTTAGCATCATTTTCAGATGTTTGATTTAGTTCGTTTATTTTATGTTATCAAGTATTATAATGACAATTTTAAAAAAACAGTTTCATGAGGTGGTTCACACTTTTAATCCCAGAACTTTGGGAGGCAAAGGTGGGAGGATCACTTGAGGCTGGAAGTTCAAGACCAGCCAGAGCAACATAATGAAAGCTAATGTCTACACATTTTTTTCTTTAATAAAAAATAAAGCTGGGTGTGGTGGCACACACCTGTAGTTCTAGCTACTTGGGAGCTGAGTTGGGAGGACTGCTTGAGCCCAGGAGATCAAGACTACAGTGAGCCATAATTGCACCACTGCACTCCACCCGGGGTGACAGAGTGAGACCCTGTCTGTAAATAAATAAATAAATAAATAAAAATAGATAAAAACAATTTCAAAACTTAAGACTAAAAGAAACTCAGAAAACTGTCAATTATATTTTGCTCTGATTTTTCTCTTTTATATAGTATGATGAAATGTTACATCAACCTGCCATTTTTAAAAGTAAAAATCAGATGGATTTAGCTGGGCACAATACCAACTGTATTGAGAATTTCTAATGTCACTCAGGTGAAAGACCTGAAGGAAAGGAGACAGATTTAGAAGGAATGATCGTTAATGAGATCAGTCATTCAAATAATCTACCTACTGGTAAAGTTAGACAAACAAACGGCAACAACAACAACAAAACCCTACCCATCATCTGTAGAGAAAAATCATAGTCTCCCACTTGAAATAACACATCTGTCTGGCAGCTTAAATAAAAGCACACGTATTTTCACACAGCACGAAAGAATTATTTTTATATTTGGAAAACAATTGCTACAGAATTATGAAAAGAAAAAAATACAGACTGTAGAGAACAAAATAAGACAAGCTTCCATCAAGAAGGAAACATAAAATATACTAACTTGAAATAACAGATATACACAATATTTGGAGTCCAAGCTTTTAGTGTTGACGCCAGCCCAGTTATATCGGAGGCAAAGATAACTTGAAATAACAGATATACACAATATTTGGAGTTCAAGCTTTTTAGTGTTGACTTCAGCCCAGTTATATCGGAGGCAAAGAAACAAAGATTTGCAAAGGATTCATGAATTATCCAAAGTTAAACACGTTATATCTAACCAAGCCAGACCTAGAACACATTATTGGTCATATTCTTTCCATTGACTATGTCTAATTCCTCTTAAAGTTTTTCCCCTTTACATATAAATCCTATGCACATTACAACTTTGGTGACATAAACAGAAAGAAATATTCTTTCTTTCAGCACTTTGGATGTGCTATCCCATTGTGTTCTGACTATCATTGTTTCTGATGAAAAGTCAGATGTTAATCATAAAGTCGTTTCCTTCTATGGATGAGTTATTTTTCTTTTGCTTTCAAGATTAACTCCCTTCACATTTTGTTTAATCCAGAATTATTAGAAACTTCTCTAATTTTGAGACTCAAAGTCACTCATCAGATCACCACAAAATTTCAAAATATACATTCTTAGTGCTTGTAAAATATCAATATACTACTTTAATGTCTTCTTTTATTAATACAAGGTCATTGTTTGGAATATTTGGGAAAGGAATATAAGTCAGAGCAAGAGCATCCTAGATTAATGATTGCTACATATTAATCAATTGATTAATGTTTTTGTGACAATGAAAGAATAAATTACTTCTAGTATTTTTGCTGACATATTTCTTTCCCTACTTTCAAGATTCACACAGAAATATACCTTAAATAATATAGTTTGATTCTCTTGAAAAAAATTTTCTATCTTTCTCCTCAATCTTTCTCAATATTTTAATACAATATTTTTTGTTTCTATATCCATCAAAAAGTTTCAGTTTGATGAGATAGCATAAAAAAATCTATTTAGAGGATCAGTTTGGAAGTCAGATGTGCAAAATGTTTCTTATCTGCTCTGTTCTCTTTTCATTACCTTCTCCCTGACCCAGCCCCAAACATTATAAAGAATGCTACACCCTTTATAAAGAAGTTTACCAGAATCGATATTAAAATTGAGTGAGCTATTTATTACTTAGAAGTAATTCTCAAACTTTAACCTGTAATCTCATGTATTTACAGTGGAGCATAGTATTTAGAAGAAACCGGACTCAATTATAGGTCAATTACTCCTTAGCAATGTATCAGAGTTCAGCAAGTTACTCAACCTCTGCTAATAACAATCTTTTAATCTGTAAAAATAAATATAAATATATCCATGAAATATTCTTAAGGTTAAATAACATACAAAAGTAAATCACTTAGTGTAATGTTAAATATATAATATGTTCTAGCTTGAATTACTACTACTAATGAAAAACTACATTTGAAATTTTTGAAGCTGAGATCAATAAAAAAAAGTGCCATTCTCCAACTTTTTCTAGGTAGTTTGCTAGAAATAAGAAAGCAAAATAGACTAGGGCCCAGTTTCTGGATTTAAGGATCAGAAATCATCTGCTGTGTTTATTATGAACCCTTTATATCCCTTCAGTTCTTCCTGTAAATTTTTACAAATAACTTACTGAATAAAGAGTTAAAACACCTCAAATTAACAAAATCTTGTCTACTATGTCTCCATTATTTCAAAAAAGAAAAGAATAATAATTTTGTCAATGATAGTTAAGTATATGTTAGTCACTAACACTATGGCAGGTACCTTCATATTCATATTTCTAATATTTCCAATATCTTCATATTTATATTTCTAATTCATATTTGATCCCAACTCTGTAATTTAGGAAGTTCTCTTTTTTTCTTTTAGAAATTAAGGCATAAAGTGTCAGGTGACTTGCACAAGATTGCACCACTAGTAAATTTAAAAATATAGTTTACTTGCCTACTGTCTTAGTGATATAGTTTACTTGCCTACTGTTTTAGTGAGTTATTGATCATGCACAATTCTTTTTGAAAACAGAAATTCATTTAGCATACCACATTTCAAGATCCATTGGTAAAAGCCACCTTATTAGCTTAATCAACAAAAATGTCGAGAAAATTTGAGCTTTTATTAACCGATAAAATATTAGAAGTTATATATATAATGAAACCACCCCTATAATCTTTATAAAATTATTTGGGAAAGGAGGGAGGGGATGAAATAAAAACAAGCTTCCAGCACATCCAGCCTTAAACATTATGTTAACTTGCTGTCTGTCCTGCTTCCTCATAATTGTTCACTAGGTATGGCCCCACAATCATTTATATCCTGTCACAAGATTATAGTTAAACTTAACTACTCATAGATAACAACTTGAGCATTGTGAAATGTTAAGTTTTCTCTTTGAGGTATTCTTTCAGATCCTACATACCAGTGAAACTACTGACATCAGCTGCTCTGAAGGACTCCAGGAGAAGCTGACTCACTAAAGGGCGAAGTTTCTACATCCTGGTGATTTAATCCCCCTCACCCAAACCAGTCAGTGACCCCAATTTTCCAGCCCCTGGCCCTCTACAATCCCCTCACCCCAGCAAAGTACTCTATGGAAAGACAGATTTGAGGGTGCTCGCATCTCCTCACTCAGCTGCCCTGCAATCATTAAACTCTTTCTCTACTGCAAACTCTGTTTATCAATATATCAGACTGTGACTGCACAGCAGGCATACAAACACGTGAGTCCTGTATCATTTATAAATATTTAACTTTTATATATATTTAACTGCTATACACATAATTGACCATTTTGTATATTAATATTAGTAGGTAATAATAATATTTATATTTCCTCCATAGGTAGCTTATGGAGCATTTCTGCCTGGTAAATTTTATTTTTTAACGACAAAGACTAAAGTAAGTAACTTTAAAATATTATTGAGAATTTTTTTCTATTGATGGGACATTGAATTTGTAGGTAGAAATAAAAACCTAGCTTTCTACTAAACTTAATTTTATATTTAAACACAATTCAAAATGTAAATAGAAAATTAAGAATTTCCAAAATTAAACTTAGTTTTAGAAACTCACATAAGCAAGTGTAATACTGAAGAGCAAAGAAACTGTGGTCTACAAACAAAAATTATAAGTAATTCATGAAATCTAAGGGCTAATTTGTGAAGTAAATTTGGAAGATGTTTTACGCTGTAGCTCCATCCTAGAGACCAAGAGTACTGCACTAGGAAAACCTGCTCAACCCTTTTTTAACCAGAAATTCTTTCTTTCTCCAGAAATCCTTTTCAGGTAATGCCTAATAATATCTCATTGAACATGTATTTGAAATTATAGTTTAATTTATAATTAAATAATTCAGTGAAAATATATTAATTGTAAAGATAAATTTTAACACGTATGGGAATACTAGACTTACAGTGGTCATCAACCCAAAATGCTACAAAATTACACAGAATGGTTAGTTTGGCAAAAATAAATATCACCACTACCACCAAAAACCTAGGTTTCAAAAAGAAATAAAAGAAGCATTCCAAAATGTTAAAAATTTTTCATTTGTCTACTTTCTAAATGCTCTTTAAAATACTTATGTCATCATAATTTTGAAGTTTAAAAGTAAAGAAATAGTTCTCCTAGTTAATATACTGCCTTAAAGTTGCTCTGACTCACAAACAGAACAAAGCAAAGCATGGCTTGACAGCCGTCAAATTACAGGAAATTGAAGCTAAATGAAATTGGATACCTCACCTCATCTATACTCCTTACTTTATAAGAGGGAAAAGCATCACAAAATGTTGAGGCCATTTAACTCAAAGTTACCAGGTGGGTTAGAGATAATTTGAGAACACTGCTTTTTTTATCTTTGTTACTATTCTCTCATGAAGTTTTGCCTGAAAACAGGTCTACTAAAGATATAAGAATTTGTAATGAAGATGAACATATATCATTGCCTTTCTGCTTAGGATTGTTCAATATTTTCCCATTGATAATAATAAAATCCTACCTACTTTTACCTCCTCTCCCACCACTTCCTTGCTCTCTATATCCTAGAACTTCATTCTTGACTCCAAAGCTGCCCCCTCCTGCATCAGTTTCTTTTGCTTGAAATCCTCAGCCCTTCATAAATTTCATCCAGCAAACTCCTATTTATCCTTTAACTCCCTATTATTTTTTCTTACAGTGCCACATTTTCCTTCATTAGCACATATCCAATTTAAAGTTGTATAGTTTGAGTTTTTGCTTGACTTTCTGTTTCTCCACTAAAGCATAAGCTCCACAAAAGCAAGTATCATGTCTGATTTAACAGGGTATATTCTATTCCTATAAGAGTGCTGCCACGTAAGTGTCAATGAATGTTTGTGAAATAAATGAAAAACTAAAGGAGTGATTGAACAAATAAAAATAAGTTATCTGAGCATATTGTATGTGTGAATAAGATCTTGAGTTTGGCCAAGGCAGTTAATCACATATTAACAACTCATTAGGTTTATAGCAATGAGGTACAAAATTGGTTCAGCACCAAATTCTAAATTCTAAGATGAAACAAGGTTTATGTTCAGAAAGATAGTGTCACTTTTTCTAATATCAGTTGCCCTCCAACTATCAGCATGACACATGCAAACCATTTATACGTGTTTTTCTGTTTTTTTGTATTGAAGATTCCACATGAAGGAAAATTATTATATTTCTAACAGGAAGTCCTCTTCTAAATGACAACAAATCTGAGGGTGAACACATCAGTTAAAAAGAGAGAGATTAAAAAGTTAAGATGAGATTCTGTTTGTACAGTATATAACTGAACAAAGCTGTATCTAGCAATTTGACAAGAAAGGTAAAACAGAATATTAACCTCAGCACACAAGTTCAGCTAATGATCTGGAATGGGGAGTTGTGTGTAGAGAGGAGGACAAAGACAAAAGACAACCATTTATCCCAAGTTACTTTCCAAAGATGAAAAAAAAAAACCCTCTTAGTAATGTTTTTCAAAATCTAACTACTTTCAAGAACGCATCAATAACATGTAGAGAGATAACAATCAAGTTGGACATTAACTTAAAAGTCAGATGACTTTTTAAGCATAAGTAACTTAGAACTGTAAAGTAAAAAACACTAAATGTCATTGACTTTAAAGTGGATACTGAAGTAAAAAAAAAAAACCTTCTATTAAAAACTAAACTATATGCGGGAACTTATGTAGAAAGCTTAGCATAAATATTTATACAAAATTGCCCTACCATATTTTATTAAAATATTACATTAAAAATTAAGAGAAAATCATTTTAAAAATGAGTTATATTTTAGGCCTTTTTTTCTCAAAATGAGTTTCATAAATTGATATGGTTATTAGCACAGGAATTTCAATAATAGGAACAAAGAAACCAAATGAAAACCTAATGTGTGTATGTGTGTGTGTGTGTGTGTTTTGTGTGTGTGTGCGTGTGTGTTTTGTGTGTGTGTGCGTGTATACAGTTACCTGGAATTCCAACTTCAATATGTTTAAAAATATTTCAGTAAAAAACATTAGATATATTTTAAGGCAGTTTGTAAGATATTTATTAGGTTTATTTGTAGGCCTTGCACACTAAGTTAAGCAACACTATCATAAAATAAATTAATAATGAAACAGAAACTCAAAGCTTCATATTATAATTAAATAAACTCTAAAGTATCTAATAACTTCAACTGTATGCCCTAAAATAACATCAGGGCTACAACGTGTATCAACTTGCCCACAGAAAAAGCAACAATGAAAGAAAGAAAGAGATATCTATTTTGTCATAAAAGATCAACACACTTTGTCCAACTTTTTGGTCCAACTGCTATAAAGTGGGCCAATGCGAATGGCAAATAAAAGAGCTGCCATTCAACATGCATTCTAGTAGTGAATATTAACTGACCACTACGTGAAGGCAGTGTTCATTGAACAAATAAAAGAACCCTTGCCTGCATGACACTTACATTTTGGTCACTTTACATTTTACTGGAGGAAATGTGAAGAATACAATACCAGCAATATTAACAACAACATTATCCCACTAGAAGGGCTCCAGTGATTGATATTTCCAGGCTCATCTCAGTGACCCTATATGAGGGTCACTATATTCCAAGGACCCTATATTCCAAGGAACATGGCAATGGATTTTTACATTTCCAAATTAAAAGGTAATGGTAAAGTAATGATAGTCAACATAAAAAATGACTCACTGGAAACCAAAGCAACTCATTTCAAATGGCTTTGGAATGCCATCAGGACAGCACCTTTTTATTTGTAATGCATAAGTCTCACAATCCAGAGAGCAGGTCTTGTGAATTTTGACGAGAGGTAAGGCATTACAGAAAGACCCAAAAGTCACGCTCCAGATCCCAGCAATATAGCTACTAGGACGGACACAGAGTACATAGTTGTACTACTGAGCACAGTGATTTAGAGATTGGAAGCCATAGTTCTGTGAGATCAGGCATCATTTCAAGACAAAAATTACATTTTTAATAAATGCAAACTTTGGCTCAGCTAAACAAGGTACCTTGGGCTACATTCTTTCCTGCAGATAGATAAATTTGACATAATTCACCCTTGTGCAGTCTAAACATATCATGTGCCAACAGTGATGTAAAGCACTGAATATGTGAGATAAAGTATGATGAATTCTATTGACAAATACAGGCAATGGCTTCCATTTAATTGAGAAGAAACCATATACCTAGCACAAGTCTTTTTCTGTGCATTAACTTTTTGTAATACAACTATATGAAGTTATAGCCTATTTTATATATAAATAAAAGCATTTCCAAAGGTTAAGAAAGGGCACAGTGAGAGTGAGAAGCACAGTCTGGGTGGGCAGGACAATCTAGTTGTCTATCTGTGCTTTAAACTCCTATAAACATATCTCCCACACCACGACATCTAACTCAGAGTCACATTTGAATTGCCAGCAAATGGAAGCCTCATAAACCCAAAATGTGAATGGCAATGAAGTGTATAGAGCACACTTTGAGTGCACAGAGTATCTTTGCAAACATTATCTTTTTTTTTATTATTATACTTTAAGTTTTAGGGTACATGTGCACAACGTGGAGGTTTGTTACATATGTATACATGTGCCATGTTGGTGTGCTGCACCCATTAACTCGTCATTTACATTAGGTATATCTCCTAATGCCATCCCTCCCCTCCCCCCTAAACATTATCTTTTAAGACTTTCACAATCACGTCACGAGATTATTCCCACATCAAAAAGTAGGAAAGGAAAGCCTGGAAAGAAGTTATATCGACATTAAACTGCTCTCAAACCCAAGTGTACAAATGATTTTTCTTGCAAAGAAATTTATATTCTATGCAAAGTTCTATTTCAAAATGAATTCTGGAATTCAACTAAACACTCATCTTGAAAACACGAGCTTAAGTGGAAATTCCTCACTGGTATCCAAGCAAATAAATTAAATAATGATATTAAACCTACATCTAATCTCTCATTATACATATTGAAAGTTTGCTATATAGCTACCACTAAGTTATACATTTCCAGTGACACAAACCATAAAATGAATTTGTTTCTATTGGTACTAGCAAAACAAACAAACAAACAAACTACATAGATGGCAAAAAGGTCAATCTACTAATTTATCTTCTAATAACTTTCCACCCAGGCGCATTCGTCCCTCTCATTAGACGCTTGTTCTATGCTTCTTTAATTTTTTGACATTCTAATTGCCTCACCTGAACCAAAAAAAGAATGTGGATCTGGGATCAATACCTTTTGAAAAGTCATGTATTTCATTATATTATTTTTTCATATATCTACATTATTGCATAGAATACCTGATTGGTCTTATGCTAAGTTTTTCATGTAACATTACCTCTGCAAGATGTTAATAAGTATCCTTCCAAAAATGTTCGAAAAATCTTGGGTAAAACATATTAAGTAAGTTCCTGTTTCATAGTTTTCCAAGAGTTTTACTATCCTTGGCAAATGATGAAATTCAAAGCAGAGGTACAGTACACAACTTTTGTAAAACTTACCTATTTTTCTTATAAGACTGTGGCTTTGTTTCGTTTTGTTTTGAACTTCTTTTCTGTGATGTGATGTAAGACTGTGTTTTGAGTTAGGGGTGGGGACATAACGTTAACAGAGGTTTAGGAACTACTTTGCTAAAGCAAGTTTGAGGGGAAAATGGGGAAACTAATACAAGACTTTCCTTGAAGCAGTAGGAGTTGAAGGGGTAGGTGGTTTTTGGAGAAAGAGGAGACCCATTCACCGCACAGGCTTCTTTATGTTTCTGTTCTGTGTGACACATAATGAAGATACAGACATTCACTTCCTCTATTTCCCACCCTTGGCTGGAGGTAACCCAAAGGGACCTGATAAAGACACAGCCTTATAGCTGTATCAAGTGTCCTTGAGAGTGGTAGGACTGGAGACGCCTGAGGAATAAAAAAATATACATGCATTAAATGGAACAAATACAGAGAAGAAGAAAACTCAGACATGGTAAATTAATTTTGTACCTTTCCTTACAACCTAGCATATCACAGGGTACATGATATCCTTTTGACCTGCTTCCTTTATGCTGACTGCATGAACAGGGAAGGGGGTTGGGGTACACATGGGAGATAATTGTATTTATTATGTACCTGGTATTAATACATCTATAGAGACAATTGGAATGACCATACTGGAGAAACAGCAAGGGAAGAACTGAAAAAGCTAAAATAAACACTTGGTTCTATAAAAAATACTACAAAAAGATTTCTCATGTCTGACAAATTACATTTTAGTCTAATAGCAGTAAGTAGACCAAAACTAAGGTGATTTGATAAATATCATAAGGTATTTATTGTGAAATTGATGTCTATATGTATTGCTTGTAAAGCTCAGTAATCTGTTCTTGAATTGAGAAATTACTGAGACAACATCAAAAGCTGTCATTTTTGTTTCTATATTGTTGTTGCTATTGTTTGTGAGGTGAGAGCTTCTAAACTTTATGACTGTTTGAAAGGGGCCTATATACACCCTGCCTGAATATTAAGTCATGTGAAATGATAAAAAGCTTTCTGATTTATTGGGTTAGACAAAGAAAAAATTGAGAAATTGAGCATTATTAAAATTAAAGACTTTTGTTATTCAAACTGTGCTTAGAATGAAAAGAAAAGCCACAGGTTGGGAGAAAATCTTTTCAAAACACATGTCAGATAAATTAGTGGTATTTAAAGTATACAAAGAACTCGAAAATAAGAAAGAAAACAACTCATTTAAAAAATAGGCCAAAGGTCTAAATACAGCTGTCAAATATGGATATTGAAGTTACTAGTCATGTATCATTAGGGAACTGCAAGTCATAGCAACAGTGAGATATTATTACATGACTATTAAAATGGCCAATATCCAAAAGTCTGATAATACCAAATGTTGGCAAGTATGAGGAGAAACAGGAACTTTTATTGAGAATGCAGAATAGTACAGCTACTTTGGGAGTCAGTTTGGCAGTTTCTTACAAAACTAAACATACTCTTACCACACAACCCAGCAATTACATTCCCTGGTATTTACTTAAAGGATTTGAAAACTTACATGCACACAAAAACCTTCTTCCCATGAATGTTATAGGAGCCTTATTCATGATCACTAAAATCAAAATGTCCTTCAGGAAGTGAATGGAAAAATAAACTGTGTTATATCCAGGCAACGGAATATTATTCTGTCAAGCCACAGAAGACACACAGGAACCTTTAAATGCATATTGCCAAGTGAAAGAAGCCAGTCTGAAAAGTCTACATACCATGTGATTCTAACTACATGACCTTCTGGAAAAAGCAAAACCATGGAGACAGTAAAAAGATCAGTGGCTATTAGGGATTTGGAGGAGAGAGAGGAAGCGATGAATAGATGGAGCAAGGAAGAATTTTAGGAAAGTGAATCCACTATTCTGTATGACACTGTAGTGAGGATTATTTGTCATTACACATTTGACAAAACCTATAGAATGCATAAGACAAGGAGTAAACTCTAATATAAACTACAGACTTTAGTCAATAATAATGTACCAATATTGACTCATCAACTATAACAAATGTACCACACTATCGCAAGATGTTAAAAATCGGGGAAATTGGGGTAGAGGCTGAGGATGACATGTGAATGCTTATTCACTTCTTTCTGCAAACCTAAAATTGCTTTTAAAAAGTCAATTAATAAAAATTAAAACAAGGCAGGGTTTTCATGCAGTGGAAAAAACACACAATTTTAGTAAGTGACTGATAATTATGCTTATGCCACTTTGCTAGATTACATTTCATTAATAAATATAGTTTCATTCTTTATGTTATAAAGCAGAATAAAATCAGAAATCTAGAGAAATTGATTTTAATGATTAGAGTAAAAGCATTTTCACCTCCCAAGTCAGAATGAGCTCTTTAGAATCAGTCCATTTTATAGTTAAATCAATCATAGTTTGGTTTAAAAAAAATATTGAGAAGAACATTAACTTCACTGTTTCCACAAAACTCAATGTCATGACAGCATTGTGAGTCATTTCAATGTAGGATTAAAACCTATTGCTGGACCCAGTGGACTTACTGTGCTACATTCTGAAAATGTAAGACATTGAAGTCCAGTCTTTGTTGGATTTGCTGTCCTTGGCAGTTATCAAAAGGTCAATTTATCCTGCTTCTTTTTTCTCTTTTCCATATATCTTGCACTTCAGCTTAATATTAGTATTAAGCTAAATTTCTTATTTTATTTTGATTGATAAAGGAAAACAGAGATTGTTTCAATACAGTTGCTGAGAATAAGCAAAATGTACTTATAAAGTACACAAGGGAGCTATCAGATAAAAATTTGTTCAAAAAAAGATTTGGACATTTTTATTGCATGAATGTTCAAATGGAAAGGAAAACTTTCTGGATTTTTTTTTCCACCACACATGAGCAGCAGCACTAAGGTAGTGAATAATGCCCCTTCAATTAGTAGTTTTCATATATTTCTGATATCAGAAATGGATTGTTAGTAACTTGTTTTAAAAGCAGAGCATTTTCATGCATGGCATTCCCCTGAATTCCAAAGCCCAAACTTAACTTAGGCTAATTTCTGTCTGCTGGCAGTACCATTAATTTCTCATAAATAACATTTCATATATATATGGCATTCCGATGATGTAAAGGAGTTCACATATTATGGGCCTACAAGCCAAATTTAATCAATGGCTTGTTTCATATGGCTGAGAGCTAAAAATTGTTTTGGCATTTTTGAAGTGTTTAAAGAAGGAGAAGGAAGGGGAGAAGAAGAACGAGTAGATGAAGGAGAGACAGAGACTGCATATGGCCAGCAAAGCCTATAATATTTACTGTCCAGTTCTTTACAGAAAGACGTTTTCCAATCTCAAACAAAACACACACATTTTTGTTATGCCAAAAAAGGACTACAATAAGTCTTCACTGAACATCATTGATAGGTTCTTGAAAACTGGTAATAGGTATATAAATTTATGGTCACATGTGATGTTTTGATACACGCATACAGGGGGGATAAATTGGGGATGGTTAATTAGTGCCAAAATACAGTAAGTGAAACCCATTTTACCATAGGTTGACATAAAAAAGAGTTAACTTTCTATGGCTTTTGGTAACAAAAACATCAACGAACTTGTAAATAAAGATCAAAACAATTCTAACATTAAATGCTGAAATGAATTTGAGCTATTTATATATTTAAGATTAATAAAAACTAGTAAAATCATTATTTACCTACTGATTTCAGTTTAGGGTTGCAGTTGACCACAGCCTATCCTGTCAGCTCAGGACGCAATGTGGGAACCAGCCCTGGACAGGACGCCATAGCATTGCAGGTGCACTCACACATACCCACAGTTACTCAGACTGGAACCACATAGACATGTCAATCAACCTCACATGCACAGCCTTGGGAAGTGAGAGGAAACTGGAGCATCCAGAGAATATCCATGCAGACATGGGGAGAATACATAAGCTCTACACAGACAGTGAACCCCAACTGGAATCAATTTGTTTTTTCTCATCAACATTATAATGAAATGACATTGAATGAAATGTCATTATTCAAAGACCTGCTGTACTCAGTTCTAAACATTTCAATATTAAGAGATCTACACACATCCTCTTCTATATAATGGAGTGGGTCTCTTAACATTTCCTGGCAACATACTCTTCGCCTGCCTAGAAAACACTTTAGAATAGAACTGCATTATAATAAATTTTCATATTCTATTTATATCTTCATATTTCTCCCTCTACTTATTAAGCTATAATCTTGTATATGTAATCCTTCAGTTCCTTAACAAAGGTGAACATATGATCTCATGATGTGTGTTTTAATTTCTTAACTTTGTTGAGATTTGGGAATGTGAGGAGGATGGAAAGGAAAGAAAGGAACTCAGCAGCTATAAAAGAAATCTGACCTTTAATATTTTATTGAATTTGTTTCTTGTTTTATTTTTCCTTCCTTTGCACAAATGAGAGCTTCTAGTTTTACAAAGGGTACCACCAATTTTAGGATAAAAATTTGAATTTGTGGGATAACACAAGTTGGAGACACAATGATTTAGAGATTGCATATGAATTTTATCAAATAAATGGACGAAAGTAGGTGATATGCACACTCACACACACACACACACATGCATATGTAGTGATAAAACCATTGACACAGATTCCCAGATGGCACTTAATGTACTTTCAGTCTTAAATTCTTTCTCAAGGACAAGCCATTTGTTTGCAAATGATTTAGCATACAAAAATGATTAAACACGAGAAAAAATGCATTGCACATAAAGTTCAGATAACGAATTAAAGTCATACTAATATAACTACAATTTATAATGAATTCAAATAGCTTTCAGAAGGGTCATCTGTGGAATGTAGAGCAATCTGAATTTATTTTTCTGGTAACTTGTCACAGCAATGTTTTCTAGACTAGTGAGTGAGTGCTCATACAGCACCATGTGTGTTCAACAACACACAAAGTTGGATGACAAAATCTACTTTAGTGAGAAGGCAGCTATTTCCAGGGGCACCAATACTAATGTTAGTTTTGAGTTTTTGGTTTGCTTTTGTTTACAAGGCAATGTAATGTTTAAGGAAAAAAAAATCCTACCAGTCCATGTTGAGTGAACATTTCAATCCATGTAAAGGCAAAAGTCAGCTGCCACCATGCCATGCAAACCTTACAGTACATGACATGTGAAATCAGTAACCTCAAAAGGGACTTCTGAGAAGCTATGAGTAAAAGGCACACACAAAATTCCTCTGAGATAAATTCACAAATGAAATGGAAAAGGATATCTGTGTATATCCAAGAAGAATAGTAATTATTAGAAAACAAGAAAACTTCTAAATTGAAAGAATCCCTAAAGTAAAAGTAGACCAAAGAAAAAGAAATAAAGATGAGAAGTGAGATGAGGCAGAAATGGTGAGTGACAAGGAGACATATTGAGAAAAAAAGTAGCTAAAGATAGTGTGTTGTTATTTCAGCAAAATTAAGTATATCAATACTGAGAAATATGACTTGAAATAGATTCAGTACCTCAACAGAAACATAAACAAATAACATCTGGCTTTTTATTTTGATAACCAGTATTTTAAATACAAAAATCTAAAAATATGATCTTTGTGTAAGAGTTACACATTTATCATTCCAATCCTCAGGGTGCATTATTTCAAACTAAACAGTAATCATTTCAATAACAAAAATGCACTATAAATACCGTATGGAAATAAATGTCCTAACAGATGTTAACCAGACATTAGTCTTCACTGGTAAGGATTAGATTTGAAGGTGTTTGCAGATAATTAAAACTTGTTTTTATAACATAACTTAGCAGCTAAGTAGTATAATGAAAATGGGATATTCAAATTATAAGATATAAAATATTAAAGATAGAAGAACATGTTTATTTTTTCAATATAAATATTGTTACAGCTCAGAGAAACAGTAAGAAATCTCAGGGCTCATGAAAGGCCACATTCTAGCGATAGTGATTGACAGGTATGGCAATTCCCCTGCAGCGTGGTGCCTGTTGTCATGGAGTAGCATGTCTCTTACAGGGTACTACCAGAAGGCTCAAGTAGGAAGAGCCAATAGTCCATGTGAGAAACCACGGAAGGCTAAAGATAGAAGGAAATATTTGGGCCACGTTGAAGAACAAGTTCACCAGGTGAATTGGCATGTGGCTAGGGTATGACTTCCCATACACACATAAATAATGAAGCAATAAAAAAATTAAGTTATCAGAAAAGTATTTCATTATTATTAGAGTCATGATTAGCATTCTCCTCATCAGGAGAGTTTGATGTTTTTTTCCAGCCCTACTCTACACTTTTTAAACACAGTCTCCAATTTTGAAAATAAAAGTTTCTTATTTTTAATTCAAATCTCAATTAAAATAAAACAAAAACCAAAAATGTAGAAGTTCCTTATTTTGACCATCTATATCATACACAACAAAAAGACTGATAAAAGTCCACTAAACACAACAGCTAGATCCTTATTCCCATTAATGCTTAAGCCCATTCCAATAAGGATTTTGTACCAAATCTGCCCTTGCCAAGGCTACCTGGGGCCTTCATTTTATTATTTGCAATGGGCAATTGTAACTTCACATCCGTGTTGGCTTCCTTACATCCTAGATGCACATACAGCCAGATTTTTTCCCATCAGATGTGATTTGATCTTCCAACTTCAGAATGCCTTGAGGACTTCCTCTTTATCTAAAGATCACTTTAAAAAGCCTGAAGTATTTGGCTCTTCCCTAAATCTTTGGCCAGACATAATGTCATCCTCCCATGGGCTTTCTTTGTCCAAACTACATTAGCCTTATCTCAGATCTTCAAACAAGTTATATTTCCTAAGATCTTTGTATGAGGGAGTGAATGGTCTGATGAAGATAGCTCCTTTTTGCCCCCAAAGGTTTTATTGATCATGCTGATAATGCATTTATTGTTATTTTAATCTCTTACTGTTATACTCAGGCTTAAATTCTCTACCCTACACACTTCAGTTGACATAATTTTAATTTCCACTATGATGCTTCTCTCTTTTCTATCAACACTCTCTCCCCACAGGGTTTCATCTAGATCAGGAGTCAGCAACATTTTTGACAAAGAGCCAGACAGTAAATATTGCAGGCTTTGTGTTGCCAAGAGGTAAATTTATGGAACTTTCCTTGCTGAAAAATTTTCCTATATTTTACATTTTAGACTTATAAATGTAACACGTACTTATAACTCATGAGCCATACAAAAACAGGCAGCAGGCCAGATCTGGCTCATGGGCTGTAATAGTTTGCCAACCCCTCACCTAGATTCATGACTTTAGGCATGATGTATAGGCTATGATTATCTAACTCACATCTCTAGCCAAGTCAACTTGTCAGTGCCTACTTGATATCTCCACTTGGATTCTAACTATCGTCTTAATTTAAGATTAAAAAATGTAAAATCAATCATACATATGCATCTGCCCACACCTCTGTCACTTGCAAACTTCCTCATGTCATCAAGACGTTGCCATTTCACTAAAAGTGACCATAATCCCCCATGTCCCTAAATCCAAATACCTTGGTATAATTCTTGCTCAGTAAATTCAATCACCTTCAAATCAACTTCCAATCTCAACTGATTTTCTCCAAATTTATTGCTACAATCATAATCCCAACCACCATCATCCTTCAACTGGACAGGTGCAATAGTCAGCAAAATGATCCCCCTTCCTTCACTACTGTACCCTTCCACAAGAGTACACCCTCCTAAGAGGTAACTAACCTCATCATATCACATATCCATCATACACTTTTCAATGTAATTTATATTCACACTTTGATATAAGATCTAAATTTGGTCCCTGAGAGCACTCATGTAATACCTCTCCATGCTCTTCCTTCATGGACATTCCAGCCAAACTGGCTTTCTTTGTAAGAAACTATCAAGCTCTCTTTTTAAATTACAGAATTTTTATATCTGCCCTTCCTTCTGCTCAGAGCACCCCAGATCTTCAAAGTACCTCCCTATTTGTCTTCACTCAACTCTCAAATGAAATATTACCTCCTCAGAGAGAAAAATTATCTGAAATACCTATAGCCAGATCAGTGCCTTCCTACTTGCCAGTTTTACTCAACCATGTTACCACATGTAATCTTCTTCACAGTAGTGTACCTTATAGCCCTTCACACCATTGCTTTGTTTAGGTATTTGTATGTCTTCTTCCTCTTTCCCTCCTCACTACAGTATAGCCAATTGTGTCTTTGCCTTCTTCACTGCTATATCCCCTAGTGCCTGGTAGGCTTTCTATAAATAGCCATTTATTGACTTATTGACTACATGTATATGCTAATCCTTTTTACTATTTTGTTATAGTATATATTTCTATTCTCCCTCTCTTTGCTTCCCTCTCTTCTCACGTCCCTTGATGCTTCCTACTCAATATTAACATGTACATCATTTTGTGTCTTCAGCATTTCTCTTTTCATGATATTATGATAGGTTAATTTTCCTAAGAAAACACTATTTTGACAAAAGCAAAGCATTAAAGTAAAGCAGCATACGATCAATTTTTTTCCTGGTAGAAGGAAACACCGTCTTTCCAAGAAGACAATTCCGCCAGGAAACAAAACAAACCAAAACATTTCCGGTAAGTCCTAGTTCCCAAGACTTGAAGCCAGTATGTTTTTCCACTTTCAAGTATCTTGACTGTAGAGATAAAAGGTATCCACTTAGAGATATTAACTCATTACCACTGCCTAAATTTGGGTTCCAGAAACACAACTTAATATGACATCAATGGATGTGATAATCATTTGAAAGTAGCTTTATCAAAATCATCCAACAGAACAAGTTACTTTTCTAATTAGCATCTTCAGTTAAATACCTAAATCTGATGAATAATAAGTTATGCATTATGCTAAATTGCATTGGCTAACTATTCTAGAATGCTTTCAAATTAATTAAAAATGAGATATTTGGTAATGAAAAATATAAAAAGATAAAAACCTATTTCAATCAGTTTAAATTAGAATTTAACATTTCTTTAATACACTAGTTTGTTTTGTAGTCAATTGCAAGAGAATAAAGCAAAATTATTGAGTCTTCAATAGTGACCGTTTAAAATTCATAATGAATTATTAAAAAGAAAACTAAGGTCCCTACGAACTTTCCACCTCACTTCAAACCATAGCCAAGGTCATTACAACAGCAAATAAGACTCTACACAATTCCTACTTCTTCGCCTCTATTCTGTTACTTCTGGAATCTTCTACTACTCCAAACTGTGTGCTTTGCTCCAGACTCAGCAGTTCTCACTACCTTGTTCTTCCAATTGCCATCTTCTCTGTGTGGCCTTTCTTGACTATCCAATTAAAAATTACCCTATCAAAATAATCTGATCCCCATCCAGGATTACTTTTCACCATCTAACTTACGATACTTTGCATATTTATGTGGCTCATTGTCTGTTATCTGTCTCCCTATGTTAGAATGCAAGCTTCATGATGGCAGAGTTTTGGTCAATTTCCTTCACTCAATAATTCTTGACCCAAAGTAAACACTTCATAAGTAATTTTTGAATATAGAAATATATAGTCTGAATTATCAAGGAGCTTATAAATAAATAAAGACACAAACCAGCATTATAGTGCAGTTTGAGAAATATTAATAGTGTGGTATAGGAGGAGGTACGTAAACTATGAAAAGCAACAGTTAAATAAGAAGCAATCCAGAAAGACACACAGTGTAGGTGATATCTGAGTTAAAGGACAGAAAGTAGGAAGATAACTAGGTGGAGAAAAGAGAGGAAGATCTTACAAACAAACATCAGAAGTTACCATAAGAAAAAGAAGTACAAAATAATCATAAGAAAAACAATTGCATCCCAATTATTATGACAAACATAATTAACTATGAAAATCCAAAACAGTTCATGCTTTGATAATGCTAAAGTTGATAAGTAGATTAAGGTGTGATATAACAACCTGTAAATCTTAGTCCTTCCTAACTTTTGAGAAAACACTTTCAGACAAGATATGATGATTTAAGGAAGAAAAGTTGCTGATGGATGAGGCATGGCCCTTAAAGACAAACACTATGAACACTGTGTACAGCCTTTATAATGGAAAGGTGCCAGGTTTTTTTTTAAGTCCTTGGAATCTCAGTTGGCAACTTTGAAATTCATGTGTAATTCATGAGTTTTTTAAAAGAAATGTAATAAGTAACACAAGTGATTCCAGAGCTTGTCTTTAGGCTGAGGTAGATGTTGGCATTATAAGTTGAAGTGTTAGAAAGGAACAATAAGAATTAAGAATAAGCAGTAATTTCTGCCAAGATCTGTGCCATCCAGTCTCACACATAAGGCTATTTGGAATCTCTTGGTTTCCAAGGTTCAGGCTCTCGTACTTTAGTTGTACATAAAGGACTTAAGTTATTCTTAAAGCACAGTTTTAGCACTTCACACCAGGAGATGGTTATGAGACTGATCACAGGATAAAGTGAGATAGGATGTGTGCCTGCTTGTAGAAGGAACCTCTTTCCTTCTGCCATTCTATTCCTACTTTTCTGGCAGGAAAGTCCTAGAAAAAATTTCGTATACAGATTAATTTTAAACAATTTATATTATATTTTACTATTATTAGCTTCTAGAATATCTTAGCTTAGCCTGGCCCTGGTGGCTCGCACTTGAAATCCCAGCACTTTGGGAGACTGAAGTGGGCGGATCACCTGAAGTCAGGAGTTTGAGACTAGCCTAGCCAACATGGTAAAACCTAATCTCTGCTAAAAATCCAAAAATTAGCCAGGTGTGGTGATGCATACCTGTAATCCCAGCTACTCGGGAGCCTGAGGCAGGAGAACCATTGAGCCCGGGAGGTGGAGGCTGCAGTGAGCCAAGATTGTGTCACTGCACTCCAGCCTGGGCAACAGAGCAAGACTCTGTCTCAAAAAAACAAAAAACAAACAAACAAACAAAAAAAGAATATCTTAGTTTATATATTTCTCACATCTGATCCTACCACTTTACTTCTTTTTTCCTGTTTATACCAATTATTTCTATTCCTCTTTACATATAGGCAGAGAGATAAGACTAAAATGTGTCATAGACAATGACATCTAGTAAATTTACCTATTCTTCATGTTGAATTCCACAACAGATTTCAAATACAACCAAAATCTCCAAATGAAATCTTAATTCCAAATTGAGTGCTTGTACAGTCTTCAAATATGTTCAAATAGAACATCAAAGCTCAATAAAAATAGTTATATCACTTGGGATGGTGTTTAAAATATTTTTCCTAAATAAATTCAGCTTCAGAGGATGAGAAAACCTTCATTAGGAGATGTACCTTAAAGAACAAATTAAGTTAAACAAATGTGAAAGAAATCATACTTTATTATGTTGAATAGTAAGATTTTTTTGTTACTATTGTGAATTAATGCCATCCAAATATTGAGTGATGTAATTCAATTTAGTAAAACAAAAAAGTCTAAATTATCAACTTCTTTCCTTATAAAAATGAAATATGCTATAACTTGCATTTTTCCATGGCAGTGACCCTGATGATCAGAAATACAGGTTAAAACATAAAAACATTTAAAATCATCTAATCTAAATTATAAAAAAGAAATCCCTTTCTTCAGAAAAAAATAATTTTTTAAGGAAGCACTCAAAAACAAATCTCTGCTAGTAGATATACAGCATACACGTCTCTTACTATCTCCCATGCAGACTGCATAAAAAGGCTTGCTAACTACTTTTAAGAAAACAACATTCAGATGTCTGGAAAGTATCTGAAATGCATGATTAATCTACACAGATAATTTTCTCAAGAAACTAAATTTTGAAGACAAGGAAATCAAAAGTATACTGTCTTTAAAGTAAATCCACTGGTATTCTTAAACTGCTGTAATACTTTCTCTGTTTACCTTATAGTGTGAACCTCTCAAGCTATGGGAATGCATGTAATCTCTAAAAATAGTTGACTTCTTTTGTAGGAAAAAGCTGTTAGAAATGACTGCTAGGATTTCAAATGTTTGGGAGTGTGTATTCATGTGGGTTTTATGTGTTGAATATTTGCATTTATAATTTTAAGACGCTTAAATCAAAAACTAAAATGACCTAGGTAACATAATTCTGCCATAGGATAAATTGAATTCATTTAAATTTTTCCATACAAATTATTGTCTACCACAATGTAAAAATATTTATATATCATAAAGATGTAAGAAACACTGACTTCTATTATACAGCAGAGTTCAATTTCACTACTACTTAGCTTGATGATATTTTAAGGTCATGTCTCTTGGAATACACATTCAATATTCATTGCCAAATGTCTGAGCTCACCTCTCTCGAAGCAATATTCAATTATCAAATGAAAATAATTTACCAAGCAACCTCACAAAACATAAACTCTAGGTAGCATTAAGGTTTTTCAAAGTGATTATTCCTTACTGGTAGTGATCCTAAGATATTAAAACTCATAGATCACATGATCTGAGATTTTCTAATTAAAAGCTGTAGCTGTAAACCTTTAATTCAAAGTCAGATACTACCTTCAGCTCTCAAAAGAATTATACAATCACTTAAATTTCTGGAATGAAAGAGAAAATGAAGGGAACAATAAAAGTAACTTTGAAATGCACTGGGAAACGATTGTAAGGAACCGAATGGAGGCAAAGACAGAGAGAGAGAGAGGGCTGTTTATCTAACCTTCCCTTCTTGAGTAGGTTTTCTCTGATATCTCTAGAGAAAACTTGGATGTGTAACAATGAAATACAAAACACAAGATATTGTCTTCATATAATTACTTGTAATGATTCCAGGATGGCATAATTTGAGAACTTGCTAAATAGGACAACAAAGTGATCTGCTTTTCCAAAATTTTGCCCCTTAACTTAAATATTATTTCATGGTGAAGACCAATAAAACTGAAAATTGGAATTGCCAGATATTATCAGATTTTATTTTTTGACTGCTTAATAGCTGACCCAAAATCTGGTCATAAAAATGGAAGTTAAATTAAATTGTCCTCAAAATTTAAGTTTCCTACAGTTGTAAGCGCCACTGGCTTCTTCAAAATTTCAAACTTTCTCATATCTAGCAGCAGATTGAAATTAGGAATTTAAGCATGTAAATTCATCGTGGAAACCAAATTGATTAAAATTTTCTGTGTATTCATGATAATGTTTAAAATTTTTGCTACATTTAAACCCTAAGTTAGTTACAAAAACTCTAAAATTATGCTTGTTTAAAAACTTGGGCTAACTTGCTTTTGAAAACATACTGACATATTCATTCCATTCTTCTTATAATTATTTTTGTGTCACTCCAAAACAGCACACCATTGTATATATCCCCAAAATAGCACTTCTTTGTTAAAGCCATTAAGACAGAAATATTTTTGAGCCAGATGCAACGGCTCATGCCTGTAATCTCAGTACTTTGGAAGGCCTAGGTTAGAGGACTGCTTGAGGATAGGAGTTCGTGACCTGCCTGGGCAACATAGCAAGACCCAGCCTTTACAAATGAAATGAAATGAAATGAAATAAAAATAAAATATAAAATAAACTAGCTGGGCATGGTAGTGCACACCTGTGGTCATAGCTACCAGGAGGCTGAGATGAGAGGACCATATGAACCTAGGAGTTTGGCGCTGTGATGAGCTATGATTGCACCACTGCACTTCAGCCAGAACTATGGGTTGCTGAGTTAGAAATAAGTTCTTGGTTCTGAATATAATAACTGCTGCTGGCACTCCCCAGAATCCTGTAAATGAGTTGGGTTTTCTGGTGCCTCTCTATAGTCCCTCTTTCTCAGGAAACACCCCCATGGTTTTGCCCGCTGTGCCATTAATTACACCCATGCTTATTATATGTCAGTTCAGTTTTATCTAGATTCTCCCAAAGTCAGTGCTGAACTTAGTTATTTGAAAATGTATATATTGTAATAGTTACCAAAAAGACAAAATACAGCTAGATATTTATGTTATTTGTTTTATTTCCATTGTAGGTATATTTCCTTTTAAAATTCATATATATCTTTCTCTAAGGATTGTCTCCATTATCAGATGTTAAACACTTTCTCATGCACAAACCACCTAAGCAGCATAGACACAGACAGAGTCCACGTCAGGGAATGTTACACTCAGGATAAGCACCTATTATTCTGTAACTCAGAAGTAGGAAAATGGATGTCCTCAAGCAGATGCTTTTCTTCACAGATACAAAAAATTGACAAGGATCATTGACTTACTTCCAACCCACCATTCATCCCTTTTCTCTTATTTTGACCCTAAGGGCCCCAGAGGGATAATGGCCCTACATTCTTATTTAGAATTCAGATTTCAGACTGCATTTCTTATATCATTTTTTATAAGTAGTGGTTGCACACAGTTGAGATATACTATGATATTAATCTACATTCCTCGTTAAATCGTTTTTTGTCTTCCGTTTTTTTAACTTAGCTACAATTTCTCACACGGTTTCTCTAGGAAGGAACATTGGGACTCCCCAGTGACTTAAACATTTAGAACATAGTCTATTCATAAATATGAAGAGGTTGTGTAGAAAGTATAATTTACTCATACTATTATGCTTAAGAAATTATGTGAAATAATGTGAAAATAATCTTATAACATTTGCATGCATATTTGCTGCAGGAGTCACACTTCACTGATACTTAATCATAATCTTGGACATTGCGGGTCACAATAACCAATATTTAATGCAAGATTGTAAACTTAATAGAGAGAAAACCTTATTTATAAATTTTCATGTATTCTTTTCTTGACAATAATAAGGAGCTATGAGATTTGTATTTTAAAAGATATTTAGTAATAAAAACTTTAATTTTTAAAACTTTTATTTTTAAATTCTGCTTAATTGCATAAAAGTTAAAAGGTAATATTTAATATTTAATGAGGCTTATTGATCTAAATGATGATATGCAGCTTGGGTTATACTTGCAATTATAAGATTTGCTCATTATACCTAAGCAATCTCCTTCACTCAATCTAGCTACCACAAAGGAAGCAAAATTGCCTGAATCATAATATCAAAGCATTCCATTAAGTTTTCTATTAAGTTGTTTTGTTCTTTGAATCATTGTCTATTTTAATTTATCCTTTTAGAAAGAAAACAAATTACTTAACTTGCATTTCCCACTAGAAGCTTTACTACAGCTAGACTTGGAATTGATTTCAGGCTGTTTTTTAATAAATGATGGTCCCCAATGAAAGATAGAATATTTGAGCAATCAATATTGAGTAAATAAAAGGGTTTGGGTAAATAAGAGAGAAGATACCTATTTTTCTCAAATATTTTAAATATCTAGTAACCTATTCCTCATCTAAAACAAGCCACAATTACTGGAAATGATGGTCAGAGGAAGGTTTTAGCAACCCTGTGTGATACTACATGTCATGTTGGATCACTATTACAGAGAAACAGTTGTGATGCTGCATTTTAGTAATTCTACACATTACCAGAGAAATAAACAACTCATAGCCACAGAAACCCAACGCGGCTGTCTACATATTCTTGTTTCAGCAACCCTGTGTCATACTACACGTCATGCTGGATCACTATTACAGAGAAACAGTTGTGATGCTGCATTTTAGTAATTTTACACATTACCAGAGAAATAAACAACTCTTACAGCCACAGAAACCCAACGTGGCTACTGTCTACATATTCTTGTTTTAGACCTTTGGTGAAAAAACTACTATGTGTATTAAATATATTTTACATTAGTTTTATCACAAAAAAGAAAAATGAGAATTCTATTAGATGCTAATATAAATTCTGAATGGCATGAAAGAAAAATTAAAATCAAAGCTGATCTTAATTAACAAAATGTATTATCTGCTTACATGTATATACAACTATTCATATACAAAGGCACACATGCATTTGTGGTTTTGAAAAATATCTATTTCATTTCAAAAATTCATTGAACAATATTACATATGGCAAGAAAACTGCTCTTTTTGAAGGATCTTTTAAAAAGTGTTAAACTTTATTAGATACTTCAAACTAGCAAAGCTCAACTTCATCACAATTATATAATAACACTGCACACTTTCAATTTTATCTGGAGTAATACACCTATCCCTTGAAATAAACTCTGTGAACTTCCTGCTTACAGATTTCATTTCAAGCCTTAAAAATGCGGAAAAAATGCCAAATATACTTGCCCCAAAAGGAAAAGAAAATTTCAGGGGTGTCAGGATGTTTTATCACATAAAATACGGAAATGCAATTTGTATCTGAGCAGGCAACACACCTCCAAAAATAATAATCCTCCAAAACACACCTCCAAAACCTCCAACACACCTCCAAAAACAATACTTATCACAAAATACACTCAGAGATACTAGATTTGGCACAAACCACTCCATACAGCTATTGATCAAATCAGTATTGAAAGCCTTATTACAAAATCTATGGCCCTTTTCTACTCTCCAACAGACATTTCAGGATGCCACAACCTTACAGCTCCACTCTATCATTAATTTCCCCTAAATACACTTGGCGGAAGAATGAGAAACATCACATTTTTCATTTAATTTCTAAAGAACATCACATCCTTTAAGAATAGGTTCTTGAAATTTTAAAATGTAAAACACAAAAACCCTAAAGAAAATAAACAAACATCCAAAAACTTTTCTTCAAAATCACAAAAACTTTATATGCTACGTGTTCTTATAAAATACCACAAACACAAACTCATACGCATACCCGCCCACCCAAAACACACACACACACACATAGCCTCATAATACCTCATATATATATATATATATATATATATATATATAAAATCAATTCCAACAGATAAAAGCCAATTTCAGAAAGATGGCTTCAATTTTGATGCATTTACTCACACATAATTCTATTTCAATTTAACTGGTGCAGAGGCATTACAATACCGTGTAACAAAAACCTGGGGGAAAATTACAACAAATTGCTTAAACGTCGAACCAAAGACTCACATAATATCATCATAAAGTGAAATTCGCATCCAACTCTCAAAGAATTAGAACATCCTTGCACTTACCTTGGCCTTGTCCATTCCCCTGATGACCCCAAAACACCACAGTCATCATCAACAGTCCCGGAGCCCATGTCCACATCCTTCTAGTGACACGTTCATGTCTTCTGGCCATTGCATCTTAAACTCTGCATATTGAGTGGGGTGGATGTGAAAGTACAATAAATTACATTCTTAGAGAAATATACTACGACTCAAATCCCATATCTAATATGCATTGTGCATTTCTGAATTATCCTGCTTACAAGGAGGTACATTTGAAAATCATGCTTCCCTTTAGGATTGTCATATTGATGATTAATATGAAAGCTCATTCATCTTTAATCTTTATTCTAAGCATTCATCTGAATCACATTTTTAATATCATTTTCCAAAACAGGCCATTTAACCATGAATGTTAAAAAGTACTCCCAATATACATATTGGAGTTCAGTCAAGCAAAAAAATTGTGTATGGACACTACTTAAGTATAACTTGATATTTAGGCAAATTGATGAATTTAACATACCATGTAATCTCTACATATATACAAAAGGACTTTTCAACACATTTATGTAAGTTTAGCATAAATACCTTTGAAAATATTCTCAAGTTTTAAGTGGTATTCTAATTATGTCAGTAATTAACTGAATAAAGAGATTCATCATGTGCAAAAACTAATCTTATTTACTTAAAATTGATAGTAAAATTAATTATAGACATTACAAAACACTTGTAATTTTGATTTCAGATATATAACCCACAGGAACTTTCATATATACAAATATTATACATATATATGACAATGTATATTTGAATGTTCATTTTGAAACTGCTTTTCATATTGATATATGAAAATACTTAAATGTCCACCAAAGCAAGGTTATTTATTCATACATTTGAATGATACACAGTAGCTCTAAAGAATAAACTTGAGTTGCATGTACTAATATGGATAAGTGTCAAAAATGAATAGTGAAGCAAAACTAGCAAATTGAATAATGATAAGTTCAAAACTATACCTTTCATATGTAAACATGTACAATAGTTAAAACTATACATTTTATGTTGCATAAATATATAATACAGTATAATAATGCATAAGAATGATAAACACCTTCAAGACCAAAGTTAGGAAATTACAAGACTACAATTTAAATGGTTAGCAGATGGAATTTTAAATCAGAGGTTACTCCTAAATCCCAATTTTTCCACAGTTGACAAAATACGGAGTTAAGAAAAGTAAACTTAATAATTTCCAGAATGAATGCTTTATTCAAAATGCTGCATAATTACAATTCTAATAAACTTGCAAGGGAATCCAGTCACCCAGAAGTTTTCTTTCTCCCTTTCTCCTACATCATGAAAGGGGAAGATTTAATTACCAACTTTGCATTACTTAACTTCAGACTCATAGTATCAGAGCTAAAGAGAAATTTAAGAAACATCTAACTCAACCTCTCCATTTTAAATGACCAAATGAGTTAAGAAGGTTACAATGACATTTCTAAGTTCATATGTAAAAACAGAATTTTGATGACAGTGACAGTTTAAGTACCAATAAACACTCCATGAAAAGTTACTGTAATCCAGGTTATTTTACTGTGCTAAATGCCTTACATTCTTTACCCAATTTAGTTTTCACAGAAATCCTATGAACAAAGCACTTTCAACATTTACCACTTCACAGCTAAGAAAAACAAGGCTTAGAGAAATGCTACACGATCCCCTAGTCATCAGGTTATGGGTACTCTTGTGGAGACTGAGACAAAACAGGACGATTTCAAAGCCTATGCTCTGAACAAGTAAACACTAAGCAGGAATTTAGTTCTAGATCTCCCAATTGTAGTCCAACAATCAGCCAAAAACTGATGCTGAGAAGAGGGAAAAAAAGATGTCTTGTGTATGGAGGCTCAAGTATTTGATCCCAAATACATCTTCAAATTGAAAATCATTAGAGCATAAGGCAACAGAATTATTAGTTTCTAAAATCAACAGCCTTTCCCAAGTTGAACATACAAGTATATTTTATCATACATATACTATGGATAACGTGTGTTTATATAAATATTTATATATCTGGATTTGGAATTACAAGTGTTTTGTGATTTATTTATTTTTTAAAGTCTCCCTCTGTTGCTCTGGCTGGAGTGCAGTGGTGTGATCATAGCTCACTGCAGACTCCAACTCCTAGGCTCAAAGTGATACTTTTGCCTCGGCCTCTCGAGTAGCTCAGGCTACAGGCACGCACCACCATCCCCGGCTAATTTTTTTATAGAGATAGGGTCCCACTATGTTGCTTGACTGGTCTCAGACTCCTTAGGTCAAGGGATCCTCCCACCTAGACTTCCGAAAGCAATGAGATTACAGGTGTGAGCCACCTTGTGTTTTTTGATTTCTTCAATTAATTTTACTTATAAATTTAATTACACAAGTTTAATTTTGTGTACATGATGAATCTCTTTTGAGGTTTAAATTACTGATATAATTAGAGTACCACTTAACATGCATGTAATCCCAGCACTTTGGGAGGCTGAGGCAGGAGGATCACCTGAGGTCAGGCACGAGCCACCGTGCCTGGCCTATATACATTCTTTTAATTTCTACTTGCAGAACTTTGTTCTCTTATAATTATAGTGGAACCACTTTCACTTAGTATCAAAATATCCAGATCCACTCATCAAAGTGTAAATAATCCTTCAGTAAATTACTTTTGCAAATTTATTTTTATGTAATATTTCCTTAACTTCTTCTTACCTACATCCAGTAGTCATTTTAAAAGGCAGAATTTTTACTATTTTATATAGAACTGAGGCAGTATTTGAAAAAAATCTCAAAACACTTTTCAGGAAGGACTGGCATCTAAAACACCAGTTCCAATATATATTTTAGTAACATTTTAAAGGACAGATGGTTTTCAAAATGTTATTATAATTTAAAAAAATGTAACCTTCCTCTCTGAGTTGATGTTTATGGAAAACTAATATTTCATAAATGCCAAGTTACTATGATGTATGATCTAAATGCTGCCCCTGCCATTCTATAAATATAAAAATCATAACCTTCTAACTAACTTTGGTATTAGTCAACAATTGTGCTGATGAAAAGTAAACTCAATTCATTTAAAAAAAATTTTCCATGAAAGATAAAACAAGTAATTTGTAAGAAGCATGGTAGATGAACCAAAACATAAAGTAACATTAACCATAAAGACATGCCATGGACTTCTCTAATCTTCTTTTGGAACACCCTTTTCGTGCATATGAGAATAAAAATTAAATATTAAATGCCTACTTTATGTATGTACTTTTACTTGTACCTATTGCTCTTTAAAGATTAAAATAACTCCTAAAGCCTGGATAGTTGAGCCCATTGTGCTCTTCTGCACATAAAACAGATTGGATATGCAGTGAACAGAGAGGTAAAACTTAGGCTTTCAGATTTGTTATGATGATGGAAACACAATTCCATTCAATAGTGTTCATCTTGGTCTTTCAAATGTTTAAGGTCACAAGGCAAAAGAGAACAGACTTTAAGAATGTTCGCGTATTACTTCTCGTCTTATCCAATAGCTACATTAGTTTAATTAGGCAAGTGTTTTGGAGTAAACAGCTCTGTGAAATGTGTTGTGGAGTCTGGAGGCTCCACAACCTATCTCCAGGTAGTTGTCCGATGGAGCCTAGAGTAATACCCCCACAGTTTAAGAGATGCATTACATCTACAGGTACCAACCAGGAAGGGTAGTCCTGAATTAAATGGCTTTAGAACACGTTATAAGAGCAAATCGAAGTTTCCAGGTATTAGAACCACTTCAATCACAGAGCATCTCTGGCTTCTATCTGTGGCCAGCATCAGGTATCTGTCTGCCCTCCCCGAATGGTTCCACTCGTCATGTGGATCTTCTAGATGGTTTTATTCTTCCCCAGCCAGCCAACTTGACCAACAAGCCTAGGTATATTATGTATGTATAAAGTTGGTTCTTAAATAAAGTCCACTTCTGTAACTAGGTAAGTAATGTCTTCAGACTGGCAATTTCATTGTTATCTAGAAAGAGTGACTCTAGTTAGCTTCTAGTGTCAGTTTTTCTAGCAGCTTCTTTAAAAAAAAAAAAAATCCTCTCTGGAACAAAGCTTCCCTGCAAGTATTGCTGTTGGCAATAGTCCTCTTTACTGAAATGCTTATCCAGTGAAACTTGGGCTGTGCCAGTGAGCCTGCAGGTTGATGGTCCGTTTGTTCAACTTCTCCATTATAAAGCAACCTCTCTGATCACCCTTTTAAAACTAAAGACCAAAGAATCAAATGAGATCAGGAAGTCACCAGAGCTCATGGGTCATCAATTCCTCTTCTTAGCATATTACAGCACACAGTCTAAGCCAGAAAAACACAGCAGAGCCCATTACAGCTCTTGAGTTCCAGTTATTAACATTGATTTTTTTCAATGGAAAATTTTCATTAGAAGCCATCACATGACTCACATTCAGTAATAACTTAGATTAAGATGTATACTGGAGCCTTTGTCCTTAGACTAGGTGCCACTGAGTCACTATTAAAAGGAGTCTTTTTGACCTTAGTAAATTCTCACAGGCAGGGCTTATCTCAGTCTAAACTGTACCTGGCCTTTAATAGTGATGTCCAAAGTCTTGTGTAATTCAAATTAATATTGTAATGTATATAAATTGTATATATAGATATAACACATGCATGTATTTAAAATTATTTATTTTATTTTTTAATAAGATAAAACTTAGAGGTTAAAATATGACTCTAGGCCATCGTGCTTTAGAATGAAGAGCACAGACATGGGTTGGAAATGTAAATTTTGACCCCATTTAATTTCTGTGACAAATTAATTAATGTCTTCAAGGTTCAGGCTCTATGTATGAGACAAATGAAAACAGCTCTAAGATTCCTGAAAACTCTAAAGTATTAAAATTCCACTCTGCCATTAGTTCAGATAAATCATTTGCCAATTTGCCCCACAAGAACCAGGCATCTTTAAATGGTAACATAACACGCACTTCTCCCTCCCAAAGTGTAGTGCATAAACGTTCTGCTTCTGAATAACACACGATGCCTGCTAAAATGTGCTGTCAGGGGTATTAGTAAGGAAATGTTGTATCACAACTTCTGCAGATGTGGCACTGAAATACATATTGTAATAAATCCTCCAGGCCTCTCAAGTTAGGAATAACTGGTTTATAAAATTGTACTTACTTAAAAATTATAGATAAACAGATTTCACAGTAACCCAGTTTTTCTGATCTGAATGAAATAAGGCTCTATATTCAGACTGACTTTTCAGTGAAAAACAAATTAAAATAGTGACAAATCATCTAAGTCTAAGTTTAAATGAATATAACTAAGAGACCTGAAAACTCCTCAGATTTAGTAGTAATCTTCCAATAGTTTGAGAGCCCACAGGAGCCACAGAGCCCTAAAGTCTCTCCAGAGAAGCAGGGTGATTTTTCCTCCTAAACACCATGCAATTCTTGAAGTGAGTAAAACCACTCCTGCTTACACTGATACCCTCTCAAGTGAACTCAAAGTTAAGCCAGATCTCCAGCCAGACTATATACCCTGGCCCATATCTCATTCATTAATATACGTTGAGAAACCTTTGTTTCTCGGAAACTACATGAAGTGAATAGACTGTGGACTCCACTGGACCTAGTGGTCTATATTTAATCAATTCCCTTAACAAATATGTATCAGATGTTATCTTAGTTACTGAGCTGCAGTGGTGAATAAGAAAGCCATAGTCCTGTACTCCTAGGGTTTTAATTCTGAAGATGAAGACAGGTACAGAAACCCAACTAAGAAAAGAGAAGAGATTATTACAAAATGTATTCACATGCAAAGTCAAGCAGGGGACTGAATACACAACAAGGGTGTTGGGGGGAACATCAGACAGATATAATCTTAATTCAGATTATGTAAGATTTATACATGAAATTTTTATATATAGATATATTAATTTGGGCCGGGCGTGGTGGCTTATGCCTGTAATCCCAGCATTTTGGGAGGCCAAGGCGGATGAATCACTTGAGTCCAGGAGTTTAAGACCAGTCTGATCAACATGGCAAAACCCCATCTCTACTAAAAATAAAACAGTTAGCCAGGTGTAGTGGTGTGTGCTTGTAGTCCCAGCTACTCAGGAGGCTGAGGAAGGAAAACTGCTTGGACCCAGGAGGCAGAGGTTTCAGTGAGCCAAGATTGTGCCACTGCACTCCAGCTTGGGTGACAGAGAAAGACCCTGTCTCAAAAGAAAAAGAAAAAAAGAAATATTAATTTGGATTATACAGATTCTAACTACTTCTTTCAAGTGAGAATATTTAAGCTAAGACCTGAGAATAAAAAGAGTTAGCTTTTCATACAATACAGAAAGGTTCGTCTTTTAAGAAAAAACCCACAGTGTTCAAGGACCCTAATATATGAGCAACATCTTGGCATGTAGAAGAAACCTGTGAATTGGATGAAATAAAAAACTGAAAAGTAGGAATCTGGATGAAGCACAAAAGGGATAAAGACTAATGTGAGATGTGGCTGAAAGAGAAAGATATGTGAAACTGTACAGGTCTTCATTAGCAATGATGAGGAACATAGGTCTTAGTCCAAGTACACCAGAAAAGCGGGAGAGTTGGAAACTGAAAGACACGTTAAGAGATCACTTTGGTTTCTATGTAGCTAACAAAGTGTAGGAGATTAAGAATTAAAGTAGGTTGACTAAGGATGAGCCTAAGAAAATAGAGTAGGTAAGAAAATATGTGGATCTGGCTAGGCTGGGGACACTGGAAATCAAAATAAGTGGAGGAAATTACAGATATATTTGGAACCAAAATATTTTTTAAATGAATGTTGAACTGGATATTGTCAGAATATTGAGGAAGGGCCAAAAATGACTTATAAGCATCTAGCATGGCTGGCAGTGCCACTTACTGACATGTGGGAAACCGGGACATGTTATCTCTGAATTATTCGAGTGCTATTGTCATATAAACCATCAACTCCCAGAATAAAGGTCTGGGCCAAACTCTAAAACTGAAAATTATTAGCTGTTTAGTAGTGTTTAGAGCTTAGAGAGAGTATGTGTGTAGAGAAAAAAGAGCAATTAGGACAGAACCCTTAGAAACATCAATATTTAAAATTGGGGAAGAGAAATAGAAACAAATAAATTGTTCTACTAATGGTGGGAAAATGAAGCTCAGGGTAGTTGCAAGGGAATGCTAAAAATGAACTACGACATTTGAGGAGGAAAACGTGGAAACTGAAAGCAAGAGAGTACGGATGGATTGTGAGGGAGCAGCAGCAGCTGTGTCCCAAGGAGAGTCTCAATAAAAATGAAGGATTGTAGGAATGAGGATATCCAAGCCAATGAGCTGGCAAGGAGTGATGTCCAGGAGGCAGAATATTTGCATCTAGATCCTGGTGGCACATACCCTTATAGAAAATGTTTCAGATTTGATGACAATAAAGTGGAGGAAAGAAAAAAAGTAATGGAAATAAAGATGTCAAAAAATGGGGAACAGAGGTTCGTAATGGTCCTTTCATGTGAATGCTGAGCCACTAAAATGATGGCTGAACTTGCCTGAAGATGATATTGAGCAAAAGATCTAAAGCCTTAAATAAATGACAAGAGGCCAGGTGCAGTGGCTCACGCCTGTAATCCCAGCACTTTGGGAGGCTGAGGCAGGCAGATCACCTGAGGTCAGGAGTTCGAGACCAGCCTGGCCAACATGGTGAAACCCAGTCTCTACCAAAAATACAAAAATTAGCTGGGTGTGGTGGTGTGCACCTGTAATCCCAGTTATTCAGGAGGCTGAGGCAGGAGAATCACTTGAAACCGGGAGGAGGAGGTTGCAGTGAGCCGAGATCACACCATTATACTCCAGCCTGGGTGACAGAGCAAGACTCCATCTCAAAAAAAAAAAGACAAGAGTGCCCAGGAAGGAGGTCTGTTGATGATGGCAATACCAAAGGGGCATGGCTGATATTTCCAAGGGGTTTGAGTTTCAAAGGAACAGTACAATTTGCAAGAAGGGGAGAAATTAACAGTCTAGAAGTTGTAATGGGAACCAAGAACAACCACCTCAGCTTCCAGCCACAGGTATGTGGAGGGTGAGAAAAAGACCAGTCTCAATTTATGAAAGCTAGAGCAACAATTGTACTTTGGTATCAAGCAAGTTTTGTTTTAAGATAATTACAAAGCAATATGGAACTTAGCAAACGTGAATTTTGACAGTTTCCTGCAGCTTAGTAAATTCTGCAAAAAATTAAGATTTAACACAAAAGTATAGAAAAATTTTAATGGCACAGCACCTTTCTTCACAATTCCTTAAACCAAATAATTCCCTGTTCTTCTAACTCTCTCCTTATACTATCAACCAGGCTTCTTATTCAATGAACGGTTTAAGTCTAACACACACACACACACACACACACACACACACACACACACACGTCTTATCCAGCTGCAGATCTCATGTTTGAAGGTACATTGAAAGTACATAGATCATTCTATAATCATCAGCTACCCCCCCTCCACACACACACACACGTCTTATCCAGCTGCAGATCTCATGTTTGAAGGTACATTGAAAGTACATAGATCATTCTATAATCATGAGCTATCACACACACACACACACACACGTACGTCTTATCCAGCTGCACATCTCATGTTTGAAGGTACATTGAAAGTACATAGATCATTCTATAATCATCAGCTATCACACACACACACACACACACACACACACACACACACACACGTCTTATCCAGCTGCAGATCTCATGTTTGAAGGTACATTGAAAGTACACAGATCATTGTATAATCATCAGCTATCTCACACACACACACACGTCTTAACCAGCTGCAGATCTCATGTTTGAAGGTACATTGAAAGTACATAGATCGTTCTATAATCATCAGCTATGGAGACTGTGAGCAACTGGAACAAGCATTCTTGGAAAAGAAGTTTCCTGTGTATAAGAAAAAAGAAAAAGAGTCCAGCTCTGGGAACTGACTTGGCTCAGTCATCATTATATGCCACTGGCAGGAAATCAAGAAGTAACCCAGGACTGATGAACTTTGTTAAAGGAATGGAAACAACCTGCCTGTGAGGCTTAATTCTTGATGGTCTGGCCAAGATACAGCATCTGGATAAGAGTTCACTGACTCACACTAAATTTTGTGAAGGTGAAGTACTTGTTAAAATGAAAGATCTATTTACAGAGAAATAAGTAGACATAATGTCTGCACTATGGATAGGTGTATAACTGCTTTTTGCAAAAACAGTTTGTATTTTTGAAATGCTGGTTTGCCCTGGACAGAGCTAACTTAAATAGAGGCCGGGCACGGTGGCTCACGCCTGTAATCCCAGCACTTTGGGAGGTCGAGGCGTGTGGATCACGAGGTCAGGAGATAGAGACCATCCTGGCTAACACGGTGAAACCCTGTCTCTACTAAAAATACAAAAAATAAGCCGGGCGTGGTGGCTCACGCCTGTAATCCCAGCTACTCGGGAGGCTGGGGCAGGAGAATGGCGTGAACCCGGGAGGCGGAGCTTGCAGTGAGCTGAGATCGCGCCCCTGCACTCCAGCCTGGGGGGCAGAGAGAGACTCCGTCTCAAAAAAAAAAAAAAAAAAAAAAAAAAGAGAGAAAATCATTAAAGAAAGGCTATAATACAATACACAGGAACACACAGACACACATACACCTGTGTGTCTATATCTTCAGTTATCACACTTTTTCTATACAGACTCCAAACAAGACAAACATGTTACGTTTTATTTTAGGAGAAACTATAAGTAGAAAGAGGAGAATTTGTTAAATCAATACAGAGTGTTCCTTGTTTAGCATAATTCTAAGTGTTTCTCATTAGAGGTCTAAGTAATCAATCTGTATTGTATGTGGCCATGCTGGCATTTGGGAAATTCCACAAGAAACTTTTTAAATATGAATTTGGAAAAGGGAAAAGGATTTTAAAAGTGTCTTTTTTTGTTCTGCATTCTGTGTGGAACATATATTTTGTGCTACCTGCTCGTGTTAGCTTGTGATTGCCTGTGACTATGTGGAAGATATACTTTACGTGACTATGTGAGCAATAGTCTTAAAGTTAAGAAATCCAAAAATTGGTTGGCTTAGTTGCTAATTAGGTAAACTACCTTGTAATAGTTACTTAACCTCTCAAAGATTAATTATCTTAAGTGGTACATTGAAGGTTCCATTCATATTGATTTTAGTAGACTTATCCTGCTAAAAAGTAAATTTAACAACAGAAATTATTCTAGACCTCATTATTTCAGGAGACCCCACACCAGCTTTTATTCCTAACTTCAAGAATGCAGAGAAATTTAAAAATTGGATTTTCTTCCAATTCAACAGAATATAACTGAACTAAATAGATTTATGTATAATTCATTATTTCAACCTTTAATGCTATATCCAAGAAGTTTGTTTCACCATAAAGTTATTGCTGTTTAAGCCAATAATTAAAGAGGACCTTGATAAAGAATGACAAGAGAGGATGATCTCCCTTTTATCTATCTTCCAGCTGCTTTCAATGCCCTGAAGTTTTATTCACACTCAAATATTAGAATCCTATCTGAGAGAGCGTACTCAAATGATAAATCATGCTAATTTCTCAAGAAAAGTGTTACAGAATAATAAATGCCTTTCTGGTCAAAGCACTGATGCTCTGGAAATAATCTTTTTCCAAATGAGGTACAGGAATTGTTATGACTATTAAAAGTGTGTATATGATATCTGCCAAGTTCGACTGAGCTTCACTTAAAAATCTACTATATTAGGGCCAAGTGTAATGACTCAAATTAGTGAACTTAAAAATTGTTTTAAAATGTTCGATGGAGACATTTCAAATATTGCTCTTTGATTTATCACTGTTACTTTTGCTGAATTCAATTTGATGCCAAGCTTTATTCAGATTAATCAAATGCCATAAACTCTGATACCTAATGTTCCTTAACACCTTAAGAACCTTTAAACAGGGCAAATGTTGAAGGTATGCTTTTAGTGAAAGTGTACCTGAGCACATGAATTCTATTTAATATAGTTTTTAGAAGACTAACAAAGAAAGAAGACTTAGGAAATTAGGAAACATTTTTTAAACCTTCTAGAGGGAATTAAACTACCGAAAAATAATTTCAATTTGTGAATCTAATGGCACTAATCAGAAGATAAGAAAAAAGCAACCATAAAACTTTGTGGGGGTAATATTTGCTATAAGGATCAGGAAAAACAACTAATGGATATTAGGCTTAATACCTGGGTGATTAAATAAACCATACAACCAACCCCATGGCACAAGCTCACCTCTGTAACAAACCTGCACTTGTACCCCTGAACTTAAAAGCTAAAATTTAAATAAATAATGCTGTGCTATTAATTTCAACCAGAGCCTTCCCAAGGTGCAGGGAACTTTTGAGAATTTTATTTCTTGCAAAAGGAAATTTGATTCCTTGCTTAGGGCCTTCCTAGCAAAACCTCTATTCTTTGGAGGAATATCATACTCCTACAAGATTTAAGGACCATCATATTTGTCAGATTTTTTTTCTGTTTTACTGTGAGCAGTTTACAGAATATAAAGAAAAATCAAATCCGAAGGTGCACTACACGTTGTTTATCAAAAGGAACATTTTTGTTTACTTTTAAGAAAATATGACAAATTTAGTGTTCTGACCTATTACCAAGTTAGACATCTTGAGTGAATTGAGTCTTTTGCAATCCTACTTGGTTTTAATCCTATGGCTCTGGAAAACTATCAACTATCTCCAATTTTTCAACTCTGCTTCTTCCCAGTACCTCATCTATATGACTATTGTAGTACTTTTCATCTGCTTCTACCACTACACTGTGGCTGCCTTACCTTTAACATAATGTCCCACACATAAGTGGCTGGCAAATACATACCTAATATAAAGAGTAGAAATTGAATTATAATTGAGTATCCAGTTGCCTCATATTCTGGTCTTCAACTGAAATAACTCAAGCTATCTCAAAACTTCAACCCTCCCTGGAAGTATTGGACCAAATTATCTCAGATTATAGCACTCTCAGGCTAAAATTACTAACGCTTCTATAGTTTCAGAAAGAGTATCAGGTTATTCAACACAACCTTCCATGCACCATCCCAGCCTCATATAATCAGAGGACACTTAGATGACTTTAGTAGCCTTCAAAAGACACCCTCCCCTTTTATTTATTTATCTATTTATTGAATGGAGACAGGGTCTCATTCTGTTACCCACACTGGAGCGCAGTGGCATAATCACGGTTCACCGCAGCCTCCACCTCCCGGGCTCAGATCCTTTCACCGCAGCCTCCGGAGTAGCCAGGACGACAGGCGCCAGCCACCACGTCTGCCTAGTTTTTGTATTTTTTGTAGAGATGGGGTTTCACCATGTTGCCCGGGCTGATCTGAAACTCCTGGGCTCAAGCAACCCGTCTGCCCCGGCCTCCCAAAGTGCTGGGATGACATGAATGAGCCATCGTGCCCAGCCGGCCCCGCCCGTTTTTTAACCTTCATACTGTTTATATAATCATCCTTCACAAAATAGAACACTTAATTACTCGATGTTTCTCATTATTCTAATATGAAGAACTATCTGAAGAAAATAAATTCCCGGCCGGCGCGGTGGCTCACGCCTGTAATCCCAGCACTTTGGGAGGCCGAGGCGGGCGGATCACGAGGTCAGGAGATCGAGACCATCCTGGCTAACACGGTGAAACCCCGTCTCTACTAAAAATACAAAAAATAAGCCTGGCGTGGTGGCAGGCGCCTGTAGTCCCAGCTACTCGGGAGGCTGAGGCAGGAGAATGGCGGGAACCCGGGAGGCAGAGCTTGCAGTGAGCCGAGATCGTGCCACTGCACTCCAGCCTGAGCCACAGAGCAAGACTACAGTCTCAAAAAAAAAAAAAAAAAAAAAAAAGAAAAGAAAATAAATTCCCAATAATTCCTAGAATATCCAATTTAACTCTATACATCAAATAGAGAAAAATAAAAGCCGTCTTACTGTGTTTCTTACTGCTCATAATAAATTAACACAAACTCAGAGGCTTAAAACAACACATTTTTTGTCTTTATACTTCTGGGGGTCAGAAGTCCAAAATGGGTCTTAGTGTGCTAAAATCGAGTTATCATCAAGTCTATATTTTGTCAGGAGATTCCAGGGGAGAATTCACCAGGTTTGAGGGGCCACATGTACCCCTGAGCTCTTGGCCTCTGCCTCCATCCACACAGCACATCACTTCAGCCTCGGCTCCAGTCTCCCCAAGCTCCTCTACTCACTCTGGTCTTTCGGCCTTCCTGTTTGAAGGTTCTTTGTGACTACAGTGGGCCCACCTAGATAATTCAGGATAATCTCTCCATTTTAAGGTCAGGTGATTAGCAATCTGAATTCCACCTGCAACCACAATGCTCCCATGCTGCCTGACAACATATTCAAAAGGTCATCCTATTAAGGGTCATTATTCTACCTACACACTAAGTAACTGAGAAAAAAGTAAAGTTATGTATCATGCATTACCTATGGCAAGGAAATAATAAATTATAATGATTTATCTAAAAAAAACTATTTTTAAAAGCTTTGGTCCTAGTCTATTGATTAAAGTTTTGGTATATTCCAGATAAATTTCATGTCCTTGATGCTAACACATTGTGCACAGTAGATGGCCTTTTTAAAATATTACTTTATAAAGGGATATTTAAGGTTATCTGGACAATAGAAAAGGAACTTTAGCTGTTATGCCACAAAAGGCCAGATTTCTGCACATTACACCTCCTACCAGTGCACACATGTGCAAACTCCTTCCTGAAAGCCTGGTTTGTGTTTCCTATGTGCTTAGCAATAGTCTTTACTCTCATGACTGTTTATATTAAGTCCTATTTTTTAAAGCATATACTCATTTATTTGTTTTCCCGAGCCTACCCTTATTTCCTCCTCTGAACTGGATTTCATTTGGTGTGTATTGCACAGGCTTGCACACTTGATTGTACGCTACTTTACAGCATCCTCTTGTGTTCTGGACACAGTTATTTTTCTCCATGGTAAGGTGATAAGTGACTTCTCTGAGGACTTGCCACCTTAGTATGCAGTGGTGACATCACCTGCTCAGGCTCTGTCTGCAATGTGGAATTTAGTATTTTCCAACTTCTGGTCTAACTTGAACTTCATAATTAAGCAGAGCTGCCTTTTGAGGGAATAGTAGGGTGTCTGCCCCTAAACGTCTGTGTAAATGCAGAAACATATTTGGGAACATAACTGACTTTTATGTACAGAAGCCAGATGCATTTCATGCCCATGCATGCTTAGGGAAGCAAGTTCATCTCATCTATCACAATAAAAGCATCTGTTCCACTAAATTCCACTGCAGGATACTTTTCACACTTAAACAACAAAACATTTAAGGAAATAAAAGCTCTTCCCAATAAAAATGTGCATCAAAAACTGTGTGTATGTTTTAAAAAAAAACCTTCCTCTATAAGATAAGGCCATAGGAACTACTTAAAAAAGCATTCTTGAAATATATTTTCTGATAGGCATCTAGGCCCTTGCCTTATGTAAGATTTAGGGAAAGTGATGTGTGTGTCTTTATACCTGAAAGGCTGCTTTCAACAGCAAAGGGTATGCTTTGAGGTATCAGTATAGTTTTGAGAATGCAAAAGTTTAAAAGAACTAATGGAATGCATATTATCCAGGTATGAACATGCATTTGTCATTATTTTCCTACCATCTACTATATTAGAAACAGAAGAAAAATTATGGAAATGTCAGTTTTCCCTCAATACGAATACCTATTTATTAAAGTTAATTACTATTCTTTAAACATTTTCAAAATAGATTCATAAGTGACAACTTTCAGAGAAAATAAGGGTTTTTGGATGTATATATTTACTTATAACATGGATAAAATTAATAATATAATTTTGTTAAAATATTAACTCCGTATCAATAATGCTCTCTATTGTTTTTGCATTTTGTTTAACAATAGGGAATCTAATACATTTAGTGTTCATGAGTTTCATACAGTTTCCTGTCAATGTACTTTGTCTTTTTTTATTGGACTACTAATCATTTATTTATGATTTGTTGGAACTACTCATATTTTAAATATGTCAAGTGAATTGCAAACACTTGCTGCTGATTAGATATTTGCTTTTTACACATATTCATGGTATCCTCTGAAATAGAAAAGTTTTATATTTTAACAAATTCCAATCCATAAATATTTTTTAAAAAATTTTCTGTTATTGGTTAGGGCTACGTTTAGATATTTAGTTTTAACCGTAATGTTGCAAGTGATATTTGTCTATGGTATTTTTTCTTTATATTCTGAAAAAGTGTATTTGACATCCACTCTGGAATTAGTATTTATGAATGACATAGTATACCTTTGTGCAACTATAAAATACATATAGCCAATTATCTGAACACCATTTTATGAACCGTTTATCACTTACCCACTGATTTGAAACACTATCTTTATCATATATTGGATTTTAGGTTTATTGAGATTATGTAACATGAAATTATTTAATTATGAAATTATGCGAATTCAAGCATGACAGTCAGTTCTTCTTCCCCACCACTACCCTGTAAAAGGGTGGATGGAAGAATTGCTTCCTTATGGCTTCAGGGTCTGAGTAGTATAAAACATGGTCTTGATGAAGTGGGAACTATACAGAAACTGTTTTTGGTTCTGAAATGTACTCCAGCTTTACCAATTTGTTCTACACATATACCATTGAGGGTAGAAGCTGAATTTTGCTTACGATTATATTTCTACTACTTAACATTGTGCCAGATACTGAGTAGATGCTTAGAAACATGTTTAATGATTTGTTTTATTGCTAGATACCTAATTATCTGCTGTAGTGGTGCTACCTCATTCAGAATAATTTTGACAAATCTTTCTCCATCATGAATAAAACATTATTTACACACTTGTGTACATGCACATCTGCATAGAAACACACACACCCTTTGCAGAGACAAACTGCATTGAAAGCATTACAAACATTATAGTATATTTGTTGATTCTGACCTGATTCTGATTCTATAGCATATTTTTTCATTCTGATCAATAAAAATAGAACAATAACAATACAAATAGAAAACTGTGTGTGAAGCTGGAAGATGCAGAACACGAAAGATCAAATTACCAATTTTTTTTTCTATTTTCTTTAGTTAGCTGCTGATGAAATCAGAAAAGTAATGGACATAAAAATGAAAGTATGCAATGTGTGTGTGTGTGTATGTATATCACATGCACTTGTTTTCATGATGTACATACGGAATTTCATAACCAGCCAAACTAAGCTTCATAAATGAATGAGAAATAAAATCCTTTACAGACAAGCAGATGCTGAGAGATTTAGTCACCATCAGTCCTGCCTTATAAGAGCTCCTAAAGGAAGCACTAAATATGGAAAGGAAAAACCAGTACCAGCCACTGCAAAAACACACCAAAATATAAAAACCAATGAAACTAGGAAGAAACTGCTTCAACTAATGTGCAAAATAACCAGCTAGCATCATGATCACAGGATCAAATTCACACATAATAATATTAACCATAAATATACATGGGCTAAATGCCCCAATTAAAAGACATAGACTGGAAAATTGGATAAAGAGTCAATATCCAGAGGTGTGCTGTATTCAGGAGACCCATCTCACTTGCAAGGACACACATAGGCTCAAAATAAAGGGATGAAGGAATATTTACCAAGCAAATGGAAAGAAAGAAAAAAAAAAGCAGGGGTTTCAATCCTAGTCTCTAATAAAACAGACTTTGAACCAACAAAGATAAAAAAGGACAAAGGGCATTACGTAGTAGTAAAGGGATCAATGCAACAAGAAGAGCTAACTATCCTAAATATATATGCACCAAATACAGGAGCACCAGGATTCATAAAATGAGTTCTTAGAGACCTACAAGGAGACTTAGACTCCCACACAATAATAGTGGGAAACTTTAACAACCCACTATCAATATTAGACAGATCAACAGGACAGGAAATTAACAAGGATATTCAGACTTGAACTCAGCTCTGGTCCAAGCGGACCTAATAGATATCTACAGAACTCTCCACCCCAAATCAACAGAAGATACATTCTTCTCAGCACCACATAGCACTTATTCTAAAATCAACCACATAATTGGAAGTAAAACACTCCTCAGCAAATGCAAAAGAATGAAAATCATAACAAACAATCTCTCAAACCAAAGTGTAATCAAATTAGAACTCAGAATTAAGAAACTCACTCAAAACTGCACAACTACATGGAAACTGAACAACCTGCTTCTGACTGACTACTGGGTAAATAGCAAAATTAAGGCAGAAATAAATAAGTTCTTTGAAACCAATGAGAACAAAGACACAACATACCAGAATATCTGGGACACAGGTAAAACAGTGTTTAGAGGGAAATTTATAGCATTAAATGCCCATATCAGAAAGTGGGAAAGATCTAAAATAGACACCCTAACATCGCAATCAAAAGAAGCAATGGCAAACACATTCAAAACCTAGCATAAGACAAGAAATAACTAAGATCACAGCAGAACTGAATGGGAGAGAAACACGAAAAAACCTTCAAAAAATCAATGAATCTAGGAGTGGGTTTTTTGAAAAGATTAACAAAATAGATAGACCGGTAGCCAGACTAATAAGGAAGAAAAGAGAGAAAAATCAAATAGACACATTAAAAAATGATAAAGGGGATATCACCACTGATGCCACAGAAATACAAACTATTATCAGAGAATACTGTAAACACCTCTACACAAATAAACTAGAAAATCTAGAGGAAATGGATAAATTCCTGGACACATACAGCCTCCCAAGACTAAACCAGGAAGAAGTCAAATCCCTGAATAGACCAATAACAAGTTCTGAAATTGAGTCAGTAATTACTAGCCTACCAACCAAAAAAAGCCCAGGACCAGATGTATTCACAGCCAAGTTCTACGAGAGGTACAAAGAGGAGCTGGTACCATTCCTTCTGAAACTATTCTGAACAATAGAAAAAGAGGGACTCCTCCCTAACTCATTTTATGAGGCCAGCATCATTCTGATTCCAAAACCTGGCAAAGACCCAATAAAAAAAGAAAATTTCAGGCCAATATCACTGACGAACATCGATGCAAAAATCCTGAATAAAATACTGGCAAGCGAATCCAGCAGCACATCAAAAAGCTTATCCACCACGATCAAGTTGGCTTCATGCCTGGCATGCAAGGCTGGTTCAACATACGCAAATCAATAAATGTAATCCATCACATAAACAGAACCAATGACAAAAACTGCATGATTATCTCAATAGATTCAGAAAAGGCCTTCAATAAAATTCAACACCCCTCATACTAAAAACTCTCAATAAACTAGGTATTGATGGAACATATCTCAAAATAATAAGAGCTATTTATGACAAATGCATAGCTAATATCATGCTAAATGGCCAAAAGCTGGAAGCATTCCCTTTGAAAACTGGCACAAGAGAAGGATGACCTCTCTCCCCACTCTTACTCAACATAGTATTGGAAGTTCTGGCCAGGGCAATCAAGCAAGAGAAAGAAATAAAAGGTATGCAAATAGGAAGAGAGGAAATCAAATTGTCTCTGTTTGCAGATGACATGATTGTATATTTACAAAACGCCACCACCTCAGCCCAAAAATTCCTTAACCTGATAAACAACTTTGGCAAAGTCTCAGGATATAAAATTAATGTGCAAAAATCACAATCATTCTTATACACCAATAACAGACCAGACAAGCAGAGAGCCAAATCATTAGTAAACTCCCATTCACAACTGCTATAAAGAAAACAAAATACGTAGGAATACAACCTACGAGGGATGTGAAGGACCTCTTCAAGGACAACTACAAACCAGAGCTCAAGGAAATGACAGGACACAAACATATAGAGAAACATTCCATCCTCATGGATAGGAAGACTCAATATCATGAAAATGGCCATATTGCCCAAAGTAATTTATAGGTTCAATGCTATTCCCATCAAGCTACCATTGACTTTCTTCACAGAACTAGAAAAAAACTATGTTAAATTTCATATGGAAGCAAAAAAGAGCCTGTGGAGCCAAAACTAGCCTAAGCAAAAAGAACAAAGCTGGAGGCATGACGCTGCCTGACTTCAAACTATATTACAAACTACAGTAACCAAAACAGCATGGTGCTAATACCAAAACAGATATATAGACCAATGAAACAGAACAGAGGCCTCAGAAATAACACCACACAGCTACAACCATCTGATCTTCAACAAACCTGACAAAAGCAAGCAATGGGGAAAGGATTCCCTATTTAATAAATGGCGCTGGGAAAACTGGCTAGCCATATGCAGAAAAGAGAAACTGGACCCCTTCGTTACACCTTATAAAAGAATTAACTCAAAGTGGATTAAAAACATAAATGTAAAACCTAAAACTATAAAAACCCTAGAAGAAAACCTAGGCAATACGATTCAGGACACAGGTGTGGGCAAAGACTTCGTGACTAAAACACCAACAGCACTGGAAACAACAGCCAAAATTGACAGATGGAATCTAATTAAACTAAAGAGCTTCTGCTCAGTAAAATAAACTATCACCAGAGTGAACAGGCAAACTACAAAATATGAGAAAATTTTTACAATCTATCCATCTGACAAAGGTCTAATATCCAGAATCTAGAAGGAACTTAAACAAATTTACAAGAAAAAAACAACCCCATCAAAAAGTAGGCAAAGGATATGAACAGACACTTCTCAAAAGAAGACATGTATGTGGCCAATAAACACATGAAAAAAAGCTCATAATCACTGGTCATTAGAGAAATGCAAATCAAAACCACAATGACATACCATCTCACACCAGTTAGAATGGTGATCATTAAAAAGTCTGGAAACAGCAGATGCTGGAGAAGATGCAGAGAAATAGGAACACTTTTACACCACTGGTGGCCTTGTAAAATAGTTCAACCATTGTGGAAGACAATGTGGTGATTCCTCAAGGATATAGAACCAGAAATACCATTTGACCCAGCAATCCCATTACTGGGTATCTACCCAAAGGATTATAAATCATTCTGCTATAAAGACACATGTACACGTATGTTTATTGTGGCACTATTTACAATAGCAAAGACTTGGAACCAACATAATGCCCATCAATGATAGACCGGATGAAGAAAATGTGTCATATATTCACCATGGAATACTATGCAGCCATAAAAAACGATGAGTTCATGTCCTTTGCAGGGACATGGATGAAGCTGGAACCATCATCCTCAGCAAACTAACACAGGAACAGAAAACCAAACACTGTGTGTTCTCACTCATAAGTGGGAGCTGAACAATGAGAACACGTGGACACAGGGAGGGGAACATCACACACTGGGGCCTGTCGGTGGGTGGGGGAAAAGAGGAGGGAGAGCATTAGGACAAATAGCTAATGCGTGTGGAGCTTAAAACCTAGATAACGGGTTGATAGGTGCAGCAAATTACCATGGTACATGTATACCTATGTAATAAACCTGCATGTTCAGCACATGTATCCCAGAACTTACAGTAAAATTTTAAAAAATGAAAGTACGCAATATGTGTATGTGTGTGTGTATATATATATAGAAAACATGCACTCATTTTCATTATGTACATATATGTACATTATGAGTGTGAATATATGTTAAATAATATCCCATCAGTTTTGTATTTGTAACATATATATGTACATGCATATACAACAAATAGAGGTGTTTTGCATAATAATTTCATTTATATTCATCAGCTAAGAACTAAAGAGAATTTAAATCAAAATCAATTATTCATTTACAGGTGTTTTTAACCATTATCTCCCCCTTTATCTTCATTTTTATGCCTCTTTATATTGCCATTTTGTGACTTTTTTTTGCCATAAATTATACATATTTGGAACAGTCGCTTTAAGAAAATCAATCTTTGGGTAAGATCTCTAAGATTGATTTAGTATGAATACGTGTGTAGGCACACACTTGACAAAGAAAGGTCAGTTATAAATATATGTGTACACTTATCAAAAATAATTCACATAAAATCTCTGAATAAAATTATCTGTATGCTTGTTCTGTCAATAAAAGCAATATAGTATAATTCTTGGTAGTAAATCTGTTTATTTTCATTCTGTTGCCTACCATGTGAGCTGCCATGTTGGTATAATACATTGATCATTTGATATTTTACTACAGCAAATAATAGTGATCCCCCCGAAATAATAAATAAATAAATCAGTGAGTTTCAAGGAAATAAATTTTTTGATGGATCAGATAACTTGAAGTTGTTAGTTTGTTCTCCAGCAAGGTGAAAGAAAAAAGCTATTAGTTTGTTCTCTACCAAGGTGAACGAAGATGAAAACTAAAGTTCTCAAGGCCAGTGCATAACAATAATGTGCTGTATTCTGTGCATCAATCACCATTACCAAATATCTTGATACCTATATTGCCAAATATTTCATGTACCGCTTTAGTGGTGATTAATCAATGTGCCATGGCACTGAAACTGAAATGAGACTTTGTAGTACAAGTGATATTCAAAGGGTTTTGAAAATTTATCAGCTCTATAGATAAAGATGAAAAATTATCATCTATATCTATCTAGAAATACTGTTTTTATAAGTGTTACCTATCCAAATATTGGTTTTATTTACTTAATATTTAGAAAACGTGAGTTTAGTAAAAATTGTTCAGATTTTCTTAATGTAGTGTGTGAAATTACTATGTAATTATACAAGAAATATGCTACACAGCTGAATATACAAATAGGCCAGCAGAGGTAGCAAAAGGTGCCTTTCAGTTTTATTATCTCCCCTATAATCTTCAGCAACATCACCCACTCTTCTCTCTACACCATTGATGTATGTTATCTAAATCAAGTCCTATGCAAATGCCACCTCAACATGAGTCCTCTAGCCTTGCCTTCTTATCAGAATGCAGCTCGAAAGCCCCGCTATGTAATTCTAGAGCCACCACTGAAAAATACACACTTGTTGCAAGTATTGAAAAGCCTCATATTGCAAATTCAGAATTCACAGTATTGAAAAAATTAGTAATTTTTTTAAAGTTACAATACTGTGAACTATATAAAATGAATTATGCTGGGATCAGATGACTCTCTTCATTCCAGCCTATCTTATATTTTCTCATTAATTTCTCCATATAGTCACAACTAACAACAACAGACTCACTATTACATTTCATTAACGGCTATTTTATAATAAATGATCTCAATAGCATTTCTGAACCCTCTGCTGTTCTGGTTTTACATAATTCTTGAATTTTTGAATGAGTTAGTCTTTGATTGAAAAAGACCTGACTCTTATGCTTAGAAAAGCCATCATTTCTTTCTGTAAGCTTTCTATCTTCTATAAGCTTTACATGTTCCATAAGCAAACATTCACTGGTTTTGTGATCAAACTAGAGAGGCAAATTCAGTAAATAGTAACAACATCATTTATCATCCTCAAATCTAGTGTTATGGATAATATGATTTCCACAAGGAGACAGTTGGTTGCACAAGCGACAAGAGAAAGACAATCAACAGTCTTATACTCATACCAAGATATGTCCACACACACTTGTTTCCACAGTCAAAGTAATGCCATATGTCCCCAGTGATGTGGGTGGGCAAAAGGAACAGCTGGCCTGCTAATGAGGGCCACATGTACACGCAGCCTATCATACCATCCTTCTTACTTATGGTTGCTGAAAACTCGGTGGAAGTGCTTGCTCTGAGGAATAGCATGGCTGGAGGAGAAGAGGCTTCCTTAACAGCAGGAAAGGACCATTTGTTGTACAACTACTGTATCTCTGAAACTGGGAGCTAAAAATATGCATGTACGTTACTCATTCTCATTAAGAGTTACTTACGCATCCGTAGAGTTCTTTACTCCAATTTCACCTTTCACTAAATTCTTTTGCATTTATGTGCAAAGGGATTTTGGGTCCTTTTCAAAAATTACTTTTCATAATCAATCTTGTTAATTTGATGTTCATTTGCATCAACTTCTCTTTATTTTTAGCTTGATCTCCAGAAAAATTATACTTTCTTCGACATTGTTAAATGTTACAATATTAAAAGAAATGAAAAAGACTTAAAAACTTAGAATATTTGAATGAGGGTTTCTGGAAGGCAGAGAGCAATAAGGCAAAAGTACTTACTGCACTACTGTTTCAAAGTAAAAGAAAAACAAAGATTTTAAAAATGATTATAGCAGCTTTGTATCTCAACCAGGGTTTCCTTTGAAATTTCTACAACTGTAAACACTGTTCAGCAATTTGCACTGATTATAAAATTTATTGTTTTAAGGTCAATTGTGATACTATGGTCAGATAATATAATTTACTTTACTCTTAATGGCTTCATTTTGACAAATGAGGGAGCTTTTAGGAAGGACAATGCTCCCTGCACAATAACCAGTAAAGCATGTCACATCCATTTACAATATAATTTTAAGAAAAATGAAGGAAAAACTACTTGTGAGGCAGCAAGAATTCATTTGCATTAAATTAATTTGAACAGGGCATTTCAAGTTCTCTCTGGCAACAATGGAATAAAGGGGAAAACGAATCTATCTTATGCAATGATCCTCTTCTAGGTTACAGAAAGATTTCAAAGGCTGACATGACCATTAAATTTCTTCTAGAAGTCTATGATTAGTATCATAGATATAACTCATGAGATAAAATATTCACAACGAATGTTTGTGAACTGCATCAATTATTATGGAACTACTGTCTAACATCCCTTTGAAAATTTATATTCTGCAAAGGTTAAAAAAACACCAACCTTTCTGTGCTTTCTTATATGGATGAGATTTTGTAAACAAGAACTAAGCTTCACAAATAAGCAATATGGAAGATAACGTTCTATGTTAATTTAAACCTAAGTAATCCAGGAGTTGGCCTTGATAAATAATGAGTTTAATTAATATTTTTGACCCCAGCAGTGCAAATACTTTTACTTACATTTTACTAGAGCTAGATTTGACAAATCTAAGGGTATTTAATTTATCAGTAGCTGTTATCAGTCAGATGAAAACTTCCCCATCAATACCTTCTAATGGTTCAAAAATAAATTGTTACCCCCACAGATACATTATTTTTCCATGCGTAAGCAAGCACATTAATTTCAGGTTCTCAAGGCACAAAAATATTATTACCACTTATGATAGGCTGCATAATAGTCCCAAAAGATGTTCTTGGCCTAATCTCCAGGCCCTGGGAATGTGCTGCCTTACATAGCCAAAGGGACTTGTAGATATGATTAAGTTAAGGATCTTGAGACAAGGTGATTATCCCACGTCATCCATGTGAGTCCAAAGTAATCACAGGAGTCCTTAGATGAAGTAGAGAGAAGGACTCAAAGTTAAAGGAGGAGACAATGCGGAGAAAGGAACAGAAATAAAAGCAATGCACCTTGAAAATGGAGGAATGGGTAAAAGACAATGAATACAGGTGCCACCAGAAGCAGAAAAAGGCAAGAGAATGGATTCTCCCCTCAGCACCTCCAGAAGGAACCAACACTGCAGACACAGTGACTTAGCCTAATTAAAGTGATTTTGGACTTCTGACCTTTGAAACTGTAAGACAATAAATATGTGTTATTTTAAGTTATTTAAATGTGTGGTAATTTGTTATAGCAGCAGTAATACAACTAATACACCACTACAATAAGCAAAGGAAATAAAGTGCAATAGTGACAAACTTAAGGGATTCCAGAAAAGAGAAATGAAGTGGTAAACTCAATCACAGGATTATATTAGTAACTGTATTATATGTTACTTGCTTACCCTTTCAATCATATTATTGCTGTAATTATCACTATCATCCAATCAATATGATTATACCAGTATGTATAACTTAGAGATGAAATTTTTTTCTATTTCACCCTTCCCATAATTCCACGCAGCTACACGTAAGCAACCGTGTATCTGATGGAGCTAATATTTTCATGGAAAAATCTTCCATGTTAAGCAGAAAATTTACATCTAAAATTAAATTCTTTTAAGCCAGTCTGGGGACAATACCTAGAAAATTCAAACATTACTTCTCAAGAATACCACCAGCAGTGAGTTTGTGATGCTATCTTCCACCAACTGAATCAAAATTAATTTTAAAGATTCTCAAAGCAGTATTTTAAAAAATTGTGTACAAATTTTTCCTCTTGGTAAAAATAAACCACTTCTCAACCCTCCATTATATTTATGTTAATTACATGAAGTCCATACATGAATTGTCATACCACAAATAGAAAACTATTTAAATCAAAAAATCTCACTCAGTGCTGACAGAATGACAGCATAAAACTGTTAAGCATGGGGAGGAGAAAGTTGTTTGTGGTGTAAATATTTCCCTTCTCTCATCAAACTTTGTCCTGTGATCTAGCACTCTTCTCTCCACATGCTTGAGTACAGCAAAAGTTATAAAAATACTCATTCTAGTTTTCTATACTTTAATGATTACAGAACATTAGAAGAGAATTAGGAGATGGGAATGTTTTGTGCAAGACTGACATTGCATTTGAGGGGAAAATAAAAACTTGGACATAATATGTGGGATATCTCCATAGTAATATATGGGAGGACAAGAAAAAAATACTATCAAATTTCTACCATGTGCTGAGGCCCTTGTAAACAAATATCCAGCCTTTTTAATGTACTAACAACCACTCTTCATAGCAGGCATTCTATTCCCAGCTTGTAGATAAGAAACAAGGCTTCGGCAGGGCGCGGTGGCTCACGCCTGTAATCCCAGCACTTTGGGAGGCCGAGACGGGCGGATCACGAGGTCAGGAGATCGAGACCATCCTGGCTAACACGGTGAAACCCCGTCTCTACTAAAAATACAAAAATTAGCCGGGCATGGTGGCGTGCGCCTGTAGTCCCAGCTACACGGGAGGCTGAGGCAGGAGAACGGCGTGAACCCGGGAGGCGGAGCTTGCAGTGAGTCGAGATCGCGCCACTGCACTCCAGCCTGGGCGACAGAGCGAAACTCCGTCTCAAAAAAAAAAAAAAAAAAAAAAAGAAACAAGGCTTCAGAAAGGGATCTTCACCAATTTCATACAGTCAATAAAAGGCAGAACTAGGGCAAATATCAATAATAAAAATAGCAATCTAATCCTAATTGGACCTGGCACTGTTCTAAGAAGCAAATCATTAACAAAGAATTTTGAGTTACATGCTCTTAGTCTCCCCATTTTACACAAGAAGCAACTGAGGTAAAGAGAAGCTATACCATTTGTTTTCAAGCTCATATAGCTAACAAGATACCATTTTAATCATGGGTCTGTAATAGATCGTGTACATCACTTCCAGCATTCACTGAGATTTTTCTTATTAAACCCTAAGCAAGTATTTGATCGCTGAGAAGCTGTAATTTTTTCACTGCTCATTCTTATCACAGTTCTTCAAGAAAAGTACAGTTCAACATATTTGTCCTATTTGGTTGCAAATTTTGAAATTCAAAATATATATCACACTAAGCTGTTAGCTCCATTTAGAATTTTAAAAAACTACATTTTTCACTCAGTAAAAAAAAAATTGCATTGTTTACTCCCATATCTACAATATAGCTTATAAGTGTATATTTGTATTGTAAACATAATTTTCTATAACTTTTATAATATTTAAATATTATTTAAGGTTTTAATAATATTTAAATGTTTAAATAATACATTTAAAAACATAGTTCAACAAGTCCGAATAATCCATCACTTACTTATGACAGAATATTTGTTCAGTATCTTCTGTTTGTTCACTCTTGTGTAATATATCCTATTTTAAGAATCAAAAACTTCTCTTAATGTCAACACTATAGTCTCTTCACAATTCCTACCTATTCTTAATTACCCTTCAGGAGCAAATAAAATGAATTTATACCAAATTTATTTGCTTTGAAACAACTTCAATGAAAATGGTGGTTGTCAACCATATCTACCATTCATATATCTCCATGTTTTTCTGCATTAAATTTCATCTACTACTCCCTTATGCCATCAATGTCACTACAAAGGGGGACAGGGGATGAATCTCGTAATGAACAAAGGTATATACACTAGAACTTAGGATGTTCAATCATCTCCCTAGTATATTATGTCCCATCTGAACTACTCATATTAAAATGAGCAACTACATGAACATGGTACTTTTAAGAAAGGATGTTCAAAAATTAATTCATATCTTGTACAAATTTGTATCCAAGAAAGCATGACCTCATAGGCATGACATATGTGAATGAAAAAATTCACTTTCAGCAATGAATGTTGATGACACTCCTTTAGCAAGAGTTGTCACCAAGCTACCCACAACTCCTCAGCACTCACTATTCTCATACATGTGGTCGGACAATGTCCAAGGGTGCAGTGATTCTGTCCAAAGGCTTTTCTGGGCCATCAGAGCTGTCTCAGCCTGTGTACAGGGTTATACAGAAACTCCAGGGCATTAATGACTCTGATCACTGGAGCAGCCCTGTACTAACTGCAAATTTACGGAGGAAACTTCCAAGTCCTCTTGCCCCTCAGTTGGGGTAACTCTGTTACCTATTTCATGTGGTCTCAGTTCTCCAACAAAAATGATCTCAGCTTCCTCATCTTACTTCCATCTCACTACATGGCATAACTAGAAGTTGACTAGGTATTCTGCTTTAATGTATATGCAAAGCCCTCTTGCTCAGGAATGTCTGTAGAATAATATTTCTAAATTAGGAATACAATTGGTCTTGCTCTTTCCTGAGGGATAAAATGTCATCTCTCTTATCTCCCTCTCTCCTTTCTTCCTAATTCATCTAACCCTCTTTCTGAAAGAATTAGAAAGGAAGAAATATAGGGCATTGTTTAGCATTCTCAAGAGGATTGTTTTCCTTGAAAATGTTGAAATGACAGTGAGTATCACACATACACTGCTTGAAGTATTTTGTAGGATCTGAGGGAAGAGAAAATTTTGACATTCCAGAAAATTTAAGTCATCCTTTTAATGTCAGGACCAGAAAGGAACAGGTCACATGGGCAAGAGCCATAAAACTAATTATCTTGACTCCTTCCAGAATACCTGAGCTATAAATGTTCAGGGAATCCTGTAATCAGATGCAAAGTTGTGTATAACATACTTAGTTCCCCAAGGTAACTATCAATTTTATGTATATAATATGAAAAATTGTTTCAATGCATTTGAGACTCCAAAAAGTTTCATAGCTAGCATTCAATATTCTTGTTTAACTTCTCCTTATACCCCTAAACTGTACTGAGCATGCATAGACACACAAAAGCTCCCTCCCTCCAAAAAACTCACAAACTCTCTTTGAAATTTATTTTTTTAAGAGATTATGTAGGATCAACTATTACCGCTTAAGAAAGAAAAGGAGGAAAAAGGCTGTATTATAGGGATTTTGTTTTCTTCCTCAACTCTTGAAGAAGCCTATTTGTGTCAGCCCGTGTCAGACACCAAAGTACTTATCAATAAAGTTTTATGAATGTGGTCACATATGAAATATAAGAGCATTCCGTTTCTACCTCTCCTTTTCTCATAAGTCCCACATCAGATATACATTAGATATATCTGCCAGTGTTGCCACGGAATCTGAAAGACTATTCACTGCGAAGCTGGCAGTTCAGCCTGAAAGCAGGTTCTGTCTGCATTTCAAGTTCACACTAAGTGGTTTAAAAACACAGCTAAATGTGGCCTGTCTTTATCCTGATTATAAGACACAAATTATCCCAAGAATATTCTTAGTAAAAATTGAGTCTCCCTGTGAATCCACTTTTATTAAGAAGGACACAGGTCAGTTTTTAGGAGTTTAGGAGTTATTTGGAAGTTAGGAGCATCTAAATATGGAAAATAACTCCACAAAATTATAGTATATTTTATATCAAAGAGAAACCAGAAAAATAAGAAATGCTTTTTTTTCATATAGCATGTTCATATATAATTATTTCAGTAGTCTCAATGTAGTTGTGCAATTGTTTGGGTAAAGAACTAAACTTGAAGTTAAATAGCATAGGTCTGAATTCTTATGGTTTATAACATTCATATATTTTATATGTTCCATAATAATATGTAATTTCTAAGTTTATAACATAATAATTACAGAAATCTAGATAAAGTAATACTTCTGTGACACAGTCTCTACATCTACAAAATGGAATATCACTTTTCTCCTTAAATTTATATTAAAAATTGGAGAAGTAATATATGTGAAAGAACCTTACATTAAATATGCAAGTTTTATTTGTTGAACTCAGTCATTAAAGAAAGAACAAAATAAAATATTACATACTTTGATTAACAAAGTAGATACATATATCTTAATCTGAGAAACCTTTAAGCTCTCTTGACCATAAAATGACATTGGATCCTAAAAGAGAATTTGGTAAATATTTGAAAGATATTTCAATTTCACACCTGAATTTTGATTCTGACATTTATTTCCTAAACTTATCGTTTGTATACTTACCTGCTATTAAATCCACAGTGTGTCATGTGACTAACTGTATGCCCACCGATTTTATTGACAGGTATTCAGCAAGGCCCACAAAGTAAGTATTGAATTTTTTTAAAAAAACAGACCCAAAACACCTAAAAGCAAAACAGTTAGTAAATTCTTACAATCATGATGATCACAAATTAGTGCTATTAGTAAGAAAGAAACTTCTAAACCAAATAAAGTCATAATACCTCCAAGGAATTTTGTCTCTCTGATACACACACACACACACACACACACACACACGCACACGATTAAAAAAAATGAAGCAAATGTAAAAATAAATAAGTGAAGGAAGTTCTGTGGGAAATGTCCATAATTTCACGCCCAGAATTTCTCTATCAATCCCTTTCCCCAAAGTTCTTCGAAGAAAATAAAGTTGCCTTTCTCTCAGTGTTAACTCATCACTTTTCTCATAGCATTTTCAAAAGAAATATTTCCTGTCAGTCGGCCACTTAAATTTTGTGCTGTTAAAGAAATCCAAAAAGGTATCAAATTTGCAACAAAGGATAAAGAGGAGATGAAGTGAACCAACATGGCTTTTAAGCTATATTGCCGTCACATCTCACAGGCTGTCTAGAGAGCCTGAAGTTCCCTTTAATAAGCTTATGGAGGGTGCAGAGCAAAGGAACCTGAAGTTACTCTGAGGGTTTTCCCCTGGTAAATTAGGTGGAAAGGAAGAGTCCCAACCCCCACCCCCAAACTTAGAGACCAAGGTTGCCCCGTCACATTCTGTGCCCAGACCTTCTGCTTCCACGCCTTCCCAAACCTTTCCTTGGCTTGGAAAATTGGGCATGAGGCAAGCAAAAGGAAGGACAGAAGGCCAAAAAGGGCATCCGGGAAACCAAATTTCCGTCTTAAAAGCTTGTCTAGAAACACATATATAACGCGTGCCTTTGGGGACATTTCCTAAAACCCCATTCACTTAAGCTAATTCCATCCGAATGCCCCCACGCTGGCCGTGAGGATCGCAACCACCCACCGACCCTCCGCCCCCTCCCAGCCTGTGCAGCCACCGCCAAGACCTTCCGTGAATTTGGGAAATATAAAGGCAGCAGCGCTTGGGGGAGCTGAGCAGCCTCGCCAATGCCACGTCTCTGGTTCGAGACCCCTCGGTTCACCTCTTTGCCGAACTCACCTGGAGTCAGGTTTAGACGGCAGCCTCCACCCAGGGGGACAGGGAAGCAGCCCTGGGAAGCTCCGCAGCGTCCGTGTGAATAACGAGGGCAGCGCAGCGGAACAGCTCCCCCCGGACCTGCTGCTCCCGCTGCTCCCCGGTTTCTCCCACTCTCTGTCTGGGAGCCGTCCTTCCTTTTCTTTCCTCTCCCTCCCCTGCCTGCAGCTACCGCGCTCCCTCCTCCGGGTGGTGGCGCAGCGCTGTCCTTCCGCCTCCCTCCTCCAGCGCGCGAGCTGCCCGTGCTACTAATGAGCAGGCTCGAGGCTCCTCCCGGTCTGGGGTGCGCACAAGCCCCACGCCAGAAACGAGTTCGCAGGAGCAGAGCTGTGGATATGCCTTGTGCGGCCACTGGAGACAGGAACTGGAGGAGGCATCCAGCATCTCACACTTTCTAGCCACTCAGCTTAACTAAGCCATAACCCCAGACTCCTTCCTAAATATCTCCAGTAATTTACAAGTGCTGAAAAGTAAATGAGGGGTTTGAGCACATATCTGTGTTAACAGTATTGTCTGTATAGAGATGCTAATTTGGCTAGATTCTAGGGATGAAATGTTCAAGGAATGGTATATGATTCTGTCTGGTTGTTATTTTGACATATTTTGACCATACTTTCAGGTCTGTAACATAAACCAGCAATCTTCTAATCATGACAACACAGATTGCTAATCGAAGGCAACTGATACTTATTGAATACCAGGCTCTGTTTAATAGTCTCTTTTTTCCCCAGCTAATCTTTACTACAATTCTGTGAGCACTACTAGCATCCCTATTCTATATTTTAAGAATTTGAGACTGACTTTTAAAACAAGACGGTCTTAAAACAAGACTAAGTAACATGTTCCAGCTCGCAGAGATTCTAAGTTTCTGAGCCTGAATAATAACTGAAATCTGTAGCTCTCACAACCCATACCCTGTGTATAATGTGTTGCAGCATCTTGGATGGTACTGTGTAATTGAACCAACAAAGATAATAGGACTATCGGCAAATACACACCACAAGACGAATGAATTCCTAGAATCCTAGTGAGACTTGTAAATAGTCAAGCACCCTAAGTAACAATAGCTCAAGTTCATGCTAAACATGGTGATTACTTATAAAAGAACAGCAACCAGTATGAGTTTAGACAGACAAATAATGTTCAAAATGTTCAGAATCAATGTCCAGCCACATATGAGTTGAATTCCCCACTCTAAAAAAGAGGCCAGATGTGATGTATTCTAAGAAGTCTACAATGGGCATGGTCTTTTTGCAACCAAAGAAGGCCTTGTAAACACTTGTTTCCCATTAAGAATATGCAATAGCTAATTAATATTAAATTTGAAAATCAATGATAATTTATTTCAACTAACCTTACATGAAAAAATCATTACTCATTCAAGCTTTTAGAATTAGATTAAATAGCATTGAGTATCAAATTTACTTCAACCCATAGAAATTATAGACAATTAATAAAGTAAGTAATTTAATTAACTTTACTTTTGTGTCATGATGTATTTTTCCTTAGGAAAAGGATAAGAATTTTTTCCCATGGTATCAACTACTAGAATATGACTTTTATATTTCTCTTCATGAAGATTAATTAATAAAATAAGTACAGATATATTTATTGTCAATAAATCTATCCAGATCATTCATTCTCCACTCAAGAAATTATTCTAGGCAAGCTTTATTTCTCCATATGTACAAGGCAATTCAGAGGTCAAAAATTTTAAAACACTTAAATTAATATCAATCATTAACTAATTAAGAGTAGATTTTATTTATAAACAACTTTAAAAGGCTATGAACAAGGTATAACAAACTTCTACTTTATAAATACTACTACTTCTATTGAACACAAAGTTATATAATTATAGTTTTCTCCCTATTAAAAATATTTATTGATTCTGGCATAATAATGTCATACTCATCCCTCAATAATCAGTGTACATGTAACCAGAAATCTTTTTTATTCACCTCGCCAATGTAAGGATTTCTGTGTTTTGCGTGTTAACACTCTATTTATTCTGTGTTTCTAGTGCTTATCCTCAAAATTTTTATAGTTCTGGTCACTTATGAATTCTACCAATCAGCACTGTATAAATAATGAAAGATATAAAATGTGTTAAATAAATGGATGTAAGGTTTATGCTAAATTTTTCACATACTAAGTACTTCAAAATCCTTATTATTTTTCCTTAAGCTTTTATGTGCATATATTTTATCTCTCCAACTAAAGAACAAGCTTCTAAATAAGAATAGTTTTGTCTATAAATTTTACGCATTTTAACACATTATTAATCTAAAACCTTGGACTAGAGTTTGGAATTCTTTTATGTATTCATTTATTGATTCAAAAAATAGGTTTCCATGCCATTTTTTCTAAACCTTGTGCAAGATGTAGGGTATACAATGATGTCCAAACTTGATAGAGTCCTTGCCCTCATGGAGTTTAAAGTGCAGTAATGTAGAGTAATTTTAAAATCTATTTATTATTATTTAAAACAATAAACGAATACATTCTTGCCGAAAATAAATGAAAAGTCTGTCTGTACTCCTTGGCCAAGGCCAAAACATGAAAGCAAAAGAGCTGCCTGCCTGAAAACACTACAAGCAACTCTCAAGAGGGTTTCTCTGTTGAAACAGTACGTCTCATTATGGAAATAATGAGAAAAATTAGTAACTGTGCAAATGACAGCACACATGCATCTTTGTGGTTTCTGACCTTTTAGCATCATCAAAGCAAGACCACAAACCTTTCAACACCATGCGTGGTATTAATCTTGCACAGAATATAATGTTTTCACATATTTTATTCTGATTTCCTATAAAGTAATTTCAATTTTTAGCTAAAGCTAATGGATTTTTCTAGTGAAAATATTGTGTATTGAATGACTTTCCAGTGAGATCCACGTACCATGCGCCATTTTCATGCTCATGCTCATTTCTCTGAAGTCTGTTTGCCTTTAATTCACCATGATAAAATTCCTTGTGTACTTTTATTGGCAACCATCGCATAGTGACACTTGCATCCAAATGTAATTCAATTTGAGCTTGGCAGTGTTTGCTTTTTTATCAGAAAAGGAAAGTTAGAGGGAACAAGGGGCAAAGACATGTGTAAGAATATCTGAGGGGCCATCACAGCAGCATCACAAATTCAAGATTTGTTTGAAACATTAGGCAAGGGACTGACAGCCATGCCCTGGGATAGCTGAAACACTTTACAACCTGCTCATGTTTATGACCAAAATCATCACCTAAAATGAATTCAATGTGTAAATATCATAATATTGTTTGAGTATAAGTAATCATGAAGCAGCATTAGGGAAAGGAGTATAATCTAGTAAGAAATTGGAACAAAAAAATGTTAGACAAAATTCAAGAAGATTTAAAAGAAGAAAATTATCCTGTCTGTTCTGAACAGAATTGAAAAAGCACATCAATCATAGCTCTATACATTGACCATAGACTTAAAGCATAACATAAAAATAAAGAAGGCAGATAACTCAGGAAAACATTTCTATTGAATCTACTCCGTAAAGTTTTCCCATACTTTTATTTTACTAACAGGAGCATACATTTAAATCTCACAAAATCAAATATATTTTGCTGATTCAATTTGTAGCAGATAGAGGAGCATGTCCCAGTGCTATGACAGTGAGTTGTCACTATAACATACCACTGTTTTACATCTTACCTACAGGCTAAAATGTTTACCCCTAGAGTCGTGACTTTGTATATGGCAGGAGATTGCTACTAAAAGCAAATATACTTGGCTGAAGGGTAGATAACTCTTTAAGCCATTATATCATTCACTAAAATTTAGCAGGCATTTACATATTTACCTACTTAGTTCATATGACAAATATGTTTGAGAGTCTGCCATATACAAAAAAGAAAAAGATGGAACCTTACAAATTTAGAGATTACTTAAAGAAATGGAACTGAAGGGTTAACTGTGATGGCAAAAATGAAGACAGCAAAACCAGAGGGTACTTCAAGGAGAACAGTCATGAGAGAGGCATTATAATTTGGAGGGTGCTATGATTTGAACCTATGTGCCCATCCAAAGTTTGTATGTTGAAACTAAAATCCCAGGATAATGATATTAAGAGATGGGAATTTTGGTTAAGTGATTAAGTGAAGAAGGATCCACTCTCATGAATGAGATAAATGTCCTTATAAAAGACGCTTTAGAGGAGTGCCTGGCTCCTCAGTCTCTTCTGCCATGTCCTTACGTTGTCCATTTTTGCCCACTTTTGTCACGTGAAAACAAAGCAAGAAGGTGCCACCTCAGGAGAAGAGAGCAGTCTGGACCAACCGCCAAATCTCCGCTGCCTTGATTTTGGACTTCTCAGCCCCAGAACTGTGAGAAATACATTTCTGTTTTTTATAAGTTACTCAATCTGTGGCATTTTGTTACAGCAGCAGACAGACGAAAACAGAGGGTAAACAGCCTGGTGAGAGTGGATATTTTAGAAACTTGAGATGATTTAATGTCGCTGATTCTCCATTTTCTCATATGTAAAATGAAGGAAATAAAGCTGATTACTTCATAGTTCGTTGTTCAAATTAAATTAACTAAACTATGTAAATAAAGCAAGCAATATAGTTCCTTTTATCTAGTATATACTGTTTAAGTGTTGTTATTATTACATGAGGAAACCAAGAACTTCCCCAAACAGAAGGATGCGGCAACCAAAACCAAGATATAAGAAAGGACCAAAGTTCACTGTGACAATTTGGTCAAGTGCTGGTTAGGGAAGATAGCATAATGTTACGTATAGATATTATTTTAGGATAATTTTACTCTCCCCGAACTCCTCTAACACTTTCCCTAGGTCTTTCATTGCACTTCTTAGTTTGTCTCTTTAATTACGGTTATTTATATAAATCTTTTAGCTTCCTACAAAAATAAGCTTGTAGTGAGACAGATTCTTAAGGATCTATGTCAAAGCAATTTTTCTATTTCCTGCAGCAAGTAACCCAGTAGTAATCACCCAGAATTTGTTAAAGGAATAAACATAGGAAGATTAATTTCAATTTTTTTCTTTGCTAATTTTTAATCAGAATTATACCATTGTTAGGGAGGGAGAAATTATAAATTGTGAGGACATGAGTATTAATATTTAAATCTGTTATTCTGCTTTATTTTAGAGTTTGCCATGTTTTGTGATTAAAAAAAAGAAACAGGATATTCTATATAGCTGTTACAAAACATGTGGTCTGTTGGTGAACTAGCAGCACCAGCATTACCAAGAGTTTCTTAGTTTGCAGGACTATTGAGTCAGAATTCGTACTTTGACAAAACTCCAGGTGATTCATGCTATGCATTTAAGTTGGAGAAGCACCGTTTTATAGTTCTCCTTATGTCCTAAACGCATTGTCAGTGAAAGAAAATACTATACGTATGATAATAATAATGGTGATATTAACAAAAATGTAACTATTAGTAATTTTATATGCTCTCCCAGATACTAAGTCCTTTATTTAATACTTGTGATAATTCTGCGAAGTTGCAATTGATATCACCTACTAAACTGATACTCAGAAATCTGAAGTAATTCTCCAAGGTCACAAAGCTAGTGAATCACAAACAAGATTTTTAAACTCTTGCTGCTTCATTCCAAAGACTAAACTGTTTCTAACTCACGGTTAATACATTTGCTTCTACCTTCCATTTCCTGAATGTGGTTTCCTTTCTATTTCATTAACTTTATTTATTCATGACTGATTTTTAACCCTCTCTAATATTTTCAGAATACGGTGTACTATAGGTTAATAAGGACAATACCAAGTAATATCATGTTGAGAAAGCGTGCAGAAGTAGCATCAAAAAACAGAGACTTTTTCCAAAATGTTTACTGAAAATGTTCAACAAAAACAAGACTTTCTACTTAGAAATTCTACCCTGCATAACTCAAATGGAACATGATTATTAAAATGACAAAAAAGATTCCATAATTGCCTAAGAGCTAAGAATAAGAATTGCTATATAAAAAAGCATAAATATGTCATGTGAATGACATCTATAAGAATCATGGGAGTGCTATTTGGTATTTAGTATTTAGTTCCATCCTGCAGTATGATCAAAAAGAAGCATCTGTATAATTCACTGCGCATTATAGCACAATAAATCACCTCATTAGGCTCAGATATATGTAAAGATTTACAGTCTGGGAAAGTCCACTAGATATTCTTAATCACTTCTTAGACTGTACTGTCCCCCATATTTCTCTTTTTCTATAGAAAGGTTGCACATGGAAAGGCTTTATTTTAAATCTGGCAACGAATGGAATGTCTGTAAAGCAAGAAATAGATGGAAATTGACATTTTAAAAGTAAGATTGGCTTCTGAAGAGATATAACTGTGAACTTGGTCTTTTGTTGGAGAGAAGTCTTCCCTAGCCTTACTGTACTATTTTTCCCAAAGCACTCTTTGTATTGTTCTCCTTTCATCTCTGGCTCCTATCACATGGCCCCTCCCTCATTCTATCTGGTGACTTCTGAGAAAAATGCTTAAATTCTCCAGAGAAGATTGAAAACAATGCTAAATATTCCTCAGAGAAGCAAAATTTTATGTTAACAGTTTATATTTTCACATGAAATTCTCTATCTCCTCTCTCTCTTTCTGTCTCATATATGTATGTGTGTGTGTGTGTGTATATATATACAATATACAGTAGATATGTAGAGTATAATATACTATATATGTGTATATATAGTATAATATACAGTATATATGTATATATACAGTGTGTGTGTGTGTGTGTGTGTGTGTGTGTGTGTTTACACGCACTACCATTTACCTCCCAGGCTATACATCCTGAAATCTTAAAAGTAGAAAGCCCTCACAGGCCACAGTTGCTCATGCTTGTAATCCCAGCACTTTGGAAGGCCGAGGCTTGTGGATCACCTGAGGTCAGGAGTTCGAGACCAGCCTGACCAACATGGTGAAACCCCATCTCTACTAAAAATACAAAAGATTAGCTGGGCGTTGTGGTGCGTGCCTGTAATCCCAGCTACTCAGGAGGCGGAGGCAGGAGAATCACTTGAACCCGGGAGTCAGTGGTTGTGTGAGCCCTGACCATGACATTGCACTCCAGCCTGGGCAACAAAAGCGAAACTCCATCTCAAAAAAAAAAGGTGGAAAGGTCTTAAAAGACTTTTGAAAATGAGATTTGTCAAATATTTCTTATTAGAGATGAAGAAAATAAGTGTGGACCCACACGTAACCTGTCTGAGGTCACAGAGGTAGGGACCCACACATAACCTGTCTGAGGTCACAGAGGTAGGGACCCACACGTAACCTGTCTGAGGTCACAGAGGTAGGGCCCACACGTAACCTGTCTGAGGTCACAGAGGTAGGGACCCACACGTAACCTGTCTGAGGTCACAGAGGTAGGGCCCACACGTAACCTGTCTGAGGTCACAGAGGTAGGGACCCACACGTAACCTGTCTGAGGTCACAGAGGTAGTCAGGCTGCAGCAGACTTATTGGTTTTCCTCTATGACATGCATTATTATTGTTTTTGATCATTTCAAGAGGTTTCTAGTCGATAGTGGGACAAAATTTCTAATTTGGGAACCTAATTTTCTCTGCAAATCTTCTTTACATCTCTAGCTTATTAATACACCTCAGAAGTGTTACAGGAATTAATTAGCAGGATTTTGAAGAATATTTTGAGGTATGCTGGGAAAAATCATGTGAAGTATCAATTATTAGAAACTAAACAATCAATACTAGATATTGTAAAATTATATTTAAACTTCCATATGGCATAAATAAGTTATTTTAATGTACAAACAGTCATTGTACTTTGTAAATTTGCATATAAAATATTTGAAAAAATAACATTTCAATATGTAAAATGTAAATGTACAAAGGTAAGGAATGGAAAAAATAGGTGAAAATAATCAGGCTAAAAAAACAGTACAGTGTCATCCTCAGAAGACTATAAAATGATTCTCAACCTCAAGAAACAGAAGAACTTGAACATAGAAATTACCCTCTTCTAGCTATACTGATTATGGTACCTAATTTTAAAAGGCTTTTAGAGAGAAGGGAAATGTTTTATTATGTATTCAGCAAAGTGTTATGGTGATGTTTCTTAACTATCAGCTATTTTTAAAATTCCCATAATCTTTCTATAGATGACAAAGTTACATAAATATGAAGGAAAAGAACAGGCCCTGCGAAGGTGATAATACGATTCTCTTTTCAATGATAACATATTTCTAAGCACGCATCTGCTAATCATATTGATGTGCATTTAGTGTTCTTTTACCTACACCTGTCAAAGTGGCTAAAGTAATCCTTCATAAGGAGATAATTTTTTTCTTGTAGGTGATTTTTTTCCACATAATACTCTAACATTTCCAATTCAATTTTCCTCAAAAAAGTTTACATGATATACATATACAATTACTAAAACTTTGGCTGCATAAATAATTTAAATGGACTTTATTTCAAAGATAATATTTACTTTGAAAGTTGTAAACCTTTGAATCATCAGTTAATTAGAATTATCTTATATCTTTCTTTATAAATAAAGTTTTTTGTCCCTACATATTTATGATTTGGAAATTTTCACCTGAAAAATTTCATTTTCATTTGGATGCCTTGTCTTTAGTATAAAATTCCATATTTCAATTTCAATATAATTTTTTGATTTTTACTTGAAGTTATGATAAAATAAGAAAAGTGAAAAATAGAGATAAACTTTAAATACCATGTTATTTGTGCTTAATAATAAAATCAAGAAAATAAAATATCTAAAATAATTATAACTATTTAAATAAACAAAGTATCATATAATGGGCAAAATATTCTTCTGGCTAGTCAGATGATTTTGACAGGTTGTTTATGGGTTCTGAAGTTCAGTTTGCTCATCTCTAACATGAGGTTGAACTAGGTATGGATTGTTTGGCTGAACTCTGTAAAGCTGGTCAAAAAAGCTGCATTTGGATTCTTCTTCCTGTTACTGTATGCAATAGAATGCCTCCTGTCTCTACCATAAGATTCAGAACACAGTCTCTGACCTTTCCAAATAATTTCCAAGTCTCCTTGTTCTCCTGAAGCCTTCTATAAATGGCTCTACCATGCACCCTGTTTGTCAACACCAAACTCGAAGTATACCTGATGTCATCCCTTCCTTTACCATCTTCCTACCTGTATCCAATCCGTAGCTCAACCATTTCAAACTTGAGAAATCTCTCTAATGCATCCATTCTGCTCATTCTCTATAATGAGCACTCTAGGTCAAACCACGGCCAAACCCATCAGTTCAGTTCAATATTTTGATGGGTCCCTAATATGTCTGCATATTTCCACTTCCCCCTTCTACCATCTGTTCTCTAGAAAGCAAAGAGAGTAATCACCAAAAAAAGAAAAAGAAAAAGAAAACAGGAAAGGAATTACATCAGGTCACTGCCCTAGATAAATCTTCCAGAAGCTTCTCAATACTTGTGCAAGAAAGCTCACACCCCATATTCTGACCCCCTAACTCTAAATGTATGTATAACCTCATGTCATGCATCCTTCACTTACTATGCTCTAGCCACCATGGACTTCTGTTACTCATACACACTGAACATTCTCCTGTGAGAAGGCCTTGTCATGTGTTCTTTTGGTTGCCTGGAATTCTCTTGTCATCTTCCCCTCTTTCAGGCCTGAGCTTAATTTCCTCAAAGTGGCCTTTCTTGATCCCACCTTATCTCACTTCATCTTCAACCTCTTTTAAAAATCTTCAGTCTGATTTTTCTTCATAGCATTTATTGTAATATGTCAATATCTTGTCTATTTATGTGATTACTAACTTATATTGAGGAGAGCATTTTGAATAATATCTCAATAGGCCGAGTTTCTACTCCTTGGTCCTCATCCCTCAATTCCCAGCACTTGGCACAGGATCGAGTACAACAAACACTTACTGACTGGATAATGAACTGCATATAAGATAAAATCAAATAAACCTTGGGGAATTGTAGGCATGTTCCCTTACTCTTGTACTCTTATGCTTAAAGTGAAAATATATTCATGTTATATAATAAAAATATGTCCAGCTATATTAGTACAAAAAGGGTTATTTTTTATTCCTTATCCCATGTTGGTTTGGGTTTTCCAATAACCTAAAATGCAAATTTATATGCTGAAAGTTTATTAAGAAATACCCTTGGGATTAAAAGGAAGCAATATTGGGCAGAGGAAGGTTAGCTGTGATGCAATCTCAACACATTCTTCAACCAAACTTATAGAGTTCCTCAGAGGTGTCTGAATTGGGACATGGAGGGTGGGCTTCTGTACCTCACTCATCAGTCAGTCACTGTGTAAGGCTTCCCTGTAAAGGAACATGACCACGGGAATTTCTACAACCAAGAAATTTCCCATAGAAGGCTGATAGCTAAGGGCTCTCTGCCGCAGTTCTCCCACCAGCTAGGAAAATCAGTCCTTCATTTGTAAAGGATGTACAAGACAATATATCACAGAGGCCGATGTAATCATGTTGCAATTATCCTCAAGTCATCACTGAAACAGAGTAGCTGTTTTCTTCTACCAGCCATATTAGCTCACACATATATTTAAGAACAATATAAAGTGATAGATAAAAATCTGGGGCGATAATGGGAAAACCTTGTTATATTCCTGGGGTTGTTGTTAAATATTTAGGTAATAGATGTAATACATAGATAAATGTTTAGACCGTGGGCCCATCTAAAAAATTAAAATGCTGAGATTAGCTGAATTTTAATCCAATGAAGTACTATTTTTAAGACTCTTGATGAAGACAGATCTATTTCGTCTGTAATTAGCTTAATTAAATTATCTCCTTTTTATTATTTTACTGTATTTGTAGCTATCAATCCATTATTAAAGGAGAAAATACAACTCTTGAGAATGTGGTGGTATTTCCTATTTAGAGATTATCCTCCCCTGAGTGGCAGCAAAATGAACTAAAATATTCGCCAAATCAAGAAAACAACTTTACTAAGAAACAAGGAAATAAAATAATCTCATATAAACTCCAAAAATAATGACCAAAAACTATTCACTTGGACACATAAGAAAGCAAAGGTTGGATGTGGAAACCTTTGTTAGTGACCTCATGCTTCTCCCTAGATGTTTTTAACATTCTCTCTTAAACTTTGATACTTAATACATTTCCTAAAATTTGTCAGAGCAATTGTTTATTACGCTTCATTTCAGAATACTTGATGTCAAAAGACAAATGAAAAGATGTTGACAAAGCCTTAATATGAGAACAAAATATTCTATGCCAAGTGCAGTTGACATTTATATATTCCCAGATCATGGAAAAACTTTGCTTAATAAAAATAAAAATCCGGAAGTCTATTATCCATGTACCCCTCTCCCTCAAAGTGTCCACTAGAAGATGACTTTATTTTGATAGAGCAAAATAACTCACAACAAATGTGTTAGGATGAAAGTACTGATGTTAATATTGTATTGGTAAATAGAATTAAGTCCCTTTTTAAAGAAAAATTATACTTAGAGGTATAAAACAGGATATAAGTTGACAGGCTCAATAATCTGTGGTCAAGCCTTCAGTATGTATTTGCACCCAATTAAGGGGCAAAGAAGAGGTATATGTATAAGCTTTCTTCACTTTACAAATAATGATCATTCCTATGATGAAACTGAGAAATGTGCATTTAAACATATGATTGAAAAGTGTAAAACTATTAAAATTATATTTAAAATCCTATAATCTTTTAAAATTACTGAGAAATAGCAAAAAATATGACATAGGAATAAAACAGTATGACAAATATGGAGTCAAATAAAATAGAAAGAAACTATTAAAAATAGGCGAAAAAGCCTTCATATGTCAGAAATTGAAAAAACACCTATTACAACCAAAAATTGGGGGAAAACATGAAAAACAGATCATTAAAGTGTGTTATGAAAACACAAAAGCACACACAACACACAGCGAGTATATACTATAGACCCAGTAAGAGTGCCCAAAGCAGAAAGTAAATGATAGCAAAAAATATAACCTGGGGAAAGAACAAGAGAAGAAACTAGGAATTGAAATTGTAGTATCAGAGTTAGGAAATCTTAAGATATAATTTGTAATAAATATACAATATTTAGAAATCTTTATGTCCCAAATAAGATACTGTAGAAATACATAAAATCTGGACAAATTCAAGAACTACAAAGTGAAATAAGCATGACCGTACAGAGAGACTTGAAATCACCTCTGACAAAGTAAAAAGTCCCGTAAATAAAGTAGAAATGATCCTGTAATAATATCAGTAAGAATGACCAAGTAGCTATATAGTAAAATCTATACTTTATAGGATCTATATTTCCTAAGTATTCATAGCATAATTATGAAAATTACTGCTGTGTTAGGCCACAAAAATGTCAATAATTTCCTGAATAATTAAGAACATTTGTAGAACACACAGGATTATGATGTATTCAGTAAGAGCACATTTCTATTTGTGCCCACAAATTTACATAGGGAGGAGATGGCCACTCAGGCTCACGACCTGTTATGTCTTTATGGGTTACAGTTACTATAACTTAGCTGATGACATAGGCTATGATACTTGACCAAGGCCAAATGGGAGCAAAGGAAAATAAGGTGTCTTAGGGAACTGATTGTAGGAATTGGAAAAGAATAAATTTGTTCATGAATTCTCTGCCACAAAAGCTGGATGGAGAAGAAATGTTAGTTTGATATATGCAAAACAGCTGACACCACAATCCTTTCCAGTCCAACCATCCTACTGGCAGGGTGTGTACTGGGGAAATGAACGCCAAGTGAATTCAAAGAATTTGACTAAATGAACACTAAGTTCATCTGCAACATGGAGCCCTCTTAATTAAACGGAACCAGAGGAAGGAAAATTTCTCTCTTCTAGACACCACTGTGGCACAGCAGAAACTCTGGATCATAGTACATAGAGTTACAAGACACAGTTGTTGTTTATGACTCAGGTTGGCCCATCTATTCTGCCTAAAATAGTCTTCAGAGGAGGTGACATCGAGACTTTTTTTGTGGCAATTATAGCAAGTTCTGAAATTTTGAATGATAAACTTATGTGGAAAAAAAAAATTTAAACTATGCTTATTATTGGGAAAATTAAATCTTATATTTTTAATTACACAACACAAGAAAATCATTAGTAATCAGTATTTTACATTTTATGAAAAGGCATTAGCAGAAACTAAAAAGTTAATTTTTATTGGAATTGAGAAGAAATGAAACCGAATACCTTAGTCATTAATCAAGAATAAATTGGGAGAGTCCAAAAGTGTTACTCTGACTTTTTAGTTCAATCACAGTGGCTTTGAATATTTACTTTCAATGAAGGCAAGCCAGTTCATGGATATAAAAGGAGTTTATTAAACAAATGTCACTTTAATTTGTTCCTGGAATATATTACGTGAGCTTCTGGTGGCTGATTCATCCTGCTTATTATGTTTTATTCATCTAAAATTAAGATGAGTTTCATTTTATAGGGCACAAAAGGTTGGTAGTTGGGGGAACCGTAATGCGTAGCAGGTGGCAGGGAAAGCTAGTGAAGAATTAAGAAAGAGTGTACCAAAGAGGCACTTAATGTTTAATGAAAGCCAAAACATTGATAATTATAAAAGGACTCAGTCATATTTAAAAATGTATATTTCACTTGAAAACATTTCCTCAATTAATTTATTATGACCTTTAAACTTTGGTTCCAGGTTAAATGATCAGCTCTCACCTGGGTACACTCAGCATAACCTCTATACTTGATGAGTAAAATGCTCCCATTAAATATCATTCTCACTCTATAAACGTCTTTCGATATACTTCTTTATTTATATAACTCTCCACCCATCAACTCTTAAGAATGTCTTATTCATCTTTCTATCTACAGTGTCTAAATAAAAATATGTAAAGAATGAATGATCTAAGCTAATATATTTATTTATATTTCTCCCACCGTAAATATGCAAAGACTATATACGCAAACAGTAACTTAAAAGTCTACAGTTCAGAGTTGTACTTTGTAACTTAATGTATTGCCACATAGAACTCAATTTTTAATTTGCTCATCAGTTTTGCCTCCTCACTGTTAGAATTCAGAATTTATTATTTTGTAAATAGCAAAGTGTGTCCTGGCTCTAACAACCTTGAAATTTTTGAACCATGTTGAGAGGTACCTGGAGCAGAAACAACTATTTAACAGCCATATATTATTTCAGTTTAGGAAGAGGTGGACACAAATTCAAATGTGAGAAATACATTCCTTGGTTTTATGAAAAGTGCAAAAATCAATCGTTTCTTTACACATATGTGAAGCAAATATGACCCATTATCTTGAGAGAAACTAGAATATCCTGATCGCGGATACTTTAATCCAAAAATCCAGCTGTGAAGGAAATTCAAATTGCTGTTCAATTGTTTTAAAAGAGTTACGGTTCTATAGATATTGCAGCTTCTTTGGGGAAAGTGTGTTCTCATGTGGTAGTAGATATGATGAACTGTGGGTGGTTCTCAAGCACTTGTAAAGTAGAGTCATTAGTTAGAAATAAGGAATGAGGAGAAAGAGCACTGGAGACAAGACAAAGAGCATCGATCGTCCTTCTCAGGTAGAGACATTGTAAGAAAATGAACCCCAGCATGGCAAAGTTCCACCAGGCCTGGATGCTTGATGTACTAGACGTGGTCTCATTAAATGAGTACGATTTCACAGGTTTGTGGCCTTGCCAGCTGGGATATGGTTGCAGTGTGTAGAGTCAGATTTACCTTAAAGACAGATCATATTTTCTTCTTTAAATCATCTTAAGAAAAGACCGATCCCCAGAAAGGAGATGAGAATCAGGGAGGAAGGACTTTGACGAGCAGAAAAACAGGTTTTCAACTTTGTTTAGCCTCTAGTGGTAGTGCCCCAAGAATTTCAAACCCTTTAATTAATAAAGTTAATCTCAACCCTGCCAGATGAAGCAGTATTTTAATTCAGCATAGCAACTTCTTAGCAAACATCCACTCACTTCATTTAATGAGTAAAATGCTCCTATTAAATACACTCTTACAGCAATATGTACCTGGATTCTAAGCTTTGTTCTCAACTAAGTTCAAATGATTGCTTAGTATCTGGGTCCCCAATTAGACTGTAGATACTTTTCAAAGAAAAAACTAAAACCAGAAATACTTTTTAAAAATAACTGTAGCTACTTAATTAATGTGTTAATCTCTGTTAGTTTGTTTGATGGATTATATTTGCAAGTAGTATTTGTAATTAGCAAAAGGTCTTCAGAAGACATCTGTTAACTGCATATTTCTGTAACAGAATTGTGTCTTTTAAGAATTTTCCTCTACAGTCCAAATGTTTTTAATAATGTTTTGCCCATATCTTTATAGAAAAATTTCACTCTATGAAATCTTATAAAGCTAAGCTAATCCATTATGAAATGAAATCACTATGAGATTGGGTCATGATAAATCTGAGATGAAGGGGCAGGTTTCTGTCAGTTAAGTGCTTAACCTTTCTAGCCTCCATGACTCCCTGGAGCTATTTTTCACTTAAAAGCATCATTAACCTAATAATTAAGCAATGATAATATAAGATGTATTGAACTACTTGTAGAGGCTTACAACCTTTTGTCTTTACTTATCTGATTTTTAGTATTATAGAAACATCGACAAAAAAGTCTTCAACAAACATGTTAATATCGTTTCTTTAAAGATGGCAATATTTTAATGATGATAATATTAATAAGAGACATTACTACAAACAGCATTTTAACTTCCAAAACATTAAAAATGTTTCCTGTGTTTTACCATTGTTAACCTTGTAGCACTTCCATGAGATTTGGAAGACCCTATTCTTGCTGTGCAGTAACTTCAAGTTCACTTAGAAGAAATGGCTCAATAATGCTGATTCATTCTGCATCTCCATTCTATACTTTCTAGTTTAAGGCATTATCAAAAAGTATTAAGTATTCACTTAAATAAAATATTTTACTGGTTTGAAGTAATGCAAGGAATAAATATCTGTCACTCTCATCTTACAATAAATAGAGGAGGACAAAGCAAATATGATCATGAAAGATTATTGCATGCTTCTTTGATAGTATCAAGCAATCTGCTAGAACATTCCTCAGAGAACTCTAAGGTTAACATGAACTGGTTAAGTCATTCATTCATGCATTCGTCTTTTCAAGAAGTATGTTTAAGTATCCACTAAAAAGAGTCAGACATCAGACTAATTAAAATATGAACTCAGCAACTGCCCCTTCTTTCAGATTATGTTATGCAAAAGTGCTTTTTCATTGAAATGGAGGGATGTTAATTTGAATCATGTTTGACAATATCTAGAATATTGAGCTTGAGAAACATTAAAATAACCACTTAGGAAGACCATTTCTTTTTTTAGTTTTTATAAACCTGACTAGAAAAACTCAATAACATTTTAAAAATAGACTTCAGACATGAGTAATTGCAACCTTGCCACTTAAAAGTAGAATGCTCTCAGGAAAGTTGCTTAACTTCTTTGAAGTTGAATTTTCCATGTGTAAGCAGATTAAAAATACCTGTCTCTTAGGTTGTGGTAAAGTTTAAATGAAGTATATGTACGATTCTAAATACACGGATTTAGTATATAAAACTACCTTGATAATTAGTTTTTTGTTTCCTGGTTATCTATTCATGTATATTAGCCACCTTAAAATTTGTGGCATAAAATAGCAAATATTTTAGGATGCTCATAGTTCTGAGGGTCAGGAGTGTAGATGGGGTACAGAGAGGAAGGTAATTTGCCCACAAACTCTGGGGCCTCAGCTGGGAAGACCTAAGTAGGTGGAATTGTCTAGAGTTGTCTTCATTAACTTGCCTGGACCCTAGGTTAGAATCACTCAAAGGCTAGAACTATAAACAGGAACACCTATATGTATTCTCTTTGTGTGGCTTGGGCTTCCTACAGCATGACAGTTGTGTCCCAGTAGCACACACCCAAGACAAACCACTCCGGGAGCAAACATTCCAGGGTAACCAGTTGGAAGCTGCATGGCCTTTTATGACTTAGCCTCAGATGACAGGCTGTGTCACTTTCTTCTCAGCCAGCTCAAGACTGCTGAGATTTCCATGGGAAGGCAACATAGACCATTGATAAAAGGAAAAAAGTTCTAAAAAATTTGTGGAGGCTATTTTATAAAATCCACCACAGTTCCCATTCTCCACCATAAATTAAACATGCTGACTGTTGGCAGTACTTGCTGAACTAGGGAGTATTCTGCAACTATGTGAGGACATCTTCATTGTAAGAAGTTGGATCAAGATATCCTAGGTAATGTGATTCCTGATTTTGAGCTAGTTAGGAGTGATTTCAAGCTGCTTTAAAAGGGAAGTCGTTTGCTCTTTAGATGGAGATGTTTTGCATTTTATTTTCAGTGCGTTTTTTCCATTGGAATTTTAGGTAGTAAAAATTAATTTTGTTTATATTACGTGACTGTACATGGGGTCTTTCTTAGCATCCACCACATGTACTTCTATAAATAATTTGTAAGAAACTAAGTACTGCTCTGTGAATGTCACTATCAATTTCTTTAATGTTCACCATGTTAGAATGCCAAATATTGTGCTACAACATAAAAACACATTTTCAAATCTTAACAATTCAGTTAGCACAATAAAATTATGCATTCCATGTAACACATGTCAACTTTTTTTATTTCTTAAGAAAAAAATATGAAACTTTCATATTTAAAAATATTTACCTAAAGTATCATTGAATAAAACCCTTGCTATACATTTTTAAGTATAATTTGAAAATTACTTATATCAATCTCATCATCTTTTAATTATTTTATGCTTGTATCATGGCGAACTAGTTGACCTCCTTCTGAAAGGCACATTTGGTGTGATTGGCTAGTTCTGTCCTACACTCCAGTGATAGGAAAAGGCTCGAATGATGAGCATATGGTGCAAGTGTCACCAACTGCTGAAGAGAATTTTTGGATGTCTTAGACTTTTCTACTTGGAATGTAAAGCTGCTACTACATGATACAAAGTAGTAGCTAAATAATCCCTTTCTTCTCATTATTTTACTCTTGCTCCTTTTCTTCATCTCCCTTTATCTGTTTTGTGCTGTTTGGATTTGTTTTGATTCTATCTGAAATAGTGGTAAACAGCTGTCATCTTTTTCAAGGACTGTCACTTTCTGACAATTTGGTAATATAAGAAAGTATGAGACTGATGAAATTTTTTAACCTGACATGACTAATCATGGCTTTCCTCTGATCATTAGCTTCTAAAAGCACCAGGACTTCTTGTTTGGATTAATTAGAATGTCATATTAATATGCTGAAATGCCCAGCAGCAAATCACTTTGCTGTTGACCATTGTTGTTGAAGGTGAGTGGGGACAGCAGTGGAGAGTGGTGAGGGGTGCCTAGACCTTAATGCTTTACTAAAGATATTAAAGCCAGAAAATAAGTTTCCTTAAATTATTCATTTATTCTGACTCAACCTGCTGTTTGGAAATGGCATTTGATCTGATGCTTTATTCCCTAGGTTTTCTCAGACAAAGGACACAGGAATTGCTCCTGTTCAGGCTGTTTCTTCTCTTTTGTTCACAATTCTGAGTTTGCTTATTTGAAAAGTGTGGGTTACAGCTTATATGAGAATTAAGATTATACATAGCTTTTTCTAAAGCCTAACATCCTACAAAAGAACCATTTTTAAATACGCATTAAATTTCTCCTTAGAATTTGACTATAGCAACACAGTTTACATCAGAGTGCTATGTGATCATGAAGTTTACCAAGAGCAATATTCAGTAGGTGCCACTTTGCTAGAGGCTGGCTGGTTGAGTCTGTACTTACAGGGGGGTGGGTTCATTCAAAACTGAGCAATCACAATTCCTGCCCTTTAGCGCAGTCAGGTGGGAGAGAGTGGAGATACAGCGAGTTATCTAGTTACACCTAAAACTGTAGATAGAAGCTAATATTGTACATCTTGAAAAAACTTTAAGTTTTTTAAGAGTAAGAGAGAGACAATATTTGATCTGAAAGCTAGAAAGATTATTCCAGAAGCATGATGTGTTATGCACTGATGTAAATTTGGGATGTGGGGAGGGAACTGATTAAATGGTTCCTGGGTTAGACCTGGAGTGGAGAATATAAATTATAATCAGGTATACAGAAGTAGAAATAAAAGTCTGAAATAAAACTTGTTAAAGTCATTGATAGCATATAGGGACTGATTATAGAAGTTGACTTTCTAACATATGGCATAAAAGGAACCAAAGTTTGCCTAAAATGATGGAGTGGAATGGATGTTGACTCTGAAGAACTGAAAACCCTAGTGTCCTATGTGATTAAATATGTGATCTTGAAAAGACAGTTTGAGGGTTTTAATTCTTTCCTGTCAAAAATATCAGCAAATAAATATTTTTAAATAAAATTTTCAGAATATAGAGTTTGGGAGAAGATTTGAAAGATACTGAAGTTACACTAAGCACACAGCCATGTACAGTGGTCCTTAGGGTTTCAGATTAAAGTTTGTGGGAGAGAAGAGATTTCCAGAGAGAGGAAGTGCATGGCCCTGGGGCAGGGACCAAGTAAGATGTGAGGCTGGGATGACTCATCACTGTGATAAACAGAGTTGCCTTTACCCTCATAGTAATGAATGATGTGAGGCTGGGATGCCTCGTCACTGTGATAAGCACAGTTGCCTTTACTCTCATAGTAATGAATGATGTGAGGCTGGGATGCCTCGTCACTGTGATAAACACAGTTGCCTTTACCCTCATAGTAATGAATGCCATTGAAGAATTTTTAAACAGCTGTCACTTTAGAGAACAAACAGGTTAAAAGAGGAAGCAGGGAGATCCAAGAAGCTATGACAACAGTGCCACTGAGAGTAAAATAATACATTTTTTAAAAAGTAGGTAAAGAATAGTCACTCTCCATAGACAAAAAAGGTTTGTAAAATTCATCTTTAAAATTACTTATCCATTGTCAGAAATGGTGAATATGTTTTAAAAATGTCCAACTCTAATATGTTATACTAATAACAACAATTACAATAACAATTACAACTTCGATTTATTGAGTACAAACTGTGTACCAAGACTTACCTAAGTACTCTTCATTTATGTCTTGTACCAACACAATGAGAAGAATTTTATTAGCTAAGTTTTATATCTGAGAGGAGTTGAGTTCAGAGAGGTTTAGAAACTTGACCAGTGTCACACAGCTAGAAAGTTGTCAGCTAGACGCCTCTGAATTGTAGGCTTAACTCTCAATGTTGGTACTAACATCTGCACTATTTTCTTTCTCCTTTTACTCAATGACATTATTCCCTAATTCATTTTAACCCATTTACAGAGCAGATGTCAATTTTCAGAATTTACAAATAAGTTTACATCTCGTTGATTGCTTTTTATGTTGCCTGTTACCTGGGGACTCTGGGGGAGATCTCTTAATTTATTGATAACATATTAAATGATACTTTATAATGAGTATTTACTCATGAGATGTTTCCCTAAGGTAAACAAATTCCATCCCAAGTGGTAGATCCTTAGAGACTTAAGATAAAAAGCTGACTGAGTTGAGTATGCTCGTGCCTTCATGTATTTTTCCTCACATGTAGATTTTTTTAGATCATAGAATCAATCTACTTCTGGGCCTATAGAAGTCTACCCATTAAGGACAAATTCTATACTGTACTATGATAATTAATCTGGTTAGTTCATGCATCATGATGCATACTTAGAAAGAAAAAATACAAATAAATTTAGCTATAATGGCTTTTTGTTATTATTGAAATCTAGCTTGCTTCAAAATGATCTCGAATGACAAATGAGTCATTTACTTTAAAAGCATAGCCTAGATAAACAATAAACAAGAGTATCCTAAACTTACTTCATTAAAAAAAAAATCGGATGACTGCAAGATAACCATTTTAAAAATAAAGATGAGTGACGAAATGCCATGTTAGAGTTCTCTTTTTGTTTATCTTAACAGTTAAATAAACTTTAGCAGGTAATAGTCAAAATTTATTGGGACTGGATTTTTAAAACTATTTTGAGGGTTAAGTTTTTAATCTGAAAAAAACAGACTTTTTTCAGCAAAAAGCAACTGAAAAAAATTAGAGGTAGCTTCTGCTGACATCATGTTTAGCAGCAATTTTCTGTTATATAGCAGTTTGGGGTCAGCAAAAATATAAATATAGTCCTTCTTTTAGTTGCTTGGGCCATAGTTCATGTTGGCTAGCACAAAGCAGGATTTTTTTTTCAATTCATCTGTATTCAGAGCTCCCACATGGTTATTTACAAATCCCTACATATCTATTACAGTGTGTACAGTCCCAATGCTCATGCTTACCCATACATACTTCCAATCATATCTCTGTGGGTGAAATTCATTGCTAGAAAAGGGGAAATGTTATATAAAATATTTATAGTATGCTTTTTAAAGTAGGCATCTAGAAAGTTTTAATTATACAAAGTTTTCAGAATTACTTCATAGGTTCACAAGGCAAACACCCTCACAAAGTGTACTGTATGTGTAAGAAAAGTAGCTATACTTAAAGTAGACAATTATGTTTTATGAAATTTATGTAAGATGATACTCATGAGTTAGTTATTTCTGGCATAAGGAATAAATTCATAATAATATTTTCCTAAGAAGCAGTGTTTTAAAAATGAATGAAAACAATCATTGAAATCCAAAATAAATTCATGTATATTACTTTTGTTACTTCTTCATTTTTATAAATGTATGAAATACTTGTATAATTTTGTTACAGGGATATATTGCACAGTGTGACATCAGGGCTTTAAGGGTATTCAGCACTTGAGTAATGTACGTTGTGTAAGTAATTTCTCATCATTGGCTTCTAGCACCACGTCACCCACCTGAGTCTCCAGTGTCTATTATTCCACACTTTATGTTCATGTGGACACATTATTTGGCTCCCATTTATAACTGAGAACACGTGGTATTTGTCTCTGTTTCTGACTTCTTTCACTTAAGATAATGGCCTCCAATTCAATCCATGTTGCTATAAAAGACATGATTCCATGTTTTATCATTGAGTAATGACATGGTTTGGCTGTGTCCTAACCCAAATCTCATCTTGAATTCCCATATGTTGTGGGAGACACGCTGTAGGAGGTAATTGAATCATGGGGACAGGTCTTTCCCATACTGTTCTCATGATCACTAATAAGTCTCATGAGATCTGATGGTTTTAAAAAGAGGAGTCCCTGCACAAGCTCTCTTCTCTTCTCTGCCACCATGTGAGATGTGCCTTTCACCTTCACCTATAATTTTGAGGTCTCTCCAGCCATGTAGAACTGTAAGTCCAATAAATCTCTTTCTTTAGTAAATTGCCCAGTCTCAGGTATGTCTTTATCAGCAGCATGAAAACAGACTAATACAGTAAATTGGTACTAGTAGACTGGGGCCCTGCTGAAAAGATAGCCAAAGATGTGGAAGCAACTTTGGAACTGGGTAACAGTCAGAGGTTGGAACAGTTTGGAAGGCTGAGAAAAAGACAGGAAAATGTGGGAAAGTTCAGAACTCCCTAGAGATTTGTTGAATGGCTTTGACCAAAATGCTAAAAATGATATGGACAATGAAATCCAGGTTGAGGTGGTCTCAGATGGAGATGAGGAACTTCTTGGGAACTGGAGCAAAGGAGGCCCCTGTTATGTTTTAATAAAGAGACTGGAGTCATTTTGCCCCTGCCCTAGAGATTTGTGGAACTTTGAACTGGAGAGAGATGATTTAGGGTATCTGGCTGAAAAAACTTCTAAGCAGCAAAGCATTAAAGAAATGACTTGGGTGCTATTAAAAGCATTCAGTTTTAAAAGGGAAACGGAGCATAAAAGTTTGGAAAATTTGCAGCTTGACAATGCAATAGAAAAGAAAATCTCATTTTCTGAGGAGAAATTCAAGCCTGTTGCAGAAATTTGCGTAAGTAAAGAGGAGCTGAATGTTAATCACCAAGACAGTGACTAACATGTCTCCAGGGCATGTCAGAGACCTTTGCAGCAACACCTCCCATCACACGCCCTGAGGTTTAGGAGGAAAATATGGTTTTGTGGGCTGGGCCCAGGGACCCTCTGCTGTGTGCAGTCTAGGGACTTGGTGCCCTGTGTCCCAGCCACTCCAGCTGTGACTAAAAAGGCCAAGGTACAGCTTGGGCTGTTGCTTCAGAGGGTGGAAGCCCGAAGCCTTGGCAGCTTCCACGTGGTGTTGAGCCTGCAGGTGCACAGAAGGCAAGAATTGAGGTTTGGGAACCTCTGCTAGGTTTCAGAGGACATATAGAAATGCCTGGATGCCCAGGTAGAAGTTTTCTTCAGGGGCAGGGCCCTCATGGAGAATGTCTGCTAGGGCAGTGCAGAAGGGAAATGTGGGGTCTAATCCCCCACAGAGAGTCCCTACTGGGGTACTGCCTAGTGGAGCTGTGAGAAGAGGGCCCGCATCTTCCAGACCCCAGAATGGTAGATCCACTGAGAGCTTACACCATGCACCTGGAAAAGCCACAGACACTCAATGCCAGCCCGTGAAAGCAGCCAGGAGGGGGGCTATGCCCTGCAAAGCCACAGGGGCAGAGCTGCCCAAGACCATGGAAACCCACCTCTTGCATTGGCATGACCTCGAATTGAGACATGGAGTCAAAAGAGATCTTTTTGGAGCTTTTAAGATTTGACTGCCCTGTTGGATTTTGGACTTGCGTGGGGCCTGTAGCCCCTTTGTTTTGGCCAATTTCTCCTATTTGGAATGGTTGTATTTATCCAATGCCTGTACCCACATTATATTTAGGAAGTAACTAACTTGCTTTTGACTTTACAGGCTCATAGGCAGAAGGGTCTTGCCTTGCCTTGGATGAGACTTTGGACTGTGGGCTTTTGAGTTGATGCTGAAATGAGTTGAGACTTTGGGGGATTTTTGAGAAGGCATGATTGGTTTTGAAACATGAGGACATGAGATTTGGGAGGGGTTGGGGAAGAATTAAATGGTTTGTCTGTGTCCCCACACAAATCTCATCTTGAATTCCCATGTGTTGTGGGAGGGACACGGTAGGAGGTAATTCAATCATGGGGGCGGGTCTTTCCCATGCTGTTCTTGTGATCACTAATAAATCTCATGAGATCTGATGGTTTTAAAAAGGGGAGTTTCCATACACAATCTCTCTTCTCTTATCTGTCACCATGTGAGATGTGCCTTTCACCTTCCGCTATGATTGTGAGGCCTCTCCAGCCATGTGGAACTGTAAGTCCAATAAACCTCTTTCTCTTGTAAATTGCCCAGTCTCAGGTATGTCTTTATCAGCAGTGTGAAAATGGACTAATATAAGTAATATTTCGTTGTGTAAATATACCACATTTTCTTTATCCAATCATCCATTAATGGATACAGGTTGATTTTATATTTTTGCTATTGTGCAAAGTGCTACAATAAACATACAAGTACAGGTGTATTTTTGGTATAATGATTTCTTTTCTTTTGGGGATATACCCAGTATTGGGGTTGCTGGATGAAATTAAGAGATATATTTTAGATAATATGTGTTAGTGTGTGTATGATATTTTAAATCTAGAAAGTTAGATGTATTGTCTCATCTTAAAATCTGCCAACAGAGCCAAGCTTTAATTTGAGAAAAAAATGTAACACATCACATTCTATATTGCTTACTATATCCTGGCACTGGTCAAAATGTTTTACATATATATCAACTTATTTAACAGAACAAGGATCATAATCTTTCAACAACAGCTAAATAATTTTAACAACCAAGCAGCTGATATAGAAATAACTGTTTATAGATGGAACTACTGAGTTTACTCACAGAAGTAGATGTTTGCCAGCTATTGGTTTGGTGAAAGCATAGCTGTGATATGACACCTGTGTGAAGGAATAAAAGGTACTTGCATTTGGAAATGAATGTAAGGATACTGAAGCATCATTGAGTTTTTCACTGGCATTATAATTTTTTTCAAGTATCTGATCATAATACTATGCATGCTTCTTTTTATAAGCTCTCTTCTCACTATACCACCATAATATTAGCAGAAGGAGTGTGGGTGAATCTATTTCCTGCTACTAAATCAACTGAAAGAGTTACATCTGGCTACCTACCACAAATTAGAAATTCAGTAGAAAGAAGCTTAATCTGATGGCTCCACAAGGAAAATTAACAGGTTAAGAAGGTGTATGTACATCTGTGTATCTGTCATAAATAATGACAAAATGCTTTGAAATATCTACTAAAGGAAAATAGAATTAATTTATGATTGGGATACTTTATTTGTATTAATTAATATGATAATTATTTTAAGCACCATTATTTGATACAAATCAATTATAAATAGAAATCAAATCAAAGTAAAATAAAATATTCCTATGAGGAAAATAAAATATGATTAGATTTCTTTATATAAACTGCACTTCATACATAGCCCATTTTTAATTATAATAAGGATGTAGGTTTAGTCAAAATTTTAACCATGTTAAAAGTTAATTCTACTAACTGATTTGTGAGATATTGAGCGTAAGGCTGCCTCAGTGTGTACATACTTCCAATCATTCCACTTTAAACAGTCTTCATTTTTACTCATAAAATCATGAGGATTACTGTAACATTTTCAACCTAACAGGCATAAACCGCAAAATAATAACCCATTTATTTAAAAAATTTTAATTGCAAAATAAGTTTTATTTAAAGTATAATAGAGATACAATATCTCATCAAATATTGAGCCTATGGATTATGAAATATTGATGCACAGTCCTTAGAATAGTATTATAAAGAGATCACCGTGACTAGCAGGCATGCATTCTGCGCTCAATCCTTGGCATCACATACCAGCTTTAGTTGCTGAATAAGAGTTAGCTGTGACACACCCAACAATCAATACTCTTTAATAGCAACCATTATAGATTCCATGTCTTAAACTAAATCAACCATAAATATGTTCGCGAGTGAGGCTTTTAAAAAGCCAAACCATTAATCCTAGCACTTTGGGAGGCGGAGGCGGGCGGATCACGAGGTCAGGAGATCGAGACCATCCTGGCTAACACGGTGAAACCCCATCTCTACTAAAAATACAAAAAATTAGCTGGGCATGGTGGCGGCGCCTGTAGTCCCAGCTACTCGGGAGGCTGAGGCAGGAGAATGGCGGGAACCCGGGAGGCGGAGCTTGCAGTGAGCCGAGATCGCGCCACTGCACTCCAGCCTGGGCGATAGAGCCAGACTCTGTCTCAAAAAATAAAAAAAAAAAAAAGCCAAACCATTGACTGCCAAAAGTCATTTGCCAGGTCATGCAAAGGCTATACAATATAGTGACTAAGGAGCTGTACACTAGTTTGAATTTATCCCTACAGTCTGTTTAAATTACATCATCCTTCTATTTCTCTACTTCTCCATCAGTAAAATGGGCATAATCTCAGTACCTACCTTTCTGAAACATCATAATATTACATTGAGTTAAAAATGCAGGAATTTAAAAATACTCCTACTTTGTTAGCTGTTAATGATAGCTAAAATGATAGCTCAATTTTGAGCGGTGGTAGTTTCCCTCAAACTAATTCATTCTATTAGAAAAATAAACATCCACGTAAAGCAAAACCAGACTTGGAAGAAATATTGAATGCAGGTAGCTGATTGTTTAACTCGAATGTCTAAACACCCATATCCCAATGCCTAAATTCAAGTCAAATTGTAGGATACATTTTTCTTTCTACCTGTGCTTCCTGTCTCCCTTCCATCTTTCCCCATTCATGTATGACATATGTCCCCATTTTGATGAAGTAAACATTTTGTGCCTCAATTTCTCATCTTAAAAACCTAGAAATTTTTAGCTTTTTGTATAAGATTTAATATGGAGTTGAAGGTGGGCTAGTAAAAACAATATTAGGGGATCATTTTCTATTATCTCATCTTCCACTTTTTAAACGAGGGCCCAGAACTAATCAGGCTCTAAGAAACTTGCGCTACTGAAAATGTATACAAATTTGGGAAAGATAACTTAATTAAAAGACTGTTGATTTGCATTGAGAAACAACCACCATAAGATCCAAAATGCCTGAGCATTCTGTTCCCTGCCAAATTGTAATCCCTTAGCTTTGGCCACCATCATTGTCAAAGCACGAGGAATTTTAGTCTCTGTTTCTGAAAATGTCCAAGGTACCCACCTTTCCAAAAAAAAAAAAAAAGTCTGAGCTCCTACTGTTGACTTAAATCTTTTATAAATCTCTATCAAACTTTTCATGTTTACAGTTCTTATGCAATTATAAAACAAATCCAATACATGTATAACCACACAATCAATAAATTAAAATTAATAATTTATATCAAATGATAAATAATGTAGTTTTGTTGGAATTAATTTGACAATGTTTGATTCAGTTACAAACAGAAATGTAACTGAATGTGTTTAAAATATTAAAAGATGAGTTGCTATCAATTGTTTTGAATTTTAAACTAAAAATCAATAGTTACTATAAAATTATTATTAAATGTTCTAATAATTGTACAGAATCCAGAGCAACTCTTTTCTGAGTTTACCGTATAGTAATGTGTGCTTATATCAGTGTAATATTAGATAGCATGCTGTAGGAAAGACATCATGGGCATTCATTAAACTAGCTCTGACTTAATTTGTCCTCTGTCATTTTGTGAATATAATCCACGGACTACCTACTCCTTAACTCCTCAAATCTGTTTTCTCACCTATAAATAATTGCTACCTGAAAAAAATTGTGGGGCATATGAGATTTAATTAACACATGTTAATCATAGCACATGTCCTAGTATTTAGTAGATATTTAGTAATTATTAGTCAAAGCCAATTTATTTTCCTTTGGATTAATAAAGATTTAAATATTTGCCATAGGTTGCATTATGCAATTATATTTACCCAAAATTTTGAGGAAATATAATTTTTTACAACTTTCCCATATTTCTAGAAAAAGAAAAGGTAGCTTTTTAGAAATGGCACTAACATAATTGGTAGTTTTTCTTGATGAATATTTCTGAGAGAGATTACAGAAGTTATATATTACAAATAAATAACTTTAAGTAAAAACCATGATCTGACTTTCAGTGCTCAAATAAGTTCTTTCATATATTCACAATGATTTATTTTCTCATGACAGAACTTTATAATGAAACTATCTTACTCTTGGAGATTTTAATAGTTTTTCGGCCTTAGAACTGTGGACATTGATTAATAACAGCAAAAGGATATTGAGTAAATAGTAATGCAAAAAGGATTAGATTGTACATTCAGTATCATAAGAATCAGAAAGCTTATCCAATGTAAGTTTTACTAATTATTCAAAGGAAACAATTAATCATGAGACAAAGAACAAACAAAAACGGGTCCAAGACGACAAACATAACTCTCTAGGCCTTTTCTTATGCTATGAGGATACACCTGGCACAGATTAAAATATGAAGTTCTCCAGAACACATATGGAGTCACATCACATACACAGGAGGAGTAATTTTTGGTATAAAATATAGTCATTTGTCTTTGGATAATCATGCCTCATAAATCTTTGAAATGCATGGCTGTTTGCTATTGACAATGCTAGAAAATCAGGCATCTTTTGCCAAAAGTATTTCCAAAATAAGAACTCTCCCACCAGCAAATATCATCAATTTGTTTGCCAGGATGACAGTCATTATTTTAGTCTCCAGGTACCAAATTCTGATTAAAGGAGAAAACGTATTTTATGCTTGCTGTTTAATTATTTACTTTCTAGGATTATAAGATAAAAACAAAATTTGGCGAATAGTGGGCCCATTAACTGAATGAAGAGCGAAGTGTGAGGCTGTTGATAAATTGTGACCACTTGAATAGAGCAGAGTCAGGACCAATAACCGAGTAGAGATCAAGATACACCTGCACACAAGGCAAGTAGGCAACCAGGAATTGACATCATGCCAGAAATGGAAGTTGAGACAAAGAAATGTATCTAAGCAGGCAGTAAATAAGAAAAACTAGAAGAACATAGGCATAGAAAGGAAAAAAATATCAAAGGATTTGAAGGAGCCAGACTGTAGGTCTAGGTAGAGTCAGAAATCATTCAAGCCATCAGGGCATCGATGGTGCCATAAGCAGCCATCCGTCACTCTATATGCTCCAAGAGCAGCGGCCAGTATCAAGCAGGTGGGAGCAGATGCACAGTTATTGCAGCCTGGGAAGGAAGCTGTCTACGTAAAAACTGTACCTTTATGCCAAACCTGTCAACCAAATACTACACAATCAATAACCAAAAGGCTATACAATATAGTGACAATAACCAATTAAAGTCAGCTTGAGGAGCTAAAAACAAAATATTCCTGGGTTGCTTCCTCCTGCTACTTGTTCCTTGCTCTTTATTTTATGCCTATATTTAACTCCCCACCTACTTTTTTGTAAGATTTTAATGTCATTCATAGAACTTTGTTCATTATTTGATCTTGGTAGTAGATCCAACTTCTCTACTCTTCATTTTCTTTTTTTACATGGATTTTTTTATTTCCAACTTTTATTTTAAGTTTAAGAGTACATGTGCAGATGTGCAGGTTTATTACATAGGTACATGTGTGTCATGGGGGTTTGCTGCACAGATCATCCCATCACCTAGGTATTAAGCTCAGCATGCATTAGCTATTTTTCCTGGTGCTCTCCCTCCTCCTGCCCCCCACTAACAGATCTTAGCGTGCGTTGTTCCTCACCCCATGTGTCCATGTGTCCTCATCATTTAGCTCCCACTTATAAGTGAGAACATGTGGTGTTTGGTTTTCTGCTCCTGCATTAGTTTGATAAGGATAATGGCCTCCAACTTCATCCATGTCCTCACAAAGGACATGATCTGGTTTGTTTTTACAGCTGCATAATATTTCATGGTGTATATGTATGACATTTTCTTCATCCAGTCTATCGTTGATGGGCATTTAAGTAAATTCTGTGTCTTTGTTCTTGTGAAGAGTGCTGCAATGATATACTTGTGCATGTATCTTTATAACAGAATAATTTATATTCCTTTGGGAATTACCCAGTAATGGGATTGCTAGGTTGAACGGCATTTCTGACTTTATGTCTTTGAGTAATTGCCACACTGTCATCCACAATGGTTGAATTAATTTACGCTTCCAAAAACAGTGTAAAAGAGTTCCTTTTTCTCCACAACCTCACTAACATCTGTTATTTTTGACTTTTTAATAATTGCCATTCTGACTGGTTTTAAATGGTATCTCATTGTGGTTTTGATTTGCATTTCTCTAATGATGACTGATGAGCTTTGTTGCATATGTTTGTTGGCCACATGTATGTCTTCTTTTGAGAAGTGTCTGTTCATGTCCTTTGCCCACTTTTTAATGAGGTTATTTGTCTTTTCTTGTAAATTTGTTTGAGTTCTTCATAGATGCTGGATATTAGACTTTTGCTAGATGGATTGATGGCAAAAATTTTCTCCCTTTCTGTAGGTTGTCTGTTTACTCTGTTGATAGTTGTTTTGTGTATGTGTGTGTGTGTGTGTGTGCTGTGAAGAAATGCTTTAGTTTAATTGGGTCCTATTTGTCAACTTTTGCTTTTTTTGTAATTGCTTTTGGCATCTTGGCCATGAAATCTTTGTCAGTGTCTGTGTCCTGAATCATATTGCCTAGGTTTTCTTCTAGGGTTTTTATAGTTTGGCATTTCACATTTAAGTCTTTATTCCATCTTGGATTGATTTTGTACATGGTATAAAGAAGGAGTCCAGTTCCGGTTTTTTCAACTGATGCCAGCCAGTTATCCCAGCATCATTTATTAAATAGGGAATCGTTTCCCCATTGCTTGTTTTTGTCAGGTTTGTCAAAGATCAGATGGTTGTAGGTGTGCGGCATTATTTCTGGGTTCTCTATCCTGTTCCATTGGTCTATGTGTCTGTTCTTGTACCAGTACCATGCTGTTTTGGTTACTGTAGCCCTGTTTTATAGTTTGAAGTCAGGCAGTGTGATAACTTCCAGCCTTGTCCTTTTTGCTAAGGGTTGCCTTGGCTATTCACGCTCTTTTTTGGGTCCATATAAATTTTAAAATAGTTTTTTTTTTCTAATTATGTGCAGAATGTCTATGGTAGCTTAATAGGATGCATTGAATCTGTAAATTGCTTTGGGCAGTTTGGCCATTTTAATGATATTGATTCTTCCTATCCATGAGTGTGGAATGTTTTTCCATTTGTTTGTGTCTTCTCTACTTTGAGCAGTGGTTTGTAGTTCTCTTTGAAGATGTCCTTCACTTCCCTTGTTAGCTGTATTCCTAGCTATTTTATTCATTTTGTAGCAATTGTGAAGGAGAGTTCATTCCTGATTTGGCTCTCGGCTTGCCTGTTGTTAGCATACAGAAATGCTGGTAATTTTTGCACATTGATTTTGTATCCTGAGACTTTGATGAATTTGCTTATCAGCTTAAGAGGCTTTTGGGTAGAAATGATGGGGTTTCCTAGAATATAGGATCATGTTGTCTGGAAACAAAGATAGTTTAATTTCTCTATTTGAATATGCTTTATTTCTTTCTCTTGCCTGATTTCCCTGGCCAGGACTTCCAACGCTATGTTGAATAGGGGTAGTGAGAGAGGACAACCTTATCTTGTGCTGTTTTTCAAGGGGAATGCTTCCAGTTATTGCCCATTCAGTATGATATTGGCTCTGGGTTTGCATGTATGGCTCTTATTATTTTGAGGTATATTCCTTTAATACCTACTTTATTGAGAGGCCTACAAACCAAAAAAAAGTTCAGGACCAGAAGGATTCACAGCTGAATTCTACCAGAGGTACAAAGAAGAGCTGGAACCATTCCTACTTAAACTATTCTAAGAAACTGAGGAGGAGGGACTCCTCCCTAACTCATTCTATGAGGCCAGCATTATCCTGATACCAAATCCTGGCAGAGACACAGCAGAAAAAGAAAACTTCAGGCCAATATCCTTGATGAACATCGACGCAAAAATCCTCAACAAAATACTGGCAAACCAAATCCAGATGCACATCAAATAGCTTATCCACCATGATCAAGTAGGCTTCATCCCCAGGGTGCAAGTCTAGTTCAACATACACAAATCAATAAAAGTGATTCATCACATAAACTGGACTAAAGCCAAAAACCACATGATTATCTCAATAGATGAAGAAAAGGCCTTTATAAAGTTCAACATGGCTTCTGGTCTAGTCTTCGTTTTCTGTGCCTTCCATGGATAGCAGTTTACATTCACCTTGAAGATTCTATTCATTCCCATCCACACTGAGCATCTATCCTATTCCACATGATCCCAATGCTGGGCTTCAATCTATAATATCAAATTGAAGTCCTTTCTTCCCCAAGAAATAGGATTTTCTCAGATTCCCTTGAGAAAAAATATAGGCAGCATGAGTCAAAGTCAAGGTAGGTTTTGATATATCTGATTTAAATTGTAGCTACATAATGTCAAGTTAGCAGACCCAGATAACACATTTCAGTGACGAACAACTAAGTGCCAGATTCTAGGCTGCCATTTTTACATCAGTTATGCAGAAACACATTTTTTTTCTATCTTTCATTTTAAGGAAAAAATTTCTTGATGCTTTTCTTGGTTTATTAGATACAACTTCTAAAACATCTCAATTCTCTGTGAATTTTGATACTATAGGGAACCAGGACATGACACTAATTGAATAGATTCCTCAGAGACCTACAAGCTGTCAACTGTATAAAGATTTCTTTTTGTAATGCAATGTTTTGGTTCATCGCACACAACATCAAAACACTAAGATCAGAGAGAATGCAAAAGATGTTTTAACTGATACTTAAAAACAGAATACATTTGACCCCTCAAAGTGTCCCAGGAAGAGTAATTATTCCAAACATTTTTCTATATTCCTCACAAAACAGTAGAATCCCACAGTTAACTATCATTTAAAATAGTGGCTTAACAATTATCTTTGACGCCTAGGTGAACATTTATTTTTCTTGTCCCTATCTTTATACAATAAAAGTCCAAAAATACATAAAGTCACCTACCTACAATGACAAAAAGAATTGGCAGTGTAAGCCTAGGGATGTCCTGGAAGCAAGTCATGAGCAGTAACGCATTTGCATGCATTTGACAGTCTAGTAAGGCAGACCAATTATACAGCTCCCAAAAGGCAGCTTAGCGATGGAAAATTCCTTCAGTAGCTTTTTAGTTTATTTGATTGATTATGTATGACCCAGTGATAGCAGTTTGGATTTGATTGTAGATAGAAAAGAAAAAGAAAGCAAACCAAGCTATATTACTTAAAAGAGCAAGTATACAGAGAACTAGGCATGCAATTATTCATTCCATACCGGTGAATATTAGTTTGTGATAAATTAAAAAATACATTGCTTTGTATTTCCAGGTATTGATTTTAATCTGATTAAGTGAAATAACCACATGTCAACCTGGGGGAAAGACTGAGTGAAGATCATCATGATCATCTCAAAACTCAAAGGAATTTGCATCCAGAATGGCTTAACTTTGAAAATAAGTATCTCAGTAAAGAAAAGGGTTAATTTGTTTGGTTGTTATAGATTTAGAAGAAAGCTATGGATTTAGAAGAAAACTCACTGGATTACCTAAATAGCTTTATGTCATTTCCAGCTTTCATATCTCTCTACTTTGGAAGTAGATTTTGAAACCCAGATTCTATTTTGAGGCTTCTCTTGCCGAAGGAATTGTCATGACTCTTCTCTTTTCACAGGACCCAACTTTAACACCATTCTAATCTTTTCTAATTCAACTTCCTATGCTTTGTTTTCATCGAGGGAGTTAATCAAACAATAACCATAATCACAGTAATAGTAATAATTATGACTATAGTTAAGTTGTATTTAAATACTAGGTGCTTTGCCTGTATACACTCATTTTATCCTCACAACTATAGGAGGTAGCAACTAGTGTCATACTGAGGCATAGAAAGGTGAAGTAAGTCACCCAATTTTAAGTGGCAGAGGAAATTTTTGTGCCCATATGGTGTGGCTCAAAGCCTGCACACTTGAACACTATACCAGATAGCATGGACTACTAGGCAGGATTAAAGAGAAGTGGCATAATTGTACCACAGTTGGTATACTAAAGGAAAATTTAGTAAATATTGTTTCTAAGAGGAATACTTTGATTTTGTATAACAGAACAATATAAGTGAACTAAATATTGTTTAGGAAGGATTTTAAGCTCATATTGATTTAATCTGCCTCACTGGGGACGTGTGCCTTAAAAACCCTCTTACTCCTTTTTCATCTTAGAGAGAGGTTTCCTTCCCTTTTTTGTGAGACAGTGTCTCACTTTGTCAGTCAGGCTGAGTGCAGTGGCAGTCATAGCTCACTGTAGCCTCTACCTTCTGAGCTTGAGTGAGCCTCCTGTCTCAGCCTCCTGAGTAGCCACCAGCATAGCTGGGGCTACAGGGGTGCACCACCACATCTTATTTTTTGGTAGAGATGGAATTTCAGCATTTTGCCCAGCCTGGTCACTTGGAGAGAGGTTTCTAGTCGCATATTCAGTATGTTACCTTTCTTTAGATCTTGCTTATTCAATATTTTAATCAAAGGCATGAATAAAGATATAGACTGCAAACTTACATTGGCTTATTTAATACCAGACTCAAAAATAATATGCCTAAGTATATAAAACCAAAAGTAGTAGAAAGAAGTATCAAGTTTTATCTTTAGTTTTATGAAGTGTATTTTTTAAGATGTTTAAACTTGAAACACATGTCACAGTGTTATGTAAGTTTTGGTTCGTCTCGCTCTGCTTCTGCATAATAGGTATAAGATGATCTTTCAGAATTCTTAGCAACTGTATAGTACTTATCTCCTAGAACTTGTTCAATAATAATTGTTAGATGGATTCATGGACTAAAGAATTAATAGATATAGATTGAAAACAAAAGTATTTTACAAAGATCAGAATTAATTTACTAAAATCTAAATTTCTGCTAGTAATATTAAATACATGTGGATAAACTACAAGAATGATAAAAATATTGCATTGTAAGAGTCATTAAAAACTTGATATATTGTTAGACAACAACAGTATATTATGATTGTTTTTCAGGCCTCTTATTCCAAGAGAGATTTTAATACAATGCAAAGAATTAAAAATAACTTTAAAATATGATGAGTGCTGTGAAATTCATGAAACATGAATAAAACCTTAGGATATTCCATGTTTATTTCAAAGAAGATATAAGAAATTGATTTTTACATACTAAAGGCTTTCCAAAGCAAGATTAGAAATGTTGTGTTTTTCCAGAGACTTACATATTTCAGAAAAGCCAATTTAATCTCAAACTCTGAAAGTCATTTCATAAAGTACATTGGTAATCATTGCATCTGCTACTTCACAAGGTTTTGTACTCTTTGAAAAGTGTCAAGCAGATCACCTTTCAAAAATGTTCCAGTTTTCTACTGAATGAACTATAAAGGCCTCCCAATTCCATATTCAAAAGATTATGCAATTTCATGATTTGAAAAATTATATAAAGTCCTAATGAATTCATTCTGCAGCCTATGGACAATTTGAGTACTTAAATGTGATGAGATGAAGACAGGTAGTTGGAATGGGTGTAATAAGTAAGAGGATGTGGTTAAAAAGATATTGACAAAAGCTTCATTATACAGAAGTCCTGGTTTAAAAAAATGCCATGGGGCTGGGCCAGTGGCTCACACCTCTAATCCCAGCACTTTGGGAGGCCGAGGCAGGTGGATCGCTTGAGCTCAGGAGTATGAGACCAGCCTAGCCAACATGGTGAAACCCCGTCTCTACTAAAAATACAAACATTAGCTGGGCACGGTTGGGGGCACCTGTAATACCAGCTACTCAGGAGGCTAAGGCAGGAGAATCACTTAAACCCAGGAGGCAGAAGTTGCAGTGAGCTGAAATCGCACCACTGTACTCCAACCTGGACAACAAAGTGAGAATCCATCTCAAAAAATAATAATAATAAACAAATAACGGACATTGAAATAGTGATGTGAGTTCAGAGCTGGTTGAATTTCTCAGATTTCTTCAACTGATGCTCGTTTGAGGGAGATACACATAGAATTGCCACTTGGACATGGTCTTTTAAAAAATAACAAGTTTAAATTTGATAGAATGGGCTAGTTAATAAAATCAAGAATGATAGGTTTTTAAAATTGTAAAGTGGGAAAACTATTGTACAAACTGTGGATGGGCATTACTAACCTGAATGAAGACCAAAATAACAATTAGACACTCCCTCTTGACTGAATATCTTGGATATCGCACCTGGCTAACTTTGTAGAGACCTGTAGTTCCCATGTGGGTAATATGGATACATACTAGGATATAATATGAGATTGTTAAATCTGAAATGAGGTTATAAAAATAATTATCATTTCAAACATCAGGTCTGTTTTTTTTTCATAATTATATTACATTTATGTAGTACAAGGTGATGTTTTGATATACGTCTACAATTTAGAGTGATTAAATCAAGCTAATTAACATATCCATCACTTCACTTCCTTGATATTTTTGGGGTGATACATTTGAAATTACTCTTAGTTATTTTGAAATATACAACATATTATTATTGATTACAGTCATCCTGCTTTGCAGTAGATCTCAAAACTTATTCCTCTTGTCTAGCTGAAACTTTGTAACTTTGGACCAGTAATTCCTCATTCCTTCACTCCTCACCTACCCACTGCCTCTGGGAACCATTATTCTTCTATGAATACAAGTTTTTTTAATGCTTTAAGTTCTGGGATACATGTGCAGAACATGCAGATTTGTTACATATACTCTTACTGCATATTTCCGTCCCTTGTTTTTTTTGTTTAAGAAATACTTACTTATGCCTAGACCCTATTCCAGACCAATTAAATCAGAATTTCAGAGGGAGTGGCCTATGAGCCTATGTTTAAAAAGTTACCCAGATATTTTGAATATCAAGCAAAGGATGATAGCTGCCGTCTCTAAATCCTGAAGAGCCTAAATTTCCAAAAAAGAGTTTTTGTTTTATTCTGAAGATTTGAGTGCCATAGCAATGTCAGAAAGATGGACTATAGAGGAATAAAAATGAAAAGGGGGAAAAGGCCAGTTTAAAAAATATAATATAGTCCACGTGAGAGAGGATGATAGTAGGGAATATGAGGCTAGATAGAGTAGAATTATATCAGCGGTAAAATTAAGTGGGTTTGGCGATGTAACAGATTCAGTGGAGGAAGTGGGTGAGATGAATGGACACGAGGTAAAAATAAAGGCGGAGTGTCTGGCTTTGATAACCAGGTGTGTGGTATTCCCATAACTTGCCTGTGCAAAGCAGGAGAGGAGTAAGTTGGAAGAGGAAGTATGGGAGAAGTGAAGAGGAGGAGTTCCATAATGAGCATGTGGAGTTTGTGAATACCATGGCGTTTCCCACTGGGGAAGCCCAGAAGGGAGGCCCATGTGTGTCTCTAGCAGGAAAGAAATGTTGAAAATATAGGTGCAGATTCAAGAGGAATAAAATGGCAGGTGCTTCTGGAGCCATGGCTGCAAATTAAATAACTATTAAGAGATTACAGATTATAAGAGCAGAGGATAGAGAGTCAGCTCTTAAGAAGCACCAGAATTTAAGAGCTGATGAGAGAAGCCTAGAAAGAATAGCAATGGGAGACCTTAGAGGCATAAGTAAGCCAAGCAAACATGGTGTCACAGAAGCTTATAAGAGAAGGTAATTTAAAGAATGAGAGGCCAACAACCATATACTTACTTACATAAAAAACAAAACAGAAACTAGAGCCTGCAAATGAATACAGCCAAGAATCAAAAGTTTGAACAACACTTCAAGGCTGGCACTACTGGCAACTTGATAATGTTTGTATCAGTTGGGATTATCCCGTGAATTAATGAAAATATAGCTACAGGGCACATAGGATCAACTTCAAGCAACCTGAGGTTAATAATTGTGAATTACCCATTTTTCTATCACTACTCCCCCAACATATTCCATAATACCTAGAGTATTGTGAGTGATTATTATATCACTATACCTTTTGTTATTCAGTAGCAGACTGAAATGGCAAAAAGATTAGATCCAAAGTGACAGCACATGAGAAGTTAATGTCATATTCATTCATTTTTATTGTATATTTAATGTTTTGATACACATATACATAGTAAAATGGTTTCTATAGTCAAGCAAATTAACATATCCATCATCTCAGTTACCTTTCTTTTTTTTTTAATCATACTTTAAGTTTTAGGGTACATGTGCAGAATGTGCAGATTTGTTACATATGTATACATGTGCCATGTTGGTGTGCTGCACCCATTAACTCCTCATTTAACATTAGGTATATCTCCTAATGCTATCCCTCCCCACTCCCCCCACCCCACAACAGTCCCCAGTGTGTGATGTTCCCCTTCCTGTGTCCCTGTGTTCTCATTGTTCAATTCCCACCTATGAGTGAGAACATGTGGTGTTTGGTTTTTTGTCCTTGCGATAGTTTGCTCAGAATGATGGTTTCCAGCTTCATCCATGTCCCTACAAAGGACATGAACTCACCATTTTTTATGGCTGCATAATATTCCATGGTGTATATGTGCCACATTTTCTTAATCCAGTCTATCATTGTTGGACATTTGGCTTGTTTCCAAATCTTTGCTATTGTGAATAGTGCCACAATAAACATACGTGTGCATGTGTCTTTATGGCAGCACGATTTATAATCCTTTGGGTATATACACAGGAATGGTATGGCTGGGTCAAATGGTGTTTCTAGTTCTAGATCCCTGAGGAATCGCCACAATGACTTCCACAATAGTTGAACTAGTTTACAGTCCCACCAACAGTGTAAAAGTGTTCCTATTTCTCCACATCCTCTCCAGCACCTGTTGTTTCCTGACTTTTTAATGATTGCCATTCTAACTGGTGTGAGATGGTGTCTCATTGTGGTTTTGATTTGCATTTCTCTGATGGCCAGTGATGATGAGCATTTTGTCATGTGTCTTTTGGCTGCATAAATGTCTTCTTTTGAGAAGTGTCTGTTCATACCCTTCGCCCACTTGTTGATGGGGTTGTTTGTTTTTTTCTTGTAAATTTGTTTGAGTTCATTGTAGATTCTGGATATTAGCCCTTTCTCAGATGAGTAGATTGCAAAAACTTTCTCCCATTCTGTAGGTTGCCTGTTCACTCTGATGGTAGTTTCTTTTGCTGTGCAGAAGCTCTTTAGTTTAATTAGATCCCATTTGTCAATTTTGGCTTTTGTTGCCATTGCTTTTGGTGTTTTGGACATGAAGTCCTTGCCCATGCCTATGCCCTGAATGGTATTGCCTAGGTTTTCTTCTAGGGATTTTATGGTTTTAGGTCTAACATTTAAGTCTTTAATCCATCTTGAATTAATTTCTGTATAAGGTGTAAGGAAGGAATCCAGTTTCAGCTTTCTACATATGGCTAGCCAGTTTTCCCAGCACCATTTATTAAATAGGGAATCCTTTCCCCATTTCTTGTTTTTGTCAGATTTGTCAAAGATCAGATAGTTGTAGATATGTGGCATTATTTCTGAGGGCTCTGTTCTATTCCATTGGCCTATATCTCTGTTTTGGTACCAGTACCATGCCGTTTTGGTTACTGTAGCCTTGAAGTATAGTTTGAAGTCAGGGAGCGTGATGCCTCCAGCTTTGTTCTTTTGGCTTAGGATTGACTTGGCAATGCGGGCTCTTTTTTGGTTCCATATGAACTTTAAAGTAGTTTTTTCCAATTCTGTGAAGAAAGTCATTGGTAGCTTGATGGGGATGGCATTGAATCTATAAATTACCTTGGGCAGTATGGCCATTTTCACGATATTGATTCTTCCTACCCATGAGCATGGAATGTTCTTCCATTTGTTTGTATCCTCTTTTATTTCATTGAGCAGTGGTTTGTAGTTCTCCTTGAAGAGGTCCTTCGCATCCCTTGTAAGTTGGATTCCTAGGTATTTTATTCTCTTTGAAGCAATTGTGAATGGGAGTTCACTCATGATTTGGCTCTCTGTTTGTCTGTTATTGGAGTATAAGAATGCTTGTGATTTTTGCCCATTGATTTTATATCCTGAGACTTTGCTGAAGTTGCTTATCAGCTTAAGGAGATTTTGGGCTGAGACGATGGGGTTTTCTAGATATACAATCATGTCATCTGCAAACAGGGACAATTTGACTTCCTCTTTTCCCAAGTGAATATGCTTTATTTCCTTCTCCTGCCTGATTGCCCTGGACAGAACTTCCAACACTATGTTGAATAGGAGTGGTGAGAGAGGGCATCCCTGTCTTCAAAAAATCAATGAATCCAGGAGCTGGTTTTTTGAAAAGATCAACAAAATTGATAGACCGCTAGTAAGACTAATAAAGAAGAAAAGACAGAAGAATCAAATAGACACAATAAAAAATGATAAGGGGATATAACCACCGATCCCACACAAATACAAACTACCATCAGAGAATACTACAAACACCTCTATGCAAATAAACTAGAAAATTTAGAAGAAATGGATACATTCCTCGACACATACACCCTCCCATACTAAACCAGGAAGAAGTTGAATCTCTGAATAGATCAATAACAGGCTCTGAAATTGAGGCAATAATTAATAGCTTACCAACCAAAAAAAGTCCAGGACCAGATGGATTCACAGCCGAATTCCACCAGAGGTACAAGGCGGAACTGGTACCATTCCTTCTGAAACTATTCCAATCAATAGAAAAAGAGGGAATCCTCCCTAACTCATTTTATGAGGCCAGCATCATCCTGATACCAAAGCCTGAGACACAACAAAAAAAGAGAATTTTAGACCAATATCCCTGATGAAGATCGATGCAAAAATCCTGAATAAAATACTGGCAAACCGAATCCAGCAGCACATCCAAAAGCTTATCCACCATGATCAAGTGGGCTTCATCCCTGGGATGCAAGGCTGGTTCAATATACACAAATCAATAAACGTAACCCAGTATATAAACAGAACAAAAGACAAAAACCACATGATTATCTCAATAGACGCAGAAGAGGCCTTTGACAAAATTCAACAACCTTCATGCTAAAAACTCTCAATAAATTAGGTATTAAGGGATGTATCTCAAAATAATAAGAGCTATCTATGACAAACCCACAGCCAATATCATACTGAATGGGCAAAAACTGGAAGCATTCCCTTTGAAAATCTCAGTTACCTTTCTTTTGGATATGTGTGTGAGGAAAGAGTACCTACAAACTACCCTTTCAGTAAAATGCCAAATACAATCAATATTAATTCCTACAGTCCTCATGTTGTGCATTAGCTCCCTCAACTTGTTAATTCTACATATCTGCAACTTTGCATCCTTTGAATTCTCTATCTCCATTTTCTCTCATCACCCCCAGCCCCTGGAAACCACTGTTTTATACCCTATCTCTGTGTATTTAACTTTTTGTTGTTTTTGTTCTGAGAAGGTTTGTTGGGACTTTCAGCTAGGAAATAACATGTTCTGAGTCTTGGGTATCTCAAATGACAGCATGTAAGAAGTTTCTCTTGTCTGGAGAGCAGAGTGCCAGTGCATAATTTTATGCAGAAGAATGAATAAAGAGAATTCTCTACTTAAAATTTGAATCAGAAATATGGCTCATATTTTTATGTACAAGAATCTCTAAGGCTTCTTGGAAAGGAACTAGCTGCCTGATTTTTTTTTCATTTGAATCCACTGATACATGAAGAGGATGATTCTCCCACACCAATCACAAGAATGATATCTGTAGAATCAGAAGCTGAAATCCTATTATCCTAGAACTTTTTTAAGAAAACTTTCATATGTATTGAAATGTCATGCTGGTCATATATTTGATAGCAATGAGGAATTTATTTATTATATACTTCAGCTTTTTAGCCCTTTCCCTGCCCACCAGAAATGTTTCTTTTGAATCCAATTTGGTCCTCAGAGTTTAAGAATGTTAAGGCATGTATAGGGGTTTCTTTTTTCCTTTCTTTTTTTTTTTTGTCAAGCTATTGTATATTTTTACTTTACCTGTTTGAAATGTAGTTACTATTTGTTTGGACTCTCATATCAGAAAAAAAATTATAGTGAATTTTACATGTATGGAGTCTTCATTAATCTGTATAAACTGACAAGTTTAGAATATCAAAGTCAACACTGTAAGAAATGAAGTGATATCTGGTCTATCTCCTTGCAAATAAAAGAATAATAAATTCTGTACTATTATGAAATATATGAGCTTGAAAATTTTTCAAGTGCCTTGTATAAAATGGCTTTTCGAATTCAAGGTATAAACTACAACAAAACAGTTTCGAGATCTAGTTTGATTGCAGAGTGCATGCTTACTCATTTATATATTCTCTGCAATTTCTGATTCAAGACATTTCACAATTCTAAAGGAAAACCAAAATAGGATAATAATTACAAAACAAAACAAAAAGTAATTGAGGAAGATAATTGAGCAACTTATTCTCAACAACTAGCTTTTTAACAAACAGAAAAATGCACTAAAAATACTGCCTAGTTGTTTAAAGTAGGCTGAGACTGACTGTATGCCCTAAGTGAGTGTCATAAAGAAAAAATTACCTTTGAGGGAACACAGTGGTTAAATTTAAAAGATTTATTGTTTAACCTCAGGAAGACTTTCAGTAACTTCTTATAAAATGTATACATTTAATGGAAGACATGCTATGCTTCTTATAAGAATTTGTTCCAAGTCACTGTGTATAATTAATGGCTTGTCTACATATTTTTTCAATAAAACTGTTCGTGCAGAATTTTAAGTAGGCACTTTCAATACCAGAATGAATGTATCTTTGTGAAGATACCATTTACGTACCATAACATGCAAAGCATAATAAGGAGATTTTGATACACTGCAGATTTAGAACTGAGTTGGAAAACAAAACTTCAGGATACTGTCTTGTCAGCACAAAGCAAATAAATTCATGAAAGTTGAGATTTAAATTCACAAACTTATCAGCAATAAAATCAAAGTAATTTTATTATAAGTTTTTTGACACCAGATTATATGGGGTAGATAATTTACTTTCTAATCAAGCAATTGATACATATAAACCTGAAATAGAGAGTTCTGCCTTTTAATTAGATACATTGTTAAGCAAAGAATGGTTGAAGCAACAGTTGAGAATTACCTTTTTCTCTTTTTGCTGTTCTTACAAGGACAGTTTCTAGAATTGTTTTCAAAACAATAGAAAAGAAAATTTCACTTACTCACTTAATTTAACTTTTGTTAATGTACTTTGCCAAAATTAGCAAACTATGAAAGGAAAGTTTGCCTTTTCAATATATATGTAAGTGGCAAGTAAAAGTTGTTCTTAAATCACATGATCTGATAGAAATAACATGGGATCCAAAAGAGTTCTGAAGGTGTTCAGGAAATGCCAGCCCTAAGTGGATTGCTTTGGCGTACTGATTACATCGAACTGAAAATATTTGAAAAACAACAAATGCGGGACATGCTTTCTCTGCACTCCCTTTACCTTCCTCAAGAGAGACCCTCCAAAAGGAACTTTCAGTACCAGAATGAATGTATCTTTGTGAAGATACCATTTATCTACCATAATATCCAAAGCATAATGAGGAGATTTTGATACACTGCAGATTTAGAACTGAAATGGAAAACAAAGCTTCAAGATATTGTCTTGTCAGCACAAAGACATTCATCTCCTTCCTAGGAGTTTCATTAACCAGGGAAAATTGACTCCTCCTATCACAGGAGAGAAGACTAAGAGTCCATACCACACCAAGACAGACTGTCACAAACTATCATCTATTCTGCTAAGGGTCTGGTCATCTTTCCCAAAAGTCATTTGCTCTCCCCTAAGTTTTCTACATTCTCCCTCCTGCCTTCCCTATAAGCTCCTAAATCTCACTGGGTTTTTTCTTGGTGGCGTTTTGTTTTGTTTTGTTTTGTTTTTGCATCAACTTTTCTTTCCTGTGATTCCCCCATGCATGTAATAAATGTGTACACCTTTTCTTCTTTTGACATGCCTGTTATCCATTTATTTCATAGACTCAGTTATCATACCTTCAGAGGGTAGAGGGAAAGTTCTCCCAGTCCTACAGTTCCAAAAGAAAATAGCTTGTAACTGAAAATGCAAAAGGCATATAAACTTTGGACAAAGTTAGCTTCTTATACAATATGTTCAGAAAGAAGAGGTGTGTTGCAGACGAAGGGACATTTCCCTGGTCTTAGCTCCTAAGTTTCTCTGAGAAGAAGCAGCTACCAGCAGTTAAACACCGGACTCCCAAATTATAAAAGCCCAAGTGTTGAGGTTAAATCATTAGTTGTCACCTGTGAATCATAAAGTCTGAACTCTTTAAATTACAAACACACATAGAAAGGGGATTCTTATACAGGGATCCATGAGTGGAACTGCAAAGTTTTGTCAAAATCTGTATATATGTTTTCTTTTTAAGGGTCATAGATTTCAATATATGTTAAAAGATATCTGGAGCCAGTAAAGATTAATAATCATTTTCAGTTTTGTGCTGAAGCTGGCTTATCCTGGCCTGTACCAGCTTTTGAGAGCTGATTATTAAATTTTCAAAAATGTTGTGAACTGGTTATCAAATTGCTGGTAGCTTAAAATTGGCCAGGGTGGGAGTATTTAAAACATGGAAATGGGCAAGTTGTACAAATTATGGCTTTTCTCCCTCCAACACACCCCCTCCCGCCCCAGCACACCACTGGCTCATCTTTATTTTCAGGAGAGAAAAAGATATTTCATATGAATAAAGGTAAATTATACACTTGTTTGTTTTATACTTTTCCACCTCTTAAGCTTAATTGTGTTTTAATAATGTGTAATTGAATACATTAACATTTAGATGTTAGTAAACTAATAACAAATGTTCATTAATTATTTCTCTTGAGTAGAGGAATACAAATTTTGCACCTGTTGTTGTATAGAATGATTTTTAAAATCTCATTCAATCCCCCAGAAATTTAAGATTTTTTTTCAAGAATTTATATATAAAATTTTTACTTATAAGCAGATAGCTCACAAAAAGTATGGGTTTTTTTTGGATTATAAATGAACTATTCCACTCACCAAACTGCTGAGACATTTTATTTTCTGGTATTTTGAAATGAAAACAAAACACAAGAATGTGATGATGAAGCAAGTGAAAATTAAAAGGGTACAGACTTTAGAAGTATCATAAGCTAAAAATAAAATGAAACAAATCTGTAAAGGAACCAAAAGCCCAGGCAGATATAACACAGTAAATTATGAGAGGCTAAAAAAATGAGGAGGTGACAAACAATAAAGTGAAAATCTCTGATAAAGCCAAAAATATTTGAATGGCAGTCAACAAAACAGAAGAAAAACATGACACTCATGACAAGGCAGAACTATGGAAATGCATCCCCAGGGGTAATACAATAGAGCTGTGAATTAGTGGAGGCGGATCACCAATACTGGGCAACTAAAGCCCGCTAACATAATTCAAAGGATGGAGAAATTCTGTAAAGATAAAAAGTCTGAAATCTATTATGGTATAGTCAAATGAGTGTCATTTCTAATATACACACTTATTTTTCAAGAGTTGATAATATGAAGTAAAAATTTAGTATGCAAAGTTCAAATTTTCCATTTGTTGACCAATTCATTTTTATTAAATATTTTCCAGCAATTAAGCTAAAGTGGTACCAGAACAGAGTAGACATTCTGAGCTTTCACTTTACAAAAGCTACACATAAATCTAGATACTTTTTAAGGGTATAAACAAAGTCAGAGCCTGTGTGATATTTCAATAAACAACTGGAGAAAAATTTTCTTTAAGAATAGATTACATACATATTGACCTCTTTGAGATCCTTATTCTGAGATTCAGTTCAGAATCTGGGGTTTTGTTTTGTTTTGTTTTCAGACGGAGTCTCTCTCTGTCACCAGGCTGGAGTACAGTGCACAATCTGGGCTCACTGCAACCTCCGCCTCCCGGGTCCAAGCGATTCTCCTGCCTCAGCCTCCCGAGTAGCTGGGACTACAGGCACGTGCCACCACACCCAGCTAACTTTTGTATGTTTTTTTAGTGGAGATGGGGTTTCACCATGTTGGCCAGGATGGTCCCGATCTGTGGACCTTGTGATTTGCCTGCCTCGGCCTCCCAAAGTGCTGGGATCACAGGCGTGAGCTACTGCGCCCAGCTCAGAATCTGGGTTTTAACCAGATTTGCCATTATAAAATGAAATGAAACCAAAACCACCAGTCAACATCTGTAGCAGTGTTATTGTTGGGGAGCATGCACATTTGTTTGAGCTTATTTATATATACAGAGCTGTTTAGCTTAATATTTAAATTGAAAATTTTTAGTATTTTTAGAATGTTTTAGATACTTTGATGAATAAATTTTGTGTTAACAAACTACTATTAAAAAAACTTATAGGTTATATATTTCTGAACACATTGGCAGATGTAAATGACAAAGTTATATTCACACAATCATCAGTTTTTCTTGTACAGAATTGACATTTTGTCAAAAAGTTAAAATCTTTGAAATGTATTTTCTGTCCTCATCTTTCCCCTTTTGAGCCTTTTTTTCCCCCTGGGTTGGTTATAAAATGTTCCCTAACTTCAGGCATCTGATTAAGTTTTGGGTTTTCTCCCTTCCTCCCAACTCATATGGATTGGTAATGATCTGATAGAAGACAATTGCCAAAAATCAATGAAATATGTTTTAAATTAAACTTCTCCAAGATAATATTCATATTAATCCTTCTTTAATTGCTGAATGAGGAATAATTTTTCATTGACCCTTAAAATCCTAAAACTTAATCAGCTCACTGGAGTGGATGAATGGATATTTGTCCAGATGAGAATGCTAAAGGTCTACTTCAAGGGGTTCATAATAGTAAAAATGTCCTTTTCTTCCATCAGAAGCTTCATCCTGGATCTTTTCATCCTTGTTTTTCTACTAGCTCTCCTTCTCCAAATACACTGACTTGGAACCCCAGTTTCAGTGGTGGACTGCATGGATTTGATTCTAAGCTATGCTATAATGAGAAAGTAGCTCTAACCCTATTCTTATTTTCTTCATCTGTAATATACAAATCATCATCAGACAATATACAGACAGGGGCCAGTTAGTTCATGACAATAATAGGTGAAAAGGGAGAGTATGTGGGTGTAGACATGGGAAAGTGAGTTTAAATGGTTTCAGGAGTCTGTGGAAGTTGTCTTTGGGTGATTCAATGTTCTCAGGGAAGCACAACCAAAAAGACATTGAGGATTTCTGGGGAAGTGTTAGGGATTAGAGACAGGATAAGATACAAAACTAGGTAAATTAGTGAGTGAATAGATGGGAACATACGTAGTATGATTGATTGATAGGCGGCACTGAGATTCTCAGTTTCAAGTGGGATATTTTTCAATTTGCTCCATATAGCTAGTTGCTCAAATATATGTGGGGATTTGGTGGAAATTTGGATCTAACCAGGGTTATTTTCCTGGTTATATTCAGCAAAGTGAAAGAGAAACAAGAAAGTTGAAGTTTCCTGGGAATGGTTGGCCGTGGAATTTAGGCAGGAGAACAGGCAACAGAGTACATCAAGGAGGTAAGGGTCATTGTGAATATGATAAAATAATAGTTTGGAGGTCTCAGAGAGATTGAAAGATTTTATGTCAGGGTATGAATGGGAATGATTATAGGAGGAGCTCAGAGAATGGGATAAATGAAATTGTGACTAGAGAGAAGTTGCTGTTATAAGTAATGACGATGCTTCACTCAGTCCTTCTGTAAGTGTGGTCCCTGTGCTAGCAGCATCAGCATCACCTGGGAACTTACTAGAACTGCATATTCTCAGGTTACACCCCCAGATCTACCAAATCTGAAATTCCAATAGCAGGCCTCAGCAATCTCTTATTTTAACACAACTGTAGGCAATTTTGAGGCACACAGTAGTTAGCACAACTGGTCTAGGGTATGTCCTATTTGGTCTTCCTCCCCAGTTCATGGTACAGAGTTCCTAAAACTTGAAATTTCCTGATAGAGATGAGAGGACCATCCTTTACTAGTCATAAGTCCCTTTTAGCCATACCTGAGTTTATGCTATTGACATGACATGACTGGTGGCTACAGACCCGTATAGCTTCAGGGTGGGTGCTGGACACCAGAAAGATGAAGGCATAACTAGATGGTTGAAACTGTCAGCCCTCTCCTCCATCACCTCTGAGGTGCTGGGAGGGTGACACAATGATATACCGAGAAGGCATATGGCAGCTTTGTGTCCCTTTTCACCATACCTGGCCCGATGTGTGTCTTCTATTTGACTATTCCTGATTTGTATCAGACAGTAAATGTAAGCAAAGTGCTTTTGTGGGTTCTGTGAGCCATCTTAGCAAATTATAGAACCTGGGGAAGGAATCCATGGAGGTCCTAATTTATAGCCAGTTGGTCAGGAGTGTGGGAGGCCCACAACTCATCTGTAATGGTTGATGGGGGAGGGGGGGCAGTCTTGTGGGTCTGAACCCTGAACTTGTGGGATCTGATGCTATCTCCAGATAGATAGTCTCAGGATTGAATTGAATTGTAGGACACCAGTTGGTGTCCTGAGAGTTGAAGAATTGGTTGGGGTGAGACTAAATCCACAAATTTGATCTCAGAAGTTTGAGTAGAAACAATTCTGTTGGAAAACATTATCATTAGATCAAAGGTGTTCGTAGAACTGAGAGATCAAGATGAGATTAGAATTTAGTAAATGCTATTTTTAAAGACATTAATCTTTACTTAATTAATGGAGATAATTACTTAATTATCTCCATTTTGACTTTAAATTTATAACTAAAAAATTGTTATTTTATCTATTTCCCATAAATGGAAATTGAAAAGCAATAGCAAAATGCTTCGACAGAAAATCTGCCCTTTTTATTCTCAAGAGGAAGAATGGCCTTAAGCACAAAGTTAGAAAAACTTTCATAATTTTTTAAGTTGCCATATTTTATAGCTTTGAACAAGTTGAATTGTTAACTAGTCTGCCCAGGGAATGGAGCCCTCTAATATAATTTCCTTACTATTTAGATAAGATCTTTGTTGTTGAAAATCTTAATCTTTTTAATGATCCTGTTTTCAGAGCCTGATATTAATGATTCATGAAACTCATTAAATGCAGTTGTGCATCTGATTTGAAAATCATGAGGGAGATATTTGGTCAGATATGCATAGCAAATCTATGTCACTAGACATATGTCCCTGCTACCCATGTCACAACCTTTATGTCTACTCTTGAATTGAGCTTTTGCTACGTGTTTTATTTTTGAGGTTTAAGAATTATTCATTTATCTGATGGGAAATTGTGTTTCTCTTGTTATAATAGAGCCCAGTTTATCTTTTCTATTTTTCATGGAGACATGAAAGCATGTGAATTTGGAATCAGACAAACCTGAGTTCCACCATGCTTTCTTCCTCTTGCAAGCCATGAAATCCACAGTGGGTTAGTGGACATTACAAAGCCTCTGGTCCCACCTTCTTAAGACGGAAAAAAAACTACTAATTGAAAGAATGAATGTGATAATGAGAAGAAATGGTATCAATAAAGTTTTTGGAACCCAGTAAGTTCTAACAAATGCTAGTTCTTTTCTTTCATTATTCAAAATCTAAATAGAAGCCAGTTGGTAATTCTAAAATAATAGTATGAAGACAAACAAAAAGTTTGTTAACTGACCTTCAACCATTGAGACCTTATCTTATACGAAGCAAAATTAACAAATATTTTCTCCCTTCTACAACTGTACACCCTCTGAGAAAGACAGACAGTGTTCCAATAAAGACAATGATAGTATTCTGTGCACACATAGGAAGGGAAGAAGAATAAGAGAGAACCTTTAAAAAGACAATTTTAGATAGGCACTCTATTTTTACCAGCAATAACATTTTTTAGAACTTATAGCATACAAAATAGACCTTAAATGGACTCAGCGCTGAGAAATTTTTATAAGGGTGCGTTATTTTCTTCTATGGTAAATCTAGGAACCAATAAAATAGCTTTGATAATTCACTCATTACATTCTTTCCTAACTAAACTATTTACATTATACACTTTGTTGATATGCTATGCTTTTGCATTAATAACTCTCGCGTGTCTCATTTGTGAATATGTGAAAACCAGTTGTACGATAAGGAAAATGTAATTTTGAAACATCTTCGAAAACAGTTGCATAATTTAACAAATGTTTATAAATTTTCATCCTTACTCTAAAAGCATAGATATCCTAAAAGTGATTGAAGGTAAAATGATTTCTTTAAAGAACTGGATTTCTCACCATTAGTTATTTTATCCTCATACAAACTGTAGTAGTGTTATACAATGGTTAAGAAGAAATTACTTAAAAGTGAGAATAAAGATACAGCTTATTAACACTTCATTTTGTGGATGAGACCTGAAAAATTAAACCTTTCTTCTAGAGACAAGTTGGAGTTAGTTGTATATATAGAGTGTGAATAGATAGTGTCCATATTTTAGTGTCATTATTTAAACAGAAACGTGTAATTTGCACTTCAAAAACCTATTACAAATTAGCTGCATCATTTGGAAGTGTCAAATTTACCTCATTAATGATCAGATAGGCTTTTGGCTCATTGTAATTAGATGTTCCTATAAACCAAAGTTGAAAGAAAAAGACAGGGTTTGGAGTCTTTAATTCTTGGTAAAATCAGTAGCTCTATTTAGGGCTATATTTGCAAAATACTATTTCTACTCAAGCATATTTTTATTTACAAGGCATTTCACAAATGTTGACCACAAAAATATTTCTACCTAGCAGAAATAATTATAGTTACATATAATTGTCTAGGAATATATTAAACATAGGGATTAAAATAACTTTCAAGAACAAGAATAAATGTTATACCAGGCATTTTTGTACCTATTACTCTATTTCAGTGCGATATTTGTGGCAATTAAACAACATAAATGGCTTGGATATATAGTTAAGATATCAAAGGAAAAATATGCAAAGGCATGATTATTTTATAAATGTGCTGCATATGTAAATTGAGGTACAAAACCTCTAAGTTTAAAATTGTCTTTTTAAAAAAGAAGTCAAAATAGACAAGTGAGCAATGAGTTATGGATACTATTATAGGGTACCCTGATAACCTAGTAACAAGAAGACTTTTGGTACTGAAAATTCCAATTAGCCACGTGCCTCCATTAAGACCATGATTACTGCCAATTTTTACTCGCAAAGGCAGGAGCTAGAGTTATATGGAATCCCATACGTATCTAAACTATAGATTTATCAATTATCACCTAAAACACAACTTGGAGGACACTATCCCGGAATTTGTAGGGCTTGGCCTTATTCTGGAGAAACATACACTGGAATAGGCAGTTGGATTTTAAATTCAATCTTAAATCTCTTAAAAATGATGCATTTTTTTCTGAGAGATGAGAAATTGTCCAACTCTCTTGGCTTATTTTAGATTTGATATTATACAGTTCAAACACCATGGAGATTTACTAATCTGAATGAACACATACCAAATTAGTCTTTGCTCCAGTCTCAAAATCTGAGATTAATTCTGGCAGCTGAATAAATTTTCTAGGGTTAGGAGTATGCTTCAACGCTGGTGACCGGTACTACTTTCTGGTAAATTATAGAGGACATGTGCCCTTTCACTGCCTAAACTCACTTTGTAGAACACCATTAAATGAAAATCATTACCAGCACTTTGGGAGGCTAAGGCGGGCAGATCATTTGAGGTCGGGAGTTTGAGACCAGCCTGGCCAACATGATGAAACCCCGTCTCTACTGAAAATACAAAAACTTATCCAGGCATGGTGGGATGCACCTGTAATCCCAGCTACTTGGGAGGCTGAGGCAGGAGAATCGCCTGAACCCAGGATGTGAAGGTTACAGTGAACAGAGATGTTGCCATTGCACTCCAGCCTGGGCAACAGAGCGAGACTTCATCTCCAAAAAAAGGAAAAAAAAAAGAGAGAGAAAATTATCAGTGTTCAGTGACTCTTTTTTTCATGCTGATAAACTATTACACAGAAAAAGAAAATTTTCATGCCGATAAACTGTTACACAGAAAAAGAAATACATACATTATGGATAATTAAAAGGGCTATACAACCTCTCTCATTGTGTGATTCTGGTTTTCTTTCTTTTCCTTTTCTTTTTTTCTTTTTTTTTTAAAGACAGGATCTCACTCTGTCACCCAGGCTGGAGTGCAGTGGCACTATCTTGGCTCACTGCAACCTCAGCCTCCTGGGTTCAAGCGATTCTCCTGCCTTAGCCTCCTGAGTAGCTAGGACTAAGGGCATTCACCACGTCGCCCAGCTAATTTGTGTATCTTTTTTTATTACAGGTGGGGTTTTGCCATGTTGGCCAGGCTGGTCTCGAACTCCTGACCTCAAATGATCCTTCCGCCTCAGCCTCCCTAAGTGCTGGCATTACAGGCATAAGCCACCATGCTTGGTCTGATTCTGTTTTTTAACACAATTCTTATTACTTCTCTTTTAATTTTACAAAGCCATAGGTTTTTAATCTGGGAAACCTTTGAGAAAGCATCCAGATAAATTTATAAATAGAAAAATAAATTCAGATATATAGAATTCAGTTTATGATCTAACTAGTGGGTGGCAACTGAAAAATTTCCAAGTTCCATAAACTGAAGTGAAAGGATCACTTTCTTGAAAATATTACAATGGCTTGATAATTACCTAGATTGTACTAAAACCTACACAATCTAGTATATTCTATAGCAGCAATTCATAAAGACAGCTTCACTTACCATGTAGAATTTATATGTACATTAAATTTAAGGAATGCATTACTTGTTATTGGAGTAGGATAATAAACTCCCAGCAGAACTGATTTGCATGAATGCCTATTAAACTATCATCGATGTAGAAATTAAACAATATATTCAGCTATTCAGCCCCAGATGTGTGAGAGACAGAGAAAAATTTCAAGAGTTCGGCACCAAATCCTTTCCTCAATAGCTCTTTGAGTCTCAAGACAGTTTCAACCACACACAGCCTCAGAGTCTTATGGTCCAAACAACATTTGACTGCAGCTCTAAAGTAAGCAAACATTTGAAAAGAAACAATCAAAGATCTATGCCTGTAGTTATGGTCAAGGAGGTCCACCTACTGGTGGGTGACCATGGCAAGGATAGGGACTAAGCCAAATGATGGGTTTACCAAAACAGAAACAAGAGAAGCCATTGGAAGCAGAGTCCAGGTTATAACAGGAGCGCAGGCACTTGATGTGGGAACCCTATTTGTCTCATTTAGCAGCTAGAGTTTTAACGTCCTATGAGGCAGAGCTAATGCCCTTCATTATTTATTTTTTGTAATTGACTGCATAGTTTAGAACTATGCTTTGAATTTAATATCTGTTGAATAAATGAATTAATGATGATGAAAATCTGTCCACAGGTTATGTGCAGCACTGAAGAGCGACTTCAGCTATTGAGGTGTCTATCAGAAGTCTTACTCTCTAAAAAGCCTCTCGTTAATTACTGACATAGGTTGCTGACAATTTCACTCCCACAATGTAGGGGAAGCAGGAATGTTATCTGGCCTTTTGGCTCCTCTTCCTTTGCCTTCCACAGCTGTCTCTGCTGGTTCACAGAGGCACATTTTTGTGGCTCTCAGTTCATTTTGCAATTCTGCTAGAATCTCGTTCCATCCTCAATTGTAACCAGCTTGTCCTCCGCCCAACGCTTATTTATGGAGAGACAGATAGCAAGAAGAAATCGCACTCTGGATTACAAAGTGGGAAGACGCACCCCTTGGCCAGAATGCCTGCCTCCGGTGTTCATGGTGGATATTTCTAATTGATCTCGGCACTCTTTTCCATTTAGCCCATGTCTCAAATTGGCCCTGAGTTAGGGAGAGGGCTCTAGAGTGGGAAAGGTATACCCAAAACTTCCCTAATCTGACTATCAAGCCTAAAAAATTAAACTTTCAATTCAACATCCCTTGTTTCTGCAGCTCGGAGTGCCTGATGGTGTGGGAAGCCCCTACTCATAAAAATTCATAGTTGAAGATTGTTGGTAATTTTGCCCAACCTCCTTCTTTCATTTTTTTTTATTATACTTTAAGTTCTAGGGTACCTGTGCACAACGTGCAAGTTTGTTATATATGTATACATGTGCCATGTTGGGTGCTGCACCCATTAAGTAGTCATTTACATTAGGTATATCCCCTAATGCTTTCCCTCCCCTAGCCCCTCACCCCACAACAGGCCATGGCATGTGATGTTCCCCTTCCTGTGTCCATGTGTTCTCATTGTTCAATTCCCACCTATGAGTGAGAACATGCTGTGTTTGGTTTTTTGTCCTTGCGATAGTTTGCTGAGAATGATGGTTTCCAACTTCATCCATGTCCCTGCAAAGGACATGCACTCATCATTTTTTATGGCTGCATAGTATTCCATGGTGTATATGTGCCACATTTTCTTAATCCAGTCTATCATTGTTGGACATTTGGGTTGGTTCCAAGTCTTTGCTATTGTGAGTAGTACCGCAATAAACTCCTTCTTTCTTTGCCTAGTTACACCTCAATGCAACCTCCTGGCAGGCCAGTCTTAAGCCCAGAAGTCCAACCATGCATCTAAGCTGAGTTCTCATCAGAGCCAACTTCAATTATAAACAACTGAGACGATGCCAGAGGCCAGAATCCCTGAGAACCCAATTTGCTGTCATCACCGTGGCTGAAACAAGGTACTTGGCATCTAGAAAAGCTGATGTGTAGGAAATTTCCAATAGAGTTCAATTGTTTCTAAGTTTAAAGTGTACAATATCATCAAGGTCAGACGCTCGAGATAAAACTAGGCTTGCGTTTAAATAGAATAAGAATATTTGAAGAATAGTAAGAGTGGTGACTACTTTTACATAGGAATGTTTTAAATAAATTGTTTTTTTCTTGTGTCTTTTAAATTTAGTGATTTGTCAATGAGATGCTGACATATTTTTAATGAAGCATGCCTTGTAAAATAATAAATGAATGAAAAATACACAGTAATATTTACATCAACAAAGCTAGAAGAAGACTGCATGTCTCAAGAGGCTCCATCATCTACCCAGTGGCCACTTGACCAAATTAAGACCCAAATACCAAAAAGAAAAGTAATTAAAATTTGTGTTGTATGCCTTACAAGACCAAACCTATAAAATGAGGGGAAACTTCACAATTACTTGTAATTTGCTCTGTGGAATTGTAACAGATGGATTATAAATATGATTCCATGATAAACATCTAAATGTGGTTACTACCTTCTGTGCTTTCTTGGTTCATATTTTTATTGTTTTTTCTTTATAAACAGATAATTCATTCTTATCTATGGCAACGCAAAATTTTCAGATGTATTGAATATGTCATAGTTTTTTTCTATTGTAGGCGTCTCTAAAAAAGTTACAGAAAACAAACACAGCAAAGTCTGGTGTTCGAAAGGAGAGAGAAATAAAGCTTGTAAAGGAATGAAAATCAGAGCTTTCTGGAGACAAAAATTCTTAGAAGATACAAAAGCTAGTTACTGAATTAGATGAAGGTTCTTTTTCAGTTTTTCCCAGTTGTTCATCTCTTAGAAGGCACATATTCACAGCAGAAAAGAAAGAAAGGGTTAAAACGAAAATACCTCGGTGTAGTGAGACTGTAATTTCACGAAGGCATTACTGAAGACGCACCTTTTCCAGCATCACTCAGCATGGTATTATGCATGTGTGTAATGTAAAGGAAAGTGAATACTCATTCTTGGATGGGTGATCAAATCATGATTCCAGAATATAATCAGAAGCTGATTCATTACCCTCTTGAGCTTTCACAATCTTTCCAACAGGAATTAAAATTCAGAAGAAGGTGAATGCATCCAATCTTTTGAAAGTTAAAAATTAGAGGGTGGAGACAAGATGGCTGAATAGGAACAGCTCCAATCCACAGCTCCCAGCGTGAGCGACGCAGAAGACAGGTGATTTCTGCATTTCCAACTGAGGTACCGGGTTCATCTCACTGGGGAGTGCCGGACAGTGGGTGCAGCAAACCGTGCATGAGCCGAAGCAGGGCGAGACATCGCCTCACCTGGGAAGCACAAGGGGTCAGGGAATTCCCTTTCCTAGTCAAAGAAAGGGGTGACAGATGGCACCCAGAAAACCGTGTCACTCCCACCCTAATAATGCGCTTTTCCAACAGGCTTATCAAATGGCACAACAGATTATATCCCGCACGTGGCTCGGAGGGTCCTACACCCATGGAGCCTTGCTCATTGCTAGCACAGCAGTCTGAGGTCAAACTGCAAGGCGGCAGCGAGGCTGGGGGAGGGGCGCCTGCCATTGCCCAGGCTTGAGTAGGTAAACAAAGCGGCCAGGAAGGTCGAACTGGGTGGAGCCCACCACAGCTCAAGGAGGCCTGCCTGCCTCTGTAGGCTCCACCTCTGGGGGCAGGGCACAGACAAACAAAAGACAGCAGTAACGTCTGCAGACTTAATGTCCCTGTCTGACAGCTTTGCAGAGAGTAGTGGTTCTCCCAGCACGCAGCTAGAGATCTGAGAATGGGCAGACTGCCTCCTCAAGTGGGTCCCTAACCCCCGAGTAGCCTAACCGGGAGGCACTCCCCAGTAGGGGCGGACTGACACCTCACACGGCCAGGTACTCCTCTGAGACAAAACTTCCAGAGGAACAATCAGGCAGCAGCGTCTGTGGTTCACCAATATCCACTGTTCTGCAGCCTCCACTGCTGATACCCAGGCAAACAGTGTCTGGAGTGAACCTCCAGTAAACTCCAACAGACCTGCAGCTGAGGGTCCTGACTGTTAGAAGGAAAACTAACAAACAGAAAGGATATCCACACCAAAACCCCATCTGTATGTCACCATCATCAAAGACCAAAGTTAGATAAAACCACAAAGATGGAGAAAAAACAGAGGAGAAAAACTGGAAACTCTAAAAATCAGAGCACCTCTCCTCCTCCAAAGAAATGCAGCTACTCACCAGCAACGGAACAAAGCTGGATGGTGAATGACTTTGATGAGCTCAGAGAGGAAGGCTTCAGAAGATCAAACTACTCCAAGCTAAAGGAGGAAGTTCAAACCAATGGCAAATAAGTTAAAAACTTTGAAAAAAAAATTAGATGAATGGATAACTAGAATAACCGATGCAGAGAACTCCTTAAAGGACCTGATGGAGCTGAAAACCACATCACAAGAACTAAGTGACAAATGCACAAGCCTCCATAACCGATGCGGTCAACTGGAAGAAGGGATATCAGCAATGGAAGAAGAAATGAATGAAATGAAGCGTGAAGAGAAGTTTAGAGAAAAAAGAATAAAAAGAAATGAACAAAGCCTCCAAGAAATATGGGACTATGTGAAAAGACCAAACCTACATCTAATTGGTGTACCTGAAAGTGATGGGGAGAATGGAACCAAGTTGGAAAACACTCTGCAGGATATTATCCAGGAGAACTTCCCCAATCTAGCAAGGCAGGCCAACATTCAAATTCAGGAAATACAGAGAACGCCACAAAGATACTCCTTGAGAAGAGCAACTCCAAGACACATAATTGTCATATTCACCAAAGTTGAAATGAAGGAAAAAATGTTAAGGGCAGCCAGAGAGAAAGGTCAGGTTACCCACAAAGGGAAACCCATCAGACTAACTGCTGATCTCTCGGCAGAAACTCTACAAGCCAGAAGAGAGTGGGGCCAATATTCAACATTCTTAAAGAAATGAATTTTCAACCCAGAATTTCATATCCAGCCAAACTAAGCTTCAGAAGTGAAGGAGAAATAAAATACTTCACGGACAAGCAAATGCTGAGAGATTTTGTCACCACCAGACCTGCCCTAAAAGAGGTCCTGAAGGAAGCACTAAACATGGAAAGGAACAACTGGTACCAGCCACTGCAAAATCATGCCAAATTGTAAAGACCATCCAGGCTAGGAAGAAACTGCATCAACTAACGAGCAAAATAACCAGTTAACATCATAATGACAGCATCAAATTCACACATAATATTACTAACCTTAAGTGTAAATGGGCTAAATGCTCCAATTAAAAGGCACAGACTGGCAAATTGGATAAAGAGTCAAGACCCATCAGTGTGCTGTATTCAGGAAACCCATCTCATGTGCAGAGACACACATAGGCTCAAAATAAAGGGATGGAGGAAGATCTACCAAGCAAATGGAAAACAAAAAAAAAGGCAGGGGTTGCAATCCTAGTCTCAGATAAAACAGACTTTAAGCCAACAAAGATCAAAAGAGACAAAGAAGGCCATTACATAATGGTAAAGGGATCAATTCAACAAGAACTAACTATCCTAAATATATATGCACCCAATACAGGAGCACCCAGATTCATAAAGCAAGTCCTGAGTGACCTACAAAGAGACTTAGACTCCCACACAATAATGATGGGAGACTTTAACACCCCACTGTCAACATTAGACAGATCAACAAGACAGAAAGTTAACAAGGATATCCAGGAATTGAATTCACCTCTGCACCAAGCAGACCTAATAGACAACTACAGAACTCTATACCCCAAATCAACAGAATATGCATTCTTTTCAGCACCACACCACACCTATTCCAAAATTGACCACATAGTTGGAAGTAAAGCTCTCCTCAGCAAATGTAAAAGAACAGAAATTATAACAAACTATCTCTCAGACCACAGTGCAATCAAACTAGAACTCAGGATTAAAAAACTCACTCAAAACCACGCAACTACATGGAAACTGAACAACCTCCTCCGGAATGACTACTGGGTACATAATGAAATGAAGGCCTTTGAAACCAACGAGAACAAAGACACAACATACCAGAATCTCTGGGACACATTCAAAGCAGTGTGTAGAGGGAAATTTATAGCACTAAATGCCCCAAAGAGAAAGCAAGAAAGATCTAAAATTGACACCCTAACATCACAATTAAAAGAACTAGAAAAGCAAGAGCAAACACATTCAAAAGCTAGCAGAAGGCAAGAAATAACTAAAATCAGAGCAGAACTGAAGGAAATAGAGACACAAAAAAACCCTTCAAAAAATCAATGAATCCAGGAGCTGGTTTTTTGAAAAGATCAACAAAATTGACAGACCGCTAGCAAGATTAATAAAGAAGAAAAGAGAGAAGAATCAAATAGATGCAATAAAAAATGATAAAGGGGATATCACCACAGATCCCACAGAAATACAAACTACCATCAGAGAATACTACAAACACCTCTACACAAACAAACTAGAAAATCTAGAAGAAATGGATAAATTCCTCGAAACATACACTCTCCCAAGACTAAACCAGGAAGAAGTTGAATCTCTGAATAGACCAATAACAAGCTCTGAAATTGAGGCAATAATTAATAGCTTAACAACCAAAAAAAAGTCCAGGACCAGATGGAGTCACAGCTGAATTCTACCAGAGGTACAAGGAGGAACTGGTACCATTCCTTCTGAAACTATTCCAATCAACAGAAAAAGAGGGAATCCTCCCTAACTCATTTTATGAGGCCAGCATCATCCTGATACCAAAGCTGGGCAGAGACACAACCAAAAAAGAGAATTTTAGACCAATATCCTTGATGAACATTGACGCAAAAATCCTCAATAAAATACTGGCAAACCGAATCCAGCAAAACATCAAAAAGCTTATCCCTTATGATCAAGTGGGCTTTATCCCTGGGATGCAAGGCTGGTTCAACATATGAAAATCAATAAATGTAATCCAGCATATAAACAGAACCAAAGACAAAAACCACATGATTATCTCAATAGATGCAGAAAAGGCCTTTGACAAAATTCAACAACCCTTCATGCTAAAAACTCTCAATAAATTAGGTATTGATAGGACGTATCTCAAAATAATAAGAGCTATCTATGACAAACCCACAGCCAATATCATACTGAATGGGCAAAAACTGGAAGCATTCCCTTTGAAAACTGGCACAAGACAGGGATGCCCTCTCTCACCACTCCTATTCAACATAGTGTTGGAAGTTCTGGCCAGGGCAATCAGGCAGGAGAAGGAAATAAAGGGCATTCAATTAGGAAAAGAGGAAGTCAAATTGTCCCTGTTTGCAGATGACATGATTGTATATCTAGAAAACCCCATTGTCTCAGCCCAAAATCTCCTTAAGCTGATAGGCAACTTCAGCAAAGTCTCAGGATACAAAATCAATGTGCAAAAATCACAAGCATTCTTATACACCAATAACAGACAAACAGAGAGACAAATCATGAGTGAACTCCCATTCACAATTGCTTCAAAGAGAATAAAATACCTAGGAATCCAACTTACAAAGGAAGTGAAGGACCTCTTCAAGGAGAACTACAAACCACTGCTCAATGAAATAAAAGATACAAACAAATGGAAGAACATTCCATGCTCATGGGTAGGAAGAACCAATATTGTGAAAATTGCCATACTGCCCAAGGTAATTTATAGATTCAATGCCATCCCCATCAAGCTACCAATGACTTTCTTCACAGAATTGGAAAAAACTACTTTAAAGTTCATATGGAACCAAAAAAGAGCCCGCATTGCCAAGTCAATCCTAAGCCAAAAGAACAAAGCTGGAGGCATCACGCTCCCTGACTTCAAACTACACTACAAGGCTACAGGACCCAAAAGAGCATGGTACTGGTACCAAAACAGAGACATAGACAAATGGAACAGAACAGAGCCCTCAGAAATAATGATGCTTATCTACATCCATCTGATCTTTGACAAATCTGACAAAAACAAGAAATGGGGAAAGGATTCCCTATTTAATAAATGGTGCTAGGAAAACTGGCCAGCCATACGTAGAAAGCTGAAACTGGATCTCTTCCTTGCACCTTATACAAAAATTAACTCAAGATGGATTAAAGACTTACATGTTAGACCTAAAACTATAAAATCCCTAGAAGAAAACCTAGGCAATACTATTCAGGACATAGGCATGGGCAAGGACTTCATGTCTAAAACACCAAAAGCAATGGAAACAAAAGCAATGGCAACAAAAGCCAAAACTGACAGATGGGATCTAATTAAACTAAAGAGCTTCTGCAAAGCAAAAGAAACTACCATCAGAGTGAACAGGCAACCTACACAATGGGAGAAAATTTTTGCAACCTACTCATCTGACAAACGGCTAATATCCAGAATCTACAATGAACTCAAACAAATTTACAAGAAAAAAACAAACAACCCCATCAACAAGTGGGCGAAGGATATGAACAGACACTTCTCAAAAGAAGACATTTATGCAGCCAAAAAACACATGAAAAATGCTCATCATCACTGGCCATCAGAGAAATGCAAATCAAACCACAATGAGATACCATCTCACACCAGTTAGAATTGTGATTATTAAAAAGTCAGGAAACAACAGGTGCTGGAGAGGATGTGGAGAAATAGGAACACTTTTACACTCTTCATGGGACTGTAAACTAGTTCAACCATTGTGGAAGTTGGTGTGGCGATTCCTCAGGGATCTAGAACTAGAAATGCCATTTGACCCAGCCATCCCATTACTGGGTATATACCCAAAGGATTATAAATCATGTTGCTATAAAGACAACTGCACACATATGTCTATTGCAGCACTATTCACAATAGCAAAGACTTGGAACCAACCCAAATGTCCAACAATGATAGACTGAAGAAAATATGGCACATATGGATGAAGCTGGAAACCATCATTCTCAGCAAACTATCGCAAGGACAAAAAACCAAACACCGCATGTTCTCACTCACAGGTGGGAATTGAACAATGAGAACACATGGATACAGGAAGGGGAACATCACACACTGGGGACTGTTGTGGGGTGGAGGGAGAGGGGAGGGATACCGTTAGGAGATATAACTAATGCCAAATGACGAGTATAATGGGTGCAGCACACCAATATGGCACATGTATACATATGTAACAAACCTACACGTTGTGCACATGTACCCTAAAACTTAAAGCATAATAATAAAAAAAAATTAACAGGAGCCTTTTATACAGATAAGTTTGCTTTGCACCATGATCAGCATTAAAGAGCATCATAGATTTAAACCATATTTACACAGTTAAAACAATATAACCAAATATGCAATATATTATGTAACGTTGTACAAGATGCTTTTCAAACATGCAAACTGACCTTTAAAACAATTTTTCATAAAATAACATTTTTAGGTAAGAGAAAAGACAGACATGTGGTTAGGGCAAAATATTACTGTTCAAATTACAAAATCCTGAATGACAAATCACAGGATAGAAAAAAATTATATTGTACCTGGAATTTGAAATCTTCAAATTTATTTAGATATATATATCTATATGTACTAATAGAGACATATTTAACTAATTATAAGTTTAGAACATTTATATTTTGAAGATGTCATTCTTTAAAAAATTATTAATATTTACAGGATTGCTACAGGTATTTTAATTTTAAACACATATTTTTCACTAATGTGACCAGTATTTATGACCTATTTCATTAAAGAGACATTTCAAGATTCTTTTAGAGTTAATTTTTAAAAATTAAGTATCACAAATATTTCTGAAGTACTACCTTTTAAAAAAAAAACCCTTTCCTGGCTTTTCATATAGTTAAACATTTTCCTAATGACTAAAAAGAAAAATAAATTAACAACCATAATTAAATTAGAATTCTACTTTTTATATCAGATGAAATACTATATAAAATGTCCAGAAAATCTAGTGTTAATGAGGCTGTGCAGCCTGGACATTTGAGTCCCATCTGTGGGAATGTGAACTAACCCAACCATTCTGAATAATTATTGGCTCTGTGTGTTAACAGGCTAGAGTCCTGAAACAAGGATCTTAATTCTAAAATATAATCCTATTCCAAGAATATGCCAAGTGTTGATAATCAAGGAAGTTTCAAAGTTATAGAGAACCTTCATCCTAGCATTATATATGTAATCATCCATATAAACCAGATAGTGTTGAATGAAACTGCAGAAAAATAAAGAGCCGACAGAATATGTTTCTCTTTGTGTACAACTGTAAATGTACACATCTATCCATGTAAAATTTTACATCTCAGGAGGATAGGTACCAACATGTTAACAATGCTATATCTATAAGGTAAGAAATTTTACTTTCCTGCAATTTCATACACACACACACACACACACACTCACACACAGAGGATATATATGCACACATATATAAACATACATATTTATATAGATACACATGCACATACATATACGCAGATGGTCACCAACTTATAATGGTTCAATTTATGATTTTTTTAACATTATGATGAAGCAAAAGTGATAGCTTTGAATAGAACTATTCTGCTTTTCACTTTCAGTACAATATTCAACAAATTACATAAAATATCCAATACTTTATTATAAAATGGGTTTTGTATTCAATGATTTTGCCCAGCTGTCAGCTGATGTAAGTGTTCTGAGCATATTAAAGGTATGCCAGGCTAAGCTGTGATGTGCAGTATGTTAGGCATATTAAATACATTTTTAACTTACAGTATTTTCAATTTATGATCAGCTTATCAAGACTTAACCCCATTGTACATTGAAAAGCATTTGTATTGCATTAAGCATGTTATATAATATTTTTAATTGAAATTACTGGCAACTTTTGAAAGAATGAAATGAAATAATGTGCTTTGCTATTGGTTAAAATGTTTTTGGCCAGGTTCAGAGGCTCACGCCTGTAATCCCAGCACTTTGGGAGGCCAAGGCGGGTGCATCACTTGAGGTCAGGAGTTTGAGACCAGCCTGGCAAACATGGTGAAACCCCATCTCTACTAAAAATACAAAAATTATCCGAGTGTGGTGGCATGTGCCTGTAATCCCACTACTTGGGAGGCTGAGGTGGGAGAATTGCTTGAACCAGACAAGCAGAGGTTGCAGTGAGCCAAGATCATGCCATTGCACTCCAGCCTGGGCAACAGAGTAAGACTCTGTCAAAAAAAAAAAAAAAGAAAGAAAGAAAAGAAAAAAAATGTTTTTAGCTTCAAGTAACAGAATAGTCAACTAATTGTAGAAAAAAACAAGGAGCAAATTTTACCAAATCGCACAACAAATAGATGGTATCAGTGGTTAGTTAATTCAACATGATCCACTTCTTTGTGATTCTCTTATCTCTCTAGCTATGTTTTCAAGATGGCTATGGCATTCCCAGCCTTACAACTGAATGTGACAAAATCCAATGGCAGGAAAGAATAAGTGAGAGCGTTTTGGAACTTTAAGGAAGAACTTTCAGGATTGGAAAACAGAGATGCCAAATGTCCAGTAACATGGGATAGCCGCTCCTAATCAAGGATTGCTGTATGTCCTGAATGACTTTCTAACGTAATGAAGGTGAATAACCTGCTTTGTTTAATTATACAAACCCAAATGTAACTGCCTAAGTGCCAAGTACTTTTGCATGGTTTTAATATGCCATGAATTTTGCAGGAATGAAACAATGTACATGAGAAAAGATGGTAGATTTTTTCATTTAGATACTCATTTCACAGTCTCAATAGGAAAAAGAGAACACACCCAAACTAAGATAATTTAACATGGGTTTATTTCCAAAGAGACTACTTACAAAAATATCAGGGGAGAAGGGTGAAGGAATCACAGAAATCACACCCCACAATAACTCTGGGTTAGTAGCAGCAGGCAGAGTTCCGGGGAGTAAACTGCCCTGATCACACATGGAAACACTGATTTTCTTATGAAAAAGATTGGTCAAGGAGACCTAGCAGAGAGGGAGTTTAGGCAAGAACCCCCAATCCCATTTCCTCCTTCCCTTTAATCTCATGAACATGCATAGAAGGTAATGAGCAAGGGAACCTATTGAGATATTCAATATGGACCATTCCACTTGGACAAAAGCCAGTAAATAGGGGAGTATAACAGGGGACAAGCGGCAAACAGAAAGTATCTATTACATTTACCAATGCAGATCAATCATGTCAACAATAGAAATGGCAGTTTTGGTATTTGGTTATTCAATGAAACTATATTTGTAGCTTTATATTTACAATGTTTCAAGCTTTGGGTGAAGATATGAAAATTTCATCATGTTCTATTGTATTTGATAGGTAAATATTCTGGCACAATTATTTACATTTTGGATTATATATTGACAGTAGATTATTTCTTCTTTGTTAGCTGCAGCATAACATTAATATTTTCAACAACTTGAATGCATACATTGTGTTCTCACTAATAGTTTAGAATAGTGAACGGGTCTTTGAAGAATTTCTTATGAAGTAGAGGCATTGGGTCAGACAGAGCTGAAACCATTGGCTTAGATTAATCACTATTTATCCTAGGGCTGAAGAGGGCCAAATGAAGACACAAATGTCCAATCCCTCTATGACCTGGGAGTTCTATGAACCAGAGAAATAGAGACTGGTTCTTAAGGAGGTAATAAGTATGCCTTCTATGGTTTATAATAATATGCATTGTCTTAACAATCGAATACTTAAAAGTTAATGCCCTAATAATATGCAAAATTTTTAATAAGTACTTTGGTCCCTGTGTTCAAGTAGTTGGCAATCAAATTGCTGAAGTATGTAAGTCTTTTGAAGAGCATTAAACAGCAGAGAATGTAAGAAATTTGTCTCTATAATAGTGTGGGCCTTCTGTGTTTCCTAAGGGCACATTCATATGATCTAATAACTGAGCAGAGAGAAGCCTAAAGGACAGTTTATGGTTTCATTTGTTTGTTTTTGCTAATTAACATACATTTCTAGATTAAAAGTCAACTATCCTTTCCTCAGGAGTTGACTATAGGAGAAGATAGCAAAGAGGCAAGGAAAATTACAGCAGCTCAACAGCCTTACCCTGGAAATATCTGTATTGTGTCCCGCTATAGCCTACCTTTATCAGTCAGATAACAATGTCAAAGAGGCAAGCTTGGCACCATTGCTCTTAGTGAATCCCTGCTGCCAGCCTTTTATCCTAAGTGCTCTCAAAAGACCCATTTAATGGACCTTCCTGAAATTGTGCTCAGGATCAATATAAGATTCATTGATACAGCAATTTTGGAACTCACCATCTGCTTATTTATTAAACCTGGGATAGTTGCCCAACTTCTATCATCTGAAATCGTCTCCATGACTTTCAAAATTACCAACATTGGTTCCAACATCATTCCTAGAAAACATTTCAGTGGAGTATATTTATCTGACATTTGACTGTATTTATAGCAGTGAGAGTCTATGATGATTCCTCCCAAAAGAATCCCACAATTACCCACTTTGGGTCACCTTTGAGGGTCTTATCCTTATTATCAGAGATCCGTTCTATACATTTGAGTCTTAGAAACAATTACTAGTTTCTCTCTGAATTTAACTGAAGTTCCTTACTTTTATTCAGCCTATTACCCAAATTACATAATGTATTGAAGGCTAAAAACTGTCCAAATTTCTGACTACATTTAGTTAAAAATGGGAATATGACTTTTTCTTTTTCTAACTTGGCAAAGATTATGTTTTTTTCATGAAGAAATATAGGCATATTTAAACACTCACGATCTGAGAATTTGAAATACATGAAACTTAGCAAGTGGTCTTTAAGTAGTTTTCGTTTCTAAATTATAGTACATACCATTGAATGCTACAGAAGAAAAGACAACGGGAGATTACTCATAAACATTGCCTTTATGATATCCTTCCAAAGAAAACCAAGTGTCCCTGTGCTTGGACTCATAGAGCAGGAATGTTTACCTTGCTTTGATGTCGCTAACAAACACTTGTGCCTAGTCATTGAATTCTAATGCATTTAAGCCATCTTGAGAGTAGAGCCCCTAGGGAAAACTACAAATGGAAAATTCATTGATTTTTGATTTTGCTTTCCTATGGATTAAATTTAACACTTTCTTATAAATCTCTCCCTTTGCAGACCATATGTGATAAATAGTTATCCAACTTTCTAGATGTCCACCCAGAGTTGCTTCCATATGAAGAGGTGGAAATGGATTCCATGCATGATACTGGTTAGGCTTGGGCACTGTTTTTTTAAAGGAGATTTTTAAGAATTTGTTTGATTTCCTTGTACTCATAGACATAATATTGTGTTGCTAACTGCCCTCTGGGAACAAAGTCATACCAATCACAAATACATTGTCTAAAGCAGGAGGCTTATTACTCTGCTGTGAATTCCATCTCCTATTATGTTTTAAAGATGCTACAAACTTGAGACATTACCATGTAGATGACATTCCTATGTAGATGACATTCCCAGCAAATCCCCAAATAACACTTAATGAGATTTGAAATACCAGGATTATGAAACAGTAAAAGATATAAGGAAATAAAGAAAAGCACAGTATATGTGTAGAAGGCATTAAAACACAAATTTTATAATTATGAAAGCAATTATAACTATTTTATAATTATGAAAGCAATAAGAACAAGTTTTATTCTAAATAGCAATTAAATCAGAACTACCACACAGGGAATAAAAGTGAATATTAAACCATTGTACTGACAATAACAGAGCCCTTTTTCTGCTGCGTGATGGAATTTAGTGTTTACTAAGGAAGAGAAAAATGCAAGATAACTTAAATTTGGTACTTTTCAACAAATTTAAGAAATGTGTACACACTTGAGGAGGCTTAAGTCTCTGACTAAAATACTGGGAAAGAAAAGCAGTGAAAAGAAAAATAACTATTACTCAACAATAACAACATTTATTACTATTATATTAATATTAAACACACTATTAAGCAACAACATTTCAGTTACTCACTAAGCCCAAAGTCATTTTTCATGAACCATTCATGACACTGATAACCTATTGAAAAATGACTGAAAACAAAAAAGCTTATTGCTTTCCAAGTCCTTTTAAAGCCTTCTCATGTGTCATTTCTTATAATCCTTATAACGAATCTATGAGGTATATACTGACTTTATCTCTGTACAGAAAAGAAACTGAGTCATATTCAGAATAAGTTGCAGAGTTCCCCAGATAATCAGTGTCATAGGTGAAATTTGATGTCACAGTCTAGTCAAGTATAATTTAGGGAAGCAGTACAAATGATGGTTGAAAGCACAGGCTCTGGGGTAAATAGCCTGAAGTCAAAATCTAGTTCATATCCTTAGTGGCTGTGTGATCTTGGGAAATTTCCCTTAACTCTCTGTGTCTTGGTTTTATAGTTTCATCCATTTTTGCCTCTCATATGAGCTGGTGAGCATCACACTAGTTTATGCTTCTAGGAAACTTAAAACAGTACCTGGCTCTTGATAAATATTAACCATTTTGTTTCATTTTCTTCACCTCGAGTATTTCATGGCCAGATGGAAACAAATGTCAATATGAAAAAATGTTCATAATTCAACAGGAAGAAATACAAAACCATATAAACAACTCTGTTTTACTGGCAAGTGTATTTGGAAGCTATGTTAAATTGAGAAGGGGAAGGGAAAGCCTCTAAGGGCATCGATTAATCAATGACCGAAAGCTGATGAGATTATCTGGAATTTTTTTGGAGACTCTGAGACTTAAAATTTTGACACAGATAAGGAGATGAATTGAGTAGTGTAGAAGAGACATTTTCTGAAGTCAGCAGAGAAAGGAGAGACAAATATGTTAAGGGGAAAATGGTATTAAGTAATAATATCTATGAAGTGCTTTCTAAAGTATAACACAAGTAAATTCTGTTAAATGTAAACTATCATGATTATATCATTACTGTCTGACTGATACAACTATATCCACCTCAGTTAGCCACATAAGATCAATTTTCCTATACCTTAGAGAATACCAGTAACCTACAGTTCAGAGACAGCATAAATATCTATCCACAGCTGAGCAGACACATACAGCTAGCTACCAGATGAAATGGGCTATATCTTCAAATACTATTGTTTTCCATTTTTTAATTGTGGCAAAATACACTCAACAATTTGCATCTTAACCACTGTTAAGTATACAATTCAGTGTTATTAAATGTATTCACAATGTTGTGCAAGCATCATCATGACCCATCTCCATAATTCTTTTTGTCTTGTAAAATGGAAATCCTGTACCCATTAAACAGTGACTCCCCATTCCCCGCCCTCCCAGGGCAACTACAGCTTTACTTTCTGTCTTGATGAATCATACAATATCAAATGCAATTTTTAAGATATTTAAAGTCTTTTAGAGGGGGAGCCAAGATGGCCGAATAGGAACAGCTCCAGTCTACAGCTCCCAGCATCAGTGATGCAGAAGACGGGTGATTTCTGCATTTCCATCTGAGGTACCGGGTTCATCTCACTAGGGAGTGCCAGACAGTGGGCACAGGTCAGTGGGTGCAGCACACTGTGTGTGAGCCGAAGCAGGGCAAGGCACTGCCTCACTCGGGAAGTGCAAGGGGTCAGGGAGTTCTCTTTCCTAGTCAAAGAAAAGGGTGAAAGGCAGCACCTGGAAAACTGGGCCACTCCCACCTGAATACTGCGCTTTTCCAACGGGCTTAAAAAATGGCGCACCAGGAGATTATATCCTGCACCTGGCTCAGAGGGTCGTACGCCCACAGAGTCTCGCTGATTGCTAGCACAGCAGTCTGGGTCAAACTGCAAGGCAGCAGCGAGGCTGGAGGAGGGGTGCCCATCATTGCCCAGGCTTGCTTAGGTAAAAAAAGCAGCCACGAATCTCGAACTGGGTGGAGCCCACCACAGCTCTAGGAGGCCTGCCTGCCTCTGTAGGCTCCACCTCTGGGGGCAGGGCACAGACAAACAAAAACACACCAGTAACCTCTGCAGACTCAAATGTACCTGTCTGACAGCTTTGAAGACAGCAGTGGTTCTCCCAGCACGCAGCTGGAGATCTGAGAATGGGCAGACTGCCTCCTCAAGTGGGTCCCTGACCCCTGACCCCCAAGCAGCCTAAATGGGAGGTACCCCCCAGTAGGGGCAGACTGACACCTCACATGGCCGGGTACTCCTCTGAGACAAAAATTCCAGAGGAATGATCAGACAGCAGCAATCGCGGTTCATGAAAAACTGCTGTTCTACAGCGACCACTGCTGGTACCCAGGCAAACAGGGTCTGGAGTGGACCTCTAGCAAACTCCAACAGACCTGCAGCTGAGGGTCCTGACTGTTAGAAGGAAAACTAACAAACAGAAAGGACATCCACACCAAAAACCCATCTGTACATCACCATCATCAAAGACCAAAAGTAGATAAAACCACAAAGATGGGGAAAAAACAGAGCAGAAAAACTGGAAACTCTAAAAATCAGAGCACCTCTCCTCCTCCAAAGGAATGCAGCTCCTCACCAGCAACAGAACAAAGCTGGATGGAGAATGACTTTGATGAGTTGAGAGAAGAAGGCTTCAGAAGATCAAACTACCCCGAGTTACAGGAGGAAATTCAAACCAAAGGCAAAGAAGTTAAAAACTTTGAAAAAAATTTAGACTAATGCATAACTAGAATACCAATAAAGAGAAGTGCTTAAAGGACCTGATGGAGCTGAAAGCCAAGGCTTGAGAACTACGTGAAGAATGCAGAAGGCTCAGGAGCTGATGTGATCAACTGGAAGAAAGGGTATCAGTGATAGAAGATGAAATGAATGAAATGAAGTGAGAAGGGAAGTTTAGAGAAAAAAGAATAAAAAGAAACGAACAAAGCCTCCAAGAAATATGGGACTGTGTGAAAAGACCAAATCTACATCTGATTTGTGTACCTGAAAGTGACAAGGAGAATGGAACCAAGTTGGAAAACACTCTGCAGGATATTATCCAGGAGAACTTCCCCAATCTAGCAAGGCAGGCCAACATTCAAATTCAGGAAATACAGAGAACGCCACAAAGATACTCCTTGAGAAGAGCAACTGCAAGACACATAATTGTCAGATTCATCACAGTTGAAATGAAGGAAAAAATGTTAAGGGCAGCCAGAGAGAAAGGTTGGGTTACCCACAAAGGGAAGCCCATAAGACTAACAGCGTATCTCTCGGCAGAAACTCTACAAGCCAGATGAGAGTGGGACCAATATTCAACATTCTTAAAGAAAAGAATTTTCAACCCAGAATTTCATATCCAGCCAAACTAAGCTTCATAAGTGAAGGATAAATAAAATCCTTTACAGACAAGCAAATGCTGAGAGATTTTGTCACCACCAGGCATGCCTAAAAAGCTCCTGAAGGAAGCACTAAACATGGAAAGGAACAACTGGTACCAGCTACTGCAAAATCATGCCAAATTGTAAAGACCATCCAAGCTAGGAAGAAACTGCATCAACTAATGAGCAAAATAACCAGCTAACATCATAATGACAGCATCAAATTCACACATAACAATATTAACTTTAAATGTAAATGGACTAAATGCTCCAATTAAAAGACACAGACTGGCAAATTGGATAAAGAGTCAACACCCATCAGTGTGCTGTATTCAGGAAACCCATCTCACGTGCAGAGACACACATAGGCTCAAAATAAAAGGATGGAGGAAGATCTACCAAGCAAATGGAAAACAAAAAAAGGCAGGGGTTGCAATCCTAGCCTCTGATAAAACAGACTTTAAACCAACAAAGATCAAAAGAGACAAAGAAGGCCATTACATAATGGTAAAGGGATCAATTCAACAAGAAGAGCTAACTATCCTAAATATATATTCACCCAATACAGGAGGATCCAGATTCATAAAGCAAGTCCTGAGTGACCTACAAAGAGACTTAGACTCCCACACAATAATAATGGGAGACTTTAACACCCCACTGTCAACATTAGACAGATCAACGAGACAGAAAGTTAACAAGGATACCCAGGAATTGAACTCAGCTCTGCACCAAGCGGACCTAATAGACATCTACAGAACTCTCCACCCCAAATCAACAGAATATACATTTTTTTCAGCACCACACCACACCTATTCCAAAATTTACCACATAGTTGGAAGTAAAGCTCTCCTCAGCAAATGTAAAAGAACAGAAATTATAACAAACTCTCAGACCACAGTGCAATCAAACTAGAACTCAGGATGAAGAAACTCACTCAAAACCGCTCAACTACATAGAAACTGAACAACCTGCTCCTGAATGACTACTGGGTACATAATGAAATGAAGGCAGAAATAAAGATGTTCTTTGAAACCAACGAGTACAAAGATACAACATACAGGAATCTCTGGGACACATTCAAAGCAGTGTGTAGAGGGAAATTTATAGCACTAAATGCCCACAGGAGAAAGGAGGAAAGATCCAAAATTGACACCCTAACATCACAATTAAAAGAACTAGAAAAGGAAGAGCAAACACATTCAAAAGCTAGCAGAAGGCAAGAAATAACTAAAATCAGAGCAGAACTGAAGGAAATAGAGACACAAAAAACCCTTCAAAAAATTAATGAATCCAGGAGCTGGTTTTTTGAAAGGATCAACAAAATTGATAGACAGCTAGCAAGACTAATAAAGAGGAAAAGAGAGAAGAATGAAATAGACGCAATAAAAAATGATAAAGGGGATATCACCACAGATCCCACAGAAATACAAACTACCATCAGAGAATACTACAAACACCGCTACACAAATAAACTAGAAAATCTAGAAGAAATGGATAAATTCCTCGACACATACACCCTCCCAAGACTAAACCAGGAAGAAGTTGAATCTCTGAACAGAACAATAACAGGCTCTGAAATTGTGGCAATAATCAATGGCTTACCAACCAAAAAGTGTCCAGGACCAGATGGAGTCACAGCTGAATTCTACCAGAGGTACAAGGAGGAACTGGTACCATTCCTTCTGAAACTATTCCAATCAACGGAAAAAGAGGGAATCCTCCCTAACTCATTTTATGAAGCCAGCATCATCCTGATACCAAAGCTGGGCAGAGACACAACCAAAAAAGAGAATTTTAGACCAATATCCTTGATGAACATTGACGCAAAAATCCTCAATAAAATACTGGCAAACCGAATCCAGCAAAACATCAAAAAGCTTATCCACCATGATCAAGTGGGCTTCATCCCTGGGATGCAAAGCTGGTTCAATATATGCAAATCAATAAATGTAATCCAGCATATAAACAGAACCAAAGACAAAAACCACATGATTATCTCAATAGATGCAGAAAAGGCCTTTGACAAAATTCAACATCTCTTCATGCTAAAAACTCTCAATAAATTAGGTATCGATGGGACGTATCTCAAAATAATAAGAGCTATCTATGACAAACCCACAGCCAATATCATACTGAATGGGCAAAAACTGGAAGCATTCCCTTTGAAAACTGACACAAGACAGGGATGCCCTCTCTCACCACTCCTATTCAACATAGTGTTGGAAATTCTGGCCAGGGCAATTAGGCAGGAGAAGGAAATAAAGGGTATTCAATTAGGAAAAGAGGAAGTCAAATTGTCCCTGTTTGCAGATGACATGATTGTATATCTAGAAAACCCCATCATCTCAGCCCAAAATCTCCTTAGGCTGATAAGCAACTTCAGCAAAGTCTCAGGATATAAAATCAATGTACAAAAATTACAAGCATTCTTATACACCAATAACAGACAGACAGAGAGCCAAATCATGAGTGAACTCCCATTCACAATTGCTTCAAAGAGAATAAAATACCTAGGAATCCAACTTACAAGGGATCTGAAGGACCTCTTCAAGGAGAACTACAAAGCACTGCTCAGTGAAATAAAAGAGGACACAAAGAAATGGAAGAACATTCCATGCTCATGGGTAAGAAGAATCAATATTGTGAAAATGGCCATACTGCCCAAGGTAATTTATAGATTCAATGTCATCCCCATCAAGCTACCAATGACTTTCTTCACAGAATTGGAAAAAAACTACTTTAAAGTTCGTATGGAACCAAAAAAGAGCCCACATCACCACGTCAATCCTAAGCCAAAAGAACAAAGCTGGAGGCATCACGCTACCTGACTTCAAAGTATACTACAAGGCTACAGTAACCAAAACAGCATGGTACTGGTACCAAAACAGAGGTATAGACCAATGGAACAGAACAGAGCCCTCAGAAATAACACCACATATCTACAACTAGCTGATCTTTGAAAAACCTGAGAAAAACAAGCAATGGGGAAACGATTCCCTATTTAATAAATGGTGCTGGGAAAACTGGCTAGCCATATGTAGAAAGCTGAAACTGGATCCCTTCCTTACACCTTACACGAAAATTAATTCAAGGTGGATTAAAGACTAAAATGTTAGACCAAAAATCATAAAAACTCTAGAAGAAACCCTAGGCATTACCATTCAGGACATAGGCATGGACAAGGACTTCATGTCTAAAACACCAAAAGCAATGGCAACAAAAGACAAAATTGACATATGGGATCTAATTAAACTAAAGAGCTTCTGCACAGCAAAAGAAACTACCATCAGAGTGAACAGGCAACCTACAGAATGGGAGAAAATTTTTGCAACCTACTCATCTGACAAAGGGCTAATATCCAGAATCTACAATGAACTCAAACAAATTTACAAGAAAAAAACAAACAACCCCATCAAAATTGGGTGAAGGACATGAACAGACACTTCTCAAAAGAAGACATTTATGCAGCCAAAAAACACATGAAAAAATGCTCACCATCACTGGCCATCAGAGAGATGCAAATCAAAACCACAATGAGATACCATCTCACACCAGTTAGAATGGCAATCATTCAAAAGTCAGGAAACAACAGGTGCTGGGGAGGATGTGGAGAAATAGGAACACTTTTACACTGTTGGTGGGACTGTAAACTAGTTCAACCATTGTGGAAGTCAGTGTGGTGATTCCTCAGGGATCTAGAACTAGAAATACCATTTGACCCAGCCATCCCATTACTGGGTATATTCCCAAAGGACTATAAATCATGCTGCTATAAAGACACATGCACACGTATGTTTATTGCAGCCCTATTCACAATAACAAAGACTTGGAACCAACCCAAATGTCCAACAATGATAGACTGGATTAAGAAAATGTGGCACATATGCACCGTGGAATACTCTGCAGCCATAAAAAATGATGAGTTCATGTCCTTTGTAGGGACATGGATGAAATTGGAAATCATCATTCTCAGTAAACTATCACAAGAACAGAAAACCAAACACCACATATTCCCACTCATAGGTGGGAATTGAACAATGAGAACACATGGACACAGGAAGGGAAACATCACGCTCTGGGGACTCTTGTGGGGTGGGGGGTGGGGGGTGGGGGGAGGGATAGCATTAGGAGATATATCTAATGCTAAATGACGAGTTAATGGGTGCAGCACACCAGCATGGCACATGTATACATATGTAACTAACCTGCACATTGTGCACATGTACCCTAAAACTTAAAGTATAATAAAAAAAAAACCATACGTTAAAAAAATAAATTAGTAAAATAAAATAAAATAAATAAAATATTTTGTCTGGAAGCAAAGTGGAAGTTAATATCAATGGCTATGCCTTCAGTGAGTTCTCAGACCACATTACAACATAGTTAATGATTTATCTTTTATTACATTCTAGATCTATTCTTTCTTCCTGGCACAAAAATATCTTCTTTGTACATTATGGCATCTACGTCTATCTCCACACCTTTTTGCGTCTCTCATCCATGGATCATCAGCCTCTTGCTTAGTCTTCCATTTAATGACAATTTCTGTTTAGTATACAACAGCCCTTCCCCCTGCAATGCAATTTCTTCACTCTGAAAAGCTCTGACTCTGGCTACTGGTCTCTGTTATGTACTGATTCCTAGAGTCATGTCTTCAAATATTTCTCAGAACTTCTTCACATCTAAAAATCCAGGATTAATTTATTGCTCTCTGACTATATTCTTCTGGTATTTCAAGTATCCTGTATAACTTCTTCATCTGCCCTTGCTTTTCTTCTACATCGAGATATCAAGTTCATGGACTTCCCAATTCATCATTTTAAAAATTTATTTCAAGCCTTTATGAGTCACTACAATATACATATGTTCTCAGGAATTATGGCCTTACAATTTGTATGTGAGAATAGGTCTTCTGTCAGGCATTATGGACATAAGAGTAAATAAATTCTAGCCCCTGCCTACAAGCAGCTAATTCCCAGCCTAAGACAGATTGCAAGCAAATAATATGCAGAGTGGTAAGTCTAAGGAAACTGATTAGGATATACCTAATTCAAGCTGGGAATATCAGAAGAAAAACTTTTTGAAAGTCATGAGACATGAGCTGTGTCTAAAAGAATAAAAAATATAGAGAGAAATAAGAAGAAATAAATTAGGGAATGAGATGACTATACTAGTAGGAAAAGGAAATCTCTTCAGGTCAAGGGAGCTTAGAGATGAAACAGGGTATGAGAGTATACAGGGAGGCTCATTAACTCAGTGAGGTTTGAGAAAACAGGTTGAAAGGAGAAATAGGGGAGAAAGTTACAAAGGGAATCAAACGTGTTAGTAGTTGAGGGAAAAGCAAATATTGAATACGACCCACAGATCTTGGATAACCCAGCGTTTGGTAGCAGCTTACATAAAAGGTTGTGACAAAATAACCAGAGATATACGGAGAAAATAACTGAGTGTTATATTTCCTCTCAGTAGAAACCTAAAAAATAACGTGTAATCACAGCCTGATCTTTTAACTGACCTCCACTTATCTTGCTGCCTGGATTGGCATACATATTCCTCTGCCTGAAAAACTACTCAACACTTTTGAAAGGTTGTTTCTCACCATTACACCCAGCATTTCTGCTAACACCAGCTGAGTTGTAAGGGGCCCTCCAGGAGGCCTAGGTTGTTCTCCTTATCATATACATTATTTTCATTTATCAATTTACCCAGAACATCTAATGAAATACTATGGACACCAATAACATGAATACAAAGATAGCTATAGACACTAAAAAGTAAATTGATGTCTCTTGAAAGGCTGTCATGTCTTAGACGCTAAATTTGGAGTATGTGTTTCTAATAAATAAATAGCTTGCTTTAATCATCCTTATTTATGAATGTAATTTAGGGGAGCACCTTTGATTTTGCCCTTAATCTTAAAAAACAATTAGCCGGGCATGGTGGCAGGCACCTGTAGTCCCAGCTACTCAGGAGGCTGAGGCAGGAGAATGGTGTGAACCTGGGAGGCGGAGCTTGCAGTAAGCCAAAATTGCACCACTGTACTCCAGCCTGGGTGACCGTGTGAGACTCTGTCTCAAAAAAAAAAAAAAAAAAAAAAAAAAAAAAAAAAAAAAAAAAAAAAGATCATACAAGGAGTAAATGATGATTTAACATAAAACACAACTTTAGCCTAAAACACAGTTCATAGGACTCAAACTTTGTTATTTTATGGGATTATAGTAACCAGTTAATATTCAAAATTTACCATTTCAAAAGAAGAAATATTGGTCTGGGAAAATTGCCGTTGCTTGTACAGAAGAATGGAGGAATCTTTTTGAGCACAACAATTCTAATGATATTCCTCATCACTGGTTCCAAAACCAAGCCCATGGAAGGCCTGCATAGGGATAATGTGGAGAACATGCAAAAGAAATACACATCACCAGCTCCTCAACCCGGAGCTCCAAGGGAATGGCCAAGGAAGCTGTATTGTCCTAAGAAATTTGAGACTGATTTGACTTACATTAAATCCTGCTCAATCATATGTATGTATACACACACACACACACACACAGACACACATACAGACAGTGTTGTCAGTGAAGCCTCTAACAATGCATCTTGACTGGACAGATTTGACAATTAAAATGGCTGGAAGAAAATAGGGCTTCATAAGTGGCACTTACTATTCACATTACACATTAAATGGACATCTCCTAAATTAAATCTTGTCTATGATAAAAAGGCAGAAAATCATGACCCAAGGCTAGTTTATAACTGCAGAAGTGTTCAAGACAGACCAATGCTTGCTATGTTTAGGAACTGACAAGAAAGTACAGGTCTTTATAATCTACCATTTTGCCTCATTTGATACCAGGTGACCTTCATAACGCAGGCAATAGAGAATTGCAAGATTTGTCAGAGATTTCAGGTCTTTGGAAAGCTATCCTCTTTCACAAGAACAGCCATGGAAACAGGAAGAAAGTCAGCTCTCACTTAAGGTAATCAGAATTTACAAATATTCCTTTCTTCATTGAAATCTCAATAGGCACTTCAATATTATCTTTAATTAATTCTTTTGTTACAATCATGCATCACATAACATTTTGGTCAAGGATGGTGCATATATATGACAGTGGTGCAATAAAATCATAACACTATTTTTACTGTACCTCTTGTATGTTTAGACATGTATAGATACACTTACTGTATAGATATAAGTAAGCATAGATATACTTAACTGTTGTGTTACAATTGCCTACAGTATTCAGTACAGTAACATCCTGCACAGGTTTGTAGCCTAGGAGGAATAGGCTATACCACATAACCTAGGTATGTAATCAGCTATAGCATCTAGGTTTGTGTAAGTAAACTCTGCCATGTTCATACAATAATAAAATTGTCCAGGAATGCATTTCTCAGACATACCCCTGTCATGAAGTGACACATGACTGTATTAGTTAACACTGTGGGAACTTCATGGGAAATGGACTCTGCAGCTCCATCATAAATAGAAACTGTTTATGTCAAAAAACACATAAAAGCATAGTTGCAAGATTACAAGTCCTTCCAGATATTTCATTTAGTATCTCCACAGATCACTAACTGCCCGAATAGCATTCTTGAGTCTCCACTGCCTCACATTTGATTTCAGGTCATTCCATCAATTGTCAAAGACGCATCCAACATTAACTTTCCAACTACTGGTTTGGATTGTGTCAACATTGTTATCCTGGGCCATGACAACACAAAAGGCTAACTCAGTGAGGTAACATAGACACTGATCAGTGAGATTTTGCTGACTGGTGGTACCTTTTTTTACCAAGATCAAGGGTATTCATACCTTCAGGCATCTAGATAACATTGAAAAGGGCAGGTTCATAGATAAAAAGGCAATGAGGAAGGGTTATTGCAGTATACATGAGCTACTGTGTCTCCTGTTTAACCTGAGTCTGAAGAGATTCAAAGTACAGGTGCCATACATGCCTCTTTAATAGTTCCATGTCGATTGATTTTCTGGGCTACACTTCCCAGCATTCAAATTGCTAAATGCATATAAATTACTACTGAATATTTATAACCTGGATTTGTGCTTTTGAGTGACCTTATCTATAGTTATGTGTTTCAGTGATCTAACTTGGGGTGGACTCCAAACTTCGATAAAGTAAAGACCCTGCTTATTCCTTGAGTATTGCTACACTGACAACTGATTTAGTGAATGCCACTGTGAAAATAATAAACCTCTTGGTGAATATGTTTAGACATGTCTTGTAACCTGTACATATCTTAACCAGGGATGTTACTTGGTCTTTCTATGCACAGGAGTGTGTGGAGATAGAAAAACATACAGGATTGTAATTGTTGCCTGTGAGACTAATAGAAAATTCAAGCTAGTGAAGTATGTCTATGCATGGCACAGTTTTCACCAGCAATTTTAGGAAGTTCTACCCACAACCCATACATCTTCTGATATGTGGGTTACCTTGGAGAGAGAAAAAGAAACTCTGAACACAAGCATGAAATACATTAGAATTTTATCTAGAGTTGGACTTCTCCCAAAGCTTTTGTATAAACTTGCTTGAGGAGCAACTGTTGTCCACTGGTACCTTCACTGTACAATCCACACACAACCAAACTTCGCAACTGGAGACCTAAATTTGCACTTTGTTTGGTAAAGTTGAATGAAAAATGTTGTCTTTCAAGCTTATGCTCTCTTATGAAAGCTGTTATTAGATTAATTTTAGTCCAAGATATGCCAGTTAGGAAACAACTTCCAATTTAATTTCACCAGCCCCCTGTGGGTGGACTAATTAGTCATACATCACACTTACTGCGGTGGTGAAATGCCTCAAAGGAAGGTCTCCAGAGTGTTGCTCTACCTAGAAGGACATGAATGAAGAGACATAAAAATCATTCATTAAGAAGGAAGAAGATTTTCCTTGCCTAGATTTTCACTTGTAGGATCCAATTAATTTTATCACTTAATATTTTGTCGTGCTGGGCATTCATTTTACAAATTTGTAAGGTCAGTAGAAATGGAAACTTTCGGAAATCGAACTGTAAATGTTCCGTAGACGTTGACAGAAATAGCTATTTGGAGCTGTGCTTTTGCCAACTAGACACTCTGAGAAAATCTGTGAGAGGATATTTTCCGGAAGTCATTGAACCCACTAAAAATCAAGTTTATTGCTTTTACCATAAATATAAATAACTTATTTATTATCAACTACTTTCAATATTCTAATAAGTAACCTTTATTGTTTATTTCATTGGCATGATTTACATAGACACATGATTTATCTTCTTTTGCGATACATTCAGAAAATTTGCTGCCTGGAAAAGCCATGTTTTGAAATTACCACCTGTTTGATGATTTTTTTTTTTATACTTTAAGTTTTAGGGTACATGTGCACAACGTGCAGTTTAGTTACATATGTATACATGCGCCATGTTGGTGTGCTGCACCCATTAACTCATCATTTGGCATTAGGTATATCTCCTAATGCTATCCCTCCCCCCTCCCCCCTCCCCCCACCCCACAACAGTCCCCAGTGTGTGATGTTCCCCTTCCTGTGTCCATGTGTTCTCATTGTTCACTTCCCACCTATGAGTGAGAACATGCGGTGTTTCGTTTCCACTTAAGTGTCTATCTCTATTTGTCCTTTGTTTTCACTTCCATCCTAGCTGTATCCCTTGTCTCCTTCGTGTGTCTTGGGATAAGTGCCCTATAACATTATATATTTCTGGAAACCCTTCAGTATAAAGTTATTACATGTAAAAAAAAGTATGTTTCAGCAAACTTTTTGTTCACAGATTATCTTTGCCTACTTGCCTATTAGACAATTTTTGTAGGCTCCATATGCTATTAATTTATATTCACTTTTAGAAGAATTTTCATCAAAAGCAAACGTCTTATGTCAATTTATTATATGCTATTTGTATTTCTATGTATATATACGCATAGAGCCACATGCATATATGTAACTCCGGAGGCCTGCCTGGACTGTTTAATAACTGTATTGAACAAGAGCAAGAAAAAGCTGTTCAAATTTCAAACAACAAGTTGAACTGAAGAGCTCACATCTTTGAATAAAATAGATACTAGCAGCCTTTAAAAATTAAACATTTCTACTGTTTTAAAAAATTATAGCCATCATAGTATGAGGAAAAAATGTAATAATCCTTTTTAATTCTTGCCATTTTATTAACCACAGGGTCCTTACGCCCTAACTTCATTGGTACCCCTTTTAGATTAAACAGAACACTTAATTTAAAATTCTGATAAATAAATTAATTACACCTTTTACTTGAGGTACTCTTTCACCTTTCAAGAAATATTTTGAGAATTCATTAGCTAAATATTGCTATAATGCAGGCTAGTAATAAATGGAAATAATGAGTTCATTGTAAAGTTTAAATTAATGATGGTATAATCTGGAATTTTTGTTAACCTAGAATACATAATTAGCTCTAGAGGTGAAATGAAAGACAAAATCACTTCACATATTAGTAAAAAACAAATAATATAACTTTATAAGCTACTGCTGTTCTTTTGCTATTAAGAACCAATGACATCTGTAATTAGGGAACATTATGGAAAGGTTAAAGATGAGAATACATGCAGTCTATCTACAGGAAACCTAAACTGTTTAGGTTAATGAAATGTCTGCGAAAGTCATATTAATTAGCAGGTTCACAGGAAACTAACATTTATTGTATAAATTCCATGGTAAAATGTATTAGGGCTCCATGCACACAACTGTGCACCATCTACGTTACCACACAGTGCTTACTTCTGTCCGTCTTTATTCATTTCTCTCCTAATGGTCAGTATGTTATTACATAGTTCTAAAAATCTTCTATGAGGCAGAAATTTCATTTAATGATATAGCTTTGAAAATAATGAAAAACAGTAGAAACTTTCTATTTTTTTATGAAGCAGAATTGTTGAATTTTCAAAGTTTCATTTATGTAATGTTACAAGATGACAAACATATTTCTTTAATTCCCTCTTGTTATTTTTGTCTAACATCAACCAAAGCCATTTCTTTCATTTGAAGGTGAAAACTGCTCATCAAAATCCAGTTTAAGCTGAGAAACAAAGAACCAAATTTTGCATGAGAAATTATACACTGCATAAGTATAAAACAGGACCAGAGACAACGGTGGATTAGCAATTTTTAAAAAGACAAAAGCAGGTTATCATCAAATCAATTGTTACCAACACACCAATTCCACCTCTAGGCCAGAAAATTAGCCACTTACCCACAGGAAAACAATGATTGAAGACAAAGTTCACCAGTGAAAGTTGGTTATTTTTTTTTCCCACCCTTGCATCAACTAAAATGATATCTACAGTTCCTCTTAACACTTTTCTTACTTTCAAATATGTGGGTATGCTTAATTAGCTGAGGCCATGTTGCATATGCACATCTGGCTACAAGGGAAACTGGGAATGTGAGCCCTGATCCTAATGTTTGTAGAGTATTTAGAAATTTGAGAATTCCCTCCAAATAAAGAGTTTTTTAAAACATTGTTAGACAAAAAGTTTGAATTACAAAATGTGGTAGTAGCTCATGTCTAACTCAAATGCAGGGAAAAAAACTATAAACTCTAAAAAAAATTAAATGCACATTTGATGGTAATGAGAAACAGAAAACAGGCAGAAATACCAGAATATTCAACCACTGATGAAGTATTTGACCATTGAATAAAGAAAATTGCAATGATTTAAATTTGCATCAATGCAACTTCACACCTGATGACACTCCCTGGTCTGTGCAAAATTAGATGTCTACGAGTAAAGCGATGAGTTTTACTATCTTGAGGAATAAGAGCACAGAGTTCCAGGCTGACAGAAAAGAAGAACTGGGAAATCTGTGTGACATGGGAGGAAATCTCACACAACTGAAAGTTACAGAGGAGAATGTCACAGAGTAAAAATCTAAAATCAGCACTTAAACTTCATTCAGATATATGATGGCTGCTACATTTCACATTCATAAAAAGAGACTCCATAGAATCCAGCAGAAAACAACAGCTAAATTGCTAGTACAGAGCAGAGATTTCAACCATTGCACATAGCTCAGGAGTGAAAGTTTGGTGTTTGACTACAGAAAGAACACTAATGTTAGAAAAGAGTCAGTCTTCAAAGGAAAATAAAAGAACCTATCTCTACAAAATATCATCCACATAATCTAACATATAATTTAACCTGCCTAGACATAGAACCAGGAAAATATGACGCATAAGAAAAAAAGTAAACAATGGATTAAGACATTGAAATGGTCCACATGCTGGGATTAGAAGATAAGAAATGTAAAATAAGCTATTATAAGCATATTCAAGGATTTAAGGAATAGATGATCATAAGAGGGAATATATGGAGAATCTCAACAGAGAAGTAAAAGTGATAAACAAATAACAGGACAAATTTTAGAACTGAGAGACAGAATATCTTATATAAAAATGTCATTGTATGCATATACCAGCAAATTAAAGATGGCAGAAAAAACTATCAGTGCACTTAAAAACAGATCAAGAACAATTTCCCAATACAGTTAAGAATACAGAGGAAGAAAAATAATAAAAATAGGGCCAGTCTAGAACTAATATAATTGGAGTCCTAGAAAGAGTAGAGAAGAACAAAATGAGACAGAAAAAGCTATTTGAAAAAGTAAAGACAAAAAGTTTTCCTAACTGTCAGCATATATCAACTTACAGGTTTAAGAAACTCAAAGAACAGAATAAAAATAAAGAGAACCAAATGTAGACATACCATAGTCAAACCACTGGGCTAAAAAAGAGTAAATCTTGAAAGTAGCTAAAGGGAGGGAGAAAATAATTTACATACATGGAAACAAATAGACAGATGACCTGTCATCAGAAATGACAGTTTAAAAAGCAATGAAACTACATCTTCAAAATAAAAAAAAAACCTGTCAACTCCAAATTCTATAACTAGAAAAAGTCATTGTCGAGAAAATAAAGATTTATTCAGATAAAAGAAAGCTTCGAATATTTGTCATTAGCAGACCTAAATACAAGAAATGCAAACGGAAATGTTTTAGGCTAAAGAAAGATAACAACAGATGGAAATTAGGACCTACAGGAAGCAAGGAGAAGCTCTAGGAATGCCAAGTGCATAAACATGAAAAACTAAGGCTTTTTTCTTTTAGTTTTATAACAACTGATGGTTTAAATAAAAAATTAAGTGTACTATTGATAACGTATGTAGAGTAAAATATTCTAAGTTAACAGCTCTGACAGAAGACTAAACACAACAATTTTGCTGCAACATTTCTTCATGTTACATGAAAACGTTGACTATTAACACTAAGTGGACTGTGATAGGCCCAGGATGCTTATTATAATCCCCAGAGAACCACCACATTATATGAAGATATTCTTCTAAAATGCCAATAAAGGAATTAAAATGGAACACTGAATATTGTTCAGTTGATATAAAAAGGCATGAAAGAAAGAACAGAGGAGCAAAAAATGATAGAACAAATAGAACATAAGAGCAAAATAGGCCGGGTGCAGTGGCTCACGCCTGTAATCCCAGCACTTTGGGAGGCCGAGGCGGGCGGATCACAAGGTCAGGAGATCGAGACCATCCTGGCTAACACGGTGAAACCCCGTCTCTACTAAAAATACAAAAAATTAGCCGGGCGTGGTGGCAGCGCCCGTGGTCCCAGCTACCCATGAGACTGAGGCAGGAGAATGGCGGGAACCCGGGAGGCGGAGCTTGCGGTGAGCCGAGATCGCGCCACTGCACTCCAGCCTGGGCGACAGAGCAAGACTCCGTCTCAATAAAAAAAAAAAAAAAAAAAAAAAAGCAAAATAGTAGGCTTAAATCCAACCTTATCAATAATTATTTCAAATGTAATTTAAATACTCCAAATAAAACACCAGATTGTCCAACTGGATAATAAAAGTACCTATAAGAGATGCATGCCAAATATTATGGTATAGATAAGTTGAGAGTAAAATAATTTCCAAGTATACCATGGAAACAACAAGCACAAGAAATCTTATGTGGCTATATTAATATAAGAAAACGTAGACCTCCAAACAAGCAATATTACAACAGAAAGCTATTTCATAATGATAAAATGTCAAGTAATTATGAAGATATAATGCTATATTGCTAACTGATAGAATAATTAAAGAAAGTTAAGATAAAATAATTTTGACAACAGCTTGACCTAATCGATATTGACCAACACGATAGAATATATGTTCTATTATGCTACACATGAAACATTTATCAATAGACTATAGACCACAAAATATCTCTCAAGAAGTTTCAAAACACTGTAATCATAGTAAGTATGCTTTCTGACCATAATGAAAATGAGTTGAAATGGGTAAAAACAAGCTATCCAGGAAAGTCCACACTATTGGAGGATTTAAATACACCTTAAAATGCTCTTTAGCTCAAGGAAGAAATCATAAGAAACACCTTAAAATACATTGAACTGAAGACAAATAAAAATATACTATATCAAAATGTGTGGGATAAAGTTAAGCAGACCCAAAGTAAATTTTTTGTATAAATGCTTATTCTAAAATCTTGACAAGTGAACTAATTTTCTACCTTAAAAAGAAAATCTAAAACAAGAGAGCAAATTAAGTCCAAAACAAGTAGAAGAAAGGAAATAAAAAAGAAATTAGAAATCAATGAGACAGAAAACAGACACAGGAGAAAGTTAACATGGCCAAAAGTTAGTTCTGTGAGAAAGAAAGAAAACTCAAATTACAAATATCAGGGATTAATGAGATTGTACATTTGTAGACACAAGAGACATTAACTAGATAATGGAATATTGTGAAACATTTTATACCAATTTTCATTACTTGGATGAAAGGGTGAATTCCTTGAAAAAAAAAACATAAAAAAATTCACAAGATTAAATGGAACTGTTGAAGTAATTGACATTTATTAAAGTAATTAAATTAATTGTCAAATACCTGCACATAAAAACATAAAACTAAAGAAAATAAAAAAATAAGCAAACTCCAGATCCAAAGAATTTTGCTGGTGAATTCTTTCAAATGTTTAAAAAAAAAATTTTAAATTATTTCAGAAATAAAGAAGGGGGAAATTCCAAACTTGTTTTATGAGTCAGAATCCTGACACCAAAACTACAAAACACAGGAATGCAAAATTGATTTCAACTTAAAGAGCTATCACCATTCTAATCTGTGATTCTAATGAATTTGGCTATCTTAGATACTTTATACAAGTGGAATCATACGGCTTGTCCTTCTGTGACTGATTTACTTTACTTAGCATTACTGTCCTCTAGGTTCATTCATGTTGCATATTGCTGGGCTTTCTTGTTTTAAAGCTGAATAATATTCCGTTGTATGAATATACCACATTATCTTTATTCATCTGCCAATAGACATTAAACTTATTTCCACATTTTGATTAGTGTAAATAATGCTACAATGAGCCTGAGAATCATCCCAATTTCAATTCTTTCAGATAAATAACCTGAAGTGAGATTGCTAGATCATATGGTAGTTCTATTTTCTTAATTTTTTTGAGGAACCACTGTACTGTTTTCCATAGAGGCTGCACAGTTTTACATTCCCAGAAACACTGCACAAGTGTTCCAATTTCTCCCCATTGTTAACATTAGTTATCTTTTTCTAAGACCATTCTAACAGGTTTGAGGCAATATCTCTTTGTAGTTTTGATTTGCATTTCCCTGATGATTAGTGATGTTAAGCATTTTTTCCAGGTACCTGTTGGTCATTTGGATATATTCTTTGGAGAAATATCTATTGCTGATTAAAAAAAAAAAAAAACTCTCAGCAAGCTAAAAAAAGAAATTTTTTCGAAGGGATGGAAAGCATCCACAACAAAACATATAAACAATATTATATTTAAGAGTGAAAGCATAAATGTTTAAACCACATAGATTAGGACAAGAAAAGGATGTGTGTGTTCATCACCTCTATTCAACATTGTACTGGTGATCCTAGATTTTGAGTATAAATATTTAGGGGACAACTATTGTTACTGAAGCCCAAATCTTGGTCATCCTCAGGAAAAAAAAAAAAAAAAAAGTTGATTAGGTTGTATATAATCTAATTCTACTTGCTTTGGGCTTAATTTTAGAGAAATTAAGTTGCTTAATTTAAGCAAAAGTTGCTTAAATTAAATTAAATTAAGCAACTTAATTTAATTTCTCTAAAATTACAGCTTGTATCAACTCTAGAATTTATTGGGCACCTCCTAGGACATAAACACTGGAATTTGGTGAGAGACATCAAATAGGAAAGAGCCTGCCTCTGACATAAATTCAACACACGGAGGGGGACACATGTTATGAGATTGACCTGCCTTCTTCATCTCATAAAAGGGGTTCTTGTTGCTGGTAACACAGATTAAAACTATTTCAATTACATTCAAGATAAAAGGATTAGCAATGGTATGTAAGATGAAAAAATCACCCCGAAGAAAGACAAAAGTCTCACAAAAGGATATTTAAACTAGCCAACACTTTGAAATTCAGGCAGAGTTCGTGCTTTCTGGGTGAACTAAAGTAGCAAGAACAAAGTAGAGGCTCCAATTCTAGGAAAAATGGGCCCTAATACGGTTTACGATCCAGAAACTCAAGAAATCCAGACAGAAGGATGCAGTCTCCTCATTCAAGGCAGTAGCAATACCTGGATCCCCAAAACCAGTAACTCATAAACACAAATTTGTTTGAGGAAGAAGCTTGCCCACCAGAAGATTTAGGTTATTACAAGGTAGAATGTGATAGAGAAAACGAGCATGGGACTGGAAACAAAAGGAGGTAGCCCCATGATTACAACTAGAATATATCTGTCAGAGATGGTGCAGAAATAAGACTGAAGAGAGAGCGCCTTAAACCCCACGTGCCTTACCCCAGGACTAATCCTGGACACAGGCTGGAAAGCATAGCCTACAGGTGGTGAGGGAGGAGGAGGGGGCTCAGCTGTGAGAAGGAAATACAGCTGAAAACCAGATACGGGTCTTGAAATCACACAGAGGATTTGGGCCTTTGTTGCTGTCTGCCAGCAGCTGCCAGTAGTTCTCACATTTTGGCTGGCATCAAAATCACCTGGGGCAGTGGTGGGGAAGCGAGGGAGTGTTGTAAAACCACAAGTGACCAGGCAAAAAACACCTGTATGTTTTCCAATTCAGTAAGTACAGAAATCTTAATTGGAACAAGGTGGAGGTCAGACATTGATAGTGCTGTGGACTGCTCCAGGGACATAAGCGTGATCTTTAGAGAGGTGGCTCTAATCAGTTGAGGGCAACCATTGGACAGAGAGAGGTCCAGACCAACCGTACACAGAGACATCATACAATTACACTTGAGCAGCCTCTCCAAATAACATGTCTCTTAGTGAAACCTGGGAGGTTGAAAATTAAAAACATAAAATCCAGTGGCATTTATGCATCCTAGGGACTTACATTTGTCTGGTTCTTCCAACTTGCCTTTGCTTGGTTAGAATTTTGGGTAGATAAGAGGTGGATTTACATGTGCTAGTGTGAGAAATTTGATACACTCATTTAGACATTGACCTACTATCTTGATGTTTGAAAGCTACAACCCAAAGAAATTTGTCTTTTTACATAAAACAAATTCAGCCCTTGCCTTCCTTACAGATTACATCTTCCACTAGCAGTAATAAAAAAGTAACAATATGCATAAGTCAAAGTATCTTCTTAGATCCTCTGTTTTATTATTTAGTTGTGTGAATTAAAGTAACTGTCTCAAAATTTCAAGGAATGCCTGAGAAGCAATTCATGTTCAAAGGCTGCCCTCTTGTGACAATGTATGTTTTACCGTAAAAGTAATTTTACCTTATAACCTCTACAATCCAATTCATAACAGTATAAAAAGGAAATAAAACCTTACATAATTTTGAATTTTAAAAAGTACCTTGTTTATATGGCTCCTTTAGATAATGAATAGTTAATTTGGTAAATATTCCAGTGAGTTGAAGGTTTGAATCTATATCACTTAACTAGCTTAATGGATGTATTTCTAAACCTATACAACCCACTCCTCGCTTTTCAAAAATTAAAGTTAGCTGTAGATTGAGATATCAGTGACACAGTTTATTGAACATAACTTAGATTGTCATCTACATTACTGTAACTACAAATGCCATCCTCAGATCGAAGAATCAGTTTTATCAGTAAACATCTCTAATTGAACTATAAATGGTGTATGTCTTCTGTCTTTTACAAGCTTTTGGTCTAACACAGGGGATATATGATGTAAAAATTACAAAGCAAGGCCGCGCGCGGTGGCTCACGCCTGTAATCCCAGCACTTTGGGAGTCCGAGGCGGGCGGATCACAAGGTCAGGAGATAGAGATCATCCTGGCTAACACGGTGAATCCCCATCTCTACTAAAAATACAAAAATTAGCTGGGTGTGGTGGCACAGGCCTGTAGTCCCAGCTACTCAGGAGGCTGAGGCAGGAGAATCGCTTGAACCCAAGATGCGGAGGTTACAGTGAGCCGAGATGGCACCACTGCACTCCAGCCTGGTGGCAGAACAAGACACCATCTCAAAAACAAACAAACAAACAAACAAATAAATAAATAATAAAATAGCAGTGACTATAATGTTTTGTGATGTTAAACTTTGAGAGCTTTTTTCTTTTCCCAAGTCCCTTTCCCAGTTCCAGGAGCAGTTATTCTAAGCTCACTGATGTGAAGGAATAGAAAGAAAAGGTTTGGTGGAAAAAAAATAATAACCTGCTATCATTTCTGTCTTTTGTTTTTAAAAGCTTGAGGATTTGGGAGAATTTGGAAAGACTGTGGAGTAAGTGCAAAGAAGGAATTCGCTAACAAAAATATGTAGGGTAAAATGAGTTTTTTCCAGGTTAGAAAATATCCACTCCCTACACCCCTACATTCCTTTCCCATGGTTAAGAGGAAAAAGCAAAGGCCTCTTGGTGAGCAGTGGTGAGCAGTTTCTTAGAAATATTCTAGAAGGCATAGTCATCTTTTAAAAAAAATAGCTACAAGGATATGTCTAAGCAGAAGGGACCATGGGCCAAATTATGAGTAGATTTTTGCATTCCAAACTGGTAAAGAAGCAGCAGGAAGCCAGTGGGCCTAAACAGGCCACACAGAAATGGACAAGGAAGAGGCCAGCAGCAGCTTGTGGGGACAAGACGTCAAGCCCCAAATGTTAAACCCACCATCCATCCTCCAAATTCTGGCTCTGTTTAACAAGGCTGTGGTCTGGCACTAGATGTCACCTCAGTGACTAAAGCATAATTCCCCGTCTCCTAGGAGTGTTGACAGCTGACTCCTGGCAACAATACTCACAGCACAGTAAAGTTCCTTCATCCAAGTTCATGTCCCTTCTCAAGGCATCCCACATCCGAGAACTGCTTGGTACAGAAATATAATGGCCTGGCTTGCGTGCTCCAATTTGAGGTCGTTAGGTAAACTCACCAAGATCCCTGTAGAGTGGGCTGCGGCCATGATAGTGATTGCATTCCAGCCGACTTCCTGCTCTGCCCAATCCTATTGCTTTCACTCTCCCACAGGTGTTGGGAATATCCATTTCAACTTCCTTGCATGCAAATCTCCATCTCAGAGTCAGCTTCCTAGGACTCCTGACTGGTGACATCTCTATCGCTATCACAGTACTTAGAGCGGAGCATCTTAAAATGATTTAAGGCTAACTGCCCTAACAGCACAGACAGATGGTGGCTTAAAATAGAATTTAAGTGGATTTTAAAAAAACATGAAAAAAGTTGACATTGCACGCTCATATGAGCTTATGGATCAAACCATGCATATGATTTCTAAGATCCCTCATGCAGTATATATTTGCACTTTTTATAAATGACATCCCCTTAAATTGAATTCAGTGCAATTTAAAACAGTAATTTGTGGGAAAAATTAGGTATGCAGATAGTCTGGACTCTAGAGAGGCACACATCATTTGGAGAATAATAGTGAACTGGCTGGTCTATGAGGGAAGAAAACAGAGTGAACACAGACTATTAGTGAACAAGGATATTTTCCCATATATATTCAAATTAAGGTGAATTTCTTTACAGAATTATGCCTTAGAAAGAAAAAGTATTTCCCTATATTTGAATCCTCACAAGTTTTCCTACGATGAGTGCTTTTGTGATTATTTTGAATAGCAATGTAATATTTAAGGAAACTCTTGCCCTGAATGTACTTTAATTTATGTCAATTGATGTTGCATATAGAGATCATCAGAGTCAAGCTACAAGAAAAGGAGGAACATAACTTAGCAAAGACTTAGAGGATTAGTCTTAATAGTGTGAAATCAAAATTTCAAGTGAGGGAATAAATGCAGCTTTAATGATTACGTAAATGAAGTTTAACTGAAGCAGGATCTACAAGAAATTGGCAACCTTTGGCTTCAGTAACAGAAACTCAGGATATATGCCCTTCAGTGCTTTTGGATTCTGCATCATATTGAGAGGGACTCCTTTAAACAAGCAATAGGAAACTTCCTGTGACAACATAATAAATTCAAAAAGTTCTGTAACTCAGAAATTTAGATAGAAGTGAGGACTTTGGCCTAGACAGCCCTGTTCACTCTAAAGATGGATTAAACAATGAAAAAGATATTGATATCAAAAATTCAATCAGGAATTTGATTAAAGCATTTCATTAAATGTGATAATTTCTTAGTATATTATCTTACATATGCAATATTCATGTGTAACAAATTAAATACAAGTAAACATTTGACTATATTATCTGCAGCATAATTTACATATCAATTTACATATTGGGTTTTGCTCACATGAAAACTTGGATCTTCTCAATAAGAAAATTTGTGAAATCTTTAATTCCTCATCCCCAGGAATGTAAATAAGTCAATATAAATACTTTAAGTCAGTGATTTTTTCCTAGGAAGACAGTAAAAATTTTACAAACATACTTTAGACCCCTTCTCATTGTAAACCTAAATAACAAACAGAGAAAGGCTCTTTAAAGGAAAAAGACACATCTTAGGGAGGAGGGCATTTCAATGGGAATATGCATGACAAAGTAAACTATGTAGATTCAAATGGTAAAGGAAGACAAGGTCTTTAAAAGAAAAACGATCAACCTGGAAGTACGGGGGAGTAGAAAAAAATAAATAAAGGAAAAATGAAGAGGCTTATATAATTGTTTTGATATAGTTATCTTTGACTATAAAGATCAACAACAAGGTCGATGTCAGTTGAAGGTTGGGGAGGCGGTTGCTGGATAGATGTCCTCACAGAAGTATATTTTGTGTAAGGTTGCTATGGCCTGTGTGCAAGGTTGTTGTTTTTGTGGTATTTTGTGATAGTTTTTGTTATCAGGCCTAGAAGCATGAGAACCCTCTCTTCAAGGCCTTCTCTGAATCTATTTGTGCAGGTTTTTTCTTTTCTTTTTAAACATTAGTGACAGTTTTGATTCTGATAACTTTCATATCATGATCCCTAATTTCAAAAAAAAATTAAATGTGTAACTTATTTATGATGTATTTGATAGGCTTGGATTTGTGAATCACCTCTACTATCTATAGTGGTAGATATATCTGAGCCTGCTTACACAGGACTTCCATCAGATTTTCTCTTCAGTGGAATTGGAAGAGGGAGTTTTGGAGAAGAGGATGAAGGAATTGTGCTGCATCAGAGGTCCCCACATAACAGCACAGGGACTTTTTCTGTGCTCTTGCCAGGCCGTTGTATTAGGCTGATGCAAAAGTAATTTTGGTTTTGTCATTGAAAGTAATGAGACCATCTGACTTACAATGTCTGTGCCATGACCAGCTCCTAATAGCCTCCGAGGACAGCTCTACCCTGACATGTACTGTCCTGGAACCACGTCTGCTTTGTAACTCCTGAGGTAGCTGCCACCATGACCAATGCCTTCTCATCTTTACTCTACATGCAGGTAACAGTTATAATTAATCTCTGTGTATTCACAGAACAATTAATACATGTAGGACTTCTACAAAATTTCCCTAGCTGATTTTGGTGTTCTGGTGTCCTGGCAGCTCTAGCCATGAAGGGATGATGCTTTATCAGCATTTCTGTTGAGTTTTTTGCTTTTTCTCAGAAACCGATTCCACTTTTCCCACATATGTTTGACAATTTATTTGAACTCATTTATTCTAAACCCATTATTTTTTGTCTATTATTTAATAGGGAGGGGGGTGAGGGATAAAAGGTTACAAATACGGTGCAGTGTACACTGCTCGGGTGTTGGATGCACCAAAATCTCACAAATCACCACTGAAGAACTTACTCATGGAACCAAATACCACTGTACCCCAATAACCTATGGAAAAATAAAATAAAATAAAATAAAAAAGAGTCAGAAGAAAAGAAAATAATCACTGTACTTACCATGACACTTACAAATGGTGACTAGTATTATTTGTAAGTGTCACCTAATAATATTATTATTTTTTCTTTATGCTACAAACTAGCTCTGCTATTACAATCACTACTATTTGAAGTGTTACTAAATTAAATTACATTTATTGTATCCTTCTGGACTCAAAAGTGGGGGTAAATGCTAAGACAATTTCAGAATATGATCACATATTAAAAGCATATTATATGGGGAAATTATGATTTTGAAAAATAGAAATTGGTAGATAAACAATTTTTGGGTCTCTTTAACTTCTGCACATTTTGCAAGTATGGACGCTGACTATCTTGTTCCAAATGATCGTTTTCAAGCATGTTTGTATGGAAAACAGCCTTGGAATAGAAAACTATTACCTCCTTCTGGAACAAAGGAAAAGTTTATTTACTGTCCAGTATAATGCAGATAATTTCTCCCTCTGGGGAAGGGTACAGCCAAGTGAACTTCCCATAATACAAGTTGGGGTTTCTTGAGCTTGGGTTTTTCTCCCACAGTGTAATGTGCAGGTGCCACTTGGCTCTCTGTGTTACCCTGGGAAAGCTGATGGCTGTAGGTGCATGTGTTTATTTTTGGGGTTCTCTATTCTGTTTCATTGGTCTTTGTGTCTGTTTTCATATCAGTACCATGCTATTTTGTCTACCGTGGCCTTAGAGTATAGTATGAAGTCAAGTAATGTGATGTCTCCAGCTTTGTTTTTTTTTTTTTTGCTTAGGTTTCCTTTTGTTCTCTGGGCTCTTTAAAAATCCATATGAAATTTAGAATAGTTTTTTTCTAATTCTGTAAGAAATGACATTGGTTGTTTGATAGGAATAGTGTTGAATGTGTAGATTGCTTTTGGCAGTATAGCCATTTTAACAATACTGATCTTTCTAATCCATGAGCATGGAATGGTTTTCCATTTGTTTTGTCATCTATGATTTCTTTCTGCAGTGTTTTGTAGTTCTCCTCTTAGATATCCTTTACCTCCTTGGTTAGACATATTCTTGCTTTATTTTATTTTATTTTATTCTATTTTGGGGGTTGCTATTGTAAACAGGATTGCATTCTTGATTTACCTCTCAGTTTAAACATTTTTGCTGTACGGAAATGCTACTTCTTTTTGTATGTTGATTTTTTTTAATCCTGAAACTTTGCTGAAGTTGTTTATCAGTTCTAGGAGCCTTTTGGCACAGTCTTTATGGTTTTCTAGGTGTAGAATCATATCATCAGTGAAGAGAGATAATTTGATTTCATTTCCTATTTGGATGCCTTTTATCTCTTTCTCTTGCCTGATTGGACTTGTTGAACAGGAGTGGTGAGAACAGGCATCCCTATTTTATTCCTGTTCTTAAGGGGAATGTGTTGGGAGAAAAGCTGAGTGTTGGGAGAGGAGCTGAGGCAGGGCCATGTGTTTCTCATTCACTTGATACACCGTTTCCTTTCAACCTCCACATCCTCACCACCTGTTTCTTTGTTTGAGCACCAATAAATAGCATGGGCTCCCAGAGTTTGGGGACTTCACAGACTCCACACTTGTGATGGTCCCCTGGCCCCACTTTCTCTCTCAAACTGTCTTTTTCTCATTCCTTTGATTCTACCGGACTTTGTCACCCCCACAACCTAGTGTTGGGTCTGATCACCCCAACATTCCTGGTGCCCAACATGGGGTGACAAAGACCCCGGTGAAGGAAGGCTAGAGCATGTGAAAGCAGAGGACATCTAAAAGAAGCTCGGCGGAAAAGCTGAGTGCTCAGAAGAACCAGGGTAACAATGAGACAAAGTGAAAGCAGACATTCTGCTTGTTTAAATTTCTTAAGGCATTTATTACAAAGACGGGAGTGAAAGTTAGTACTTAGAATTTGTTATCACTCTTTAGTACAGTAAAGCAGTTTTGCCCATGGTTTCCAGAACAAAGGACTATGAAGTTGGATGAATGGGAGAGAATTGGAAGAGACTTTTAAAAGGCATATAAAGATGGAGCAGAAATTCCAGTTTCTGTGTGGTCAGTGTGGGCGCTAATAAAGGCAGCCCTTGAGCCACTTCAAACAGATCATGAGGTAGATTCAGATGAGGAAGAGGAGGATGAGTGTAAAAAACTAACTTCAAATTCTGAGTGTGAGGAACAGCTACCGGAGGAGATTAAAGAAAAGAAAGAAAAACTTTAAAAAGTATGTTTTACTAGCCCGTTGGCTCCACCTGCTGAATTAAGTGAATGGCCACCTCCTCTCTCTCCCCTAAATGGGTGAGAAAATAAATTAGCTGAAAAACTTACTGCTCCTGTAGTTGCAACATTAAAACCTGGAGCAATTGGTGGTGCTATACAAAATTCTATTCAAAAAGCTAAAGCCAAGGGAGACCTTGAAGCGTGGCAATTTCCCATTACTATAATCCAGCAAGTAGGACAGAATATAGCTAATTAGGCTGCTTTTTCTTTTAAGGTACTAAAGAATTTAAGCAAGCCATTAGTTCATATGGACTGAACTCTCTTTTTGTGCAAGCTTTATTAAAAAATATGGCTCTTGATAATAGAGTAATACCATATAATTAGGATACTTTGACAAAACCTGTTCTCACTCCATCTCAGTACTTGCAGTTTAAAACTTGGTAGGCTGATGAAGCTCAAACTCAGTCAAAAGAAAACACACAAGTGCAGCCACCTGTGCCTGTTTTCTTTCATCAGTTAATATGAGTTGGCCCTAACTGGGGTTGTTTAGAGAATCAAGCAGTAATGGAAGATGTTGCCATTGTTCAGCTGTGCTTCATGTGCTTACAGGCATAGAAAAGGATAAATGTTACAGGGGAAAAGTGTCCTTATTTCAGTTCTGTCTGACAAGGACCTAAAGAACCATATATTAATTTTATTGCTCAGCTCCAAGAGGCTGTGTATAAAGCCATAAATGATAAAAACAGCTCAGGATGTTGTAATACAGCTTCGTGCATACCAATAATGCTAATGCAGAGTGTCAAACTGCTATTAGACCCCTGAGAGAGAAGCCTCATTTAACTAAATATATTAAGGCTTGTGATGGCATTGGAGGTAACTTACATAAGGCTACTCTTTTAGCTCAGGCTATGGCTAGATTAAGAGTAAGAAAAAGTATGCTTCATTTCTCAGGCTCTTGCCTTAATTGTGGGCAAATTGGACACAAGAAAGGAATGTAGAAAGGAACTCAAAAGACAAAAACTACTACCATCAATCAACAGAAAAGTCCCAGTGTATGTCCCTGTGTAAGAAAGGCAATCACTAGGCAAGTCCGTGTCATTCTAAATTTGGCAAAGATGGACAACCTCTTTCAGGAAATAGGAAGGGGGCCCGCCTCGAGCCCCTCAACAAACCGAGGCATACCCAGCACAGCCACTGCCCTTACAAATGTACAACAATTGTCCCCCACCTCAGCAAGCAGCACTGCTGTAGACCTCTACAGCACAATTCCCATCTCCTTACTTCCTGGGGAGCCACCAAAGAAGGTCCCCACAGGAGTTAGGCGATGCTTACCCTGAGGAACTGTTGGGAACAAGCCCCCCCAAATCCGGCCATAAACTGGCCCCAATACTGGCCATAAACAAAATCTCTGCAGCACTGTGTCATGTTCATGATGGCCATAACTCCCACGCTGGAAGGTTGTGGGTTTACTGGAATGAGGGCAAGGAACACCTGGCCTGCCCAGGGTGGAAAACCGCTTAAAGGCATTCTTAAGCCACAAACAATAGCATGAGTGATCTGTGCCTTAAGGACATGCTCCTGCTGCAGTTAACTAGCCCAATCTATTCCTTTAATTCAGCCCACCCCTTCGTTTCCCATAAGGGTTACTTTTAGTTAATTGAATATCTATAGAAACAGTGCTGATGACTGGCTTGCTGTTAATAAATATGTGGGTAAATCTCTGGGGCTCTCAGCTCTGAAGGCTGTGAGACCCCTGATTTCCCACTTCACACCTCTATATTTCTGTGTATGTGTCTTTAATTCCTCTAGTGCTGCTGGGTTAGAGTCTCCCCAACCTGGTCTTGGCAAGTGGTGCCCATTCATGGGGGCTTGAATACAGCTTGAAGGATCGCCAGAGCAATGGCTGGAGAATGTGGAACTAGCTGGAGGACACCCAAGTACTCTTAAAGCAATCCCCATGGTGAGTAAGAAGGGGAGCTCAGAAGCATCAGAGTAACAATGGGACAAGTGTGGGCTGTGGTTCGTTCTACCTTGGAACTTTTTCACACTGATGATGAGGAGGAAGGAGAGTATAACAAAGTAACAGTAGAGGTTACAGACCAGGTTTATTTGCCACCTAAAGCTGAAGCAGCAAAGGAGGGAGAGGTTCATCCCTACCCTTCTGTACCCCCTCATTATTATTTTGAAGAAAATGACCCTCCAGATCTTTCTTTTCTGGAGGACACTGGGTGAAAAGTAGTTGCCCTGGTGACTGTTCAAGCAGTGCCTTGAGCGACCACTCTTAGTTCTATTCAGGCAGGAATTCAGCAAGCTAGACAAGAGTGGGATTTAGAGGTTTGGCTGTTCCCTGTTAGAATAGAATAGAATAGAATAGAATAGAATAGAATAGAATAGAATAGAATAGAATGATCTGTTAGACCCTCCAGATCAACAGGGAAATATTCTAGCTACATTTGAGCCTTTTCCTTTTAAATTACTCAAAAAATTTAAACAAGCCATAAATCAATATGGACCAGGTTCTCCTTTTGTAATGGGACTGTTAAAGAATGTTGCTGTTTCCAGTTGGATGATTCCTACTGACTGGGACGCTCTTACTTGAGCTTGTCTAACTCCTGCTCAGTTCTTACAATTTAAAACTTGGTGGGCAGATGAAGCTTCCATTCAGGCTGCTTGCAATGCCTGGGCCTAACCTTAAATTAATATAACTGCAGACCAACTTTTGGGGGTTGGTGGCTGGGCTGGTTTGGATGCACAACTGGTCAGGCAGGATGATGCCATAGAACAGCTTAGAGGAACGTGCATTAGAGCTTGGGAAAAAAATCACTTCAGGTGGGGAACAATACCCTTCCTTTAGTGCTATAAAACAGGGACCAAGAGAACCACACGTGCATTTTATAGCTTGGTTACATGAGTCTCTTAAAAAGATGATCACAGATTTGGCTGCTCAAGATATAGTGTTGCAGTCATTAGCTTTCAACAATGCTAATCCCGATTGCCAGGCTGCTCTGTGACCTATCAGAGGGAAAGCACATTTAGTTGATTATTTCAAGGACTGTGATGGTATCAGAGGTAATCTGCATAAAGCTACTTTGTTGGCACAGGCGATGGCAGGACTGAGAGTGGATAAAGGAAATACTCCATTTCCTGGAGCTTGTTTTAACTGTGGGAAGCATGGTCATACTAAAAAGAATATAGAAAAAATCAGTGAGTCAGGCCACCAGATAAGGGAAAAAAGAAAACTGCTGATCCTGAAATATGTCCAAAATGTAAAAAAGGAAAACATTGGGCTAATCAGTGTCACTCTAAGTTTCATAAAGAAGGGAACCTGATTTCGGGAAACTCCCTGAGGGGCCCATCCCAGGCCCTGTTCTAAACCAGGGCATTTCCAGCTCAGGCCATTCCCTCACCCCCATACATTGTCTGTCCCCCGCCACAGCCCATAGTGCCACAGTAGATTTATGCTGCACAAAAGCTGTGAGCCTTCTGCCTGAGGAACCCCTGCAAAAGGTCCCAACAGCAGTCTGTGGACCCTTGCCAGCAGGGACAATAGGATTACTTTTAGGAAGGTCTAGTTTAAGTTTAAAAGGGGTACAAATACACACTGGAGTCATTGATTCAGATTACAATGAGGAAATTCAAATTGTTATATCTACTTCTGTTCCCTGGAAAGCAGAGCCAGGAGTGCGCATAGCACAGCTCCTGATTGTGCCGTATGTGGGGATGGGAAAAAGTGAAATTAAATGAACAGGAGGATTTGGAAGCACAAATAAACAAGGGAAAGCAGCTTATTGGGTAAACCAAATTACTGATAAACATCCTACCTGTGAAATAACTATCCAGGGAAAGAACTTTAAAGGTTTGGTAGATACTATTTTTTTTGGTAGGAGCGGACATTTCAATCATTTCTCTACAGCACTGGCTGTCCACGTGGCCAATTCAACCCACTCAATTTAACATAGTCAAAGTTGGTAAAGCCCCAGAAATATATCAAAGTAGCTATATTTTGTATTGTGAAGGGCCCGACGGACAACCTGGGACTGTTCAACCAATTATAACCTCTGTACCTATAAATTTATAGGAGAGAGATTTATTACAACAACGGGGAGCACAAGCTCTAATTCCATAACAATTATACGGCCCTCAAAGTCAACATATGATGCACAAAATGGGGCATGTCCCTGGTTTGGGAGTAGAAAAAAATTTGCAAGATTTGAAAGAACTGCTTCAAGTGGAAAGACAAAGTTCCTGCCAAAGGTTAGGATATCATTTTTGATGGTGGCCATTGTTAAGCCTCCAGAACCTATACCTTTAAAATAGTTAACAGATAAGCCAATTTGGATAGAATAATGGCTGCTAAGCAAAGAGAAACTGGAGGCTTTAGAGAAATTAGTTACTGAACAATTAGAAAATGCGCACGTAGCTCCAACATTTTCCCCTTGGAATTCTCCTGTTTTCGTAATTAAGAAAAAATCAGGTAAATGGAGAATGTTAATTGACTTAAGAGCCATCAATTCAGTTATACAACCTATGGGAGTGTAACAGCCAGGATTGCCTTCTCCTACTATAATTCCAAAAAATTGTCCTTTAATAGTCATAGATTTAAAAGACTGTTTTTTTACTACCCTTTTAGCTGAGCAAGACTGAACGGTTTGCATTTACAATTCCTGCAGTAAACAACCTGCAGCCTGCTAAGCATTTTCATTGTTTCACAGATGGGTCTAGTAATGGTAAAGCTTCTTATTCTGGATCAAAGGTAAAGTTTTCCAGACACCCTATACTTCAGCTCAAAAAGCGGAGCTTATAGCTGTAATTGAGGTATTGACTGCTTTTGATATGCCTATTAATGTGATTTCTGATTCTTCATACATGGTTCATTCCACACAGCTAATTGAAAATGCTCAGTTATGATTTCATACAGATGAACAACTAATAATAAAAACAAAAAAGGGGGAGACAGAGGGATTATGGGACAGCCCATACACAATTGAATCTAGCATTATTAACTTTCAAATTTTTGAGCCTGCCCAAAGGCCAGATGTTATCAGCAGCTGAACAGCATCTACAGAAAACAGCTGCAAAGACAGAAGCAGAACAACTGGTTTGGTGAAGAGATCCAATAACAAAAATTTGGGAAATAGGTAAAATAATAACTTGGCATTGAGGTTATGCTTGTGTTTCTCCAGGACCAAATCAACAGCTGATTTAGATACCATCAAGACACCTGAAACTTTATCATGAGCCAGATGCCGAGAAAGAGATTAAAAGCACAATCATCATTGAAATTACAGAGCTTCTGGCTGGGCGCGGTGGCTCACGTGTGTAGTCCCAGCACTCTGGGAGGCCAAGGTGGGTGGATCATAAGGTCAGGAGATCGAGACCATCCTGGCTAACATGGCTACTAAAAATACAAAAAATTAACTGGGCAAGGTGGCGGGTGCCTATAGTCCCAGCTACTCTGGAGGCTGAGGCAGGAGAATGGCATGCACCCAGCAGGTAAAACTTCAGGTTTTGCCAAGAATGACACTGTAAATGTAACAAAGCTTCCGTGCTTGTTAGTGAACACCAACTCAGCCACTCTCCTGTATTCGCACATCAGGATGAAATGAAAAGAACAAGCAGGCCAGGCGCGGTGGCTCATGCCTATAATCCCAACACTTTGGGGGGCTTAGGCGGGTGGATCACCTGAGGTTGGGAGTTTGAGACCAGCCTGACCAACATGGAGAAACCCCGTCTCTACTAAAAATACAAAATTAGCCAGGCATGGTAGCACATGCCTGTAATCCCAGCTACTTGGGAGGCTGAGGCAGGATAAGTGCTTAAACCCGAGAGGTGGAGGTTGCGGTGAGGCGATATTGCACCATTGCACTCCAGCCTGGGCAACAAGAGTGAAACTCCGTCTCAAAAAAATAAAAATAAAAAAATAAAAAAAGACCCCCAACCTTGTCTAGACTGTGGAGTTTCAGTTTCACCCCAGGGGGGTCCTGGTTGTGTTAGAACCCTGAATCTGGTTTGAGTTCGAATCCTAAAGAATAAAGGGAATAAAGGCTGCAGCCACTGAGATACTCAGTCTGGTCTGGTTCTGGCTTTTGTGTGTCTATCTGTATTTTTGGTCTAAAATATTTGGCTCAACAGAGGTTAAAGGCTTTGATGGTCTCAGCAAAAGCCTTGTGCGATCTCTAGTTTATCTGTGTGCTCAATTGGAACAAAGAGACTCCATAAACTAGAAAAACCTTAAGAAAATGGCAGATGTGAAAAATTGAGAGCCAACTCCTCTTTGTTGTTCTGTCCACCTCCCTCTCTCACTCCTCCTTCTGCCTTTGCTGTGGTCCCATGGTGTTTCTCTCTTTCTGGGGACCTGAGATTCAGTGTAGGAGTGAAGTCCACGATTTTAAAAAGTCTTCATGTCTGCTTTTTAACTCTGCCTGCTTTGCTGAGCTCTTATAATGAGAAATAAACCATTCAGAACAGAAACGACAGGGCATCAGAAAATCAACTTCAGGCAGTGCTCCAGCAAGTACCTCCCTAGAGGGGAAGGGCTTACTAAAGGAGATTTAATGTTGAAAAGGCCAAAATGAGAAGCTCTAACCTTAAGCTTGCTAGGTTTTCTGGGACTCGAGCTGGCTATATATTATGGACCATTCTAGTCACACACACACACACACACACACACACACACACACACACACACACATTTTTTTGAGACAGAGTCTTGCTCTGTTTCCCAGGCTGGAGTGCAGTGGTGCGATCTTGGCTCACTGCAACCTCCACTTCCCAGGTTCAAGTGACTCTCCTGTCTCAGCCTCCTGAGTAGCTGCGATTACAGGTGTGCACCACCATGCCCGTCTAATTTTTGTGGTTTTAGTAGAGATGAAGTTTCACCATGTTGGTCAGGCTGGTCTCAAACTCCTGATCTCAGGAGATCCAACCGCCTTGGCCTCCCAAACTGCTGGGATTACAGGCGTGAGCCACTGCACCCAGCCTATACATATATATATATATATATATATATATATATATATATATATATATATATATATAATGTATACACTTTTTTTTTCTTTTTGACACAGAGTCTTGCTCTGTTGCCCAGGCTGGAGTACGGTGGCAAAATCTCGGCTCACTGCAACCTCCACCTCCCAGGTTTGAGCAATTCTCCTGCCTCAGCCTCCTGAATAGCTGGGATTACAGGTGCACACCACCACACCCAGTTAATTTTTGTATTTTCAGTAGAGATGGGGTTTTGTCATGTTGGCCAGGCTGGTCTCGAACTCCTGGCCTCAAGTGATCCACCTGCCTCAGCCTCCCAAAGTGTTGGGATTACAGGCACGAGCCACTGCGCCTGGCCTCTAGTGCACACTTTAAACCTGATGGCCAAATTACATGAAAGAAAATTCAGAACTCAAATAGTTACTATCTTTAAAAACCCTAAAATGAAAAAATCTCAGTTCTTTTGCCTATTTTTTTTTCCCTGCCTACTTTGAATCTGCTGACTTGTCTACTGGTGTTGAGATGAAACTTACTGTCTGTGGTGTTACCAATTCAAGGTTACTTGGCTAAAGAAAAACAAAAGAATGAAACAATTCTTTATTTTTTTCTCTTTTTGAGACAAGGTCTCTCTCTAAGGCCTCATTCTGTTCCCCAGGCTGGAGTGCAGTAGTGGGATCATAGCTGTTACCTCAACCTCCCAGGCTCAAGCAATCCTCCTGCCTCATCTTCTCTAGTAGCTGGGACAATAGGCATGCACCACCATGCCTGGTAACTTTTTATCTTATTCTTAGTAGAGATTGGGTCTCACTATGTTGCCCAGGCTGGTCTCAAACTCCTGAGCTCAAGTGATCCTCTTGCCTCAGCCTCTCAAAGCGCTGGGATACAGGCATGAACCACTGTGCCCAGACAAAAGAGTTCTTTTATAAATACAAATAATTTAAAAAGTATTGATAAAATAAAAATAGAAATGTCTTCAGAATTGTCAGCATACATTTTTGAAGGTGTTTTATATTTACATTTGCTAGATATTTTAAGGTGCTAGGGTTTGGCATGAAGGTTATAAAGCTATAAACACAGGAAAAAAAAGAATATTTGTTTGTGTGATTTTTTAAATACATAAGACCAATTTAATACGGTTTGTTGAACAAAAATAATGGAATTTTCTGAGTTATTGGTAAAATACCCATGTATTTAACTTTGAAGTCCTCACTTACGTGAACACCTGATATTCACAGGCTATAACATGGTTAACAAGAAAATAACCTAGAAATGATGACTAGCTTTGTCTAATACCTCAGTTCTCACAAACACTCTAGATAAACTGTTAAAAATAAGTAAATGTAAATGGATAAATGTCTATACAAGACATCTTAATGTATTTTTGAAATTTTTTTGAGACAGTGTCTCTGTCTGTCACCCAGGCTAAAGTGCAGTGGCATGATCACAGCTCACTGCAACCTTGACCTCCTGCGCTCAAGGGATCCTCCCACCTCAGCCTCCCTAGTAGCTGTTAATTACAGGCATGCACCACCATGCTCAGCTAAGTTTTATTTTTTTTGTAGAGTCAGCATCTCACTATTTTGCTCAGGCTGGTCTCATGATACTCCTGCCTTGGCCTCCTAAAGTGTTGGGATTACAGGTATGAGCTACCATGCCCAGCCTATTTTTGAAATTTTACTTATGTTAAATTAAATAATAGATACTCATTAAATATCTGGGTTATTTCCAATTTAAAAACTTATGTTTTAGCCCAGGTGCGGTGGCTCACGTCTGTAATCCCAGCCCTTAGGGAGGCCAAGGCGGGTGGTTCACCCGAGGTCAGGAGCTCAAGACCAGCCTGACCAACATGGTGAAACCCCATCTCTACTAAAAAATACAAAAAATTAGCCAGGTTTGGTGGTGGGTTCCTGTAAACCCAGCTACTCGGGAGGCTGAGGCAGGAGAATTGCTTGAACCCGGGGGGCGGAGATTGCAGTGAGCCGAGATCACGCCATTGCACTCCAGCCTGGGCAACAAGAGCGAAACTCCGTCTTAAAAAATAAATATGTTTTAGGAACATGTAATTCTAAATTATGAAATCATTCTCATCTGTAAGATACTGCTATATGACAATTCAAGATTTCTTGCTTCCTAGGTTTTTTATTAAAATAAGGGTTACTAAGTGTTAATATCATGGCAGATGTATGTTATTAAGACTACTAGATACAAGAGAAACAATTCTGTATGCAAAATGTATACCGGTTTTTGTTTCAGAGAAAGTAAATTCGCTTAGAGATTTTTAAGGATTATTTTAAATTGAAGGAATAAAAAAGATAGATAAAACTAAATGTGTATAAAAAGTTGGGAAAGATGGAAAAAATTATACAAGGCTATTAAAAGTTTATGTAAATCTTACCTCGAGGTCAAAACTGATTGATATCAAATAGATTGTTTATAAAGTTTATTTAAATTAGCTGTAATATCGAAAACATAGTGATACAAAACTAAAAATTTTGGTTAAAACAACAAGGTTTTCTTAAAGTATTTATTTGCTCTTAATAAGAGGTAATAAATATTGACTTTTAATCCTGAAATCTGTTACTATAAAGACTTTTCAGATTTGTATATCAGAAGTTCAACTTTTCCTGTACTTTCATGTTACACATGAGTCACAGATCACATCATTGTCTTCTGTTCCTTCTTGAGAAGGGAGAGAAGGCTTGGCTTTTCTGCTTGGCTGGGATGATAACTCCTTCTGCTTTTTCATCAGGTCTAACTTTGTACTCTTGGCTTTTAAATATGTCTTAATTACTTCATGTAACCAGGAAACTTCCATGCTATCACTGTGAGCTATGGATCCCCACTGCTCTATGCTCTGGTTTTCCTGTTTACATTCCTCTGTAATATTATGCTCACTCATGGCCCTGGACACACTCTTTCTATGTCTAATTAAATTCAAGTCTCCTTGTCATCGGGTTTGACTTCCAAGTGATTTAAATTAGCTTCCCATAAGAAGACACAATTATGCCACAGGAGGTTTTACCCTTTAAATGACTGGCCTCTAATAAAGATTTTAGGTTTTATCAAAATAATCCATGTGTTGCCTTTATTGTTTTTTTAATTACTTGGGAAAACTGAGGGTTTTCAGTTTTCACATCCATGTAACCTTCTATGTTGCTTTTGATGTCTTTTGGTTGTCATGCTACTTAAATGAATGGCTGTTATTTAAAAATGACATGTGGCTGTGTGCAGCGGCTCATGCCTGTAATTCCAGCACTTTGGGAGGCCAAGGTGTGTGGATCACTTGAACCCAGGAGTTCAAGTCCAGCCTGGGCAAAATGGCAAAACCCCATCTCTACTAAAAACACAAAAACTAGGTAGGTGTGGTGGCACGTGCCCATAGTCCTGGCTACTTGGGAAACTAAGGTGGAGGATCACCTGAGCCTGGAAGGTTGAGGCTGCAGTGAGCCATGATTGCACCACTACACTCCAGCCTGGGCAACAGGGTGAGACACTGTCTCAAAAAAATAATAAAATAAAAAATATTTTTTTCTCTGAGACAGAATCTTGCTTTGTCACCCAGGCTGGAGTGCAGTGGCATGATCTCGATTCACTGCAACCTCTGCCCCAAGGTTCAAGTGATTCTCCTGCCTCAACCTCCCAAGTAGCTGGGACTACAGACACATGCCACCATGCCAGGCTAATTTTGTATTTTTAGTAGAGACAATATTTCGCCATGTTGGCCAGGCTGGTGTCAAGCCCCTGACCTCAGATAATCTGTCCAACTTGGCCTCCCAAAGTGTTGGGATTACAGGCATGAGCCACTGTGCCTGGCCTAAATCTTCTTTTGGTTACATTTATAGGTATGTTATTAATATAAATGTTTTAAATGTTATATAAATTATAAAAATCTAATATGGTATCAGTGATAATTTTGATGATGTTAAATCTTTTCTAAAGTTGTATGTGTATAGATATATTATTAATATAAATATTCTAAAGATTATATAATATTTGTGGAAGTCTGATGGATCCGATGTGTTGCCATCAGTCATGATTCTGGCTGTTATCTTAAAATGCTACATATAATAGAAATAACTAAATTTTCTTGCCAGTTGAGAACTTCCACTGGATTTTAACCAAAGGCTATTCTAAGTTTTTGTCATCCACGGTGATTGTTTAAAGTTCTTCTCTGAAACCCTTTACAGGCCGGGCGCGGTGCTGGACACTGTGCAGGGCGTGGTTCTGGGTGTGGTGCAGGGCACGGTGGCTCACCCATATAAGAATCCCAGCACTTTGCAAGGCCAAGGTGGGTGAATTGTTTGAACTCAGAAGTTTGAGAGCAGCCTGGGCAACATGGTAAAACCCTGTCTCTACAAAAATACAAAAATTAGCCAAGCATGGTGGTGCATGCCTATGGTCCCAGCTACTTGGGAGGCTGAGGTAGGAGGATGGCTTGAGTTTGGGTGGGAGAGATTGCGGTGAACCAAGATCATGCCACTGTGCTCCATCCTGAGTGATAGAGCCAGACCATGTCTCAGAAAAAAAAAAAGAAAAAAAAAGCCTTTAAAATCAGCTATCATCTAAATTACTTTTAATGGAAAGGACTCTGACAAGTTCTCTTAAATACGGTTTCTGGTAACTTTGGGGATCATACCATTGGACTAGGAAAATCTTCCAGGACTCTAAAAAGCTGAATGAGAATTTCTAATTGAAATCAAGCAAAACACAAAAAGCTGAATGAGAATTTCTATTTGAAATCCAGCAGAACAAGATTTAGTTACATGGGACTGAACTTATAAAAGAGGGAAAAGATTCTATTCATGGCCCTTTCATTGGAAACATTGTTGATTCCCTTTATGTTTTGTTTTTCAAAGTCAAGAAACTTTTTTTCTTTTCAGCTATTTTTAACTTACAATACATTAGATAAACTACATTGTGAACAAAAATTTGAGCCATTTATCTGTCTCTCTAACTGATTTCTCCAGAATTCAGAAGGCATTCATGAGCATTCTTAAATTTTAGCAATATAATTATTTGCATAAGTTCAATAAGAATCTGTTTTTGGTAACAGGATTCAATTGGAGACACTGTTTGTTTTATCAAGGCTTTAACTTGAGTGGCAGATACAACCAGACCACTTTAAGGAATTGAGGTTGACTTTATAGCACCAATACAAAGCCCCTTAGAATGACTGGCTTGGTGTCTTGTCTATAAGGGTCCTTTACAAAGTTGCTGTCCTTGTGGTAAGAAGTAAAGAATGTCACTTTCTGACGGGCCCAGGAACCTCAAGATATTTGGGGACCTTGAGAAGAGAGGACTACACCCATTCATAAAAGTATTACAGGACAGCTGGCAAGATGTCCGAATAAGAACAGCTCCGGCCTGCAGCTTCCAGTGAGATCAACGCAGAAGGCGGGTGATTCATGCATTTCCAACCGAACCTCCACTGGTCATACCCAGGCAAACAGGGTCTGGAGTGGACCTCCAGCAAACTTCAGCAGACCTGCAGCAGAGGGACCTGACTGTTAGAAGGAAAACTAACAAACAGAAAGGAATAGTATCAACATCACCAACATCAAAGGCCAAAGGTAGATGAATCCACAAAAATGGGGAGAAACCAGTGCAAAAAGGCTGAAAACTCCAAAAGCCAGAATGCCTCTTCTCCTCCAAAGGATCACAACTCCCCGCCAGCAAGGGAACAAAACTGGACAGACCGTGAGTTTGACGAATTGACAGAAGTAGGCTTCAGAAGGCGGATAATAACAAACTCCTCTGAGCTAAAGGAGCATGTTCTAACCCAATGCAAGGAAGCTAAGAACCTGGAAAAAAAGGTTAGATGAATTGCTAACTAGAATAACCAGTTTAGAGAAGAACAAAAATGACCTGATGGAGCTGAAAAACCCAGCACAAGAACCTCATGAAGCACACACAAGTATCAATAGCTGAATCAATCAAGCAGATGAAAGGATATCAGAGATTGAAGATCAACTCAATGAAATAAAGCAAGAAGACAAGATTAGAGAAAAAAGAGTAAAAAGAAATGAACAAAGCCTCCAAGAAATAGAGGACTATGTGAAAAGACTGAATCTACGTTTGATTGGGGTACCTGAAAGTGACGGGAGAATGGAATCAAGTTGGAAAACACTCTTAAGGATATTATCCAGGAGAATTCCCCCAACCTAGCAAGAGAGGCCAACATTCAAATTCAGGAAATACAGAGAACACCACTAAGATACTCCTCAAGAAGAACAACCCCAAGACAGAAAATCATCAGACTCATCAAGGTTGAAATGACGGAAAAAATGTTAAGGGCAGCCAGAGAGAAAGGTTGAGTTACCCACAAAGGGAAGCCCATCAGACTAACAGTGGATCTCTTGGAAGAAACCCTACAAGCCAGAAGAGAGTGGGGGCCAATATTCAACATTCCTAAAGAAAAGAATTTTCAAGCCAGAATTTCATATCCAGCCAAACTAAGCTTCATAAGTGAAGGAGAAATAAAATCCTTTACAGACAAGCAAATGCTTTAAGATTTTCTCACCACCAGGCCTGCCTTACGAGAGCTCCTGAAGGAAGCACTAAACACAGAAAGGAACAACTGGTACCAGCCACTGCAAAAACACACCAAATTGTAAAGACCATTGACACTATGAAAAAAACTGCATCAACTAACGAGCAAAATAATGAGCTAGTATCATAATGACAGGATCAAATTCACACATAACAATATTAACCTTAAATGTAAATGAGCTAAATGCCCCCAATTAAAAGACACAGACTGGCAAATTGGATAAACAGTCAAGACCCATCAATGTCCTGTATTCAGGAGACCTATCTCATACACATAGGCTCAAAATAAAGGGATGGAGGAACACTTACCAAGAAAGTGGAAAGCAACAAAAGTCAGGGGTTGCAATCCTAGTTTCTGATAAAACAGACTTTAAGCCAACAAAGATCAAAAGAGAAAAGAAGGGCATTACATAATGGTAAAGAGATCAATGCAACAAGGAGAGCTAACAATCCTAGACATATAATCACCCAATACAGGAGCACTCAGATTCATAAAGCAAGTTCTTATAGACCTGCAAAGAGACTTAGACTCCCACACAATAATACTGGGAGACTTTAACACTCCACTGTCAATATTAGATCATTGAGACAGAAGATTAACAAGAATATCCAGGACTTGAACTCAACTCTGGACCAAGTGGACCTAATAGACATCTACAGACCTCTCCACCCCAAATCAACAGAATATACCTTCTTCTCAGCACCACATTGCACTTATTCAAAAACTGACCACATAATTGGAAGGAAAACACTCCTCAGGAAATGCAAAAGAACAGAAATCATAACAAACAGTCTGTCAGACCACAATGCAATCAAATTAGAATGCAGGATTAAGAAACTCCTCAAAACCTCACAACTACATGGAAACTGAGCAACCTGCTCCTGAATGACTACTGGGTAAATAACGAAATGAAGGCAGAAATAAAGATGTTCTTTGAAACCAATGAGAACAAAGACACAACGTACCAGAATCTCTGGGACACATTTAAAACAGTGTGTAGAGGGAAATTTATAGCACTAAATGCCCACAAGAGAAAGCAGGAAAGATCTAAAATTGACACCTTAACATCAAAATTAAAAGAACTAGAGAAGCAAGAGCAAACAAATTCAAAAGCAAGCAGAAGACAAGATATAAATAAGATCAGAGCAGAACTGAAGGAGATAGAGACAGGAAAACTCTTAAAAAACATCAATGAATCCAGGAGCTGGTTTTTTGAAAAGATCAACAAAATAGACCACTAGCAGACTAATAAAGAAACACCTCTATGCAAATAAACTAGAAAATCTAGAAGGAATGGATAAATTCCTGGACACATACACCCTTCCAAGACTAAACCAGGAAGAAGTCAAATTCCTGAATAGACCAATAACAAGTTCTGAAATTGAGGCATTAATTAATAGCCTACCAACCAAAAAAAGTCCAGGACCAGACGGATTCACAGCCAAATTCTACCAGAGGTACAAAGACGAGCTGGTACCATTCCTTCTGAAACTATTCCAAACAATAGAAAAAGAGAGAATTGTCCCTAACTCATTTTATGAGTCCAGGATCATCTTGATACCAAAACCTGGCAGGGACACAACAAAAAAAGAAAATTTTAGGCCAATATCCCTGATGAACATCAATGCAGAAATCCTGAATAAAATACTGGAAAACTGAATCCAGCAGCACATCAAAAAGCTTGTCCATCATGATCAAGTTGGCTTCATCCCTGGGATGCAAGGCTGGTTCAACATGCAAATCAATAAATGTAATCCATCACATAGATGTAATCAATGACAAAAACTACATGATTATCTCAATAGATGCAGAAAAGGCCTTTGACAAAATTCAACAGGCCTTCATGTTAAAAACTCTCAATAAACTGGTATTGATGGGACGTATCTCAAAATATTAAGTGCTATTTATGACAAACCCACAGCCAATTACATACTGAATGTGCAAAAACTGGAAGCGTTCCCTTTGGAAATCAGCACAAGACAAGGATGCCCTCTCTCAATACTCCTATTCAACATAGTGTTGGAAGTTCTGGCCAGGGTAATCAGGCAAGAGAAAGAAATAAAGGGTATTCAATTAGGAAAAGAGGAAGTCAAATTGTCTCTGTCTGCAGATGACATGATAATATATTTAGAAAACCCCATCGTCTCAGCCCAAAATCTCCTTAAGCTGATAAGCAACTTCAGCAAAGTTTCAGGATACAAAATCAATGTGCAAAAATCAAAAGCTTTCCTATACACCAATAACAGACAAACAGAGAGCCAAACTATGAGTGAACTCCCATTCACCATTGCTACAACAAGAATGAAATACCTAGGAATACAACTTACAAGGATGCGAAGGACCTCTTCAAGGAGAACTACAAACCACTCCTCAAAGAAATAAGAGAAGACACAAACAAATGGAAAAACATTCCATGCTCATAGATAGGAAGAATCAATATCATGAAAATGGCCATACTACCCAAAGTAATTTATAGATTCACTACTATCCCCATTAAACTACCATTGACTTTCTGCATGGAATTGGAAAAATATACTTTAAATTTCATATGGAATCAAAAAAGAACCCAAATAGCCAAGACGATCCTAAGCAAAAAGAACAAAGCTGGAAGCATCATGCTACCTGACTTCAAACTATACTACAAGGCTACGGTAACCAAAACAGCATGGTACCAGTACCAAAACAGATATATAGATCAAAGGAACAGAACAGAACCCTCAGGAATAACACCACACATCTACAGCCATCTGATCTTTGACAAACCTGAGAAAAAAAAGCACTGGGGAAAGGATTCCCTATTTAATAAATGGTGTTGGGAAAACTGGCTAGCCTTAGGCAGAAAGCTGAAACTGGATCCCTTCCTTACACCTTATATAAAAATTAACTCAAGATGGATTAAAGACTTAAACCTAAGACCTAAAGCCATAAAAACCCTAGAGGAAAACCTAGGCAATACCATTCAGGACATAGGCATGGGCAAAGACTTCATGACTAAAACACCAAAAACAATGGCAACAAAAGCCAAAATTGACAAATGGGACCTAATCAAACTAAAGAGCTTCTGGACAGCAAAAGAAACTATGAGAGTGAATGGCAACCTACAAAATGGGAGAAAATTTTTGCAATCTATCCATCTGACAAAGGGCTAATATCCAGAATCTACAAAGAACTTAAATTTACAAAAAAAAAAAAAAAACAATCCCATCAAAAAGTGGGCAAAGGATGTGAACAGACACTTCTTAAAAGAGGACAATTATGCAACCAACAAACATGAAAAAAAGCTCATCATCACGAGTCATTAGAGAAATGCAAATCAAAACCGCAATGAGATACCATCTCATGCCAGTTAGAATGGCGATCATTAAAAAGTCAGGAAACAACAGATACTGGAGAGGGTGTGGAGAAATAGGAATGCTTTTACACAGTTGGTGGGAGTGTAACTTAGTTCAACCATTGTGGAAGACAGTGTGGCTATTCCTCAAGGATCTAGAACTAGAAATACCATTTGGCCCAGCAATCCCATTACTGGTTATATACCCAAAGGATTATAAATCATTCTACCATAAAGACACATGCACACCTGCGTTTATTGCAGGACTGTTCACAATAACAAAGACTTGGAACCAACCCAAATGCCCATCAATTATAGACTGGATAAAGAAAATGTGGCACATATACACCATGGAATACTATGCAGCCATAAAAAAGGATGAGTTCATGTCCTTTGTAGGGACATGGATGAAGCTGGAAACCATCATTCTCAGCAAACTAACACAAGAACAGAAAACAAAACACCACGTGTTCTCACTCATAAGTGGGAGTTGAACAACGAGAACACATGGACACATGGAGGGGAACATCACACACTGGGGCATGTTGGGGGGTGGGGGCGGGGGGAGGGATAGCATTAGGACAAATACATAATATAGGTGATGGGTTGATGGGTGCAGCAAACCACCACAGCACATGTATACCTATGTAACAAACCTGCACGTTCTGCACGTGTACCCCAGAACTTAAAGTATAATAAAAAAAAAAGTAGGTTAAAAAAAAGTATTACAGACACAGTCTGATGCAAATCTTTGACTTGGCTAGCCTCAAGGCTTTTAAAAGTCTAAGATTCCTTATTAAAAAGTTCCAACAAAGCCAATTTTAAGAAGCCTATATGGTCAATAAATATTCTTACTGCACTTTATGCAAATAATCAGACCAGGTACGATAAGACTAAAACTTATTTTGCACACAAATTTGTCCTACTATGATTTGTCTTTGATAAAATGATGGACTAGAGAGAGAAAATTTATGTTCCAAAAGAAAACTATGACATATGCTATTAGATTCCAGCCCTGATCATTGTTTCCGAGTTTTTATTATTTGCCTATAATTTGGGCTGAATCCTGAATTATTTCCTGGCTCCAAGTGTTCCCTAGTTAACCCAGATATAACATATTTTAAAAAACTTGTTTTTTCCTGTCAGGAATGAGATGTATTTTTGAAGGACTACTTAAACTAGCAATTACAATTCGATTATTATGATTATAGAATCTCGGGATTTCTCTTCCTTCTTGTCAAGGTCTTTACCTGATGTTTGTCTCATTAAAAAAAAAAAAAAAGAAATCAGACTGATTACACTCTACTCAAGACTGAAGACATGTACTTTAACCTGTCTCTGTTACCAGTAAACCAAAGCCTTAAATTTCAGAATCCGTCAAGGACCCTGTGTTGTCCCTGGATCAAGCACCCATGGGCTTATGAATGTGTTGACCACTGGCATATGAGAGGTAATTGTCTATTAGGTTATGTGGCTCTTCCTCTTTCTATTTATAACTCCAATGTTTCTGAACACTGAAGTAGTTCATCGAAATTATTTTCCAGGATTAGACAAACCGTACCTGCAAACCAAGGAGATGAATTTTGGCCTATGTTTGGCAGAAGTCTCTTGCAATGGTGGGGAGTAACTCTCATGAACGTATAATTAGAAATCTGTCAACCACTCTAGGTAACTTAGCAAATGAACTAGCTGAAGCCGTAGCTACCAAATAAAGATCTTCAGACTCTTTAGCCAGGATAGTCGTGGATGACGGAATAACTTTAGGCTACATAGTGGTGAAACAGGGAGAAACTCATATGGAAGCTAGCTAACACATCATGTTGTGTTTAGATCCATACATCTTCTGAAGTTGAAACACATGTAAAAAAATAAGACGATATGGGAATTAATTATGGCAAATCTAGGGAAGAGGCTGAAAGAGCTGTAACACAAGCAGGGCTGAGACATGCCCCTTGCTTGCCACATTGTGGGCAAAGAGAAGGAAAGAAGAGCTGTGGCCCTTTGGGGAGCCCAGACCTGGAGCTCCCCGAGCCAGGGCTGTGATTCCCTCTTTAGGGCCCTGTGGTTCCTGGTATCTCCAAGCTTCTGGGTGCCACTGTGTTCCCAGTGTGCCAGCTGTGGAAGCTGCTTGCGGTGCCCGTGGTCCAGCCACAGCCTTGTAGAGAGCTGGTGCCCGTGTTGGCACCTGGAGCCACCTGCCCCACTGCAGCAGCCAGCAAGTCTGACTGCACAGTGGCCAGACCCCATGCTCACTCACACACCCCTTGCCACTCCATGCAGTCTCCCTTGGCAGGCGTGGGATCCAACCTGGTAGCATGAGCTGAGCACAGCCTGCCAGGCTGAGTGGGTGGGGCCCAGCAAAACGCAGGCAAAGGTGCCACCAGCCATAGAGGTTTCTGTCCAGAAAAGTAACACTCCAAAGATCCCGTAACACCGCTACTCTTCCCAGCCTCTGGAAGCTCTCAGTCTACTCTCTATCTTGATGAGTTCAATTGTTTTAATTTTTAGCTCCCACAAATGAGTGAGAACGTGCAAAGTCTGTCTTTCTGTGCCTGGCTCATTGTACTTAACATAATATCCTTTAGTTCCATCCATGTTGTTGCAAATGACAGAATCTTATTCTTTTTCATGGCCGAAGAGTACTCCATTGTGTATATGCACCACATTTTCTTTATCCCTTCATTTGTTGATGCACACTTAGGTTGCTTCCAAATCTTGGCTATTATGAATAATGCTGAAATAAATATGGGAATGCAGATATCTCTTTGATATACTAATTTTCCCTCTCTTGGGTATATACCCAGCAGTGGGATTGCTGGATCATATGATAGTTCTATTTTTAATTTTTTGAGGGACCTCCGTATTGTTCTCCATAGTGAATGTACTAATTTACATTCCCACCAACAGAGTAAGAGTGTTCCCTTTTCCCCACGTTCTTGCAAGCATTTATTGCCTGTCTTTTGCATAAAAGCCATTTTAATGGGGTAAGATGATATCTTATTGTAGTTTTGATTTCAATTTCTCTGATGATCAATGATATTGAGCATCTTTTCATATCCCTATTTGACATTTATATATCTTCTTTTTTGTTTTTGCTCATTTTTTGAGACAGGGTCTCAGTCTGTCACCCAGGCTGGAGTGCAGTGGTATGATCATGGCTTAATGTAGTGTTGACTGCCAGGGTTCAAGCAATCCTCCCACCTCAGCCTCCTGAGTAGCTGGGACCACAGGCATGCATCACCATGCCCAGGTAGTTTTTAAAATTATTTGCTATGTTGTTCAGTTTGGTCTTGAACTCCTGGGCTCAAGTGGTCCACCTGTCTTGGCTCCCCAAAGTGCTGGAATTACAGGTGTGAGCCACTGTGCCTGACCTGTGTGCCTTCTTTTGAGAAATGTCTGTTCAGATCTTTTGCCCATTTAAATAATTGGATTGTTAGTTTTTTTCTTATGAGTTGTTTGAGCTCCTTATATATTCTGGTTATTAATCCCTTGTCAGATATATAGTTTGCAAATATTTTCTTCCATTCTGTGGATTGTCTTTTCACTTTGCCCATTGTTTTCTTTACTATGGAGAAACTTTTGAACTTGATGTGATACCACTTGTTCATTTTTGCTTTGGTTGCCTGAGCTTTTGGAGTATTACTCAAGAAATCTGTGCCCAGACCAATTTCCTGGAGAGTTTCCCTAATGTTTTCTTTCAGCAGTTTCGTGTCTTTGATTTAAGTCTTTAACCCATTTGGATTTGATTTTTGTATATAGTGCAAGAGAGGGTTCTAGTTTAATTATTCTGCCAATGACTTTGGGAGGCCGAGGTGGGCGGATCATGAGGGCAGGAGATTGAGACCATCCTGGCTAACACGGTGAAACTCCGTCTCTACTAAAAATACAAAAAAAAAAAATTTAGCCAGGCATGGTGGCAGGCGCCTGTACTCCCAGCTACTTGGGAGGCTGAGGAGGAGAATGGTGTGAACCCAGGAGGTGGAGCTTGCAGTGAGCCCAGATCACGCCACTGCACTCCAGCCTGAGCAACAGAGCTAGACTCCATCTCAAAAAAAAAAAAAAAAAAAAAAAAATTCTGCCAATGAATATCTAGTTTTCCCAGCACAATTTGTTGAAGAGACTGTCCTCTCCCCCATGTATATTCTTGGCACCTTCATTGAAAATGAGTTAATTGTAAATGTATGGATTTATTTCTGGGTTCTCTATTCTGTTCCATTGGTCTATGTGTCTGTTTTATGCCAGTACCATGCTGTTTTGTTTACAATTGCTCTGTAGTATAATTTAAAGTCAGGTGATGTGATTCTTCCAGTTTTGTTCTTTTTGCTCAGGATGGCTTTCGGTATTCTGGGTCTTTTATGGTTTCATATAAATTTTAGGATTTTTTTTCTATTTCTGTAAAGAGTGTTATTGGTATTTCAATAGGGATTGCATTGAATCTGTAGATTGCTTTGTGAAGTATAGGTATTTTAACAATATTTACTCTTCCAATCAATGAACATGGACAATCTTTCCATTTTTTTTGGTGTCCTCTTTAATTTTTTTGCATCAGTGTTTTATAGTTTTCATTGTAGAGATCTTTCACTTATTCTGTTATGTTTGTTCCCAGATATTTTATTTTATTTGTAGCTATTGTAAATGGGATTACATTCTTGATTTTCTTCTTTAGATTGTTCATTTTTGTCATTTAGAAATGCTACCGACTCTTGTAGTTTGATTTTGTATCCTGTGACTCTGAATTTGTTGATCAGTTCTAATAGTTTTTTGGTGGAGTCCTTAGGTTTTTCCAAATATAAGATCAAATCATCTGCAAACAAGAAAACAGTAATAATTTTACTTCTTTCCAATTTGGATCCCTTTTATTGTTTTTCTCTTGTCTGAATTGCTCTAGCTAGGACTTCCAGTACTGTGTGTTGGAAGTGGACATTCTTGTCTTGTTCCAGATCTTAGAAGAAAGGCTTTCAGCTTTTCCCTGTTCAGGATGATACTGGCTGTGGGTCTGTTGCATATGGTTTTTATTGTGTTGTGGTATGTTCCTTCTATATCTAGTTTTTTTTTGAGGGTTTCTTTTTATCACAGGGATGTTGGATTTTATTAAATGCTTTTCAGCATCAATTGAAATTATCATATGGTTTTTGTCCTTCATTCTGTTGATATGATGTGTCACATTGATTGATTTGCATATGTTGAACCATGTTGGCATCCTCGGGATAAATCCCACTTAGACATGATGAATGGTCTTTTTCATAGGATGAGTTTGGAAATACTACAGCCTTCTCTGTTTTTTGGAATAGTTTAAGTAGGATTGATAGTAATTCTGCCTTCAATGTTTGGTAAAATTAATCAGTGAAGCCAGTGAAGCCATTGGATCCAGGCTTTTCTTTACTAGGAGATGTTTTATTATGGCTTCAATTTCATTTATCCATTTCTTCTAGGTTTGTTGTTTGGTTGTTTTTTTGTTTTCTTTTTTTTGAGATGGAGTCTTGCTCTGTCACCCAGGCTGGAGCGTGGTACAATCTCAGGTCACTGCAACCTCTGCCTCCCAGGTTCAAGTGATTTTCCTGCCTCAGCCTCTGGAGTAGCTGGGAGTACAGGTGCATGACACCATGCCTGGCTAATTTTTGTATTTTTAGTAGAGATGGGGTTTCACCATGTTGGCCAGGCTGGTCTTGAACTCCTGACCTCAGGTGATCACCTTCCTTGGCCTCCCAAAGTGGTGGGATTACAGGCATGAGCCACGGTGCCTGGCCATTTCTTCCAGGTTTTTCAATTTATTGGAATATAGTCAGTCATAATAGTTTCTAATGATTCTTTGAATTTCCGCAGTATCAGTTGTAGTATCTCCTTTTTAATCTCTGGTTTTATGTATTTGAGTCTTCTCTCTTTTTTCTTAGTCTGGTTAAATGTTTGTTGATTTTGTTGGTCTTTTAAAAAATATTAACTTTTCATTTCATTGATATTTTATATTTTTAAATTTCAATTTCATTTATTTCTGCTCTGATCTTTGCTATGTTTCCTTCTACTAATTTTGGTTTTGGTTTGCTCTTGCTTTTCCAATTATTTAAGATGCATTATTAGGTTGTTTATTTGAAGCTTTTCTACTTTTTTTGATGCAGGTGCTTTTTGCTATAAATTTACCTCTTAGTACTGTAGTAGTGTTTTTACTGTATCCCATAGGTTTTTTTTTTTTTTTTTTGAGACGGAGTATCGCTCTGTTTCCCAGGCTGGAGTGCAGTGACGCGATCTCGGCTCACTGCAAGCTCCGCCTCCCGGGTTCACGCCATTCTCCCGCCTCAGCCTCCTGAGTAGCTGGGACCAAAGGCGCCCGCCATCACGCACGGTTAATTTTTGTTTTTTGTATTTTTAGTAGAGACGGGGTTTCACTCTGTTAGCCAGGATGGTCTCGATCTCCTGACCTCGCGATCCGCCCGCCTCAGCCTCCCAAAGTGCTGGGATTACAGGCATGAGCCACTGCGCCCGGCCTGTACCCCATAGGTTTTGGTTTGACTTTAAACTTTTTCTTTTCTCGAAAACTCAGTGTCGTGGTACCGGCTTCTAGTGCTTTGGGCAGTGAGACCCTTTTACTTGATAACAGTGGTAGCTGGGACAACTTGGCAACGTAAATAAATAAACGGCATCTAGATTGGAAAGGAAGAAGTACAGTTATCTTTATGTACAGATGACATGATCTTGCATTTAGAAAATCGTAAGAAATTTACTAAAAAGTATTAGGACTCATGAACAAATTTAAGAATGTAACACTATATAAGATTGATATACAAAAATAACTGTATTTCTTTACCAAGAAATCAAGAATCCAAAAATGGAATTACAAAAATAAATCTTGTTACAATAGAATTAAAGCTGGGGAAGCTTAAACTTGAACACTAAAAACTGCAATACATGGTTAGCGTCGGAGACACCCAGGTATCATCCCTGAGCCTTCTCTCCTTGGCTCTGAGGACTTCACCTTCACGTGGTGAGGAAAGGGGTTGCAGTCTTGGCTTTTACGTTATATTAGGTGGGTTCAGGTTGAGGTATCTGCAATTCAAATGAGTATTACAATCTCTACTTTTATGGATAAGAGACTGAGGCCCACCAAGAGAGGGAATGACAGTCCATATCCTGGAAGGCAAATTGTCAGGCACTGATTTCCGCTATGTAACCCCTGCCAATCATCGTGTATTTAAAGGATCCCCAGATACCATACCAATAGGTGTTCAAGAGAGAGGCCTGTAATCTAGGCGTCTGAGAAAGCAAGGCTAGAGATTCCGATATTGGAGACAACAGGGCTCTGGGAAGATTAAGGTTGAGTTTTCTGGATCTGCAGAATAGAGTCACTGAGGAGCAATTGCAAGATCCGAGGAGATGAAAGAACAAGTCAGGGCATGCTTAGGAAAAGAGAAAACCAGGGATAGGTTTTAGGCAAGAGTCACACTGAGGAAGGGCAGGTTCTTGGCGTCGCTCAGGAAGGAATCCAAAAGCAAGCCTGTGGTGGAAGAAAGCAGCTCTACGGAGGCACTGGCGGTGTTACAGCCCTGCGTCCACTCCTGCAGGGCAGGGAGCCCTCCGTGGGTTGTGCTCCCAGAGTAGCAGCCTGGGGGTGGCTTGCAGTCATTTTTATAATTCACTTTTAATGGCATGCTAATTAAGGGGCGGGTTATTCAGAAATAGCTAGAAATGGGCAGTAACTTCCAGCTGTTTCCATGGCAAGGGGTGGGGACTTCCCGTGCTGCCGTGGCATTGGCAAACTGTCACGGCACTGGTGGAAGCGTCTTCTGGTGATCTGAGGCGTGAGGTGCTTTCGCTGCCTCTCCCAGTCTCCTGCGTGCCTCTTACCTGAAAGCCCTTCACACCCTCATCTGCCCACCTACAAACTTCACTGCCCTTTCACCCCAACCCCGTTTCACACGCACTCCCACATCAACCCTGAGCATTCAAGCTTGCGTTTCCCTGTTAGGAACCTCGGTGGTGGCCGGAGCTCTGAGAAACCCCTAGGCAGAAATCCTTGCCTAGTTTGTGGCAGAAATCAGGGAAGGAAAGGCAAAGTTCAGGTCTTTCTCACAATAAATAAATAAAGATAGCTAGATTTGATTGATTGGTGGATGGATGAAACGTGGGAGTTTATGGGCAAATATTTATCAGACACTGGAAGTGTAAGTTGTCACAAAGATTATGGAGTGCACCTGTCTTATGACCCTGTTATTTTATCCCAGTATATGCACTAGAGCATTTTTTGTAACTGTGTAAATTGAAGGCTTATAAATTAGTTTAGTGAGAGAAAAGATAACGGATTGGAAGAGAATTACCATATTCATTAGTTGTGTTTTTAAAATTTTAAAGTAAAATAGAGACATGATTTTTTTCATGCTTTCGAATGCATTTATAAAAAATAGACTTGAGGGCTGGGCGCAGTGGCTCACGCCTGTAATCCCAGCACTTTGGGAGGCCGAGGAGGGCGGATCACGAGGTCAAGAGTTCGAGACCAGCCTGACCAACATGGTGAAACCCCGTCTCTACTAAAAATACAAAAATTAGGTGAGTGTGGTGGCGCGCACCTGTAATCCCAGCTACTCAGGAGGCTGAGGCAGGAGAATCGCTTGAACCCGGGAAGCGGAGGTTGCAGTGAGCCGAGATCGCACCATTGCTCTCCAGCCTGGGTGACAGAGTGAGACTCCGTCTCAAAAAAAAAAAAAAAAAAAAAGTTACTCATTAATAGCATAGACCAATTGGCCTCTATTGAAATTTCTCCATTATTTTCACAATGTGCCAGGCTGTGAAACCAGGATTTAATAAAGAACCAGAATGCCACATCTGTGTCACCTGGGTAGGGACCAGTCCTGATCCATTAAGTCCGGGTCTCTGGGTAACTGGACTCACTGCTGGGCAAAACAGAATGTCCGGCTTGGGTTCCTAACCGGGGACCGCAGAGCCTCATGGGAAATGTAGTGTCACCTTCCAATGATGTTACCATCAAGGACCTTGGGAACCAGCTTTTCTCTCTGCGCATGCGCCGCCCCGCCCACTCCGCCATTTTCCTCCGGAAGTGCGGCACCCAGAGGCGGTCTTGTAGCTGGGCCAGCCTGGGGCTTGGTTCTATGTCCCTGCGGGTCGGTGCGAGGGCGAAGAGGAACCCGTGGGCCCGGGGGATCCCGGGGGGCCGGACCAGTGTTCCCCAGTTGTGGGAGCAGACGCGTGGGCGCATCGCGGGCGGGCAGGGCCTGAAGTGCAGGTGCAGGCCGCGGACCCTGGCGGGGGCTGGGAGGACAGGCGTGGGGTCCCGGCAGTGAAGCGGGTTCTAGAGGCGCAGGAGCGGGTAGGCGAGGCCGGTGGCCCTGGGCCCGGAGTCTGCAGGCCGCGCTCCTGTCCTGCCGCTGAGGGAGCCGGTTACCAACCCGCATGACGCTCAGTTTGCCCATCTGTCCCAGTGCGAACACACAGTTCTCGGGAGACGTTCCCCATTCCCAGAGGAGTAGTGCGAAACGCGTGCGCCTCGAGTCTTAAACTGGGCGTTTGTATTAGTTGGGTTTCCCGGTGTCTCTTTAGCAAGTGAAGTTTCTGGTTCCCTCCTTCACTGTGTGACCTGCCTAGTCCTCCTGGGTTGCGTTTACAGAAGTTTATACGAGACCTAGTTTCCAGGGAAGAACTCACTGATGCCGCGAGGGAGATGGGGTACTGGATGATGGTCTTCAGCCTTAAGGGTACTTCAGTCTTAACCGTGTGTTATAAGGTTTGAAAGGGAGGGTTCCCTATGAATAAGAAGCGCACTTGAAAGAACAGCCCTCTGGTCTAACCTCCCACTGGTGCTTCAGAGGAGGATAAAAGGTCACAGGTGAAGATCCCAGTTTTCCTCGCTCGGGAAATATTAATTCTACTCCCTAGAATGCACAAGATTTGCAAAGACTAGGTGACAGTGGTAGGTTTGGACGAACTTTCAGAAGGTTGAGGTGAATTCGGCTGAGAAGAACAGGCAAGGACCTAGGAAATATTCCTTATTTGAAGGGGCCTGAAAGTGTGGTCTGGGGTACAGGAGTGACCTGTCATACCTGAGAAGATTAAAATACTCTCCAAACACAGTCCCATTCCTTCAACCTTTCCTCGTTGTTTCCAGCGTTTGAGATATATTAAACCTAGTCCATCACCAAATTTAGCTTTAGCATTAGATTGTGAAGTTCTATCGATTGTATTTGATTTGTAATTTAAGACTTTCTCCCCCTACGTAATTTTGTTAAAAACATATTGAATTCTGTTCACTTAGGTGTAACAGTTAATACTTGCTGTTTAAGGAACTAATTAAACCTTACTGGCTTATAAAAAACAACCACCATTTTATTTGTTTGAAGTTCTGTGGATCTGCATTTTGGTGTGGTGGGTTCAGCTGGGTAGTTGATATATTTATGTTGCCTGGATCACAAAAGAGGCCTTGGTCACATGGTGGGTTGACTGAGCCTGGTTGGTTTAAGATAGTTTCCTTCACAATCTGGCGGTTTGTGGTGACTCTTGGCTAGGCCCTGTGTCTCCACCAGGGTAGCTCCAGACCTCCTCACAATATGACTGTGTCCAAAAAGGCAAGAACCAATGGATATTTGCATCACATTTTCCATTGTCCATTCACTGGACAAGTCAGATGGAAAAGCCCAATTTATTGTCAGAGCATAATATGAGGGCTTGGATACAGGGAAAGGTGTTATTGGGAAACATGAGTAGAATGGTGTACTGCAGGAAATACATATTATGTACATTTAAAAAAAAGTAATTGTAGGCCAAAATTGCTGGGTTGCAAGATGCACTTTCCATGATGTTCAGGTATAGAAAAGCAAGATGTACTGTCATGGGAACACTCATATGAAGTTATTTGTGGAATCCACATATTAATAGGAAAATAGTTAATACAGCCCAGTATATTTCTATAACATTTATTTTAGTGAACTTATAATGTTTCTTTGTATTAAATTATTAGATTGTATCTTTAGGTAATATTGTTGCTAAATTAGTAGGTAATACATATTTTTATTCAAAATAAATTGTGCATCTAATGTCTACCAATTAATGTACTTGTAGATGTATCTTATCTTGAGTCTTTGCTGCCCCTAATGAGGCTTGAAGGACTCTTCTCCCATGGGGAAGTTTTTCTTTTTCAGGAGGGAGGAGGGCTTTTCCAGGTAATGTGTCTAGAGTGTTGGGCAGAAGAATCTGGGACCACACCACACCAGTTCTCTCCTTAATTCACGTCATTTGCCTTCTCTCTCAGCTATGTTTCCAGTGTTCTCTGGCTGTTTCCAAGAGCTACAAGAAAAGAATAAATCTCTGGTGAGTTGTTTATTTGTTCTTCACTTTGTTTTACACTGTATTTTCTGAGTTTATGGGTGTCTGTGAATTAAAAAAGAAAAGTGGAAATAAGTAAAACTCAGGTTGAAGGAAATATACATAAATAAGATAAAGCTGACCTGTAGATATAGACAGGTTGTAAGAGCTTAGAGTTGTCTAAGTTGAGTGCAAATTTTCCTCTGATCTTTCTGATGCAGTGACAAAAAAGTCAGTCATGGTTGTTACGTGATTGGAATGGAACCCGCGAAGAGAGCATGCTGTGTTCTTGTGGGACAGGAAAGCTTGTGTGCACCAAGTCTGAACCACCACCTTCGGTGGTGACATAGGTTATGTGCTGGAACATATTTCACACCAGCCTGGCAGTAAATACTTGTAGTGTTGTGCAGTGGAAACGGTCATCTTCTGCTAAAGCACGGCATGTTGTGCAGTGGAAACGGTCGTCATCCGCTAAAGCACGGCGTGTTGTGCAGTGGAAATGGTCATCTGCCGCTAAAGCACGGTGTGTTGTGCAGTGGAAACGGTCATCGTCCGCTAAAGCACGGCATGTTGTGCAGTGGAAATGGTCATCTGCTGCTAAAGCATAGTGTGTTGTGTAGTGGAAATGGTCATCTGCCGCTAAAGCACAGTGTGTTGTGCAGTGGAAATGGTCATCTGCCGCTAAAGCACAGCTTCCATCATAAGGTATGCTCCTTGCTGTGGTGGAACATATTTCACACCAGCCTGGCAGTAAACACTTGTAGTGTTGTGCAGTGGAAACAGTCATCTTCCACTAAAGCACGGCCTGTTGTGCAGTGGAAATGGGCATCTGCTGCCAAAGCACAGCTTCCATTGTAAGGTATGCTCCTTGCTCAAAGAGTGTGGTCCCAAACAGCTTTTGGGAGGTGCTCCTTGATTCATGGATGAAACCTGGAACATCTTGAGAACTGAGTTAACCACAGGTCCTTAAATAACTCTCCACACCTTTATCTTAGTTTATCTCTACATGCAGGGTGTGCAGCAGCCTGTTCAAAGTTATATTTTCTGGGAAATACTTCCAGTGTTTATTTGCACTTTAGCCCACTCTGTGTAGTCCTAACTTATTTCTTCTAAACTCACCATTAACCTAAATAATAGTCAAATTTAGGGGGACTGTGATTGCCTTACTCGAGTCTTCTACCATAGTTGAAACTGTCGTATCCGAGCGAGTTAGAGAGAAACGCCACACTTTGAGACGAGTTCAGGAGTCCTTTATTAGCCAGCGACTGAGAGATGGCTAACGCACGAAATTCTCTCGGCCCCGGATAAGGGGCTAGCTTTTCTTTTATACTTTGGTTTAGAGAGGGGAGGGGGGATTCTAGCTGCAGCAACCTTACAGAAGAAAAAACAGACAAAAAAGTTAAAACGACAGATGGTTACAGGAAAACAAACTGTTCCAGGTGCAGGGGCTTTAAATTCACCACAAAGTGATAGGTGAGGGGGCTCTGGGCGTTAGCTGCCGGACAAATGTGCGGGCTTTATGATACTATCTCTGAGTAAATTGCTGGGAACTGCAGACATCACTTGCCTCAGCGCTTTATCAGTTAATTGCAGTCTTTGATATGTTGAAAGTCAGCTTGCACAAGTTAAAGTCCTTGAGGAAAGGGAGTGGGTAAGGAGCCCTTGATGTCTTATAAATGAAGGAGCCAAATGGAGTTTGTCCGGTTTTCTCAGCTAAGGGAGAGTCTATTCATATTAAAAACAAGGTTAGGTATCTAAGGACGAGTCTATTCATGTTAACACAACTTTGGGTATTACAAAATGTCTGTTCATGATCTGGAAATTCTTCTGTGTTAGTTCTGTTAAAAGAAAAACTTTAAAGGAGTTTAGTTGAGCAATAAACGATTCATGAATCGGAGAGTCCCCAGAAACACAGCAGATTCACAGAGACTCCAGCACAGTCATTTGGTGGAAGAAGATTTATAGACAAAAGGGAAGTGGCATACCGAAATCAGAAGTGAGGTACAGAAACAACTCAGCATTTGCCTTGTTTGAACACAGTTTGAACACTTGGCAGTGCCTGAGTGGTTGAAGTTTGGCCACTGGGATTGGCCAAGACGCAGCTGTTGTTCCAGGTGCATACTCTCAAGTTAGGTTTTCATTCTTGTCTACCTATTAAGGTAGGTTGCAGTTCATCCACAAGGACTCATATATAGAATTATGGAGTCCTTCTCAGGCCATACTTAGTTCACTTTAACAATTCCTTCCCTTTGGTTATTTTCTCAATTTTGAGAGATTGGCCAAAACTTCAGTCACTGGTGTCACTATTACCATTGCAAATGTACTTACTTGCTTTAGAAACCCACTGGGAAATAGACCAGTGAGTTTTGAAAAGGTGGACCAAGGACTTGAGTAGAAGGTACCTTCTTATGCTGGAACGTCCTGTTTACAGGAGAAAAACAAAACCTGGTTTGTTCTAGGATTTATGTGTTTCCTTAAAGTCTTAGTTTGATTATGTTACATTTAGCATGAGTAACTCCATTTTGGTTTGGTTTGGTCTGTTGGGACCTATTGCATGAGCTTAGTTTAAAACAATGGCCTCGCATAATTTTGCTTAAAAAATTCCTCCTTTTGGCTGGGCGTGGTGGCTCACACCTGTAATCCCAGCACTTTGGGAGGCCGAGGTGGGTGGATCACAAGGTCAGGAGATTGAGACCATCCTGGCTAATACGGTGAAACCCCGTCTCTACTAAAAATACAAAAATTAGCCGAGCGTGGTGGTGGGCACCTGTAGTCCCAGCTACTTGGGAGGCTGAGGCAGAATGGCCTGAACCCGGGAGGCGGAACTTGCAATGAGCCAAGATCTTGCCACTGCACTCCACTCTGGGGGACAGAGCAAGACTCTATCTCAGAAAAAAAATAATTCCTCCTTTTTAGTCAAGTTCTCACTTAGTTGAGAGTGTGACCAAAATGTAGGGCCTTAGCACTACTGTTAGTTACCATTGTTTTAGGTTTCCGGTTTAGCACATCACTCCCATTGTTTTGGGTTCCAGTTTTAGCACGTGACTCCCATTTTTTGGGTTTCTGGGTTTAGCACGTCACTCCCATTGTTTTGGGTTCCGGTTTTAGCACGTCACTCCCATTGTTTTGGGTTCCAGTTTTAGCACGTCAGCTCCATTGTTTTGGGTTCCAGTTTTAGCACGTCACTCCCATTGTTTTGGGTTTCTGGCTTAGCACGTCACTCCCATTGTTTTGGGTTTCTGGCTTAGCACGTCACTCCCATTGCTTTGGGTTCTGGTTTAGCACGTCTCTCCCATTGTTTTGGGTTCTGGTTTTAGCAAGTCACTCCCATTGTTTTGGGTTCCTGTTTAGCACATCTCTCCCATTGTTTTGGGTTCCAGTTTTAGCACATCACTCCCGTTGTTTTGGGTTTCTGGTTTAGCAGGACACTCCCATTGTTTTGGGTTCCGGTTTTAGCACATCACTCCCATTGTTTTGGGTTTCTGGTTTAGCACGACACTCCCATGGTTTTGGGTTCCGGTTTTAGCACATCACTCCCATTGTTTTGGGTTTCTGGTTTAGCACGACACTCCCATGGTTTTGGGTTCCGGTTTTAGCACGTCACTCCCATTGCTTTGGATCCTGGTTTAGCACGACTCTCCCATTGTTTTGGGTTCTGGTTTTAGCACGTCACTCCCATTGTTTTGGGTTCCTGTTTAGCACATCTCTCCCAGTGTTTTGGGTTGCGGTTTTAGCACGTCACTCCCGTTGTTTTGGGTTTCTGGTTTAGCAGGACACTCCCATTGTTTTGGGTTCTGGTTTTTGCACGTCACTCCCATTGTTTTGGGTTTCTAGTTTAGCACATCACTCCCTTTGTTTTGGGTTCCGGTTTTAGCACATCACTCCCATTGTTTTGGGTTCCGGTTTTAGCACATCACTCCCATTGTTTTGGGTTTCTGGTTTAGCACATCACTCCCATTGTTTTGGGTTCCAGTTTTAGCACGTCACTCCCATTGTTTTAGGTTTCTGGTTTTAGCAGATCACTCCCATTGTTTTGGGTTCCGGTTTTAGCACATCACTCCCATTATTTTGGGTTTCTGGTTTTAGCAGATCACTCCCATTGTTTTGGGTTCCAGTTTTAGCACATCACTCCCATTGTTTTGGGTTCCGGTTTTCGCACGTCACTCCCATTGTTTTGTGTTCTGGTTTTAGCACGTCAATCCCATTGTTTTGGGTTCCTAGTTTAGCAGGTCACTCCCATTGTTTTGGGTTCCGGTTTTTGCGCATCACTCCCATTGTTTTGGGTTCCGGTTTTAGCACCTCACTCCCATTGTTTTGGGTTCCGGTTTTAGCACAGCACTCCCATTGTTTTGGGTTCCGGTTTTAGCACCTCACTCCCATTGTTTTGGGTTCCGGTTTTAGCACAGCACTCCCATTGTTTTGGGTTCCGGTTTTTGCGCATCACTCCCATTGTTTTGGGTTCCGGTTTTAGCACCTCACTCCCATTATTTTGGGTTCCGGTTTTAGCATATCACTCCCATTGTTTTGGGTTTCTGGTTTAGCATGACACTCCCATTGTTTTGGTTTACGGGTTTTGCACATCACTCACATTGTTTTGGGTTCCGGTTTTAGCACGTCACTCCCATTGTTTTGGGTTTTTGGTTTAGCACGTCACTCCCATTGTTTTGGGTTCTGGTTTTAGCAAGTCACTCCCATTGTTTTTGGTTTCTGGTTTTGGCAGGTCACTCCCATTGTTTTGTTTTCCGGTTTTAGCATGTCACTCCCACTGTTTTGGGTTTCTGGTTTAGCACGTCACTGCCATTGTTTTGCGTTCCGGTTTTAGCATGTCACTCCCACTGTTTTGGGTTTCTGGTCTAGCACATCACTCCCATTGTTTTGGGTTCCGGTTTTAGCACATCACTCCCATTGTTTTGGGTTCCGGTTTTAGCAGATCACTCCCATTGTTTTGGGTTTCTGGTTTAGCACGTCACTCCCATTGTTTTGGGTTCCGGTTTTAGCAGATCACTCCCATTGTTTTGGGTTCCAGTTTTAGCATGTCACTCCCATTGTTTTGGGTTCCGGTTTTAGCACGTCAGCTCCATTGTTTTGGGTTCCAGTTTTAGCACGTCACTCCCATTGTTTTGGGTTTCTAGTTTAGCAGGTCACTCCCATTGTTTTGGGTTCTGGTTTTTGCACATCAGTCACATTGTTTTGGGTTCCGGTTTTAGCACGTCACTCCCATTGTTTTGGGTATCTGGTTTAGCAGGACACTCCCATTGTTTTGGGTTCTGGTTTTAGCACATCACTCCCATTGTTTTTGGTTTCCGGTTTTAGCAAGTCACTCCCATTTTTTTTGGTTTCCGGTTTTAGCACGTCACTCCCATTGTTTTGGTTTCCAGTTTTAGCATGTCACTCGCATTGTTTTGGGTTCCGTTTTAACACGTCACTCCCATTGTTTTGGGTTCCAGTTTTAGCACATCACTCCCATTGTTTTGGGTTTCTGGTTTAGCATGACACTCCCATTGTTTTGGGTTCCGGTTTTAGCATGTCACTCCCATTGTTTTGGGTTCCGGTTTTAGCACGTCACTCCCATTGTTTTGGGTTTCTGGTTTAGCACGTCACTCCCATTATTTTGGGTTCTGGTTTTTGCAAGTCACTCCCATTGTTTTGGGTTCCGGTTTTAGCATATCACTCCCATTTTTTTGGGTTCCGGTTTTAGCAAATCACTCCCATTGTTTTGGGTTTCTAGTTTAGCAGATTACTCCCATTGTTTTGGGTTCAGGTTTTAGCCCATCACTCCCATTGTTTTGGGTTCCAGTTTTAGCACATCACTCCCATTGTTTTGGGTTCCAGTTTTAGCACATCACTCCCATTGTTTTGGGTTTCTGGTTTAGTAGGTCACTCCCATTGTTTTGGGTTCCGGTTTTAGCACATCACTCCCATTGTTTTTTGTTTCTGGTTTTAGCACGTCACTCCCATTTGTTTTTGGTTTCTGGTTTTAGCACGTCACTGCCATTGTTTTGGGTTCCGGTTTTAGCATGTCACTCCCATTGTTTTGGGTTTTTGGTTTAGCACGTCACTCCCATTGTTTTGGGTTTCTGGTTTAGCATGTCACTCCCATTGTTTTGGGTTTCCGGTTTAGCATGTCACTCATAGGTTACAGTGTCCTTATAGTTGCACATTTTTTCTTAATTTCTTGTCATTCCAGTTGAAGAGATACCATTTGACATTTTAGAGATGGCTGCATGCAAACTCTTAAAACATTTGAGGAAGTACAGTGCACCAGGGAGACTCTTACGACTACTGGGATATCACCAAGAATTTGGCATATGCTCCTTACTCAGGGTCCCTGTAAATCAAACCACCTAAAATCAAATAGATTAAAGAATGAGTTAGATAAAGAGTTTACTTGCTTAACTAAGTCGGTTTTTTGTTAATTCCCTACAACCAAATCTTTATAATACCCCATGTTTTCTCCATATGCCATAAGTGTTAGCAGCTGCACAGATACTTAAGAGTCTCATGATAGTAGAGAAGCCTCGAACTGTGATCTTGGTAAAAGCTGTTCACATTAAGGATGCCATCTTCTTCTGGGGGAGAAACTGTCCTTGTTAGCTTTACCTTAAGGGTTCCAATGGGTATACGGTTCTGAGTGTGGAGGGACCCTTCTGAATTGTGAGACTATGAACCCAAAGTTTATGGTTTTAAAGTTTTGCTGTCATGTGGATGGCAAGGGCAGTCCTTCTTTGATGTTCTCAGAAGATCCAGTCATCAGATTCTAGATTGTGAAGGGGTTCGCTGTCCTCAGTGAACCATAAAAGGCTTTCTTTAGCTGGTGAAAATACACTTCAGCATAATAATCTACTGTTTTAACATCAACCCTCTTGCATGGAAGAGCTTTTATACAATCAGAAAACATGCACTGAAAATGAAAACTGAATGAAATCCCTTTATAAAATGTTTAAATGGCCCATCAGGTAACCAAATGTACCTGAAGTTTTGATTGTTTTCCTAGGAATATAGGTTTGACAAACCAAACATTGGTTATAAACTATTTTAGCAATTTAGAAATCACCACACCAATATATTTAATTTGGATCATTTTCTCTTTTCCATGATGAGTTATGGAATGCAAAACTTTTAATAACAGAAGCTTTAAGGACTTAAGAAGGACAAGGCGGCCATCCTGGTTCTTCATAAGTCCGTGCTTAATTAACATTAGACTTACATCCTCTTGAATACCAGCTGTTTCTCCAAATTAGGTGCATGGCACTGGTAACTGAAGAGTTATAGGTAATTTGACTTAGACCATGGAGTTTATTTAAATTATATGTCTAAACAATTTCAGTATTGGTGATTTAGCATGCAAATCTGGCAAAATATTTCCTTGGTATTCAATTTTTGTTTTACTTGGGTTAGCAGTTTTATAAACCAGTTGGTCTTTTTATTAAACTTTTGGGAATTTTTTTTTTTTTTTTTTTGAGACAGAGTCTCACTCTGTTACCTAGGCTGTAGTGCAGTGGCACGATCTTGGCTCACTGCAACCTCTGCCTCCTGCGTTCAAGCGATTCTCCTCCTCAGCCTCCCGAGTAGCTGGGATTACAGGCGCACACCACCACACCCGGCTAATTTTTGTATTTTTAGTAGAGGCGGGGTTTCACCATTGGCCAGGCTGGTCTCAAACTCCTGACCTGAAGTGATCCACTGGCCTCAGCCTCCCAAAGTGCTGGGATTGCAGACGTGAGCCACTGTGCCCAGCATAACTTTTGGGAATTCTTAACCAGTCCAATTCTTGGGGAATCGGGGAACTTATGGGGAATATTTACCCATGATATTCAAGTTATTAGAAACCTGTGCTCACGAGTGTTTTTCAGGGTCCTTTTCATTCTTTCATGAATCTTCTAAGAGACACCATATTCTAGAATTTTGCATGCTTGTGAAGTTTTTAGAAACTGCATCACCATTAAGCAATTAACTGTGGAAATGACTTTAAATAGTTATAGTTAAAGACAATTGACAAGGAAATTTGGTTATTTGTGTGGTCTACAATAACTTAATAACCATAATTAGGGTGGATGTGGTGGCTCATGCCTGTAATCCCAGCTGTTTGGGAGGCCAAGGTAGGTGGATCACCTGAGGTCAGGAGTTTGAGACCAGCCTGGCCAACATGGTAAAATCCTGTCCCTATTAAAAATAAAAAAAAATTAGCCTGGTGTGGTGGCAGGTGTCTGTAATCCCAGCTACTTGTGAGGCTGAGGCAGGAGAATCGCTTGAACCCAGGAGGTGGAGGCTTCAGTGAGCCTCAATCACACCATTGCACTCCAGCCTGGGTGACAAGAGCGAAACTCTGTCTCAAAACAAAACAGGTAATTATGATAGATAGCATATAGACATATTAGAATTTTAGAAATCCTGGCCAGGTGCAGTGGCTCACGCCTGTAATCCCAGCACTTTGGGAGGCCGAGATGGACGGATCACGAGGTCAGGAGATCAAGACCATCCTGGCTAACACGGCGAAACCCCGTCTCTACTAAAAATACAAAAATTAGCCAGGCGTGGTGGTGGGCACCTGTAGTCCCAGCTACTTGGGAGGCTGAGGCAGGAAAATGGTGTGAACCCGGGAGGCGGAGCTTGCAGTGAGCCGAGATCGCACCACTGTACTCCAGCCTGGGTGACAGAGCAAGACTCTGTCTCAGAAAAAAAAAAAAAAAAAAAAAAAAAACCACAAGAATTTTAGAAATTCTATACAATTTTAGAATGGATTGATGACATACACTAAATATAACCTGAAGAAGGTTCAACATTATTTTTTATTTTGACAGTGCTTCCCACGTGACTTAACATGTCAAATAGTCCTGTTTACCTCTCTTTTGGGTGTTTCAGGGGCCTCTGTAGCATCCCAAAGTTAGAGGTCAGAGAAGACAGTTTTGAAGTTGAAATTTGATTTTGGGAAGCCTATTAAATATATTAAAGGTTTAAACACTTGATGTTATGAAATAGAATTCCAGGTCACCGTAAGTCATTCATTTACCTAAAATCATGACTTAAAAAATTTTTAAAGGGCAAAAATCTTTACTCATTGATAGAGGGAAGACTTACCTTCCCAAACAATCTGCCTCTTGTTTTTCCTTTTTTTTTTTTTTGGTAGTTTATTTACAAGGGAAACAAATTTTTCATTATTTTTTAATATTACCTGAAAATCTTCTTTAAAGAGAGAAAGCCAAATGTCACCCAATTTTTCATAAAACCTTATAGACAAATCTATTATTATTATTTTTTTTTGAGATGGATTTTCCCTCTTGTTGCCCAGGCTGGAGTGCAATGGTGTGATCTTGGTTCACTGCAACCCCCTGCCTCCTGGGTTCAAGAGATTCTCCTGCCCCAGCCTCCTGAGTAGCTGGGATTAGAGGCATGCACCACCATGCCCAGCTAATTTTGTGTTTTTAGTAGAGATGGGGTTTTTCCTTGTTGGTCAGGCTGGCCCTGAACTCCTGACCTCAGGTGATCCACCTGCCTCAGCCTCCCCAAGTGTTGGGATTACAGGTGTAAGCCACTGCGCCTGGCCATTTTTTTTTGTTAAAGATAGCGTCTTGCTCTGTCGCCCTCCTCACCACATTATAGCTCTGGGGGCCAAGCTGCATCACAATGGAAAATCATGGAACCACAGGAAGAATCCACTCAGCTTTGCAAGATGCTGTTCAAGGGGTTGCTTGGAGTAACCAAATTAACATTTTTCATTCTGTCCAGAGCAAAATACATGTGACAAAACAGATATGAGCCACTTTGCTTGGCACCCAGTATCAAACTGGTAAGACTCAAACTTGCTCCCAGATGGGCCGTGCCATCTCTAAATCTTTTTAGAAGCTTCTGCATATTAATAGGCATCCCTAGATGAGACTAATTTGGGAGCCCTCATTTTTAAATGCACTTCAGGGCATTATTCATTTGGAATGTTCCACTGTAAGTTATCTTTAGTAAGATTTTGCCGTTTCTGTAAGACTTTGCTGCTTCCCAGGCCTAACGTATTAGCCAGAAGGAACTTAGTTTTCCAGAAATTAAGGATCCTATTTTTACCTAAAATATTGGCTTTACTCCTAGGTTCCCTTGATTAACTTAGCCAATGATTTTTTTTTTCCTACCTAAGCATGCGAGAAAAATGAAACAATGGGGTAGAACACAAAAATCCCTGTGAATTTTCAAAAGCCAAATTTTACAACCGTTCCAATATTATCATTTACTCCACTTTCCTTCTGACCCAATCAGATGTAGGAGGCCTCTAACTGGAACTGGATTCAAGCCAGTTAACTACTGGATCAAATCTGATCCTGGACCCAGTCCCGTTTCTGTTATAACTTCTAAAGCCTATTTGGAACAGAAATTTGCTCAAAGAAACTCAGCTCAAAACACAAATCCATGGAGGTCTGAAATCCGAGAGAGAATTTACCACAATCCCCAGCTGCTCTGAGAGGTCAAAGGGCACAAGTGTTACTGAATCCTGGGGTGTCACTTTTCTGCCTGAAACCTCTGGCTGGTGCCGCCTTTACCTGTGTTTTGCTCAGGCCCACTGGGTTCGTTCTGTCCACTCGGCTCATGCTAGTTGTCTGGATCCCACGCCTGCCAAGGGCGAGCTGGGTACAGAGCAGTGAGGGGTGTGTGAGCAAGCGAGCATGGGATCTGGCCACTGCACACAGCCAAGCATGCCAGCTGTGGTGGGGTGGGCAGCTCCAGGCACTGGCACAGGTGCCAGCTTCCTGTGAGGCTGCAGCTGGACCAGGCTGACTGCAGACAGCTTCCACTGTGGGTATCAGGGAATGCAGTGGTGCCCAGAAGCTTGGAGATGCAGGAACTGCAGAGCCCCAAAGAAGGTGTCATAGCCCTGGCTTGGGGAGCTCCTAAGTCTGGGTTCCCTGAAGGGCCACAGCTCTTCTCTCCTTCTTGCCTGCAATTTGGCAAGCAAGGGGCACGTTTCAGCCCTGTTTATGTTACACCTCTTTCAGCGCTGCTGGTTGGCAGGTCCCGAGTTCTTCTCCTGCATCCAGGAAGAATGAGGTACGTGGGCAAGTAGAAGGTGACAAGGTGAAGAGGTGCTTTATTGAGCAACAGTACAGCTCAGAGGAGACCTGCAGGGGGTAGCTCCTTTCTGCAGTCAGGTCATCCCAATGTCTGTTCAGCTCTCAGCAGCTGAGAGGAGACCCATGGTGGGTAGCTGTGCCCACAGTGCCCAGGCTGTTTGAGCTGAGGAGTGCCTGCAGGCCAGTGCTGAGCCATCCTTAGCCCCACCTCAACCTCCCTCCTGTGCTCGTCAGTGCCCAAAGTCTGGAGGGGGGCGAGGTGACAGGGGGCTGGCATGTCAGCACTGCCCTGAGCTTGCACACACCGGGCCGGGTTGCGACTGTGCCTGGGTTTGGCCTCAACTTGGATCCAAATTTGGAGTGGGCTCTGGGAGCAGAGAGACACCAGGTGGCAGGACCAGGTATGACTGAGCCTGCAGGGGCAGGGGGGCTTGCTGGGCCTCTGAGAGTGCAGAGATGCCCGGGTCTGCAGTCATGGCTGGATGGCTGCAGCTGTGCCTGGGAGGGTGGGGCTCCTGCCTGCCAATTTAGAAGGGGCAGGGCTCCCACCCGTTCCTGGCTCCCACCAGCTTCGAGGAGCGCACAGCCCCAGCCACTCCTCCCCACTGCAGCCAGTGTCTCCGTAGCGACTGCTCCACTTGGGCGCCTGCTGACATCACAAAGGGGTCCTTGCAGGTGCCTTGCTTGTACCTCAGCACTCCTGGGGGTCATTAGAAGCCCTAGCAACCCTGCTCACCACACTATCGCTCCGGAGGCCCTAGCAGTCCTGCTCTGGCAGATCCCACTTCTGACACCAACTATTAAAAGAAAATCTTCAGCTGAATTAAATTTAAAGGAGCTTAATTGAGCAATGAATGATTCAGGAGTCAGGCAGCCCCCAGAATCACAGCAGATTCAGTGAGACTCCAGCACAGCTACATGGTGGAAGATTTATAGACAATAAAGGGAATGTGATGTACAGAAATCTGAAGTGAGGAGTGAGGTCCAGAAGCAACTGGGTCCATTACAGTTCTCAGCAGTGAGGTCCAGAAACAACTGGACTGGTTACAGTGCTTAGCATTTGCCTTATTTGAACACAGCTGAACACTCAGCAGTGTGTGAGTGGCAGAAGTTTGGCTGTTGGGATTGGCCAGGACTCAGCTGTTGTTACAGGCACATACTCTTAAGTTAGGTTTTCAGTCTTTCTACCTATTAAGTTAGGTTGCAGTTTGTCCACAGGGACTCAAATCTAGAATTACAGAGTCCTTCCCAGGCCATATTTAGTTCACTGTGACAGTTCCTATTATGACCTCACTGACAGTTCTTTTTCTCTGAATTCTCCTTTCTTCTCAACAGCTTATCCAAATGTTCTGTTGGTCCCTGTTCATCCCGCCCTGCAGTTCTCCTTGACTGATTCAGCCCTTTGTGGTTTGCAGTCCTGTTTCTCTACAGCTTAGACCTCTTTAGTCTTTCCATCATAGGTTTAACTCTCTGTTGAATGCTTCTTTGTTGCTATCTAAAAGTTACCTTAAGCTCAAAAAATTCAAAGTGAAAGCCACATCGTCCTCTCTTCCCTTATGTGTATGGTATTACTACCATGCAGCCAGTGACCCAAAATGGGATTTCTTCTGGGCTTTTCTTGCTTAGATTCAGGCTCATCTGGTGTCAAGCCCTGTTACTTTTGTTTGGTTGTTCTTTTATTTTCAATTTTTTTTTCTTTTGAGACAGAGTTTCGCTCTTGTTGCCCATGCTGGAGTGCAGTGGTGCAATCTTGGCTCACCGCAGCCTCCACCTCCCAGGTTCAAGCAATTCTCCTGCCTCAGTCTCCTGAGTAGCTGGTATTACAGGCATGTGCCACCACGCCCAGCTAATTTTGTATTTTTAGTAGAGATGGGGTTTCTCTGTTTTGATCAGGGTGGTCTCGAACTCCCGACCTCAGGTGATCTGCCCGCCTCGGCCTCCCAAAGTGCTGGGATTGCAGGCGTGAGCCACCGTGCCCGGCCTGCTTCTTGTTTTCATTTCATCCTGATTTCTGAATACAGGAGAAGAGCTGAGTTGGTGTTCACTAACAAGCACAGAAGCTTTGTTACATTTACAGTGTCATTCTTGGCAAAACCTGAAGGGGGTGTTTGTGGGGTGGTGAGGTTCAGTCCCCTGTGACCTGTGCATCTGGCCAGCACTGTGATGACATCCTTAGGAATCCATGGGGAGAGAGAAAGCATTCAGGAGTTAGTGGGACACGTTTGACAAGGGCCAATAAAGAAATATGCAAAGACAAAAACCAAGAAGCACATTGTCATATTTTCTACCTCTTGTTTATATAAATTTATGTCAATGATTCTAGCTTATGTTAATATGCAATGTATACAATATGCTAACATATACAATATATGTTTATAGTTTAAACATTTCTGTCATGTTTTCAGATTCTTTAAAGGTTATATTACACTTCCTATTTCAGATAGCCGCTTAAAATGAGTAAGGAAAAACGGATGTGTGCATCAGTTCTAAGTGTTTATGGACTAAAACTAGTTGATTTCTTGGTTAAGAACAAAAAGTGACAACCTAATTAACTGAAAATTTTAAGTAGGCAATTGTAGTTTTAGCTTTAACGTAAAATATTAACTATGCTCCATTCTTGCATTTTTAACCTAATACTCAATATAAATCTCCACATGCCATGTTTCAGATCAAGGTTCTACTTGTGATCTCTCATGAGTTTTTCAACGTTTTAATTATCTGTGATGTAACAACATACCAGTAACCTTGCTGGCTTAAACCAGGAATTTATCCTTTTACATATCACAATTTTCTGGGTCAAGACACTGGACAGGGTGGTGTGGGTTGGCTGCTTCATGATGTCTCTGGTCTCATCTGGAAGGACTCTAGTGGCTGGGGACGTGGAGCAGGCACCCAGAAGGACTCTAGTGGCTGGGGACGTGGAGTAGGCACCCAGCCCTCTCTTTGTGGCCAGCACAGACTTCCTCCCAGTCTGGCATCGTCAGGTAGTCAGGTTTGTCTGGCTTCTCCCAGGGTGTGTGTCCAAGAGGCCCAGGCAGAAGCTGTAAGGCCTCTCATGATCGCCCCTCAGAAGTCCCAGAGCATTTCTCCTGTCACACTGTCCAGTCATACTCATCACTGAGACCAGCCACGATTCAAGGGGGGAAGGTGATTAGATTCCCCCTTTTGATGAGAAGCATAGTAGGAACCTGCAGCAGTCTAATAAACCACAGCTTGTCCTCTGGCCACAAACTATTAACATTTCTCCCACATGCAAATTATGCTTTGCCCCTCTCAAGAGCCCCAGAATGGTTTTCCTTATGGCACTGGCTGGAGCCCATCTGAATCCTGAATCAGGTTGTGATTGTGGTGGCCTGTCATCTTCACCCACACACTCAGCCACAGTGAGGACTGAATCAGGTTGTGGTGGCCTGTCATCTGTCCCCCCACACACTCAGTGACAGAACTTAATGAGGTTGTGGTGGCCTGTCATCTGTCCCCCCACACACTCAGCCACAGTGAGGACTGAATCAGGTTGTGGTGGCCTGTCATCTACCCCCCACACACTCAGCCGCAGTGAGGACTGAATGAGGGTGTGGTGGCCTGTCATCTGCCCCCCGACACACTCAGCTGCAGTGAGGACTGAATCAGGTTGTGGTGGGCTGTCATCTACCCCCCTCCCACACTCAGCCGCAGTGAGGACTGAATGAGGTTGTGGTGGTCTGTCATCTACCCCCCCACACACTCAGCCGCAGTGAGGACTGAATGAGGTTGTGGTGGCCTGTCATCTGCCCCCGCACACACTCAACCACAGTGAGAACTGAATGAGGTTGTGGTGGCCTGTCATCTGCCCCCCGACACACTCAGCCTCAGTGAGGACTGAATCAGGTTGTGGTGGGCTGTCATCTACCCCCCCCCCCCACACTCAGCCACAGTGAGGACTGAATCAGGTTGTGGTGGCCTGTCATCTGCCCCCCGACACACTCAGCCACAGTGAGGACTGAATCAGGTTGTGGTGGCCTGTCATCTGCACCCACACACTCAGCCGCAGTGAGGGGACTGGTGTGAAAACAGTCAGCATTTCTCTTTAGATGGGGTTGGTGGAAGGCAGGAGGTAGGTGCTGCCCTGCAGGCCCTGTCTAACGGTTGGTCATTCCCATGGGGCACCTGTTGCAGGTCTCTGATTAGTGCCCAGTCCTGGTCCCTGAGAATGACGCTCAGTCCTGGTCCCTGAGAATGGCGTTTGTGCCTTTTTACTCCTCCCTCTGGGCTCTTGTCATTCTCCATGTTCTTTTTCCTTCAGTGCCTGGGTTGCCGTTGACCAACTTTCTCTGCCTTTTTCTTATGGTCAATAGAGTGGCTTCTTTTTCATTTTTTTTCCTTTTGTTTTCTTTCCTTTTTTTTTTTACTTTGGCCTTTTGAGACAATAAATTATTTCTTTATATTTTCTCTAAATTCTGTCTGAAAACTGAACCTCCTTCTTTAGATCATGTCCCTCTCCTGTCATATTTATTCAGTGACAGTTAGGGGAGGCTGGTAGCACTTTCCACATTCTTCTCAGATGTCTCCTTAGGCAGATCCCTGAGATGGTGCAGTGCCCTTTCAGTTTCCGTATTGTGGCTGTAGTTTTCCCACAGTCCCTCAGCACGTAACTCCCAGGCCTTTTCTCCAGTTTCCAATGACATTTTCTCACTGTCCTTCAGGCCCTCACCAAGAGTCTTGATGCCCTTCCAGCTTGCATGAATGGTCTCCTTGAGGCCCAGTTACAGCTCAGCCTCACAGTTGTGGCACATGTTGTAGCTTCTGATTACCACAGCGGCTCATTTCCAGCTGCCATATTCTGTTCCAGTTATCTATTCTGAAGAAACCATCCCCAAAACTTGGCAGCTTAAAACAACTCATTATTACTTGTTTTTTGGCTTAGAGAGTCTTGTTGGCCAGCTCATCTCACACATAGTTGCAGCAGGGCAGCAGCCGAGCTGGATTGTTTGAAAGCACAGCGGTGTGGTGTGCAGGGTGGCTCACTAGTTGTTGGGAGTGGGTGTTGCTGGAGGCTCAGTGGGGGCTGTCAATGAGTGTAGCTAGTCGTGGACTGGCCGTATGGTTTCCATCATGGGGGTCTCAGGGAAGTGGGATTTCCTGCCTGGTGACTGGCTTTCTCCTGGATAAGTGTTCCGTTCTCTCAGCCTGGCTTCTGAAGTCCCCAAATACCACCTTTGTCACCTTCTGTTGGCCAAATAAGTCAGTAGTCTGGGCAAGGTTCAGGGGAATTGGTTCTCACAGAGAGAGGAGCAGGAAAGAAGTTGTCACCTTTAGTCTACCAGAAATGTGATTTTTATAACAAGTTTGTTCCAAATACATTCCAGTTCCCCTTGTGAATACTTTTTTTGACTCACAGGGTGTTTCAAAGTTTATTACTTGGTTTTCAGACATTTGAGGCTTTTCTGGATATCTATTTGTTGTTGGTTTCTAATTTAATTTCAAGTGTTGAGACAACATACTTTGCATACTATTTCAGGCTTGAACCTTTTCTCAATAGATGGACATACAGTCTGTCTTGGTAGTGCTCAACTGTGTGCTTCATAAATACCATTTGGGTCAGGATTTTGTCATTTAGATCTGTATTTTCCCTATTTTTTTATTTGGTTGTTCCGTCAGTTACTGAGAGAGCAGTATTAATTCACCAGCTATAATTGTGGATTGTCAACTTCCTGCTTTCGTTCTGTTGTTTTTGATTCACGTACTTTGAGGTTTTGTGTGTGTGTGTACTTTGTGTGCACTTTGAGGCACAATTTATAATTTTAATATCATCCTCTCTGATTCTTTTACTTTTATGAAAGTACCCTGTTTATTTCTGGTGATATATTTTGTTTTGAAGCCTCTTTCATCTAGTGTTAACATCTCCATTGAAGCTTTTTATGATTAGTGTCTGGATACCATCTTTTTATGATTAGTGTCTGCATAGCATATTTTTTCTCATAGTTTGTTTGTGTCTTTGTGTTTAAATTGTGTCTCTGTGGATGCCATATTGTGGGTCTTGCTTTCCTCTCAGGTCTGGCAGTCTCTGTCTTAAGTAGAGTATTTGTCCAGTTACATTGTAACTAATCATTACTAAGGTTGGATTTAGGTCTGCCATTTTTCTACTTATTTTCTATTTGTTTGTTTATTTTTTTTTAAGACAGGGTCTTGCTCTGTCACCCAGACTGTAGTGCAATGGTGCAATCTTGGCTCACTGCAACCTCTGCCTCCCAGGCCCAACCAGTCCTCACTTCAGCCCCCTGAGTAGCTGGGACTACAGGTGCATGGCACCATACCTGGCTAATTTTTATATTTTTTGTAGAGATAGGGTTTTGCCATTTTGCACAGGCTGGTCTTGAACTCCTGAGCTCAAGCAATCTACGCACCTTGGCCTCCCAAAGTGTTGGGATTACAGGCATGAGCCACCATGCCTGGCCTTCGTCTGTCTTTTGATCTTCTATATATTCTTTCCTAACTTCTTTTGGGTTAATTAAATATTTGTAAATATTCCAGTTCGGTTAATCTTTTGGCTTTTTCAAATAATTTTTTATAGGCTGGGCATGGTGGCTCATGCTCGTAATCTCAGCTCTGTGGGAAGCCAGGGGAGGTGGATTGCTTGAGCCCAGGAGGTGGAGACCAGCCTGCAACATGGCAAAACCCTGTCTACAAAAAAACCAAACCAAAAATTAGCCTGACATCGTGGTGTGCACCTGTAGTCCCAACTATTCGGGAGGCTGAGGTGGGAGGGTTGCTTGAGCCTGGGAGGTCGAGGCTGCAGTGAGCTGTGATCATGCCATTGCACTCCTGCCAGGGCAACAGAGTAAGACCCTGTATCAAAAAAGATCATTTTTTATAAATAATTTATTATTTCGAATTTTGGTGACAAACACATACCTTAAAATTTACCATCATAACCAGTTGTAAGTATACAGTTTTATAGAGTTAAGAATATTTACAGTGTTGTGTAGCAGATTTCTAGATTTTTTTTTTATCTTGGAAAGCTCTATACCCATTCAACAACTATTAATTTCCCCCTCCTTCCACCTCCTGGCAAGTACTATTCTACTTTGTGTTTCTAAAAATTTGGCTTATATACCTGGGGTTATATAATATTTGTTGTTTTGTTAAGTAGGTTTCATGTTATGTGTCAGATGTGTCAGGATTTTCTTCCTTTCTATGGCTGAATAACATTTCTTTGTACATATACACACACACACACACACACACATATACATATATATATATATATATATATATATATATATATATATATCCTTTTGTTTATCCGTCCATTCCTGGATGGACGTTTTGGTTTCTTCCACCTTGTGGCTGTGTAATGCTGCTGTGAACATAGGTGTGCACATATCTGTTTGAGGTCCTGCTACTAGTTATTCTGTCTCTCTGTAGAAGTTGGATGGCTGGATCATATGGTCATTTTATTTTTTTTTTGAGGAGCCAGTTCATATTTCCACCAACAGTGTACAAGGGTTTCAGTTTCACCTGCACTTGTTACTTTCTGTTGGGTTTGAAGTGATGTCCCATTGTGGTTTCTATTTGCATTTCTCTAATGATTAGTGATGTTACACATCTTCTCATATATCTCATGTATCTGTTGGCTATTTGTATATCATCTTTGCATCTTTGGATAAATGTTCTTTGTCCACTTTTTAATCACTTTATTTTGTTGTTGGGTTGTAGCGGGGTTTTTTGGTCATGATCATTTATCTCACAGTTCATTCTCGTTACGTTGGGCCAGGGTCATGATCATTCATTATATCACAGTTCATCCTCATTACGTTGGGCAAACAGTCATGCTGCATGGTATAGATTATGTTATTCTGTTACTTTCAGGTAGAATTGGGGTCCAGGTTCTAATTGTCTCTAAGTTTAGATTCCGAATGAGAATCAGCAGAGGTAGACCACTGCTACTGAGGCCTGGGAACTGCTGGGAAAAAGGCAGGAAACAGATACGGAACTGACCATGGAGGATTTGTGTTTCACGGCTCCCATCTGGGTACCCAAGGAACCTACATGTAGCTCGTGTGCAGAGAGCCCACATTGGCCACTCAAAAGCAATTGAGGATGGAGCAGGCTTGGGGCTGGAGCTCATTATTTGGAATAACAACCACATCTGCACAGAGAGGACCTGATAAGATGTTGTCCTTCCATCTATATCTGGGAATCCTGTGTAGGGTCTCTCTGTAATGACAGGGGCAGGGTTGGCTCCTTGGCCTCTAGTTAGCCTCACGAGTAGTCTAGTAAAGATTTTGCAAACTTGTCACCATCTGTGGACATTCTGGTCAGCTCTTGTTTTCACCCTACTGACTTCTTCAGGCACTAGGCTGTTGCTTTAGACCATTAATGGTTTTTCTTCCTCTTCAAATCAGTAATCAATAAATCCTCTTCAAATCAGTAAATTTCCACTCCTTTAGGAAACTCTGATCTTCTGGTCACTCCAAGGTTTAATTAACTGGTTTGATTGTTTTTCTGTTTTCTTGGTTTCTTTTTCCTTCTTCCTAGGTGTTTCTAGTAATTTTAGTTTGATGTCTCACTTTCTCCATTTTTTATTTCTTAGTTTTCTTCTGTGATTATTTTCACTGCAGCTGCAGGGCCTAATCCTGGGTTGGCAGAGAACTAGCACTTACTCTGCCCTAATTGGAATCCAGGAGAGATAGGAGGTGCCCCAGTGTGAAAATGTGTTTGCTCCTCTCTGCTTCTGGTAGTCTCTCTGTAGGAGTTCTTTACGTATTCTGGATGTTCACTTCTTATGAGATACATGATGTGCAGCTATAGGTTGAATGTCTCTGATCCAAAAATCTGAAATCCCAAATGCTCCAAAGTCTGAAACTTTTTGAATGCCAACATGACACTCAAAGGAAATGCTTATTGGAGCATCTCAGACTCAGGTGTTTGAATTTGAGATGCTCAACCAGTAAGAATAATGCAAATATTACAAAATCTGAAACACATCCCAAGCATTTCAAATAAGGGACGCTCAACTGGTATTTTCTTTTACTCTACAGTTTCCTTTTACCCTGTTGGTTGTGACCTTTGAGGTATAGAAACTTTTAGGTTTGATATGTTTTTGATTTTACTGCCTGAGCTTTTAATGTCATATCCTAAAAATTATTGACAAATTCATTGTCATAAAGCATTTTCCAAATTTGTTTTGCCTAGGAGTTTGATAATTCTAGTTTCACATTTAGGTTTATAATTCACTTTGAATTAATTTTAACGTGGTGTAAGGTAAGAGTCCAACTTCATTGTTTTGCATGTGGATATACAGTTTTCCCAACACCATTTGTTGAAGAAACTGTCCTTCACCATTGAGTGGTCTTGGCATCCTTGTGGAAGATCATTGGACCATATATGCCAGGATTGGTTTATGAGGTATCTGTTGTGTTGGTCCATAAGTTTCTCGTGTGTCTTTATGTCATGACTACATTTTTTTTTTGGCTTATTGCAGTTTTGTAATTGTTTTGAGACCTTTAATTTTGTTCTGTTTCAAGATTGATTTGCCTATTCATGGGCCCTGGAGATTCCATATGAGTTTTAGGATGGGTTTTTCTGTTTATCAAAAATGTCATTGGAATCCTTATAAGGATTGTATTGAATCTAGGTCACTTCGAGTAGTGTTGACATCATTCCAAGATGAAATCATCTCATCTGCAAACCCAGCTTTTCTTTTCATTGATTTGTGTTTAGTTTCTTTCGACAGTGTTTTGTAGTTTTTGGTGTTCAAATCTTTTGCCCTCTTGGTTAAGCTAATTTCTAGTTTTTAAAATGCTGTTGTAAATGTAATTCTTTTTTTTTTTTTTTTTTTGAGATGGAGTCTTGCTCTGTCTCCCAGGCTGGAGTGCAGTGGCACTGTCTCAGCTCACTGCAACCTCCACCTTCCTTATTCAAGCGATTCTCCAACCTCAGCCTCTCAAGTAGCTGGGATCACAGGTGCACGCCACCATGCCCAGCTAATTTTTTGGTATTTTTAGTAGAGACAGGGTTTCTCCATGTTGACCAGACTAGTCTTGAACTTGTGACCTCAGGTGATTTGCCTGCCTCGGCCTCCCATAGTGCTGGGATTGCAGGCATGAGCCACCACACCTGGCCAAATGTCATTCTTTTTAAAAATTTCTTTTCTTTTGTTTTCTTTTTCTTTCTTTTCTTTTTTTCTTTTCTTTCTCTCTCTTTCTTTCCTTTCTTTCTTTTTTTTGAGATGGCGTCTCACTCTGTTTCCTAGGCTGGAGCGCAGTGGCACAATCTCAGCTGACTGCAACCTCCACCTTCCAAGTTCAAGCAATTCTCCTGCCTCAGCCTCCCAAGCAGCTGGGACTACAGGTGTCTGCCACTATGCCCAGCTAATTTTTGTATTTTTAATAGAGACAGAGTTTTACTATTTATATTAGAGATGGGGTTGGCCCAGCTGGTCACGAACTCCTGACCTCAGTTGGTCCACCCGCCTTGGCCTCCCGAAGTGCTGGGATTATAAGCGTGAGCCACTGCACCTGGCCTCTGTTTTTAAAATTTTATTTGCAGATTGTTCATTGTTAGTTTACAGAAATGCAACTGACTTGTGTGTGTTACTGTATCCTGAAACTTTGTTGAATTTCATTATTCTACCAGTATTTTGTGGAATTTCAGGATTTTTACACATTACATCCTGTTGTCTGTGAACAAAATTTTATACTTCTCCCTTTCCAATTTGCATGCTTTTTATTTCTTTCTCTTGCCTAATTATTCTGAGTAGAAATTCCAGTACTGTGGTGAATAGAAGTGGCAGGAGGAGATGTTGCTATCTTGTTCCTGATCCTAGAGGAAAAGTTCTTAGTTTTTCACCATTGAGTATGATGTTAGCTGTGAGCTTTTCATGTACGATCTTTATTTACTGAGGAGTTTCCATCTATTACTAATTCTTTGAGTGTTTTTATTATGAAAGGTGTTCATCCCGCTGTGGAACCAGATAAATGTTGACCTGATAGAATGGATTGGAATGTCCCCTCCTGGTTTTTGAACATTTTTTGAATATTTTGCAGAGCATTGGCATTAATTCTTCTTGAAATGTTTGGTAAAATTCTCCAGTGAAGTTATCTGGACCTGGAATTTTCTTTTTTGGGGGGTTTTTGATTACTGGTTGAATCTTCTTACTAGTTACAGGTCTCTTTGGATTTTTTATTTCTCCATGATGCAGTATGGTGGTTTGTGTTTCTAGGAATTTATAAATTTATTCTAAGTTGCCCAGTTTTGTGGCATATGGTTTGCTCACATTAGTCTCTTGTAATCTTTTTCATTTCTGTGGCATCTGTTGTACTGTCACCTCTTTTATATATGATTTTAGTATTTGAGATTTCTCTTTTTTTCTTAATATGGCTGTGAGTTTTAAAATTTTTATTGATCTTTAAAAAAACAAACTCAGTGTTTTTTTTTCCTTTCTTTTTTCTGGTCTTATTCTGCTTATCTCTGCTCTAATCTGTTATTTTCTTCCTTTTGCTTGGTTTGTCATTAGTTTTTTTTTCCCTTCAGGTGTAATGTTAGGTTATTGATTTGAGATCTTTCTTCTTTTTAATTTAAGCACCTGCAGCTATAAGCTTCCCTTTAGCATGGGTTTGAGATCTCGCTTCTTTTCAATTTAAGCATCTGCAGCTGTAAGCTTCCCTTTAGCATGGGTTTGAGATCTTTCTTCTTTTTAATTTAAGCATCTGCAGCTGTAAGCTTCCCTTTAGCACTGCCTTTGTTGCCTCCTCCTGAGTTTGGGTATGTCATGATTTTGTTTTCATTTGCCTAAACATTTTTTTGTCCTATTGTAATATAATTGCGTTGTTTTTAATAAAGGTGATTAATGAAACACATAATGAATTGTGCTTCTGTTTTTATAATATTTTAAGCATTCTTAACTCAGAAATGTAAACTTTAGAAAAAAATTCCAGGCCAGGCACAGTGGCTCACACCTGCAATCCCAGCACTTTGGGAGGCCGAGGCGGGCGGATCATCTGAGGTCAGGAGTTGGAGACCAGCCTGGCCAACATGGTGACACCCTGTCTTTACTAAAAATAGAAAAAAAAAATATATAAAAGTTAGCTAGGTGTGGTGGCGGATGCCTGTAATCCCAGCTACCGTGGAGGCTGAGGCAGGACAATCACTTGAATCTGGGAGGCGGAGGTTGCAGTGAGCTGAGATTGCACCACTGCACTCCAGCCTGGGTGACAGAGTGAGACTCCGTCTCAAAAAAAAAGAAGAAAGAAAAAATTTCAGACATATTTGTATGTATTTCAATTTAGAAACTATGATCTCCTAAGTGTATTGACACAGCAACCTGACATAAAGATAAATAAACCTATACCAAAACGGAAACCTGCAAATACCTGTTTTTCATTAATTTTTAATTATATATATTTAAAAATTGCCGGGTACAGTGGCTTACACCTGTAATCCCAGCACTTTGGGAGGCTGAGGTGGGCAGATCACATGAGGTCAGGAGTTTGAGACCAGCCTGGCCAACATGGTGAAATCCCATCTCTATTAAAAATCAAAAAATTAGCCAGGTGTGATAGTATGCATCTGTAGTCCCAGCTACTCAGGAGCCTGAGGCGGGAGAATTGCTTGAACCTGGGAGGCAGAGGTTGCAGTGAGCCAAGATAGTGCCACTGCGCTCCTCCCTGGGTGACAGAGTGAGACTCTGTCTCAAAAAAATAAAAATTGCCTGGGCGCGGTGGCTCACACCTGTAATCGCAGCACTTTGGGAGGCTGAGGCAGGCAGATCATGTCAGGAGATCGAGACCATCCGGGCTAACACAGTGAAATGCCGTATCTACTAAAAATAGAAAAAATTAGCGGGGCGTTGTGGCGGGTGCCTGTACTTCCAGCTACTCCGGAGGTTGAGGCAGGAGAATGGTGTGAACCCGGGAGGTGGAGCTTGCAGTGAGCCGAGATCACGCCACTGCACTATGGCCTGGGCAACAGAGCAAGACTCCGTCTCAAAAAAAAAAAAAAATTAGATGACCATTTCACCTAAAATATACCCTCTTAAGTTTTTTTTTTAAGTGTACAATACAGGACGGCCATGCATCAGAGATATATGTGGGTTTGGTTCCAGACCACTGCAATAAAGTGAGTTATACAATTTCTTTTGGTTTCCCAGTGCATGTAAAAGTATGTTTATACTGTGCTGTATAAAGTGTGCAACAGCATATGTCTACAAAGTGTACACACCTTAGTTTACAAATACTTTATTGTTAACAAGTGCTAACAGTCATCTGAGCCTTCAGCAAGCTGCAATCTTTTTTTGTGTGTGTGATAGGATTTCACTCTGTGGCTCAGGCTGGAGTAATTGCAGCCTCAACCTCCTGCTCAATCAAACCCCCACCTCAGACTCCTGACTAGCTGGGACTACAGGTGCGTGCCACCATGTGCAGCTAATTTTTTTTTTTTTGTAGAGATGGTGTTTTGCCATGTTGCCTCGACGTCCTGGGCTCAAGCAATCCCCCCACCTTGGCCTCCCAAAGTGTTGGGATGACAGGGGTGAACCACTGCACCTGGCCAAGTTGCAGTCTTCTTGCTGATGGAGGGTCTTGCCTTAATGTAAGGTGGTGATTGCTGAGGGTTGGGGTAGCTGTGGCAATTTCTTAAAATAATACAACATTGAAGTTTGCTGTGTCAATTGACTCTCCCTTTCACAAAAGAATGATCTGTAGCATACGATGTTGTTTGAGAGCTTTTTACCCACAGTAGAACTTTCAAAATTGGATTCAATCCTGTCAGGCCTTCGTACTGCTGTACCAACTAAGTTTATGTATTATTGTAAATCATTGGGTTCAATCCTGTCAAGCCCTCCTTCTGCTGTACCAACTGAGTTTATTCTAAATCTGTTGTCATCTCAACAGTGTTTACACTGTCTTCACCACGAGTAGATTTCATCTCAAGAAACTACTTTCTTTGCTCATCTGTGGAAGCAACTCATCCACTCACGTTTTCTCCCGAGGCTGCTGCAGTCTCACCATATCTTCAGGCTCTGTCTCTGATTCTAGTGCTCTTGTTATTTCCACTATATCTGCAGTTACTTCCTCCACAGAAGTCGTGAACCCCTCAGTGTCATCTGTGAGGGTTGGAATAATCTTGACAACTTATCTCTCTCTCTTTTTTTTTTTTTTTTTTTTTTTTGAGATGGAGTCTTGCCTGGGCTGGAGTGCAGTGACAACACGATCTCAGCTCACTGAAACCTGCGCCTCCCGAGTTCAAGCAATTCTCCTGCCTCAGCCTCCCAAGTATTTCGGATTACAGGCATCCCCCACCAGGCTCAGATAAATTTTTTTTTTTTTTTTTAGTAGAGACAGGGTTTCACTATGTTGGCCAGGCTGGTCTCAAATTCCTGACCTTGTGATCCACCCACCTTGGCCTCCCAAAGTGCTGGGATTACAGGCGTGAGCCACCATGCCCGGCCCCAACTTCTCCTAATGTTGCTATTTTGATCTTCTTTATTAAATCATGAATGTTCTCAATGGCATCTAGAATGGTGAATCCTTTCAGTAGATTTTCAATTATTTTGCCTAGATCCATCAAAGGAATCACTTTCTAGACAAGCTATAGCTTTATGAAATATATTTTTTAAGTGATAAGACTTGAAAGTTGACATTATTCTTTGATCCAAGGGCAGCAGAATGAATGTTGGGTTAGTAGGCATGAAAACAATATTCAGCTCTTTATACATCTCTGTAAAAGCCCTTGAGTACCAGGAGCATTGTCATTGAGCGGTAATACTTTGAAAGAAATCTTATTTCTTGAGCAGTAGGTGTCAACAGTGGGCTTAAGATATTTAGTAAGCCATATTTGTAAACAGATAGTCTGTCATCCAGGCTTTGTTCCCATTTGTAGAGTACAGGCAGAGCTGTTTTATAATAATTCTTCAGGGCCCTTGGATTTTCAGAATAGTAAATCATCATTGGTTTCAAGTTAACATCACCAGATGCATTAGCCCTTAACAAAAGAGTCAGCATGTCATTTGAAGCCTTAAAGCCAGGCATCAACTCCTCCCTAGCTGGGAATATCCTAGATGGCATCTCCTTCTAACAGAAGGCTGTTTTGTCTCCATTGAAAATCTATTTAGTGTAGCCATCTTAATCAGTTATCTTCTAGATAGCTTTCTGCAGCTTTTCCATCAGTACTTGCTGCTTTATCTTGCACTTTTATGTTATGGAGATGACTTTTTTCCCTAAACCTCATGAAACAAGCTCTTCTAGCTTCAGACTTTTCTTCTGCAGCTGCCTCACCTCTCTGAGCCTTCATAGAATTGAAGAGAGGCCGGGCGCTGTGGCTGTCACGCCTGTAATCCCAGCACTTTGGGAGGCCGAGGCGGGCAGATCACCTGAGTTCGGGAGTTCGACACCAGTGTGACCAACGTGGAGAAACCCCGTCTCTACTAAAAATACAAAACATTAGCCGGGCGTGGTGGCGCATGCCCGTAATCCCAGCTACTCGGGAGGCTGAGGCAGGAGAATGGCTTGAACTTGGGAGGCAGAGGTTGCGATGAGCCGAGATCGCGCCATTGCACTCTAGCTTGGGCAAGAAGAATGAAACTCCGTCTCAAAAAAACAGAAAAAAAAAAAGAAAAAGGAGAGTTAGGCTTAGGCTTAATGGAATTTTTTTTAAATCTTCTATCTAGACCAATTAAACTTTCTTCATAACAGCAGCAACATTGTTTAGCTTTTTATCATTCATGTGTTCACTGGAGTAGTACTTTAAATTTCTTTCAAGAACACTTCCTTTGCATTCACAATTTGGCTAAGTGTTTGTTGCATGAGGTCTAGCTACTGGCCTGTCTTGCTTATAGCATGCCTTCCTCACTAAGCTTAATTATTTCTTCCTTTTGGTTTAAAGTGGCAGACATGCAACTCTTCTTTCACTTGAACACATAGAGGCTATTGTAGGGTTATTAATTGGCCACAATTTAATATTAATAAAAAGAAGCCTGAGAAAAAGAGAGAAAGAGAAATGGCCCGTTGGTGGAGTAGTCAGAACACACGCATTTGTCAGTTGTTTGCTGTCTTATCCGGGTGTGATTTGTGGTTCCCAAAACAATGACAATAGTAGCATTAAAGATCACTGATTACAGATCACCATTACAGATTCAATGATAAAAAGCTTAAATTACTGTGAGAATGACCAAAATGTGACAGAGACGTGAAGTGAGCACGTGCTGTAGGAAAAATGGTGCCAGTGAGACCTGCTTATTGCAGGGTGGCCACAAACCTTCAATATGTAAAAAACATGGTCACAAATCACAATAAAGCAAGTGCAGTGAAACGAGATGTGTCTGTCTTTTGATAGACTCTGACAATCTCTGTCTTTGAATTGGTACATTCATACCATTAACATTCAAAGTGATTATTGATATCATTGGATTAATATCTACTGTGTTTGTTACTGTTTTCTATTCATTCTCCTTAGTCTTCATTCTCTTGTCTACCACTCTTTTTCTGCCCTTTGCAGTTTTCATTGATGATTTTAGATGACTACATTTTCCCTGTCTTTCTTAGCATGTACTTCTTTTTTTTAAAACTTTTTTTAACTAGTTGCCATAGAATTTGCAATATACATTTACAACCAATTCAAGTCCACTTTCATATAACACTATCCCACTGTCCCACAAATAAGACTACCTGCTTAACAAAGAAAACACCTGATTCCTCCCTCCCATCCTTCCATTCCATTCCTTGTATTATTATTCTTTATTTCACTTGTGTATAAGCATACATAATCTATCTGTGTGTATTTATTATTATCTACAAGCTTATTGGTCAGATCAATTATGAATAAATACATGTTTTTATTGTACCACAATTCCTCCCTCCCATCCTTCCATTCCATTCCTTTTATTAGTGTTACTCATTTCACTTGTGTATAAGCATACATAATCTATCTGTGTGTATTTATTATTATCTATAAACTTCTTGGTCAGATCAATTAAGAATAAATACATAAGTTTTTATTGTACCACAATTCTTTCTTTAATGCTCTTTTTAAAAAAATGTTGATCCAGGTTTCAGTTATATATCTTTTGTTTCCCTCTAAAGAATTTCATTTAACATTTCTTGCAAGACAGGTCTCCTGGCAACAAGTTTCTTGAATTTTTATTTTTCTGAGGAAGGCCTTAATTCTCCTTCACTTTTGAAGGGTGGTTTCAGTGGGTACAGAAACTTAGGTTGGTGGGTTTTTTTTCTGTCAACATTTTGAATTTTCCATTTCACTGTCTTCTTGCTTTCACAGTTTCTGCAATGTTGAATTCAGTTCTTATCTTTGTGTCTCTGTAGGTAAGGTGTTTTCTGCCCCACCTCTGGTTTCTTTCAGAGTTTTCCTTTGTCTTTTATTTCATATAGTTTGAAAATTTTATGTCCAAGTGTAGGTTGTTGGCATTTATCCTGCCTGGTGTTCTCGGGGCTTCCTGGATCTTTGGTTTGGTGTCTGACATTAATACTGGAAGTTCTCAGACATGGTTGTTGCAGATCTTTCTTCTATTTCTTCTCCTCCTGGTATTCTCATTACCCTGTTTCACCTTTTGTAGTTGTCCCACAGTCTTGGATATCATCTTTTGTTCATTTCAGTGTTTTTCTTTTTTAGTTTTTGAAGTTTCTGTTGATAAATCCTCAAGCTCAGAGATTCTTTACTCAGCTGAGTCTAGTCTACTAATAAGCCATCAGAGGTATTCTTCAGTTATTTACCACATTTTTTATCACTAAATTACGTTGATGGTTCTAATGATGTCTTTCTGGATACATTACCCATCTACAGTTGAATGCTGTCTAGTTCATTCATTAGAGCCCTTAGCATATTCTCCAGAGGTTTAAAAAAAAAATTCCAAAATCATAGGTTTGTCTGCTTCTGAAGCTTGCTCTGTTGCTACAAATTGTATTTTTTTTTATTTTTTTGCCTTTTAGTATGCCTTGTAATTTTTTCCCCATAATTCCAGGCATGAAGTACCCACTAAAAGTGACTGCTGTTAATATAGCTTCAGTAATGTGGTAATGAGGTGTCAGGGCAGGTGATGCTCTCTTCTTCTCTTTAGGTGGCTATAACAAAATACTTTAGACTGAGTAATTCATAAACAACAGAGATTATTGCTCACAGATCTGGAGGCTGGAAAGTCCAAGACTAAAGTGCCAGAACATTTGGTGTTTGGTGAAGGTCAAACATTCAGACACTCGCAACGACTCTAGTGGCAGCAGCAGTGTTCAGGAATCCTATGTCAGGGACAAACACTCAGACCCCAGCTGGAGTGTTCTAGAATCCTGTGTGCGGGAAAAACATTCAGACCCTCGTAGCCGTGTCTGGAATCCTATGTGAGGGACGAACATTCAGATCCCAGCAGTTGTGTTGTGGAATCCTATGTGAGGGACAAACATTCAGACCCTTGTAGCAGTGTTCTGGAATCCTATGTGAGGGACAAACATTCAGAACCTTGTAGCAGTATTCTGGAATCCTATGTGAGGAACAAACTATCAGACCACAGCAGAAGTGTTCTGGAATCCTATGTGAGGGACAAACATTCAGATCACACAGCAGTGTTCTGGAATCTTATGTGAGGGACAAACATTCAGACCCCAGCAGGAGTGTTCTGGAATCCTATGTGAGGGACAAACATTCAGACCCTCGTAGCAGTGTTCAGGAATCCTATGTGAAGGACAAACATTCAGACACTCGCAGCAGTGTTCTGGAATTCTATGTGAGGGACACACATTCAAAACCCAGCAGCAGTATTCTGGAATCCTATGTAACGGACAGATATTCAGACCCTAGCAGCAGTGTTCTGGAATCCTATGTGAGGGACAAACATTCAGACCCTCGTAGCAGTGTTCAGGAATCCTATGTGAGAGGCAAACATTCAGACCACAGCAGCAGTGTTCTGGAATCCTATGTGAGGGAGAAAAATTCAGACCACAGCAGGAGTGCTCTGTAATCCTATGTGAGGGACAAACATTCAGAACCTCATAGCAGTGTGCTGGAATGTTATGTGAGGGACAGACATTTAGACCCTCGCAGCAGTGTTCTGGAATCCCATGTGAGGGACAAACATTCAGACACTCGCAGCAGTGTTCTGGAATTCTATGTGAGGGACAGACATTCAAAACCCAGCAGCAGTATTCTGGAATCCTATGTAACGGACAGATATTCAGACCCTAGCAGCAGTGTTCTGGAATCCTATGTGAGGGACAAACTTTCAGACCCTCATAGCAGTGTTCTGGAATCCTATGTGAGGTATAAACATTCAGACACCAGCAAAAGTGTTCTGGAATCCTATGTGAGGGACATTCAGACCATGGCAGCAGTGTTCTGGAATCCTATGTGAGGGACAAACTTTCAGACCACAGCAGGAGAGATCTGGAATCCTATGTGAGGGACAAACTTTCAGACCACAGCAGGAGTGTTCTTGAATCCTATTTGAAGGACAAACATTCAGACCCCAGGAGCAGTGTTCTGAAATCCTATGTTAAGGGCAAACATTCAGACCCCAATGTGAATGTTCTAGAATCCTATGTGAGGGACAAACATTCAGACCATAGCAGGAGTGTTCTGGAATCCTATGTGAGGGACAAACATTCAGACCCTTGTAGCAGTGTTCTGGAATCCTATGTGATTAAAAAACATTAAGACCACAGCAGAGTGCTCTGGAATCCTGTGTGAGGGACAAACATTCAAACCCCAGCAGGAGTGTTCTGGAATCCTATGTGAGGGACATTCAGACCCTCGTAGCAGTGTTCTGGAATCCCATGTGAGGGACAAATATTCAGACCACAGCAGGAGTGCTCTGGAATCCTATGTGAGGACATTCAGAACCGCATAGCAGTGTGCTGGAATCTTATGTGAGGGACAGACATTTAGGCCCTCGAAGCAGTGTTCTGGAATCCTATGTGAGGGACAAACATTCAGACCCCAACAGCAGTGTTCTGGAATCCTATGTGAGGGACAAACATTCAGACCCTCGTAGCCGTGTTCTGGAATCTTATCTGAGGGACAAACACTCAGAACCCAGCAACAGTGTTCTGGAATCCTATGTGAGGGAAAAACATTCAGACCCTCGTAGCAGTGTTCTGGATTCCTATGTGAGGGACACTCAGTACCCAGCAGTAGTGTTCTGGAATGCTATGTGGGGGACAGATATTCAGACCACAGTAGGAGTGTTCTAGAGTCCTATGTGAGGGTTAGTCAGACCACAGCAGGAGTGTTCTGGAATCCCATGTGAGGAACATACATTAAGATCACAGTAGGAGTGTTCTGGAATCATATGTGAAGGACAAACGTTCAGACCCTCATAACAGTGTTCTGGAATCCCATGTGAGGGACAAACATTCACATCCCAGCAGCAGTGTTTTGGAATCCTGTGTGAGGGAAAATCATTCATACCATCGTAGTAGTGTTCTGAAATCTTACGTGAGGGAGAAACACTCAGAATCCAGCAGCAGTGTTCTCAAATCCTATCTGAGGGACAAACATTCATACAGTCATAGCATTGTTCTGGAATCCTATGTGAGGGACAAACACTCAGAACCCAACAGCAGTGTTCTGGAATCCTATGTGAGGGCAAATATTCAGAACACAGCAGGAGTGTTCTGAAATCCTATGTGAGGGACAAACATTCACACCACAGCAGGAGTGTTATGGAATCCTATGTGAGGGATAAACATTCAGACCACAACAGGCGTGTTCTGGTGTCCTATGTGAGGGACAAATACTCAGAACCCAGCAGCAGTGTTCTGGAATCCTATGTGAGGGACATACATTCAGACCCCAGCAGCAGTGTTCTGGAATCCTATGTGAGGGACAAACATTCAGACCCCAGCAGCAGTGTTCTTGAGTACTACATGGGGTACAAACATTCAGACCACAGCAGGAGAGTTCTGGAATCCTATGTGAGGGACAAGCATTCAGATGCTCCTAGCAGTGCTCTGGAATCCTATGTGAGGGACAAACATTCAGACCCCAGCAGCAGTGTTCTTGAGTACTACATGGGGTACAAACATTCAGACCACAGCAGGAGAGTTCTGGAATCCTATGTGAGGGACAAGCATTCAGACACTCCTAGCAGTGCTCTGGAATCCTTTGTGAGAAATAAACATTCAGACACCAGCAGCAGTGTTCTGGAATACTATTTGAAGGGCAAACATTCGGACCCTCATAGCAGTTTTCTGGAATCCTATGTGAGGAACAAATACTCAGAACCCAGCAACAGTATTCTGGAATCCTGTGTGAGGGACAAACATTCAGACCACAGTAGGAGTGTTCTGGAATCCTGTGTGAGGGACAAACTTTCAGACCACAGTAGGAGTGTTCTGGAATCCTATGTGAGGGACAAACATTCAAACCCTCGTAACAGTGTTCTGGAATCCCATGAGAGGGACAAACGTTCAGACCCTCATAGCAGTCTTCTGGAATCCTATGTGAGGGACAGACACTCAGAACACAGCAGCATTGTTCTGGAATCCTATGTGAGGGAGAAATTCAGACCACAGGAGGGGAGTTCTGGAATCCTATGTGAGGGAAAAACATTCAGACCTCAGTAGGAGTGTTCTGGAGTCCTATGTGAGGGTCAAACATTCAGACCCTCGTAACAGTGTTCTGGAATCCTATGTGAGGGACAAACACTCAGACTCCAGCAGCAGTGTTCTGGAATCCTGTTGGAGGGGCAAACATTTGGACTCTCGTAGCAGTGTTCTGGAATCCTATGTGAGGAGCAAACCCTCAGAACCCAGCAGCAGTGTTCTGGAATCCTATGTGAGGGGCAAGGATTCAGACCACAGCAGGAGTGTACTGGAATTGTATGTGAGGAACAAGCATTCAGACCACAGTAGGAGTGTTCTGGAATCCTGTGTGAGGGCAAACATTCAGACTCTCGTAACATAGTTCTGGAATCCTATGTGAGGGACAAACATTCAGACCCCAGCAGCAGTGTTCTGTAATCCTATGTGAGGGACAAACATTCAGACCCTCATAGCAGTGTTCTGGGATCCTTTGTGAGTGACAGAAACTCAGAACCCACCAGCAGTGTTCTGGAATCCTATGTGAGAGACAAACATTCAGACCACAGCAGGAGTGTTCTGCAATCCTATGTGAGGGACAAACATTCAGACCCTTGTAGCAGTGTTCTAGTATCCTATTTGAGGGAGGAACATTCAGACCCTAGCAGCAGGGTACTGGTATCCTATGTGAGGGACAAACATTCAGACCCTCGTAGCAGTGTTCTGGAATCCTATGTGAGAGATAAATATTCAGACCCCAGCAGCAGTGTTCAGGCATCCTGTGTGAGGGGCAAACATTCAGACCCTCGTAGCAGTATTCTGGAATCCTATGTGAGGGACAAACCCTCAGAACCCAACAGCAGTGTTCTGGAATCCTATGTGAGGGACAAACATTCAGACCACAGCAGGAGTGTTCTGGAATCCTATGTGAGTCACAGACATTCAGACCACAGCAGGATTGTTCTGGAGTCTTATGTGAGGTATCAACATTCAGACTCCAGCAGCATTGTTCTGGAGTCCTAGTGAGGGGCAATCATTCAGGCCCTCATGGCAGTGTTCTGGAATCCTAAGTGAGGGGAAATACTCAGAATCCAGCAGCAGTGTTTTGGAATCCTATGTGAGGGACTAACATTCAGACCACAGCAGGAATGTTCTGGAATCCTATGTTAGGGACAGATATTCAGACCCTTGTGGCAGTGTTCTGGAATCCTATGTGAGGAAGAAATATTCAGACCACAGCAGCAGTGTTGTGGAGTCCTATGTGAGGGACAAACACTCAGAACCCAGCAGCGGTGTTCCGGAATCGTATGTGAGGGACAAACATTCAGACCACAGCAGGAGTGTTGTTGAATCCTATGTGAGGGACAAACATTCAGACCCTCGTTGAAGTGTTCTGGAATCCTATATGAAGGACAGACACTTGGAACCCAGCAGCAGTGTTCTGGAATTCTATGTAAGGGTCAAAGATTCAGAACACACTAGCAGTGTTCTGTAATCCTAAGTGAGGGAAAAACATTCGGACCACAGCAGGAGTGGTCTGGAAGCCTATGTGAGGGACAAACATTCAGACCCTCGCCATGGTGTTCTGGAATCCTATGCGGGGGACAAACCATTCAGACCCTCGTAGCAGTGTTTTGGAATCCTATGTGAGGGACAATCACTCAGACCCCAGCAGCAGTGCTGTGGAATCTTACGTGATGGACAAACATTCAGACCCTTGTAGCAGTGTTCTGGAATCCTATGTGAGGGACAAGCAGACCACAGCAGCAGTGTTTTGAAATCCTATGTGAGGGACAAACACTCGGACCACAGCAGTAGTGTTCTGGAATCTTATGTGAGGGCAAAGAGACCCCTGCAAACAGGGACAATTTGACCTCCTCTTTTCCTAATTGAATACACTGTATTTCTTTATCCTGCCTGATAGCCCTGGCCAGAACTTCCAACCCTATGTTGAATAGGAGTGATGAGAGAGGGCATCCCTGTTTGTGCCCATTTTCAAAGGGAATCCTTCCAGTTTTTGCCCATTCAGTATGATATTGGCTGTGCGTTTGTCACGAATAGCTCTTATTATTTTTAGATATGTCGCATCAATACCTAATTCATTGAGAGTTTTTTAGCGTGAAGGGCTGTTGAATTTTGTTGAAGGCCTTTTCTGCGTGTATTCAGATAATCATGCAGTTTTTGTCTTTGGTTCTGTTTATATGCTGGATTACATTTATTGATTTGCATGTGTTGAACCAGCCTTGCATCCCAGGGATGAAGCCATCTTGATCATGGTCGATAAGCTTTTTGATGTGCTGCTGGATTAGGTTTTGCAAGTATTGTATTGAGGATTTTCGCATTGATGTTCATCAGGGATATTGGTCTAAAATTCTCTTTTTTGATTATGTCTCGTCCAGGCTTTGGTATCAGGATGATGCTGGCCTCATAAAATGAGTTAGGGAGGATTCCCTCTTTTTCTATTGATTGGAATAGTTTCAGAAGGAATGGTACCAGCTTATCCTTGCACCTCTGGTAGAATTCAGCTGTGATTCCGTCTGGTTCTGGACTCTTTTTGGTTGGTAAGCTATTATTGCCTCAATTTCAGAGCCTGTTATTGGTCTATTAAGAGATTCAACTTCCTCCTGGTTTAGTCTTGGAAGGGTTTATGTGTCAAGGAATTTATCCATTTCTTCTAGATTTTCTAGTTTATTTGCGTAGAGGTGTTTACAGTATTCTCTGATGGTAGTTTGTATTTCTGTGGGATCAGTGGTGCTGTCCCCTTTATCATTTTTTATTGCGTATATTTGATTCTTCTCTCTTTTCTTCTTTATCAGTCTTGCTAGTGGTCTATCAATTTTGTTGATCTTTTCAAAAAACCAGCTCCTGGATTCATTGATTTTTTGAAGGGTTTTTTATGTCTCTATCTCCTTCACTTCTGCTCTGATCTTAGTTATTTTTTGGAAGTCAAATTGTCCCTGTTTGCAGATGACATGTTTGTATATCTAGAAAACCCCATCATCTCAGCCCAAAATCTCCTTAAGCTGATAAGCAGCTTCAGCGAAGTCTCAGGATACAAAATCAATGTACAAAAATCACAAGCATTCTTATACACCAATAACAGGGAAACAGAGAGCCAAATCATGAGTGAACTCCCATTCAAATTTGCTTCAAAGAGAATAAGTTACCTAGGAATCCAACTTACAATGGTTGTGAAGAAGGTCTTCAAGGAGAACTGCAAACCACTGCTCAACAAAATAAAAGAGGACACAAACCAGTAGAAGAACATTGCATGCTCATGGATAGGAAGAATCAATATTGTGAAAATCGCCATACTGCCCAAGGTAATTTATAGATTCAATGCCATCCCCATCAAGCTACCAATGATTTTCTTCACAGAATTGGAAAAAACTACTTTAAAGTTGATATAGAACCAAAAAAGAGCCCACATTGCCAAGTCAGTCCTAAGCCAAAAGAACAAAGCTGGAGGCATCACGCTACCAGACTTCAAACTATACTACAAGGCTACAGTAACCAAAACAGCATGGTACTGGTACCAAAACAGAGATATAGACCAATGGAACAGAACAGAGCCCTCAGAAATAATACCACACATCTACAACTATCTGATCTTTGACATACCTGACAAAAGAAATGGGGAAAACATTCCCTATTTAACAAATGGTGGTGGGAAAACTGGCTAGCCATATGTAGAAAGCTGAAACCAGATCCCTTCCTTACACCTTATACAAAAATTAATTCAACATGGATTAAAGACTTAAATGTTAGACCTAAAACCATAAAAACCCTAGAAGAAAACCTAGTCAATACCATTCAAGACATAGGCATGGGCAAGGACTTCATGTCTAAAACACCAAAAGCAATGGCAACAAAAGCCAAAATTGACAAATAGGATCTAATTAAACTAACGAGCTTTTGCTCAGCAAAAGACATCAGAGTGAACAGGCAGCCTACAGAATGGGAGAAAATGTTTACAATCTACTCATCTGACAAAGGGCTAATATCCAGAATCTACAAAGAACTCAAATTTACAAGAAAAAACCCATCAACAAGTGGGCGAAGGATATGAACAGACACTTCTCAAAAGAAGTCATTTATGCAGCCAACAGACACATGAAAAAATGGTCATCATCACTGGCCATCAGAGAAATGCAAATCAAAATCACAATGAGATATCATCTCACACTAGTTAGAATGGCGATCATTAAAAAGTCAGGAAACAACAGGTGCTGGAGAGGATGTGGAGAAATAGGAACACTTTTACACTGTTAGTGGGATTGTAAAGTAGTTCAACCATTGTGGAAGACAGTGTGGTGATTCCTCAGGGACGTAGAACTAGAAATACCATTTGACCCAGCCATCCCATTACTGGAATTATACCCAACAGAATATAAATGATGCTACTATAAAGACACATACACACGTAAGTTTATTGCAGTGCTACTCACAATAGCAAAGACTTGGAACCAACTGAAATGTCCAAATGTCCAACAATGATAGACTGGATTAAGAAAATGTGGCACATATACACCATGGAATACTATGCAGCCATAAAAAATGATAAGTTCATGTCCTTTGTAGGGACATAGATGAAGCTGGAAACCATCATTCTGAGCAAACTGTCTCAAGGACAAAAAACCAAACACCACATGTTCTCACTCATAGGTCGGAATTGAACAATGAAAACACATGGACACAGGAAGGGGAACATCACACACCGGGGCTTGTTGTGGGGTAGGGGGAGCAGGGTGGGATAGCGTTAGGAGATATACCTAATGTAAATTACGAGTTACTGGGTGCAGCACACCAACATGGCACACGTATACATATGTAAGAAACCTGCACGTTGTGCACATGTATCCTAGATCTTAAAGTATAATAAAAAAATATATATAAATAATTCAATATGGAAAATATATTAAAAAAAGAAAGAAAATGTGGTATATTATTTGGCAGTAAAAAAAAAAGAAAACCCTGTCATTTTTGAACAACATGGATGAACCTGGAGGACAACATGTTAAGTGAAATAAGCCAGGTGCAGAAAGACAAATATATCATGACATGACTCCTACTGGTATATAAAAAAGTTGATCTCATAGAGTTACAAAGTACAATGGTGGGTATCAGAGCTAGGGGTAAAGGGGAGTTGCAGTGATGTTAATCAGAGGATACATACTTAGGGTTAGATAGAAGGAATAAATTTCAGGAGATGTAGAGCAAGGTGATTGTAATTGATGATGACCTATTGCATTCTTGAGAAATAGAAAGTTAATGTTACGTGTATTCACCAGAAAAATGATAGCTATGCGAATTGATGTATTTGTTAATTAGCTAGATTTGACCTTTTCACAATGTATGCGTACTTTTTCCCTCACATAGAGTTCCAGAACACTGCTACTGGGGTCTGAATGCTTGTCCTTCAGATAGGATTCCAGGACACTACTGCGAGAGTCTCAATGTTTTTCCCTTACATAGGATGCCAGAACGCTACTGCATTGGTCTGAATGTTTGTCCCTGACATTTTACATTACAAAAACTTGCAATGTCATATGTCAATTAAAAATAAATATTAATAAAGTAATTTTAAAAAGACAGAAAGAAAAAAAAAAACAACAGACCACAGCAGCAGTGTTGTGAGGGACAAACATTCAGACCCTCGTAGCAGTGTTCTGGAATTCTATGTGAGGGAGAAACATTCAGACCTCAGGAGCAGTGTTTTGGTACCATATGTGAGGGACAAACACACAGACCCCGGCAGCCGTGTTCTGGAATGCTATGATTGGGTCTATACTGTGAACCTCAGAAGTGTTCCTCTGTTTAATTAATTTTCCACCTTGGGCGGAACATGATTAGAATGGGCTGCAGTGGAAGGGGATAATTCCCTTCCCCTAGGTTATTTAGTCTCCGATTATACTAGAGCAGATTAGGCTGAAGTTAAGTAGTTTCTCCTGTGGACAAGCCTTGTTAAGAAATGGGTGCTCTGACATATTTCAAAATGGTTTTCCTTTTTCCTTCCGAAAGGTTGAAGCAGGAGGGGAGTTTTGTCAGGTGTTTGTCACAGGAGCCTGGTGAAGCTCCATGAGACAATTTTACAGTATTGTGCCCCCTCCCCGACAATAACTCTATCTCTTTGTAGTTTTTAACACTTAGAGTTGTCCACGCGGATCCTCCAGCCGTTCACCAGTTACGGTTTGAGTTTTTCTACTCCAGCACGGGTTCCAAAGTTGGTTTCAGTAGTGAGTCCATTTTCCTGTAAGCTATTAAGTCCTATATTCACTTCTCTGTCTCTGCAATCCTGGGGGCAGTGGTTTGCCCTGTGTCCTCCCCTGAGTTTCAAATCTAGAAAGAACTGTTGATTTTTTAGTCTCTTCAGCTTTTTATTTGTTGTTAAGATTAATTGTGTCATATTAATTTGTTAAGATTGTTATTAAAATTAATTATTGTAAAGTAATTATTGATTACTTCCAAGCTTCTTACATGCAGAAATAGGAACCTGGAAGGTGTTTCTAAAACTATCTTCTCAATGCCTATATGCACAGTTAAAGGATTTTTTTCCACAGGACTATGATCATGATGAATTATATTAGTAGACTTCCGAATATTGAACTTTTCTTTATTCGTGGAATAAACTCAGAAAGTTCCTTCTTGGTCTTCACAGTCTATTTCTCTTCCTGTGTAAATGTTAGTGTTTCTGTAGATTCTGTACTTGTTTCTTTTATTCTTTCATTCTCTTATTTTCATTTGGTCTGATGGATTCAGGTACCATTGAAATTCTGGTAATTTCCAAATCTTTATCTTTAGTTTTGATCTCTCTTCTGAACCAGTGGAGCCATTTTCCCAGTTGCCAGTTGGACATTCCCACATATGGAACCTCAGATGTTTCACACATGATATGTCCAAGTCTGTGTCACTTCTGGTTATCGTATTCTTTTATTTTTTGCAAATTTCACTTCACAACACCAGTACCAAACTAGCTGGATGATGACAGATAACTTGGAAACAAAACTCCCCTTTTTACCCAGTGCACAGCAAATTGGTACCAAATCCTGTTTCTACATTTTTTTCCTCTTAAGAACTACTTCCCTATTGTGTATTCTTACACTCCATGTCCTGATGTAGGTGGTCATCTGTCTTCCTCTTTACTCCCTTCTGGCTTTCCCTTAAGCCCTTTCCCATTCTCTTCCTCAGGGATGGCTGTTAAAATGCCAATATTGTCATGTAACTTTTCTGTCCTTACTGGACCTCCTTATTTACACCTGTATGTGAAGTGGCTGTGTTCACCCTGGGTGGATACAGCAATTTTTTGTCCCGTAGAAAGGAAATTTTGAAATGCCAGTGTATATGCTTTTAATTAAGTATATTCACCCTTTTGTATCCATGGGTTTTGCATCTGTGGATTCAGCCAACTTCAGATTGAAAATATTCCCACAAAAATAGATGATTGTCTCTGTGAAGAGCATCTGCAGAAATTTTTCTTGTCATTATTTCCTAAACAGTACAGTATAACAGCCATTTATGTAGCATTACATTGTCTTCAGTATTATATGTAATCTAAAGAGTTAAAGTTCAGTCATGCATGGCTTACTGATGGGATTACTTTCTGAGAAATGCATCTTTGGGTAATTTCATTGTTTTGTGAAGATCATAGTATTATGAAAACCTACATGATATGTATATTTTTATTTATATGTTTTTGGTATATAGGTAACTAGGTGGCTCAGAGCCATTATTGAATATCGTTTTCTGCACTTCATCTGCAATGCCAATATCAGGTTTCTGTGTATGTTTCATCATCATCTTATGGGACTATTGTGATATACATGTTTCATCATTGACTGAAATGTTATTATGCAGCTCATGACTGTATACAGGAGGATGTGCATAAGTTATATGCAAATATGAGAATAGTTTATATAAGAGAGTTATCCAATCTGTGGATTTTGATATCTGGGGGTATCTTGGAATCAGTCCCCATGGATACTGAGGAAGTAATATAATGTAAAAACGATAGGTGCATAAGAATTTTTGAAATTGGGTCAAATATTTAAATGCAGAATCACTGCATAATCAGTTCCTTAAATATTGCATTTAGCTTTCATCACTGTCCAGGATCATTCATCTAGGCATGGTGCTGTCCAGAGTTCCATTAAAGTGGTGTGTGTTCTCTTTGCCTTTGTGAGTAGACTTCTGATACTTTCTCATAGTCAGAGAATTCATGGTTCATGTGGAAGAGCCAAACACCTGATTTTTCAGTAAAGTGGAACCTCATGGTGCAAAATAAACAAAACTTATTTTCTCCTTCTCTTATCTTAGTCTGCATTGAACTTGTGTCTCAATGAGTTCACCTAAACATTATTCCCAGTATGTGTTTATACTTATATATTCATAACCAGATCATGAGCTCCTTTGAGGAGTAGAATTTTATTCTTTTTTTTTTTTTTTTTTGAGAGGTAGGCTCTCTGTTGGTCAGGCTGGAGTGCAGTGGTGTGATCATAACTCACTGCACTGTCAAACTCCTGGACTCAAGCAATCCTTCAGCCTCAGCTTCCAGAGTAGCCAGGACTACAGGCATGCAGCATTATGCCTATATTTTTTTATTATTTTTGTAGAGACAGGGTCTTGCATTTTGTTTATACTTTTATCCCTAGCAATAAGGGTGGTTCTAGATCTATAAGGTGAACTTTGTAATACAATTTTATTAATTCATAAGTTATTACAGTGGAAGCATATTTCTACTGTGATTACTCCTTCTCCCACCATAAACAGTGCAAAACAAACTACATCTTATGTAAAATACATAAGACACATGGACACACCAAAGAGTGAATTCCCAGATTCTTGTTCTTTTGACAAGAATCTTTGGGCTGATGCTTTGACTTGAGGAAAAATGTGCCATTACAGGGGTTGGTGTCCTTTGAAGATGTGGCTGTGCACTTCACCTGGGAGGAGTGGCAGGACGTGGATGATGCTTAGAGGACCCTGTACAGGAACGTGATGCTGGAGACCTACAACAGCCTGGTATCATTACAGGAGTTGGTGTCCTTTGAGGAGGTAGCTGTGCACTTCACCTGGGAGGAGTGGCAGGACCTGGATGATGCTCAGAGGACCCTGTACAGGGACGTGATGCTGGAGACCTACAGCAGCCTGGTATCATTGGGTGAGTGAAACTTGCCAGTAACTCCCAGGATTGTATTTTGTTGCTGGTAAATATAGGAACCCTTTTAAGGTATAATAATATTTACTTGTAAGCTTCCAGTTGATGAAAAATGTGTCACTACTCTAATGAAATGTTCAAATTGGCTCCTTCATTGCACAGTCCCTGAAGCCCAGCTGTCGTCATTCTGAAAAGGATTTGACTTAGTGGTTTGACAAAGTCTTCCATTGTTTCTCATTACCAGGGCATTACATTACCAAACCTGAGATGATCTTCAAGCTAGAGCAAGGAGCAGAGCCATGGATAGTAGAAGAAACCCCAAACCTGAGACTTTCAGGTCAGTCAGTGAATACCAGGCAGGGAGGCCTGGAGGAGTAATGCCCAGCAAATTTTTGTAGTGTTATCTTGTTTTCACCACTTTTTTCCCTAGGTCTTCGACCTGAAGGCTGTTGGTCTGCATTAAATGTGCATTATATAGTCCCCAGGGGTAACTCTCATGCATATATCCCAGTCTCTTATTTTTCTGAGTATCTTCTTCTATTTACCCCAAATCCAATCCCTGCCATCCTCTCCTTAGGCCTTTTTCTCTGCTATTTATTTTCTCTGTTTCCCCCTTTTCCTCTATTCTGATGTAGTATCTTAAAAATTTTTTTAGACATTCATGCATTTATTTATCCTTTGAATGTATCTTAAGTGATTTTTAAGAATCAGTCATTATAACGATGATGAAAATGGTGTTTCTTTTTAAGCTATAGCTTTATTCTTGTTTTATTTTTTATTAAACAGATGATTCTCACTCTATTTCTCAGACTGAAGTGCAGTGGCATGATTATAGTTCACTGTAATGATGAACTCCTGGGCTCAAGTGTTCCTCACACCCTAGCCTCCCAAGTAGCTAGGACTACAGGTGTGTGCCACCACACCTGGCTAATTTTTTATTGTTTGTGGAGATGAGGTCTTGTTCTATTGCCCAGGCTGGTCTCGAACTTCTGGCCTTAAATGATCCTCGTAGACAACCACCTACAAAAAAAAAAAAAAAAAATAGCTGAGTACGGTGACAAGGGTTTGTAATCCCAGTTTTTATACTTGGGAGGCTGAGATGGAAGGATTGCTTGAGCTCAGGAGTTTCAAGCTTCAGTGAGCTATGATAGCAACACTGCACTCCAGCCTCAGTAACAGAGTAAGATCCTGTCTCGGAAGGAAATTATGAAGCTGAGGAGGACCCATCATAGGGGCCTGGATAGGGGTGGTGCTGGACTTGGGAGGAGAACCAGAAGATTCTGGGTCTCAAGTCCAAAGAAACTAATTATTTCCTGTTGAAGGGCTCAGATTTCTGTTTGAGAGTGGAGTTTGTAGTTACCATTGGAAGATGAGAAATGTACAGGAAACTTCATTTTTATATAAAACTGTGTGACATCTGAAACTCCAAAACACAAAATAAAACCCTTCAAAAATGGTGAATTATCAAGCAGCGATTGGTGAGTGGAGAGGGGCACGGCTGTGGATCTCAGAAGGAACCAGAAATACACTTTTCGAAGATGACGGGCACAGCCTGAGTTGCAGAACCAATCCTTCAGATCACCAGTGTGGTTTTTTGACTGGAGCTTCTGTGCCTATTATGGTTCTGGGAAGCAGGGGATGTCATGTTTAAGTAGGAATTTGCCAGGATCTGTTTTTGTTTAACATGGGGAATAAGAGATTTTCTGCTTGGAAAACCTCCAGACACATTTAACCATTCTCAGGGAGGAGTGAAAGGTTAACATATAGGCAAAATCCTGTCCACAAGCTGCTTCCATGCTTAGGAGACAGAAAAATGGCCATCTCCTATACCTACCAGTTGCTGACCCAGGAAAAACTGGCTATCTTCAAAGAAGAATAAAGAAAAAATAGCAGCTATTAAAACAGCCACTATTGTTATATGAATAAATAAAAAAAAAGAGAGAAAACATATGACAATAATGAGCACTTATTAAAACCTATGAGTAGGAAGTAGATGCATATTATTACCAAATAATTCTTTGTGAAATAAAAAAGAACAGGAAAACTTCAAAATGCAAAGAAAAACTCAATTGAACATTAGAAAATATACTGATTTATTACATTATGTCAGTAGGAACAGAAACCATATGCATATAAAACCAATACCCATATTTATTTTTGTCAAATCTTACTCCACTGAGATAGGAAGTAATTTTTTTTACCTTTACACAAGCATTCTGTAAGACATGCTCATGTGTGGTTCATGGATACCTTTTTTCTCATTTCAGCTGTCCAGATCATTGATGACCTTATTGAAAGGAGCCATGAAAGTCATGATAGATTTTTCTGGCAAATTGTAATCACCAACAGCAACACATCAACTCAGGAGAGAGTTGAATTAGGAAAAACATTTAATTTGAACTCAAACCATGTTTTAAATCTGATTATAAATAATGGAAACAGTTCAGGAATGAAGCCTGGGCAGTTTAATGATTGCCAGAACATGCTTTTCCCTATTAAGCCTGGGGAGACACAGTCTGGAGAGAAACCTCATGTCTGTGATATAACCAGGAGATCCCACAGACATCATGAACATCTTACTCAGCATCACAAGATTCAAACTCTGCTGCAGACTTTTCAATGTAATGAACAAGGGAAAACCTTCAACACGGAGGCAATGTTCTTTATACATAAGAGGGTTCATATAGTACAGACCTTTGGTAAATATAATGAATATGAGAAAGCCTGTAATAACTCAGCTGTTATTGTCCAAGTGATAACTCAGGTAGGACAGCCAACTTGCTGTAGAAAGTCTGACTTCACTAAACATCAGCAGACACACACAGGAGAGAAACCCTATGAATGTGTTGAATGTGAGAAACCCTCCATTAGCAAATCAGACCTTATGCTACAGTGCAAGATGCCTACTGAGGAAAAACCTTATGCCTGTAACTGGTGTGAAAAATTGTTCAGCTATAAGTCCAGCCTCATTATCCATCAGAGAATTCACACAGGGGAAAAGCCCTATGGATGCAATGAATGTGGTAAAACCTTTCGCCGTAAGTCATTCCTCACTTTACATGAGAGAACTCACACAGGGGATAAACCCTACAAATGTATTGAATGTGGAAAAACTTTTCACTGTAAGTCACTTCTCACTTTACATCACAGAACTCACTCAGGGGAAAAGCCCTATCAGTGTAGTGAATGTGGAAAAACCTTTAGCCAGAAGTCATACCTCACAATACATCATAGAACTCACACAGGGGAAAAGCCCTATGCATGTGACCATTGTGAAGAAGCATTTAGCCATAAGTCAAGGCTTACTGTCCATCAGAGAACACACACAGGGGAAAAACCGTATGAATGTAATGAGTGTGGAAAACCCTTTATCAATAAGTCAAACCTCAGGTTACATCAGAGAACTCACACAGGGGAAAAACCCTATGAATGCAATGAATGTGGGAAAACGTTTCACCGTAAGTCATTCCTCACTATCCATCAATGGACTCACACAGGGGAAAAACCCTACGAATGCAATGAATGTGGGAAAACCTTTCGCTGTAAGTCATTCCTCACTGTCCATCAGAGAACTCATGCTGGGGAAAAACCATACGCATGTAACGAATGTGGAAAAACATATAGCCACAAGTCATACCTTACAGTACATCACAGAACTCACACAGGGGAAAAACCCTATGAATGTAATGAATGTGGAAAATCCTTTCACTGTAAGTCATTCCTAACTATACATCAGAGAACTCATGCTGGCAAAAAACCCTATGAATGTAATGAATGTGAGAAAACCTTTATCAATAAGTTAAACCTTGGGATACACAAGAGAACTCACACAGGGGAAAGACCCTATGAATGTAATGAATGTGGAAAAACCTTTCGTCAGAAGTCAAATCTCAGCACCCATCAGGGAACTCACACAGGAGAGAAACCTTACGTATGTAATGAATGTGGAAAAACCTTTCATCGCAAGTCATTCCTCACCATACACCAGAGAACTCACACGGGGAAAAACCGTATGGATGTAATGAATGTGGAAAAACTTTTTGTCAGAAATCATACCTTATTATACATCAGAGAACTCACACCGGGGAAAAGCCCTATGAATGTAATGAATGTGGAAAATCCTTTCATCAGAAGGCAAATCTTCAGAAGCATCAAGGTATTCACACGGGGGAGAAACCCTATGAATGTAGCAAATGTGGAAAAACCTTGTCAGAAGTCAGTCCTCACTGTACATCATAGAACCCATACCGGAGAAAAACCTTATGAATGTAATGAGTGTGGGAAAACCTTTTGTCACAAGTCAAACCTCAGTACGCATCAGGGGACTCACTCAGGAGAGAAACCCTATGAATGTGATGAATGTAGGAAAACTTTTTACGATAAGACAGTTCTCACCATACATCAGAGAACTCACACAGGTGAGAAGCCATTTGAATGTAAAGAATGTAGGAAAACCTTCTCCCAGAAGTCAAAACTCTTTGTACATCACAGAACTCACACAGGGGAAAAACCCTTTAGATGTAATGAATGTAGGAAAACTTTCTCCCAGAAGTCAGGCCTCAGTATACATCAGAGAACACACACAGGAGAAAAACCTTATGAATGTAAGGAATGTGGGAAAACCTTTTGCCAGAAGTCACACCTCAGCAGGCATCAACAAACCCATATAGGAGAGAAATCTGACGTAGCTGAGGCAGGCTATGTGTTCCCTCAAAATCACTCTTTTTTCCCTTGAACACACAACCTACACCTCTCTGGCTACTATTACAGATTTCTCCATGCTCAGTCTAGGAGAATATGGACACAAATGGTGACCATTACCTCCTGGCCTACCAACAAGAAGGTCTTAACCATGCTGTAACAGAAGTCCTATCATGCAGGCTTTGTTGTTCCCATTTTTACAGCACACTTTGCACTTTAATGTCACAGATATGGCTGTTTTCCTAGAAGCTCATATACCAACCTCTGCCAGCTTCAAACATTTCTTCTGCAACTTCCTCACCTCTCTTCTCCTCCATAGAATTGAAGAGAGTTAGGGCCTTTCTCAGGATTAGGCTTTGTCTCAAGGGAATGTTGGGGCTGGTTTGATCTTCTATGTGGACCACTCAGACTTTCTCTGTGTCAGTAAAAAGCCTGTTTTGTTTTTTAAAAATCATTCATGTGTTCTCTGGAGTAGCACCTATAACATCCTTCAAGAACTTTTTCTTTGCATTCACAACTTGAGTAGCTGATGCAAGAAGCTTAGCTTTGGCCTGTCTTAGCTTCCAACATGCTTTCTTCACTAAGCTCGATGATTTCTACCTTTTGATTTGAAGTGACAGGTGTGCACACTTCTTTTCAATTGAACACATGGTGGCCACTGCAGAGTGAAGTGGCCTAATTTCATTGTTGTATCTTGGGGAATGGGGAGCTAGAAGAGAGAAACAGAGACAGGGAAATGACTAGTCAATGAAGCAGTCAAACACAACATTTTTCCATCACGTTTGCTATCTTCCATAGAGTTCCAGCACGCTGAGACAATTCCATTAGTAACATCAGAAATCACTGATCACAGATCATAACAGATGTGATAACTAAAATCTTTGAAAGATTGGGATTGCCAAAAGATGTGACAGAGATGTGAAGTGAGCCCATGGTGTTGGAAAAATGGTGCTGGTCAGGCTTGCTGAGCACTTCGTGGCCACAAATCTTTAATTTGTTAAAAAGGTGATGTTGCCAAGCAAAATAAAGTGAAGCTCAAAGTGAGATGTGCCTCTATTTTGATGGGCTCTAACAATTTGTCTTTTCTGGGTGCATTTAGACCATTGACATTCAAAGTGATTATACAGTTGGATTAATTTTGCCATATCATTTTCCATTAACTCCTATTATTCTTTGATCTTGCTTTGTCCTCCACTCTTTTTCTGCCTTTTATGGAGTTGATGATTTTATACGATTTTTGTTTCCTCTCGTTGCTTTTTTTTTTTTTTTTTTTTTTATTGAGACAGTCACCCAGGCTGGAGTGCAGTGGTGTGATCATGGCTCCCTGCAGCCTCAACCTCATGGGTTCAAGTGATCCTTCCACCTCAGTCTCCCAATTAGCTAGGACTACAAGTATGCAATTAGCTAGGACTACAAGTATGCACCACAATACCTGGCCTTTTCTTTTCTGTAGGGACAGGGTCTCACTGTATTGCTCAGGATAGTCTCTAACTCCTGGACTCAAGCCATCTTTCTACCTTGGCAAGAGCCACTATACCTGGCCTGTTTTCTCTTTTAGCATTTCTATACTTTGGTTTTTACTAGTTGCCCTGGAGTTTGCAGTATAGACTTGCAACAAATCCAAGTCCACCTTCAAATAACACTATACCAGTTCAGTTACTTCGACTGCCTTCTAATAGAAATGTAATACCAGTTTCTCTCATATTCCTATGTCTTGTGTTATTGTTGCCATTTGTTTCACTTATATGTAAGCATACATAGCCTTGTATATATTAAAGTATGTAATTGGCTGGGTGCCTTGGCTCAAGCCTGTAATCCCAACACTTTGGGAGGCTGAGACAGGTGGATCATGAGGTCAGGAGATGGAGACCCTCCTTGCTAACATGGTGAAACCCCATCTTTACTAAAAATACAAAAAATTAGCTGGACGTGGTGGCACACGCCTGTAGTCCCAGCTACTCGGGAGGCTTGGACAGGAGAATTGCTTGAACCAGGGAGGAGGTGGAGGTTGCAGTGAGCTGAGATTGCACCACTGCACTCCAGCCTGGGTGACAGAGCAAGACTCTCTCAAAAAAAAAAAAAAAAAAAAAAAAATATATATATATATATATATATAATTGCATACATTGTTATTATATACAAACTGTTATATGTTAGGTCAATTAAGAATAAAAAGCAGCCAGGTACGGTGGCTTATGCCTGTAATCCCAGGACTTTGGGAGGCCGAGGTGGGCAGATCATGAGGTCAGGAGATTGAGACCATCCTAGCTAAATGGTGAAATCCCATCTCTACTAAAAATACAAAAACAAAATTAGCCGGGTGTGGTGGTGGGTGTCTGTTGTCCCAGCTACTCGGGAGGCTGAGGCAGGAGAATGGCATGAACCTGGAAGGCAGAGCTTGCCGTGAGCTGAGATCACGCTACTGCACTCCAGCCTGGGTGACAGAGTGAGACTCCATCTCACAAAAAAAACAAAAAAACAAAAAAAACCCATTTTACCACCACTTATTCCTTCTCTAATGTTCTTTTTAAAATGTAGATTCAAGCCAGGTGTGGTGGCTCACACCTGTAATCCCAGCACTTTGGGAGGCCGAGATGGGTGGATCATGAGGTTAGGAATTCAAGACCAGCCTGGCAAAGATGGTGAAACACTGTCTCTAATAAAAATACAAAAAAATTAGCCAGGCGTGGTGGAGGGCTCCTGTAATCCCAGCTACTTGGGAGGCTGAGGCAGAGAATTGCTTGAACCTGGGAGGCAGAGGTTGCAGTGAGCCGAGAATGTGCCACTGCACTCCAGCCTGGGCAACAGAGAGAGACTCTGTCTCAAAATAAATAAATAAAAATAAATAAAATGTAGGTTCAGTTTTCAGATGTGTATCTTTTTTTTTCCTCTAGATAATGTTTAATATTTTCTCACATGACACATCTGCTGGTAACAAGTTTCCTCAACTTTTGTTTGTCCAGGGAATGTTTTATTTCTCATTTACTTTTGAAAGAAGATCTCACAGGGCACTGAAATCTTAGTTGATGGTTTTTTTTTTTTCCTCTCAGCATGTTTAATATGTCATTCCACTCTCTTTTTACTTTCATGGTTCTGAGATGTTGAATGTAATTTTTTTTTTTTTTTTTTTTTTGAGATAGAGTCTTGCTCTGTCACCCAGGCTGGAGTGCAGTGGTGTGATCTCAGCTCACTGCAAGCTCTGCCTCCCGGGTTCATACCATTCTCCTGCCTCAGCCTCCCGAGTAGCTAGGACTATGAGCTCCCACCCCTACGCCTGGCTAATTTTTTGTATTTTTTCGTGGAGATGGGGTTTCACCGTGTTAGCCAGAGTGGTCTCGATCTCCTGACCTCATGATCCACCCACCTTGGCCTCCCAAAGTACTGGGATTACAGGCATGAGCCACCGAGCTCAACCTGAATGTGATTCTTATCTTTGTTTCTCTATAGGTAAGATGTTGTCCACTCCACCTTTGGTTTCTTTTGGAGCTGATGTTTTATACAGTTGGAGAATAATATGCCTAGGTGTAGGTTTTTGGCATGTATCCTGCCTGGTGTGCTCTGAGCTTCTTGGATCTTTGGTTTGGTGTCTGACATTAACAGTGGAAGTTGTCAGACATGATTGTTGCAGATGTTTCTTCTATTTCTCTCTTTTTCCTTCTAGTATTCTCATCACTCTATGTTACACCTTTTCTAGCTGTCCCACAGTTCTTGGATATTACATTCCATTCTTTTCAGTTTTTAAAGTTTCTTTCAAAGTTTCCAGAACTCAGAGACTCTTTCCTTTGTTGTGTTCAATCTACTAATAAGCCAATCAAAGACATTCTTCAGGTCTTTTGCAGTATTTTTTTTATCTCTACTGTTTCTCTTTTGTTCTTTCCTTGGACTTCTATCTCTCTGCTTACATTGCCTATCTGTTCTTGAATGCTGTCTCCTTTGTTCATCAGAGCCCTTAGCATACTACTCAGAGATTTTTTTTTAAAATCCCTGTCTGATAATTCCAATATCATAGGTGTGTCTGGTTCTGATGATCTGTCACTTCAAATTGTGTTTTTTGCCTTTTAGTATGCCTTGTGCTTTTTCTTTATTCCTAGATATGAGATACCAGGTAAAAGGAACTACTGTAACAGTGCATCCAGTAATGATGGGAAGCTGTGGAGGGGAGGGGAAGCTGTCTTAGTCCATCCACCAGCATAACTTAGAGCAAGTAATTTGTAAACAACAGAAATTTATTGCTCAATTTAGAGGCTAGAAAATCCAAGGTCAAGGTTCCAGGAGATTCAGTGTTTGATGAGACCCATTCCTCGTAGATGGTGCCAGCTATATGTCCTCTCATGTTGAAATGGACAAAGAAGCTTCATTTGGCCTGTTTCATAAGTGCACTAATCCCAATCAGGTTGGCTTTGCCATTACCTTTCAAAGGTCCCACCCCTTAATTCTAGTGCATTGGAGACTCGGTTTCAACAGGCACATTTTGCAGGGGGTCCAGCAGGGAACAGATATTCAGACTGTAGCAGAAGAGTTCTGGAGTCTTACGACTGGGCCTCATTGTTTAAGTGAGTCTCTGCTTTTGGACTATGAACTTCACATGTGTTTCTCTGTTTTTATCTTCCCCTTTAGGGATGACTGGAGTAGGCTGGAGTTGGGAATTTCCCTTCCAGCAGGTCATTTAGGATCTGGTTATATGAGAGCAGGTTAGGCTGAGGTTCAGTAATTTCTCCTGAGGATAAGCCTTGTTAAGAACAGGTTGCTCTGGCATATTTTAAGATGGTTTTCCTTTTTCCTTCCCAAAGGTGGAAGCAAGAAGCAAGTTTTCTCAGGTATTTGCCACAGGAGCCTGGTGGAGCTCCAGGAGGTAAATTTTACAATATTATGCTCCCTCATAACTGGATCTCCCTGGTGTTTTTACCTCCTTGAGTTGTCCATATGGAACCTTCAGCAATTCACCAGTTATAGTTCAAGATTTTCTACTCCAGCACTGGTTCCTAAGGTGGTTTCAGTAGTGAGTCTCTGTTCCTGTAAGCCATAAATTCCCATATTCACTTCTCTATCTCTCCAATCTTGGGGGCAGTGGTTTGCCCTATGTCCTCTCTTCACATTCAAATCCAAAAAGGATTGTTGATTTTTCAGTCTCTTCAGCTTTTGTTTTATTTAAATTTTTTTTTTAGAGTTGGGGGTCTCACTATGTTGCACAGGCTGGTCTCAAACTCCTGGACTCAAGGGATCCTCCTGCTTTGGCCTCCCAAAGTGCTGGGATTACAGGCATGAGCCACCACACCTGACCTTTTCAGCTTTTCATGTGTTGTTAAGGTGGACTGATTACTTCCATTCTTTTTTTTTTTCTTCCTTTTTTTGAGATGGACTCTCACTTTGTTGCTCAGGCTGGAGTGCAGTGGTGCAATCTCAGCTCACCTTAACATCTGGCTCCCAGGTTCAAGTGATTCTCCCTGCCTCAACCTCCTGAGTAGCTGAGATTACAGGCACCCACCACCATGCTGGCTAATTTTTGTATTATTATTATTTTATTTTTTAATTTTTTGAGGCAGAGCTCACTCTGTCATCCAGGCTGTAGTGCAGTGGCATGATCTTGGCTCACTGCAACCTCCACCTCCCAGGTTCAAGCAATTCTTCTGCTTCAGCCTCCCAAGTAGCTGGTACTACTGGCACACACCACCACACTTCGCTAATATTTGTATTTTTAGTAGAGATGGGGTTTTGCCATGTGGGCCAGGTTGGTCTGAAACTCCTGACTTCATGTGATCCACCCACCTCAAGCTCCCGAAGTGCTGGGGTTACAGGTGTGAGCCTCCATGCCCAGCCTAATTTTTGTATTTTTAGTAGAGACAGGGTTTTGCCATGTTGACCAGGTTGGTCTTGAACTTCTGACTTCAGGTGATCTGCCCACCTCGGTCTCCCAAAGTGCTGGGATTACAGGCATGAGCCACTGCACCTGGCTACTTCTAAGCTTCTTACATGCAGAAATCAGAACCTGGAATCTGTTTCTAAGACTTATCTTCTTAATGCCTATGTGGACAATTAAAGGATTTTTCTCCTCAGGACTCTGAATATGATGAATTGTATTAGTAGACTTTCTAATATTGAGCTTTTCTTAATTTGTGAAATAAACTCAGAAAGTTCCTTCTTGGTTTTAACAGTCTATTTCTGTTTGTAAATATTAGTATTTCTGTGGATTCTGTACTTGTTCCTTGTTATCCTTTCATTCTCTTAGGTTCATTTGGTCTGATGGATTCAGGTACCATTGAAATTCTGATAGTTTCAAAATCTTTTATCTCCAGGTTTGATCTCTCTTGTGAACTCTGGAACTGTATTCCCAATTGTCAATTGGACATCCCTACGTATGGGACCTCAGATATTTCAAACATGATGTGTCCAAGTCTGTATCACTTCTGGCCATCATATTGTTCTTTTATTTTTCCAAATTTCACATCACCAGTAACAAACTAGCTGTGATCATGGCAGATAGCCTGGAAATAAAACTCCCCTTTTTACCCTTTGCACAGCAAATTGACATCAAATCCTGTTTCTACTTTTTTTTTTTTTAACTATTGCTTCCCTATTCTGTATTCTCACTGCTCCATCTCCTGATGTAGGAGGTCATCTGTTTTCCTCTTTTCCTCTCCTCTGACTCTTAAGCCCTTTCCCATTCTCTTTCTCAGGAATGGCTGTTAAAATGCCAATATGGTCTTGTAACTTTCCTGTACTTAGTGAACCTCCTTATTTACACCCTGTTTGTGAAGTGGCTGTGTTCACCCTGGGTGGACACGGAATGTTTTTGTCATGTACAAAGAGAATTTTATGCTGCCTGTGTACAGTTATTAATTTGTAAGTACACTCAGCTTTTTGTATCTGTAGGTTTAATATCTGTGTATGTAAGCAAACTTGGATGCAAAATATTTGAAATAAAATCAGATGCTTGCATCTGTAGTGAACATATTCAGACTTTTTCTTGTCATTATTTCCTAAACAACACAACTATTTACATCCACATTGTATTTGGTCTTCTAAGTGTGAAAGGAAAATAAAGCTTGGGACTCCAAACTCATTAAACTAAAGGGAAAAGTCAAGCTGGGAACTCGGTCATGCAAACCTGCCTCCTTCTTTTGGTTCCTAAATAAGATGGCTCCAAGATAAAAAGCTTTTTGTCTTGTAGCCCCCTCCATCATATTTTTCCCACAAGGAAATTTCTGGTGTGCTTTAAGATCTTTAAAGTGTTTCTGTTAAAATTCATCATAGCAATGTAAATTGATAGCTTATCCTTTTTTTTTTTTTTTTTTTTTTGATATGGAGTTTCGCTATTGTCACCCAGGCTGGAGTGCAATGGCACAATCTCGGCTCACCGCAACCTCCGCCTCCCGGGTTCAAATGATTCTCCTGCCTCAGCCTCCTGAGTAGTTGGGATTACAGGCATGCACCACCACACTTGGCTAATTTTGTATTTTTAGTAGAGATGGGGATTCTCCATGTTGGTCAGGCTGGTCTCGAACTCCTGACCTCAGGTGATCCACCCACCTCAGCCTCTTAGAGTGCTGGGATTACAGATGTGAGCTGCCACACCTGGTCTGATAGCTCTTCTTTACAGTGCATAGGACAGAACTCAGAGTCACCCTTCTGCCCACCTGACACAAATGCATATCTGATTGTTCCCCTCCCTCTTTGTCTATGCTATGTATAAATGCAGATTCACTGAGCCAAAGGCATGGATGACTGTATCAGTCTGTTCTCACCCCTCTGCCTACCTGACACAAATGCATATCTGATTGTTCACCCTCCCTGTTTGTCTATGTTATGTATAAATGAGATTCACTGAGCCAAAGGCATGGATGACTGTAGCAGTCTGTTCTCACCCCTCTGCCCACCTGACACAAATGCATATCTGATTGTTCACCCTCCCTGTTTGTCTATGTTATGTATAAATGCAGATTCACTGAGAGAAAGGCATGGATGACTGTAGCAGTCTGTTCTCACCCCTCTGCCCACCTGACACAAATGCATATCTGATTGTTCCCCCTCCCTGTTTGTCTATGTTATGTATAAATGAGATTCACTGAGACAAAGGCATGAATGACTGTATCAGTCTGTTCTCATACTGCTCTGAAGAAATACTCAAGACTGGGTCATTTATAAAGGAAAGAGGTTTAATTGACTCACAGCTCTGCATGGCTGGGGAGGCCTCAGGAAACTTACAATAATGGCAGAGAGCACCTCTTCACAGGGTGGCAGGAGAGACAATGAGTGCAAGCAGACAATGAGTGAAATGTCAGACATTTATAAAACCATCAGATCTCATGTGACTCATTATCATGAGAACAGCATAGAGGAAACTGCCCCCATGGTCCAATTACTTCCACCTGGTCCCACCCTTGACACATGGGGATTATTGCAATTTATGGTGAGATTTGGGTGGGGACACAGAGCCAAACCGTATCAATGAATGTTTTCCCCTTACCCCAGTCTTACATGAAAACTGTATTTCTCAATATTTCACCCTTTCCCCTTTAAATTTGGAACCCTCATAATCATTTTTGAAGAAAAGCATAGACCTGTCTCCTTGGTGTGCATCCTTAACGTTGGCAAATAAACCTCCTAAAGTGATTGAGATTTGTCTTGGTCATTTTTCTTGATTGACCGAAGTGTTCCAGAGATGATATAAAGTACAGTCATGCATGGCTTAATGACATGTGTATGTTCTGAGACATGCTTACTAAGCAATATTTTTGTTTTGTGAACATCATAAAGTGTAGTTACATAACCCTAGATGGTGTATATGTTTATGTTTTTTCATAGGAGAAACCATATGTTCTAGCACCATCATTGAATATCAGTCACTTTCCCTACTTGATCTGCAGTGCTAGTATCAAGTCCCACATGTGAGGTTTTATTGGGGGAACCAGCCCCCAATATTTCAATGTAGGTTCTTTCTATTTTCCCTAAGTGTTGGCTGGTCTGAGAAATAAAGAGTACAAAGAAATTTTACAGCTTGGCCTCTGGGGGTGCCATCACATTGGTAGGACTATGATGGCGACCTTGAGCTACAAAACCAGCCAGTTTTTATTAGGGATTTTGAAAGGGGAGGGGATGTACGAACAGGGAGTAGGTCACAAGCATCACATGCTTCAAAGAGCCATAAAGATCACAAGGTGAAGGCAAAATTAGAACCACTGATGAGGGTCTGTGTCCCGCTGTGCACACATTGTCTTGATAAACATCTTAACAGGAAACAAGGTTCAAGAGCAGAGAACCAGTCTGACTAGAATTCACCAGGCTGGAATTTCCCAATCCTAGCAAGCCTGAGGGTACTGCAGGAGACCAGGGTGTATTTCAGTACTTATTTCAACCACATAAGACAGACACTCCCAGAGCGGCCATCTATAGACCTACCCCCAGGAATGCATTCCTTTCCCAGGATATTAATTATTAATATTCCTTGCTGGGAAAAGAATTCAGTGATATTCTCTTACTCACACGTCCATCTGTAGGCCCTCTGCAAGAAGAAAAACATGGCTGTATTCTGCCCAACCCTGCAGGCAGTCAGATCTTATGGTTATCTTCCCTCATTCCCTGAAAATCGCTGTTATTCTGTTCTTTTTCAGGGTGCACTGATTTCATATTGTTCAAACACCCATGTTTTACAATCAGATTTGATATTGTTTGAACACACATGTTTTACAAACAATTTATACAGTTAACGCAATCATCACAGGGTCTTGAGGCGACATACATCCTCAGCTTATGAAGATGACGGGATTAGGAGATTAAAGTAAGACAGGCATAAGAAATTATAAAAGTATTAATTTTGGGAACTAATAAATGTCCATGAAATCTTCACAATTTATGTTCTTCTGCCACGGTTCCAGCCAGTCCCTCCATTTGGGGTCTCTGACTTCCCGCAAGAAGGTTTCTACATGTGTTTATAATCTTAGGGGACCATGGTAATATACATGGTTCATTATTGATTAAAATGTTCATTATGAGGCACATGACTGCATATGGAAGGATAAGCATGGGTTATATGCAAAATACCATTTTATATAAGACTTGAGCATCAGTGGTTTTTGGTGTCTGTGGGGGTATTCTGGAGCTGATTTCCCACGGATACTGAGGAACAACTGCACTTTGAAAATGAAAGGTGCATACATTTTTGTTACTAAAATTAGGTCAAATATTTAAATGCAGAATCACTGCATAATCAGTTCCTTCAAGACTGCATCTATCTCTCTCATCAAGGCCCAGGATCGTTTATCTAGATACACTGCAGTATGTCATTCCATTAACATGGTGTGTCTTCTTTGTGTCCTTGGGACTGGACTTCTGCTACACCTCATACTTCTGAGATGGTGTGGTTCACATGGAAGTGCTAAACAACTTTGGTTTTTCAGTGAAGTGCAACCTCATAATACCGTGCATCACCATGCCTGGCTAGTTTTTCTATTTTTTGTAGAGACAGAGTTTCACCATGTTGCTCAGGCTTGTCTTGAACTCATGAGCCCAAGTGATCCACCTGCCTCAACCTCCCAAAGTGCTGGAATTACAGGCATGAGCCACTGTGCCTGTCCTAACTAAATATTTGAACTACAGGTGAAGCAAAGTCTCTCTCTCTGATGTTTGGTCTTCTATTTACAACTCCTAAAATATCTAAATGTGCCCTCCCTCTCAGGGCACACAGCCCAATGCTATTTTCTCCCAGATGATAGGAAAGAAAGAATCACATAACAAATGCCTAGTGATCTTCATTGTGAAGAGCACACGGTCAAAACTTATTTTAAAATCCTATTTTGAAGTCCAGTTATGCAAAGAATTAATAAATAATGACACGAATTGATGAAAGAGTAGCTATCTTACTGAGTCTAGCGTAAGAACACAGATGGGTTTCATAATGAGCCACAAAGCCATCTGAGTCTAGATCAGAATGTCAAGGTCTTGAGAAAAGGCCCAACTGGGAGCAAATTATGAAATCTGCATGAGTCTCTTAAGGACGACTTAGGGAAGGCTTGGCCTTTGGTCCTTATTATGAGACTGATATGGTTTGGCTGTGTCCTCACCCAAATCTCGAATTGTTGTTCCCATAATTCCCACATATTGTGGGAGGAACCTGGGGGGAGGTAATTGAATCATGAGGACTGTGTTGTTCTTATGATAGTGAATAAGTCTCATGAGATCTGATGGTTGTATGGAGGGAAGTTCCCCTACACATGCTCTCTCTTGTCTGCTGCCGTGTAAGACCTGATCTTTGCCTTCTGCCATGATTGTGAGGTCTCCCCAGCCATGTGGAACTGTGAGTCCATTAAACTTATTTTTCTTTATAAATTACCCAGCCTTGGGCATGTCCATATTAGCAGCATGAGAATAGACTAATACGGAGACTTATTATGAGTTTGACAGGAAGGTGCAGAAACAGAGTTCTGGAGTCAGATTATGGGTGATGGCTACATAATCTTTTTTATTCAGGAAAATTGAAAGATTTTGTATATGAGTGGAACTTAGCTTCTGTTCAGGGTTGATGTGGGAAAAAGTGGTTAGATTTGTGAACAGGAGCTGAATCATTAGAAGTCTTCAAGTCCTTGCTAAAGAGTGAGAACCTAAGTTTTAAGCTGTTGTTAAGTGCTTTTAAGTCCTTGAGGAACACAGTTACCTGTTTAGAGATATAGTCTGGAAGCGAACAAGATAACGGGAAGTGAGAGGAGTGCAGGCTGATGGAAACATGATGGAAAATGGAAATATTTCAGATGAGAGAGAGTGAGGGTTTCACTGAGTCGAGGAGTGCAGGCTGATGGAAACATGGAAAATGGAAATATTTCAGATGAGAGGGAGGGAGGGTTTCACTGAGTCGAGGAGTGCAGGCTGATGGGAACATGATGGAAAATGGAAATATTTCAGATGAGAGAGTGTGAGGGTTTCACTGAGTCATAAAGTTGTGGAGAGGAAGCAGTGAGTAGAAGAATACTTAAGAAGTAGAATTAATAAAACTTTGTGCCAGAACAGGTGTGATGGGTCTGGGAGAGAGCTATACCTGGAACAGTGGATCTCAGAGTGCTCCATGAAAATAATACTCTTTCTATCATAATACAGATATGTTACTTGTCTTTTTCGCTTGTTTTTGTTCTCTGCTTTGGTGCAAATGCAATAGTAAGTAAAACCGTAGCACAAAACAAGACAGTGGCTCCAAACAATAGTAGCAGTTCTATTATTTACACTCACGTGGTTGCTTAAATAAACATGCCAATTTTATTTTCATGTTACTTAAGAATATCCTTGATGAAGCAGTAAAAAATATAATTTTCATTAAATCTAGATCCCCAAGTATGTCTTTTCAGTATTCTGTTTGATAAAATGGTAAGAACTCATAGAGCACTTATTACTTAAAAATGAACTAAGTGTGACAGGGTGCAGTGGCTCACACCTGTAATCCCAGCACTTTTGGAGCTCAAGAGTTTGCGACCAGTTGGAGGAACATGATGAAACCCCATCTCTACAAAAAATATTAGCCAGGGGTGATGATGTAAGCCTGTAGTCTACTGTAGGGATGAGCCCTACAGGGTCTGTGGGTTTTCCTCCCTGTGTGCAGAGATGAGAGATCATAGAAATAAAGACACAAGACAAAGAGATAGAGGAAAAGACATTTGGGCCCGGGGGACCACTACCACCAAGACGTGGAGACTAGTAGTGGCCCAGAATGCCTGGCCACGCTGTTATTTTTTGGATACAAGGCAAGGGGGCAGGGTAAGGAGTGTGAGCCATCTCCAATGATAGGTAAGGTCACGTGGGTCTCCTGTCTACCGGTTGGAGGCCCTTCCTTGTTTGGCAGCCGAGGTGGGGAGAGAGAGAGGACAGCTTACGCCATTATTTCTTCAATGCATTTCAAAGACTTTTAGTACTTTCACTAATTCTGCTACTGCTATCTAGAAGGCCGAGCCAGGTGTACAGGGCGGAACATGAAAGCAGACCAGGAGCGTGACCGCTGAAGCACAGCATCACAGGGAGACAGGCCTCCGGATGGCTGCGGGCGAGCTTGACTGATGTTGCCTTCCACAAAAGGTGGTGGAGCAGAGTCTTCTCTAACTCCCCCGGGGAAAGGGAGACTCGCTTTCCCGATCTGCTAAGTAACCGGTGCCTTCCCAGGCACTAGAGCTACCGCTAGACCAAGGTCTGCTCAGTAACAGGCGTCTTCCCAGGCGCTGGTGTTACCGCTAGACCAGGGAGCCCTCTGGTGGCTGTGTCCGGGCATGACAGAGGGCTCGCACTCTTGTCTCCTGGTCACTTCTCACCATGTCCCTTCAGCTCCTATCTCTGTATGGACTGGTTTTTCCTAGGTTATAGTTGTAGAACAGAGATTATTATAATATTGGAATAAAGAGTAATGCTACAAACTAATGATTATTAATATTCACATATCATCATCTATATTCTATTTCTAGTACAAGTATTCTTATTCTATATATTTTCTTTATTACACTGGAACAGCTCTTGCCCTCAGTCTCTTGCGTTGGCACCTGGGTGGCTTGCTGCCCACAGTCTATTACTGGGGAGGCTGAGGCGGGAGGATCACTTGGCCCTGGAAGGCAGAGGTTGCAGTGAGCTATGATTGCACCACTGCACTCCAGCCTGGGCAACAGAGCAAGAGCTTGTCTGAAAAAAAAAAAAAAAAAAAGTGAGATTGTCTTAAAGAAAAATAACTGAGCTGTTACTGAAAATGTAAAAAGTTTTCAAGTGAAAATTAAAATATGGAAAACGTATCTGCGTTCTTGAACATGACAATTTTTCAAAACACGGGTTTTTCTGAGGAGATCAAGGGCAATATTACTGAATTTCAAAATATTTTGTAATAAAGTGTATCAATATTTGGAACATCTGCATTATTCGATGAACCAATATTTTCCCAATGGCCATGCCAATATGATAAAAATCATGATCGGTAAAAGAGCCATTAACATTGAAAATAGACCTATAGGTTTTAATGTGATATAGCAGAAAAAGCATATGATGTGGTGTCATGCCTCCCATTGCAATAACCTGAATAAAGCATTTCTTTGGAGATCAAAGAAGAAGAACAATAGTTGGCCAAAAATACTTAAATTTTTTTTTTTTTTTTTTTTGAGATGGAGTTTCACTCTGTCACCAGGCTGGACACAATCTTGGCTCACTGCAACCTCCACCTCCTGGGTTCAAGCGATTCTCCTGCCTCCGCCTCCCAAATAGCTGGGATTACAGGCACTCACCACCACGCTGGCTAATTTTTGTATTTTTAGTAGAGACGGGGTTTCACCATGTTGGCCAGGCTGGTCTCAAACTCCTGACCTCAAGTGATCCGCCCGCCTCAGCCTCTGAAAGTGCTGGGATTATAGGCATGTGCCACCACACCTCATCCAAAAATTCTTTTAAATTATTCTTCCTTTCTACAACCTCATGTCTGTGTGGGGCACTATTTTCTTCACACACTTAGTCAAAACAACATATTGCAACAGATTGAATTCAGAAGCAGATATGAGTATAAAGCTGTCTTCAGTTAAGCCAGACATTTTGCAAAAATGTAAAAACATTACAACTCTTCAAACTATTTGGGGACTTGTTTTATTTTAAAGTACTATTTTGTTAGCATGAACTGAATTTATTATTTTTAAGCATATTACTAATTTTTTTTGAAGTGGAATCTTGCTCTGTCTCCAGGCTGGAGTGCAGTGGCACGATCTTGGCTCACTGCGACCTCCACCTCCTTGGTTCAAGTGATTCTCTGGCCTCAGCCTCCCGAGTAGCTGGGACTACAGGCGCCCACCACCACGCCCAGCTAATTTTTTTTTTTTTTTTTTTGTATTTTTAGTAGAGATGGGGTTTCAACGTGTTGGCCAGGATGGTCTTGATCTCTTGACCTTGTGATCCACCTGCCTCGGCCTCCCCAAGTGCTGGGATTACAGGTGTGAGCCACCGCACCCGGCAAATATTTACTAATTTAGAAGTCCTAATTTCTCTTATGTAATCATTAATAGAAATAATACATATGAATAAAGTTGGGTGAGAGAGAAAGATTTGGAAGTTGTCAATTTTTTTTTCCTTTTAACTTATTTAAAATTCAAGTGTCATGTCTACAAAGTGGCTGCAAAACTCATAAATTAAAATAGAGACCTTATTCCTCCACACTCCTTTAGTTTCATTTTTTCTTTCTATCATAGGGTTTATCACTATTATTTTTAATCTTCTCATCCCAACTAAATTGTGAAGCCCTGCAGAAAAAAAAGTTATTTGCTTTATTTTTGACTTATTTGAACTTAGCACCATGAATTGCTTAGGGATTGTTCTTTAAAATAAAAATTAAATAACATCAGGCCAGGCGTGGGGGCTCACGCCTGTAATCCCAGCACTTTGGGAGGCTGAGGCGGGCAGATTACCTGAGGTCAGGAGTTCAAGAACAGCCTGGCCAACATTGCAAAACCCCGTCTCTACTGAAAATACAAAATTAGCCAGGCGTGCTGGCGCTCGCCTGTAATCCCAGCTACTCAGGACACTGAGACAGGAGAAGCACTTGAATGTGGGAGGCAGAATTTGGAGTGAGCTGAGATCGTGCGACTGCAATCCAGTCTGGGTGACAGAGCAAGACTCCATCTGAAAAATAAATAAATAAATAAACAAAAACATCAGTTAGCAATGTTGTCATTTAGGCATATTTAGGCATTAATTCTATCACTTACCAGACCTTAATATTTTAAATTGTTGATCATGGAATTTGTTGATTTGAACCTGAACAACCTTAATTATTTTCAAGTAGTTTTTCCTTCAATTAAATTATATTAACTTTATATTTAGTTGAAATAATTTATTTTCATGTTTTTATTAAACTTTAATCAATATTTTGTGTTTTTATAGCCATGTGAAATATTGATTTGTTTTAAAAATATTGATTTTAAAAACAATGCAATTAGTTGATATTTATTATTGAAAAGTACTAGAATTTCACAATCTTAATAAATATTGATAATTATTTTCATTTAGAAAAATAAGACTGGTGTAGGAATGAAGAGAGAAGAAGGAGTAAGAAAGGCGATTGCTTTTTATTTTGAGTATTTTCTTTTCTTTTTTTTCTTTTTAGTAAAAATGGGGTCTTGCTATGTTGACTAGGCTGGCCTTGAACTCCTGGCCTCAAGTGATCCTCCTGCCTCGGCTTCTCAAAGCACTGGGTTTACAAATATGAGCCACTGTGCCCAACTTAATAATTATTTTTATGTCATATTGACAGGTTTTAGACTAATAAAACATTTTTATTTTGTTTATTATTTCAGATTCAGGGGTACATGTGCAGATTTGTTATAAGGGTATATAGCATGGTGCTTAAGTTTGGGCTTCTATTGATCCCATCAAAAGGATAGTGAACATAGTACCTAATAGGAAGCTTCTCAGGTCTTGCCCCATTCCCTCCTCCCTCCTTGAAGTCCCTAGTGTCTATTGTTCCCATGTTTACGTCTGTGTGTACCTAAGACTTAATTCCCACTTATAAGTGAGAACCTGTGATAGTTGGTTTTCTGTTTCTGCATTAAGTTGCTTGGGATGATGGGCTCCAGATGCATCCATGTTGCTGCAAAGAACATTATTTCATTCTTTTTTATGGCTGCATAGTATTCCATGGTGTACATATGCCACATTTTCTTTGTCCTGTTCATCATTGATGTGCACCTAGGTTGATTCCATGTCTTTGCTATTGTGAATATATTAGTGTATGTGTCTTTGGGTAGAATAATTATAATTTATTTTCTTTTGGGTATACACCCAGTAATGGGATTGCTGGGTCTCATGATAGTTCTGTTTTTTGAGAAATCTTCAAACCGCTTTCCACAGTGGCTGAACTAATTTACATTCTTACCAAGAGTGTATAGGCATTCCCTTTTCTCTGTAGCCTTGCAAAAATCCGTGGTTATTATTATTATTATTATTATTATTATTTATTATTATTTTGAGATGGAGTTTCACTCTTATTGCCCAGGCTGGAGTGCAATGGCACCATCTCAGCTCACTGCAACCTCCTTCTCCCGGGTTCAAGTGATTATCATGCCTCAACCTCCCGAGTAGCTGGGATTACAGACATGCACCACCATGCCCAGCAAATTTTTTGTATTTTTAGTAGAGACGGGGTTTCATCATGTTGGCCAGGATGATCTCGAACTCCTGACTTCAGGCGATCCACCTGCCTCAGCCTCCCAAAGTGCTGGGATTACAGGCATGAGCCACTGCATCTGGCCAAGATGTTTTCTAAAGTAGAATTTTGTACTCCTCATTAATACTTTTCCTTCCTGGCATCTCTTTAATTTCTTAGGGCACACACTGAGGCGGATGGCATCTCACTGTTAATCAAGAACAAAAAGCCTTAAATTATGCTAGAAACCACTATAGCAATGTCTGTGTCAAGAGGCTGTCTGCATATCTAAATGTACATTTCACAGTACAGCAAACACTTTTTTTGAACTACATTATCTGTCAGATTGCCTAAGGCACTGAAATAGAAAATTCCTAGTGCTTGCTGCATTTTGCTAGGTTATACATTAGTTTCTTTTGTTGATTTTTGCTATGAGAGGACCAAAAAGATAGATAGAAACCACAGTATCTGTTTTAATATTCTTTTTTTTTTTTTTGAGACAGGGTGACACTCTATCACCCAGGCTGGTGCAATCACAACTCACTGCAGCCTCAACTTCCTGAGCTCAAGCAATCCTCCCACCTCAGCTTCCCAAGTACCTGAGACCACAGGCATGTGACACCACACCTGGTGTATTTTAGTATTTTCTTGTACACAGAGGGTTTTGCCATGTTTCCCAGGTTGGTCTCAAACTCCTGGGCTCAAAGGATCCTCCTGCCTCAGCTTCCCAATGTGTTGTGATTACAGGCATGAACCACCGTGCCTGGCCTTAATATTCTTTTCTATTTGTAAATGGAAAGCTTCAGAAAAGACCCTCAAACAGGACTATAAATATTTTCACAATACTTTTTGGTACAGCCAGATATTAATAGTATATATAATGTAACTCAGTGGTCCCCATCCCTGGGCCATGGACAGGTATTGCCCGTGGCCTCTGAGGAACCGGGCTGCACATCAGGAGGTGAGTGGTGGCTGAGTGAGCATTATGACCTGAGCTCCGCCTCCTATCAGATCAGCTGCAGCATTCGATTCTCATAGGAGTACGAACCCCAATGTGAACTGCACATGTGAGGGATCTAGGTTACATGCACTTATGAGAATCTAATGCCTGATGATCTGAGGTGGAAAAATTTCATCCTGCAACTATCCTCCCTGCCATCTGTGGAAAAATTGTCTTCCAGGAAACCCATTTCTGGTGCCAAAAAAGGCTGGGGACCACTGATGTAACTTATATAACTGTATATCACATTTATTCTTTCCTTTTGACATATATCCTGAAATTAGGTGTGGACAGGCTGTGGGAGTTAAGTGTGAAATTAACTTAGTAAGTTAGACTCCCAGGACAATTCCACACTTAACTAAGCAAATGATGGCTATTCTTAACTGACAACGTCATCACCACCTGTCTCTTACTGACCGTAACGGTATAATAAGTATAAACGGTAGGAGCCCAGCCGAATGTCTTCCTCCAGCCCCACATCCAATGGCTGGGATGTGCACCCTCTTACCTAAGGTTGTGTATCCCCTTCTCTGCAGCTAGAACCCACTTGGCCTGGGTTCCATTCCCCACCGCAGAAAAGCCTTCTACTACTGACTGGACTGGAGAATGCATGCCTCAGTTCCGTTGTCCCCTGGCTGTGTAACTCTGAGGTCCATGTTCGACGTGGCTCCCCAGAGTTCTGTCATGGGAGTAAGCACCAGTCATCTGCAGTGTAACTCACTTGGCAACACATCCTTATTTTGTCTTCTCCCTGTTCCCTGTCCCATTCTGTCCCTCCTTGACCAATGCTTCCAGTCTCCTTGGGATCAAGTCCCAAATAAACTACGTGCACTGAAATCTTTGTCTTAAGTTCTGCTCCTGGGGGAACCCACACTGAGACGTGGTGAATCATCCATATTTAGGAGGAACTGGTGCCTGTTGAAAATGAATTGTTGTGTTTGCTGGAGAAAAATTCATCTGTTATGCTGGAAGCAAACAAATCCCACAAGAATACTGTATTGCCAATATTGTCTGTGTCTCTAGCTGTGCAGGTAAGGAGAGCTGCACTGACGCTAGAAGTTGCCAACACCTGTGAATGACTCTGTAGCCTTTTTGTGGGCCTCCACCTTGGAAGAGGTGGCAAATGCTTAGTAGTCTCCCAGGAGTCAACATGCCGGCACTCACACTGATCTCCATATCATTGTGGAGAGTCAATGTCAAGACCCTCTGCCCTTCAAAGCTGTCACATTGTATGTGCCTTAGATGACACCTGCCAGAAGCAAGCCAGGTTTACCTTTGGACACCAACAGCATTCTTTCCATTCATTCATCCTCCTGACTTATCAGACCCTGCTGTGAATGACTTGATTGTTCTTCAACTTCCAATTTACCCTCAAAATTTGAAGATTTTCTACCCGTTCAAAATAACTGATTTTGCCAATTTGGAAAGCAGCTCACAGAGATTTCTTGAATAAAAAAATATTGATCCATTTTTAGGAAGCGTGTATTTGGATGTGTCTGTTGGACATACCTATCATTTGTTGACATACCTATCACACTGTCTGGAATGACACCTCAGTTTTGTCCCTTTTCTTTCAAAGTAGGCCTTTGGGAATCACATTTACTTTTATATAGAAACATGATTTTTCCTCTCAAGAGCTTGTCTTTTGTATTTAGCAAAAAAAGCCTTCTCCATTCTTTAGAGAAAATCCCCAAATTGTGCAAAACCTCTGGAGAAAGCACTGAGCCCAGGAAACCAGCATTCCAAGAAAAAGACTGCACAGTGTCTGCAATTGTGTGCTGAACTGTTAAATGCAGATGTAGTGAAATTAATAGCTTTTTCAAAATGTACAACATAGTGAATGGGTGTTGCCAATACATTGTAATTACCCTGGACTTGTGTGAGGTGGATCCTTTGGATGAAAACTGGCTTTCTCAGATGAAGGGAATCCTCTCTGTGAATGAAGAAGACAAGGAGGAACATAGTATTCTTGGGAGAGGCTGCCCTGGTTTTCATGTCAGTGGTCCTTTAACCCAAAAGCCCACAGATGTTCTCCCTAACTAACCACAGAAAGTATAATTATTTACCACCCCCAAGAATCTTGCTGACTTTATTTTTTCACTGAGTTCTTGTTCAGAAACCAAGATTGAGAGGAATTACTCCCAGAACCAGTGTGCAGTACTCACCTTTGAGCCCTTTGAGCTCCTTGCTTTCTTTCACAGCTTGTTTTTTCCTGCCTGTTTTTCCTGTCTTCTTTCAGGCTAAGCCTCCCTCCTTTTGGTAGAGGCTTTTTTATACCATTTGGGAACTGGTTTGGATAAGCTACCTTAATGAAGGACGACACATCCCTCCAGAGATGATAAAAGACTTTTTGTCTTTTCTGGTAAGTCCTTTCTGGAATAAAGATCAGTGTCTTTCTGGATTAGTCTTGGTTTCTACAGATTTTACATTCTGTCTGTGAGGCATATATTCTAGTGAATTTACTTTCAAATTGGTCTGCATGCCTAGTTTAATATTTTGATCTGCATGTCTAGGTTAAAATTTTTGTGAACAATCTTATCTTGGGAGGCCAAGGTGGGTGGATCAGGAGGTCAAGAGATCAAGACCATCCTGGCCAACATGGTGAAACCTCGTCTCTATTAAAATACAAAAAAAAAAAAAAAATTAGCCAGGCATGGTGGCATGTGCCTGTAGTCCCAGCTACTTGGGAGGCTGAGGCAGGAGAATCACTTGAACCTGGGAAGTGGAGGTTGCAGTGAGCCGAGATTGTTCCACTGCATGAGAGCCTGGTGATAGAGCAAGAATCCATCTAAAAAAAAAAAACAAAAAAACAAACCAAAAAAAACCAGAATCGCATTCTCAAACATTAAGGCATGCTAGGTTTTCTGGGACTCCACCTGGTTATATATTATGGCTCATATTTTTAACTTGCTGGGAAAATTACATCAAGGAAAATTCAGATCTCCAATAGTCATTATTTGAAAAACCTGCAATTATAGAGTTAACATGTAGAGTTTTCTAAGTTCTCTGTATACCTCTCTCTGTCCTTCTTCTGCCCATTCACTGTTTATGGAATTCTGGCCTGTGTCCCAAATCTTAAAGAGTTTTCAAATTAATGGCTTTATAAATTACAACAGCTTCATGATATCAAGTGAGATAATCTTTAGAAATATAAATTTAATTCTAAAATACCGTGTGTTAAGAAAAAATAAGAAATATAAATTTAGGTTTACCTGACTTACAATTGTGTACAATGACAGAATACTTAATTAGAAGTTAATATAAGAGAAAAATAACTAGAAAAATATTTATGAAATTAGGCTCTCAGATCAAACAGGTCAAAATCTTGACCTTACAGCAATAATCTAAGGTATGTCTAGCACAAAAATTTTGCTATTTCTGCCATGCAAAAGCAAAAAATAAAAATTATAAATAATTTAAAACCGCTGAAAATCTTTCCTGTCCAGACTTGCTAGTCAAGCAAATCACACTGGCAAACAGAAAATAGATTTGCTACTAATTCAAGGTTACATGGAGATTTTATTTTTCTTATACAATTTATTGAGTCCCAGCTTAAATGTAAACATTGAAAATATAACCCTAAACTCATTTGAAACTTAAGCTGAAAAAAGTTTCTTAAAAAGTCAAACTGCCATGGAAACTGCTTTACCCAAACTGTGGTTCACAGCACTTATTAGATTACCTATCGTGGCAAATAAATTTTAGCCATGTTTTACATTTTGCCAAAAAATATAATTTGGGTTCAACTGTCTTTTATAAACTGGTGGATTATTTTACTATCTCATGACTAAAAGTCTAAAATAAAAGAACCATAAGATCTGTTATTTGTGTGTGTATATGTGGTCAGATGTGTTTGTGCATATACACATGTATTTTGTTATATGTTTTGTCTACATGGTAAAATCTGGTGTAGTGATTCAGAAATCCCTTAAGAAAGTCTGTTTAGATAAATGGCCTCATGAAATATACAATAATTAACCTAAATGCTTTTTAATTCATGTGACTTAATTAAATCTGTGATAAATAAACTGTTCTAAAATTAGTGGTAAAATAAAAATAGAAATATCTTCAAAATGGCCAGTGTACATTTTACCTGGGTTTACTGGTCAGATGGTTTTATATTTGTCTCTTCTAGAAATCTGTTATTATGTGGGCGGCAAGCCACCCAGGTGCCGAGGCAAGAGACTGAGGGCAAGAGCTGTTCCAGTGTAATAAAGAAAATATATAAAATAATAGCTATACTAGATATAGATCATACATATGATTATAAATGAATATCATTAATCATTAGTTTGTAGCAATTACTCTTTATTCCAATATTATAATAATCCTCACTCTGTAATCATAACCTAGGAAAAACCAGACCATACAGAGATAGGAGCTGAGGGGACATAGTGAGAAGTTACCAGAAGACAAGGGCTCCTTGGTCTAGCAGTAACGCCAGCATCTGGGAAGATGCCCGTGACCTAAGCGGACCGTGGTCTAGCAGTAGTGTCAGTGCCAAGGAAAAGCACCCACTACTTAGCAGACCAGGAAAGGGAGTCTCCCTTTCCCTGGGGGAGTTTAGAGAAGACTCTGCTCTGCCACCTCTTGTGGAGGGCCTGACTGATGTCAGGCCCACCGCAGTTATCCGGAGGCCTGACCATCTCCCTGTGATACTGTGCTTCAGTGGTCATGCTCCTAGTCCGCTTTCATGTTCCATCCTGTATGCCTGGCTCACCTTTTAGTTAGCAGTAGCAAAATTAGTGAAAGTACTAAAAGTCTCTGATATGCAGAAATAATGGCATAAGCTGTCTCCTCTCTGTCTCTCTCTCTCCCCACCTCAGCTGCCAAACAGGGAAGGGCCCCCATCCAGTGGACACATGACCCATGTGACCTTACCTATCATTGGAGATGGCTCACACTCCTTACCCTGCCCCCTTGTCTTGTATCCAATAAAAGCGCAGCCTGGCCTTTGGGGCCACTACTTGTCTCTGTGTCTAGGTGGTAGTGGTCCCCTGGGCCCAGCTGTCTTTTCTTCTTTCTCTTTGTCTTGTGCCTTTATTTCTATGATCTCTCATCTCCACACATGGGGAGAAAAACCCACAGACCCTGTGGGGCTGGTCCCTACATTATTAGTCATAATTTTGTTTTCTATGTTAACTTTTGCCTAGAGTTATATTTATGTGGATATGTTATATGGATTTTTATACCCATATGACTTTCTATATTGCTATAAAATTGTTCTCACCCATAAAATACTGATAATACTGATATGTGACAGATTTCCTGCTTCCTAAGTTTTCACTATAATTTAAGGTTACTACAAGTTTAAAATTCTAATTAATATAGGCCAGGTACAGTGGCTCATGCCTGTGATCCCAGCACTTCGTGAGGCCGATGTGGGTGGATCGCTTGAGCCCAGGAGTTTGAGACCACTCTGGGCAACATGGTAAAACCCCATCTCTACAAAAAATACAGAAGTTAGCCAGGCATGGTGACACATGCCTGTAGTCCCAGCTACTGGGGAGGCTGAGGTGGGAGGATTGCTTGAGCCCAGGAGGTTGAGGCTGCAGTGAACTGTGATTGTGCCACTGCACTCCAGCAAGGGTGGCAGATTGAGACTTGTCTCAAATAAAATAAAATAATAAAATTTTAATTAATATGGATAATTCTTTTTGTGGGGTGGGGGAACAGGATCCCACTCTGTTACCCAGGCTGGAATGCAGTGGCATGGTCATAGCTCACTGCAACCTCGAACTCTTGGGCTCCAGCAATCCTCCTGCCTCAGCCTCCCAAAGTGCTGGGATTACAGGTGTGAGCCACCATGCCTAGCCTAACTAATATATATAATTCTATATAAAAGTGTGCCTTAAAAAGTAGGATGAATTTTTAATAAGAAAAAATGTATAAGAAATGCATACAAATATGCTCTTTATTGAGAAAGAAGTAATAATTTTATATAATTTGGAGGTTATTTAAAGGTTGTTTCAAAATATTGATTCAGCAAAAAAACAGTGAAATGTTAAAGAAGAACCAGTAAGTAGAAGAGAGAGATGTGAAGAAAGTTATTGATAGGGAGATGGAGATAGGAGAAGGTTGAAAAGAAAAGAAATATTTCACATGACAAAGAATCTTGTGTGGTAAATTTTCATCCTAAACTAAAATGTCTAGTTATTTAAGAGGGAAAGTACAGGACAAAGTGGAAAGCCCAAGAATGTCACCAATGGTCTGAGTAACTCATTTGTGAAAGGGAATTTATGCAAGATGTTTTGCATGTGACCAAGTTGGTTACAATCAGAAGAAAATTAAATTCTTCTGAAAATTAATTTATTAGTTTTCTAAATAAAATTAGAAAAGTCTTTCTAAGGATTAAGCTTTGGCATTAAAAATACACTAATACAAACCTGAAAAACTGTGGTCCCCTATGTTAGAACAACAAGGTTTTCTTAAAGTATTGATTTAGTTTTCATAAAGTTGCAAGAGGTTTTGAGTTTTAATTCTGAAATCTGTTCCCTTAACAGCCATCTTCTAAACTACAGACAATTTCCATTTCTGTCAAATATCTTTCTGAGATCTATTTAATTTGCCTAGTTTGAGGATGGAGATTCAGCTCCCCTTTTTTCTTGCCTAAAAAGGCATAACATTGTGCTTGGCTGAGGTGATAACTTTCCTTCAACCTTTTGTCAACTCTTGTAACTTTTTTTCTGTGGTTCCAACTCTGCTGTTATGTCCTGATGGTGAAATATATGTCCTGAAAAATCTAGAAAAACAGTGTTTTACTCCAACATAACTTGAAATTAATAAAAGTCTGATTGTCCTGATGTGATGTAGTCAGTCATGATTCTGGTTGCATGAAATAAAAATAACCAAGTTTCATTGTCAATTAGGACCTTTGATCAGATTTTAAACCATGGCTATTCCAAGTTTTTGTCATTCACAGTTGTTTTGAAAATTTCTCCAAAAGTGTTTGCAATCTGCTGTAGTCCAAAACTGCTTTTCATAGAAAATAACAAATACTCTTGAACACAGAATTCCAATAAATTTTTTGAGACAGGGTCTCACTCTGTTGCCCAAGCTGGTATACAGTGGTACAGTCTTGGCTCACAGCATCCTCAACCTCCCAATCCTCTAATCTCAGCCTCCTGGATAATTTTTGTATTTTTTTTATAGAGATGGGATTTCTCCATATTGCCCAGGCTGATCTCAAACTCCCAAGTTGAAGTGATCTACCTGCCTCAGCCTCACAAAGTGCTGGGACTGCAGATGTGAGCCACTGTGCCTGGCAAAATTTTTGATAATTTAAGATCAGTAGACTAAATAAAAATCTCCAGAGCTCAAATAAATAAGCTGATGGATTTATAAAACTGTTAATCAAGATTAAACAAAACAAAACAATTACATGAAATTAAGTGGTTCACGAAGATGATGTTTTTATGACTTTTATTTGAAACATTATTGGTTCTGAAATATTTTGTTTTCCAGATTTAAGAAAACTTTATCTCGTAAGCTACCTATAGTTTACAAAAATTCAGTAAAGTATAATTTTTTGAACAAAGATGGAAGCATTCATTTTGTCTCCCTACTTGATTCCTCCAAAATTTGGAAACCATTTGTGAGTATTCTTCTATTTTTACTCAATAAATATCTGTTTCTCTTCATAAACAGAATACCATTGAAAACCTTGGTTATATTATTAAGGCTTTGACTGAAATATCATATTTAAGAATGTGCATAAAATGCCTGGCTTCCAGTGCTTCCAGCCTGACAGTGAATGAGTAAAAATTGTCACTTCCTGGCAGGCCCAAAAACTTTAAGATTGTAAGTAAAATCTAAAACCTCCCTTGCTTTGGCCTCAAGAGGTTTTTAAACCTGAACTTTCTGTAAATTAATGTAGAGAGAAAGTTCTGTTTCTAAAGAAAAACTATAATGCCTCTGTTAGTAGATTGTAAATGTGTGCATTCTTTTCAAGTTCTTGTTATCTACATGTAGATTATACTAGATCCTGAATTTTCCTAATGTATTTCTCCTAATTTGGCAACAACTCTCCAACTAAAGGCAAAAGCTGCTCTGTTACTAAAGCCCTATGAGCTGAAACTAGATAAATTTTAAAGAATAAACTTGTGCCTGATGTATGGATCACAGAAAGAGTGCACCAAACCAACTGATGTCATGACCAAAGACATTCAAACTACAAAGCAGGAGAAGTTAATGTTTTCATGCCGATTTTCCCAGGTCATTAGAACAGATTTTCCCAGGTCATTAGAACAAGACTCCACGTGATGAGATTTTTACCCCTCCTCCTCCTTAATGCTACATTTTTCACTTGGCAGAATAATGATGTGAATGAAAATTCACAATCAATAGCTTCTGCTCATAAGTATCCTTTGGTTAAATGAGAAAATGACTGTGTTATTGTCAATACTATATGCTGTACCTGGATAAATTTCTCTATGAAATTAGAAATTTATAGACACAAAAGAAGAAGACAGGCCATGTGGTTACACCATCTCACCTGATTCCTTGTGATCATTTGATTTATTCAATTAGTTGTCTGTAAGCCTAGGTTAATGGCTCAAAGCCATTATGCAAACTAGAATTGTCCTATTACTATTTACTTCATAATTTCCCTTTTTAAACTGTGTATCCATTACTTAAGTTTTTTTTCAAAAGTACAACTCCTAACAGAATAATACCAGTACAGCACTTTAAGATGATAGCAAAAGACTACAGAACAGACAAAATCGAACTTAATAATGAACTCCAGGTAGACTTAGCCTGAAAACTACTCCCTTCAAATTTCCCTTGTTGCTCCAAATATGCCTAAAAGGATTTTGACACTGACTCTTAGGTGCCAATTACCCCCTGCCTCAATGTGGGATGAGAACAAAAACCAAAATAGGTCCATCCTAGCACCAAGGGCCATCAAAACCAAACTTAAAGATGATTGATCAGTGATGCTTTTGGAAAAAGATCTGGAGCACAAAAGGGAAACGTGAAAGTTGTCTGAATCAAAATGGAGTCACTAGTAATAAGAAAACTCTGACAGCTCGAGCTGGGGAAGGCCATGAAGAGAGCATTCTCATGCGTGTATGCCTGATGATGAAAAAGATTCTACAAAAATTACAACCTTGCACAAAGTCCGTGACAACGTTATACAAAAAAAAAATTCTGTAAGGACATCTGCCCAGTAACTACTGCCTTCCAACCATGGACTGGCATCACGATTGTTATTGATTTTTGTAGCCAAGGATAATTATTTCAAAACAATTATGTAACCTTCCTCATTGTTTCCTTTGAAAACCTTTGTGTTTCATGTGATTTGGGTGTTTGCCCTCTCCAAATCTCATGTTGAAATGTAATCCCCAGTGTTGGAGGTGGGGCCTGGGGACATGACTGGATCATGGGTGCAGGTCCTTCATGAATGGTTTAGCACCATCCCCTTGGTGATAAGTTCTCACCCAGAGTTCATGTGAGTTCTGGTTGTTTAAAAGTGTGTGGAGGCTGGGTGCAGTGGCTCACACCTATAACCCCAGCACTTGGGGAGGCTGAGTTGGGCAGAATACTAGAGATCAGGAGTTTGAGACCAGCCTGGCCAACATGGTGAAACCACATCTCTACTAAAAATACAAAAAAATAGCTGGGTTTGGTGGCATGAGCCTGTAATTCCAGCTACTCAGGAGGCTGAAACAGGAATCGCTTGATCCCAGGAGGCAGAGGTTGCAGTGAGCCGAGATCACACCACTGCACTCCAGCCTTGGTGACAGAGTGAGAATCCATCTAAAAAAAAAAAAGAAAAGAAAAAGAAAAAAAAGAAAAGATGTGGCACTTCTCCCCTCCCTCTGTTGCCCCTGCTCTCACCATGTAATGTGCCTGCTGCCACGTCAAATTCTGCCATGAATAAATGTTTCCTGAGGCTCTCACCAGAAGCAGATGCCAGAACCATGCATCCTACAAGGCCTGTAGAACCATGAGACAATTAAACCTCTTTCATTTATAAATAACTCAGCCTCAGGTATTTCTTTACAGCAATGCTCTTCTCTGTATTGGCTATTCTAGTTATCCATTCGTCTAATTTTTTTTTCACAGTTTTTAACTTCTTTGCCATTGGTTTGAATTTCCTCCTGTAGCTCAGAGTAGTTTGATCGTCTGGATCCTTCTTCTCTCAACTCGTCAAAGTCATTCTCCGTCCAGCTTTGTTCCATTGCTGGTGAGGAGATGCGTTCCTTTGGAGGAGGAGAGGCACTCTGCTTTTTAGAGTTTCCAGTTTTTCTGCTGTGTTTTTTCCCCATCTTTGTGGTTTTATCTACTTTTGGTCTTTGATGGTGGTGACGTACAGATGGGTTTTTGGTGTAGATGTCCTTTCTGTTTGTTAGTTTTCCTTCTAACAGGCAGGACTCTCAGCTGCAGGTCTGTTGGAGTTTGCTAGAGGTCCACTCCAGACCCTGTTTGCCTGGGTATCAGCAGCAGTGGCTGCAGAACAGCAGTGGCTGTAGAACAGCGGATCTTGGTGAACCACAAATGCTGCTGCCTGATCATTCCTCTGGAAGTTTTGTCTCAGAGGAGTACCCAGCCGTGTGAGGTGTCAGTCTGCCCCTACTGGGGGGTGCCTCCCAGTTAGGCTGCTCGGGGGTCAGGGACCCACTTGAGGAGGCAGTCTGCCCGTTCTCAGATCTCCAGCTGCGTGCTGGGAGAACCACTGCTCTCTTCAAAGCTGTCAGACAGGTACATTTGAGTCTGCAGAGGTTACTGCTGTCTTTTTGTTTGTCTGTGCCCTGCCCCCAGAGGTGGAGCCTACAGAGGCAGGCAGGCCTCCTTGAGCTGTGGTGGGCTCCATCCAGTTCGAGCTTCCCGGCTGCTTTGTTTACCTAATCAAGCCTGGGCAATGGCAGGCGCCCCTCCCCCAGCCTTGCTGCTGCCTTGCAGTTTGACCTCAGACTGCTGTGCTAGCAATCAGCGGGACTCCGTGGGTGTAGGACCCTCTGAGCCATGTGCGGGATATAATCTCCTGGTGTGCCATTTTTTAAGCCCATTGGAAAAGCGCAGTATTAGGGTGGGAGTGACCCGATTTTCCGGGTGCCATCTGTCACCCCTTTCTTTGACTAGGAAAGGGAACTCCCTGACCCCGTGAGCTTCCTGAGTGAGGCAATGCCTCACTCTGCTTTGGCTTGTGCACCGTGCACTGCACCCACTGTCCTGCACCCACTGTCTGGCACTCCCTAGTGAGATGAACCCGGTACCTCAAATGGAAATGCGGAAATCACACATCTTCTGCGTCGTTCATGCTGGGAGCTGTAGACCAGAGCCAATCCTATTCAGCCATCTTGGCTCCACCCCACCCCAGATTTAAGAATGTAAACTAGCTTGCATCCCCTGGGACTCGGTAAGTATTGGGGACAATGAGGTGTATGGAGACAACTGCATTTCTTAATGCTCTGAGGGTTCTGACAAATCTGTACTTGCCATTAGGCTTTTTATCTGGTAACATGGGAGTATTGTAAGGGGACTCTTATGGCCTTAATAACTCATATGGCAAGAATTTGGTGCTAAGGGGTTGAATTTCCCCTCATGCTTCTTGCCTTAATATGTATTGTCTTTTCTGAGGGTGAGGAGCACTAGGCTGAAGTTGGATTTGAATGGGGAAGGTGTTTAGTGTGTTTCCCAGAGCCTGTGTGGCCCAAACCTCAAGATTTACTTGAGACAACACTTCAGGCAGTAAATGTGACAGCTCATTCTTAACTTCCCCTGAGGGGTCAGGAACAAAAGTAACACTTTCTATGCTTTATGATCTGTGAAGTTGACCATGACTTGGTCTTCTGAGTCAATAAACCTCTCCCCAGTAAGAGGTCAGGCATTCAGACAGTACTAAAAAGGCAGGTGAGAAGCCCAGAGGCCCTGGAGGACAACTTAGAAGATATGATAAGCAGTGTTTTGGGGCTTGTCCATCATGAGAAGACAGGAGCCCATTGTATTGAATCAGGACAGAGTCATCTGCTCCCATACCTAATATGAAGTTAATACTCCTATCTGCCACTTCAAGAGTCACCTGAGTCTCCTCCATCTCTCGATAGCTAATAGTCCAATGGGAGCAGAGGTAGGAAGTATCAGACCCTATCACTTTTGAGTCTGCTGGGCTCTGATGATGGCTCCCTTGGAAGCACAGTGCATTTCCTTCATCAGTGGCTGACCTTCTTACAGAAGGCACATTGATTTGTATCCAAGGCACAGTGGCTCAGAGGCACAGAGTGGGACTTTCACCTTCTCACCTCCTCTGTGAGGCCTGGGGCCCAGGGGCTGCCTCTGAAGTGGTGGAGAGCACAAGGCTGCAGCTAGAAGCTGGGCCTCTTGGGAGATTTGCTTTATTTTATGTTATCTCTGCCCTATTCCTGTGATGGAAAACTGCAAAATCCAAGTCTAAAATCTGATCCATGGGAGTCTGGAAGCCTAAGGCTGCTTTTGGTGTCTTCCTGCAGATATCAGAAGCAGACTGGGCTGTAAAATAAACTGCTAGCAATGCCTGTCCCTTCTTGGGGTCAGGGTCAGTGTTAGTGTATTTCCTCAAAGTCTAAATTATCCACCGTTTTAATAATGCTAGGTTTTCATCTTTTCCCTGAGTAATTTTCCAGACTTTATAAAAATTAAAAAGCTTTATCACACTTTTTTTTTATTCCTTCAAGGAGTCAAATGATTGTAATTTTTTCTCTCTATATCCCATTTTCTTCCTAATTCATTTGTCTTTTCTAGATTCTAGTTCTCTTCTGGGTCCTGGTCAGGCACTGGTGTGCCTCCTATTTGATAGGTGTCATGTCCCTGGTTGCAGGCTGCCACCCTATTAGCATGTACTCTAGCCACTCCCATAATGCACTGCTTTTCTACCATGCAGCAGGTAAACATAAATATATGCAAATCCTGCCTGGTCAGATTATACATCAAGGTTAGCCTCTTAAATTTGTCTATGAATTTTCCCAGAACCTCTGAAAATTGTTTTAGTTTTTCCTTGCATATGGCTAATTCAGACATAGAAAAGGGTACATATACCTATACAGTGTCCCTATTATCATCTGTCACTTCCCAGAGAGGGCAAACATTCAACTTTGCCAGCTGATAAGAGGCCCTACTGCATGTTGTTCCAGTGAAGCTCAGGTGTTTCGAGAGTGGGGTATATATGTAAGACAAGACTTGAAGGGGAGGGAGAAGAGGATGACCAAACACTAGATAACCCTGGAAAACTAGAAGAAATTAATAACGCGTTGCACACCTCACCAGAACTGGAAGGAGTCTGACTGGGTTCTTATGGGGTGCTTGAACTGGCAGGGGGAGTTCAGCCCCAGCCAAGAAAAGCCTGATATTAAGAGGCACTTGCATTAAAAGGGTAATCAATTATGTGCCATCCCTATTTTGTCTTTTCCTCCATCAAACATATAGAAGCCCATTTTAATTTTTTATCCTGACCAAGCATCAGAGAAGCCTGTATATAATGTATTTCCTCCCACTTAGTTTCTCTTCTGTAAAACAAATTAAGCTGCAAAATAGGAGTCAGATCGAACGGGGAAATGGGAAGGCTGTAACTTGTACATTGTAATGTATTAGTCCATTTTCACACTGCTGTGACAAAACTGACAAAACTCTTTCAGGAAAAAAGTGACATGCTGGGTTTAGAAAGTAGGGTACAGCTGCCCTATACCAGCTCATCAAAGATGACCTTATGGTTAAGAAATGAGAGAAAACTGTTAAGAAAAATTATGTTCTCCATCTTGAGGCTAATTGTTTGCAGAGGGTTGTCATAAAAGATGCTGCCACTAAACAGGCATATCTGATCTTATCATGTAGGGCTGTTAAATACCACATTTCAACTTCTAGTCATAATGATGGAGAGGTTACTGCTGATCTTTTCTGATAATTAAGGTACAAAAATACTAGGTTCCAAGACATCTCTCTTTTTTCAGTGTCACTTGGACCAGTGGCAAATTAAACAAGCAATCAGATAAAAGTCAGAGGATAGTTGAGGAAAGTAAAAGCTAAACTGTTTGGGGCCTCTTTCCTGGGGCAGCCTCCAGGCTACTACAAAACTGAGGCGCTGAGCAGAGAGGTGACAAGATGCAGAGCACTCAGGTGAGGGACAGAGAGCGGAAGGTGGACAGTCCAAAAAGAGAAAGTGGCAAACATCTTGTTTAGCCAAACCCATTCTTCTCAGTATTCCCAAGGGCCTCTAACCCTGTGAGCTTGGCCTCTAATCTGAATATGATGCCCCTGGGCCTCTAACTTTTGGGGCTGAGTCTCTCACCCTAACATTATGCCCTAGGGTCTCTCACTTAAATAATAGTGGATAATCGTTCTTGCCCGCCTGAATGGCTTCACGACTCTAAAAGATGGCCCACTTGCCAGCTGATTGATTCTGTGTGGATTGTTTTCCTTGGAGTGGGGGTCTTGTCTTGGCGTCCCTTCATGATATTGCCGAAAGATGTTGCTGGAAAAGAGGGTCCTGATACAGACCAAAAAGTAGGATTCTTAGATCTTATGCAGAAAAAATTTGAGGTGAGTCAGAGAGCACAGTGAAAGAAGCAAGTTTATTAGAAATGACTCCATTACAGAGTTGGACATCCTCAGAAAACAAGAGCAGGAGTGCATTGTCTTTTGTTAGTGTCTCTACTTATAAGTAACTATAAAGAGAAAGAGTTATAATTAAACTTGGAAGGTGCAGATGTACTCACTAAAGTCAAGGCTATTGGTTTTAACAATGACCATTAACCCACTGTCCTAAGCTAGCTCATTAATATTATCCTTACAAAAAATGCTACACTCCTAGGACATTTATACATTTTTCAGGCTTGGTGGAAGATGTCTTGTATGGCCACAGATATTCTGCAATTGTAATTTGTGGCCAGCTAAAAAATGTGGCTATTTTCAGACCATGAGTATTAACCTTCTAGATGCCTTGTGAGTACCTAGCTACTCATATTAAGATAGAGTATTCTGGTCATGTTTGTTAAACTAGAAGGTTGGTAGCCATGAGTCCCTCTAACACAGCAAGTCTACTCCTCAAGGAGAAAATGTATTTCTTAGGAACTTTGTGCATTTTGTTTGATGGAATTTGGTATGTTTACCAAAATGGCAGAAAACAGTAAAATTAGTCCTCAAAGATTTCTCAAGATTGGATATAAACAAAATGATAGTTAATATGGAAGTTGATACAGTTGATATTCAAAAGAAATTTTGTTTGAAACACAATGAGATTTTTATTTTTATTTATTTATTTATTATTATTATTATTTTGAGACAGAGTCTTGCTCTGTTGCCCAGGCTGGAGTGCAGTGCACCATCCTGGCTCACTGAAACCTCCATCTCCCAGATTCAAGCAATTCTCCTGCCTCAGCCTCCCAAGTAGCTGCGATTACAGGCATGCATCATGACACTCAGCTCATTTTTGTATCTTTAGTAGAGATTGGGTCTCACTCCATTGGCTGGGTGGTCTCAAACCCCTGAAAACAAGCGATCTGCCCACCTTGGCCTCCCAAATTGCTGGGATTACAGGCATCAGCCACCGCTCCCAGCCACAATGAGGTTTTAAAATAATTCTGATTTCCTGCTGTTGAGCAGGGAGCTGAGCAAATTCAACAGATTCATGGGCTTAAAGTAGGAGAAGACTGAGGACAAACTCTAGAATGCATGTGATTAAATTAACTACAATTGAAACCAAATCAAATTTAATAAGGCTGTACCTCTTAGTTTCAAGATGTTTCCCCTCGTTTTGAAATGTGTTATTCAGTGGAAAAGAAAACTAGTGTTTGTCTCCAGAGTAAAGAACAGGGTTCCCTGCAGGGATTGATTGACTGAGAGCTATGGCTTAGGATTAAAAATCCTTCTTTTTTCCACTTATAAACTAAAAATAAATTTTTAAGCCCCTATTGACTAAATGAACCCCTCTTCTTGGATAAGGACATTCCAAAGTTAACCTTAAAAGCTAGTTCAAGCCATGGGTCACACATGCCTCATTATACTCTCCTCCCTTTGCTTTTAATTTTAATTTCAATCTTTAATTTATTTTTGTGGGTACATAGTTGGTGTATATATTTATGGGGGTACATGACATACTTTGACACAGGCATGCAATGAGTAATACATAATAAAAAATGGTGTATCCATCCCTCAAGCATTTATAGCTTGTGTTATAAACAATCCAATTATACTCTTTTAGTTTTTTTAATGTATAAATTATGTTTTACTATAATCACCCTGTTGTGCTATCAAATACTGTCTTATTCGTTCTTTCTAACAATTGTTTTAACCCATTTAGCACCCCCACTATCCCCCTGTTCCGTCACTGCCCTTCCCAGCCTCTGGCAACCATCCTTATACTCTCCATCTCTATGACACCTATTGTTTTGAATGTTAGCACCCACAAATAAGTGAGAACGTGTCACATTTGTCTTTCTGTGCCTGACTTATTTCACTTAACATAAAGACTTACAGTTCCATTTATGTTATTGCAAATGGTATACTCTCATTCTTTCTTATAGCTGAATAGTATTCCATTGTGTATATGTACCACATTTTCTCTATCCAGTCATCTGTTGATGGACATTTAGGTTCCTTCCAAATCTTGGCTATTATAAACCCTGCTGAAGCAAACATGAGAGTGCCAATATGTCTTTGATTTACCAATTTTATTTCTTTTAGGCATATACTGAGCAGTGGGATTGCTAGACCATATAGTAGTTCTATTTATAGTTATATCAGGAACATCCAAACTGTTCTTAACTGTGCTCCCAACAACAGTGTACAAGGGTTCCCTTCACTCCACATACTCACCAACATTTGTTTTTGACTGACTTCTGTATAAAAACAACCTTAACTGGGGTGAAATGATATCTCATTTTGGGTTTGATTTGCATTTCTATGATGATCAGTAATGTGGAGCACCTTTTCATTTGCCTGTTTGACATTTGCATGTCTTCTTTTCATAAATGTCTATTTAAATTTTTTGTCCACTCTTTAATTAGATTATTATATATTTTCTATATAAGTTTTTGAACTCAATATATTGTAGTGTATTAGTCTGTTTCTGCACTGCTATAAAAAAATACTCGAGACTGGGTTATCTATTTATTTATTGAGATGAAGTCTTGATCTGTTGCCCAGGCTGGAGTGCAGTGGCGCAATCTCTGCTCACTGCAACCTCCGCCTCCTGGTTCAAGCAATTCTCTGCCTCAGCCTCCTGAGTAGCTGGGATTACAGGCACCTGCCCGCACACCCAGCTAAATTTTGCCCCCATGCCTGGCTAATTTTTGTATTTTTAGTAGAGACGGGGTTTCACCATCTTGGCCAGGCTGGTCTTGAACTCCTGACCTAGTGATCCAGCAGCCTCGGCTTCCCAAAATGGTGAGATTACAGGCGTGAGCCACCACACCTGGCAAGACTGAATAATTTATAAAGGAAATGGGTTTAATTAACTCACAGTTCCAAATGGCTGGGGAGGCCTCAGGAAACTCACAATCATGGCAGATGGGGAAGCAGGCACCTCTTATATGACACCAGACGAGAGCATGTATGTGAAGCAAAGGGGGAAGAGTCCCTTATAAAACCATCAGATCTCATGAGAACTGACTCATTATCAGAAGAACAGCATGGGGGTAACCACCCCCATGATCCAATCACCTTCTACCAGGTCTCTCCCTCAACATCTGGGGATTACAATTCAATATGAGATTTGGGTGGGGACACAAAGCCTAATCATATCAGGTAGCTATTAATTGCTTTTCAGATGGATAATTTACAAATATTTTCTCCCATTCTGTGGATTTTCTCTTCACTTTGTTTATTGTTTCCTTCACCTTAAAAAGGCTTTCTGACTTGCTTTAATCCCATTTGTCCATGTTTGTTTTGGTTGTCTGTGCTTATGGGGCATTATTTAAGAAATTTTTGCCCAAACCAATGCCCTAAAGAGTTTCTCCAATGTTTTCTTGTAAAAATTTGATAGTTTGAGATGTTATGTTTAAGTCTTTATTTCATTTTAATTTGATTTTTGTATGTGGCAAGAAATAGGATTCTCGTTTTATTCTTCTGCCTATGGCTTGCCAGTTTTCCCAGCCCTATTGATTACAAAACCTGTCTTATTTTTTATTGTATGTTCTTGGCACTTTTGTTGAAAGTAAGTTCAGTTTAGCTGTATGAGTTTGTTTCTAAGGTCTCTATTTCATTCCATCTGTCTTTATGTCTGTTTTTATGCTAGTGTCATGCTGTTTTAATTACCATAACTTAGTGGTATAATTTAAAACCAGGTAATGGAATTCCTCCAGTTTTGTTTTATATACTCAGCATAGCTTTGACTATTACGGTGTTTTGCGATGGTTCCATATACAGTTCAGAATTTTTTTTTCTATTTCTGTGAGGAATGTCTTTTTTTTTTTTTTCGATGGTGTCTCACTCTGTCACCTAGACTGGAGTGCAGTGATGTGATCTTGGCTCACTGCAACCTCTGCCTCCTGGGTTCAAGCAATTCTCTGCCTCAGCCTCCTGAGTAGCTGGGATTACAGGCACCCGCCACCACACCCGGCTAATTTTTTTGTATTTTTAGTAGAGATGGGGTTTCACCAAGTTGGCCAGGCTGGTCTTGAACTCCTGACCTCATAATTCACCCATCTCGGCCTCCCAAAGTGCTGGGATTACAGGCATGAGCCACTGCCCCTGGCCTGTTATTTTGATAGAGATGGCATGAAATGTATAGATTGCTTTGGATTGTATGGACATTTTAAAAAATACTGATTCTTCCAATCTGTGAACATAAAAATATCTTTCCAATTTTTGGGTCCTCTTTCATTTCTTTTGTCAGTGTTTCACAGTTTCAATTGTTGAGAACTTTTATTTCTTTGGTAAATTCCCACACATTTTGATTCATTTGTGGCTACTGCAAATAGTATTACATTTTTGAATTCTTTTTCAGTTTGTTGACTCTTGGCATATAGAAATCCTACTGATTTGTATATGTTGATTTTGTATTCTGCAAATTTACTCAAGTTATTACTTCTAATAGTTTTTTGGTGGATGTATTAGGCCATTCTCACATTGCTATAAAAAATAATCAGTGACTGGTTAATTTATAAAGAAAATAGGTTTAATTGGCTCATGGTTCTACAGGGTATACAGAAAGCATAGCACTGGCTTCTGCTTCTGGGGAAGCCTCTGACAACTGACAAGGTGAAAAATAAATCTGGTGCTTGCACATCACATGGTAAGTGTGAGGGCAGGGGGGAGGTGCTACACACACTTGTAGATAACCAACTCTCATGAAAGCTAACTATTGTGGGAATGGCACCAAAGGAAATGATGCCAAACTGTTCTTGGAAATCCTGCTGTCATGATTCAATCACCTCCCCACTAGGCCCACTTCCAACATTGAGGATTACATTTCAATATAAGATTTTTGTGGGAACACACACCCAAACTATATCATTTTGCCCCTGGCCATTGCAAATCTCATATCCTTCTCATATTTCAAAATACAATCATGACTTTCCAATAATCCCCAAAGTCTTAACTCATTTCAGCCTTAACTGAAAAGTCAAAAGTCTCATCTAAGACAAAGCTAGTTCCTTCCTCCTATAAGCCTGTAAAATAGAAAACAAGTTAGGCACTTCCAAGATACAAATGGGGCAGTGGCATTGGGTAAATAATCCTATTCTAAAAGGAAGAAATCAGCCAAAAGAAATGGACCACAGGACCCATGAAAGTCTGAAACCCAGAATGGCAGTTACTGAATTGTAAGGCTCCAAAATAATTATTTTTCACTCTGTGTCCCATTTTCAGGGCACACTAATGCCTTGGGAAGGTTCTACCTTGTGCCTTTGCATGGTTCAGCCCCCACAGCTGCTCTCATGGGCTGGCATTGTGTACCTCTGGCTGGTATTGTGTGCCTCTGGCTTTTCCAGGTGCAGGGTGCAAGCTGTAGCTAGATCTACCATTATGGGGTCTGGAGGACAGTGATCTTCTCCTCGCAGATCTCCTAGGCCATGCCCCAGTGGGGAGCCTGCCTAGGGACTGTCACCCCACATTTCTTTTCTCCATTGTTTTAGTAGAGGTTCTCCATGAGGGCTCCACCCCTGCAGAATGCTTCTGCCTGCACACCCTGGCTTTTTCGTACATCCTTTGAAATAAAGGTGGAGACTCCCAAGTCTCAACTCTTGCATTTTGTACACCCACAGGCCTAACACCACATGGAAGCTACCAAGGCTATGGCTTGCACCCCCTGAAGCAGTGACTGGAGTTGTAACTGAGTCAATTTGACCTACACCTGGAGCTGAAGCAGTGGCCAGGATGCAGGGAGCCATGTTCCAAATCTACCCAAGGCAGCATGTCCTGGGCCTGATCCCAGAAACTATTCTCTTCTTTTAGGCCTCAGGGCCTATGATGGGGGACTGCCTTTTAGATTTCTAAAGTGCCTTCAATTCCTCTTTCCCATTGTCTTGGCTATCAACACTTGCTTTTTTTTTTAGGTTATACAAATATCTCTAACAAGTAGTTGCTCCATAGCCTGCTTGAGTTCCTCTCTTATAAAAGCTTTTTATTTTTCAGCCACATGACTAGGCTGCAAAGTTTTCAAGCTTTTACACTATGCTTCCCTTGTAAGCTTAAGTTACAACCTTTTTTTTTTTTTTTTGCTAGAACATGTGAGCATAGGTTGTTAGAAGCAGCCAGGCCACATCTCAAATGCTTTGCTGTTTAGACATTTTTCCAACAGAAACCCTAAATCATCAATTTCAAATTCAAACTCTTATATATCCCTAGGGCATGACAGAAATTCAGCCAACCACTTTGCTAAGACAACATGCGTGACCTTTGTTTTGGTCCTAATTAGTTTCTAATTTTCATCTGAGACCTCCTCAGCCCAGCCTTCACTGTCCAGATCACTATCAGCATTTTGGTCACAGCCATTCAACCAGTCTCTAAGAAAATCTCAACTTTCTCTCATTTTTCTGTCTTCTTCTGAATCCTACAAACTCTTCCAACCTCTGCCTATTTACCCAATTACAAAGCTGATTCCACATTTTCAGGTATTCTTATAACAATTTTCCACTCCTTGGTGCCAATTTTATGTATTAAGCTATTTTTGCATCACTATAAGAGTGGGACTGGATAATTTATTTTTAAAAAAGGAGGTTTAAGTGGCTCCTGGTTCTACAGGCTGTAGAGAAGACATAGCACTGGCATATGCTTCTGGGGTGGCCTGTGGAAGTTTACAGTCATGGCAGAAGTTGAAGCAGAATCTTGCACATCACACAGCAAAAAGCAGGAGTGAAAAACAGAGGTGCAAGTTGTTACACACTTTTAAATAACCAGATCTTATAGGAACTCACTTACTATTATGAGGATAGTACCAAATGGGATGGTGCTAAGCCATTTATGAGTAATCCACCCCGATGATTAAATCACCTTTCACCAGGCCCACCTCCAACATTGAGAATTACATTTAAATATGAGATTTGGGAGGGGACACATATTCAAACCTTATCAGAGGAGTCTTTATGTTTTTGCCAATATAAGATTATATCATTGGTAAAAAAAAAAAGATAATTTGACTTCTTTTCCAATTGGGATGCCTTTTATTGCTTTCTCTTGTCTGATTGCTCCAGATAGGACTTTCAGAATTATGTTGAATAACAGTGGTAAAAGTGGACATTCTTGTCATCTTCCAGATTTTAGAGGAAAGGATTTTAGTTTTTCCCCACTTAGTATGATACTAGCTGTTGGTCTGTCATATATGACTTTTATTATGTTGAGGTATGTTCATTCCATACCCAGTTTTCAAAGGGTTTTTTATTATTAAAGAATATTAAATTTTATCAAATTTTTTTAGTATAATTGAAATGATTATATGGATTTTGTCCTTGTTTTTTTTTTTTTTTTTTTTTTTTTGAGATGAAGTCTCCCTCTGTCACCCAGGTTGGAGTGCAATGGTGTGATCTCAGCTCACTGCAACCTCTGTCTCCTGGGTTCAAGTGATTCTCCTCCTTCAGCCTCCCGAGTAGCTGGGATTACAGGCACCCACCACCGTGACTGGTTAATTTTTGTATTTTTAGTAGAGACAGGGCTTTGCCATGTTGGCCATACTGGTTTAGAACTCCTGAACTCAGATGATCTGCCCACCTCGGCTTCCCAAAGTGCTGGAATTACAGGCGTGAGCCATTGTGCCTGGTCCCTTCATTCTGTTTATGTGATGTATCACATTGATTGATTTGCATGTTGAACCATCCTTGCATCCCTGGGATAAATCCCACTTGGTCATTATGAATTACCTGTTTGTGTGTTGTTTAATTCAGTTTGCTAGGTTTTTTGCAAATTTTTGCATCAATATTCTCAGATATGGGCCTGTAGTTTGCTTTTTTAATGTGTCTCTGTCTGGTTTTGATATCAGGGTAATACTAGCCTCAAAGAATGAGTTTGGAAATGTTCTTTCCTTTTCTATTTTTCAGTCTGGTCCTACAGACTTTTTTAATTAAGGCTTTAATTTTGTTAATTGTTATTGGTCTGTTCAGGTTTTAGATTTTTTCCTAGTTCAATCTTGGTAAGTTGTGTTTGTCTAAGAATTAATTTCCTGTAGGTTTTCTAATTTGTTGGCACACAATTGCTGATAGTAACCACTAATGATCCTTTGATTTTCTGAAGCATTTCTTGTAATGTCTCCTTTTTCACCTCTGATTTTACTAATTTGTATCTTCTCTGTTTTTCAGTTAGCCTGTCTAAATATTGGTCAATTGTTTTACTTTTCAAAAAATCAACTTTTTGTTTATTAGTCTTTTGCATTGTTTTCTTCATTTTAACTTTATTTACTTCCGCTCTAATCTTTATTATTTCTTCTAATTTTGGATTTGGCTTGGCCTTTTTCTTCTAATTAATTAAGATGTATTGTTAGGTTATTTATTTGAAGCTTTTCTGTTTTTTATGTTGGCACTTACAGTTATAAATTTTCCTTTTATAATAGTACCTCTTTTACTATATTCCATAGGTTTTGCTATGCTGTTTCCATTATCATTTGTTTCAAGAAATTTTTCTATTTTCTTCTTAACTTTTTTATCGACCTACTAATCATTCAGGAGCATATTGTTTAATATCCTTGTGTTTGTATAGTTTCTGAAATTCCTTTTTTAATTGATTTATAATTTCATTCCCTGTAGTCAGAGAAAATGCTCAATATTACTTCAATTTTTTGGAATGTCTTTAGACTTGTTACTTAACATATGGTCTATCCTTGAGAATAACCCATGTGCTGAGGAGAAAAATGTATATTCTGCAGCTGTTGGATGAAATTTTCTGTAAATATCTAGTAGGTTCATTTGTTCTGTAGTGCAGATTAAGTCTGATGTTTCTTTGTTGATTTTCTATTTGGAAGGTCTATCCAATGACTAAAGTAGGGTGTTGAAGTGTCCAGCCATTATTGTATTGAGGTCTCTTTCTTTAGTTCTTATAATATTTGGTTTATTTATCTAGGTGCTTTAGTGTTGGGTGCATATATATGTTCAATTATTATATCCTCTTGAATTGATCTCTTTATTATTATATAATGACCTTTTTAATCTCTTCCTACAGTCTTTTGTTGAAATCTATGTTTGTCTGGTATAAGTATAGCTATTTCTGCTCTTTTTTGGTTTCTGTTGGCATGTAATACCTTTTTCCATCCTTTTATTTTCAGTCTAAATATATCTTTATAGGTAAAGTATGTTTTTTGTAGGTCACAGATTATTGTCCTGCTTCTCTATCCGTTCATCCACTATTTTTCTTTTGACTGGAATATTTAGTTCATTTACATTCAGTGTTATTATTGATAAGCACTTACTCCTGCCATTTTGTTATTTGTTTTCTGATTGATTTTTGTCCTCCCTTCTTTCCTTTCTTCCTGTCTTCCTTTTAGTGAAGGTGATTTCTCTTGTATTATAATCTAATTTCTTGCTTTTTACTTTTTGTACGTCTGTGGTACACTTTTTGATTTGAAATTACCATGAGGCTTGAAAACAATATAATACATGATTTTAGACTGTGGACAATTTAACACTGATTGCATCAACAAAGAAACAAGCAAAACAACTAATAAAAACTATACTTTATTGCCATTCTTTTAACCTTTTTGTTGTTTCTCTTCATTCCCTATTTTACTGTCTATGTCTTGGAAATATGTTGTAGTTATTATTTTCATTGGTTTATTGTTTACTCTTTCTAGTTGAGATTTTTGCACCCAATAATTACCATGTTATAATATTCAGTGTTTTTCCATGTGCTATTGCTAGTGCGTTCTGTACCTTCAGATGATTTCTTATTGCTCACTAACTTTTTTTCTTTTAGGTCTAGAAGTCCCTTTGGCATTTCCTGTAGTAAAGGTCTGGTGTTAATGAAATCCCTCAGTTTTTGTTTGTCGGGAAACGTTCTTATTTCTCCGTCAAGTTTAAAGGACGTATTTGCCAGATACATTATTCTAAAGTAAAAGTCTTTTTTTTCTTGAGCTTTTTTAATATGTCACGCCAGTCTCCCAGCCTGTAAATTTTCCCCTGAAAAGTCTGCTGTCAGATGTATTGGAGTTCCACTGAATGTTATTTTTTTCTCTTCTCTGGATGCTTTTAGAATCATTTCTTTATCCTTAACCTTTGGGAGTTCAGTTAAGTGCCTTGAGGTGGTCTTCTTTGGGTTAAATCTGCTTTATGTTTTGTAAGTTTCTGTTACTCGAGTGTTGATTTCAAATGTTGAGGAATTGTTTAATATTATTTAATATTATTTATTTAAATAAATGTTCAACTCATCTCTTTTTCTACCTCCTCTTTAAGGCCAATAACTCTTAGATTTGCTATTTTGAGGCTATTTTTTAGATTCTGTAGGCATGCTTTATTTTTTATTCTTTTTTGTCTCCTCTGACTTTGTATTTTTAAATAGTCTGACTTCAAGTTCACTAAATCTATCTTCTCCTTGATCAATTCTTTTAAGTAATTCTGATCCATTCTTCAGTATGACAATATCATTTTAACTTCAGAATTTCTGCTTTATTCTTTTTATTTCAATCTCATTGTTAAATTTATCTGATAGAATTTTGAATTCCTTCTCTGTGTTATATTGCATTTCTTTGAATTACCTCAACCAGCTATTTTGGATTTCCTGTATGAAAGGTCACATACCTCTGTTTTTCCAGGATTTGTCCCTGGTGCTTTATTTAACTTGTTTGGTGAGGTCATGTTTTCCTGGATGGCCCTGATACTTGTAGATGTTCATCTATCCATGGGTATTGAAGAGTTCAGTCTTTATCGTAGTCTTCACAGTCTGGGCTTGTTTGTGCCCATTATCTTTGGGAACACTTTCCAGGTATTCAAAGAAACTTGGGTCCCAAACCCAATAGCACAGTAGTTTATGCAAACACGTAGAGGTAGTGCCTTGGTGGACTTGGATTAACATCAAGAAAAATTCTCTTGATTTATCAAGTAGAGACTCTTGTTCTCTTCCCTTACTTTCTTTTAAATCAGCAGTCTCTCTTTCTGTGCTGAGACATACGGAGCTGGGGTCGGGGTAACATAAGCACCCCTGGGGCCACCACCACTGAGACTGTGCTGGTTCACACCTGAAGTAGGCTCAGAACTTGGTCTCACCCAAGGCCCACTGTAACCACTACTTGGCTACCATATAAGTTTATTCAAAGCCTTGGTACTCTGTGATTAATAGGTGGCAAAGCCAGCCAGGTTTGTGTCTCTGCCTGTAGGGTGGCAAGTTCCCCTAGCCATGAGTCGGTCCACAGATGCTACCTGGGAGCCAGAGATTAAAGCATAGAATCTTCAAAATTTACCTGCTCTTCTATTTTACTGTAGCTAACCTGGCACTTAGGGAATAAGAGAAAGTATTTTCTACTCTTCCTTCCCCTGTCTGCAGGCAGAAGAGCCTCTTCTATGACTGCCAACACTACTGGCCCATGGGAGGGTTCCACAAAATCATCATCACTTTCTCACTTAAAGCCCAAAGACTCTTTAGTTAGCTTGTGATAAATTCTGCAATGCCTGGGACTCAACCTTTGGCCCAGGGCAAGTGCAGAAATGCTGACCAAGACCCTAGGCCTGGAGTCAGGGACTCTAAGAATCTGCTTGGTGCTCTACCCCACTGTGGTTGAGCTGGCATATCAGGTGCAACGCAGAGTTCCCTTTACTTTCCCCACTGCTTTTCTCAAACATAAGAAGTCTTTCACCATAGCTACCACAGCTAGAAATGCACTGGGTCTCACCTGAAGTTAGCACTTCTCAGCCCAATGCCCATGGTGTATTTCCTGGTTGTCACTGGTTTTTATTCTGGGTACAGGGGTTCTTTAGTCAGCAAGTGATGAATTCTGCCAGGTCTTTACTGACATGGCAGCACTGAGTTTAATGTAAAGTCCTCCAGTCCTTGTGCTCTCCGTCTCCCAAATTCACAGGTTTCTCTGTGTTGTGTGGCTGCTGCTGGGTGGGGGGTGGGGGAGGAGTGTTGTGAGCACTCCCTTAGCTGCTTCAGCTGCTGTCTCAGTAGACCCCATCCTCCCCACCCTCCACATTCCACTGGCTCTGAGCCCAGCTAGGAGTATGACTTGCCTAATAATTGAAGTCCTTGTGGCTTAGACTGCCCCTTTAGTTCTCTTAGAATCCAATAGCATGTCAACTAATGATGGCAAGACTTGTAAAAACTCAAGCTCCCAACACTAGGATGGGAGATTATCCTCTTGCTAGGGCCAATACAACGCTCCCTCCATTGGCAGATGTCAGCTGAGTACAGTCTGGTTCTGCTTTTCACTGTGAGGGGGTAGTACTGAGTTTATTGCAAAGCCTCACAAACTATGCTCTCCCTCTCCCAAACATACTATCTCTGCACCATGTAGCCACTACTGGTGGTTGAAAAAAAGGTGGCATCCGTGCTTCTAGACCGTCTTTTTTTTTTTTTTTTTTTTTTTGCCTTCTCCAATGTCTCTTTCAGTGATATGAAGTCAATACCAGGTACTGTGATCGCTCACCCAATGTTTGGTCCCTTTGACAGTGCTTCTTGAATGTAGTGAGTTGTGAAAATTTGGTGTTTTTGTGTGGGGGATGAGAGTGTAGGCTTCTATTCTGCCCTTTTACTCTGTCTCTGCCTTAAATTTTTTAGATTCAGGGAGTATATTTGCAGGCTTGTTACATGGATATATTGTGTGATGCTGAGCTATCTGGGATATTATTGATCCCATCACCAAGGTAGTGAGCATATATTGTGGGATATAATTGATCCCATCACCTAGGCAGTAAGCATAGCACCCACAGTTTCTCATGCCCTGCCCTCCTCCTTCCCTCCTTCATCTAGTAGTTCTCAGTGTCTATTGTTGTCATCTTTATATTCATGAGTACCCCATGTTTAGATTCTACTTATAGGCAAGAGCATGTGGTATTTGGTTTTCTGTTCCTGTATTAATTTCCTTAAGATAATGGCCTCCAGACGTATGCATGTTGCTGCACAGGACATGACTGTATTCTTTTTAATGTGTGCATAGTATTTTATGGTGTATATGTGGCACATATTTCTATCCAATTTATTGATTCACACATAAGTTAATTCCATACCTTCCCTATTGTGAATAGCAATATGACTAATATGCAAGTGCGTGTGGGGTTTCTTTTTGTAGAATTTTTAATTTTCTTTTGGATATATACTCAGTAATGGAATTGCTGGTTGAATGGTACTTCTGTTTTAAATTCTTTGAAAAATCTCCAAACTGCTTTTCACAGTGACTGAACTAATTTACATTCTCACCAATAATGTATAAGCATTTCATTTTCTCTGAAGTCTAGCCAGAATTTGATTTTTTTTTACTTATTAATAGTAGCCATTCTGACTAATATGAGATGGTATCTCACATTGATTTACATTTCTCTGATGATTAGTGATGTTGAACATTAAGAAAACAACCCATTAAAACATTGACAAGGGACATAAGAAGACATCTCTCAAAAGAAGACGAGCTGGGCACAGTGGCTCACGCCTGTAATCGCAGCACTTTGGGAGACCGGGGTGGGCGGATCACAAGGTCAGGAGATCGAGACCATCCTGGCTAACACGGTGAAACTCCGTCTCTACAAAAAATACAAAAAATTAGCCAGGCGTGGTGGCGGGCGCCTGTAGTCCCAGCTACTCAGGAGGCTGAGGCAGGAGAATAGCGTGAATCGGGGAGGCAGAGCTTGCAGTGAGCCAAGATCGCACCACTGCACTCCAGCGTGGACGACAGAGTGAGATTCCGTCCCAAAAAAAAAAAAAAAAAAAAAAGATATAGAAGTGGGATCCTTATTCTATCACAATAAGCTGCCTTTCCTTTGCAAATACAAAATCAAATCATTTGAAAAATCACTTTAATTGTAGGGATTGACAGTATGTTTCCCCTCCTTCTCTATCTCCTTTCCTCTTTGTGATTTTTTTCTGATCACTATGAATCCACTCAGCAGATTAACTTCCATTTTTCATCTGTGTGAATTGTGCTGATGAGTTAGTCAGCTCTCTTAAAATCGCTAACAAAAAAGTTTTAAATTTCCTAGTTAGTAATACATTTTTAGCATGCCACAAAATAGTCTTAGAATAAGGACTTCTGGTCCAGGCATTATGGATTATGATGATTAGTTCTCTGATTTCTATCAGCTTTGAAATTAAGAGGTAAAAATCTAAGATAAATTGGACTTCATACTATTTATACATTTATTTGGTTTGTTAATTATTCCATAGGAAAACAGATGAAATACTTTTGTAGAATTCAATTCTGTTTCACCATATTTAGTGTTACAAGAAGGGAATTATATTGATGTAATTGACAGACTGAATTAACCTCAGTCATCACATATAATTTTTCTAGAGTTTTTTAATGGTATTGACATTCTTTTCAGTATGTCAATGCCTAGCTTGGGTTTCTGGGGAAGAGATGAATAGCTAGTACTACCCATCTAAACCATAATGTTCATTAGTTGGAATAATGGTGTGATATGATAGTCTTCAATATGTCCATGCCTAGCTTGGGTTTCTGGGGGAGACATGAGTAGCTAGTACTACCCATCTAAAACATAATGTTCATTAGCTGGAATAATAGTGTGATATGATAGTCTTCAAGATGATGCCCTCAATTTCTTTCCTCCCTGCATGCACATGCTGCTCTTTACCTTGACAGGTAGAGTCTACTGTCCCATTTCTTGAATCTGTGCTGGTCACAATGACTTGCTTTACCAATAGGATGCAGCAGAGGTCATATTCTAGGACCTCCAAGGCCAGGTCATAAGAAGCTTTGTGGTATTTGCCTGTGTGTCTTGGGACCAACTACCACGTTGTGAGGACTCCAGGTAACATGGAGAGGACAGATAGGCATCACACTCAGCAGCCAATATGCACTGCCAGCCATGTGAGTGACCTGTCTAGGCTCTTTAGCCTAGTTGAGCTTTCAGGTGACTTCAGCAGCAGCCAACCAACCACAACTGCAAGAAACACTCCAAAAGAGAACTTTTGTAGTGCCCATCAACCCACAAAACCATGAGAAATAATGTTATTTAAAATTACTAAACAAATAATAACAATAAACAATATTAAACAATAAATAATTCCTTAAGTTTTGGAATGGCTTACTATTCAGCAAGAGATAGCTAGAACAAGTACTAAATATTGCACAATACTGAATAAGTGTTAAGTTTAGTTGTATAATATACTTCTATATTTTAAAGCCATTGACATTTCGGAAAAGGGTGTAAAAGTGAGCACTGATTAAATGGTTCCCAAGAGAAGTTGCCTGTCGTATCTCAATATCATCATTCACCAATGGGAGCTGTATTTGTTTTCAGAAAATATACATTTTAATGTTCATTTTAAAAAATATACTAACAATTGTTTAGAAAGGCATATGCTATTTTGGAAAACATTTGAGCGAACCAGAAAAGTGTAAACTTTAAGGCTCTAATCATATTTATATGCTATTTAACCCATAAATCCAAAGTCTGATGGCAAATATGCTTATGTATTACTGATATTTGGATAAATAAGTTAAACTAACAGTTTTCTTTTTAAATGATAGGGTTTATAATTGGTATGATGTTGAGATGGCTGCAGTGGATGGACTCATCACCATAATAATATTTTCTCTTTAATACTTTTTTAGAACATTAAGTGACAACCAGAGTGTCTAAAACTGGGTTACACAGCAGTAATAAAATCAGAGTGACACTTTGCAGCAGCAGGACTGGAATTCTTGCTATTGGGGTTGGTGGCAGCAAACTCAATTATGGGTGACTTCTGCTTCATACTTAGATGGTGTGTTGGAACATTTCCTGTTTAGAACTTTCTAACACTTCCTGACTAGAGCTGTTTAAAATAGAAACAAATCCCTCTGATTTTGAATTTAGCCTATTTATTGTTATAATTTGTTCATATGTTTCTACTTTTTAGACTGTGGCTTTCTTATAGACAGAAGTTGTATCTTATACCTCTTTTTCTTCAGCAGCAGTGTGCCTGGCACCTAGTTGAATTGTCAGGTTCATTGAATAAGTAAAGTAAAATTATACTAGAAGTAAACTATTAAATTTATCAGTTTTACTCAGAAAATATATAGCTAAGTATGACAATTGAATCAATTCACTCACTTATTCAACAAACATTTTTTAAGTGACTACAGTATGCTATGAGCTAGGAATATGGCAGTAAACAAATCTCACCTTGTCTCAAACTTCAGTGGATCCAGGAGTCTCTAGAAGTTTAATTCTTGCTCAATCAGCAATTCCTTTTCACTGAAGACTTGACAAGAAGGTTTGAGAAGGCAAGAGTGTGTGAACTCAGCAGATGTTTGTGATGCACCTACTGTGTGCCAGCTGTAGTGTCACAGGGTCTGCCTGTGTCTCCTAGGAAAGGTGAAAACTAAGGACAATATTTTAAACAACAAATAATGCCAAGTATGCCACGTGATGGAGAAGGAAAGCGCTGGGTCCCAAGAGTATAACAGGCACTGAGCCTAGCGTGGGGTCCAGGCCTCTCTGGCATGGTGTCCTCCTAGGTCGTGGTTGTCCCTCCTTGTTGCTCCTGCTGTCTTCTTCAGTTACATCTGCTTCTCTGCATTTCCTCATTTTACAGTGTGTGGGATGCAGTTATCTCTGAACAGGAATAGGCAACTGTGCACCTGTTACGCCGTGCTTGATGCTCTGCATTGACGTACACTGGGCCCAGGTTTCCCTGGTGGACTGATTGGGCCGTTCTTGTCATCTGGCTCTGAAGACTTTGTTCACAGAGGTGCACTTGCCAGATGGGGGAGCTAGAGATCTGGGGCCCTCTGATGAGGCCATCCTTACCCTGCTTATCTTCCCTGACATACCTAACAGATGAAGCTCAGGTGGGCGATGCGCCTCAGGCCACAGTGTGGACTGTTGTAACCCAGCGAGTTATAGAGAAATGCCACACTTTGAGACAAATTAAGGAATCCTCTATTAGCTGGTGACCGAGAGGCAGCTAACGCTCAAAATTCTCTCGGCCCCGAGGAAGGGGTTGGTTTTGGTTTTATACCGTGGTCTAAATAGGGGAGGGGGGAGTTTGGCTGAAGCAATTTTTACAGAAGCAGAGCTGGCAAAAAGTTAAAAAATTAATTGGTTACAAAAGCAGTTGCAAAAAAATAAACAGTTCCAGGTGCAGGGGCTTAAACTATCACAAAGAGAGAAATGCAGGGGTTTTGGGTGCCATTCACCGAGCGCATCCCCAGGAGCTGCTGGCGCAGCTTGCCTCAATATCTTAACAGTAAGTGATTCCTGGACATGCTTTGAGTCAGTTTACACTAGTTATGTCCTTAAGGGAGGGAGGTAAAGGGGGCTGCACATGAAGAAACTAAAATGGAGTCTGTCCAGCTCTCTGCTAGGAGACAGTCACTCAGGTTAAAACAAGGTAGGTTATCACAGGACCATGTACAATTCTTCAAGCTCCAGCTTCAACTCTCTTTCTTATTGCTCTCTTAGGACAGTATATTTAGATGGGAGTAAATGAAAGTAATGTTATTAGGGGATAAGATTAAGATCGATCCCATTTGTAAAAAAGGAAGTAGATTATTTGTGAACTGTAATACTTTGTTTAGTGAAGAATCAACTTAAAACTTGAACCTGGATACAAGATAATTCCTTCATTCTGCAAATGTTTAGTAGCAAACTATATGCCAGGACTGTGCTAGGTACTAGGGATACATGGTTGAATATATAGTATAAGATGCCTTGGAGTGTCAGATAGTTTCACGTAAATGGCTCATGCAGTATATAGACAGTGTGGTAAAAAGAGACTACTGAGATGCACAGAGGACAGAAAATAAAGGGTCTTTGAATGGTGGATAAATGTGTTTGGACTTTTCACTCAGGGCTGTTGAAGTTTTGGAAGGTCAGTGGTCTCAGAGTTTTGGTGTTTTCAAGCACTGCTAAATACTTTGTTTCTAGCTGATGATTGGCCACCATTACTGATCGTCTATTGGCTCTGTCTGATTCAGCAATCCCACCACTGGGTATCTATGCAAAGGAAAAGAAATCAGTATATCAGAAAGATAACTGTACTTATATATTTGTTGCAACACTATTCACAGTAGCACAGATATAAAATCAACCTAAATGTCCATCAACAAATGACTGGAGAAAGAAAATGTAGAAAATATACAAAATGAAATACTATTCAGGCACAAAAAATAGAATCATAACTTTTGCAGACACATGGATGGAACTGGAGGCCATTGTTGTAAGTGAAGCAAGCCAGACACAGAGTAAACATCGTATTTTATCACTCATAAGCGGGTGCTAAAAGATGTGTAGGTATTGATGTAGAGAGTGGAATAATAATGGAGACACAGCAGGGTGAGGGGATGGAAGGGGTGAACAGTGAGAAATTATTTAATGGGTACAATGTGCATTATTCTGGTGATGGATACCCTAAAAGCCCTGACTTCACCACTATGCCATCCATGCTTACAGCAAAATTGCACTTGTAACCCATAAATTTATACACAAAAAACTTAGACCTCTCTCTCTTCTCTTATAAGCCTCAGAGCTCAGTGATCCCCTTGGATCTCCTCAGCCTGCTGAGTTTTGACTTTCCTACCTAAGGTGATTTTGGGCAGAGACAAGGGAGTGTTTCAGGAAGATGTTCTCAGGCACATGCTTCTGAAGAAGCATTGGAGGCTCTTCTAGTGGCCTTTATCTAGTCACTGCTTTAAGCAAGGAATAAAACATCTGTGGCTTAGATTTAAAAAACTCTGTTTCCCACCCACCCTTCAGACCTGACAGAAGAGATTTTAGGATTTTAAGGGAAGAGATTTTTCCTGACCCAAAAGGGCACAGTAGTGCAAAGGCCAATGTCACATAAGTACGTTTTCCCCATCTGTAAAATAACTTTCAGATACTATTCCCACAGCTGGAATCAGTACAATGTTTTGACTGAGGTATTGGAAAAGCCTATGAGCTCATTATCATTTGAACATATGAGTAATGTAAAATTTAGACAGAATTTTATTTGAAAGGATTATTTATGCAATTTTAAATTAACTGATTTATATTGCGGTTATTTCAAACAATAAAAATCAGGTTGTTGTGTTATGAGATAGAAATATTTACAATAACACATGGTCTTGATTATCTCACATGATGAATTGAAGATTAAAGCAAAATAATTTATCTTAGGGAATTCTGTGACAGTTTTGTTTCACTTTGCTTAATAATGACTTCAAACTGTTGTACATATATAGAGAACTCCTGACTAAAGAGAATTTTTGACTATTGTGCTATGTTTCTGTAACTTTTTAAGATCTAGAGGAACATACATTTAGTCTCAGTTGGCCAACTAAATGTTATGGAGTCAGCTTCTGTGTTATGTGCGTAGCATTGAAGGAATGGTGGAGACAAGGCCGCTGCCCTCGCAGAGTCTGGGGAGAAAACCTGATGGAGTGTGGTAGGGAACATGCTGGGAGCATCCCAGGATGACAAAAGCACACACAGATGGAACACCTGCCTTAGAACAGGGGAGGGTCAGACAAGGAGAAGTGTCAGGAAAAACAAGGAAAGTTTAATATGCAGGAATAGAAACACACTTGAGAAATCCATGGGGAATGAAAAGAGAATGGCTGAGCAGCAGCAGATTGTCAAGAAGGACATCAAGAAGGAGCAGCCTAAGAGGTTGATGGAGAACCAGGAGAAAGGTGACACTGAAGCCAAGGGAAGGAAAGTGTTTCAACATTTCTGGGAAAAAAATGACATGCTCTGTCTTAACCTTGCTGTTTTATGAGCCATAGAGCCACATTCCAGGTTCTGAGAAGTCCAGCGCTAAAGATGTTTCTTTTAGTTTGCTTAACCCAGCATTTGCCAGAATAATCTGGGCTCAGTGTGAGTGTGTGTGCATGTGTGTGCCTGTGTGTTCCACTAATATCTCACTGGGGCTAATGCTGTATACAACATAATTTTTAAAACACTAGTTTTATCCATCTTATGTTCAGCTGCAGCAATATTTAGAAAGGTCAGCTTTGATCACGTGTCTTAGTTACTGAAGAAAACAAAACAAACTAATGAATAAAGCCCACCTGGCAGTGGATCCTCACTACCTGTATGATGGAGCCCACCTGGTTTGGCCTGGGTGCCCTGTGCTGACCTGGCCTTGCTGCCCTCTGCCTGCTGCTTTGCTGCCCCTTTCCTCCTGGAGAAGGTAGAGATGCTCTGAGCTTTGGCCTGTCTGGAACATGTGTCCTTCTCCTAAAGTGGACCATGTTTTCCTGAGTCCACTTTAATCTCTTTTAAGGGTATAGAACTTTCCTTAAAGCTTTTGGTCAGGTCTCACTCTCTATGCTGTCTTCCTGCCACTTCTACAGTGTACATACTTTACTGATACATTAATTATGCTATACCAGCCCAGGACTTTACTTATATATCATTTTATATCATCATCTTTTTTTCTTAGAGCTTAGTTCACTTATTTGTTCAGTCTTTCCACAATATAATTGTATGCCATATAATTTTATATTTATTTTCATTGGTATTTATAAATCTTTTCTGTAAAAATGGAGGCTTTCTAAATAGATCTTCATTAATGTTGAAAGAACAAGGTTTTAAGTCTTGGTCTCAGCCAAAAGTAGTTCCCCGCATATCCAGGAGGGAAAGAAACACTTGCATCGTTGCATTAGATATTCTTACAGAGAAAGAGAACCATGTGTAATGGAAAATTGCTAACTTTGCCTCAGGGAGACCAGGTTGATTCACTGAGAAAGTTTGAATTGGTTTAGAAAGCATAGTTCTGAGTTTTCTAGGAGAAGGAGAAAAGTTAGAGTAGGGCATAAGAAGTAATCCCCATATCAAAAAGTTAGAAAGATCTCAAATTAACAACCTAACATCACAACTGAAAGAATTAGAGAAGCAAGAAGAACTCAAACACAAAGCTTATAGAAGATAAGAAATAACTAAAATCAGAGCTGAATTGAAAGAAATTGAGACAAGAAAAGCTGTTCAAAAGATCACTTAATCAAGGTTTTTTGAAAAAATTAGTAAGATAGATAGGCACTAGCTAGACTAATAAAGAAGAAAAGAGAGACGATTCGAAGAAGCACAATTAGAAATGATGAAGGGAATGTTACCACTGACCTCACAGAAATAAAAATAACAACCAGCAACTACTATGAACACCTCTGCACACACAAACTAGAAACCCTAGAAGAGATGAATAAATTCCTGAACACCTACACTCTCTCAAGACTGAACCAGGAAGAAATTCAGTCTCTGAACAGATCAATTATGAGCTCCAAAAATTGAATCCGTAATAAATAGCCTACCAACCTCCCATAAAAGCCCAGGACCTGATAGATTAACAAATTTTAACAGATGTACAAAGAAGAGCCAGTACCAGTCCTACTAAAACTATTTCAAGAAATAGAGGAGGAGGGACTCTTCCCCAACTTGTTCTACGAGGCCAGCATCATCCTGATACCAAAGCCTGGCAGTGACACAACAAAGAAAGAAACCTTCAGGCCAGTATCCTTGATGAACATCCATTCAATAATCCACAATAAAATACTTGCAAACTGAATCTAGCAACACATCAAAAGGCTAATTCACCATAGTGAAGTAAGCTTCTTCCCTGGAATGGAAGGTTGGTCCATCATGGGCAAATCAATAAAATGTGATTCATAATATAAATAAAACGAAAGATAAGAACCATGTGACTGTCTCAACAGATGCAGAAAAGGCTTTCAGTAAAATTCAACAAAGCTTCATGTTAAAAATTCTCAATAAACGAGGTATCGAAGGAACATACCTCAAAATAATAAAGGCCACCTATGACAAATTCACAGCCAACATTATACTAAATGGGCAAAATCTGGAAGCATTCTCCTTGAAACCCGCACAAGACAAGGATGCCCTCTTTCACCACTCCTATTCAACATAGTATTAGAAGTCCTTTCTGGAGCAATCAGACAAGAGAAAGAAATAAAGGTATTTAAATAGAAAGAGAAGTCCCACTACCTCTGTTTGCAGACAATATAATTCTCTATCTAAACTCTATAGTTGTGACCCAAAAGCTCCTTAAGCTGATAAACAACTTCCACAAAGTTTCAGGATACAAAATTAATATACAAAATTTGCTAGCATTCCTATGCACCAAGAAGAGACAAACTAAGAGCCAAATCAGAGAGGCAATTTTATTCACAATTTCCACAAAAAGAATAAAATACGTACGAATACAGCTAACCAGGGAGGTGAAAAATCTCTACAATGAAAATTATAAAACACTGATCAAAGAAGTTAGAGAAGCCACAAACAAATGAAAAATCATTCCATGATAATGGAGAGAAAGAAGTAATATCATTTAAATGGTCATACTGCCCAAAGCTATTCCTATTAAACTACCAATGACATGCTTCACAGAAGTAGATAAAGCTATTTAAAAATTCATATAGAACCAAGAAAGAACCTAAGTAGCCAAGGCAATCCTAAGCAAAAAGAACAAAGCTTGAGGCATCACATTACCTGACTTCAAACTGTACTACAGCACTATAGTAACCAAAACAGCATGGTACTAATACAAAAACAGACACATACACCAATGGAACAGAATAGAGAGCTTAGAAATAAGACCACATACCTACAACTATCTAATCTTTGACAAAGCTGGCAAAAACAAGCAATGGGGAAAAGATGCCGTATTCAATAAATGGTGCTGTGATAACTGGCTAGCCATATGCAGAAGATTGAAGTTGGACTGCTTCCTTATACCATACACAAAAATCAACTCAAGATGGATTAAATGCTTAAATGTAAAACCCAAAACTATAAAAAGCCCTGGAAGACAACATAGGCAATACCATCCTGGACATAGAAACAGGCAAAGATTTCATGATAAAGACACCAAAAACAACAAATGCAACTATTGACAAGTGGGATCTAATTAAACTTAAAATCTTCTGCTCAGCAAAAGAAATTATCAATAGAGTGAACAGACAACCTGTAGAATGAGAAAAAATATTTACAAACTATGTATCTGACAAAGATCTAATATTCAATATAAGGAACTTAAATTTACAAGAGAAAAACAAACAACCCTATTAAAAAGTGGCCAAAGAATTGTCTATTCATGTCCTTAGCCTACTTTTTGATGGGATTGTTTGTTTTTTTCTTGCTAATTTGTTTGAGCTCGTTGTAGATTCTGGATGTTAGTTCTTTGTCAGATATACAGATTGTGAAGATTTTCTCCCATTCTGTGGATTTTCTGTTAACTCTGCTGACTGTTCCTTTTGCCGCGAAAAAGCTCTTTAGTTTAATTAAATCCCAACTATTTATCTTTGTTTTTCTTGCATTTGCTGTTGGGTTCTTGGTCATGAAATCCATGCTAAGCCAATGTCTAGAAGGGTGTTTTTGATGTCATCTTCTAGAATTTTTATACTTTCAGGTCCTAGATTTAAGTCCTTGATCCATCTTGAGTTGATTTTTGTATAAGGTGAGAGATAAAGATCCAGTTTCATTCTCCTACTTGTGGCTTGCCAATTATCCCAGCACCATTTGTTGGGTAGGGTGTTCTTTCCCCACTTTGTTTTTGTTTGCTTTGTCAAAGATCAGTTGATTGTAAATATTTGTGTTAATTTCTGGGTTCTCCATTATGTTCCATTTGTCTATGTGCCTGTTTTTATACCAGAACCATGCTGTTTTGGTGACTATGGTCTTACGATATAGTTTGAAATCAGGTAATGTGACGCCTTCTGATTTGTTCTTTTTGTTTAGTATTGCTTTGGCTATGTGGGCTCTTTTTTGGTTCCATATGAATTTTAGGATTTTTTTTTTTAGTTCTGTGAAGAATGATGATGGTTTTTTGATGGCAATTGCATTGAATTTGTAGATTGATTTTGGCAGTATGGTCATAGACAATTCTCAGAAGATATACAAATGGCCAACAAACATATGAAAATATGCTCAACATCACTAATGATCAGGGAAATGCAAATTACAACCACAATGTGATACCACCTTACTCTCTCAAGAATGGTCATAATAAAAAAAAAATAGATGTTGATGTGAATGTAGTGAAAAGGGAACACTTCTACACTGCTGGTGGGAATGTAAACTAGTACAATCACTATGGACAACAGTGTGGAGATTCCTTAAAGAACTAAAAGTAGAAGTACTATTTGACCCACCAATCCCACTACTGGCTATGTACCCAGAGGAAAAAAAAGTCATTATACAAAAAAGATACCTGCACACATATATTTATAGCAGCACAATTTGCAATTGCAAAAATGTTGAACCAATCCAAATGCTCATCAATCAACGAGTGGATGAAGAAACCGTGGTATATATGCACAATGGAATACTACTCAGCCATAAAGAGGAAATGAATTAATGGCAGTTGCAGCAACCTGGATGGGATTGAAGACTATTATTCTAAGTGAAGTAACTCAGGAATGGAAAACCAAACATCATATATTCTCACTTATAATTGGGAGCTAAGCTATAAGGATGCAAAAGCTTAAGAATGACACAATAGACTTTGGGGACTCAGGGAGAAACGGGAGAAGGGGGTGAGTGATAAAAGGCTACAAATTGGGTTCAGTGTATACAGATGAGTTGATGGATGCACCAAAATCTTACAAATCAATAAAGAACTTACTAATGTAACCAAATGCCACCTGTTGTCCTAAAACCTATGGAAATAAAAAAATGTTTAAAAAGTGGGCAAAGGACATGAATGCTTTTCAAAAGAATACATACATGTGACCAACAACCATAGAATACAAAGCTCAGTATCACTGATCATTAGAGAAATGCAAATCCAAGGCACAGTGAGACACCATCTCACACCAGTCAGAATGGCTATTATGAAAAAGTCAAAAAATGACAGATGCTTGGGAGTGTACATTGGTCCCACCATTGTGGAAAGCACAACAGTGCTCTCCTCGAAAGAGATAAAAGCAGAACTATCACTTGACCCAGCAATCTCATTACTGGGTATATACCCAGAGGTATATAAATTGTTCTATCATAAAGACACAAGCACGTAAATGTTTATTGCAGCATTATTCACAATAGTAAAGACATGGAATCAACCTAAATGCCCAATGACAGGTTGGATACAGATAATATGGCACATTGTGGAGCAAAATTTAAATATTAAATTTGAACTCTATTGAACAGGGACAGAAACAATGGTCACTAAGTCCTGGAACGAGTTGTGTGAGCCCCTTGAGGCATTCATCCAGTGCTGTTTCGGAGAACTAGTTATTGAAAAACAACAGACAATGGCAAAAACAAGTTGTCCTTTTTGTATTCCTTGAGCCCAGTCAGGAAGGGCTTTCATGACCGGGCCTCCTGACAAACAACTTGTTACAAAAAGAGCTCGGTTCCCAGACTGCGCCGAAGTTTCATGGGACCTCTCCTCGTCTGTGCACGGACTACTGGTCAATTCTGGAGCCCAGGCTGTTGCTTCCTGGTCTGTTGATGAATCCTCCATAGTCTGGCGAGTGTAAAACAAAAAATATATATATATGTGTGTATATATATATACACACACACATATATATACATATATACACGTATATATATGTATATATAGATATATACGTGTATATATACATATATACACATATACACATATGTGTATATGTGTATATACACATATACACATATGTGTATGTGTATATACACATATACACATATGTGTATGTGTATATACACATATACACATATGTGTATGTGTATATACACATATACACATATATATACATATATATATTACATATATACATATATGTATATATAGATATATACATATACACATATATACATATATACATATATGTGTATATATACGTATATATATTACATATATATACACACACACATATATATATACATTTTCCCTTCTCCCCTTCCCATTACAATTTGTTTATTGTATCATTTGCTTATTATATCTATATTGCCATATACTTGTGATAAAGTCTGTTTACCCTTAAAAGTATTGTGTGTTTCTTTTCTTCTTTCCTCACACATTTCCCACACAGAACACACATATGCACCATGGAATACTGTGCAGCTATGTGTTCTCACTTATAGGTGGGAGCTAAATAATGAGAACTTATGAACACAAAGAAGGAAACAACAGACAACAGACACTGGGGTCTACTTGAGGGGGGGAAGGTGGGAGGAGGGAGAGGAACAGAAAAGATAACTATGGGGTATTGGGCTTAATACCTGGGTTATGAAATAATCTGTATAACAAGCCCCTGAGATACGAGTTTGTCTATGTAACAAACCTTCACATGTTCCCCCGAGCCTAAAATAAAACATTTTTAAATCCTTTATGAAAGCTATAAGATCTGCTTCTGTGTGTTTGTATGTCTATATGTGTTACGTGTATGTGATAATATTTTGTAAATAAGCTTGTTCTTAAATCGTTAGTAAAATAGAAATGGCTTTACAATTATCCATTAAATATAATTAGATATTTGCTTGATTTAACTGTGAGCTTATGTCTTTTGTTGAGAGTTTCTGGATTCAGGGGGTCTTGATAGAGGACCATGATGAAGTATGGAGACATGTTCTCAGTGCCTAGACCAGCAGCTAAAAGCCAGAATCAAGCCCAATCGGCCCCTTCTTTCTGTGCTTTCCCTGTTTTGCCTTCTGGCTATTTTAGGAGGGGTTGGATCCTCCAGGTATAGCCTTCACAGCTCTGTCTTTAGTCCTAATGGACTCAGGCAGGCCCTGATCTTCACAGTTTTCCTGGGTGCCATGTGGCTACTTGGGACCTAAAATTACTGAGGGAAGACATTACGGATGCTACCTGTGTCATGGTTTCAAAATTCTGTTCAGTAATTTAAAATCTTAAAGTCACGTTAAATTAAGTAATAGATAGCCATAAAATATCTTGAGTCATTTGTAAGCTAAAATAGTGAAATATTAACCATTAAAAATTAGTTTAGTTCTATATACCATGACATGTTTCTTGTATATGGTATAGAAAACCTAAATATCTTTAGTTCTGTTAATAAACAGTAATTTGAAGAACTATATTTCTTAAAAGTTGTAAAATGGTTTTTATCTAAAAATACTGATATAAGACAGTTGAAAAATAACTTTTTAGGGTTTCATTGAATATTGGGGCTCCTAAGACTTAATTACTAGATATGAGAGAAACAATTCTGCATAGAGTGTATAAAAAGCAAGATATGCCTTATTTTTCTTTTTTGAGACTGAGTCTTGTTCTGTTGCCCAGGCTGGCATGCAGTGGCATGATCTCAGCTCACTACAACCTCTGCCTCCCCGGTTCAAGTGATTCACCTGCCTCAGCCTCCCAAGTAGCTGGGATTACAGGTGCTCGCCACCACACCCAGCTAATTTTTGTATTTTTAGTAGAGACAGAGTTTCACCATGTTGGCCAGGCTGGTCTCGATCCCCTGACCTCAAGTGATGCACCTACCCTGGCCTCCCAAAGTGTTGGGATTATAGGATTGTGAAAATATGTTTTTGATGATAAAACTTATAAAGACATAAAACTGTGTTTTAATTTTTTTTTTTTTTTTTTGGTTTGAAGTTACTTAAAGGTTTCAAATTGAAGAAGTAAAAAAAACTAGATAAAACTAGATAAATATAGAAAGTTGGGGGAAAATGCAAAGCATAGGTTCACAAAAATCTGGGATTAAAAGATAACAACATTTGATAAATGCATTTATAAAGTTTTATTAAATTAGCTTTAGAGGCCAGGCGCTGTGGCTCATGCCTATAAATAAATAAAATTTTCTTGTCAATTGTGTCTGACTATGACAACTTAAAGTCATTTCCACAGTAAATTGCTTAATTCTGAGGCAGTTTCTGAAAACTTTACAAGCTTGCAAAATCCTGGAATATTGTATCTTTAAGGAGGTTCATGAAAGGATGGAGAAGGCCCTCAGAAGCACTCTTGAATACAGGTTTTTGAGAACTTTAGAATGATATTATTTGAACTGGGTAAGAATTCCCAGAACTTTAATGAAGAGACTAACTGGTTAATAAAACTGCTAACCCAAGCAGAATAAAAATCAATTGAATACCAAGAAAATACTTTGCCAGATTTTCATGCCAAATCAGCTAGTACTTAAATTGTCTAGATAAAGAATTTGAATGAACGGCGTAGTCCAAGTCAAACTATCTATGATAATCCCTGATTAGTCAGTGCTATGCACCTCAGTTGAAGAAACAGTCCAATGTTAAGCATGGAGAACCAGAATGTCTTCCTTGTCCTTCCTGAGTTCTGAAAGCTTTTCTTATTAAAAGTTCTGAATTCTGATTCTTGGGCGTGAGAGTAAAGCAAGACGGCAGAAAGAAGGCTCCACTGATTGTCCCTCTGCAAGGACACCAGATGAACAACTATTAATATCCACATAGAAAATACATTCATAAGAACCAAAGATCAGGTGAGTACTCAAAGTACCTGGTTTTAACCTCAGATCACTGAAAGAGGCACTGAAGAGACAGAAAAAACAGTCCTGAAATCACCGTTTCCTCATCCCCAGCAGTGATGGCATGCTGCAGAGATCAACTCTGGGTTCTGCGGGAGAGAGAACACAGCAATTGTGAGGCACTGAACTCAGTGCTGTCCTGTTAGAGCAGAAAGGAAAACCAGACCAAGTGCAGTTAATGCTGATCCACAGAGTGATCAATTAAGCCAGCCCTAGCCAGAGGAGAATCAGATTCCAGTGGTTGGAACTTCAGTGTTTGGAAACCTGGCAACTAAGGGCTCCCGCACTCTGTGTGTCTAAGAAAACTTGAAAGGCAGCCTAGGCCATCAGGACTGTAACTCTTAGGTGAGGCCTAGGGCTGAATGGGGCCCAGGGACAGTGGACTGGGGTGGGGAGGGCAGGCAACATACTGAGACACCAGCTGGGGCAGCCAAAGGAGTTCTGGCATTATCACTCCGCTAACACCAGACTGCACAGCTCATGGCTCCAAAAGGGACCCCATCCTTCTGCTTGAGGAGAGGAAGGAAAAGAATAGGGAGTACTTTGTCTTTCATCCTGGGCACCAGCTCAGCCACAGCAAGGTAGTGCACTGGTCAGAATCCTGCAGCCTCCTTTCCAGTCTCTGGCTCCTAGACATTCCTAGACACACCCTGGGCCAGAAAAAAACCTGCTGCCTTGAAGAAAAGAACCATGTGCTGGCAGGATTTATCGCCTGCAAACTTGAAAACCTTTGGGCTCTGAATAACCAGCAGCCATACCCAGGTACTACATCAAGGGCCTTGGATGACCCTCATAGACTTGCTAGATTTAGGTGAGGTCAGCACATTACTAGCTGTGGTGGCTAAGAGGCAAAACTCCTTCTTCTTGGGAAAAGTAGAGGGAAAATTAAAGGGGACTTTTTCTTGCCCCTTAGGTACCAGCAAGGCCAGAGGTGGGTAGAGCACCAAGCGAACTTTCAGAATCCCTGATTCTAGGACTTGATTTTTGGTTGGCATTTATGAAGCTGCCCAGGGCCAGTAGGGATCCCATTGTCCTGAAAACGCAAGTCCCAGGCCAGGCAGCATTCATCACAAGCTGACAAGAGGCTTTGGGCCTTAAGGGAACATTGGTGGTAGCCTGGCAGTACTCACTGTGGCCTGAGGTGGTGGTGGCTACCCTGCCTTTAGGAAAGGAAGGGAGGAATAGGAAGAACTATGTCTTGTGGTTTGAGTGCCAGATCAGCTGCAATGCAATAGAATGTCAAGTGGACTTCTAAAATTTTTGACTGTACTCCCTGACTTCTGAATGGCATTTCTGGACCCAGCCAGGGACTGAGGGCACTCACTGCCCTAAAGGAAAGAACACAGGCCTGGCTGGCTTTGCCACCTGCTAATTGTAGAGACCAAAGGCCTTGAGTGAACATAGGCAGTCATCAGAAAGTTCATGCAGCAGGACTTGAGCAAGACCCGATGCTGTGCTAGCTTCAGGTCTGATCCAGGGCAGTCATAGTGGTGGTGGCCAGGGGTGCTTGTGTCTTTCTTCTCCCAGCTTTAGGTGGCTTAGAACAGAGAGAAAGACTCTGTATCTTTGAGAGAAAATAATGGTAGAGAACAAGAGTCTCTGGCTAGTAATCCAGAAAATTCTCCTGGATCTTGTTGAAGGCTGTCAAGGTGGTATTTCTCTGAGTCTGGAAGAATTACAGCATTATTGGGTATAAGGTACCCCATAAAGCAGATATGGCTTAGATCACAACCTAAGCCATATTTGACCCATATTTGACCCAAGTCTTTTCAAATATGTGAAAAGTCTTCCCAAGAAAGACAGCTACAAATAAGCCCAGACAGTGAAGACTACAATAAATACTCACCTTTTCTCTTTTTTAATTTTATTTTTTAAACCTCTCATATGGTGCTGCATGCCCAAGATTTTAATGTCCAGACACTGAAGAACATCTACTACCATCAACACCATCCAGGAAAAAAACATGACCTCACCAAGTGAACTAAATAAGGCACCAGGGACAAATCCTGGAGAAAAAGAGATATGTGACCTTTCAGACAGAGAATTCAACATAGCTGTAAAAAGAAAAAAAAAACCTGAAAGAAATTTAAGATAACAAAGTAAAGAAATTCCAAATTTTATCAGCTAAACTCAACAAAGAGATTGAAATAGTTACAACAAATTAAGCAGAAATTCTGGAGCTGAAAAATGCAATTGGCATGCTGAAGAATGCATTAGAGCCATTTAATAGCAGAATGGATCAAGCAGAAGAAATAGTGAGCTTGAAGACAGGCTATTTGAAAATACATAGAAGAGACAAAAGAAAAAGAATAAAAACAACAAATCATGCCTACAGGATCTAGAAAAATAGCCTCACAAAGACAGATCTAAGAGCTATTGGTTTTAAAGAAGATGTAGAGACAGAGGCAGGGGTAGAAAAATTTATTCAAAGGGATAATAACAGAAAACTTTCCAAACCTAGAGAAAGATATCCATATCCAACTACAAAAATGTTATAGGACATTAAGCAGATTTAACCCCAAAAAGACTATTTCAAAGCGTTCAGTAGATCCTCCAAAAGTCAAAGATAAGAAAAGTTCTAAAGGAAGAAAGAGAAAAGAAACAAGTAACATACCGGTGAGCTCCAACACGTCTGGCAGCCGACTTTACAGTGGAAGCCCTACCGGCCAGGAGAGAGAAGCAATAAATATTTAAAGTACTAAAGGAAAAAAACTTTTACCTTAGAATAGCATATACAGTGAAAGTGTTCTTCAAATAAAAAGAAATACTGACTTTTCCAGACAAACAAAAGCTGAAGTATTTTATGAATACCATGTCTGTCCTAAAGGAATGCTAAAGAGAGTACATTAATGAGCAATAAATGATCACCTAAAGGTAAAAAAATCCTCACTGCTAATAGGATACAAAACAAAACACAATATTATAACACTATAGCTGTGTGGTGTGCAAACTACTCTTATTCAAAGTAGGAATATTAAATAATATCCAATCAAAAGTAATAGCTACAACAACATTTCAAGACATAGCACAATAAAATATAAATAGAAACAACAAAAAGTTAAAAAGTGACGGGATGAGCATACCTGTCCTGAGCCGGCCGATGTGGTGGAAGCTCGGAGCTCGGGAGCCGGGGAAGCCCTGGAGCGTGGGCGGAAGGGAGGCCGCCCCGAGAGCCGGAAGCCTGGGCAAGGAATGGAGGCCTCGGGCGCCCCCCAGCAACAGCAGGGCGGCGCCACACTGGTCCTGCGCGAGGCTGGCCGCCGGCGACGGCGGGACGCTCTGGGAGGTCGGCGGAAAGCGCAGCGCCGCGACTGGCGGTGCTTAGGCTTAGAGGGGGAGAGCAGCCCGGCCACGGGCAAGCGGCTCCGGGGTGCCTGATCCCAGCCTCGCGGCCCCGGGTTGGTTATGACGCCTGGAATCAGGCGCGCGTATCTGGACCCGGCTCTTGGGCCAGCCAGGGGCCACTGCCATTGTCCACGTCCATACTACCCTGAACACGAGAGAAACCCAAGCGGCGGCCCGTGGGCACGCTCGGCGCCACTGCTCCCACCACAGGGACAGGCGCACTCGACAACTTTCAGGGCCCACAGCACCAAGAGGACAGGGAGGAGCCAACAAAGGAATGACGCTAGGAAACGCACGCCCAAAGCAACCAACCAATCCAAGTAAAAACACGTCTCAGGGCTCCGTTGGTTTTCCCGCGTGGGCGGCCCTGCCCTCCTGTTCTAGCCCGGCCCAGGCACCCTCCACCCTACCCTCGCCAAAGGGTCCCCTGTCTACCAGAGCAGAGCCTCCCTCTCCAAGGCTCTGTTGCTCCCCCTCTCTAGCTCCCTCACCCTCTCCCTTTCTCTACTTCCCTCTCCACCTTGCTCTCTCTCTCTCTCTCTCTCCCTCTCTCTCGCAGTTTCCCCGTCCCTCTCTGTCTCTCTCTCTCTCTCTGTCTCTCTCTCTCTCTCTCTCTCTCTCTCTCTCTCGCAGTTTCCCCGTCCCTCTCTGTCTCTCTCTCTATCGCTGTTTCTCTCTCTCCTTCCGTTTCTATCTCTCCATCCCTCTGTCCCTTGCTCTTCTTCAAGCTGTCTGTGTCTTTGTGTGTCTGCGTGTATGCTTGTGTTCCCGCGCGTGCGCCCGTATGTGTCTGTTTGGGAGTGGGTTTGCTAGTGATTGTGGTGGGGTGTGTCTGGATGTCCGTCAGTACCTTTGTCCTGGGATCAGGCTGCCAACTCTATTGCCAGCGCGTGGGTGTCATAGTTGCCGTGATAGTCTCACACACGCAGGTGTGTGGATCTCGTTCATTTTCATGTAGACAATGAGAGCGAAAGCACAGAGAAAAAGAAACGTCCCGTGCATCACGGCCTGAGGATGGATTCCTGTTTTCTGCAAAATGGGGAGTCTTCGATATAGCCTGTTTGAAAACTGGAAAGGAGAGCACCGACACGATGCTGGTCTTCCACGCATTCCTGGAAGTTTCTGGGTCCCCACAGAGCTCGGGAAACAGTCAACATGGTCACGCTTTCCGGGGGCGGCAGAGACTTGAGTAACAGGCACCTTTGCAGAGAGCAAAGAAACGTGGAATCCAGAATCACGCTTCACTTGGCCTGAGCGTGACTTCTGTGTGGATGGGACTATCCGCCTCGCGCTCTGTTGCAGGGCTAAACGTGGGGATATGTCATCTGTGAACCATGTGGATGAAAAACAGACAACCACCCGAGTCTCCGCTCATTGCTCTCTGGGGAATTCGCTCATTCCTTCGGAAACGGAATTCGTCTGAATCGCTCTGGGATGAAGTAACCCAGGCTGGCGATCCGGAGGGCCGCTGAGCTCCCCACCGGCCAACGGGGCTGTGGGCCCAGCACTTAGCCCGCACTGGGCACCCAACATTTTCCCGGATTGCTGGGTCCTGTTGGTTCTGGAGGCAGAAGACCGTTTTTCTGTCTGCCTTCGGTTCTCTGTTTCTTGCTCCTTTTGTCCCTCGGTCCATCCTGCCCTCTGTTCTTCCCTCCCTGCCCTGGTTTTTTCCTCCCTTTCTCCCTCTCTCCCTCTTCCTCTCCCTTCCAGGGTCCCTCCGTCCATCCATCCTTTCCTAGCTCCATCCTTCCGTCCCACTCTGTCTCCGTTCCTGTCCTCATCTCTGCCTGCCTTCCCTCTTGCCTGGAAAGGGCAGCACCCCGGTTTGCGCGGGGTCTCGGGTCTACATTTAGTTGCAAGGCGCTCCATGGTGCTGGCGAGGAGGCTGGTGGGACACGGGTTGGCAAGTGATAGTGAGAGAAGAGGCAGAGGAATCGAGCCGCAGAAAGGAGAACTGGCCTGGCTTCTGCCCCGACCCAGTGTTTCGCGGACTGAGGTCTCCGCCAACCCGACTGAAGAACGCGGGGGGAAAAGGGATGCGAGCTCCGCCTGGGCTGGTTAGAAAACCTAAGCTGTTGCCTGCAAACCCCCGCATGAGCAGTAGACAGTCCACCTCCCGGTACGTGGACGGGCCCTGGGATCCCCGGGATGCTCAGGAAAGAATGACAGCCCTCCTCTGTGTGGAGTCTCTCGCCGGACCTGGAACCCAGGGATCCTAGACAGGTCAACTGGAAGGGAAGACACGCCTCTCCATACCGAGCCAGAGGTTCACCGCCAAAGAGAGGCCGCCGCCCTGCCCCCGCCCCGCCCCAACCCGGCGTCCTAAAGCTCCTCCAGCAGAGCCCCGTGTTCTTCCTGGCTGAGGAGTGGTTCCAGCGGAGCAGGCTCTTCCACCTCCTTCAGCTCCCCCAGTGACACCGGATCTAGGAAAGGTTGTGCCTTTTGCTGAAAGTCTGGGGTTGACGGGAGCTCATCTAACAGGCTGGAGGTGAGTGCAGACGAGCGCCCCGGCTCCTGGAGCGGTTGGGAGGCGCCTGGATGGCTGGCATCTGTGCTTGACGCAGAGGCCTCCGGGGTCGCGAGCTTCGGAGGTGGAGGTGCCCCGTCTTCGGGTTCCCACGCCGCCCTGGCGACCTGGGGCTCCAGCCCCACCGCGGACTCCGGTGGGACGTGGGTGGCGCAAGCACACCTTGCCCCTGTGACTCAGCTTGAGGGGGCCCAAGCTGTCCCACTGAGCACGCGCCCAGCAGGCCGTCGCGCTGCGGGTCCTGGTCCTCCTGTCATTTACTGGGGTGCGGAGGCCTCCGAGGAGTCTGAGGGTGGGACAGTCCCACTTCCGGAGGAGCTAGGGCAGGGAACACAAAGTCCCGAGTGCCGGGGCAGGTTGGGAGATCCCCTCTGCCGGCGCGGCCTGGCTGGGCTGGAGCACGGGGACGGCCCTCGCTCCCTGGCTCCCGAAAGCCCCCTGTGGGAGAGCCCCAGGCGCGCAGGGCACGTGGGATGCGGGAAGCCCCGTTCCCCACGCCCCGGTGTGGGCGCAGGCGACCCACGAGGGAGCAGGGTGACACCCGCTGGGGGCCGCGTTGCACAGGCCGCCTGCGTGCGCGGGCGCCCTGCCACCCTGTCCCGGGTGCCTGGCCCTTCGATTCTGAAACCAGATCTGAATCCTGGACTCCGGGAGGCCCGTCTCTCTGGCCAGCTCTTCCCTGGCGGCGATGCCTGGAAAGCGATCCTTCTCAAAGGCTCGGAGGAGCAGGGCGGTCTGGGATCCGGTGACGGCGGTCCGCTTTCGCCTGCCTTCTTGCAGGCCGCGTCTCCCGGGCCAGGGCCGAGATTCCCGCCGGTGCTGCCTCAGCTGGCGTGACCTCTCATTCTGAAACCAAATCTGGACCCTGGGCTCCGGAATGCCGATGGCCTGGGCCAGCCGTTCTCTGGTGGCGATGCCCGGGTACGGGTTCCGCTCAAAGCAGGCTCGCAGGACCTCGCTTTGGCTCGGGGTCCAAACGAGTCTCCTTCGCCGTCCTCGTCCTCGGGCTTCCGCGGGGAGGGTGCTGTCCGAAGGTGTCGGGAGGGCCATCGCGGGGAGCCCCGGCCGGAATTTCACCGACGGACACGGGCGGAGAGAGGCCGGCGGGCTCCCGTGCACCTCAGCCGGCCTCTGCGCTGCAGGCAGGTCCAGCCAGGAGGCCCTTAGTAAGACCTACCACCTCCACCCCGTTATGAACATGCATGAACTCGGGGCCCAAGGTCCCGGGGTAGCCCGCCCTCCAAAGCCGAAAACCACAGGGACCAGGGCCTTGTGGGGTGGGTGGGTGTAGGGCCAGATTGGAGGGGAAAAAGGGGCTTCGGGGGCTGGCACTCTAAGGTTCTCCAGTAATTCTATGGAAACTGGAAGCCGCTGTCTTGACTCCCACAGTTTTCAGGCAGAAACCACCCTGAAGGGTGGAGTGTGGAACTGAACTTCCATGACAGTCTTGAGTTTTCCATGCCCTCTCCGTGAAGGCGGCAATGCCTGTGGGTGTCGCCGTTGCCGTGATAGTCTCACACACGCAGTGGTGTGGAACTCGTTCATTTTCATGTAGAAAACGAGAGCGAAACTACAGAGAAAAGAAACGTCCCGTGCATCACGGCCTGACCACGGATTCCTGTTTCCTGCAACAAGGGAAGTCTCCACTGTGGCCTGTTTGGAAACTGGAAAGGAGAGCGAAGACAGGATGCTGCTTTTCCACGCTTCGCTGGAGGTTTCTGGGTCCCCACAGAGCTCGGGAAACAGTCAACATGGTCACGCTTTTGGGGGCCGGAGACACGTGAACAACAGGCCCCCTTGCAGAGGGCAAAGGAACGTGGAACCCAGAATCATGGTTCACTCGGTCTGAGTGTGACTCTTGAATGGACGGGACTATCCACCTCGCGCTCTGTTGCAGGCTCAACGTGGGGCTATGTCATCTGTGAACCATGTGGATGAAAAACGGACAATCACCCGAGTCTCAGCTCACTGCTCTCTGGGCAATTCGCTCATTCCTTGGGAGGCGGAATTCGTCTGAATCGCTCCGGGATGAAGTGACCCAGGCTGGCGATCCGGAGGGCCCGTGCGCGCCCCGCAGGCAGACGTGGCTGTGGGCCGAGCACTCAGCCTGCACTGGGCACCCAACATTTTCCCGGAGTGCGAGGTCCTGCTGGTCCTGGAGGCAGAAGACCGCTTTTCTCTCTGCCTTCTTCTCTCTGTCTCTTGCTCCCTTTCTCTCTCTGTCCTTCCCTTCCTCCCTCCCCCCCCACCTCCCTTCCTCCCCCTCCCTACTTTCTCCTTTCCAATATCCCTCTGTCCATCTGTCCTTTTCTCGCTCCATTCCTCCCTTTCTCTCTGTTTCTGTTCCTCTCCCCATCTCTATTTTTCAACATTATATGATCCCATTGTGTGTATCTGTGTTAACATTTTTAGCAATAAAGTTCATTTTCATTAAGATATGTATATTGTTATTTAGACATGTTATTTATGTGTGTGCATTTGTTTAATAGACATAAATTTATTTCAGAGTTATTCTACAGCATAGTGTAAGCATAACTCATAAGCAGTGTCAACCCAAAAATTGTGTGACTCGCGTTACTGTGATTCTTTTATACTGCAGTGGTCGAGAATAAAATCTCTATATCTCCAATTTATATCTGTGTATTACCATTAAATTGGCCCCATTTCCTGTAGTGATAGAACACTATTCCCAGACTATGACAAGAGCTGTGGGCTGTGGGGAGGTCAGGGTTAGGATGATGCAGAAGTGAAGATAAGACATTCTCTTTTTCACATCTTTATTAAATACAAATTCCATATGAAAGAAATTTAAAATTCCAAACAACATTAATGTTTATTTCATTATTACATAAAATGAAAATTATAAAGCAACCAAACAAGTCATTAATACACTTAGATAATGAAAGATTGTATGATCTCAGTACAAAATACAAGTAGAATATACGTCAAATATAACAAAATACACTGTATTGTAGTATGTGATGAAATCTCCATATCCTGCAATACAGTACAATCAATTGAAATGTATGAAATACAATAAAATATAAATTCAGGATGTTTAAAATGAAATAAAACATGAGGCAGATGAATAAATAAGTACAATCATTTACCATTTAATATATCTTGACTTAAATTTTATGTAGAAATATTAAAAGTAAACAGCTTGCATAGTAATTTTACTATGCAAACTGTAAAAATGTATAAACATTTTCCCACAGGGAGTGCTATTAATGGTTTGTGGATGTTAGTACTCCATGGGTTCAGGCTGGAAGAGCCTACAACCTTTTCCGAATTAAAAGAGAAGCAATTTCTTGGTAAAGCGGCTCATGCCTGTAACCCCACCACGTCGGGAGGTGGAGGCTGGTGGATCACTTGAGTCCGAGGCCAACCTGGCCAACGTGACAAAACTCTACTAACAATACAAGAAAAAAACATTAGCCAGGCATGGCGGTACATGCCTGTAGTCCCAGCTACTTGGGAGGCTGAGGCATGAGAATTGTTTGAACCCAGGAAGCAGAGGTTGCAGTGAGCTAAGATTGTGCCACTGCACTCCAGCCTGAGTGACATAGCAAGACTGTCTCAAAAAAAAAAAGAGCATATAATTTTATATTTACTTTTCTACAATCTAAAATATGAAAATTCACGATTGCAACCTAATATTTTTCTGATTATATAGAAATGCACGACTGTCATCAGACATCCAAAAGGTATCAAATGTCTAACATGAAATATAAAATTTGTCTATAGCCTTAGCGGTCTGCAAAATTCAGGGCTCACCATTCTGAGTATACCGCTCAAGTTTCTTTCCTATGACTTCTTCAGGTTCTGTCATTTATTAACACAGTGCATCTAAAATTGTCACTGCTGGTCGTCTGGAAGAATCTGAGAAGAAGCAGGTCCTTGTTCTCATTCCCAGAGCTGCATCTCTGCTGAATAGGGTCAGGGTGCTCCCAGCTTAGCCTCATCTGATCCACTGACAGGCTCAGTTATCTCCTGCCCAGGGAAGGGATGGGCTTCTCTATCCAGGGCTGAATCCCCAGGACCAGGCAGTGTGGCTGGGACAAGCCAGCTCTCAGCAGGGAAGACATAAGCTGCCTGAGTGGCCATGGAATACAAGGTCTGCACCTGGGCACACAGAGGCCCCCGGAGCCGAGTGAGCAGTGTCAGCTGCTCACAGGTCAGTGGAGAATGGATCTGCTGTGCCCACACCTGGGCTAGGTCTTGATAAACAGCCTCCGACATAGCTCGCACAGAGGTCACCAAGCTTTTTCGAAGTGACGGTGTTTGGACTTCTAGGGCCCGAGACCTATGCCGCTTGCTGCGCCCAGTGCAAGCCCTGGAACTTCCCCTATGGTGGGCATCACAGGTCTCCTGGATTTCACTGTTGTGCACAGCAGTGGAGGATCTTGATTTTTTATTCAACGTCAAGTTGCACTCCTCTTCTGGACAGTTCCCTGCAAAGAAAGCATGTGAGAGACTCACCAGAGCAGTCCCCACAGACCCTCATTTCCAGAACCCCCTGTGCACCCAGGTGAACCCCATTTGTCTCTCCCACTCCTTCCTGACCATCTCAGGACTGGAATGAAGTGAGGCTGAACCACTTGTGAGTCCCCAAATATTCTCAGAGTGCTAGGATCTCAAAAATTTACTTGTCAATAAGTAATTCCCTTTCCGCTCAAGCCTCGTATAAAAGTTTCCTGATTATTTGCCTTTTGGGGCAAACCAAAAACAAAAAAACCACCACCACCACCAACAACAACAAACACCAAGATTCTACCTGCTCTGTCTTGGCAGATATCCTTGGAACTGATTTTTCTTTTCCTGCAGTTTTCCTGATATGAGCTGGACTCTGGTTCTGTGAACACAATGAGAGTTTGAGAAAGTGCCTCCAACTGAACACCCTGAAATTCCTAGTCCATCCTGGACACACAGGAGCTGAGGTTACCGCCAAACCCCAGCTCTCTTCTGTTCTCCAGTGTCCAGGATCTGTACTGCCCTGGCTGCCAAGGAGCTCCCAGTTTCCTTGCCAGGGGAGCCTGTGTTGCTGCCCTGTCCCTTCTCACCTTGAAAGAGTCAAATCTTACCTGATCCAGCAGTGCTGTTCCCGGCCTTGAGCTTGGTTTCCTCAGAATTCTCCTTGTTTGGATTGGGATCTGATCCTGCTGCAAGAGAAGGTTTAGATGGCTCACCTCTCCCTAGGCAGAGTCCCATAGTCTATCTCTCATGCATTTTTGAGAATCAGTCTTTCATGTGAAGCTCTTCTGCCAGTGTCATGAGTGAACACATTTCTCAAAGTCCCCTAAGGGCACTAAGCCATTTCCCATCCCCAAATCTCAAAATAAAACCCTGCTAAAGACACATAGCTCAGTATCCCTGATTCCAACCCTCCTTCCAGCCTCCATAGGAGCAGCCCAAGGCCTTACCTTGCCTTTGTGTGTGCTTCTCACTGGAATGGGAGAAGGCGGTCTTGCCTTTTCCTTTGAATGGTTTCTTCTCATCTGAGCCCTTTTCTGTAAAGGAGATCTGTTGGAAAGGGGGCTGGTCAGTGGAGCACTGGATGGAGGAACAGTGGAGATCGGGGTCTTCATTTCCCTTTCCCATGTTGAAGCTCAAGTGAAAGGTGCGCTCTCTCACATGTCCAAAGGCAGAGTGTGGGTTAGTCTGCTAGACCTGCCTTTTATACGTCCCTCGGCTGGGCGTGGCTTACTCTTATTGGCTGAAGAGTTTTCTCATTCCTGCCGCTTCTTAGAGCCTCAATCAGAAGTTTCTTGCTGTAGTTCTACTGGGGACCTAGACACAGTTAAGGGGAGACATTTTCAGGATCTTGTCATAGTGTCAAGAAAACAAAGAACCGGGAGCACAGGGACCGGAAGATCAGGGAATCATTTCTTCCGATTTCTGTCCCAGTTCCTACCTGGAGGTATTTATGATCCTGTTCACCTTTCAAGATGCACAATTAAACATGTCTATATTGACATATGTTATATATTTTGCACAGAAAGAGAATTTATTATACATAGTGTTAACGTTGTATGCATAGATATTATAATTTCTTAAATGCTTGGAAACAACAAATGTCAAATTATGGTTGAGTCTATTAGATCCACACATAGATGATGAAATAAAAGTGCAGAGAAAAAATAAATACCAAATGAAATGGCCCTTCCTACCTTAAAAATGGGGAAGATAATTAGATCAAATGCAATAAAATTGCATTGATTAGGTTGAGCCAGTGCTAACCTAATCAGCCCCTGATTCTAGGTGGAAAAACTTTCCCCCTTTCTCACCCTTCCTCAGTCATCCTGGGAGGGCCATTGTGTTCTGTGGAATTTATTCAGCCTCCCTAGTAAAAATGGACTTGGTCGCAAACAGGTAACCCAGCTGATCACAAGAAAAACAGCCTAGATTCTAAACATTCAGCTCCTGTCTTCACACCGCAGACACCACCTGAATCCCGTCAAAGCCCACATTATTTCTCAACAACCACCATATTCCAGGGCAGCCTCTCAAAATTGCCTCAGTGAGACGGGACAAAGTGTGGTGGAGCTCCAGGTTCAGAATAGCTGCCTCATCCCTTCCTACTGCGGCGGAGTCTGTCTCTGCTGGTCAGAGCCCTCCAACTAGCCTAGGCTACGTCCAAGCAAGTGTCCCCTAAAAGGACCTTCTTCTCTCCCCCTCTGCTGAGGAAAGCATGCAGGAATGAGACTTTCTATGTTAGGGAGTACTCGGCCTCCAGTCCCAAATGACTTGATTGACTGATGAAATGATTCCTTGAGGAGGAGAAAGACACGGGGAAGAGACTGTGTTGGGTGAGTCTGTGTTTTCCCAGCTGTGCTGCCTGTGCAAATAGTGGAACCAAAAAAGAATTAGTGGTAGACAGACACTGCCTAGTGAAATTGTCTGAATGTAAATGGAACTTATCATAATATGATATCATTATATATTATAATATTATAAAATTTATTTGACATCTAAATAAATTTTGATATGATATATAAAATTTGGTCAGGTAATTTTATAAGAAAATTGAGTTACATTTTTTAACAATATTAACATATAAACTCAATAGAAAGCTAGGAAAATTGTCTGCTCTTGTGTAAATGACTGCTTTTTGGATAACTCTGTAAAAGGTGTGAAGGGGGTCTGCTACTTACTTGATAGTAAGTACTTGATAAGACATCGACTTCCACATCTTTGCTGTTTTTAACCAGTGCCCTCTCAAGATATGAGAATATTTTACTCTAAGGAAGTATTTTCATAGATATCATAATAGGAATTTTGTTCATTTTAGTTAATAAATTATTATAACATTTAGTGATTATTAATAATTTATGTCACTGTTAAAATATACTCCTACAGACAACATATTACATATGTGTTTTGATTTGTCCTTTAATCTCAGGTAAATTTTTTAAATTTTTATTTATTAAATTCTATATATTTTAGATAAAAGAGACCTTGTAACTGCCATATGATGTACTTTCTTAGAAAGAGAAATTCTCAGGCAAAACTCAGGTCTGGCCAGGCACGGTGCCTCATGCCTGTAATCCCAGCACTTTGCGAGGCCAAGGCGGGTGGATCGCCTTAGGTCAGGAGTTCAAGGCTAGCCTAGCCAACATAAGGAAACCCCATCTGTACTAAAAATACAAAAAAAAAAAAAAAAAAAAAAATTAACTGAATGTGGTGGCTCACGCCTGTAATCCCAGCTAGTTGGGAGGCTGAAGTGGGCAGATCACCTGAGGTCAGGAGTTCAAGACCAGCCTGGGCAACATGGTCAAATCATGTCTCTACTAAAACATACAAAAATTAGCCAGATGTGGTGGCTGTTGCCTATAATCCTAGCTACTCGGGTGGCTGAGACTGCAGAATCACTCAAACCTGGGAGGTGGAGGTTGCCATGGGCCAAGATGGTGCCACTGCACTCCTGCCTGGACAATGAGTGAAAACTCTGTCGAAAGAAAAGAAAAGAAAAGAAAAGAAAGAAAAACTTGAGAGGCAATGCTTAGCTAAGTGGCTCTCAGCCCATGCTTCCAGTCATAATCACACGGCCAGCTTAAAGAAATACCATCACCTGTGCCCTCCCCAGAGACTCTGTCTATTGGTCTTGGTGGGAGCATCTATGTGGTTGTAATTAGAAAGTCAAATTGTCCCTCTTTGATAATTATATAATATCATATATACAAAAATTCTAAAGACCACCAAAAAAACTCTTAGATTTGATAAATAAATTTAATAATGTTTCAGGATGCAAAAATCAATGTACAAAAATTGGTAGCATTTTTATACACTAATGATGATCAAGCTGAGAACTGAATTAAAAAGTCACTTCCTTTTACAATAGCTACAAAAAAGGTAAAATGCTTAGAAATACAATTAGTCAAAGAGATGAACGATCCCTACAAGGAAAACTACAAAACACTGATGAAAGAAATTGTACATGACACAAATGAGAAAAACATCCCATGCTCATGGATTGGAAGAATTATGATCATTAAAATGACTCTACTGCCCAAAGCAATCTACATATTAAATGCAATTCCTACCAAAATGCCAATGTTATTTTTTATAAAATTAGAAAAAAAAAACACTAAAATTCACATGGAACCACAAAAAGAGCCTGAATAGCCAAAGCAAATCTAAGCAAAGAGAATAAAGATGGAGATGTTACATTATCTGACTTAAAATTATGTTAGAAGGCTGTAGTAACCAAAACAACATGGTACTGATATAAATTGACACCTAGATCAATGGTACAGAATAGAGAACCTAGAAATAAAGCCACATACCTACAAACAACTGATCTTTTACAAAGTCAACAAAAACATACACTGGAGAAATGACATCCTATTCAATAAATTGTGCTGGAAAAATCATATTGCCGTATGCAGAAGTATGGAATGGGACCCCTATGTCCCACCATATACAAAAATCAACTCAATATGGATTAAAAGACTAAAATGTAAGACCTGATACTATAAAAATGCTAGAAGAAACTCTAGGATAAACTCTTCTAGACATTGAAATAACAAAAATAGACAAAAGGAACTCAAACTAAAAAGCTCCTGAAAATGAGCTTTTTAATTAACACAGTGAACAGAAAACCTATGGAATGAGATAAACGTTTACAAGTTTTGCATGTGACAAAGATCTAATGTCCAGAATATACAAGGAACTCAAACAGCTTAACAAAAATAAAAAAGATAACCTCATTAAAAAGCAAGCAAAGAACATGAACATTAAAAAAAAAAAAGACACTGATGGTCAATGGTCAACTAGCACGTAAAAGATGCTCAACGTTGTCAATGATCAGAGGAATGCCAATTAAAAACCACTATGAGATACCAACTTACACTATGCAGAATGGCTATTACTAAAAAGCAGAAAAATGAGCTATCGGCAAGGATACAGAGAAAAGAGAACACTTATACATTGTTTGCGGGAAAGTAACTTTCTACAATCTCTATGGAAAACAGTATGGAGATTTCAAAATAGACTAAAAATAGAACTTCCATTTGATTCAGCATTCCCACTACTTGGTATATACCCAAAGGAAAATAATTTGTTACATAAAGAAAATACCCATGCTCACATGTTTATCACAGCACTATTCACAATAGCCAATACATGAAATCAATTTAAATTTATCGATCAATAATCGAATAAAGAAAATGTGCTATACAAGTATAACATGGAATGCTACTCAGCCATGAAGAAGAATAAAATCGTGTCTTTTGCAACAACATGAATAAAACCAGAGGCCATTATTGTAAGTGAAAAAACTCAGAAACAGAAAATCTAATTCTGTATTTTTTCACTTGCAAGTGGGAACTCAATTATGCATACACTTGGATATAGAGACTGGAAAAATAGACACTGGAGACTCAGAAAGATGGAAGGTTGGAGAGGGTTTAGGAATGAGAAAATAACTAATTGGGACAATAAACAACATTCAGATGATTGTCACACCAAAAGCCCATACTTCATCCCTATGCAACATGCTTCTGTAAGGGAGCTGCATTTGTACTCTCTAAAGTATTAATAAAGAGATTAAAAAAAAAAAAGGCCTGGCGCGGTGACTCAAGCCTATAATCCCATCACTTTGGGAGGCTGAGGCGGGCAAATCACGTGGTCAGGAGTTCAAGACCAGCCTGGCCAATACAGGTGAAACCCCGTCTCTACTAAAAAAAAAAAAAAATTAACCGGGCATGGTGGAGCACGCCTGTAGTCCCAGCTACTCAGGAGGCTGAGACAGGAGAATCACCTGAACCCGGGAAGCGGAGGTTGTGGTGAGCCGAGATTGCGTCACTGCACTCCAGCCTGGGGAATAGAGGGAGACTCCGTCTCAAAAAAAAAAAAGAGAGGAAAAAAAAAACTTTGGCTTTTATCAAGAGGACAAACTGAATAGACTTCATAATTTTCATAAATAAATAGATTAAGCAAAAAAATTTTAACAAAAATAAATAAAAAATAATATTGTATTTTAAGAATGGTATAGAAAGATAATTTGATGAATTAGAGTTGTTAGTACTTAGCACATACAATATATTAGGCAAGATTCTAAGCCACTTAGACCTTTATGGACAGAATAGGTAACAAAATAAAATAAATAACACAAAGATTCATTGACAATGACAAATTGACATCTTTTCAATCATATTAGGTGATATTAAAACCATTAACAAATTTACTGTTTTGTTTCATAATAAAAAAGAATGTTAAATAACTTCATTAAAAAGTTTGACTAATTAGGCATATAGATAAATGGGTAGCATTTTGACCAGTACACAGAGGATACACATTTTCAAAGACCAGACAAAATTATTTATTTATTTTTTTGGGGGAGAGAGCAGTTTCATTATCTGGGGTTACAGTGGGGTCCTCTCCCTGGGAGGTGGGGTCTTCCACTGGTTACCCCCGCCAGGGCTCCAGGGGGCGCCATGCGATTCAGTGCTGGGCTCCGCTGGGGGCCGGGCCTTGGAGAAGGCGAACTGTGCAGGGAAGCAGCAGCTGTGGGGTCCTCACCGCCCGCCCCGCCCGGCTGCACCCGGCCTCCTGGTGCTCCTCAGGCTCCCGCCGAGTCTGCGCCTCTGGAGGGCAGCGACCATCCTGCCCAGAACCTTATCCTCACATTCCAGTTTGACGCAGGTCAGGCATTTCTGCTTCCTCCTCTCGGGCTGGACTTTGCACTTGGGTTTCTTCCAGTCTTTCCTCCGGCCGCTTCTCTGTCTGCCGGAGCTTAAATTCCAGCCTCACAAATGTTCCAGCTGGGAAGGGCGTGTCCAGGGCGCTGTCCACACTGGTCTCCCGGAAGGCCCGCTGCACGGGCGGGTGCTTGAAGATTCCTCCAGGGCCACCTGCAGGCCCCGGCGCTGGCCCGGTGAGCTCGGCCCCTCCCGCGTCCCCCGCGCCCACCCACTGGGCCAGCGAGATCCGCAGCCATCTCAGGCTTCCCCTGTCACCCCGGCCCTGAGAAGCGGGTGTGCGCCCCTTAGTTCTCCGAGCCTGCCGGGAGCCACCTCCTCCCCTGCCCCTGGGGGGGTGGGCCATGCCCGCAGAACCCTGGGCAGAGGCGAAGGAACCGGGAAATGTCCCTTTCTCCACACTGACCTTGGGGTGTGCTGGGTCCTCTCTACTCCCTCCCACCCTGCCCGCGCTGTTCCCTGGGGCCCGCAGTTTCAGCAAAGTTCCCTGCCGCGCCGGGAAGCCGTCCTGTTGCCCACTCTCACCCTTCCTCCTTTTCTAGCCCATTCTCTCTCCCCACCTCCGACACGACCCTCTCTCCTCCCGGCTGTCCCCGGAGCCCCTCTCTGCTTCCCCAGCTCAGCCCCCTCTCTGACGGCTTCTCCCTCCCACCCCCAAGCGAATCTCCGGGTTCCCACGGGGTGCTCCGGATCCCTGGGGCTAGGTCAACCAGACAAAATTATTTTAAATGGGAAGATTTGAATTCCATTGAATTCATGAAAGCAGGAATCCATCTGGTCATATTTTAAATAATTTTGAAATGATAATAGCAACTATCAATTTAAAGTTTAACCAGAATTCAGAATACCCACCATTTTACCAGAAAAAAAAAACCTGTTATAACTAACCAACTAAGTCAGTAAATTTTCAGGATACAATATTAACATATGAACATCAGTTGCATTTTTTTACGGTAACAACAAAATATCTGAAACAGGAATAAAGATAGTTCCATTTACAATATTATCAAATAGAATGAAATACTTAGGAATGAGTTAACAAAGAATATGAAAGATCTGCATACTGAAAACTATAAAATGTTGAGGAAAGAAAATGAAAAATACAAAATGGGAAATATGTGTTCATGGATTCTAAAAATTAATATTATTAAAATATCCATACTACACAAAGTGATCTACAGAGTTAAATTTCTTTCAAAATTTTAATGCCATTTTATTAAAAATGTAGAACAACAATTTTAAAATTAGTAGGGAATCACAAAAGACCTCAAATAGCCAAATACTGAGAAGAACAAAAAGGCTGAAAGCCTTACACTTCCTGATTTCAAACTATATTTCAAAGCTGTAGTCATTAATATAGTATAGTACCTACATAAAAACCAATAAAACAGAATAGAGGACCCAGAAATAAACTCACAGATATACAGTCAACCAATCCCACAGAATGGAGAAAGGATAAACACATCAAGGAGTGGTGTAGGAAAAACTAGATATGCGCAGAAAAAAGTGAACCTTTCTCTCATGTCATCACAAAATGAATTTGAAATGAAATAAAGACTTAAACATAAGAACTGAAATCATGAATCCTCTAAAAAAAAAGGGGGGGAACCTCCTTGACACTGGTCATGGCAATGATGTTTTGGATTTGACACCAAGAACACAGTCAACAAAAGCAAAAATGAACAAGTGGAACTATGTCAAAGTAAAAAGTTTCTGCACAATAAAGGAAACAATCAGCAAAATATAAAGGCATTATATGGAATGGGAGAAAATATTTGTAAACCATATGTAGGATAATATGTTACTATCCAAAATATATATCATACTAATCAATACAAAAAACCCACAGCAGAATTAAAAGCAATTTCTTGATTAATAATTGGGCAAAATATATAAATAGCAATTTTTCCAAAGATATACAAATGGCCAGCAGGTATATAAAAAATGCTCAACATCACTAATTATCAGAGTAATTAAAGTCAAAATCACAATGAGGTATCACCTTATCGTGGTGTTTGGATGCCTATTATCAAACAGTCAAAAGATAAAAAGTGTTAGGGTGTAGAAAAAGAGAACACTTGTACACTGTTGCTGAGGATGTCAATTGGTGCAGCTATTATGAAAAACAGTATGGAGGTTCCTTAAAATTTTTAAACTAGAGCTACCATTAATCCCAATTCGGAGTATATAGCCAAAGGACATAAAATCAGGATCATCAAGGTTATCTGCACTCCTCTGATACAGATAAATAAACTGAGGGATACCTAATTTCGGCTTTAATAAAAATGAAACTCTTTCATCTACAACAATATTGATAAATCTTGAAGACATTATGCTGAGTGAAATAAGCCGAATACAGAAGGACAACTACTGCATGATCTCGTTTGTATGTAAAATCTAAAAAAGTAAATAAAAATAAAAAATAAAAAGCCATGGAAACAGTAGAACAGTGGTTCCCATGGGCTAGGAAGTGGGGAAAGTGGGGAGATTTCCATGGAAGGGGCGCACCTTCAGTTACAAGGTGAGTAACCGCTGGGACCTAATGTACAGAATAGTGACTATAGTTAACAATACTGTGTACTTGAAATTTGCTACAAGACTAGATCTCAGGTGCTCTCACCACACACAGAAACGTATTCACTATGTGAGGGGATAGATATGCTAACTAGCGTAACTGAGGTAATTTAAAGACTACTGACATCTCAAAACACTCTATTGTACACCCTAAAAATACACACTTTTCAATTTGTCAATCATAGCTCAACGAATGGAGAAAAAAAATAAGAGTAACCAGCAGATAATATCTAGCCACACGGAAACTCGATTTAAAACACGCTTGGCCACTGTTTCCAGCTCAACTAGGGAACAGCGGGAGCGCTTCTGGCCCCTGGACTTCGACGCTCCTCTCGCGGCCCCCGTGGCTGGGGAAGGTACAGTCGTTCCCAGGATTCCAGGCCGCACAGATCAGGCAGGGCCATCGCTGTCCCCTTGCTCTTGCGGCAGCCCCGTTAGGCTCCGCGTTTCGGGGCCTCCTGGCCGGGGAGGCTGCCTGTGGCTGCCCGCGCGCCCCCGTGGCTGTGGCTCCGCCGGCCCCCGCTTCGGCCCCGCGCAGCCCCTCCGAGGCCGCAGCCCTCTGGCCCCGAACTCACGGCCTCGGGCCCGTACCCGCCACCAGCGCCTTCTCTGTGGCCCCTCCTCCCCCTCCCCCAGCCCGAGCTGGCCCAGCAGAGAAGGAGGGCGGAGAAGCTGGAACCCGAACGCGGAGCTGCAGGCGGCAGGTGCGGGAACGGGAGAAGCTATGGCCTCGCACAGGACGGCTGCTCAGAGCGACAGGAGCAACCGCCAGGAGCTCCGCACGCAGCTGGAAGAACTCAGTAATGTACTCCGCTGTGGGAAAAATGGAGATAATAAAAGTCTGATGTAGAAGTACTCGCAGAGAACCATGCTCCTTGGTCAATCTCAGATTATTATCAGATCTACTGTAATGATGTTAGTCTTCCAAATACAGTGAGTGACTGAACTGTCAAATCAGCAAGATCAGGATATTGAAACTCCTGCTTTCAATTCTAACGACCAGTTATAAATAGAAAATGATGTTCACCCTGGTACTGATAGGACACCAAATGTTAAATGTAGACAAGAGGGTCATTTGCCTCAGATTCACAGGAGCCAGCATCTGCATTAGCAGCAAGATACGTCCTTAGAAGGTTCGTCATTAGCTGGAAGTTTGAGAGCTGCAACAGAAGCGGCTTTATCACAGACTGGATTTAGTTATGATGAAAATACTGGACTGTATTTTGACCACAGCACTGGTTTCTATTAAGATTCTGAGAATCGAATATATTATGATTTCATTTATTACTAATGTGATGTGGAAAGTGGTCGCTATCGGTTTCATTCTCGAGTAGATTTGCAACCTTATCAGACTTATAGCACAAAACAAAAATAAAAAATTCAGAAAAGAAAGGATCCAGATTCTTCTACAAAAAAAAAAAAAAATGAGGAAAAGGATTTGAATTCAGAGGATCAAGAAGCCTTCAGTGTTGAACATACAAGCGGCAATGGGAAAGACAATTTCACAAATGTGAAAAAAAAAAAGCCAAAATAGGTATTCAACACAAAAATAATCCCCCAAAATTCACTGTTCCAGTTAGTGGAAATACTATGGAATCTCCTCTTAATGAAAACATCTCAATTCATTTTTAAGGATGAGAAAATCACAGAGACTGATAGTGAACCAGAAGAAGGTGAAATTACAGACTCTCAGACCGAGGGTAGTTATGATGAAGGCATTACCAGTAAAGGCAATGCAACTGCAAAAGATACTGAGGAGGCAGATGAGGAAAAAGTGTGGCCCTCATATATGAGAGTAATTGTCATTAGATCACCTGTGTTACAGACAGGATCATTCTTCATCATTACTGCTGTAAAATCTGCTACAATTGGAAGAGAAAATGACATGGAGCATACTCTTCGAATCCCTGAAGTTAGTATAAGTTTCATGAAGAAATTTATTTTGACCATGACTTACAAAGTTATGTCCTTTTGGATCAGGCAGTCAAAATGGAACAATTGTTAATGTAAAATGGATTGTTCAGCTGAAAACTAAATGTGACCCTTATGAACCTGAGCATGGAGATAAAGTGAAAATTGGAGACACTGTGTTATCTTATTACATTCACCCTGGCAGTAATAGCTGTGTTGGATGTGAACCAGGGCATGTTAGAGCTCACCTTTTCCTTGATAAAAAAGATGAATCATTGGTTGGTCCATCACTAACTAAGAAGGAAACTAGTTGGAAAGAAGAAAAGGATTTTAAAAATATATGAGTAAAATATGGTTTACAGAATACAGACTACAAAGATGATAAGATACTGGAGAATCCAAAATGTAAAGATAGAGCTGGAAAACATAGGGAGCAGATTGGAAATGAAGGAAATTTCCAAAGAGATGATGCTCCTGCATCTGTTCATTCTGAAATTACTGATGGCGACAAAGGTCAGAAGATGTTGAAAAAGATGTGTTGAAAACAGGAGAAGGTCTGGGGAAGGATGGTGGGAGAATAAAAACTCCAATACAGCTTCAGCTCCGGCAAACACATGCAGGATTGGAGACAGACAAACCGTCTTCAATTAAAGAGACTCACCTTCTCCAAAACAAGAACAACAACAACAAGAACAACAACTGGGACAAAGCACAGGAGAGGTTTGCTGAAAACTTTCAACAACAACAACAACAACAACAACTGGGACAAAGCACAGGAGAGGTTTGCTGAAAACTTTCCAGAAACTAAACTTCAAAAAGATGACCTAGGAACCATTCCTTGGGTAAAAGGGACTGAGGAGTGAAGGTTAATCACAAAAGAAAACTCAAGCTTTTTTATAAATAGAGTTTGGAAACTCTTATTGCAGAATGTCTCTCCCCAAAAAAGTCAGTGGCACAAGAAAGCTGTGTCACAGTTTACCCCTTCCTGATTCAGAAATGTGTAATAAAGTGTGGTTTGCAGCTTTTAAAAAACACTTCTTAAACTAATTATTAGTGACTGAATTAAGTTATACAGTAAGTGAACTAAAGTTCACAGGGCACAGATAAGTTTATCAAACTTTACTATTTTATCTTGTCATTTACAACATCCATATAAGCAATTAGCCATATAAGCAAAATTCATGTAACCACTTAAATGCTCATTTGTCCTTGTCTCCATATATTCATAGTAGTATGCACAGAAAATACAGCAAAAGAAACATCTAAAGTCTATAAAAATAAATCTGACAATATACATTCTTGTTTATGCCCTTCAGGACCTAGATAAAAAATATTGAGACAACATGAATAGTGATGCATACATTTTCTTATATTTGGAATAGTCTAAATCATATTAAAGAACTAATGAACAGGTGACATGTCACAGAAAATTTGTCTTTTATTGTTTTCTTCGGTGAAGAATCTGAATTTGTTGATATATACTATACATTCAGCATTTGTATTTGGTTTGTTTCATAGCTAATCAAATGTTTATACATGAACAAATGAGTACAGTATTGAAATAGTCCATGTGCTGGCATTCATACTTTTTATAAATACCATTGCAGGCAATGAAGTTGTGCCAGAAAAATCTGATTTCGAGTACAAAAGGAATACTTAGCCAGGGCCTCAAGCTCAATATATTTATTGAAAATGTCCTAAATTGCCATAAAACTTTATAATGTTAAATTATTCATTTCAATAAATTATGAATTAAACAAAAAATACAAATGATGTCTTTTATGGATCAGAGAAGTGCTAATGAGGCAGAATGGCCGTTGAAGCCAAAAGATCTGAATCCAGGTAAATAATTTTACTCATATTAGTTTTATGTTAGAGAAAACAATACTTCTGACCATATACTATTTATTGCAGTGGAGTATTTCAAAAATATGTACATAATATATAATTAATTTTCTAATGATATAAAAGTAATCACATTCTACAAATTATTACAATATGGTCTATTGATGAGAGGGGTGTTTCAAATGAAAAAACTTGGAATTTCTCATGGTGATAGATGCCATAGAAAATCTATGCAAAATATTTCACTCATATATGCAACTATGGATATTTCTGCTTTTCAGAAAAATCATATACTTTAAACACTTAATGCAGACAATTAAAATCACCAAGAAGTTACAAGAATTCACAGAATGCATAATATAGTTGAAAGGAAATTACGAAAACTTCCCAGGACTGGAAGTAAATAAAGGTAATGATCCAGAGAAGTAATCAACCTAAGAGGCCAGGGCTCCACTCAGATGCATCTGATTACAAGAATGTCAGGTCCATGTGGGTTGTTCCCTTCTGACAAGGCAAATGGAATAAACAAAGAGAAACTGCCTGCAGGCATTGGAATGCGGTGTCTCCCATATGTGAGGATTAAATTATAAATTATGTTGCACACAAGGAGATGAGCTACTGGGGTGAAGCATCAGAAGAAATTATATGGCACATAAATCTCAGATATTGAATTTATATTTAAATGTTTAAGTCAATATAATGGAAAAACAAGAAACCAAAATAATGTGGAAAGAAACTAAGAGCTTGTCAAGCTATCTTTGGAAAAGAGGCAAATGCAAAGTAAAGTATTGAAAGTGTTGTAAAACAATTTAATGTACAACATACAAATAACATATTAAAATAGGCTGAGCCAAAAAGAGGGCTAGTAAAGTGAAATGCTGATCACAATTAATGTAGTCGTATATATTATAGAAGGCAAATTAATAGAAAATATAAATGTATTTTTATATGAAGATTAGATTGAGAAGAAATAAAAAGCATTTAATTGTTTTACCAGACTCTCTAAATAGGAAGGCGACAAAGAATCAGTGACTCATAAGTTTCAGAAATTGGAAACCAGACATGAATCCTTTAAAAGTTTAGGGTGTAATATATGAAAAAAAGGTAAATTAAGAAATACTTAGAAGAAATAATGGTTTGGGTTATGGTGAATACTGCTTAATAAACATGAGAATGCAGTTATCTTTTTTGACATGCTTATTTTGTTTCCCTTTGATATAAACCCAGCAATGAGATTGCTGGATCATATGGTAGTTCTATTTATAATTTATTGAAAAACCTCCATACTGTTCTCCCTATAGAAATGGGAAATGATTGTACTAATTTACATTCCTACCAACAGTGTATAAGTGCCCATCTACAGAATGAACAAAGAAAATGTTATACACACACACACACACACACACACACACAGACAGAATAATGTTCAGTCATAAAACAGAATGAAGTTCTGTCATTTGTGTCAACATGGATGAGCCTAGAGGACATTATGTTAAGTGGAATAAGCCAGGCACAGAAAGAAAAAGACCACTTGCTCTCTCATGTGAAATCTGAAGAAGTCCGTCTCATAGAAGTAGACAGTAGGATGGTGGTTACCAGAGGTTAGTGATGGCAGAAGGATGAAGGAGTGGGGAGAGCTTTGTCACTGGGTTACAAAGTTACAGTTAGGAAGAATAAATCCTGGTGTTCTATTACACAGCACGATGACTATAGCTAATAATAATGTACCGTTTATTCTATAATAGCTTGAAGCGAGGATTTTGAACTTTATTAGCACAAGGAAATAAATGTTTAAAGTGTTAAATATGCTAATTACTCTGGTTGGATCACTGTACAGTGTATATGGTACAATGTGATGCAGTGACACATCATATAATTAACATAATTTTACATGTTTGTGGAGTACAGTGTGATGTTTCACTGCATCACACTGTACCGTGTAGTATGATGCAGTGAAACATCACACCGTACGCCAGAAATATTACTGGTTCAGCAGGGAACTGTGGGACACAGAGCAGCTCCACGTTAGCCATGACCAGCAGCTTCACCTGTGTAGGGTAGCGAGAGGGGAAGGGGCCTGTGCTTGGCTGAGAGTTGACCCCTGACCCCATCCACTTTGACTGCTGGGTGCCAGCAGAGGTCAGGGATGCCTAACTTCAGGCAGAGGCAGGAAGCAAGGTCGTTGCCTGTTTTTTTTTTTTTTTTTCTTTTTTGAGAGAGTCTCACTCTGTCGCCCAGGCTGGAGTGCGGTGGTGCGATCTCGGCTCACTGCAACATACATAGAGGTGTACGTCTGAATCACACCTGCAGGAAGGTCCCCGGGTGAGATTAACAATCCCATATAAGTGCCGGTTCTGGGTATGAGAGTCAACCCCTCCTGTATGTTGTGTCTATGTACATAAGTCACATTCTCAATGGTGGAATGGATTTTTCCATGAGAGCCTTAATACCTTTTGAAAATTGAGTTATCTTAGTGGAGTCACAGCCTCACAAGTGTTTTGGATCTTGGTCAGGGAGTCATAAACCCACTTGTGGACAACATCCACTTATGAGAGCCAACTTTCCAACTTTTGACTGCCTCTGGGTGTGAGATTCAGAACCTCAATTATGGGCTGTGTCCATGTGGGAGAATGACAATTTTTACTGATGGCTGGGCTCAGGCAGGAGCCTTTCATCCTGCAGGTTTTGAGATAAATGATACATCACAATACCCAAAATATGCTGGGTGCAGGCAAAAGAGGAGAGCCATATTAGCTGGTTGCTAGGTCCAGTTATATGTCACCACCTCCGTTTTTGGCAGGGCTAAGGCAGAAGAGGAGAGTCAGAGCTAAAGAAATGTCACCGTGTCCCTGTGGGTAGGGCCTATGCATAAGAATTGCATCACCTAGTCATTGAACCCAGCCATATATTACAATACACAACATATACAGGGCCCAGGCAAGAAAGGAGAGTATATCACATAGGTACTGGGTCCAGCAATGTGTCACAATACCCCCTGAGGGGAGGCTCCAGGCAACAGGGTAACATTACCTAAGTGAAGTGCCCAGAGAGATGTTTCAATGCCCCTGGTGAGTAGGATTTTGAAAAAGAAGTTACATAACCTAGGGGCCAGGCCTAGCTGTGTGTCACATTCATCTCCAAGACGGAGCCCAGACATGAGAGAAAAGTCACATCATGTAGGTACTGGGCAGAGTAATATGTCACAATCCTTATGTGAGCAGGCCCTAGGAAGAAGTAGAGAGTCACATAGTCTAGATGATGGGCCCAGAGGTATTTGACAATGACTCCTGTAGGTATGGACCAGGCAGAAGAATCACTTCACCTGTGTGCTGTGCCCAGTTATAAGTCACACTTCCCTCTGTGGGCATGACCGAGGCAGGGAGAAGAGTCACATCATCCTGGTGCTTGGCCCAAAGATATGTCACAATCTCTCTTATGGGCAATGTTCAGGTAAGAGAGGAGAGTCACATCAAATAGGTAATGGACACAGAGGTATGTCACAAGGCCTTCTGTGAACTTGATCCAGGCAGAAGATTCACATCAACTTGGTGCTAAGCCCAACAACATGTCACAATCCCTTCTGTGTAAAGGGACCAGACAGGAAAAGAGAATCACATTACCTGGCCAATGAGCACAGAGATCTGTCACAATGCCCCTTGTAGGCAGGGCCCAGGCAGAGGAGTTACATCACCTGGGTAGTGGACCCAGCAATATACCACAGTGTCCCATATGGGCACAAGCCGGAGAGTCACAAAACCTGGGTGCCAGTCCAAGCTATATAGAACAACGCTTCCTGTGGGCAGCATCGAGGCAGAAGAGGAGACTCACATCGCCTGGGTGCAAAGTCTAGCGATATGTCAAAATGCTCACTGTGGGCAGTGCCAAGGAAGGAGAATAGAGTTACACCCTCAAGGTGCTGGATCCAGCAATATGTTAATATCCCATCTGTGGGCTGGGTCCATGGAAGATCTTCAAGTCACTCAGGTGCTAGGCACTGGGAAATTTCATCATGAAACCTGCAGAATGGTCCAGGAATGAGATTAACAACCCCACAACTGTCACAGTTGTAGGCATGACATTCAACACCTCCTGTATGTTGGGTCTAAGCCCACGAGTAACCATCTCAACACCAGACTGGATTTGTGCATGAGAGCCTCAATTCCTCTGCAGATCGTGTCACCTTAGTGAAGTCACAGCCTCACAGTTGTGCTGAATCTTGGTCTGAGAGTCACCAACCCATGAGTATCCATATATGTCAATTTTTCCCACCTTTGACTGACTACAGGTGTGAGATTCAGAACCTCAACAGTGACCTGTGTTCATGTGAGAGGATGAGAATATTTACTGTTGGCTGGGTGTGCATATGAGTGCCACAGTCTCACCTGTGTGCTCGGCGCAGTTAGCAATCTCTGTGTACTACCCAATGGCACTGTACAGTATGAATGACAGTTGCAATCAACTTTGAGACCTTCCTGCTGGTAGGGACCCATGATCATACCTGTGGCATTAAGCCCGGGTATGAGAGTCAACGTCATTACAGTTAACTAGGTCAGGATAGGAGAGTCCTCCCTTGCCTATCAGCTGGGTTTAGAAATGAGCCACCATTTCAACTCTGCTTGAATGTTTATATATGAACACGGGCCTAGCACCAAGAAGATGTGAGTCTTTGGCCTAGACGCTTCAAGCAGGAGGCAATGTGACATATCTCTGGGCCTAACAACTATTTGATGCGAACTGCTTTTTCACCTGAGCTTTTCCCATAAAAGAGATGTGACATATGTCTAGACCCAGCACCTAGGTGATGTGGTTCTCCTTTTTTGACTAAGCCCTGTGTATTTTGGGTATTCTGACATATCCCTGCACCTAACATCTGGAAGATAAGAAGATCCAGCATGGGCCCTGCCTAAAAAGTTTCTTGTGACATATTTCTACGTTAATACCTTGGAGATGTGACTCTCCTCTCTTACCTGGGCTTTGCCCATAAGAGAGATTGTTACGTACCTCTGCAGCAAGCACCTAAATGCAGTGACTCTTCTTTCTTGCCTGGGTCATGCCCACAGATGAAAGGGTGGCTTATCGCTGTGTCCAGCACACCGGTTATGTGATTATTCTGCTTGATCTCTGCTCACAGGAGCCATTGTGACATATCCCTGGGCCCAGAAACTGTTTAATATGACTCTCCTCTATTACCTTAACTTTGTGCACAGGATAAATTGTGACGTATCTCTGGGTCCAGCACTTAGGTGATGTGACTCCTTTTGTGCATGGACTATGCCCACAGGAAGGAGGCTGATTTATGGCTGTGTTGAGAGCTGATGTGATACCTTGGTCCTTGTCTTCTTAGTTTATAATAATTTAAACAAGAGACACACAGAAAAGAAGTACAGCATAATTTATTGGAAAAGGAAAAAAAAATTTTTGAAAGTTAAGTGCAGAATACAGTACACCGTGAGAGAGATATTCCAGGGCGGGCTGCTCATAAGAGTGAGACAGCGTGGATTGTCGCTGGAGAAACCCCCTTATGGGAGTTTTACATTATTATTAGTAAGGAGGGGGGAAGAGGAGCTGCTAGTAAGCCTGTTCTGAGTGGTCTTCTGGGTGCACATGTGCAGTAGCTGTACATGCTTATTCATATTTTGCATGTCTCATTAGCATCTTAGACCTCTAGCCAGGAGTGTATTTTTGTTTGTTTGCTTGAGACAGAGTCTCGCTCTGTTGCCCAGGCTGGAGTGTGGTGGTGCAATCTCTGCTCACTGCAACCTCTCCCTCCCAAGTTCAAGCCATTCTCGTGCTCAGCCTCCTGAGTAGCTGGGATTACAGGCATGCACCACCATACCTGGCTAATTTTTGTATTTTTAGTTGAAATGGGGTTTCACTATGTTGACCAGTCTAGTCTTGAGCTTCTGGTTTCAAGTGATCCATTCTTCTCAGCCTCCCAAAGTGCTGGGAGTACAGGTGTGAGCCACCGTGCCCAGCTGGGGGGTGTATCTTTTGCTATTAAAATAAGCAAAAGTTAAGTTTGAGGACAGGTAAAATCAAAATGCACATGCTCTCTGGAACAGAAAGTCCTTAATGAAGATAGCTTTGCTTGAATGAGCCGAATTACAATGTGAATGCTAAGGCTCATTGTCTTGGCTGTACAGTTACCACAGTTTCAATGAAGGGGTGGCCTGCCCCTCCACACCTGTGGGTGTTTCTCATCAGGTGGAATGAGAGACTGAGAAAAGAAAGAGACACAGAGACAAAGTATAGAGAAAGAAAAGTGAGCCCAGGGGACTGGCGCTCAGCATACAGAGGACCAACGCTGGCGCTGGTCTGAGTTCCCTCAGTATTTATTGATCACTATTTCTACCATCTTTGAGAGGGGGATGTGGCAGGACAATAGGGTAATAGTGGGGAGAGGGTCAGCAGGAAAACATGTGAACAAATGTCTCTGTGTCATAAACAAGGTTAGAAAAGTTGCTGTGCCTTGATGTGCATGTATACAAACATCTCCATCCATTAAAAACAGTATTGCCACCAGCATGTCTCAACTCCAGCCCTAAGGCAGTTTTCTCCTATCTCAGTAAATAGAACATACAATCGGGTTTTACAGCGAGATATTCCATTGCCCAAGGATGAGCAGGAGACAGATGCCTTCCTCTTATCTCAACTGCAAATAGGCCTTCCTCTTTTACTAATCCTCCTCAGCACATACCCTTTATGGGTGTCGGGCTGGGGGATGGTCAAGTCTTTACCTTCCCAGGAGGCCGTATTTCAGACTATCACATGGGGAGAAACCTTGGACAATACCTGGCTTTCCTAGGCACAGGTCCCTGTGGCCTTCCACAGTGTATTGTGTCCCTGGGTACTTGAGATTAGAGAGTGGTGATGAATTTTAACAAGCATACTGCCTTCAAGCACCTTTTTAACAAAGCACATTCTGCATAGCCCTAAATCCATTAAACCTTGAGTTGACACAGCACAAGTCTCTGTGAGCACAGGGTTGGGGCTAGGGTTACAGATTAACAGCATCTCAAGGCAGAAGAATTTTTCTTAGTACAGAGCAAAATGGAGTCTCTTATGTCTACTTCTTTCTACATAGACACAGTAACAGTCTGATCTCTCTTTCTTTTCCCCACATTTCTGTATCCCGAGATCATGGTCATTTTCTTGACTATCTATTCTGATCTATTCTGCCTCAGTTTCCCCCTAAGAGATCTTAGGGTCATAATCATATTGGAGGTTGAGGGGCTAGGTCACTTTTTCTGGAGCTGTTTCCTGCTGAGTGGGTGTTATTTCTGCCTAGTCTGGGCCCTAAAGTTTCTTCCTGTGTGATCTAACCGGGTGTAAACCATGTAATTCGTGGAACCAGTGGGCAAGATGTTGACAGCCAAATGTTGAAAGCCTTGCAAAACCTTCATGCAAACATGGAGTTGCCGTAAGCAAGAGAGCAAGAAATCAGTTAACATTTTAAACAAAATTGGAACAAAAGTAAAAGCTGAAAGTATAGTAATGGCTGTTACTATTAAAGAGAGTAAGGCAGGTAATAGACATTGCTTTCATGGTCCCATGGAAGTTCCTAGAGATTCAATTTTGTCTGCCTGGGTGATGATATTATTAATATTTTCTTGGACTAAACCGGGCTGATTGATCTCAAAAACAGCATTCTTCTTTTAGATATAAACATGTTCCTCTTTGCCCGGCTGGGAGAAGATCCCAGGCTCTTTGCTTTTGTCGGACTACAGTGTCCATGGAGTCCAGACATTGTTGAAGTCTATTGAGGCCCTCTGCTGCTTGTTGCGGACCCATTGAGGTTTTCTGAGATAGTTTATACTGGATTCCCAAGGCTCCACCTTATGGTGACATTTATGCTGCAAAAGTATTTTGCATTAAAATGGTGAAAGCAACAAACGTTTTAAGTATTTTCTATTTTTTGCTAATAAGCAAAATTTTGTGCAGCTAAGTTGGCAGCAGTCATTCGGTCCATTTGTGGATGGTACAGTTGAATGGTGGTCAAAGTTAGAGCCTGGAAGCCTTCAGTAAATACGCTGAAGTTGTCTGAGGGCCATCAGAGTTGTTGCTTATATTGGATTAGATCATTTATTGAGAGTAGAACAAGCACTCTGATGGTCCTCTCTCCATTTGGGACTTTCTGTAAGGGGAGCAATTTCTCTGGCCCTGGATGGTGTGAAGTCCCACTGTGAGTAACTGCAGCTGTGCTGGTCTCTATTGTACCTGGCAAAGGCCGATGGAAAGGAGCATAAGGAGGAGGTGAAACAAGCTTAGATTCTACAGAAGACTCTGATAGTGTGGGGATGCTGGGGATTCTAAAAGAGGTGTGGACCCTTGAGGGCCCCTGTCTGGAGCTGGTGTTGGGCTGTGGGGTCTGGGGTCCCTTCCCCTTAATAAGAGATGATCTTCCCATTGTTCTGAGGGGCTTTCTGGCTTACTAGGCTTTAGCCCACAGGTGCTGCATAGAGCTGGATTTTGTTGTCAGGCCAGAAAGGCTTGCACATAGGATACTTCAGACCATTTTCCCTGATTACTACAGAAAAGATCTAGCTGTAGGATGGAGTTAAAGTTCACAGTCTCATTCTCCAGCCATGTTTTGTCAGCTAATCTGTAGGCAGGCTAAATAGTGTTACAAAAGAAGATAAGGTTTTCTTTTTTCTAAGTTCATTTAGCCAAAAGCTGTTCTAATTTTTAGATATACATCCCAGGGGTGTTTCAGTGACAGTAGAGGAAGCGGCTCCCACGGTGCCGAGAGAATCCTGCAATGACAGAACATTTACTGAAGTCCAGGAGGTTGTGGGCATCCTCATGAGCCAAGTGAAAACATCAAGGGGTCCAGCGCATCCCCTCGAAACCCCATTAACTGAAGCTCTAGGAGGTCATAGGCATTTGCCATACACCGTCCTAGCTCCCCCCAGCGGTGGACATCTCCAGCCCTACCGAGATGACCCCCACTGCGGGCTGGGGGGCAGATGTCTGGCTGACAAGCCTTGCCCTAATTCACTGGTTTGCCATTTGTGACGCCCAATTACAACACCTGGAATGCTCAGATGCAATCCCTACGACTGGGCATCTATATGACTGTGCATCTTTTGTTCAGCAAAGAAAGCCTGCTGAAGAACAATTTCAAGGAGCTGGGAAATGCATAAAGCCTGAAGGGACAGGGTTCTCTTAATGTGCTGCTCAAAACAAAACAAAAATTTTGTAAACAGAAAACCTGACCAGAAAATAAATTACAATAGCCACTAGGTGGCGATCGAGTATTGCTGAACGGACAGCAAACGATAAGCTGAGTCCAAACTGTGGCCAGAAAGATGTGAAACTAAGCGGCAAATAGCCCAAATATGAAATGTTGAGGGCAACCCATGTGGTTAGCGTATTTATCGATGCTACAGAAGCAGCAGCGAAAAGGAGAGCGGACATATATTCTCTCTCTAAAGAATGCAGGTGACTTAACAACGTTTCCCCCAGAACTTTACTGAAACAGCGCTGGAACAAGCAGCGATAGTTAACCAGGTAGTCTGGAACTGCCATAGTATTCACTGCAAGTAAAGGGAAACTGAAATTAATGAAGCAGACAAACCTCTCCCCAGGTCATGGCACCAGAAATGTTGATGGCTGATGTAATACCTTGGTTCTTATCTTCTTAGTTTAAAAGAATTTAAACAAGAGACACACAGCAAAAGAAGTACAGCATAATTTATTGCAAAAAAAAAAGAGAATATTTTGAAAATTAAGTGCAGAATAGACGGTACAGTCTGAGAAAGAGATTCCAGGGCAGCCTGCTCATAAAAGTGAGACAGCATTAATTATTGCTGGAGAAACCCTCTTTATGGGAGTTTTGCATGATTATTTCATAAGAAGGTGGAAAGAAGTGTTATAGTAAGCATGTTCTGACTGGTCTTCTGGGTACACATGTGCAGTAGCTGTACATATTTGTGCATACATTGCATGCCTCACTAGCATCTTAAATCTCCACCCAGGAATGTGTTTTTTACTATTAAAATGAACAAAGGTCAGCTTGAGGACAGATAAAATCAAAATGCACATGCTCTGTAGAAGTAAAAGTCCCTACTGAAGATAGCGGGTTTCAAATGACCCCAAGTGCTCCACATCTTAAAAGTTGCTCCCGTAAAGCTGGAACACTATCTGTTCCTGAGGTATCAGGTCCCATTTGTGGCTCTGAGCCACTGGCAAGCCAGGCCTGACTTGAGATGAGACCAATGATTTCAAGTGTAAAATGCCTAAATAGTAGCTTCAGGTTGCATTTTGGAGCTGGTCCACTTAAATGGGTTGATGAAAATGGCTCACAAGACTCACGCCTCGGAAATGGGGTTTTTCCTTTGCTCTTAGCAGATTTTATGCAACCCAATAATTAACCTTTCTGATGCCTAGACTTTCACATTCGTGAAAAAGGCGCCATTGAAAGTGACCTTTCCAGGAAGCCACAGCCCTTGTCACCCCTGCAGAGCTCTGAAGCTGCTCACAAGCAGGCCAGGTGGAAGATTTCTCTCAAAAACGATTGAGTGCGTGCTCTGGCTAGAGAAAAAAGAGGGCTGCGGCACTATGGACAGTGTCTTGGACATCAGGAAATTTTTCACGCAGTTTGGGAAAGAAGGCAGCGCCCTGGGCTGCAAAAGATGTACTGCTCTGGAAAGAACCCTGGGTGCAACTGAAAGAGGAACCTGAGAAGGATAGGGCCAAGCAGGTGAGGACAACCCGCCCGATTTGGGAAAAGGTAAGGTATCTTCGTAGGGTAATACCCTCCTCAATGCTCAGCCCAGACCTGCCCTCCAGGTGCACCTCTGTACTCACTCTCCTTGCAAAGAGTCGGCAGAGCATCAGAACTCAGCAGCGCTTCGGACACCGGGAAGTCCACACCGCTCTGCCCCTCCCTCCAGGGCTATGGACCCCGGATCCTGGTACATGCTGGGATTATAGCTCTGAAGCTTACCGACAAACAGGCTGAGAGTAGTTAACGGACTACAGCTCCCAGCATATTAGGTGGGGCGGGTACCACTCTGCCCCTTCTTCCAGGGTTGCCCCTCGCCCTGGAGCCTGGTGCATGCTGGGATTGTAGTCCTGTAGCCCTTTGACCCAAGGGTTGGGAGTGTTTATGAGAGTGCATCTTCCAACAATCCTAGGGAGGCGCGCACAGCCCTGCCTCGTCCTCCAGTGACGCGCACTTTCCCGGAGCCCGGTGCATTCTAGGATTGTAGTGCTGCAGCCCTGTGACCAAAGGGCTGGGAGTGTTTATGAGACTGCATCTCCCAGCAAGACCAGCGAGATGCGCGGAACCTCGTCCCTTCCTCCAGTGATTAGCGCACTCTCCCTGAGCCTGGTGCATGCTGGGATTGCAGTGCTGCAGCCCTGTGACCAAAGAGGTTTGTTATAGTTATCTGTGAAGTATTCAACAAATTACTTTACTTCATTATTACTGGAAGCCAGAAGCTCAGTTGTGTTCACTTTTTGGATTTTATATAAGTGAGATTGTGTAATATGTATACTTTTACATCTACTTTCTTCTATGCAACATTATATTTATGATATTAATTCATGATATTGCAGATAGCTATAGTTTATTTAAAATTATTTTTTACATTGTGGTAAAGTATACATAAAATTAACCATTTTAGCTATTTTAAGTGTGCAGCTCAGAAAAATTAACTACTTTCACATTGTTTTGCAACTGTCATTACCACTCATAGGGACCTTCTTTCAACTTGCAGAAACAAAACTCTATACCCGTTAAATAAGCTCCTTGTTACTCTCCCTCTAGCTCCTAGGAACCACTCTTCTATTTGGGTTTCTAGAATTTAACTACTCTAAGTATCTCATAAGTGGAATGATTCAGTATTTGTCCTTTTATGACTGGCTCATGTCACTTTGCACAATGTCCTTAAGGTTCATGCATGACGTACCATGTGTCAGAATTTCCTTATTTTACATAGCTGAATAACATTCCACTGTATGTATAAATCACATTTTATCTATTTATTCATTGATGGTAATTCAAACAACACTTGAGTAATTCAAACACCTTTTTGGTGATGTGAGTAATGCTGCTATGAACCTAGGTGTATGTGTATTATTTTGTGTCTTTGCTTTCATATCTTTTGCTGCATACCCAGATATGAAATTGCTGGATCGTATGGTGATTTTATGTGTAAATTTTTTAGTTATTGTGTTGTTATTTTATAGCAGCTGCAGCATTTTACATTTCCACCAACAGTGTACAAGGATTCTAATTGCTCCACGTCCTCACCAACACTTCTGATTTTCTGTTTTGTTTTTTGTCTTTTGGTAGTAGCTATGCTGATGGGTATTAAGTGATATGTCATTTGGGGTTAGATTTGCATTTCACTCATGATGAGTTTTGTTGAGCGTCTTTTCATGTGCTTATTAGCCACTTTACATAATTTTTAGAGAAATGTCTGCTTAAGTTTTTGCCAATATTTTAAACAAGTAGTTTGTTTTATTGTTGCTGAATTGTTCTTTGCATATTCTGGATAGATTCCTATTCGTCAATTTTTCTTTTGTTTCTTGTGTTTTGGGTGTCCTGTTTAAAAAAAAAACTGCCAAATCCAGTGTTATGACGTGTTTCCCCTATATTTTATTCTAAGAATTTTGTAGTTTTAGCTCTTACATTTAGGTATTTGATCCAGTTAGTTAATTTTTTCTTACAGTATAAGTGAAGGGCCCAGGTTCATTCTTTTACATGTGGGTGCTTAATTTCCCCAGCACCAATTTTTGTGAAGACAGTTCTTGGCTGGGCGCGATGGCTCACACCTGTAATCCCAGCACTTTGGGAGGCCGAAGCGGGCGGATCACGATGTCAGGAGATCAAGACCATCCTGGCTAGCAAGGTGTCCGCTGTGCTCCTGATCCAGCGAAGCACCCATTGTCACTCCCAATAGGGCTAAAGGCTTGCCATTGTTCCTGCACAGCTAAGTGCCTGGGTTCATCCTAATCAAGCTGAACACTAGTCACTGGGTTCCACGGTTCTCTTCCGTGACCCACAGCTTCTAATAGAGCTATAACACTCACCGCATGGCTCAAGATTCCATTCCTTGGAATCCGTGAGGCCAAGAGCCCCAGGTCAGAGAACAGGAGGCTTGCCACCATCTTGGAAATGGTCTGCCAAAATTAAGGAAGTGGCCTGCCACCATCTTGGGAGCTCTGGGAGCAAGGACCGCCCCATGGTAACAGCACCTTAACTATGCGTCCCCAAGGACCTACAGATCACAGGGCAACAGGGGCTGTGAGGGAGTTGTCTGGATTTCCCAAGGTGGAGGAGGTAAAAAAGGAGATGGATCTCAAGCTCCTGCACCAGCACCAGCGAGAGACAAAGGCCCCACCAAACGCCGGAAGCCACACCCTCCTCTCTTCTCAAACTGTGTGCCTGATTGGGTGGTTCCCACACCAGCGCCACTGATTGAATAAAACACCAGGACCCACCCACCCGCGCCCCACCCCGGCCCCTACCCCACTCACCCTGAGCGTTAGTGCATTTTTGTTTGTTTCTTTGTTTTACTTTAAGTTTTGGGATACATGTGCAGAACGTGCAGGTTTGTTACATAGGTTTACATGTACCATGGTGGTTTTCTGCACCTATCAACCTGCCATCTAGGTTTTAAGCCCCACATGCATTAGATATTTGTCCTAATGCTCTCCCTCCCCTTGACCCCAACCCCCTAACAGGCCCCGGTGTGTGATGTTTCCTTCCGGTGTACATGTGTTCTCATTGTTCAACTCCCACATATGAGTGAGAACATATGGTGTTTGGTTTCCTGTTCCTGTGTTAGTTTGCTGAGGATAATGGTTTCCAGCTTCACTCAGGTCCCTGCAAAGGACATGAACTCATTCTTTTTTATGGCTGCATAGTATTCCATGGTGTATATGTGCCACATTTTCTTTTTCCAGTCTATCATTGATGGGCATTTGGGTTGGTTCCAAGTCTTTGCTATTGTAAACAGTGCTGCAATAAACGTAAATGTGCATGTGTCTTTATAGTAGAATGATTTATATTCCTTTGGATATATACCCAGTAATGGGATTGCTGGGTCAAATGGTATTTCTGCTTGTAGATCCTTGAGGAATCACCACACTGTCTTCCACAATGGTTGAACTAATTTACACTCCCTCCAGCAGTGTAAAAACGTTTCTGTTTCTCCACAGCCTCACCAGCATCTGTTGTTTCCTGACTTTTTAATAATTGCCATTCCAACTGGCGTGAGATGGTATCTCATTGTGGTTTTGATTTGCCTTTCTCTAATAACCAGTGATGATGAGATTTTTTTTAATATTTGTTGGCCACATAAATGTCTTCTTCTCCTTCTTCTTCTTCTTCTTCTTCTCCATTTTCTTGTTCTTTGAGACAAAGTCTTGCTCTGTCACCCAGGCTGGAATGCAGTGGCAGGATCTTGGCTCACTGCAACATCTGCTTCCCGGGTTCAAGTGATTCTCCTGCTTCAGCCTCCTGAGAAGCTGGGACTACAGGCACCTGCCAATATACCTGGCTAATTTTTTGTGTTTTCAGTAGAGACGGGATTTTACCATGTTGGCCAGGCTGGTCTCAAACTCCTGACCTCATGATCCACCTGCCTCCACGTTCCAAAGTGCTGGGATTACAGGCGTGAGCCACCACACTCAGTCAAATATCTTCTTTTGAGAAGAGTCTGTTCATATCCTCTGCCCACTTTTTAATGGATTTTTTTTCTTGTGAATTCATTTAAGTTCCTTGTAGATTCCGGATGTTAGACCTTTGTCAGATGGATAGATTGCAAAAATTTTCTCATTCTGTAGGTTGCCTTTCACTCTGATGATAGCTCCTTTTGCTGTGCAGAAGCTCTTTAATTAGATCTCATTTGTCAATTTTGGCTTTTGTTGCAATTGCTTTTGGTATTTTGGTCATGAAGTCTTTGCTCATGCCTATGTCCTGAATGGTATTGCCTAGGTTTTCTTCTAGGGTTTTTATGGTTTGGGGTTTTACATTTAAGACTTTAATCCATCTTGAGATAATGTTTGTGGAAGGTGTAAGGAAGGGGTGCAGTTTCTGTTTTCTGCATATGGCTAGCCAGTTTTTTCAGCACCATTTATTAAATAGAAGATCTTTCCCCATTGCTTGTTTTTGTCAGGTTTGTCAAAGATCAGATGGTTGTAGATGTGTGGTGTTATTTCTGAGGTCTTTGTTCTGTTCCATTGGTCTATATATCTGTTTTGGTACCAGTACCGTGGTGTTTTGGTTACTGTAGCCTTGAAGTATAGTTTGAAGTCTGGTAGCATGATGCCTCCAGCTTTGTTGTTTTTGCTTAGGATTGTCTTGGGTGGACAGGCAAACAGGCTCGAATAGTTGGGGTCACATGCCCAGAGTATCACAGCTAATTAAGAAGTGAGCTGAGACTTGAAATGCGCATGCTCTTTCCCTTACCAGGATCTGTTGTGTCATGCATCTTAGCAGCTATTTAAGGGTAGGAAGTAGAACATTTGGACATCTTTTTAACAACTTATTAGGCATTTTCATAATGCGGGAAAGACCCTCATCCCATCCCTGAGCCCCTCTCTCACCACGCTGCACCTCACTGCTGACCACATCGTGGGGTGGCCATTATCAGGCGGGCCAGAATCAGGCCAGAATCAGGCAGGCAGCGGGGGCTGGGAATAAATAAGCAAGAATAATGTTGCCCATATTTGCTCATCTTAGAAAGGCTCCACAACCATTCTGTGTGAAGTGATTATTCCAGGGTAATTGTGCCCTGACTGTGCTGCATCTCAGTCTGACTTGTCTTTTTGAAAATCACTGGATTACTCTCATTAATAGGGGTATTTCTGTTTCTATTTGAAAATGGCCAACTGTCCTCTGCAGGTGTCCTGATTTGGTTTGCTAGTTTAGACCCTGAAGGTAGCAGTGAGAAAATGTTTTGGCCACATCAGAATACCTATTCTCAGCTGGAGTAGATATAGAAATTTCTTAATAATATCTAACCGTTTTCTCTATAACCATTATATTTAACAGTGATAACTGGAGGGCAGAGAGGGACACAGATGACACAATCTTTGAAGTTTAATTTGGTTATAAGGTTTTTTGTTCTTGTTTTGTTTTGCTTTGTTTTTGGATACAAGGTCTTGCTCTGGTGCCCAGGCTGGAGGGCAGTGGCACAATCATAACTCATAATTTGGTTGTAACTGTTCTTTAAAAAATATTTTTGGCTGAGTTTGGTAGCTCACACCTGTAATGTAAACAATTTGGGAGGCCAAGGTGGGATGATCGCTGGATCCTATGAGTTCAAGACCAGTTTGGGCAATATAAGTAGGCTCAGCCTCTACAAAAAAAATTTTAAAATTGGCTGGGTGTAGCATTGCATGCCTGTAGTGTAGTCCTAGCTATTTGAGAAGCTGATGTGAAAGGATCACTCGAGCCTAAGAGTTTGAGGCTGCACTGACCCATGATTCAGCCACTTCACTGACAGATGTGTGTGTGTGTGCGTGTGTATGTATAATCAATATGGATGTGAAAAAAATTCAAGCCCGGGAGAAAAGTGAAAGCCCATAGTGGGGGATGTGGAGAAAGGTGAGTGCGGCTCCAGCAACTCAGTGAAACTTGGTTTTCCATCTTGAAGAATTGCCCATACACACTGAAACCATAGCCTAGAACATGCCAGTTATCACACTACACCTGCTGGGATACCACTATGTACCCTTTTTTAAAAAAATAAAATCTTTCACCTAAGAGAAGCAGAAGAGAAAAGGAGGGTTTCACATCTAAAGCCTTCATTTTCTTTATGAAACAACAGCCACTTGTCATTTGAGTTGTCCAAAGGCGACTGACAGCACTAATACACTTAATGAATCAACCAGGAAAAATGGGCCTCTCGGGTGAGGAGGAGGCACAATAGTAACTAAACCCAATCCATTCTCAGCTTTACATGGTGCCCGTATCTTAAGAAGTGGTGTTAGCCATGTGAACCGTTTTCACTGGACAAGGCCAGAAGAAAGAACATTTAGTACAACACAATCATGAGGCTGCAAATCAAACTGGTAGTGGGAGCATGCACAAGGCTTCAGTGGCTGAGACACTGGTGGCTACCCTTGGGTGTCACTTAAAACTTCGAGGTGAAGGACATTTTTTTTCCAATTGGCTCAGGGAAACTAATAAACATTAGAATTGAAATTTGTTTTTCTTTTCAAAATCTCTAAGACATAGAGGATTCTCTAAACACTCCAAAAGACATTCAGATATACATGCAGCTGAGGACCTGCCTGCTCTGCAGAGGGATGGCTGAGCAGCAGCCACCAGCTGTAATAGCTTTAAACTTCTCCTCTCACAGGGACAGGCCACTCCCACACACACCGGTTACTTCATAGGCTGTGGCCCTCAGATGCACCTGGGGGACTCCTTTCCTCCCATCTCATTAGCTCTCCAAGACAGTCCATCTCACTCTAAAAGCTACACTAGGATGGTGAGTTGTAGACTCTCCTCCATTCTCCCAGCGCAGTGTGACTTCCAGAGAGTGCTCCCCCATCCTCTTACCTCAACTGATGTGAAAAGGGCCAGTGCCTGGGCAGTTAGATGTTCAGTGACCTCACAGGTCCAGCATGCCCAGGGCCTGGCCCCACAGCCTGGCACCTCTCCCCTACCTGGCCTTCATGCCGGCCTTTTCTCTTCTGTCACCAATGTCAGGTGACATTCACCTGTGCCACACTCTCATGAGCGTGGTAAGTGATGGGTGGGTAAACCCCAGCTGAGTGCCTGTGACTCTACCCTCTTACCTTTCACTCAAGTGACATTATAAGCATAATTTTACATTTGATTTCATTTATGCATAATCTTTTCTTATAACATTTCTGACAACAGCCCTCACAACCAAAGGAGACTGGGTTACAGAACACACGGGCAAGGCTGGGGTAGCAGGTTTCACTTACTTTATTCCAATGTGAAATGAAGATGTGATGGTTTAAAACCAAGACAAAGTTGTTTATCAGCTGTGGGGTTGCTACACTTGCTAGCTCATGCTCACTTCCTTTGAAACAAGGAATCTGGAGAGACTATATTCATAAGTAGCTCTTTGCAAAACCCCAGGCAGAAGCCCCAGTCAGACACAGCTCCCTCAGGCTCTCAGGGCGGCAACTTCCTCCTCCATGTTGGGCTCTGCCAGCAGGCAAGGGAAGAGCTCCCTCAGGCTCCCAGGGCGGCAACCTCCTCCTCCACGTTGGGCTCTGCCAGCAGGCAAGGGAAGAGCTCCCTCAGGCTCCCAGGACGGCAACCTCCTCCTCCATGTTGGGCTCTGACAGCAGGCAAGGGAAGCAGCATAGGCAGCGGGGGACAGGAAGCCACCCGGGGCCATAGGGATCCCCAAACGCCCCAGAGCTATTCTCTGTAGAAAGGGCTGTGTGGCAAGGACCAGGTATGGAGCTGGGTTCCACAGAGAGGTGACAACCACTTTGCATCTCTAAATTTCCCCCGGGATCCATGATCCAGCCCTGCTTTTCCCCAGGCCCTTCACCCACCCTGCCCCCACTGTGTGTTAGGCAGCTCGGGTTAAAATGGGAGAAAAATATATTCAGATTGTAGCCTCCAAGTTTTCCCATCTGGGCTGCAGAGAGTAGGGAAGGAAGTCGGGGCCTGTGGCGGTGCCTTTTGCTGTGCCTGAGGGCAGGAAGGCCAGGGCTGGGCGGGTGGATGTCTCCGGGACCACCACTGCTGACTCCCTCCCCCTCACCTGGAGCTACAACCAGGCCAGGCTATCACGATTAATAAAACCACTGCAGCTCTCATCCTGTCACAAAACTAATGTGCACCCAACCCCAGCCCTACACAGATCCCTAGCTTCCTATCCCAGAACACAGAAAATCCTCTTATCTTTTTTACTTAAAACCTGGACTTTAAGCTAGATTGGGCCTGGGGATAGTGGCAGCAAAAGCAACAGCCAGATGTATACAATCCAGATGTATACACTCAAGGGCACAGGCATATTCCACACTTGCTGAAGAATGAGAGGCCTGAGAGGCACCTGTTTCCCAGCTGCTAACTGATGTCCCCATTCATGTGTCTTCATTTAGGCCTCTGTATCATGTACTTGTTCAGCCAGTGCAAACACATCTTCTGGGGGGCATCATTAATTGCAGCACCAGCCCCACTTGTTTTGGGAGGGAGTCAGGAGGAATCTGGTCAGCTCCTAATCCCCCAGGACAAAGGTGCTGCCCCCTTTTCAGCACTCACATCCAGCAGCATCATGTTGGGATGGTTTTTCAAACACAAGTAGCATGAGGTAGCACGCATGCTGTTAAAGGCTCAGGGCCACAGGCAGCCAGCTGCTGGAGAAACAGCACAGGGCAGGCACATCTGTGGGTGGCACCATGATAAGCCAAGGCAGCCACAGCCCCTACCCACAACAGCCCCAGCCCAGATGGCATTCAAATCTTCCCGGATAGTATTGGGGTTCCCGATGCCCATCACTCCCCTGCTCATTAGCACTGCCTTGTGTTGGTTACTCAGGGACTAAGGAGAGAGGGTGGGGGTGTAGGTTCAGGGTGGGCACTGCCTCGCAGCCAGAGTCCACCTGACTGCAGGCCAGCAAGCAAGCCCAAGCAGCTCAGCTCTAGACACTTAGCCTCACCACCTCTGGCTACATTTTCTATGTATACTTTATGCAAAGGTAGAAAAAGAGGTCAGTATTAGCTGTTGTGACATAAAAGTCTATGCCCCATTAAGACCTTCTTAAAATGCTGTTGTCTTAAGCCCTCTTTCTTCTAATAAAATTTATACAAATACACACATACAAGCTGAAACTACTATAAATGAAATATTAGGATTTTTTAAACCCATAAGCAAACACTAAAACAGTCACTGTTTGAATGCAGAGAAAGTGGGAGTCTAAAGCAGCTGACCCCAAAACAGCCTTACCAAGCCCAAGGCCAGGCCAGGCAGTCTGAACACTACGAGGTCACGTGATGGTCACAGAGGATGACAGCTCCCATGAGTATTCTCAGGCACTGTGTTAGCTTCTCACTCACAGAGTCTCAGAATGCCTCCTCACCAATACCCTGTGAGGGAAGGCCCCACCTCACTAGAGCACAAGAGGTTCCTGAGCTCTTCCCAGAAAATGGTTATCAAAGGGTGGAGCTGGGGGAAGCCCAGACAGAACAAGTGAGTCCCCAGGGTCTCCTTAACCTCCCTCAGCTCCTCCACATGCGGCCCTGAGGGAAAGTGAGCGGCCTCCTAACCCCTTTGATAGGGTTCCAGTACTGCAGGTCTGGACTTCCTTATTTTCTGGAATCATAGGAGGTGACAATGCAAACCCAGGCCCCTTATTTGCCATCCCTCAATGCCAGGCCAGGCCCAGAGCCCTGTGCTGACACAGCCCAGGGGATGCTCGAAACCCACCTCAGCACAGTCACCAATAGCATAGTGAGATGAGCAAGGAGGTGCAAGTAGGCACAAATCCCCATGGACATGGCCTCAGGCATGTTCCACAGGCTCAGGGTCTCCCTGATGAGCTCCCAGCCCTCCTTCAGGGAGCCTGCAGAGCACACCCCCAGGGAGCAGTGCTCAGATGAGCAGGCAGACCCCAGATCCCCCACCCCAGGATGCTCTGTTCCACTTTGCAGGGCTGCTGCATTCGCCAGTCCCCACTGCTTTCTGGTGGGATGTTTGAGTTGAAGTGAATGTTGAAGGGCATACAGCTGACGGAGCTGACTGCCTTGCAGAAGTTGTAAATCACCTCCTGGCTCCACGGGTCAGCTGTGGAGACACAGCTTGATTGGAGGTAGCCCCCCTCTACCATCAGTGGTGCTGGGCTGCCCTGATCTGCACCTTCCAGCTCCTTGCTGAGATGTCTTCATGCTTCTCTAAGGGACTGGGTCACGAGACACCCCTGGGAAGGCCCAGCTGGCAGAATAGGCTGGACACTCTCCCTCAGCCTCCCCAGCAGCCCGGCCTGTGCTGTCACCTGTGCTGATGATCTCACTTCTCTATCTTAATAACAGCACTGATAACTTTTAAGCCCTAGCAAGCTGAAACTGCAAGACAAATGATCTTCTGCCTTAGAAGGGCTATGGTTGGGCAGTGTGTGCCCAGGTGAGAGCCCTGTGGTTGTTAGTAGAAATAGGGAGCTGGATGGGCCTGGCCCCATAGCCTAGTGGAAAGTAGGGCCCTCTCCTTCCAGAGCATCAAAGTCTTAGAGGCTAGAAAAAGGTGCTTGGGTGGGCTGCCAAGAAGCAGAAGGCTAGAAGGCTTTGCAAGGAACCCCAACAGACTTCAAGGTGCCTGAGAGGGCTGGGCTTATTCCAGCTTTCTTTGCTTTCATCCTGTTAGCAAGAAAACCTGCTCACAGATGGCAGGTGGGCCTGAGGCTGCCAGTCACTCACCAGGGGCTATAGGTGCCTTGATTGTGGCTGTTTCTTGAAGCAGCTGCTCAGGCCGGTTATTGCAGAGCAGTTCCCTCATTATCCACAGGTCCTTGTTCCAGCCCTGGCTCTGCAAAGGGACTAGGGAGGGACTAGGCAAGGGCTCAGCCTGTGCCCCACAACCTGCTCTGAGATATCTCTTTTGTTACTTCCTCATGGACAGCCTCAAACTTCCAAATGAACAGACCAGCATGGAGCCTCCAGGAAAGTGCATAGAATTCTGTCTGGTACCCAGAGGGAAGGGGGTTCCCAGTGAGGGCAGGACCAGGCTTCATGCACCTCTTCAGGAATGTTCTCCTCATAGTCCAGCCTCAAGGTGTGCATCCTCTGTGTGCATGGAGTCCATGGCAGGCTCTGCCTGGGGAGCCGTCCAGCTGCACACCTGCAATGTGGTGGTGACCCTCTTGAATGGGTGGTTCTGGGCCCCATGGCTGGCAGCAGAGAGGGAGATGTTCAGCCACCAAGCCCAGAGCCCTGCCACAGGCTTCTGTGAGGCCTCCATCTGCTCTGGGTTCTTGCCCTGAGAGGCTGCCCTGAAGTCAGACAGAAGCAGGTGGGCCTCTCTTCCAGGGCTGCTCTCTCCCCCACTGACAGCTCCCTAGAGGGCGACTCAGACAGTGGGGACAGATTCTTCAGGCAGAAGCACTGGAGTTTAGGCTGGCCGGTTCATTCCATACCCCCACATGACATGACACAAGGCAGAGGCTGTGGGACAAAGGCATTGCCTTTTCTTCTGGCATGAGGAACGGCTTAGGAAGCAGGGGATGGTGGGGCTGGGGTTGAGTGATGGGCTGTGGGCCACAAGGAGTGGGTGGGCACTGAGCAAGTGTCCTGGTTGTCTGTCCACAGACCCAGAACGAGTGGCATCCCAGGAGCCTGTGAGGGGCTGGCAGAGACTTACTGGTTCCAGTAAAAGCCCCATGTGGATGCAGTAATGCTGCCTGCTGGTCCTTGGCTGTAATTACAAACAGGTACAAGAGGTACCCATGCTTCTTGAAGCTCTCAGGGAGTGGGTTCCAGCTGCTCATGGTAGGCACTTTTAGTCACTGAACGTGCTTCAGGTATGTCCAAGTTTGATTAAGCCAGGCATCTTGCTGTGAGGCCCTCCACTTCACTAAGGACACTCTTCCTTTCTCCCCCTGGAAGTTGGACCTTCCAGTTCTGGTTCTGGAGACACGATGGCCCCCCCTGGACCTATATTATCCTGGCTCCTATATTTACTGTCCCAGTTCTAGTATCAGACATTTCTTCAAAGAGCCTGATTCCTTTCAGAATGGTAGGAAAACTTGCATCTGGCTGCTGAATGAGCACATTGTATCTTGTCCCTCATTGGCAATGCTAGGAAGTATATGTGTGTGTCTAACCTACCTATACACACCTAATTATAAAGTTTTCTATGTAGAACTGTGTGTATCTATATTAAACTAAACATAAGTTTACATTGATGTCTCCACCTCTGATCTACTATCACATGAATCATTCTAGCCTTCTCGCCTTGCTAATTTGTAACCTCCCACTTCAACAGTGAGAAACCTGGTTCCCACCATCTGTGACTTATGTAAGTCATTGTTTTATTCCAGATACAGACACCGTGGTTTTACAATTGTTCACAATTGCTTCTGTTGGAAAGAACTTTATAAAATGGAATCCAATGATGAAGTATAGTTCATTTGCCATCAGCCTACAGATTCTATTCATTTTCAAAGTTACTTAGGTCAACACCATTTTCCCTACACCTTCAGTGAGTTTTTACCTACATTTGTGTCTTAGTCCATTTTGTGCTTCTGTAACAGAATACCTGAGGCTGCATAATTTATAAGTAAAAAAGGTTCATTTGGCTCACAATACTGGTGGCTGGGATGTCTGAGATTGGGCAGTTGCATCTGGTGGGGCCTCAGTCTTTTTCACCTCATGGTGGAAAGTGGAAGGGGAGCAAGGGGTGCACCAGAGATCACATAGCAAAAGTGAAAGCAAGAGGGAAGCCAAGGAAGCCAGACTCTTTTTAATTACCTAGTCCTGCAGGAATTATCTATTCCTGTGAGAACAGAACTCACTCACCCCCATGGAGGACATTAATCTATTCATGAAGGATCCGTCCCCACGACCCAAACACTGTCCACTAGGCCCCACCACCCCACACTGACACAGTGGGGGTTAAATTTCAACATGAGCTTTTGCGGGGACAAACCACATCCAAACCATAGTAATTTGTAGCATAAATTCTTTTTCACATGATGTATTCTGTCCTGGGATACTCCACATCCTGAGTAATTTTATTTAATTTGAATAGAGTTTGCTTTAACCATTTGCCTGTAAAATTCTGCATATTTTGAAAAATGCATTGTGGCAGATATCCCACTATTAAAGTATCATATGGAATGCTTCAAACCCCCACCCCATGGAGCCAATGGCTTCCCATCTGTGTAGTTTGCCTTCTCCAGTGTCTCATTAAATGAGGTCACACTGTGTGTATCCTCCTCAGACTGTCTTCTTCCACTTAGCAATGTGCATGTAAGATTCACTCATGTCTTTGTGTGAGTTGATAGCTTGTTCCTTTGTATGGCTAAATAGTATTCCATTACATGAATGTACCACAATTTGGTTATGCATTTTGGGGAGCAGAACCTTCCTTTTCTAACTTTGTTCCAGGGTTGGAGACCTTAAAATTAACTGACAATAGATGCATTAGTAGGAGAGACAATACTTGGCTTCTTGTTCCCCAAGTATCATTGTGGGACAAAATTCATCAGATGGCAGGATCCAGTTCGCAAAGAGGTAAAAATAGTCAAGAAACAAGAAACAAGACTAGAATCTGATAACCCACAATGGCTATAGTTTTCCTTTAAAAAAATTTTTTTTGAGACAGGGTCTGGCTCTTTCACCCAGACTGGAGTGCAAAGGTGCAATCTCAGCTCACTGCAACCTCTACCTCCTGGGTGCAAATGATCCTCCCTCCTCAGCCTCCTGATTACCTGGGACTACAGGCACACGCCATCATGCCCATCTAATTTTTGTATTTTTGGTAGAGACAAGATTTCACCATGTTGCCCAGGCTGATGTTGAACTCCTGGCCTCCCAAAGTGCTGTAATTATAGGCATGTGCCACCATGCCCGGCCATGTTATACTTTTCCATTGAAACATTAAATTTCTCTCTGTAGTAACCATCATTTTTGATCACAATCAAAGTAAGACTATTCTTGTTTTAAAAATAAGTCTAGTTTTGTTAGATTTTGCTTGATTATTTACGTAAGTGCAGCAAGAACAGGAGATGACCACGTAGGTGCTTTCAGGTTTCTTTGCTGGAAGTTTTCATACAGAATCTCAGATTTGACTTTTAAAGCCCTTATTCAGGCTAAAAGCCAAGCCAAGAACATACTATCAAATTTCAGCTGTAGTCCTTATAGTTTTGTGTGAATTCCTCTCTTCTTGAGGCCCCAAAATATCCCTAAATTCCTGGGCCTACCATGAAATGACCTTCCTTACTAACCTATAAGGCTGTGAACCCTGTAATCTAGGTATCAGGCTGGCTTTTCTCAGAGTGCTGTTGGGAATGAAGTTTTTGATGTTCCAAAAAAAAAAAAAAGAATTAACATGGGAACAAATGATCTCTTAGCAAGGTGAACTTTACTTTTCTGCAGAAAGGGTGCTACTCAATAGCTGTCCAGCCACAAGAACACATCAAACAAAGGAGACAGAGTTACTTATAACCTGATGTATCTACCCTACTGCTGTGTCCAGTTTCCATTGGCTGGAATAGGACCTCACAATTTACACTTTACCCGATTGGCTGTTAGTTTAAAACTTTCTTAATTAGGTAAGGGGAATAGAAGAAAGAAAGAAAAGGAAGTTGCCCAAGGATAGTTAAGGAAGCATCTCCAAATAAGGAATTGCATGTACTATGGGCTGGGGCTTGTCTAGTTCTGTCCAGGCATGCTGGAGCAAGCTAGGACAAGTGATTTGGAATACATACACACACACACACACACACACACACATAAAAATAGTGGATAGTTGTGACTTTATAATCTTTGAGGAAGAACTTTCCTCAAAGTTTTCCACAGTGCTTTGTAAGCATTGTCTCCATAAAAGTCAACCTTACTTCCTTAAAATTGCTTGTCATAACTGATCTTAGGTACACTTCCTAAATATGATATTCCAGTAAAAATCTTGATAATATAACCAAAATTTCCAATTATGTCCTGTTATAAGGTGAATAGATTCTTATTGGACTTTTGCTAACAACTATATCATCATGGAAATGAGAGTATTCAGTAAGGATTTCAAAATTCTGGAAAAATCAGGCAGGGAAAAAAAGATAAATGCTTCATTTCTGTTTACAAAAGTATAATCTACTAAATTGTTGCAAGTTACAGTTAGAGTAAGAGAAAGAGATTTCTTAAATCCAGAAACTAGAATATTAAAGAACCAGCAATGCTCCAAAAAGCTATAAAATTATAATCAATTTTCATCAGTTCATTCAGTGCCATGTAATCAATTCCAGTCTTGTGGATCTTGGGTTAGCAGTGTCAGGAACCCATCAATTTCCCAACCAGACTTCTGGAGACCTTAACTGAGTCAAGCGTATGGTCTTAAAGTTATTTAAGCAATATCATCAGAAGCCTATAACCAGAGTACCTGTCATAGTCTTTTCTGTGAGTCTCAGAGGGAGTCCTGTCTTGGAGACGAATATTCTGACCTGTAGCTGATTGCAGGAGCTTTCAGGAAAGCATCAGGGGGAAATAATATCTAAATGACCAAAAGTATGAAATGGCTGTGATGAAAGATCTGAGGAGAGTTCATTATACCACAACTGACAAGGATATTCGATTTTTTCTGTGGCATACAACATATATTTATTTATTTATTTAGAGACAGAGTCTCACTCTGTCGCCCAGGCTGGAGTGCAGTGGTGCGATCTCGGCTTACTGCAAGCTCTGTCTCCCAGGTTCACGCCATTCTCCTGCCTCAGCCTCCCAAGTAGCTGGGACTACAGGTGCCTGCCATCACGCCCGGCTAATTTTTTGTATTTTTAATAGAGACAGAGATTCACCGGGTTAGCCAGGATGGTCTGGACCTCCTGACCTTGTGATCCACCTGCCTCAGCCTCCTAAAGTGCTGGGATTACAGGCATGAGCCACTGCGCCTGGCACAACATTTAAAATAATAATTGGAATTATGACTCATTACTCTATGGTGGCACATAGCATGGATAAGGAGGACATTGACAAATTTCCAGGAATTTTATATAATTTCTGAAAACATAACATTTTACCCATACAAATATAACACAGGGAAGGTTAGGTATCTCTTTTTATTTGTATCTTATGTATGGTTTTCCTTATAAAAAATACAACCTACTTTACTTGTGAAACATGCCCCACTTTTCTTGCATGCTTAGCATAGAGTTGTTTCTAGTTATTCTATTATTTCTAGTAGTTTTATTTACATATATTGATTATAATTTTAATACTTAGTAATCTTTTATTTTCCAGAGAAAACTGGGAAGTAGACAGTTATAAGCTGTAATATATTAGCATTCTATAGTAGGTTAGAAAATGTATGAATATACCATCTCCCAACATCTAGAGGGAAGTGTTTCCTCATAATACAATTCCTCAGTGTGGCAGAAAAAAACATGTTTATTAACGGGCCAAAATATCTTTAGTCTCTCTGTAAAAATAGGAAGCCAAAAGTATATAAACTTGAATTACTTGTGTTCAGTAATTAATGTTTTAGTATTGTATCTTATTTATAAATGGTCTAGATATTTAATGCAAATCTTTTACTTAGCTTAACTTTAAGGTTAAAAATTACCAAAAGTACTTTGGAGACTATTCTTAGGCAGATTTACTGTAAACAAATTATATTTGAAATAATGTTTTTTGCTTTTCACAAGATGGCACCAAAAGCGAAGGAAGCTCCTGCTCCTCCTAAAGCCAAAGCCAAAGCGAAGGCTTTAAAGGCCAATAAGGCAGTGTTGAAAGGTGTCCACAGCCACATGCAAAAAGAAGATCCACATGTCACCCACCTTCAGGTGGCCCAAGACACTGTGACTCCAGAGGCAGCCCAGATATCCTCGGAAGAACACCCCCAGGAGAAACAAGCTTGACCACTATGCTATCATCAAGTTTCCGCTGACCACTGAGTCGGCCGTGAAGAAGACAGAAGAAAACTACACACTTGTGTTCATTGTGGATGTTAAAGCCAACAAGCACCAGATCAAACTGGCTGTGAAGAAGCTCTATGACAGTGATGTGGCCAAGGTCACCACCCTGATTTGTCCTGATAAAGAGAAAAAGGCATATGTTCGACTCGCTCCTGATTATGATGCTTTGGATGTTGCAACAAAATTGGGATCATCTAAACTGAGTCCAGCTGGCTAACTCTAAATATATGTGTATCTTTTCACCATAAAAAAATGTTTTTCATAAGAGTGACAACTTAATTAGAATCAAATCTATAAGCTTTAAGATTTTATGTTTCTAGTAATTATAATATTAGCTTATTTGACTAGAACTCAAGCAGAATGGGAATTTATGCTTGTTTTATATTCAATAGTGATAACTTTGAAGATATAGTTGTTTTATTATACCAAAAATATTATATTAATCTTATTTAACTAAGTTTTATCCAAATCGTGTTAACTTAAAAAACATTTGATCAGTTCCTATATTTCTAGGAGTTTGCTGAATATTTATTTATAAATGCTTATTTTTTTCCAAGCCAAGTTAGAATAGAGCACTTTTAGAGGACTTTATAAATGAATTTTGCAATGCTCTCCGGAGTTAAGAATATATCACATATACATAACATACTTTAACAGATATACAAACACAAATAGAGATTTCATAGCTTTCATCCTGAAATTTCAGACATGAATCAGGCATAAATATTCTGATGGTTAATTTTAGGCATCTACTTGATCGGATTAAGAGACACACATAGCAGGGGGGTGAGGCGCCCCCCGCGATGCGGGGTGTAAGAGCCAGCCCCTCTTCCCCCCTGGCTCTTAGGACCCCCATCGCAGGGGGGTGAGGAACCCCCCATGATGCGGGGAGTAAGAGCCAACCCCTCTTCCCCCCCTGGCTCTTAGGACCCCCATCGCAGGGGGGTGAGGCACTCCCCGCGCTGCGGGGAGGGCTCTGAGACTGGGGTCTGGGCTGTTCCGGACTTCAACACTCACCCCTTGTCCCCCCGCAGGGCTATGGTGTGTGCTCGGTGGGGCTGGAGTGGCTGGCTTACCTCCTCGTGCCTTACAGCCTGGGCGCCTCAGCCACCTCACTCCTGGGCCTGCTGGGCCTGTGGCTGCCACGCCCTGTGCCCCTGGTGGCTGGAGCAGGGGTGCACCTGCTGCTCACCTTCATCCTCTTTTTCTGGGCCCCTGTGCCTCGGGTCCTGCAACACAGCTGGATCCTCTATGTGGCAGCCGCCCTTTGGGTTGTGGGCAGCTCCCTGAACAAGACTGGACTCAGCAGTGAGTATAGCTGTGTGCACTGGGGGGGGGGGGGAGCGGGGGGGGCGGGGCAGGGGGCTTTATGGCTATCTGTGGGTGGTTGGCTAGACATAGACATCCCAGGGACAGATATGGGGTCCCATGGTCACATAGGGTCCTGTGGACATGGCAGAGGCAGGTGGGGCTTCCTGTGGACACTCTGGGGGTGGAAGGGAAGTCTCATGGACACATTGGGGACAGATGGGTAAGGCATGGACACCCTGGAGAGAGGTATGGGGTTTCCACGCCATGGACATTCCATTAATACCCCAGGGCGGGCACAGGGCCCCATCAACACTGGAGTGTCAGTGTGAAATCTCGTGGCTACACGGGGCAGGTGTGGGGCTCTGTGGACACCCCTTAGGGACAGTTTGAAAAACACATCAGGGATTCTCCCTTTTCATACCAGGGGACAGGGCTTACCCTGGCATAATTGTCATGACACTTGGAGCAGATGTTTTGGTCTCTGCCTCATGGAGCATGTGGTAGGAGCAAGTGGCCCGTTGTACATCCATGGCATAGATACAGACATGGGCCTTTGTATAGAGAGGAGCAGGCCTGCAGCCCCAACCCATTCTGCTCAGTACCAGAGTCCAGGCCCCAGGTCTGGGCTGCTGGGGAACAGGGCCCTGTTTGCAGAAGGCAGCGGGTGGGCCCATGTTCAGCTCCAGGATGCTCCCTGCCCACAGATGGGCACATGCAGTGACACACAGCTAGCACACATGGGCACAGTCCTGCGAGGCACCCATGTCAGTGTCTGTTCTGATGGGCCAAAGCTGTGAACAGTTTTGAACATCATCCTTGGGGGTGTGGAGTGGCAGAGGTCATGCCTGCTGCTGGCAGGGCATAGGCTGGCTCGGTGTCTCTGTCTGTAGCAGGGGCTGGAGCCTCATACTGCACCAGAGTCTCTTGGCCGTTTTTCCCAAAGATAGCCAATTCTGGGCAGAGTCCAACCTGGGTATCTTGGACCCATGTTGTGCCCTGTCTGGTCCTGGCATCCCCTCTGCCCAGCTCCATATCCCATCTCCTCCGGTCAACCCCAGGGGATCCTTGTCTCTTCATAGCAGCACTGTGGGGGTAAAGTCACCCTGCAGGGCCCCAAGACAGGAGTGTTCATGTCCTGAGTGCCTGGTGAAGGTGTTAACAGTGGTCCCTATGATTTGGCAGGTGCCATGCCCACTTTCTCACTTTAGAACTTCAGAAGACAGCACAGAATAGGCATAAGCTCATCTCACCATTGGGAAAAACAGCTCTGGGGAGTTAAGTACCCAAATCACCCACAGAGCCAACATTACAGTCCTGAGAACGAGTGTGCATCTTCTGACTCCCAATCCATTACTCTTGTTGCCCACCCTGGGAGGACTCACTGGAAAGGAAGCCCCACTCTCCATGCTTAGCTTCAGGTTTGGTTTGCAGAGTTGGCAGCTGCAAACAGTTCGATCTCTCTAGTCCCGGCTGAAGAGGAGAAACAGTGCCTGCAAGCTTGGCATTGCACACCTGGGGTTGTGGACAGGATATGACTAAGCACAGAGCTTTCTTCTTTTGAGGCCACGCATGTGGTGCGGAGCGGGACCACCTGCATCCACAAAGCCCGACGCACCTGCTCCTACTTCTGCTTAGCGTGTGAGCAGTGTGGTGACCAGGGTTTCCACCAGGGAGCAGGCCAGGACCAGCTCACAGCACTTTCTAGGTGCTCTCTGGTCCGGGGCTGGGACCCATACAGGGCTTAGTAAAGTTCATAGATGGTAGCTCGGCAGCCCCAGGCCCCAGGTGACACCTCTCCCCTGCCTGCCTTGTACTGCCTGCCTGCAGCACTCCTGGGAATCTTGTATGAAGACAAGGAGAGACAGGACTTCATCTTCACCATCTACCACTGGTGGCAGGCTGTGGCCATCTTCACCGTGTACCTGGGCTCGAGCCTGCACATGAAGGTGAGACTGGGCAGGGTTGGGGGCCCCATGCCCAATGACAGGTACTTCCTTAGCCCCTGCCCTGGCTTCACAGCTTCCTAAACGCCACCCCTTCCCAAGCCAGTCTCTGGGCCAAGCCTCATTCCTGCAGCCCACTGGGTGGCCCTCAACTCAGCAACCCACTTACTGGCCCACCTCCAGCCAGTCTCAGTTTGCCCATCTCTGAGGGGATTTGTGGGTGCATCACAGCCATCCTGTGGGCTGTTTGGTACCCTGTTCTCCAGATGATGGGTCTGTCTCCCTTTATGGCCTGAAGGGGAGCAGGCTCCTCAGGCGCTGCTCCCAAAAGATGGTGGCTCAGTCTAGCAAGTCCCAGTTGCTAAACATTTTTGAAAAATAGAACTAAAGGCCGGGCGCGGTGGCTCCCGCCTGTAATCCCAGCACTTTGGGAGGCCGAGGCGAGTGGATTGTCTGAGGTAGGGAGTTTGAGACCAGCCTGACCTACATGGTGAAACCTCATCTCTACTAAAAATACAAAAATTAGCCGGGCGTGGTGGCAGGCGCCTGTAATCACAGCTACTCGGGAGGCTGAGGCAGGAGAATTGCTTGAACTGGGAGGCGGAGGTTGCAGTTAGCCGAGACGGGGCCTTGGCACTCCATCCAGCCTAAGCAACAAGAGTGAAACTCCGTCTCAAATAAAAATAAAAATAAAAATAAAAATAGAACTAAAAATAGCAGGGAGTGGGCCGGGAACAGTGGCTCATTCCTGTAATCCCAGCATTTTGAGACACTGAGGTGGGGGTATCACCTGAGGTCTGGAGTTCGAGACCAGCCTGGGTAACAGGCTGTGAAACCCTGTCTCTACTAAAAACACAAAAATTAGCTGGGCATGGTGGCGCGTCCCTGTGATCCCAGCTACTCTGGAGGCTGAGGCACGAGAATGGCTTGAACCTGAGAGATGGAGGTTGCAGTGAGCCAAGATCGCGCCACTGCACTTCAGCCTGGAGGACAGAGCGAGACCCTGTCTCCCAAAAAAAAGAAAAAAAGAAAAAAGAAAAGCAGTGAGTGGGCAGGGCATGGTGGCTCATGCCTGTAATCCCAACACTTTGGGAGGCTGACGCAGGAGGATTGCTTGAGGCCAGGAGTTCAAGACCAGCCTGGGCAACATAAGAGACCCTGCCTCTACAAAAAATTTAAAAATTAGCTGGGAGTGGTGGCGCGTGCCTGTAGTTCCAGCTACTTGGGAGACTGAGGTGGGAGGATGGCTTGAGCCTCAAAGATTGAGGCTGAAGTGAGCATGCCACTGCGCTCCAGCAGTGGGTGGGGGGAGGGAGGGAGGGGGAGCGGTGGGGAAACGGAGCGACCGTGTCTCGAAAAAAGAAAATAGCCGGAAGTATGCATACAGATATGTGTGTATGTACTGAGCTATGTTGTAAAATCATTCCTGACTGCGGGTTATAGTCAAAACCCCATGAAAAGCATCACTACAGCCCACGGGTGTGTCAGGGACTCAGTGTTGTGAGCCCTGGGAAGGCAGGGCCTGTGGCCAGCACTTTATCAACACTGGCACATGCACCCTATGAGGCAAAGGGATTTGCATTGTCTCCTTACAGCGTGGGACACTGAGGTCGCCAGGGGCATGGTGACTGTAAGGGACAGTGCTGGATGTGAGCCTCGCCTGCAGGAGGCGGTCCAGGAAGAGTGGGTGGAGGGGCTGGAGAAGTTGAGGGCCGCGTGGCCCGGGAGGCTCCCGGAGGAGGGAAGGGCCTATCTCAGCGAGGGGCATAGGCGGGAAAGGTGTGGGGCGAGGCGGCCGCGGGTCCCTGGCATCCCTCTCCTTACGCCCAGGCTAAGCTGGCGTTGCTGCTGGTGACGCTGGTGGCGGCCACGGTCTCCTACCTGCGGATGGAGCAGAAGCTGCGGCGGGGCGTGGCCCCGCGGCAGCCCCGCATCCCGCGGCCCCAGCACAAGGTGCGCGGTTACCGCTACTTGGAGGAGGACAACTCGGACGAGAGCGACGCGGAGGGCGATCTTGGGGACGGCGAGGAGGCGGAGGCGGAGGCTCCGCCCGCAGGGCCCAGGCCTGGCCCCGAGCCCGCTGGACTCGGCCGCCGGCCCTGCCCGTACGAACAGGCGCAGGGGGCGATGGGCCGGAGGAGCAGTGAGGGGCCGCCTGGTCCCCGGACTCAGCCTCCCTCCTCGCCGGCCTCAGTTTACCACGTCTTAGGTCGGGGGGACCCCCTCCGAGTCCCGCGCTGTCTTCAAAGGCCCCTGTCTCCCCTCCCCCACGTTGGGGACGCCCCTCCCAGAGCCTGGGTCACCTCTGGGCTTCCGCAGCCCCCTCCAAGGCGGAGTGGAGCCTTGGGAACCCCTCGGCCAAGCACAGGGGTTCGAAAATACAGCTGAAACCCCGCGGGCCCCTAGCACGCGCCCCAGCCCCAGAGCAGGGTCAGGGTCTTCTTGCTACCTGGCCCCGCTCCAGATCCCCCCAGCTCTCGGCCGCGGACCTGGGCTGCGTGTGAGCGCGCTTTGCACCTCCTATTCCCAGGGTCCGCCGAGAGCCACGATTTTTTACAGAAAATGAGCAATAAAGAGATTTTGTACTGTCCTGACTGGGGAGTCCCAGGCCGCGGGGGACGGAGCGCCCCTGGGGTGCACGCCTGGCTGGCCCGGCCTCTGGGCGCGGTGGTGGGAGGCCCTGACCTAGGGGGGCCGCGGGGTGTGGGGAGTGCGGAGCACCACTGGGGGCGGGGCGAGGTGTCCGTAGGCCCCGTCCACCAGCCTGTCCTCCCTCCTGAGGCCCCGCCCCCCATAGCTGCCTGCCTTTGCCAATCCCAGCCAGGAGAAGGAAGCGACGGAGCGGCTGGCAGAGACAGAGGAGGGTGTGACCGCGTTGCTGGTCCCCCATGGGTCCTGAGGGCGCGACAGACTCCGGAGGCACACCCTCCAGGGGCCTGTGTAGGCATCCTCGGCCCTCCAGCGACCACCCCCGCGTCGGACAGGGTCCACTTCCGAGCCACGGTGGGGTCACCCTGTGCCCAGTAGGGGCCTTGGAAGTGGTGGCTGGAGGCCAGTTATGCTCGGTTACTACCCTTTCCCGGCTACAGCCTCAGCTGCGATGCCCACGAGAAACAGGCTGGTGGAGGGGCAGACCCCCTACAAGGCCTGAAGGTGCCGTTCCTCCACCCGCTCCTCTTGTGGCCAGAGGAGAGGGACACCCCCGCCATGAAGAGCTCTGAACGATTGGGTGAGGACAAGTGGGGGCCGTGGGAGGGCCATGGAGCCCCCAGCTGCACCCCAGCACGCCCGGGGCTGGCCCACACCATTCCTCACTCCCCACAGCCTCTCTACCCCTGACTTTGGAGAGGCCCTCGTCTGTACCTCCAGGCTCCATGCCTGCCTCAGCATCGCTCTATGGATTCTCCCAGCCCTAAACTGACCCCATCTCTCCTCTCTGCCCTCATGTGAGTTTGGTTCTTGAAGCCTCTAGTGGGCCCTGGGGCCAGACTCTGTGGCCTTGGACAGGGAGTCTCCCATCTGAGCCACAGGTTCCTTCTCTGTTGAGTGTGTGAGGTAACATGTTGGAGCCCTTAGTGTGGCGGCTGCAAGCTCCCCAGGGCCTGTAAGAAACACAAAAGGGTGCGGCGGGAGACTTGACATTTTCTAAATCTGGGAGGGAACGCTGCCTGCCTCACGCTGACCTTCAATGACAAGCAGACTCAGAAGCGGTCCCGAGGTGCCACCATAAGCTGGGTGAAGGCCAGCGCTGTGTGCTTCCAGTTCCCCTTCCGCATCTGTAGACTGAGTGTTCTCTGGAGGTGGCTGGCGACATCCTCCAGGCAGGCTCCAGCAAAACCAGTCGGAGCTGGGCAACCTGACGCTCGGATGATTCACCTCTGAATGGAGGGCAAGGTGATATTTGGAAGGGTGTGGGCCCCTGGGATGCTGGGCGAACGGGGAGCGGGTGCCTGGATTGTGGGCCTACAGCTCTTCCCAGTTCCGAGTCAATTCTAATGTCCATGGTGCCAAGGAACAGAGGCTCTGGTGTTGAGCAGACTTGAAGGTGATCCAGGCACAGGGAGTGGCCACTCAGGGGCTTGGCTCCTGGCTGTGCTCTTCCTATCTGGGCATTTCCCATGAGAAGGCCTCACAGGCCACCTGGCTGCTCCTGGCACACGGAGGATGCCCAGATGCTGACACGTGCCAGACAACACATATGTACACCTGATAGGCCACACACATGTAACATGCAAACACACGTGATGGGTAACACCTGTGACAGACACTACATGACAACACTCGTGCACACATGATGGGAAACACATATCACAGGCTGTGCGACGGGAAACACACATCACAGGCTGTGCAACGGGAAACACAGAGCAGGCAGTGCGACGGGAAACAGCGCAGGCAGTGCGACGGGCCCTGGCAGCAAGCTCAGCAGGCTGGCTCTTTTCGAGCAGGAGAAGAGCTCATTGTAAGGGATGACAGTGGCGTATGTGGCACCTCCCCTGTCCCCATCACCCCCGGATAAGGTGACTGGGTGGAGGTTCTGGACCCCTGAGTGGACGAACAGGTTGTGTCATGGCCTCCGTGTCTGATTGCCACCCTCGCTCCCAAAGCAACTCTGTGATTTTGTCGATCCGCACTGTGGGGATTTTTCTTTTTCTTTTCTTTTTTCTTTTTTTTTGCAACGGAGTTTCACTCTTGTTGCCCAAGCTGGAGTGCAATGGCGTGATCTCAGCTCACTGCAACCTCCATCTCCTGGGTTCAAGTGATTCTCCTACCTCAGCCTCCCGAGTAGCGGGGAATACAGGCGCCCACCACCATGCCAGGCTAATTTTTTTGTATTTTTATTAGAGACAAAGTTTCACCATATTGGCCAAGCTGGTCTCAAACTCCTGACCTCAGGTGATCCCCCTGCCTTGGCCTCCCAAAGTGCTGGGATTACAGACGTGAGCCATCATGCCCAGCTGGGATTTTTCAATTATGTGATTACAAGAATCTCCAGTCCAAGATTTTCCCTATCTTTAAGTTCTCAGTAGCAGGTTAGATAACCTGAGAAATCTCCCTCTTCAAAACACCTAGAAATGCTGGGTAAGAAACAAATGTCATTTTAACTATAGAGCTGAGGCCGGGCAAGGTGGCTCACACCTATAATTCCAGCACTTTGGGAGGCTGAGGCGGGTGGATCACCTGAGGCCAGGAGTTTGAGACCAGCCTGGCCAATGGTGAAACCCCATCTCTACGAAAAATACAAAAATCAGCCAGGAGTGGTGGCAGGCGCTTGTAATCTCAGCTGCTTAGGAGGCTGAAGCAGGAGAATCGCTTGAACCCAGAAGGCAGAAGTTGCAGTGAGCCAAGATCACGCCATTGCACTCCAGCCTGGGCAAAAGAGTGAAACTCCATCTCAAAAAATATATAAATAAAATAAAATAAAATAAAATAAAATAAAATAAATATATAGCTGAGTTCTTCAGAAAATAAGTTAAGTCCCCTAAAGCCAGAAGTGAAGAGGGAAGTGAGAACCAAGGTGGGGACAGAGGAGCTGGTGCTGCAACTGCCTGAGGGCAGGGCTGGGTTGAGCCTTGGAAGCCCTTAGAAGGCAGGGGGTCAGGGTTACAGTCAAGCATGATGAAGTTGGGGCCACAGAAATGCAACACCTTTAGAGAAAGGGACAGAAAAATTTCCACCCAGGGGAACAGAGAAAGGTGAGAAAATTTGAGCTTTAGGTGTTGAACAAGTTTCCCATGAGATCGTTGCGTTTTCAGGCCTCTCTTATATAAATGTGGAACTCCTACAATGAAGTCATGCTACCTGTGTGGTCTAGGAATGCCAGAGTTGAGATATTAGCACTAAAAAGTTGCTTTGGGCCAGGGGTGGTGGCTCACGCCTGTAATCCCGGCACTTCGGGAGGCTGAGGCAGGTGAATCACCTGAGGTCAGGAGTTCGAGACCAGCCTGGCCAACATGGTGAAACCCCCCTCTCTACTAAAAATACAAAAAATTAGCCATACCTTGTGTGCCTGTAATCCCAGGTACTCAGGAGGCTGAGGCAGGAGAATAGCTTGAACCTGGGAGGCAGAGGTTGCAGTGAGCTGAGATTGTGCCACTGCACTCCAGCCTGGGCAACAAGAGTGAAACTCCGTCTCAAACAAAAAGTTGCCTTGGCTTAGTGGTACCCTGGGGCCCCTGGAAAAGCCAAAGAGAAAACCTCTCTAGGTGGCTCCCTCAAACCTGGCCACCCAGGATTCCCCACATAAAGCCCCTCTGAAGCTCAGCTCACGATCCAAAATTACAGAACACACAGGAAACACATCACCGCGAGAAAAGGCAACAGACATAAAAAAGAGCAGGATTCGACACCCGCTTCAAATACCCGCAGCTAGGAGAGAGAAGCTGTCCAACAGGTATGTGAGATAGGCAGCTTCTATAAGGGGCTGCCAGCGATCTCCCACCCTTGACTCTTCACAATTTTGTGTAATTTCCATACCTTGATTGTGGGCTGGACCTAGTGAGTTTCTTTTAACCAACTGAATTCTTATTTTACTTATTTTATTTTATTTTATTTTATTTTATTTTATTTTATTTTATTTTATTTTATTTTATTTTATTTTATTTTATTTTACTTAGAGATAGAGTTGCACTGTGTTGTCCATGCTAGGCTGAAACTCCTGGCCTTAAGCAGTCTTCCTGCCTCGGCCTCCTAAAATGACAGGATTATAAGCATGAGTCACTGCGCTCAGCAGCCTTTGCATTTATTTATTTTTGAGACTTGCTGTATGGCCCAGGCTGGAGTGCAATGGCACGATCTCGGTTCACTGCAACCTCCACCTCCCAGGTTCAAGCGATTCTCCTGCCTCAGGCTTCCAAGTAGCTGAGATTACAGGCACCTACCATCACGCCTGGCTAATTTTTGTATTTTTAGTAGAGACGGTTTCACCATGTTGGCCAGGCTGGTCTCGAACTCCTGGCCTCAGGTGATCTGCCCACCTTGGACTCCCAAAGTGCTGGGATTACAGGCGTGAGCCACCGATCCTGGCTGACCAACTTAATACTAAACTGGCCTGAGAGATTCTCACTGCCTGGTGTCCACACTCCGCTAATGCCCTCCTGTGAGTGAATGTGATGGGCTACAGTACTTTTGAGCTAATAACATGGGATGCTACCTAAGTGGACCTGAACCAGTCAGGCAAGTCTTTTAAAAGAAAGGGACATGGCAGAGAGGTGCTCTTCTGCAGGCTTGGAGTAGGGCAAGTGGACATGGGGCCACATACAAGGGGGCCTGTGGATGCCGAGAGTGGTCCCCGATGGCAGCTTAAAAGAAAACAGGGACCTCAGTGCCCCAACGTAGGGAACAGCCCCTCTCCCCCACTGGCTCTAAGGACCCCCATCACAGGGGCATGAGGCACCCCCCTCAATGAGGGGAGTAAGAGCCAGCCCCTCTCCCCCGCTGGTTTTTAGGATCCGAGGTGGACTCACAGCCTGTTTACCATATTGTGAGTAATATCATCTCCCCTCTGGAAATTATGAACTATTTCACAGATGGGTGTACACCCGTCTGTATTGGGAGTAATATCATCCTCTTCCTCCCTGAATATTAAGAACAGTACCACACGGGTGTTTCTACTCCCTGCGATATTGGGTGTCATATCCTCCTCTCCCACGTGGCAATTAGAGACAGTATCAGTGGGGGCGTGTCCACCTTCTGTGATATTTAAAGTAATATCATCCTCTTCCCTCCAGGATCATGGGAACAATATGCCTGGGGGGTGTACACTTTCTGCGATATATGTAGTCATATCACCCCCTCCGCCTTGGAATATTATGAAGGACCATCTCACAAGGGGGTGTACACTGCCTGCGATATTGGGAGTAATATCAACCTCTCGGCCTCTGAATATTAGGAAGAATATCACAGGGTGGGTGTACAACTCCTGCTCTATTATGGGGAGTAATATCATCCCCTCCCTTTCAGGATATTAATAACAATATCACAGGGTGGGTGAACACAGCCTGTGATGCTGGAATTATTATCATCCTCTCCCCGTAGGGTTATTAGGAACAATATCACAGAAGAGGTGTGCACTCCCTCCGATATTGGGAGTAATATCATATGCTTCTTCCGTGAATATTAGGAGCAATATCACCGAGTGGCTGTACATTCATTGCTATGTTGGCAGTCATGTCATACTCCACCCGCTGGATATTAGGATCAGTGTCACAGGGTGAGTGTGCACCTGCTGAGATATTAAAACTAATATCATGCTCTCCATCCCTGGATATTAGGAACAATATCACAGGTAGGTGTACACCCCCTGCGGTATTAGGAGTAATAACATTATGAATTATTAAACATCAGTCTCATTAATGATTATCAATGGTAATATTAATTAATAGTATAACGTTATTAGTCATTAATGATTATTTTAAATATATGGTTACGCATGATTAAAATTAATTCTTACTATTCATGTCATTTTTAATAATATTTGTTATTAATATTAATGTTAATCATTGTCTTATTACCAACATCACTTACAATGGATTAAATAACACTAATTACTGATATCGTTATTTTATTATTAATAGTGATATTGCTATTAATTATTAATTGTAATCATTAATATTTTTAATCCGCATTAAGTTTTACTGTCTCCACTGTAGTTATTAATATCGATGATTACTATTAATTGTTATTCTATTTATTAATATTAATAATTAATAAAACTGTTCCCGATATCCGTAGGGGAGAGGATATGACTCCCAATATCGCAGAAAATGTACACCCCTCTATGATGTTACTCCTAATAGCCAGGGGGTAGAGGATGACATTATGGAAAATATCGCAGTGGGTGTACATCCCTTCGGTCATCTTGTTCCTAATATCCTGGGTGGGAGCGGATGTTACGACTCCCAAAATCGCAGTGGGCGGAGACCTCCCCCGTGATACTGTCCCTAAAATCCAAAGGTGGAGAGGATGATATTTCTTCCAGTTTCGCCGGGGGTGCACAACACCCCTGTGATATTGATCCTCAAATCCAGGGGGTGTGAGGATGATGTTAGTCTGAATATTGAAGGAGATGTACACTCCCTAGGGATATAGTTCCTAATATCCAGGGACGGAGAGGATGATGTCACTCCCAATATAGCAGGGGGTGTACACCCTTCTGTGACATTGTTCTTAATAGGCAGCGGGGGAGAGGAAGATATCACCCCCAATATCGCAGGGGGTGTACACCCTCTTGTGACATTGTTCCTTCTATCCTGGGAGGGAGAGGAAGATACTAGCGGCAATGTCTCAGGGGCTGTACACACCCACTGTGATATTGTTCCGAAAATCCGGAGGGGGAGAAAATGATGTTACTTCCAACATCGCAGGGGGTGTACAAGCTCCTGTGATATTGTTTCTTATGTTCAGGGAGAGAGGATGATATTACTCCCAATATCGCAGGGGTTGTACACACCCCCCGCGATGCGGGGAGTGAGAGCCAGCCCCTCTACCCCCCACCCCGGCTCTTAGGACCCCCATCGCAGGGGGGTGAGGCACCCCCCGCGATGCAGGGAGTGAAAGCCAGCCCCCCTCCCCCCCCGTCTCTCATGATCCCCATCGCAGGGGGGTGAGGCTCACCCCGCTATGCGGGGAGTAAGAGCCAGCCCCTCTTCCCCCCCTGGTTTTTAGGATCCGCGGTGGACTCACAGCCTGTTTACCATATTGTGAGTAATATCATCTTCCCTCTGGAAATTATGAACTACTTCACAGACGGGTGTACACCCATCTGTATTGGGAGTAATATCATCCTCTTCCTCCCTGAATATTAAGAACAGTATCACACGGGTGTGTCTACTCCCTGCGATATTGCGTGTCATATCCTCCTCTACCATGTTGCAATTAGAGACAATATCAGTGGGGGCGTGTCCACCTTCTGTGATATTTAAAGTAATATCATCCTCTTCCCTCCAGGATCATGGGAACAATATCCCTGGGGGGTGTACACTTTCTGCGATACAAGTAGTCACATCACCACCTCCGCCTTGGAATATTATGAAGGGACCATCTCACAAGGGGGTGTACAATGCCTGCGATATTGGGAGTAATATCAACCTCTCAGCCTCTGAATATTAGGAAGAATATCACAGGGTGGGTGTACAACTCCTGCTCTATTATGAGGAGTAATATCTATCTATTATTGGGAGTAATATCCCCTCCCTTTCAGGGTATTAATAACAATATCACAGGGTGGGTAAACACAGCCTGCCATGCTGGAATTATTATCATCCTCTCCCCGTCGGGTTATTAGGAACAATATCACAGAAGAGGTGTACACTCCCTGCGATATTGGGAGTAATATCATACGCTTCTTCCGTGAATATTAGGAGCAATATCACCGGGTGGCTGTACATTCATTGCTGTGTTGGCAGTCATGTCATACTCCACCCGCTGGATATTGGGATCAGTGTCACAGGGTGAGTGTACACCTACTGTGATATTAAAACTAATATCATGCTCTCCATCCCTGGATATTAGGAACAATATCACAGGTAGGTGTACAACCCCTGCGGTATTAGGAGTAAGAACATTCTGAATTATTAAACATCAGTCTCATTAATGATTATCAATGGTAATATTAATTAATAGTGTAACGTTATTAGTCATTAATCATTATTTTAAAAACATGGTTATGCATGATTAAAATTAATTCTTACTATTAATGTCATTTCAAATAATATTAGTTATTAGTATTAATATTAATCATTGTTTTATTACCAACATCACTTATGATGGATTTAAGTAAGACTAATTACTGATATCATTATTTTGTTATTAATAGTGATATGGTTATTAATTATTAATCATAATCATTAATATTTTTAATCAGCATTAAATTTTACTGTCTCCACTGTAGTTATTAATATCGATGATTACTATTAATTATTATATTTATTAATATTAATAATTAATAAAACTGTTCCCGATATCCGTAGGTGAGAGGATATGACTCCCAATACCACAGAAAGTGTACACCCCTCTATGATGTTACTCCTAATAGCCAGGGGGTAGAGGATGACATTATGGAAGATATCGCAGTGGGTGTACATCCCTTCGGTCATCTTGTTCCTAATATCCTGGGTGGGAGCGGATGATATGACTCCCAATATCGCAGGGGGCGGAGACCTCCCCCGTGATACTGTCCCTAAAATCCAAAGGTGAAGAGGATGATATTTCTTCCAATTTCGGCGGGGGTGCAAACCACCCCTGTGATATTGATCCTAACATCCAGGCGGCAAGAGGATGATATTAGTCTGAATATTGCAGGAGGTGTCCACTCCCTAGGGATATTTTTCCTAATATCCAGGGACGGAGAGGATGATATCACTCCCAATATAGCAGGGGATGTACACCCCTTGTGTGACATTGCTCCTAAAGGGCAGCGGGGGAGAGGAAGATATTACAGCCAATATCGCACGGGGTATACAACCCCTTGTGACAGTCTTCCTTCTATCCTGGGAGGGAGAGGGAGATACTAGCGGCAATGTCGCAGGGGCTGTACACACCCACTGTGATATTGTTCCGAATATCCCTAGGGGGAGAAAATGATGTTACTTCCAATATCGCAGGGGGTGTACATGCTCCTGTGATATTGTTTCTTATATTCAGGGGGAGAGGATGATATTACTCCCAATATCGCAGGGGTTGTACACACCTCCTGCGATACCGGGAGTAAGAGCCAGCCCCTCCCCCTCCCTGGCTCTAAGGAGCCCCGTCGCAGGGCGGTGAGGCCCCCCCCCCCGGCGGTACGGGGAGTAAGAGCCAGCCCCTATCTCCCCCTGGCTCTTAGGACCCCCATCGCAATGGGGTGAGGCCCCCGCGATGCGGGGAGTCATATCACCCCCCTCTGGATATGACGATTCACGTCGCAGGGGGGCGGGCGCCCACCGCGATGAGGGGAGTCATATCACCCCCCTCTCCCCCCCTGGATATGATGATCCACATCGCAGGGGGGCGGGCGCCCCCCGCGATGCGGGGAGTCATATCACCCCCATCTCCCCCCCTGGATATGACGATCCACGGTGGTCACACAGCGTGTTCACCTTATTGTCAATAATATCTTCTCCGCCTCTGGAAATTACCAACTATGTCACAGACGGGTGCACATTCTCTGCATTCTTTGGAGTAATAGCATCGTCTTTCCCCTTGATATTAAGAACAATATCACAGGAGTGTTTTTACCCCCAGGGGCATTCCGTGTAGTATCATCCCTCCCACGTTGAAATTAGGAACAATATCACTGGGGGTGTGTCCACCTCGTGCGATATTGAAAGTAACATCATCCTCTTCTCTCTTGGATCATGGGAACCATATCACTGGGGTTGTGTACACTTTCTGCGGTATTGGGAGTAAGATCATCCTCTCCGCCTTGGAATATTAAGGACCATATCACAGTGGGGCTGTACACACCCTGTGCTATTAAGAAGAATATTATCCTCCCCTGCCCTGCACATTGGAAAAAATATCACAGAGTGAGTGTACACCTCCTGCGATGGGCGGGTGATATCATCTTCTCTTCTTCTGGATAATAGCAACAATAGTACACGGGTTTGTACACTTTCTGTGATATTGGGAGTAATAGCAACCTCTCCACCTTTGAATATTAAGAACAATATCACAGACTGGATGTACGACCCCTGCGATTTTGGGAGTCATATCAGCTTCTTCTCTCCATGGATATTAGGAATAATATCCCAGGATGGGTGTACACCTCCTGCTGTATGGGGAGTCATATCGTCCTCTCCCTTCCTGGCTGCTAGGAACAATATCAGAGGATGGGTGTACACAGCCTGCGATATTGCGAGTAATATCACCCTCTCCCCCTCCGGATATTAGGAACAATGTCACAGAAGGGGTGTATACTTCCTGAGATATTGGGAGTAATAGCATTCTCTTCTTCCGGGAATATTAGGAGGAATATCACCGGGTGGATGCACACCCACTGCTATCTTGGGAGTAACGTCATATGCCATCCCCTGGAGATGATATTCGGATCAATATCACCGGGTGGGTGTACACCTACTGCGATATTCAATGTCATATCATGCTCTCTCCCTCCCTGGACATTAGGAACAATATCACAGGTGGGGGTACACCCACTGAGGTATTAGAGATAATATTCATATTAATTCTTCCTCATTTATTATTTACATGAATATGTATTACCAATATAAATATTAATATAATAAATCATTGCTAATAGTGTTCTGATTATTAATATTAATATTAATTATTAGGAGCTAATATGACAGTTTTCTAATGAATAAGATCAATATCACTCTTTAATACCAGGCGTCATTAATCATTAATATTAATCATTTATTGTTATTGTGAGTATAACACTGTAATAGGAATTTTCATTATTATCGGTATTGATTTTAAGAATTATATGATCAGTTATTAATATTGATAATTATTAGTATCAATTAATAATTGAGATTATTAATTGCGGTAAGTCACATTGCGCCATTCCACCCCTCCCTCGGCAGCTCGTTTATGACCCAAAACGGGGATCCAAATGCCCCTGAGAGAGCAGCGGTATACTGTGATAGAGGAGGATGGTCACGTGGTGGAGAAGCATGTTTTTATGTACCAGCCCTTCACCTCGGCCGACCTTCTCAACTGGGAAAACAATACCCAGTCCTAGAGAGAAAAGCCGCAAGCCCTAATTGATTTGCTCCAAACTGTTTTCCAGACCCACAACCCCACCTGGGCTGATCGCCACCGGTTGCTCATATTCCTCTTTAAGAGAGATGAAAGGTGAAAGGCGGAGAGGGCTCCACGTAGCAACTAAGTGGTTAGAGGAACATGCACCAGCTGATTATCAAAACCCCCAAGAGTGTGGAAGGACCCAGTCACCAGGAACCCACTTCCAGTTGGACCCACATGAAAGAGAGGATATGCAAAGGCTAAACCGAGACAGGGAAGCTCTCTTGGAAGGATTCAAGAGGGGAGCTCGGAAGGCCACAAACGTTAACAAGGTCTCTGAGGTCATTCAGGGAAAAGAAGAAAGTCCAGCACAATTCTACCAGAGACTGTGTGAGGCTTATGGTATGTATACTCCCCATTGATCCCGATAACCCTGAAAATCAGCGCATGATTCACATGGCTTTAGTCCGTCAAAGCGCGGAAGAGGTTAGAAGAAAACTGCAGAAGCAGGCTGGACTTGCAGGGATGAATACATCACATTGATGAGAAATAGCTAAGCAGGTGTTTGTAAACAGGGATGCAGTAAGCCCTAAGGAAAATGGCAAAGAGAATGGAGGTCAGGCCCAGCGAAACACCGACCTGTTTGTTAGCTGCAGCAATCAGAGGGGCCCCCCCAAAGAGGCAAGGGAAGGGGGGCCCTGGGAAAGAAACTCAGCTTGGCTGTCAGAGTTTGCAGCATAACCAGTGTGCTCATGGTAAAGAAATAGGACAGTAGAAGAACAAATGCCCTGAGCTCAAAAGAAAACAAGGTGACTCAGAGCTGGAGGCTCCGGACAAGGAGGAAGGGGCCCTGCTCAACCTGGCAGAAGGGTTCTTGGACTGAGGGAGACCGGGCTCAAGCGTCCCCAAAGAGCCTCTGGTCAGAATGACAGTCGGAGGTAGAGACATTGACTTTCTTGTAGATAGCGGTGCTGAACATTTGCTAGTAACCGCCCCGGTCACCCCCTTATCCAAAAAGACTATTGACGTCATCGGAGGCACGGGGGGTTCAGCAAAGCAAGCTTTCTGCTTTCCTCGGACTTGTACTGTAGGAGGACTTAAAGTCATTCATCAGTTTTGGTACATGCCTGACTGTCCCTTGACCTTTTTGGGAAGGGACTTGCTCAGCAAGCTGAGAGCCACTATCTCTTTGACAGAGCATGGCTCTTTGCTGCTAAAGTTACCCAGAACGGCAGTCATTATGACACTTATGGTCCCCTGAGAGGAGGAATGAAGACTTTTCTTAACTGAGCCGGGCCAAGAGAGAAGACCAGCTCTGGCTGAGTGGTGGCCCAGAGTACAGGCAGAAGACAACCCTCTGGGATTGGCCAATTAAGACTGGGGCCCAGCCGCTTAGGCAAAAACAGGACCCGGTCCCCAGAGAAGCTCTTCAAGGTATCCAGGCCCCTCTCAAACACCTAAGAACTTTTGGAATTATTGTTCCTTGTCAGTCTCCATGGAACACTCCCCTCCTGCCTGTTCCCAAGCCACGGACCAAGGACTACAGTCCAGGACAGGATTTGCGCTTGCTTAATCAAGCTACACTGACTTTACTTCCAATAGTACCTAACCCGTCCACATTGTTGGGGTTGCTGCCAGCTGAGGACAGCTGGTTCACCTGCTTGGACCTGAAAGACGCTTTCTTTCCTATCAGATTAGCCCCTGAGAGGCAGAAGCTGTTTGCCTTTCAGTGGGAAGATCCAGAGTCAGGTGTCACTACTCAGTACACTTGGACCGGGCTTCCCCAAGGGTTCAAGAACTCTCCCACCATCTTTGGGGAGGCGTTGGCTCGAGACCTCCAGAAGTTTCCCACCAGAGACCTAGGCTGCATGTTGCTTCAGTAGGTTGATGACCTTCTGCTGGGACACCCCACGGCAGTCAGGTGTGCCAAGGGAACAGATGCCCTACACTGGCACCTGGAGGGCTGTGGGTAGAAGGTGTCCAAGAAGAAAGCTCAGATCTGCCGACAGCAGGTACGTTACTTGCGATTTACTATCCAACAGGGGTCGGAACGGAGCCCGGGATCAGAAAGAAAGCAGGTAATTTGCAATCTAGCGGAGCCTAAGAGTAGAAGGCAGGTTAGAGAATTCTTAGGAGCTGTGGGGTTTTGTAGACTGTGGATCCCAAACTTTGCAGTATTAGCCAAGCCTTTGTATGAGATCACAAAGGGGGCGGGGACTGGGAACCTTTTGAATTGGGATCCCAACAACAGCAAGCCTTTCATGAGTTAAAGGAAAAACGTCTGGCAGCCCCAGCCCTAGGGCTACCCGATCTGACAAAGCCTTTTACAACCTATGTGTCAGAGAGAGAGAAAAGATGGCAGCCGGACTTTGAACCCAAACTGTGGGGCCCTGGCAGAGGCCGGTGGCCTACCTCTCTAAACAACTAGACGGGGTCTCTAAAGGATGGCCCCTGTGTTTGAGGGCCTTGGCAGCAACTGCCCTGCTAGTACAAGAAGTAAATAAGCTGACTCTTGGGCAAAACCTGAACATAAAGGCCTCCCATGCTGTGGTGACTTTAATGAATACTAAAGGACATCATTGGCTAACGAATGCTAGACTCACCAAGTACCAAACTTTGCTCTGTGAAAATCCCCGTATAACCATTGAAGTTTGTAACACCCTACACCCCGCCACCTTGCTCCCGGTATCAGAGAGCCCTGTCCAGGCTGATTGTGTAGAAGTGTTGGACTCAATTGACTCTAGCAGACCTGACCTCCAGGACCAGCCTTGGGCATCAGTAGACTGGGAACTATACGTGGATGGGAGCAGCTTCTTCAACGCCCAAGGAAAGAGAGGTGCAGGGTATGCAGTGGTAACCTGGACACTGTTGTTGAAGCCAGATCATTGCCCCAGGCCACTTCAGCCCAGAAAGCTGAACTCATTGCTTTAATTCGGGCCTTAGAACTCAATAAGGGTGAGACTGTAAACATTTACACTGATTCTCCGTATGCCTTTTTAACCCTTCAAGTGCATGGAGCATGATAGAAAGAAAAGGGCCTATTGAACTCTGGGGGAAAAGACAGAAAATATCAACAAGTAATCTTGCAATGATTAGAAGCAGTATGGAAACCCCACAAGGTGGCAGTTATGCATTGCAGAGGACACCAGCAAGCTTCCACCTTGCTGGGTTTGGGGAATTCCTGCGCTGACTCAGAGGCTCCAAAAGCAGCATCTGCCCCCTTCTGGACATCAGTGTTCCCTCAAGCACCTGATCTTGGATGTACTTATTCTAAAGAAGAAAAGGACTTTCTCCAGGTAGAGGGAAGGACAAGTGATGGAGGAAGATGGATTCGGTTACCAGATGGGAGAGTAGCTGTGCCACAGCTGCCAGGAGCCGCAGTTGTACTGGCTGTGCAAGAAACCACCCATGTAGGTCAGGAGTCACTGGAAAAGTTGTTAGCCCGGTATTTCTACATCTTGCGTTTCCCAGCCCTTGCCAAAACGGTGAGGCAGCCGTGTGTTACCTGCCGACAGCATGATGCTAGGCAAGGTCCAGCCGTTCCGCCCGGCATACGAGCTTACGGAGAAGCCCCCTTTGAAGATCTCCAGGTAGACTTCACAGAGATGCCAAAGTGTGGAGGTAACAAGTATTTACTAGTTCTTGGGCGTACCTACTCTGGGTGGGTGGAGGCCTATCCAACATGAACTGAGAAAGCTAGTGAAGTAACCCCTGTGCTTCTTTGAGGTATGATTCCTAGATTTTGACTGCCCTTAAGGATGGGCTCAGATAACGGGCCTGCGTTTTTGGCTGCCTGGGTACAGAAGACGGCAAAGGTATTGGGGATCACATGGAAACTGCATGCCGCCTCCCGGCCTCAGAGTTCTGGAAAAGTGGAGCGGATGAATCGGACTATCAAAAATAGTACTATTGTCTTCACCTGTGGATATTTAAAACAACACCACAAGGGGCATCAAACCACCTGCTAAATTGGAGGGTATGTTATCCTCTCCCCCACGCCCTCAGCGCCCCCGGATATTAGAGACAGTAACACAGGGGTATGTACACCCACTGCTTTATTGGGAGTAATATCATCCTCTCCCTTCTTGGATATTAGGAACAGTATCACACTGTGCGTGTACACCTGTCGCGAAATTCAATGGAATGTCATCCTGCGCCTCCCTGGGTATGATGAACAATATCACGGGGGATGTACAACTTCTGAGATATTGGGAGTGATATCATCCTCTGCCCTCTGGAAGTTAGGGACAATATCACAGGGGTAGTGTACCCCCTATGGGATGTTGGGAATAATATCATCCTCCCGCCCACTGGATATTAAAAACCATATCACAAGGGGCGTGTACCCACACTTTGATATTGGTATTAATACCATCATCTCCCTCTTTGGATATTTGGTGCAATATTTCAGGTGGGGTATACACCACCTGCAATACTGGAAGTAATATGATTTTCTCCCCCCCTGGATATCAGAAACAATATAACAGGGGGTTGTGAACAACCCCTGCGATATTTGGAGTAATATCACCGTCTCCATTCACGATTATTAAGAACAATATCGTAGGGGTGGGGGTGTACATCCCCTTTCATACTTGATATCATCCTCTTCCCCCCTGGATATTAGGAACAATATCAGGAAGGGATGCACAGACCCCATGACCTTTGCTGTCATATAATTGTCTCTCCACTAGATATTAGGAAAAATGTCACTGGGGATGTGAATAGCCCTGCGGTATTGAGAGTAGTATCATCCTCTCCCCCCTTGCATATTGGGAACAACATCACAGGTGGGGTGTACTGCCTCTGCGATATTGGGAATAAAATTTTCCTCTCTTCCCCTGGACATTAGGAAGAGTATCAGAGGGGGAGGGTGTACATTCCCTGCGATATTCAATGTAACCTTATCCTCTCCCTCCCAGGGTATTCAGAACAATAGGACAGGAGGGGTGTACACCCTCTGCGATATTGAGAGTCATGTCATCCTCTTTCGCTCTGGATATTAGGAACAATATCACAGGGGTGTGTACATCTCCTGCGATATTGGGAGCAATATCATCCTCTCTCCCTGTGGATATTAGGAAGAGTATCACAGGGCTGTGTAAACCCCCTGCGGTACTGGGAGTAATATCATCCTCTCTCCCTCTGAATATAGGAAGATTTTCACAGGGGTTTGTACACCTCCTGCGATATTGGGAGTAATATCATCCTCTCCACCCAGGAAATGACTAACAAGGTCACGGGGGGGATGTTCTCCCCCTGCGATATTGGGAGTAATGTCATCCTCCCCAAACCTGGATGTTAGCAATGAGATCACAGAGGGGGTGTACACACCCTGCGACATTGGAAGTAATATGATCCTCTCCCCACCTGGATACTGGGAAAGATACCACAGCGCGGGTATACGTTTCCTTCGCTGTTGGGAGTAATATCATTCTTTTCCTTTCTGGATATTAGGAAGAGTATTACAGGGGTTTTGTACAATTACTTCAATATTGGGAGTACTATCATCCTCTATTTTCCTGGATATTGGGCACAAAAACACAAAAGGATGTACAACCCCTGCGATATTGGGAGTAATAGCATACTCTCCTTCCTTGGATGTCAGAAAACAATATCATCAGGGCTGAACACCCCCCGCGATAATGGGAGTCATATTTACTCTTTTACAGGCCATTTGGAACAATATCACAGGGGTTGTTTACAAACAGGGGTGGTGTACACTCCTTGTGATATTGGGAGTAACATCATTCTCTCCACCTCCGGATATTAAGAACAATATCCCAGCGGGAGGTGGTACACCCCCAGTGATATTGCTAGTAATGTCATCCTCTCCTTCCCTGGATATTAGGAACAATATCACAGGGAGGTGTACACCTTCTGTGATATTGGAAGCAATATCATCCTCTCCCCCGCTGGATGTTAGAAAAAAATATCACGGTGTACACCCACTGTGATATTAGGAAGAATATTACAGGGTGTACACCCACTCTGACTTTAAGAGAAATAGCTCCCTCAAATGTCCCAAACAATATCACAGGGTATACAATGATATTTCCCTAGGATATTACAAATAGTATCACAGGGTGTACACCCACTGTGATAACAGGGGTAATACATCCCAAGGATACTACCAAGAATATCACAAGGCTGTACACCCACTATGACATCAGGAGTGATATCTCCCTAGGATATTACGAATACCATCACAGAATGTACACACATGGTGTGCGCCCACGGTGATATTAGGAGTACTATCAACCCAGGACATAACCAGTAAGACCACAGGGAGTACATACATGATGTACACCCACGGTGATGTTATGAGAACTATCTCCCTAGGATAATACGAATAACATCACAGAGTGGACACACATGGTATACACCCACTGTGGCACTAGGACTAATAACTTTCTAAGATATTACCAATAGCATCACAGAATAGAAACACATGGTGTACACCCACTGTAACACAAGGTGTAATTTCTCCCTAGGATATTACGAGGAACATCTCAGTGCATACACACATGGTGTACACCCACTGTGACATTAAGGGTAATATCGCGCTAGCATATTACCAATAACATCACAGGGTGTCCACCCATGGTGTACACGCACTGTGATGTTAGGGATAATATTTCGCTGGGATATGATGAATAATACCACAGGGTGTACAGAAACTGTGATATTAGAGGTAATATGTCTCTAGGATATTATGAATAATATCACAGGGTGTACACCCACGGTGATACTGGGAGCAATATCTCTCTAGGATAGTACAAATAATATCACAGAGTGTACACCCACTGTGATATTAGAAATATCTCTCTGGGATATCACGAAGTATATCACAGAGTGTACACACATGGTGTACATCCACTTTGATATTAGGAGTAATATCTTCGTAGGACATTACAAATAACATCGCAGAGTGTACACCCACTGTAATATTAGGAATCGTATCTCCCTAGGTGATTACAAATAATATCACAGGGTGTACACCCACTGTGATATTAGGAGTAATATCTTCCTAGGGTATTACGAATAATTTCACAGTCTGTACGCACATGGTGTACACTCACTGTGATATTAGGAGTAATATCTACCTAGTAGATAACAAATAACCTCGAAAGGTGTACACCCACTTTGATATTAGCTGTAATATTTTTCTAAGTTGTTACGAATAAGATCACAGGGTGTACAAACATGGTGTACACTCACTGTGATATCAGGAGTCATATCTCTGTAATATATTATGAATAATATCACAAGGTGTACACCCACTGTATTATTAGGAGTACTATCTCTGTAGGATATTACAATTAATATGACAGGGTGTAGAGCCACCGTGATATTAGGAGCAATATCTTTCTAGGATATTACAAATAATATCACAGGGTGTACACCCACTCTGCTGTCAGGAGCAGTATCTCCCTAGGACGTGAAAAATCCTATCACAGGGTGCCCAATCTCTGTCTTCCAGGTTCTAAGGGATTCTCCCGCTTCAGCCTCCCAAGTAGCTAGGTTTACCCGCCACCACGCCCGGCTAATTTTTTTTTGTTTTCACTGGAGACGGGGTTTCACCACGTTGGCCACGTTGGTCTGGATCTCCTGACCTCAGGTGATCCATCAGCCTCGGCTGCCCAAATTGCTGGGATTACAGGTGTGAGCCATGGTGCTGGGCCAAGAGTTATATATTCAATTCATTTGGAAACACATCTCCCATATTTGAGTGTGCATGTACTTTTATGAAGAAATGATGTCAGAAAACCTAAGGATGATAATAAATATGAAAAGTAACAGGCATGTGAAAAGGTCTTCCGATTGAGAACTATAAGGTTCGATTTCGTTTTTAGATAATGGCGTCCTAGCTATTGTGTCGTCCTTTTACATATTCTACATCAAAGGAATTTGTAGCATGGTGTCAGAATAAAATAGAGTGTATTTCATGGCTTCTTAATTTCTTTCAATTAGACTGAGATCTTTTTCTTAAAGAGAGAAGGACATTTTCATTGCATTGTATTTTTTTCTGAAAAGAGTAGGCCGTATTTTACTGAGATCACGTATTTGTTATATATGACGTTTTGGTCTTGTAATATTCTTCAGTGGATTTTCTCTAAAGTAGTATATACACAAAGACTTTTATAGCAAAAAAGTAAATCACGTAATAACTCTGATATTTTTGGAATTGTCACATCTGAGAAACATTGCTGGCGGTGTATGGTCCACAAGTGTGAAAATGTTCCTTGTGAATTGCTTGCATCCAGCATTAAGGGCTGGTTTTTATCTTTTATTTTTCCAATCCTCTTTACTTCTCAAGGTGTCCAAGTCACACAGAGCCACGGAATCTCACAGGTGTCTGAGAATTCCTCCTCCTGGGACTCTCAGAGGATCCAGAACTGCAGCCGGTCCTCGCTTTGCTGTCCCTGTCCCTGTCCATGTATATGGTCACGGTGCTGAGGAACCTGCTCAGCATCCTGGCTGTCAGCTCTGACTCCCCGCTCCACACCCCCATGTGCTTCTTCCTCTCCAAACTGTGCTGAGCTGACATCGGTTTCACCTTGGCCATGGTTCCCAAGATGATTGTGAACATGCAGTCGCATAGCAGAGTCATCTCTTATGAGGGCTGCCTGACACGGATGTCTTTCTTTGTCCTTTTTGCATGTATGGAAGACATGCTCCTGACTGTGATGGCCTATGACTGCTTTGTAGCCATCTGTCGCCCTCTGCACTACCCAGTCATCGTGAATCCTCACCTCTGTGTCTTCTTCGTCTTGGTGTCCTTTTTCCTTAGCCCGTTGGATTCCCAGCTGCACAGTTGGATTGTGTTACTATTCACCATCATCAAGAATGTGGAAATCACTAATTTTGTCTGTGAACCCTCTCAACTTCTCAACCTTGCTTGTTCTGACAGCGTCATCAATAACATATTCATATATTTCGATAGTACTATGTTTGGTTTTCTTCCCATTTCAGGGATCCTTTTGTCTTACTATAAAATTGTCCCCTCCATTCTAAGGATGTCATCGTCAGATGGGAAGTATAAAGGCTTCTCCACCTGTGGCTCTTACCTGGCAGTTGTTTGCTGATTTGATGGAACAGGCATTGGCATGTACCTGACTTCAGCTGTGTCACCACCCCCCAGGAATGGTGTGGTGGCGTCAGTGATGTATGCTGTGGTCACCCCCATGCTGAACCTTTTCATCTACAGCCTAGGAAAGAGGGATATACAAAGTGTCCTGCGGAGGCTGTGCAGCAGAACAGTCGAATCTCATGATATGTTCCATCCTTTTTCTTGTGTGGGTGAGAAAGGGCAACCACATTAAATCTCTACATCTGTAAATCCTGCCCTTTAGTCACATTATTTTTGTGGCTTGATGGCTTTTATTCCTTTCCGCATTTGCTTTGTGAATATTGCTTTCTTCGTTATGCCTTTAACTGCAATGGGTGAGGATTCTGGGATCCTTTGTTTAGCAGAAATCTCATGACAGAATCCTCTATACCTAGGCGGCCACTTTTAGCTTCTGAGCAATAACCCGGTCATCCAGGTGGAATCACAACCATCTTTTTATATACACGAAGTCCTCACTTCATTTTGGAATTCCCTGAAAACTGACTTTATGGAAACAATGTACAGGAGGTTCTCCAACACCATTGGTTGTTCAAAGTTGTGTAGTTATACTGTTGATGAAAAATAAGTGGTTTCACTATACATAATTTTGCTTCAAGGTGAAGTTTCCAAGAGACTTTCAAAGATGTTAAGTGAGGACATACTGTACATCAAATTCATATCCTCTTCCACAGTTCATGTGGAATTTCTTTATAAACTGCTTCTAGAGAATCTATTTAGGCAGGTTATGTGAAAAGATCCATGTCGCCCTTCCTCAATCTTGGCCCTTAATCAAATCACCTGGGGAGCTTACAAATGATGAGGCCTGGGTCTCAATACCTGAGATTCTGATTTCCTTGCACCTGTGTGAGTATGTGGATTTTTTTTTTTTTCTTTTAAAGCACCAGAGGTGGTTCCAATGATGAAGTTTTTAGAGGCATCAAGCTCCAATGAGTAAGAACAGAAATTAATTGCAATATGATTTCTTCAAATATTATCTTCAAATGCATTGCCCATCAACACCATACAAATGTTTATTATGCTGTTGTTTCTTACCATTTTGCATTTTCTATTTCTTTCTTTTCCTTTTTTTTTTTTTGAGTCAGAGTTTCACTCTTGTTGCCCAGGCTGGAGTTCCATGGCATGGTCTCGGCTCACTGCAACCTCTGCCTCCCGTATACAAGCAATTCTCCTGTCCCAGCCTTCCAAGTAGCTGGGATTACAGGCATGCGCTACCATGTCCGGCTAATTTTTTTTGTGTGTGTGTGTTGTTAGTAGAGACAGAGTTTCTCCATTTTGGTCAGGCTGGTCTTGAACTCCCGACCTCAGGTGATCCTTCCACTTCCGCCTCCCAAAGTGCTGGGATTACAGGCATGAGCGACCGCGCCCAGCCACCATTTAGCATTTACATTTTACATTTGTTGAAGTTATAGATTTATACACACATTGATTGCTGCTTTGTTATACACTTGCATATACATAAGATGGGAAATAGAAAAGAATAAAATAGGCACAGTATCCCTGAAGTTTCATATTCCGAGACTTTAAAAATATTTGCTCTTTAGAAATTTTTTCAATTAAGAAACTGTGGTATACACACCCAATGAAGTATTATTCAGCCTAAAAAGGAAGAAAATCCTCTCCGCTGCAGACAAAATGGATGAGATTGCAGGTCTGTATATTAAATGAAATAAGCCAGGCACAGAATGACAAATATTTCACGTCCTCACTTCTATGTAGGAAGAGAAAAGGAAACCTTGGCCGGGTGTGGTGGCTGAGGCCTGTAATCCCAGCACTGTGGGAGGCCGAGTCGCTCGGATCACTTGAGGCCAGGAGTTTGAGACCCGCCTGGCCAACATGGTGAAACCCCGTCTCTACTGAAAACACAAACAATTAGCCGGGTGTGGTGAAGCGTGCCTGTAGTCACAGCTACTCAGAGGGCTGAGGCCCAAGAAGCGCTTGAACTCGGGAGGCGGAGCTTGCAGTGAGCCCGGATTGTGGCTGTGTACTCCAATCTGGGCAACAGAAAGAGACTCCATCACACACCTACACACAAAAGGAATCTCAGGAAGGTGGAAAGTATAAAGGTGGTTAGCAGACGCTAGGAAGAAAAGGGGTGGGATGGGGAATGAAGAGAAGTGGATAATTGGGTCCCAACATACAGAAAGATAGAATAAGTGAGTTCTAGTGTTTGATAGTACAGTATGAAAATTTTAGTTCACAAGAATTTCTTGCATATTTCCTGATGCTTTGGTAAGAAGCTTCCTAACTTTCTCATTATGCTGGTTTTTCAGCTCTTCTCTTTTTGCTCTTGAAATCATGCTGGTTTTTTGTTTTTTTGTTTTGAGATGGAGTTTCGCTCTTGTTGCCCAGGCTGGAGTGTCATGGTGCAATCTTGGCTCACTGCAACCTCTGCCTCCTGGGTTCAAGCGATTCTCCTGCCTCCACCTCCCGAGTAGCTGGGATAACAGGCATGCGCCAGCACGCCCAGCTAATGTTGTATTTCTATTAGAGATGGGGATTTCTCCCTTTCGGTCAGGCTGGTCTTCAACTCCTGACCTCAGGTGATCCGCCCACCTCGGCGTCCCAAAGTGCTGGGATTACAGGTGTGAACGACCGACCGCGCCCGGCCCAAGCTGTATCCTTATCTGTTGTCTGTTGTTGCTTGTTTGTTTTTGAGCCCAGAAATAACTTCTCACCTATATGTTGAAACGATTTTTAACATGAGTGCTAAGAAAGCTCATTGGTGGAAAAACAGCCTTTTCAAGAATTGGTGTTGGAGAAACTTGATTTCCACATGCAGAAGAATGAAGGTGGACGCTATGTCACACCAGGTGCAAAAATTAACACAAACTGGATCAAAGACCTAACCCCAAGCACTAAATGTATCATACGCCTAAAAGAAAACATTGGCCACACTTTCATGATATCAGATTGGGCAATGCTCTCTGGGATATGACACCAAAAGCATAGGCAACAAAAGAAAATTAGATTCCTTGGATTACATCTAAATGACAGACACTTTTGTGCAGCAAAAAACACTGCAAACAGAGTGAAAAGATAACCCATGGATTAGGAAAAGTATTTGCAAAGCATATATCTGAAAAGAGGCTGATATCCATCATATATAAAGAACAGCTAGAACTAAACAACAAGAAACCCAAAGCATCCCATCAACAATGGTCAGAAGACTCGAGTAGATGTGTTCCTAAAGAAGATATAGCAATGGCCAAGAAGCATCTAAAATGATATTCAAAATCACTAATCGTAGGGAAGTGCAAATCAAACCAAGAATGTCATACCACACATTAGGATGGATATGATAAATAAACAAGCATTGGTGAGACTAGAGGGAAGTAAGAATGCTCCAATGTGATTGGAGGGAATGTAAAACCGTGAAGGAATGAGGAAAATAGTATGGCGTGTACTGGAAAAATTAGAAACAGAATGATCAGATGTTCCCGCAGTTGCATTTGTGGGTACCTACCAAAAAGAATTAGCCAGGAGTGGAAGACAGATTTTTGTACACCCATATTCGTAGTAGCATTATTCACAACCGCCAAAATGTGGAAGTAACCCAAGGGTTCGTGGACAGATGAATGAAAAAGCACACTGCAGTTCCTTCACACAGTGGAAGACTATTCAGCCTTAAAAAGGCAGGCACCTCTGGCCGGTTTGGTGGCTGACACCTGTAATCGCAGCATCTTGGAAGACCTAGGTGGGCGGATCACCTGAGGTCAGGAATTCAAGATCAGCCTGGCCATCTTGGTGAAACCCTGTCTCTACTGAAAATGCAAAAAATGAGACGAGCGTGGTGGCGTGTGCCTATAGTCCCAGCTACTCCGGGGGCTGAGGCACAAGAATCGCTGGAACCTGGGAGGCGGAGGTTGCAGTGAGCCCAGATTGTGCTACTGCACTCCAGCCTGTGCGACAGAGTGAGACTCCATGGGAACACAAAACAAAACAAAGTCAAACGAGCAAACAAAAAACAAACAAAAAAACCAGACAGGCACTTCTGAAGCAGGCCGCAACATGGATGAACCTTGAAGACATTATCGTCAGTGAAATAAATAAATCCCAAAAGGATAAACATGCCCAGGCTCAGTGGCTCACACCTGTAACCCCAGCACTTTGGGAGGCTCAGCCAGGCAGATCACTTCAGATCAGGAGTTTGAGACCAGCCTGGCCAATATGGTGAAAGCTTGTCTCTATTAAAAATACAAAAATTATCTGGGCGTGGTGGTGCACGCCTGTAATCCCAGCTACTCGGGAGACTGAGACACAAGAATCTCTTGAACCCACGATGTGGAGGTTGCAGTGAGCAGAGATCATGCTACTGCCACTCCAGCCTGGGTGACAGAGAAAGACTCTGCCTCCAAAACAAAAAAATTAAACACGTTATGATTCCACTTATCTATCAAGTGTCTAGAGTAGTTAAACTCATAGAGTTGCAAACTAGAAAGGTGGCCCCCAGGGGTAGGCGAGAGAGAGGAATGGAGAGCTTGGTGAATGGGTGCAATTTCCATTTTGAAAGATAAAACTGTTCCGAAGACGATGGCGGTGATGGTTGCTAAACAATGTGAACGTACTTAATGTCATTAAACTGTAAACTGAAAAAGAGTGGAAATTGTAAATATTTATACTGGCCATTCTATATGAACTAATGTATATTTATAATTTTTAATATTTATACGTGGTATATTGTCCCATAACAGATGAAAATTAAAGCAGTTGGATCTTTAAAAAGAAAGAAGTGAAGAATACATACCAGCTTTCTCTTGATTAGAGGAAGAGCCCCAAAGCTTCTATGGACACTCACTTTTCTCTTCTTCTTGCATGATGATGAGGAAGTCCTTAGAGCTTGGGGAACTTGGGCGATTTTGGCTAATGAGGAACTCTGTGCCTTGAGCCCCCCAGGCCACAGAATAGTAAATACTCAGTCTGTGCCTTCAGCCCTGCAGTGGGAGGTTCCAGTCCTGTAGGCTCCACACCCGTTACCTGTATCAGGAGGCTCATATCTCACCCTGTCTTCTTGCCAGCCTTGAGGACAGAGTCTGAGCCTCCATCGTGCACCACGCAGGGAGGACAGTGGACCTGTTCTCCGTGGTCATGGCCCAGCAGAGGCGAAGGGCAGTTCAGTGAGTGTAGGGAAAAGAAAGAGAGATCAGACTCTTACTGTGTCTATGTAGAAAGGAAAGACATAAGAGACTCCATTTTGAAAAAGACCTGTACTTTCAACAATTGCTTTGCTGAGATGTTGTTCGTCTGTAGCTTTGCCCCAGCCACTTTGAACCAACCACTTTGACCCAACCTGAAGCTCACAAAAACATGTGTTGTATGAAATCAATGTTTAAGGGATGTAGGGCTGTGCAGGACGTGCCTTGTTAACAAAATGTTTACAAGGAGTATACTTGGTAAAAGTCATCGCCCTTCTCTAGTCTCAATAAACCAGGGGCACGATACACTGTGGAAAGCCGCAGGAACCTCTGCCCTTGAAAGCGGCGTATTGTCCAAGGTTTCTCCCCATGTGATAGTCTGAAATGTGGCCTCATGGGATGAAAAAGACCTGACCATCCCCCAGCCCGACCCCCGTAAAGGGTCTGTGCTGAGGTGGATTAGTCAAAGAGGAAAGCCCCTTGCAGTTGAGAGAGAGGAAGGCCACTGTCTCCTGCCTGCCCCTGGGAACTGAATGTCTCAGTGTAAAGCCCGATTGTACATTTGTTCAGTTCTGAGATGGGAGAAAAACAGCCCTATGGTGGGAGGTGAGACACGTTTGCAGCAATGCTGCCTTGTTATTCTTTACTCCACTGAGATGTTTGGGTAGAGAGAAACATAAATCTGGCTTATGTACATGTCCAGTCATAGTACCTTCCCTTGAACTTCATTATGACATAGATTCTATTGCTCACATGTTCGTTGCTGACCTTCTCCTTATTATCACCCTGCCCTCCTACTACATTCCTTTTTGCTAAAATAATAAAAATGATAATCAATAAAAACTGAGGGAACTCAGAGGTGGTGCCGGTGCAGGTCCTTGGTATGCTAAGCGCCAGTCCCATGGGCCCACTGTTGTTTCTCTATACTTTGTCTCTGTGTCTTATTTCTTTTCTCAGTCTCTCATCCCACCCGACTAGAAATACCCACAGGTGTGGAGGGGCAGGCCACCCCTTCAAGTGAGTGCTGAGGGACGGTTGGGAGCCTTGTTTGTTTCCTCATCTTCAGGACAAACAGGAGAGTGTGGTGTGCAGATGTGAGAGACCAATGTGCAAACTGTCCGCTCAGCAGACTGTGGAGTTTCTGTTCTTGGTTGTGGTGGGGGTCTCAGAAATCTTATTCAAAATTTTGCTTTCCTCCCCCACTGGTTCTCCTTTTCATAGACATCTCACCCATGATAGCAGGGAATCAGTCCCTCTCAACTATTCCCTAAGAACAACAAAAACATTATGAAGGTGATAATGAGGATAAAGAGGATGATGACAGACACCATGGCATCATGAACCCTTACTGAGGGCTTCCTGAAGGCCAGCCTCTGAGCTCTGTGCTCTATGCAGCTTGTTTCATTTCATCTGCGTAGTCTCCCAGTTATTAGTGCACATTTCATGATGATTTTACACACTAGAAAAGGAGCAACGCATTTTCATACAACTTCTACCAGATCATGAAGTCAAAAAGGTTGAAGTCAGGGGTGAACCAGGCAGTCTAAGTCCAGACACATGGCATTTGGCCAGTCCTCTCCGTGCATCCAACCTGCCCTCTCAAATCCTTGTCATTCAGGCTGATGCCCCTGCTCACTGTGCCCTTCCCTTTGGGGGTTCCTTGTAGACCACAGCTAGACCAGTGGGTGCCACAATCACTGTGTCAAGTATAGAAAGGGCAGCTGAGATCACATCAAGGATTCTAGAAAGAATTGGCACAGGATCATTCGGGACACATCTCTCCCTTGCCCCTGTTCCTGGCTTTCCATACAGCTCTCGACTTCCTCAAAGGAGTCATCAATTCGGATTTTGGCTTCCATTCCTATTGAGGAAGCTGGAAAGTGTTTCAAAAATGCTCCTCAGATGTGCCTGTGGTTAAGATCTCTGAGCTCTGCTTAAAACTTTTTGAATCTGAGCGCAGTGGCTCACGTCTGTAATCCCAGCCCTTTGGGAGGCTAAGGCAGGTGAATCACAAGGTCAGGAGTTCGAGACCAGCCTGGCCAACATGGTGAAACCCTGTCTCTACTAAAAATACAAAAAAAAAAAAATTAGCCAGGCATGGTGGCCTATGCCTGTAATCCCAGCTACTTGGGAGGCTGAGGCAGGAGACTCCTTTGAAACTGGGAGACAGAGGTTGCAGTGAACCAAGATCACGCCACTACGCTCCAGCCTGGGCGACAGAGCAAGACTCTCTCAAAAAAATAAATAAATAAAAATTACGAAAAAAAGTGCTTGGAAGGGCTTGGCAAACTTTAGCCATCAGCTCACGTACCACTTTGGAAGGGCATACCTTCAGTCACTTCACCCTTTAATCCCTTTGCTCAAGACTAAAGTTCTGAGAGGAAGTCTAATCAGCTGAGTTGTGTCCATGTGGGCAGTGCAGGAAAGGATGCAGCGGGAGGCGGCTCCAGGGACGTCTTTGGCTTCCATCATGGGGGAGCAGGCACCTGGATTATCCACCCTAACAAATCTAGACAAAGGAAAGCGAGGTTCTCTGAGGAAGGAGATATAGAGCCCAAGGAGCTAACCAGGAGACAAATAGTCATCCTGTCTTGTTATTTTCTTGTACACATGTGTGTACATTATCTTACATTTACCACTTTGTTTTCTTTCTCTCCTTTAATTGCACCCTGCTGCCAAAAGTTAAAATAAAATGAAATTATTGAGATATCTCAGTAACTGACTTTTGGTCAATTGCCTTTCATATAGAGAACAGCTGCCCAAACAATTGTCTCTGTCACTGTGCAAACTTGCAAGCGTTTGCATGATCACTCCCAATCCCCCAACACAGGGCTGTGTTACAGTACAATTTAGTTCAGTGTTTTGCTCTCTGCAACAGGGAGGTTCTCATCTATTACAGGTTGCAGTAAAAACAGGGGTACCATAAGCAACCACCTCTTTCCTCAATGATGTGATGAAAGCAAAAGCCAAGTAGCTCCATGTATCCAACTTAAAAATATAAAAATTACGCCCGTGGGCTGCAGTTGGAGCTATGGTGGTGGCAGCTGCCGCTGGGCCTAGCCCGGGGTGTGGACCTGGGAACTCCCCAGAAGGGCCCGAGGGGGAGCCTCACGGAGCGACGGCGGAAGGCGCACAGGCTGCTAAAGCTTTACTACGGCCTCTCTGAAGGGGAGGCGGTGGGACTCCCCATGGGGCCTAACCCCCTGGACCCCACTGATCTGAACGGGGCGCATTTCGACCCGGAAGTTTACCTAGACAAGCTGCATAGAGAGTGCCCTCTGGCCCAGCTGATGGACAGTGAGACAGACATGGTGCGGCAGATCCAGGCTCTAGACAGCGACATGCAGACCCTGGTCTATGAGAACTACGACAAGTTCATCCCAGCCACAGAAATTGACAAACAGCATAAAACTGTATGAGGAATTGTAGGAGACCCAGAATTTCCCAAATAACCTTGTAAAAGAAGAACAAAGTTGGAAGACTCACAAAAAATATCTATATATATATAAAGTTTTGTTTTCGTTCAGTTGTAAATATTTAGTAATTTCTATTGTGATTTTTCATTTAACTCATGAAAGGATAATTTAATTTTCCAAATGTATGCTTGTGTTTAGCTATCTTCTTGCTGTTCACTTCTAATTTTGTTGCATTATGGTCAGGGAAACGTGGTCTGGACAATGTCAATCCTATAGTGGATTTTGTTGAGACTTCTTTATGGCCTAATATGTGGCCAGTTTTTTTTATTTTATTTTATTTTATTTTTTTTTGCAAATGTGCCACATGTGGTTAAAACGAATGTGGATTATTTTTTTTAGGAGGTTCTCAGTGTAATTGAAATCTAGCTTCAATTAACAATACGCTAGATCTCTCAAACCTTAGGATGTTAATCAGTGTAACAATAGACTGCTTCTGAGACAAATAAACCATGAATTCTCAGTGGGTTGGCACCCATAGCATAGTCTGGTGCAGGGCAGGGGTTCTCCTTGGGGGCCCTTGTCCAACAGTGATTCAGAGATTCTGGAGGTTTCCATCTTTTAATTCTGCCATCTCAGAGTTTTTCACTTGTAGCCATATGGATAGGAAGAGAGGGAACATAGCTCAAACTTGCCTTTGATAACCTTGGCCCAGAAGTGATTTCTTACATTCGTATTGGTGGAAATGCAGTCACTTGGCTCCAAACTAACTGCAAGGGAGGCTCGGAAATGTAGCCTTTCTGCATGTCCAGGAAGAGGAATGGTGTGAACACAGCATTGTCTTTGACACACTAAGCATGTGCTAAAGAGTTCTTACTCTTATAGGAGGTTTGTCTGTCCTGTGTAACTTTCTCAGTTTTTGCTTAGATAGTTTCAGGCAATGTTGTTTGGTGCATTCAGCTTGATGATTATTATGTCCTCTTGGCAAAGTAGTCAAGATTCCCATCAGTTTGAATAAAAGTATTTTACAGATAGGTCAGGAAATGTTAATACTTTAAAAGGCCTCTCTATTCCTCCACTCTACAGATAAGAACAACAGAGTCCTAGAGAGAGGAGGTCATGGGTCTCACTCATCAGTGGCAGAATTGAAACCAATATGGCAGTAACTTTGCCTTTCCCCCATCATGTTGTTCTCCCTCTATCTTCACTCTGCTGATTTCTTCACTTGCTCCATACAGACCTCCCAGTGCCAAGTAAAATGTGTCCAGAAACGGTGGGTTCTTGGTCTCACTGACTTCAAGAAAGAAGCCGCAGAGCCTCACGGTGAGTTTAACAGTTCTTAAAGGTGGTGTGTCTGGAGTTTGTTCCTTCTGATGTTCGGATGTGTTTGGAGTTTCTTCCTTCTGGTGGGGTTCGTGGTCTCGCTGGCTCAGGAGTGAAGCTGTGGACCTTCGTGGTGAGTGTTACAGCTCTTAAGGCGGCCCGTCTGGAATTGTTCATTTCTCCCGGTGGGTTCGTGGTCTCACTGGCTTCAGGAGTGAAGATGCAGACCTTCTCAGTGAGTGTTGCAGCTCATAAAGGCAGTGTGGACCCAAAGACTGAGCCGCAGCAAGATTTATTGCAAAGAGCAAAACAACAAAGCTTCCACAGCGTGGAAGGGGACCCCAGTGGGTTGCCACTGCTGGCTCGGGCAGCCTGCTTTTATTCTTTTACCTGGTCCCACCCACATCCTGCTGATTGGTCCATTTTACAGAGAGCCTGAGTGGTCTGTTTTGACAGGGTGCTGACTGGTGCGTTTACAATCCCTGAGCTAGACACAAAGGTTCTCCACGTCCCCACTAGACTAGCTAGATACAGAGTGTCCACAGAAAGGTTCTCCAAGTCCCCACCAGAGTAGCTAGATACAGAGTGTTGATTGGTGCATTAACAAACCCTGAGCTAGACACAGGGTGCTGATTGGTGTGTTTACAAACCTTGAGCTAGATACAGAGTGCCAATTGGTGTATTTACAATCCCTTAGCTAGACATAAAAGTTCTACAAGTCCCCACCAGACTCAGGAGCCCCGCTGGCTTCACCCAGTGGATCCCACACAGGAGCCACAGGTGGAGCTGCCTGCCAGTCCCTCACCATGCGCCCGCACTCCTCAGCCCTTGGGTGGTCAATGGGACTGGGCGCCATGGAGCAGGGGGTGGTGCTCGTCGGGGAGGCTCGGGCCGCACAGGAGCCCACGGAGTGGGGGAGGCTCAGGAATGGAGGGCTGCAGGTCCCAAGCCCTGCCCTGTGGGGAGGCAGCTAAGGCCCAGTGAGAAGTTGAGCACAGCAGCTGCTGGCCCAGGTGCTAAGCCCCCTCACTGCCCGGGGCCGGCAGGGCCGGCCAGCCGCTCCTAGTGTGGGCCAGCCAAGCCCATGCCCACCTGGAACTCCAGCTGGCAGGGAAGCGCCGGGGTCAGCCCCGGTTCCGGCTCGCACCTCTCCCTCCACACCTCCCTGCAAGCTGAGGGAGCCAGCTCCAACCTTGGCCAGCCCAGAAAGGGGCTCCCATCATGCAGCCACGGGCTGAAGGGCTCCTCAAGTGCCACCAAAGTGGGAGCCCAGGCAGAGGAGGTGCCGAGAGCGAGTGAGGGCTGTGAGTTCTGCCAGCACGCTGTCACCTCTCATAAGGAGTGATTAATCTGAGCTTCTCCAGAAAGTCCATTCCTGGTAGGCACTGGGAATAAGAAATCTCAGAGTATAAAATAACATCAAGTGGTAGCACTTTTGTGAATGGCTCCCAAATTAGTTCCTTTACCTTTTTGTTTTTCATGAAGCGCAGTTGCACAAAACACGCTTAGCCTGAGATGAAGCACATATTAGAGAAATGTTCTCTCTATAGCATTATCTATTACTTGAATGAGCATGAAAAAGAGGAGATGGGACATACTCTCTCTAGCTATTATTACCTCCACTATAGAGTTGACATACACAAGCTCATTATTGCATTACATTTTATCCAACAAAATAACTTTAATGTTGCAGCTTAAATTGAATTCGCTAAAACATCTTTATCTCCAGCATAATGTGCCTCAAGTATCTTCTTGGTGCTTGAGTTTTCTCCAGAATTATAGTTCTGAAGCTATGGAAATGGTGAAATTATATGCAATATGCAAAACAATGTTGCTATAACGTGGTAATTGGCCTTCCATATAATTAAAGGAACATTTCCTCATCAGAGCTGTTCCATCAGAGACCCAAAGGCTATCTTTGTACAAATCACCCACTTAGGAAAGCCTTTATTCCCAGGAGCCTATAAAAATCTGGTTATGCAAACAGATTTGCTTATTCAGTAACATTAATGGCTCCTCATAGTTAAAAAGTCATCAAGGTGATTGACCTATAATCTGTTTCCTCTGTGACCAAGTGTCATTTTTATTTTGACAGTTGGGAGCCTTTTGACTCTTTCACAGCTGGCATGAAGGCACAGGGAGGGAAATCTGAAAAACCAACAACCTGTGTATTCTCAGCCTATTAATCAATAGAAAATCACGTCAATTGGATTAGGGTCTTGTACCTGGCAGAAAGGCTCTTATGGACATTGGAATTGGATTTTTACACTTGGTATGACACCTCCTTGAGTCAGATCAGATTCGTGTTTGATAGACTCTTGCCGAAAAGTTGCTGCAGGGTCTGTGCAGTAGCTAAAGCCTTTTTGTTGTTGTTGTTGTTGTTGTTGTTTTAAAAGCAGCATTAAATGTTTTCATGAAGACCTTCCCAGCAGTGATTTTATTGGGAATATGGTCTTTAGCTCTGGTCCTGAATAACTCACACTGAGGAAACCTCTAACAAGTGTTTTATTACAAGATGTCTGATGGATGGTTGGTTTTAATAACAAATATCTTCCCTTTCTCTGTCCCCTGTGTTTTATTCTCCCTTCTCTACATATTATTCAGGGAGGATTCACGTATTCCCAAAGTCCTTTCCTCTTTATTTCCATTCCAGAGCTCTCTGTATAACTCCAGGCTGATGAATCCAACTGCCCAATGGTTATCTTCACTTGGCTGTCTGTCTTGCATTGACCTCATCTTACCTTTCCTCTCCTGATTTCCTTTTTTGCCTGGGCTCACCACATCAGATTCACACCACCATCCACCCAGCTTCCAAAACACCTGGGCCTCATCCTGCATTCCTCCCTCTTTCTCAGTCAAGTTAGTCTACTGTCTCCTCTCCATCCTCACTGCCACAGCCTTAGTCCAGCCAACCATCTTGTCTCACTTGGTGTATTGCAGCCTCCTACCTGGTCTACTCACCTCCCACTCTCCTCCAGCCAGACTACTCTTTTTATAGCACAAAGTGGATCATTACTCCCCTGCCTAAAAACATCTACTGTCTCCCTTTGTCTACAGGATAAACATGACAAAGAGCCTTTAAGATTTGGCTCTAACTTACCTCTATATTAGTCACTTTTTACAATTATATGAACATCTCTCAGCTCCTCACCCTCTCATGTCTTGATTTTTGCACAAGCTCTTCCCTCTGCTGGGAATGATCTTCCACACCTCTCCTATCAACCTGGCTAATTCCTACCATTTCCTAGTCTTCAACTTAGGAGTACTGTGATGGAGAAGTATTTCTGACCACCTGATATAGATTGGATGCCCACCTATCTCCTGGCTTTTTTTTTTTTTTTTTTTTTTGACGAGTCTCGCTCTGGCCATCCAGGCTGTAGTGCAGTGGCAGGATCTTGGCTCACTGCAATCTCCGCCTCCCGGGTTCAAGCAATTCTCCCACCTCAGCCTTCTGAGTATCTGGAATTACTGGTGCCCGCCACCACACCCGGCTAATTTTTTTGTATTTTTAGAAAGGATTTCACCACGTTGGCCAGGCTGTTTTCGAACTCCTGGCCTCAAGTGATCCACCCACCTTGGCCTCCCAAAGTGCTGGGATTACAGGCATGAACAACTGCACCTGGCCAATTGGGTGCCCCTTCTTTGTGCTCCTATTGCCCCAGGCATACTGTCACCATAACTCTTACCATTCTGAGTTGAAAATGATTTTTTTTTTGCCTTTTATTTCTCTCATTAAATGCAAAGCTCATTGAAAAGAGGATGGTGGTTGTTCACTGTTGTACTCCTAACCTTTAACTCAGTGTCCTGAGGTCGGCTCTAGAGCTGTGCACACATGTTCAGACATTGGAGCACTTCTTGTCTAGCCCCTCTTTTGAGGTGCCTTGGAGAAAAGTCAGTAGGTACTTCCCCAAGGATGAAACAGAAGCTTCACCTAAATCAGGAGTTCTTGAACTTCAGCCTGCATTAGAATCCTCTGAGAGCTTGTTAAAAATACATTCTCCTAGAGCCCACTCTTCAAGAGTCAATGAGTTGCTTCATTATCAAAATATATACAGAATCCAGCCGGTCTTCAGCGCCAGCCTGGTCTGAGCCACTGTGGACTCTCACCTGCAGAATCTCATTGCTGGTCTCCTTGCTTCTGCTCTTCTTACCTTCTTATCATCCATTCAAGTAGCCAGGGTGATCCTTTTTAAAGATTTTTTAAAATTTTTTTGAGATGAAGTCTCACTCTATTGCCCAGGCTGGAGTGCAGTGGTGCTATCTCGGTTCACTGCAGCCTCTACCTCCTGGGCTCAAGCCATCCTCCCACCTCAGCCTCCTGGGTAGCTGGGACCACAGGCATACACCACCACACCTGGCTGATTTTTGTATTTTTTGTAAAGACAGGGTCTTGCTATGTTGCCCAGCCTAGTCTTGAACTTCTGTGTGCGCCCACCTCAGCCTCCTGCATTTTTAGGAAGCCCCTCTTGTAGGGATTTTGATGCAGAGGCCTGGGTGCCTCATGTCTCCTCCCATCTCTCTCTGTCTTTCTGTCTCTGTCTCTGTCTCTGTTTATCTCTCTCTCTTTCTCTTTGCCTTATAGCTGCCCTGGGGACTAGACTCTGCCTTAAGCATCCCTCTGACTCCTGTTTGCTTTTACACTGAGGCTGCTTTAAGTAGCACCTTGATCTGAAGCCTTGGGCTTCTGTTCCTATTGCTTGCTTTTGTTGGAAGGGCTGTGCAGTTTCTTGACAAATTGCAAAGCTGCCCACGTGTTTCCAAGTCCCCAAGAACCAAACCAGATGACAAACAAGGATGCAGCCCACAGCTGGGGAGACAGATTTCATGTCCACACAGAGAATCCAAGATGCTGAACTGAAATCCACCCCGAAACCTGTTTTCTCTCTCATTTAAGTTCAATGTCACCTGGGGGCTTGCAGGGCAGGGCTGGTGACTATTCACAGGGCAAAGATGCTTTGAAATGTCAACTGAGAATGGTGTGGTGGTTGACAGATGGCACGTCAGGGCATAGATTAACATGGAAAGAGAAACTCATCCCTTGGGGGGAGTGTGTGAGGCTGGCAGCCACACAGAGGGCTTTTCCTGTGAGCTCTCGCATAGATGCAAACAGCCAGGAGGTTTTGCTTTCTGAGCCTGAGTGGAACAATGTTCCTCCCTGCACATTGCCGCTCTGCAGCAAATGTTCATTCCTGTTGCATTGATTAAAAGTGCTTACCAGGAGGGGCGCGGTGGCTGAAGCCTGTAATCCCAGCACTTTGGGAGGCTGAGGCAGGCGGATCACAAGGTCAGGAAATCGAGACCCTCCTGGCTAACACGGTGAAACCCCGTCTCTACTAAAAATACAAAACATTAGCCAGGCATGGTGGTGGACACCTGTAGTCCCAGCTACTTGGGAGGCTGAGGCAGGAGAACGGCATGAACCTGGGAGGCGGAGCTTGCAGTGAGCTGAGATTGCGCCACTGCACTCCAGCCTGGATGACAGAGCAAGACTCCGTCTCAAAAAAAATAAATAAAGTGCTTACTGAAAGGGTTTGAGGGGAGTGGTGACAGTGTGAGTTATGGCTCTGCCGGCTGCCAGTGGATCCAGCCGCTCTGCACAGCTGTGCAAGTGTGTTTTGAAAAGTGGCTCAGGCGGCCAGAAGTGACTGGGTGTAAGTGTTCCTGCCACAACATCTTGTAGCCTGATTGGGGCCGTATTTGCAGAACGCCTAAACCACTACACTTGTTCAGGCTTAAAAATAAGCTTCCTTTTTTTTTGTTTGTTTTGGTTTGTTTTATGAGACGGAGTCTTGTTCTGTTGCCGGGTTGGAATGCAGTGGCATGATCTCGGCCCACTGCAACCTCTGCCTCCTGGGTTCAAGTGATTCTCCTGCCTCAGGCTCCCGAGTAGCTGGGACTACAGGCGTGTGCCATCATGGCCAGCTAATTTTTGAATTTTTAGTAGAGATGGGGCTTCACCATGTTGGCCAGGATGGTCCGATCTCTTGACCTCGTGATCTGCCCACCTCGGCCTCCCAAAGTCCTGGGATTACAGGTGTGAGCCACCGTGCCTGGCCAAACATAAACTTACTTTCTTACATCTTCTGCTGAACTCTATTTGCTTCTTTTCCCAAACGTCTTTATCCAAAACAGCTTTTAGCAACAAAGTTACCCAATGCCCTTCCCTAGTCTCTCCTTGCAACTGGCTCTCAGCAGGGGGTAGGAGGAAATCCTTGACAGAACCAATTTACATGACTGTTTGGAGGACTCTGGCTAGCCCCAGGAGGTGTTTGCATTTTTAAATAGGTTACTAGTGTCAGAATGTTTCATGAGTACGAGCACAGCCTCTATGTTGGATGCCCTGAATTTGAATCTCAGCATGGCCCCTTTGTATATAACCAGAGAATGGATTTGGGGACCCAATGGATCTATCATGACATGAACTTGCACTAATATTCACCTGACCTCCAAAATGCCTATTCTGACTAGTAGACCCTAGTCTCGCCCTAGTGCCAGTTCACAGCCTGTGTCCAGTGATCCTGCACAGATCTCATTAGTTCCTTTTCCCCTGTTCAGTCAGCCTGGTAAAAGGCTGTGTATTCCTTTGGGGGCAGGCTGGGAGAAAAATTGACAGTATAAATTTTTGGCAGTGGAGCAGAGTCCTTTCTGGAGGGGACCTGGCTTCCCATTCGGACACGGGACTCTGGGTCTGTGAACTGGCTTATTTCTGGGAATTGACTGGGGACTGTGACTCTATGATTCAGATTAGACTTCTACTCACCTGACCTAGAACTCTTCTGCAAACACAGATCAAGTAAAAATGTGGCAGGCTTCTTATCTATTTCACTTCTAGGAATGCCACAATCAGCTGGCACCATAGGTCTCTGCGAGTCAGGCTATTCTGGTTGCAGCTTTGACTCTGCTGTCTTTTATGGTAACTGCATCCACCTTGCCTTTGGGGATTGAGTGCTGCAATCACTTGGCCCCGGCCCCTGTAGTGTGCCTATGTCACTTACCCTCTTTATACGTCAGTCTCCTCCTCTGTAAAATGGGCATCGTAATAGCACCCACCCCCAGGGCTGCTGTGAGGTATAGATGGATTAGCATATGGAAAGTAATAGAAGAGGGTCTCAAAGGCCATGTGTCGTTATCAGAATTATTTCATGACAGGGGAGAGCTGGAGGAGAGAGGAAGGTGCTAAGCAGACCCATGTGCTCTCCCACCAGTGTTTCCTGAGCACCTACTATGTGCTGCCCACTGTGAGAGCTGTTAGGGTTGAAATAGGGAGCACAGCAGGATAGGGGCCGCCATCAGGATCTTAGTGGAGAGACCATTGTGCAACATGGTTCCAGTGCTGGGGGTGGGGAAGCTCAGGGAGTACAGGGGCCTAGGATCCTGGGCAGAATCATGGAAAGGACACAGCCTCCCCAGCCTCTCCTGCCTCCACTGCCTCCCTGGCCTCCTCTGCTTCCATGGCCTCTCCTGCCTTCCTGGATTCCCCTTCCTCCCGGCCTCCCCAGTCTCCCCTGTCTCTCCTGCTTTTGAGGTAGGCCAGGAGCTGCTGGTGCTCACTTAGCCTGTCCTGGACTCTGGGTGTAGCACCTCAATGTCCAGAAAATACCCCCGGGTGAAGCTCATCACACAGCCAAGGAAGGAGCTCCACACTGACACTAAGGGTGCATCCTGGGCTCATTCATCAGGGCATGCCTCCAAAATATTTCCCCACATCTCCTCCCTTTGCCCACCTGCATTGTCTCTGTGCCTGAGCCCTGGCTGGGGGCCTGCAAGGATCCCCTATCTCCTCTGTCCCTGCACGGCTGGGTCCCAGGCAATCTGTCTGCCCACCACACCTCTCTCCCCTTGCCCACCACGCTCCAGCCCCACAGTCCTCTTTCTGCTTCTTTCCCAGCCTCTGGGCTTTTGCACACGCTGTTCCCTCTGCCCGAAGAACATGCTCCACTGGGCTGAGAACAACTCTCTGAGATCTCTCTCAGCTGTTGCTTCCTTTGGAACAGCCGCTGCTGCTGTCCCTCTCCCAGCTCCAAGACCTGCTGAGCCTCCTGTCTTTTTCAGTTCCCATGCACCCAGCACTTCTCCTTGGCCTCCTTTTGCCCAATTGACAATGTCCATTCTCAATGCCTTCTCACCCAGCGCTGAGCCCCACTGGGTGAAGGCAATGCCTGTCATGTTCACCACAATATCCCCTCCCCCATCACCACTCCTGGTCCACAGAGATGCTCAAAAAAGGTCTGTTGGTAGGCAATGCGAAGGTGCATTCATGTCATCCTGCAGGCGGAATTCTCCACGAGTTTTGAGCAGCCTCGGTTTTCCCACCACCTCCAAACCATGCAAGACACAGGGTAAGAGCAAAGACAAGGTGGCTGTGGCCGATGTCCACCCTCTCGGGGCGTCCCTTCTCCTCTCTCCTCCTTGGGCAGGGAGACCATCGGGGTGCAACCTGGCTGGGGCGGGGAGGAGGTGCAAGGCTTGGCCGGAGCGGGCCTGGCCACGGGCAGGGGACAGCGACCGCCTAGGCCGGGCAGGTGAGCGCGGCGCAGGCCCTGGCACGGCGTGTCCGCGGTGCGCGCGAGCGGCCAGCAGAGGGCGCCAGAGAGCCAGGAGCGGCCCGCGGAGGAGCCCGCGCCGGCCCCGATGCCCAGCTCCGCGCCGCGCGGACCCACCGAGCCCGCGCTCAGATGCCCCAGCTCAGCCGAGAGGCCGCTCGCGCCGGGTCCTTCCTCTTCCCCAAGTGCAGGCAGAGCCCCCGGAGCCATGGCCAGTCCTTCCGGCAGCTCCGAAGCCACTGGCAAGACCCGAGGCAGGGATGGCCGGCCCAGGAGGGAGGAGGACGACGTCCCTCCCGAGGAGAAGAGGCTGCGGCTGTTGCTGGAGGGAGGGGGGAAGGGCACAGCCCGAGGACTGCGAGGACGGAGAGGACGCGCCGCGGCCGGGCAGGGAGGAGACCGGCACCCAGACAGGTGGCGACGGCAGAGGAGTAAGTGACGCGGGCGCAGGGGTCCGGGGGTGCCGGGGGCGCGGGGGTGCTGGGGACGCGGGGTAGGGGCGGCGGGAGGCTCCGTGGCCGGCCCCGGGTTGAAGTTGGTAACTGAGCGGCAACTCCGGCGGGCGCGGAGTGACAGCTCGTGACGGCCTCCGAGATGTCAGCTGTCCCTTCTCGGCTGTGTGGCTTCGACTTCCTGATTCTCCCACGACGTCCCTGGCCGGGAGACCAGCTGGACTCTGCGGCTAGCCAAAAGGGGAGGGGGAGCCCCGCGTCCTGGGGGCCCCCAGCAGGGGAAGGGGCGGGGGTTGCTCTGGGCATCCTGTCTGGGTCATCTGTCTGGGACTCTGTCGGTGCCTCTCACCTGGCGAGGGGCTTGTGGTGGGGGTAGGGGGAAAGTCCCTGGCGCCAGGCTTGGCCAAGCCCTGCTCTGCTGGGCTGCGGGCTGGCGGCGCTCACCCAGCTCCTCACCTGCCCCGCATCTTCCTGTTTTTCTTCCCTTTCTTGTTGAGCAGCGAGAGTTGAGAGGAGGCAGATGGCTTCCATCCCAAAAATCGCTCTCCTCTTTCCATCCCTACAGAGAGGGACAGAGAGGCAAAGTTCCTTGCATCCCCCGGGGCGCTGTCCCTGTGAGCTCCCGGTGTCTTGCACACGTGGGCCCCTGAGTCACCGGGCCTGTGTGTGTGCGATGGGGCTCTGTGGTCAGCCTGTCCTCCTGGGGTTCACTTTCTGCTTTCCTACCCCAACTCTTCCTGTGTGGCTTTGCTGGCCTTCCAGTGGGAGGCACGTGGGTTTGGAGGGCAGATGAGGGCCCACTGGAGAGCTGTACCCCTCAGTGAGGGCCGCCACCTTGATGGTTTTTGATGGATAATGGGATTGACCTCTTTGTTCCTTCCACATGTTTTTATGTTTGACCATTTGCTCAGCTGAGCTCGTCTTAATAATTTGATTCGTGGTTAATGAGCCCCACATGGGAGAGAGGGCGGCCTTCATTCTGAACCCATTGAAGCAGCACGGGCAGCCCTCTTCGCCATGGGCTGCATCAGAGCCCCCGCTGCCCAGTCTTGGGGTTGCCCCTGGATGCTCTCTGGGAGGCTTGCTCATGGTGACATCCTCATCTCCCCGTGCACTTTACTGCATTCAGAGCTTGGGTCACCTGGACACTGAACTCAGGTGAATTTTCTCTGAGATCCCGGGAGAAGGAGGACAGTTCTCTGGAAGGTTTTCCAGGGCCGATCACGGAAAGGATGAGAAGGGAGAGGTCCTGGTCGGGGACACAATTACGGTGGCAGTGTAACGCTGGAAAACTTTATTGCCTGAAGTCCCTCTCACTCTCTCTACCTCCCTCTTTTACGTGGACACTGCCAAAGACCAGGATACCAGAATGCAGTGGAGTGACCAAGTGTAGTGGGACCTTGGGAACGCGAGTCTGGAACCAGGCGGCTGGGGTTTGCATCCCGGTTCTGCCCCTCCTTAGCTGGCTGACATGGCACAAGCCACTTACCCTCTCTGAGCCTTACTGTCTTCAGTGGCAGATGGATCGGTCAACAGGCCCCATTGCCTGGGTTTGTTACTGATGAGATTAAGGGAAGCTCGTCCATAGAAGCACTTAGCATTGTGCCTGGCACATAGTGTATGGTGGATAAATGGGACTTAGGACTGAAACTCATGCCTTGGTTTGTTTTTGCAGTGAAGTTTTGTTCTGGGGTGCATCACAAGAGACAAGGTTCTTGGCTGGGTGTGGTGGCTCAAGCCAATAATCCCAGAACTTTGAGAGCCCAGGAGTTTAAGACCAGCCTGGGCAACGTGGTGAAGCCTCATATCTACCAAAAAAAAAAAAAAAAAAAAAAAAAGCCAGGTATGGTGGTGTGTGCCTGTAATCCCAAGTACTTGGGAGGCTGAGGTGGGAGGATTGCTAGAGCCTGGAAGGTCCAGCTGCAGTGAGCTGTGATCATGCCACTGCACTCCAGCCTAAGTGGCAAAGTGAGACCCTGTTTCAAGGAAAAGAGAGAGAGAGAGAGACAGACCCACAAGTGTCTTAAGCCAGAATCTCCATGTTAAAATGCTTTCTGGAGGCTGAAAGAATGACATATTGATAATGAAATATTTAAAAGGCAGAAACCCCACTGAATTTCTTGGTCCACAGAGGGAAATGGGAATCGCATGACCTGAAGGATGATGCAGGAACTGAACAGAAACCATCCTTGTTTCCTGAATCTGAATATGGCACCCTCTTTTCACGGTGTCTGTATCTGCTCGTCCAGCAGCCGCTCGAAAAGAGGGAATCTTGATTTTCAAATTTAAAATTTGGCCCAAAGCCCACTGCTGCCCACAATGCCCGCCAGACACATTCCTCTTCCCTTTTAGTTTCTATGGGAATACTCTCTTTGAAGAACCCATGAAGCAGTGTCAGGCTGGTGTGAGGATCAGCAGCCGTTTCTTTGAGGAGGAGAGCCTGTTTCTTCACTCACAGGCCATGTCTGAGTGGATCAAGAAGAACAGAGTGCCCTTTTATGAGATTTTTCTGCGTAGACCATTAACTTGGTAAAAATGTCGAAACCATCCTCGTTCTTTAATAGATTATTTTGGACTTTTCTTTGCAAGAAGCAGCATGGGCATTCAGATGCTTTTAAGGATAAAATGTTCTTTCTCATCCCCAGGCCTGGTGCTCTGGATGGCTGAGGTTTTAATGTGACTGGATGTCCCTTGGAGTGGCTCCCAGGCTGTGATCTTGTGGTTGGGTGGCAAGGGGTTGCTTTATTCGCTGGTGGCTAGAGGATGTTTTAACAGGTAAATCAGGCCCCCAGGAGCCCCTGAGTGCCAAGTCCTGCTGCAGGGCATGTGTTTATGGTGGGGAGGTGGGGGGGGGTGGAGTGTGGAGGGTGGGGGGTGTTGATTTCCTGCCAATATCAGAAGTTTCACAGGCTTCTTGTGTATCCACAAACACCCACCCCATTGAAAAGGCCTAGAAAACCTGGCCCTTCCCAAGCCTTTATTGACCGCTTGTGAATGATCCCAGGGTGTGTCTGACCCACAGCTCCTCCTGGAGGGAGAGAAAAGTCTCTCCTAGGTATTTGGTTATCAACCTCAACCATTGCTGAGCCTTCCTCAAGACCAGGCACCTCGGCAGAGATTTCTGGGTTGTCAGGCGGAACCGAGCATTCAAGGGTAACTCGTTGGAGTCCCTGAAATCCCCGATGGACGCACCAGGTAAAAGCATCCAGGGTTGAAACCAGATCAGGATGGTTATTGTCAGCCTGGGGCTCCTGTAGAGGTGCATCCATGTTGCAGGTATTTTCCCTTCTTGCTGAGGAGAAACCTGGGTTTCTCAGCTTTAGCACAGTCACAACATTTGGGGTCAGACCATTCGTGGTGGTGGTGGTGAGGCTGTCCTGTGTATTGTAGGATGGTTAGCAGCATCTCTGGTCTCCATCTTCTAGGTGCCATTCTACCCTCCCAGCTATGGCTACCCCAGATGTCTCCAGACGGTTTCAAATATCATGGAGCAAGGGAGTTGTACGTGAGCAAAACCACCCCAGTTGAGAGCCATTGGTCTACACTTGTGGAAATCTTTGAGAGTGAGAGTGTTGAGCTTGGGTCCCTGCTGTACCCTTTATGAGCAATGCGGTCTTGGAAAATTAATACTACTCCAGGGGCCTCAGTTTTCTCATCTATAAAATGGAGATAAACGAGATACACTTTCATAGGAAGTTTATATGGGATTTACTGAGATAATAAGACAGTACATGGAAAATGCTGGGCATAGAATTTATTTATTTATTTATTTTTTAAGACGGAGTCTTACTCTGTTGCCCAGGCTAGAATGCAGTGGCATGATCTCCGCTCAGTGCAACCTCCACCTCCTGGGCTCAGGTGTTTCTCCTGCCTCAGCCTCCAGAGTAGCTGGGATTACAGGTGCCCAACACCACACCCGGCTAATTTTTGTATTTTTAGTAGAGATGGGGTTTCACCACGTTGGTCAGGCTGGTCTCAAACTCCTGACCTAAGGTGATCTGCCTGCCTCGGCCTCCCAAGGTGCTGAGATCACAGGTGTGAGCCACCATGCTGGGCTAGGCATAGCATTGTAACACAGACAAAGCACAAAATACTTGGGCAATATCTTTTTACATTTGGCTTGTCTAGACTCCATCCTCCATCCCCTCATGCGCTGGTGTGGTGCAGACCAGAATATCACCCACCTATACTGCAGAGTGGATTTGGGTGGCATCTTGGCTTCCTGCACAAGACTTGCCTGTTCCCCACCACATCCCCCTTGTTCTCAGGGTCCAGGATTCCAGGAGGCAGGGATGTGGGCAGGCAGGGCAGGTGGCCCACCCAGTTCACTCCCACGCTCGGGACCTGCAGAGCCGGCTCTCCAAGACAGGGTGTTTTGACCAAGATCTGGGTTTCTGGATTTCCATTTGAGCACAGCTGGACTACACAGGCTGAAGCTCTCTCTGCCGAGATATAGATATTTCCCTGGCGAAGATCTTTCAAGCTGACATGAAGACATGGCCACCCGCTGGAACGTGGTGTGTCTGCCGTGGCACTCTTGTAATTTGTGAGGCAGGTTCCTGAGGAATGCAGTGCATAAGTGGGAAATGGTGGGAAGTTCTCGCATCCCCCTCGGCTGAAAGTGCTGCCTGTGCAGGTTGGTAGACGGTACTTTGAGCAGGAAGAAGACACGGAGCACATTCCTGTTAGCTATGACAGAGAGAGGCAGGGTACACACTGGACATTTCAAGCCCCTGCAGAGAAGCAAGTCTTACTGTGCTGGGAGTACTTGTGGAGTGGGGGCTGTGTTGTCCTGGGCTTTAATTATTTCAGGAACATTTAACCGCAGGGCTGGCAGGCTGGATCTTGATATGTGTTTCTCAGTTGGAAAGACTTTGGACCATAGGGAAATGTCTTCTCAATTCTTTTAATTTCATTAAGGTGGTCATTTTTCTTCTTGTGGCCTCTGGAATGTGACACAGAACTCAAGGGACAGGAAGGAGATGAATTGGAGGCTGGGACAGGGGTCCCTGCCAGGGATGCTGGTGACTCACATGACAGTGTTGATGTGTGGAGTCCGGTGCCTGGTTTGGGGAATGTTTGTGGGATATGTTCCAAAGCACTGATAGACCTATTCAGGTACTGGAGGTGAATGGTCAAGTCTGATCTCAGGGCTGGCAGTGTCAGGCAAGGACAGGAAGTTGACATTGGACTCATTGGCTGAGGTTGCTTGGGACCCAGGGGGCAATGTGTGCCAGGACAGATGGGTCTGGGGCTAGGAAGGCAGGTTTGGGCTGGAGACTCGGGCTTGGGAGGCATCCCAGGTAGACAGTGGTTGAGGCTGTGGAAATGACCACGATTGCCTGGGATGAGAGTGGAGACAGACAAGATGGGGGTTTTGCTCTAAGCCTGGGGAACCCACCTCCCAGGTTCAAGGGATTCTCCTGCCTCAGCCTCCCAAGTAGCTGGGAATGCAGGTGCGTGCCACAATGCCTGACTAATTTTGTATTTTTAGTAGAGATGAGGTTTGGCCAGGCTGGTCTCAAACTCCTGACCTCAAGTGATCGGCCCACCTTGGCCTCCAAAGTGCGGGATTATAGGCATGAGCCACCATGCCTGACCATTTTTAAATATTAATTTTTATGAAATATTTTCAAACACATTTTACTGTACATTGGAAAAGTCAATCATGATTTGAAAACTTTATCAAAATCCAATCAAATGTCAATTAACCATTTAATTGTGGATGGGTAAGGAGACTATTTTGACCAAAACATGTTAGAAGAATTACCACTTATAGAAATAATCTATGTTTTAATGTTTTAGTTGAATTAAACAATCTTTTATATTCTGTCCAGGCGCAGTGGCTCACACCTGTAATCCCAGCATTTTGGGAGGCCGAGGCTGGCGGATCACCTAAGGTCAGGAGTTCGAGACCAGCCTGGCCAAAATGGCGAAACTGTCTCTACCAAAAATACAGAAATTAGCCAGGTGTGATTGCACACACCTGTAATCCCAGCTACTTGGGAGGCTGAGGCAGGAGAATCGTTTGAACCTGGGAGACAGAGGTTGCAGTCAGCCGAGATCGCACCACTGCACTTCAGCCAGCCTGGGTGACAGAGCGAGACTCTGTTTCAAAAATAAATAAATAAATAAAATAGAATTCTGAATTTTATTTTTAATAATTATTTTTGTAAAGAGAATATCTTGTTTTTTGGAGTTATTGAATTTATTGAATTGACAAAAATTATGTACAAGAGGGTATACAACATGATGTGATTGAAGTATGTATACATTACAAAATGGCTAAATCAAGCTAAATAACATATCACCTCCCAGACTTATTTTTTTGTGGTGAGAACACTTAAAAAATCTACTCTCTTAGTGATTTCCAAGTGTATGATATGTTGTTATTAACTATAGGTACCATGTTGCCCCATGGATATCCTGAACTTATTCTTCTTCTCTAAAAATGACATTCTGTGTCCTTTGGCATCTGCCCACTTCCCCACCCTGGCAACCATCATTCTACTCTGCTTCTGTGAATTCAACTTTTTTCTTTTCTTTTTCTTTCTTTTTTTTTTTGAGACAATCTCATTCTATTGCCCAGGCTGTAGAGCAGGGTTGTGATCTTGGCTCACTGCAGCCTTGACCTCCCAAGCTCAATCAATCCTCCTAATTTGGCCTCTTGAGTATCTGGGAGTATAGGCACTCACCACCATGCTCCACTAATTTTTGTATTTTTTTGTAGAGATGGGGTCTTTGTATGTTATGCAGGCTGGTCTCGAACTCCTGGGCTCAAGCAATCTGCCAGCCTCAGCCTCCCAAAGTGCTGGGATTACAGGCATGAGCCACCGTGCCTGGCCGAGTTTAACTTTCTTAGATTCCACATATAGGTGAGATCATGTGGTATTTGTCGTTCTGTGCCTGGCTTATTTCACTTAACATAATATCCTCCAGGCTCATCCATGTTGTCTCAAATGGCAGGATTTCCTTCTTTTTGAAGGCTGAATAGTATTCCATTGTGTACATACACCACATTGTTGCTGGAAGAGTAATGGAGGCCAGTTGGGGGAGGAGGGGGAAAAGATTCACTCTAAGTCTAGATGCTCCAGCACCCACCCAGGGTGTGTGCAAGGAAGTTCAGGTTGCTCCTGGTCTTGCAAACTGTGGTTTGTGGGACTGCAAAGCCCCTATCCTTCCACGATGCTTTCTGTCCTGTTATCACATTTCCTTGGAGGAGAACCCAGCCTTGGTGGAGAGCCCTGCTCTGGCTTTGTCCCTCGGCATGAGATGGCAAAGGATGGTGCTGCTGGGAGACCCTCACGTCTGCGCACTGGGGGCTGTTTGCCTTCTCCATTCCTCCTTCAAGTATCTGAGCAGCTCCTGTGTGCCAGCTGCTGGTCTACGAGAGGGATGGGTCCTTGGAGATCACGCTGTAGCAGAGGAGGCAGGCTGTAGCCCACACGCCAGAACCAGCCCCCTGCCTGTTCATACAAATAAAGATTTATTGGAACACAGCCACACCCATTTCAGTGCATATTGTCTGTGGCTGCTTTCCTGCTACAATGGAGAGTTGAATAGTTGGGACAGAGACCTATGGCCTGCAAAGCTGAACTATTTACCATCTGGCCCTCAAGAAAAAGGAAAAAAAATGCTGATCCTTGTACCCCGACAGTCTTAGGTTAAGAGGACTTTGTACCACCCTGATGTCCCAGGCGGCCATGAGTCCAGCCACCCTTGAAATGTACACAGGTCTGGGCTAGGGTTGCAGCAGGTGAGTCCCAATTTTGCAGGTCTTTGGTGTCAGGGGCACAACCCAGGATTTTGAGTGGGGTTTCCTCACCACTGTGGCTGGGCACTGGGCTAGGGTGCTTTCTGATTTTTGTATGGGGAAGAGATAAGAGGGAAGAAATGGCAATTTGTTGCCCTGTTCTAACATTTTCCTAAGATGGGTCTCCAGGCAAGGGCTTGGGATCTCACCTTGCACAGCTTACAAAACCCAGTGAGGCCAGCTGTCTTGGCGCTGCCACTCTGAGGGATGGAGCCCCCAGATTACTAGGAAGGGAGATAAAAGAATGGTTTCTGCGAGCACAAGAACTGGCGTTACTGAAATTAACTTTTCCCCCAAGTTTTATAATGTCTAGGCATGCATATTTAAGTGTCTGCCTCAAAAGCTCATCCTAATAACCAGATGGTGCATTTAATTTCCTTTTTTTGTTCTCTGAGCAATATGCAGCTTCCTGCACAGCCCTCCTTGCAGGCAACTGCGCTGAGGTGACAGTCCTCCTGACTGCCAGCACAGATCCCCAGGGCCTCTGAGAGCCCTGTATTCTGGGGGCAGCCTTTCCCCCTTCTATTCAGCCCCAGCTGGAAGGGGGCAGGTTACCCACAGGGCTCCTGCCTTAGCTTAGCTTACCTCCTGCCTAAGATTAGCTTAGCTTAGCTAAGCTTAGCTTAAGCTGCCTTAGCTTAGCTTAGCTTAGCTAAGCTTAGCTTAAGCTGCCTTAGCTTAGCTTAGCTAAGCTTAGCTTAAGCTGCCTGAGCTTAGCTGAGCTAAGCTTAGCTTAAGCTGCCTGAGCTTAGCTGAGCTTAGCTTAAGCTGCCTGAGCTTAGCTGAGCTTAGCTTAAGCTGCCTGAGCTTAGCTTAGCTTAAGCTGCCTGAGCTTAGCTGAGCTTAGCTTAAGCTGCCTGAGCTTAGCTGAGCTTAGCTTAAGCTGCCTGAGCTTAGCTGAGCTTAGCTTAAGCTGCCTGAGCTTAGCTAAGCTCCTGCCTAAGCACAGGGCTCCTGCCTTAGCTTCTCTAGGGAGTCTGGCTCCCTCTGACCCTCTAGACCTCACCAGCTGAGGATCAGAGCCCCGGGACAGGAGCCAGGGCCAGGGGGCATTGGGGGGTGGTTTGAGAGTGCAGCTCTGGAGGAGGGCAGGGCGGGCCCAGGAAAAGCTGCTTGGGGGAGACTGCAAAGAGATGGCAGAGTTAGGACAAGAGGCCCGGGCATGGTGACTCACACCTTTAATCCCAGCACTTTGGGAGGCATGTTGGGGGATCACCTGAGGCCAGGAGTTTGAGACCAGACTGGCCAACATGGTGAAAACCTGTCTCTACTAAAAATACAATAATTAGCCAGAAGTGATGACACCTATAATCCCAGCTACTCGGAAAGCTGAGCCATGAGAATTGCTTGAACCCGGAAGGTGGAGGTTGCAGTGAGCTGAGATTGTGCCACTGTACTCCAGCCTGGGCAATAGAGCAAGATTCCATCTCAAAAAAAAGAGGACAGGAGGAGGAAGGAAGAGGAGGGAGCTGTGGGGCAGCAGCCAGGGCCTTAAAGGCACAGGAGAGGAAGCTTGGATTTCCAATTCCAAAGGACATGAAGACAAAGTCACACACCTTTATTTAACCTGCTCCAGGTGAGTCGGGGCTTTGTGTATTTTCCTTGTTTTCCTTTTCCTTGTGTTCAGGCTGTTGTAGAAATAGGTATGCAGGGGCTCTGTGTGGCGCCCTGTTCTGGTGGCCTTCAGGAAGCATGGGGTGCCCTAGTTTCCTTGGCTTCCTGTCCCCTTTTCCTCCTGCCACCCCTGACTGTGCACCCCACCTTGTCCCTCAGACCATCCTCCTCGAGGGGCCTGGCCAGGGCTTGTGTCCTTGCTAGTCTCTGGGGAGGAAGACTCTGTGGCTTGAAAGCCTGTCGGCTTAAGTTGCAAGGTGTAGGTGCCTGGGAGGGCACGTGCACGGCCCTCTTGACTGACCCATTCATGTTTTTCTTTTTTGACTCTGTTCTATGTTGTCCTGATGGAGGGGTAAGCCCCTGTCTTCTGCCTTTCCTGCCTTGGACTCTTGCAATTGGGCCAGATGAGAGGGTCCATGTGGTCTAAGAATTCAAGCAATGCTGACCAGACATGGTGGCTCACACCTGTAATCCCAGCAGTTTTGAAGGCCAAGGCGGGCAGGCCAGAAGTTCAAGACCAGGTGGCCAAAAAAATGAAACCCTGTCTCTACAAAAAATACAAAATTAGCTGGGCTTGGTGGTGCGTGCCTGTAATCCTAGTTATTTGGGAGGCTGAGGCAAGAGAATCACTTGAACCCAGAAGGAGCAGGTTGCAGTGAGGAGGAGGTTGCAGTGAGGAGGAGGTTGCAGTGAGGAGGAGGTTGCAGTGAGCCGAGATTGTGTCCCTGGACTCCAGCCTGTGCAATAGAGCGAGACAATGTTTCCAAAAAAAAAATAAAAAAAATAAAAAATTTATATAGGAAACAAAACACAAAACTTCCTCTTGATTTGATTTTCTTGATCTTACTTCTCAGAGGTAACACTGGGAAGGGTTGGGGTATACCTCTCCACACCTTTTTCTTTGATTTCTTTTTATTTTTTATTCTACGTTCTGAGATACATGTGCTGAACGTGCAGGTGTGTTACATAGGTATACATGTGCCATGGTGGTTTACTGCACCTATCAACCCGTCATCTAGGTTTTAAGCCCCGCATGCATTAGGTATTTGTCCTAACGCTCTCCCTCCCCTTGTCCCCAACCCCCGATGGGCCCTGGTGTGTGATGTTCCCCTCCCTGTGTCCATGTGTTCTCATTGTTCAACTCCCACTTATAAGTGAGAACACGCAGAGTTTGGTTTTCTGTTCCTGTCCACACCTTTTCCCTCCTTGCACGCAAACACATGTATTTGCACATAAGTGTTTATTGTAACCTTTTTAAAAAAATAAAAATGGAATAGTGCTATATTTATTCTTTGGAAAGCCTGGTTTTCAGGCAGCATGTCTTTGACATTGTCTCATGTTGGAACCTGGGTACCACCTTCTTCTCCCAGCAGTTATTCTGACGTGTGGATGCACCACGTTTCGTTTAACCAGCCCCGCACCGATACGTCTTTGGATGGTTTCCGCCTTTTCCCAATCACAGACGGTGTTCTGATGAATTTCCTTGCACACATCACTTGGTGCTCTGTGCGTGCATTTCTGTGAGATGTTCCTGGAGGTGGGCTGTCTAGGTCAGAGGGGGATCTGTGCTTAATTTGCATCCTGTGCAAAATTCCATCCAGTCATCCGGCTCCCCAAGGGCTCACATGGTACTGTCCTCTGTAGACATCATCTTCTGCAGATGATGGCACGACCGCCTCTCTTTCTTTTACTCACACCAGTCTGCACTCTGGTGTCCTGGGGGGGTCCAGCCCCTACCCGCTTGTCTGTCCCCAGTACCCCCAGCGCCTGCTAACAGGGACTCTGTCTTCTGAGCTTTGGCAGACTGCTTCACTCTGGAGAAGTTTGCTTTCTCAAACATTCCTGACAATGTTACTGCAAATCCCTAGGCCTGTGTTTGCCTTCTTCAGGCCTCAGTTTTCTCATAAGTAAAATGGGGATAATGTGATGCTACTGTCTGCATCCTAGAGCTGCCATGAGGGTTCAGTGAGATCACTGTTGAGAGCACGTTCACAGCGCCGCCCTTGTGCGCAGTCAGCACGTGTGGGTCAGGGCTGTTGCTGATACGTTGTTGACTGTCATTGCTAGACTGAGGCTTTACCAGGGGCATTGTCTTTAGTGCCGAGCCCAGAGCCACCCCTAGTACCTGCTGTGTTTATAGAGTGATTGGGTGGCAGGGTCAGAGATGGAGGCAATGGCAGCAGAAACAGAGGAAAGAAGTGGGGCTTCTAATAGGTCCTGAGCCAGTGGCCCTTGAGATGAAGACTTCTTGCCAAGGTCTGGGGCTGTGCTGTGTGTTCTAGGCCCGAGACCGGAAGCTAGGCCTGGCTGCAGCCCCCGCTGAGCTGGGGAAGTGCAGGTCAGCATCCTGCTTCATTAGGACACCTCCAAGCCCAGCTTAGACGTGGATGCCAGGTGACCCCCTGTTCACTCTGAGCCCAGACAGAGGACAGGGAAGTGTGCAATGGTGGGGACCCCCTCATCACAGCCCTTGACTCTGTAAGGTATATGGGTTTGTGCACGTGTGTAAGCACGGCCGTGGCTTCTCTGAGTTTCAAGCTTGAGGATGTGTTTATGCAGGGTAAGGCTTGCCAGGTAAAATACAGGAGGTCCAATTAAACCTGAGTTTCTCATTAACCTTTTTTTTTTTTTTTGGTGCAAATATATCCCATGCAATATTTGGGACCTGCTTACCCTAAAAAATGATTTGTTGTTTATCTGAAATTCAAGTTTAACTGGCATCCTGTCTTTTCACTTGCTACATATGAAAGTTCCGTGTGGGGGTTATCAGTGTGCATTTGCGAGTTCCCATGTGAAGGACTCTCTCCAAGTGTCTGTAGGTGCCAGGATGGAGATGGACAGAGAAGACCCTCTTGGGCTGCTTTAGTGGCACCTAGAGGCTGCGGGGTTGGACACTTCAGCCCCAGGGGCCTAGACAGCACTGTCCAGCACCTGTGTGCTCCTGTCTTCTTCATGGGGGCTGACTTCCCTGCCATCTCTCTCCAAATACGGTGGCAAGAGCTATCCCATCCGCCCCCATCTGGAGCTCGGCTGCCCAGTCAGACAAGATGGCAAACAGTGTGCAGATGGCTGCAAAGCTTTCCCCAGCTCCTTCTGCAAGGGACCTGCAGATGAAATGGAAGCCCTCATCCTCACCACCTCCCCCTTCCAGAAAACCCAGGCAACAGCCACCTCTGAATGCTGCTTTAGAAGCTTCTCCCTCCTGGTGATTAAACCACCCCAAACAAATAAAGCACTGCATTTCCACCATAGGCTTGTTCACACGCACACAGCCAATTGTCTTGGATCCGCCTGTGTGCCTGATTCATCAGGGTGAGGGGTTCTCCTCTGAGGTGCTTGAGAAGAGCTGCTTAATTTTCATCTGGAAGACTCTCTGTAGAAACCAGGCCCAGCTTTGGAAGAAAGCCCTTTCTCCCCCTTTAGCAAATTCTGTGTCATTCTTTTTTTCTTTCTTTCTTTTTTGAGACAGAGTTTCACTTTTGCTGCCCAGGCTGGAGTGCAATGGTGCAATCTCGGTTCACTGCAGTCTCTGCCTCCCAGGTTCAAGAGATTCTCCTGCCTCAGCCTCCTGAGTAGCACCCACAACCATAACTGGCTAATTTTTTTTGTATTTTTAGTAGAGAGGGAGTTTCACCATGTTGGCCAGGCTGGTCTCGAACTCCTTACCTCAGGTGATCCACCTCGGCCTCCCAAAGTGCTGGGATTACAGGTGTGAGCCACCATGCCTGGCTGGAATTCTGTGTCATTCTGGATACTTATCATGACTTCAAGCATCCAGGACTCTGTCCTGGGTATCCTGAGCCTGAGGGTGTATGTGTGTCCAGCTGGCTTGGAGGTTGTCTACAGGCAGGTTGAACTTGGCCTCTGAGTCCATGGCAGCCTCACATGGGAAATACCACCAAGGAGCCTCATCCTGTGCTTTTAGGAGATAGTTTCTATTTAGTCATTGCTGAATCTGTTACAGACAGGGTCTCAATTTCTTGCAAGTCCTGTATGAGGTGGGTGCTGTGATTATCCACATGTTCACTTGTTCTCTCTGGCCTCTTTCAGGCTCTTGCACTTCCTTTGCTCTTTTCCTGCCACAGGGCCTTTGCACATCCTGCTCTTTCTGCCTAGAAAGATTTTCCCTCTCCCTGCCTCTTCACCTGGTCACAGTCTCATCTGACAGTGGAGTCACTACATCCTCAGGGACGCCTGGCCACACTGACTCAGTCACAGCAACCCCCTGTTATCTGCTTTCATGACACGAGGTGCCTCTCTGTGGTAGACACTAGCTCAGCTATGGATTCCTATTTCTGTGCATGTCATCCTTCCCCTTCAAGACTGTGGTCACCATGAGGACCAGGGCCATGGCTGTTCCTGATTCTCATTTGTTTCTCTGGTGTTTAGTATATGCTCACCTATAATTTGATTAATGAATGATGTCATACCCATTTTACAGATGAGAAAGTTGAGGCTCAGGAACATTATGTAACTTGCTCAGTATTAGGTAGTGATGGTTTGAAGCCATCTGGCTGGTCGCTGGGTGCACACTCTTAACCAATTCACTATGGTTCTTCTCTCATGGTAGCTCTCCAATGGCAGGAGTGAGAGACAACTTTAGGACAGGTGTAACCAGAATCCCAGGGGTTATCCTAGAAGGTGGTGTCAGGGACATGCTTGCCTATGGGCCTTCTTACTGTATTACCTAAAATACTCAGTTTTTCTGACTCGCCTTTAGTTAAGACCTTAGCAATATTTGAAGCACAGTTGTCAATAGGAAAGGGTGGGTGTTTATACTTTTTTAAAAAGGAGTCTATCTCATATTTATCTTGTGGTCTGCCATGCCCCTCTGATCTTCTTCAGCTTCAGTTATGCAAAATTAACACTTCTTCTCTTGACTGCCTCTCTCTTACCTGTTCAGTTGCTTTTCTGTGTTCGAGATTGCTTAGAATTTTTCCCCATTACTACAGCCTGCTTCCCACCTGTATCCCCCAGCCAGCTTGTTCTGGATTTTGTCAACAAGAGTTCCAGCGTTTAGTGAGGGCTGGACTGAAGGAAAGCCTTGGAAAAGGCTGTGTGATGAAAGGTGAAGATACCTAATGGGCAGGCAGTCATCAGGGTTAATTCAAAGGCGGGAAGAAGGGCTGACCTGGAGGACTGGAAATGTCTTTGAGCTGAAGGTCATGTGCAGGTGGAACGAAGAGGGTGAGCCTTTTGGGGTGAACTGCAAGTGTTTGATAAGATCCCTGTCCCCATGTTTGGGGAAGTCTTGATAAGCATCCTCAATGTGATGGAGGGATTAAGGAACCCCTGGCTCTACCAGCCCAGCATAGCAGTAACATGACACAGCCAAGTTATTGATTATTGGTTGCTCAGCTGTCATCAGCTCACCATCTTCTTTTAGTTATACCTGTAATTTGCATTAGTTGCCAATGCCAGTTTTGACTTTCCTAGTCAATAAAGTGTTCTGAGAGTGGTGACTAAGGCTGAGCACTACCCATAACCATGAGTATTACAGAGGCAAGCCCCCTTGCCCACCCACCTACAGGTGATGAGACACCCTAGGAAATCAATCAATTATTTGGAGGACCCCGAATAAATGCTCAAGTCCATCTGTTCATCTGTCCATCCATCCGTCCACCCTTCCTTCCATCCATCCATCCATCCATCCATCCAGACATGCATACATCCATCCACCCACCCACCCATCTATCTATCCAACCCACCCATCTATCTATCCAACTCACCCATCTATCTATCCAACCCACTCTCTTATGCACCTAACTATTATCCACCTACCCACCCACCAACCCATCTATCCATCCACTCACCATGCATCTATCCACCCATTCACTCATCTACCCATCTATCCACCCACCGGTCCATCCATTTATCTATCCCTCCACCCCCTCACCCACTCATCCATTTCTCCACCCACTCAGCCATCCCTTCACCGACTCAACCATCCATTCATTCACCCATCTGCCCACCCATCCATCTTTCCATCCACCCATCTATCCACCCACCCACCTATGTATCCATCCATCTGCTTGTCCTTCTGTTCATTTATTCCACAAAGACTCGTTAACCACCTGCTAGATTCTGGGGGAGGTACCTGCTCTAGTAATTGAGAACACGGTCTCTAGAATATGATTCCCTGGGCTCAAACTGAGCTGCCTCCTAGTTAGCTGCTTGGGTGAGTTATAGAAACTGTGCTTTGATTTTCTTACCTGAAAATTGGCTATTAATAGCTTCTACTCTTGCAGATATAGTGAGGATTAAATAAGATGTCACGTTAAAAGTGCATCATCGACACTCAATAGAGATTAGGTTTTACCATTCATTATTATTCTTGGCAGATGCTGCAGATGACATGGAGAGCATACGAAAGACACATGTTTGAACCAATAGTGACATATAGGTGCTAAGTTCTTCAGTAGAGGGAAGGCAGAGAGCCATGGAGAGGGCCTGGCCCAATCCTGTAGCCTCAGAAAAAAGTTCCTTGTTGAACTGCTGTTTTAGCTGAGACCTGTTGGATGGGTAGTAGTTGGAGATCCCAGACGGGATGTGACCGAGTTAGCCAGGGAAAAATTTGGTCCTGGCACCCATGGCAGAGTTGAGTGATCCAGTCCTTCTGTCTCCTCTGGCTGGAAGTCCACCAGATCTGGGAATGTCAAGTTGGGGGAGGAGGCTGACAATGATCATGACCTTCACCTGTCCACACATGTCCTCTGTGTATCTGCAAAGCCTCTTCCTCAGTCTCCTCTTCTGGAAAGTAGGATTGGAAACCACATCTGCTTCTCTCCCAGGACTGCTAGGAAGACAAGATTAGATGGCAGGTGAGAGCTCTTTGAAAATGAAAACATTCTGCTGTTTGAATGCAAAGTGTTCTTCTTTGCCTGTGATGTTTCCTAATCTGTGAAATCATACTGGACCTCGAAGCTGTCTATTAAAAAAAAATAGCAAAGTGGCTGGGCATGGTGGCTCATGCCTGTGGTCCTAGCACTTTGAGAGGCTGAAGGGGGGTGGATCACTTGAGGCCAGGAGTTCGATACCAGCCTGGCCAATATGTGAAACCCCATCTCTACTAAAAATACAAAAATTAGCCAGGTGTGGTGGCATCTGCCTGTAGTCCCAGCTACTCAGTAGGCTGAGGCAGAAGAATCATTTGAGCTCAGGAGGCAGAGGTTGCAGTGAGCTGAGATGGCGCCACTGCACTCCAGCCTGGGCGACAGAGCGAGGCTCTGTCTGAAAATAGAAAAAAAAAAAAAAAAAAAAAAAGCAAAGTTAACACTTCCTCCATCTCTCCCCTAGGGGAGGTAATTTGTCAAAGATTGTTGTTGGATTTTACACACAGGGAAATCTAAGGAAGGTGTGGAAACCAGACTAGGACTCCAGACTCTGGTCTCCCTGTTTATAGGATCTTAAATGGGGGAGCCACTTTGGGTTCTTTCCACAAGATTGCTTTGTAAAAAAACCAAGAAACAAACAAACAAAAAACTCAAAAAAACAGCCCTGACCTAAATATTCACAAGAGACCTTAGGCAATATCTGCAAACAAAAGTGAGTGATGAGTGGAATCTGTCATCTTTACAACTAAGACAGCTCCAGAGTTGAAGCAAGTGGAAATATCTCTAGAGACAGAGATTTGGGCAGGTTTTGCCAGTTACAAACTATGAGAACCTGGGCAGGTTTACCTCTTTGAGCTTCTGTGACCTTGTAAAATAGGCTGCATTGCGCTAAACGCGCAGGAGGAATCCCAGCATCCTCCTGTGCACAAGGCTGGTCTCTTCCCATCCTTTTCCTGGTTCTGCCTTTCTCCTCCTCTCCAAGAGATGAATACATTTGGACCCAGTAGGGGCCTATATTTGCAAAAGCTTGCAGGTGATTCTCATGCAGCCAGCCTGGCTCTGGCACTGAGTTCTTGGACACTTTTGGAGGCACATTTACTAGTGAGGAAGGTCACTGTGTGTTAAAGGCGGGATTCATCTTCCATTCCTTTCTTCCATGAAGCAAAGTGCATGGGTCGACTGAGCTGGGAGAATCCACAGTGTCAGCCTCCCCCACACTTCCCTCCCTCCTTATTCCTTGTGTACTATACTTTGTCTTGATTTCCTGTACTCTGCACCAAGACAGGAGATGGTAACATGTCAAAAAAATCATTTTTTTTGGGAAATGGGATCAAGAGAGTTTTTGTTTGCTTGTTTGTCTGTTTGAGACAGGGTCTGTCGCCCAGGCTGGAGTGCAGTGGCATGACCTTGGCTCACTGCAGCCTTGACCTTCTGGGCTCAGGTGATCCTCTCACCTCAGCCTCCTGAGTAGCTGGGACTGCAGGTGCACACCACCATGCCTGACTAATTTGTCTATTTTTTGTAGAGATAAGGTTTCACCATGTTGCCTAGGCTGGTCTCAAACTCCTGGGCTCAAGCAGTCCTCCATCTGCCTCAGCCTCGCAAAGTGCTGGAATTACAGGCATAAGCTGCTGTGCCTGGCCAAGGTTTTTTTATTATTATTATTATGAAAAATTTTCAGTATACATAAAAGTAGACTAGTTTAATGAGCTATCATATACCCATCACATAGGTTTAAAAACTATTAACGTTTGCAATATTTACTCCATTTGTTTTTCTGAAGTATTTAAAAAATGGTTTACAGTAGTTATGTAATTGCATCATGATATTCACCCCTACATAATTTACTTTCCCTCTAAAAACATGAGGGCATTTTTTATATGATCATTGTCATACCTAATCAAATTACCAGTAATTCCTTAATAAGCCAAGGTAGGTGGATCATGAGGTCAAGAGATCAAGACCATCCTGACCAACATAGTGAAACCCTGTCTCTATTAAAAATACAAAAATTAGCCAGGCATGGTGGTGGGCGCCTATAGTCGCAGCTACTCAGGAGGCTGAGGCAAGAGAATCGCTTGAACCCAGGAGGTGGAGGTTGCAGTGAGCTGAGATTACACCACTGCACACCAGCCTGGGTGGCAAGAATGAGACTCTTGAAAAAAAAAAAGTCTCTCACTGTGGTCTCATAATAAAAGGACACTCCATTTCCCATCTGGCCCCTGCTCCTTAATGTTAGCCCCCTCCTGTGGGGAGGAGGGGGTGACCTTCAGCACAGGTTCAAGCATTCCCAGGGCTAGCTCTGATCCTGATAAAGCCCATCGTCATGAATGAATGCTTCCCTTGCAGGTTATTCTAAGTATTGTAAATAGTGGACGTGGAGCGTCCTCATGATGCCTGGGATGGTAGTGAATATTTATAGGTTTCTTTTAGCGCCTTTTTTTTTTAGTGTTTTCTATAGTTCCATGTTTCTACTACCCTTAGGAACATCAGAATCATGTGTGTGTGGGTGCTTATTAAATAAACCAGTTCCTGGAGCTCACTCCCAGGGACTCCCAGTCTGATGATTAGGGGCTCAGCTAGGACCTATGTTTGCAAAAGCTCCCATCTGATCTCATGCAGCCAGCCTGTCTCTGGCTCTGGCTCTGGCTCTGGGAGCTGGGTTGGGAACTAGTCTTTGGTGCTATTCTGCTGAAACTTCAAGTTGGGCTCTTTGACTCCGTCTTGTATTGTCATCACTTGTATTCAGTTCTGTTCTTCCCCTGGATTGTAAACTCCTTGATGTCTGCATCATCTCAGCTCATGAGCTGAGCTTTCAGTGGGTGCTCAGTGGAACAGGTGCTGAATGGAGTCAGGCTGTAGGGAGGCCAGCGTGTGTTGGTAAGTGAGAGACAAAAATCATTTTAAAAAAATCTTTTTGCCCTTCAGTTGTGTTTGCCATGAGTTAATGTGATTTACTCTAGTGGAAGCCAGTGCAGCTTAAGTGGAGGTCTTGCCCTGAAATGGAGCCAGGTTATGGATCAGCAGAGCTGCCAAAAGCATTTTGGGGGAAATGTTTCTGTGTCACCCTCAGTTGATTGAACTCAAATTTTCACTCCCATTTAACACCACGTGGGGGCCATTCTGACTTCTGCGGAGTGGGTATGATCAGATCTTCTGTAAAAGTGTAAGTGAGGAGGCTGGGCACGGTGGCTCACACCTGTAATCTTAGCACTTGGGAGGCTGAGGTGGGCTGATCACTTGAGGCTGAGAGTTTGAGACAAGCCTGGATGACATGATGAAACGTCATCTCTACTAAAAATACAAAAATTAGCCAGGCATGATGGTGCATGCCTGTAATCCCAGCTACTCAGGAGGCTGAGGCAGGAGAATCACTTGAACCTGGGAGGTGGAGGTTGCAGTGAGCTGAGGTTTCACCACTGCACTGCATTCCAGCCTGGGTGACAGAGCGAGACTCTATCTCAAAAAAAAAAAAAAAAATGTGTATGTGAGGAAACTGGGATTGAGCTTGGGGATGTTGGGGGATGGAGGTACTTCATCTACTGAACAAAAACCATGGGATACCAATGCTGGAGGAAGAAGCATCATCCTCAGTTTCCACTAACTCAACCACGCATGAGATGGGGACTTGGTGTCCGAGAGAAAAGCCTCTTTTTAGGTCTTCAACCTTGATCAAACCATTTCTGAATTCCTCATATGAAGGGGTGGCCTGCCCCTCCATACCTGTGGGTATTTCTAGTCAGGTGGGATGAGAGACGGAGAAAAGAAATAAGACACAGAGACAAAGTATAGAGAAACAACAGTGGGCCCATGGGACCGGCGCTCAGCACACCAAGGACCTGCACCGGCACCGGCCTCTGAGTTCCCTCAGTTTTTATTGATTATTATTTTTCATTATTTCAGCAAAAAGGAATGTAGTAGGAGAGCAGGGTGATAATAAGGAGAATGTCAGCAAATTACATGTGAGCAAAAGAATCTATATCATGATTAAGTTCAAGGGAAAGTACTATGCCTGGATGTGCACGTAGGCCAGATTTATCTTTCTCTCCAACCAAACATCTCAGTGGAGTAAAGAGTAACAAGGCAGTATTACTGTAAACATGTCTCACCTGCCGCCACAGGGCAACTTTTCTCCTATCTCAGAGTTGAACAAATGTACAGTCGGGTTTTACACCGAGACATTCAGTTCCCAGGGGCAAGAAGGAGATAGTGACCTTCCTCCATCTCACCTGCAAGAGGCTTTCCTCTTTTACTAATCCACCTCAGCACAGACCCTTTACGGGTGTCGGGCTGGGGGACAGTCAGGTCTTTCTCATCCCACAAGGCCATATTTCAGACTATCACATGGGGAGGAACTTTAGACAATACACTGCTTTCAAGGGCAGAGGTCCCTGCAGCTTTCCACAGTGCATTGTGCCCCTGGTTTATTGAGACTAGAGAATGGCAATGACCTTTACCAAGTATACTGCTTGTAAGTATTTTGTTAACAAGGCACGTCCTACCCAGCCCTAGGTCCCTTAAACCTTGATTTTATACAACACATGTTTTTGTGAGCTCCAAGTTGGGCCAAAGTGCCTGGGTCAAAGTGGCTGGGGCAAAGCTACAAATCAACAACATCTCAGCAAAGCAACTGTTTAAAGTACAGGTCTTTTTCAAAATGGAGTCTCTTATGTCTTTCCTTTCTGCATAGACACAGTGACAGTCTGATCCCTCTTTCTTTTCTCTACATTTCCCCCTTTTCTTTTTGACAACACCGCCATCGTCATCATGGCCCGTTCTCGCTGGTCGCTGTTTCTCCGTAGCTGCTGGATACACCTGTAGACTAACAATAGAGAGGACAGACATACAAGGATTAATGCAAAATTTGCAATAGTGGAATTTCCAATAGTTTTAATCCAAGTGACAGGCTTAAGATTTGTGAGGCTATTAACAACTTTTACCATTGCCTTAGTTTCTGGCACCAGATTTAACTGGGCTTTTGATGTTTTAAAAATTTGTTTTTTCAATCTAGAAATATCTAAGGTAAGATTATCTTCTTTTCCCTGTAGATGGTGTCTAACCATGTCCCAGTGATGTTCAGATTCGTTATAGACTTGAGGTGTAATACAAAAATCTGACATATTCCAGTCACACTGTAACTGAAAAAGATATTCCAAGCTCATGAGCCTATCTCCCATTCAAATAACAGTTTGTCTAAGATCATTAATTTGATTTGTCAATTTTTGATCTATTTGAGTCTGAGAATTCCACACTTTTGAGGAATTCTTTTGCCATTTATTCACATATTCTGCAGTTTGAACAGAGGAGTGTAAAGCAATTCCAGCAGCCACAGCAGTAGCTGTGACTGCAATAAGACCTATAATCACTGCAATCAAAGTAAAAATGAATTTTTTAGATCTGGTTAGAACTCCTTTTAATACTTTTGTTAAGATGTGTACAGATGGAGAAGCTTCCCACGGTCGGTCCATGGACACAGGGATCCACACACCTTTTCTTGCCCTTACTAACAGAATACGATGCTGCCAATCAAAAGTTGAATCAATGCAAGTAAACAATCTACAATTTTCACAGGTTATAGTTTGGGAATCTGGTTTAATAACTATGTTTCCTACAACTAGCATATAAGGGGGTTTTACACAACTTTGCAAAGGAATTGTCAGATTGGAATTTAGGTTAAGAGTATAATATGGCTTATGATTTTTTGTTCCCATAACTTGATTTTCAGACCAAATTCTAGTGTGGTATGAGGCCACAGTAAGCTTCTATAATTCTGGGTGTTCAGGAACAACAACAGGACTAACTAACTTTGGTCGGGGTGATGAAATCCCCATTTCACCCCATTTCCATGGATAGGGTCATTCTAGCCTTCTATAAACTTGGTCTAGTTTTTTAGTTAAATCACTATTATAGGCTGGATTAGGGGGCCAGACAGATAGAGCCTGTGAACACGAGTGGGTCTGGCCCATACAATCATAATATAACTGGCCTCGAGGGGCCCAGTCTATAATAGTTCCAAACTTATTGTTTTGTAGTACCACTGCAGTATCAGCCACACATTCTTCCTAAACTAAGACTTTTGGGTCTTTTGATTCTTTTGGAATTTCCTCGGGGCATGGTTTCCCTTTAGGCCTAAATTTTAATGATCTTTGATAGGAAGAATTTTGTAAATTATTTATTTGTGACCCGAGTGACATTCCACTTATCACATGATAAGTAAATTTACTGGTGCCACTGACAGTAGGTACTTCTACCAACCAATTTTGGATAGTAGGCATTAAGCATCCTGGTGCTTTTCCCAAGCAAATAGGAGGATAATGATACCCAATGGAAATGTTTATCATCATTCCTTCTTCTTCAGGTTGGGCAGGGCCACGGTTATCTGTGGGGCCTGGTACCCATACACTGTTATTAACATATATTTCAATAGGATTATCTATCCAAGTGACTGCCCGAATTAAGGGTGGGAAAGGCACATAGGCCCAGTAAGTATAGTTAGCTCTAGCGGCTCCCACAGACGTAGGGAGACTTACCACTGTTGATACAATCATTAAAGCTGCAAGCAGCATATTCTCTGGAGTTTGTGTTACCCTTGTGTTTTCCAGGCTTTTTTTAGCTAACTGTGTCAGCTTCTTTAGCTGGGCCCAGGTCGGCAGCTCCACCTTTTTGGTGGATGGCAATTTCATCTGTTTTTCTGATATTACCATTTTATTCATCCTGCGAGTCGATGATGTTCGATTGTGGGTTTTTTGTCTCTGCAGAGGCGCCTTCCTTTGTATCTCTGATGGGTTCATTGTAGAACTTCAAATGTCTAGTGGGTACCCAAACAGGAAGCTGATTTTCTCCTGGTGAAACACAAGTAAAACCTCTCCCCCATGTTATCACTCTACCTATTTCCCATGTTTTATTTTTGTTATTTTCCCACCAAATCAGTTTTTCCTCATGTGGGCTGTTCTTTTTACCGGTAAAATGTTATTCTGCAGGAGTAGTGGTTTGATTTCTATATATATTTAAAAAATTTAAAGTACAGAGTGCTATATTAAGTTGCATCTGAGGAGTGTTATACTGTTTACTGTCTTTTTCCTTTTTTTGTTTAACCAATTGAGCTTTGAGTGTTCTATTAGTTCTTTCAACTATGGCCTGTCCTTGGGAATTATAAGGGATTCCTGTTGTATGTGCAATTTTCCATGGATTTAAAAATTTTTGAAATGCTTTACTACAATATCCTGGCCCATTATCTGTTTTAATTTTTTTTGGAACTCCCATGACTGCAAAACAAGATAATAAATGTCTTTTAACATGGGAAGTACTTTCTCCTGTCTGACAGGTTGCCCATATGAAATGTGAATAAGTATCAATGTTACATGGACAAATGACAATTTTCCAAATGAAGGTACATGTGTAACATCCATTTGCCATAGTGCATCAGGACATAAACCTCTGGGATTAACTCCTGCCTCTTGAGTGGGCAGGTGTAAGACTTGACACTGAGCACAATGTTGTACAATATTTTTTGCTTGTTTCCATGTGATATCAAATTTGTTTTTTAATCCTGTTACATTTACATGAGTCAGGATATGAAGTTCTTGTGCTTCCATGAAGGCAGATGATACTAGCAAATCAGCTTGTTCATTTGCCTTAGTTAAAGGCCCTGGTAAATTAGTATGTGCTCGAATGTGACTAATATAAAATGAGAACTTTCTTTTTTCACAGTTTGTTGTAACAATTTAAACAGCTGATTTAACTGATCATCCATACTATATTTGATTAGAGCTGTCTCAATATCCTTGGTAGCCTGTACTACATATGTAGAATCCGAAACAATGTTAATAGGCTGATTAAAATCTTGTAACACTGAAATGACAGCAACCAATTCTGCTCTTTGAGCTAAGTGATATTGAGTTTCAATGACTCGTTCTTTTGGTCCAGTGTAAGCCTCTTTTCCATTGCTGGAACCATCAGTAAACACTGTCAGAAGATTTTCTAAAGGTTTATGTCTGGTAATTTTAGGTAAAATCCAAGTAGTCAATTTTAAAAACTGGAAGATTTTTGCTTTTGTGTAATGATTATCAGTAATTTCCACAAAATCAGCAAGACCAATCTGCCATGCACCAGAATTGATAAAGGCTTGTCTAACCTGTTCCTTATTTAAAGGAACAATGATTTTATCTGGGTCACTTCCACACAATTTTACTATTCGTAATCTTGCCTGATTACGAATTCGTAAACTTGCCTGATTACGAATTCGTAATCTTGCCTGATCAAATGTAGCCATTTGATCTAAGTACAATGTAAAAGTCTTAATTGTACTGTGAGGAAGGAATGACCACTCTACAAGATCTGTATCTTGAACAATAATGCCTGTTGGAGAATGTGCAGTAACAAAAATTAAAAGTTGGAGTGGGGCTGAGTGATCTATTCTATTTACTTGTGCTGACTGATTTTTTTTCTTCAACTAATTTAATTTTTTTATTTGCCTCTGGGGTTAATATTCTTTTACTATTCAAGTCTGGATCCCCTCTCAAGATAGAGAACAAGTTTGACATGGCATAAGTAGGGATGCCTAAAGTTGGCCGAATCCAATTAATATCTCCTATCAATTTTTGAAAGCCATTTAATGTTCTTAATGTGTCTTTTCTTATTTCTACTTTTTGTGGTTTAATGTTTCTTTCCTCTACTTGCATTCTCAAATAATGAAAAGGAGTGGAGGTCTGAATCTTAGTAGATGCTATTGTCAGGCCTGCGTTTGCAACGTCTGCTTGCAGAAATGTGTAACAGTCAATTAATTTGTCTCTTGTTTCTGCAGCACACAAAATATCATCAACACAATGAATGATATAACAGTCTGAAAACTTGTCTCTAACTGGTTGAAGAACTTGAGCTACAAAAGTCTGACAAATAGTTGGACTATTAACCATTCCCTGAGGCAACACCTTCCACTGAAATCTGGTGGCTGGTTCTTTATTATTTATAGCTGGTATAGTAAAATCAAATTTTTCAAAATCCTGTTTTGCCAGAGGAGTGGTAAAAAAGCAATCCTTCAGATCAATTATAATTAAAGGCCAATCTTTGGGAATCATGGCTGGAGAGGGCAGCCCAGGTTGGAGAGGCCCCATGGATTGAATTACTGCATTAACGGCTCTTAAATCAGTTAGCATGTGCCATCTGCATGATTTTTTCTGAATTACAAACACAGGAGAATTCCAAGGCGAAAATGATGGCTCAATATGTCCCTTTTCTAATTGTTCCTTTGCCAATAAGTGTAAAGCCTCCAGCTTTTGTTTTGGTAGTGGCCACTGATTTACCCATACAGGCTTTTCTATTTTCCAAGTTAATGGAATGGGTTTTGGAGGCTCTACAGTGGCCACTCCTGAAAAGGATACTCTAATCCCTTTTTTTCTGTATTTTCTTTAGCCTCAATTGGAACTTTAATGCCTTCTCCATTTTTCCCTAGTCCTTTGCCAGGGAGATATCCCATTTTAGTCATAATTTTTTGACTAGTGGCGCTGTATAGGGAGACTGGAATAGTAATCTCTGAATGCCACTGTTCTAATATGTCTCGGCCCCATAAATTAATTGGAATAGAAGTAATCATAGGCTGAACTGTACTCTCTTGATTATCAGGTCCCAGACAATGTAAAATTTTGGCACTTTGATACACTTCTGAGGCAGTGCCCACACCAACAAGTCCTGCAACGGGCTTTTGTTTAGGCCAATTTTTTGGCCATTGATTTAAGGCAATGATAAAAACATCAGCCCCAGTATCCACTAATCCTTCAAACTGCTTTCCCTGAATAGTAACTGTACACAAGGGTCTATTCTCTGAGAGCTGACTAGCCCAATAAACAGCTTTTCCAGCAGGGTTGGTACTTCCAAACCCTTCTGTTCTTTCTGTTTTGCTATCTCCAATTTTAATATAAGGCAAGAGCAGTAATTGAGCAATTCTCTCACCTGGATTGGCACTCCAGGGAACAGTAGAGCTGATCACTAACTGAATTTCCCCTTTATAATCTGAATCAATTACCCCAGTATGAATTTGGACTCCCTTTAAATTTAGACTTGATCTTCCTAAAATAAGGCCTACCATCCCTTCTGGCAGCGGGCCATATACCCCTGTAGGAATCTTTTGCGGAGGCTCTCCAGGGAGTAAAGAAATAATCTGAGTGAACATAAATCTACTGCAGCACTGCCTGCTGTGGCGGGGGATAACTCTTGTATTGTTGTAATTGGCTGATTTCCTGAAATGGTGGTATTTACTGTGGGGGTTGTTGTCCCTGAAAACCCTGAGGAACAAATGGCTGAATCGGGAATGCCCCACTTTGTTGTGGGGCCTGGGGCTGGCCCCTCTTCCCGTTTCCCGACAATGGTTGTCCATTTTTATCAAATTTAGAACAACATTCCTTAGCCCAACGTTTTCCTTTTCCACATCTTGGACACAGGCCAGGTGCCTCCTTTTTTTTGCTCTGTTTATTTAAGCCTGGACAATTTTTTAGATGACCGATTTGACCACAGTTATAACAGTTTCCCCCCAAATGTTTTAACTTGTCCTCCTAAAGCAACCCCTGTAATTGCTTGAGCCATTAACATTGCTTTATGCATAGCTCTTCCAATCCCATCACAAGCCTTCACATATTCTGTAATTACATCAACTCCTGCTGAAACCTTTTCTTTTAATGGCTTTATAGCCGATTGACATTCTGGATTTGCATTTTGATAAGCCATTATTTCTACAATAACTTTTCGGGCGTTATTATCTGCAATGCATTTTTGAGCTGCATCTTGCAACCTTGCCACAAAGTCTGGATATGGCTCTTTAGAGCCTTGTCTGATTGAACTAAAAGAAGGGCAGGAGGTTCCTGGGTCCTGAATCTTCTCCCAGGCCCTGAGGTAAATAGCCCTTAGTTGTTCAATAGCCTCATTCTGCATTACTGATTGTTGGTTAATAGTGACCCAATTTGGACCTGTTCCTAGCAACTGATCTGCATCTATATAACCAACAGGATTAATAGCCTGATTTTTCCATACCTGTTCTTGTACCCCATCAATCCACCAGGTTTTAAACTGTAGATACTGAGAGGGTGAGAGGGAAGATTTAACCAAAATTTCCCAATCTTAAGGAATAAGTCTATTTCCATGAGCAATGGAATCTAATAATGTTCTCATATAAGGACAGTTGGGTCCATATTGTTTAAATCCTTCCTTTAAATTTTTTAACATTTTCATGGTGAAAGATTCATATCTAGCCTCAGTTCAGACAGATGCTCCTGTTTGACTCCCTTTTCTGGCCGGTATGGGTTGTAAAATTACCGGATACTGCCATGCCTCAAGATCTCCCTGTTTTCTGGCTGTAGCAATGGTCTCATGCAGTGCACCATCTTGTCCACTAGGTGGTGCTGTAGGATCAAACGCCATCGCCGTGGGTTGTTGATATAGTGTCTTGCTATTTAGCACAGGACGCACCACCTGAGATCCATACTGAACCTCTGGAGACGGCCGATACTGAAATTCGGCTGGCGGCTGGTGTTGATAAACTACCGATGGTTGGGTTTTATTTTCTACTGCCTGCTATTGTGGATACTGTGCCTGGATTAGCATTTGAGATTGTGATGTCACAGGTATCTGAACCGCGGGAGAAGGAGATGGTGGCCATCATGGTCTAAACTCTGATGGCCCAAATAATTCTGGACCTCCTTTCCCCAATTTTGATGTTTCAGGATATATTGCTTCCTGTAACTGATTATAGTCAACATTTTGCATTGACTGAGCTATTACAGGCTGTACTGCATTTTTACAATGTGGACTTTCCATTCCTTTCTTAAACTCTGTTCCTGCCTCTTCTTCACAATCTATTACACAGCTTTCAGGGGCATCAAAGACTGAAATGCTATCTTCTTCTATTTGAAATGGTTCTAAAGTTGCTTTAGTAATGGCCCAATCATTCCATACTGTAAGTGGGATGATTTTACCTTCCCGAGTTGCTTGTTTTAGTCCTTTGCCAATTTTTTCCCAATCTTTTAAATCTAAAGTTCCCTGTTCTGGAAACCATGGGCAGAATTGTTCTACTGTTTGAAATAGCGTAACTAAATTTTCTGTAGAAGCTTTAACTCCCCCTCTTCTTAAGAGAATTTTGATGAAGCTGAGATAAGAGGCATATTTACTTTCAGTTTGCCCCATTGTTACCCTGGATTCCTCCGAGCGCACAAGCTTACTGCAAGGCTGACTGTGGACGTACTCGGGAATCTCTTGTCGGCTGTCCTCAATGCTCATGTTCTTATCGTACCTTTACCCTAGAGAAAGGCCCCACATTGGGCGCCAGATGAAGGGGTGGCCTGCCCCTCCACCCCTGTGGGTATTTCTAGTCGGGTAGGATGAGAGACGAAGAAAAGTTTTGTACTAACCTCCCTTGTACTAACCCCCTTTCCCTGGCCTCTTCCAGCTTGTCTTCTTCTCTCCCAGTAGTTTCTTCATGAAGAGGCCATGTGCTAAATTCCATGAGATATTTCACACTCAAAGAAGGCTTCTTTTATACTCTTTTGATAATTTGTCTGGGAATCACTGTCTCAATTTATAAGGGAGTTTGTAATAAATACAGTAAAAGAGAAACACACAAAGTATTTTGAGATATCAGAGAAGGGAGAAACCAATTCTATTAATATTTGGGGTTAGCAGGGAAGGCTTAGTTAAGAGGTGACATTTGAACTAAGCCTTGAAATAAGAGAAGGATTTGGACATGCAGTAATGGGGAGAGAGTAGAAGCAAGACATGATGGTTAATGTTATGTATCAATTTGACTGGGTTGTGGGGTGCCCAGATATTTGGCTACACATTAGTCTGGGTGTGTCTCTGAGGTATTCTGGATGAAGATAACATTTAATTGGTAGACTGAATAAAGCAGATTGTCCTCCCCAATATGGGTGAGCCTCATCCAATCCACTGAAGGCCTGAACAAAACAAAAAGGTGGAGTCACAGAGAATTTGCTCTTTTTTCCTGATTATATTTGAGCTGGGACATCAATCTTTTCCTGACTTTAGATGTGGACTCGAGTTGGAACTATATCATTGGCTGTCCTGGGTCTCCAGCTTGCTGGCTGCAGACTCCAGGACTCCTTAGCCTCCATAACCATGTGAGCCATCCCTTACAACAAATCAATCTGTCTCTATGTGTATAGCTCTACCTCTATCTCTCTGCTCTTTCTCTGGAGAACCTAGAGTAATACACAAGGTTATATTAGAGAAGAGGATGACCCAAGGAAAAGTGTGGAGGCAGAAAAGTGCAAAGAGGTTTTGGGAAGACTGGGGTCCTGATGGGGAGTTTGGATTTCACTGTGTGTAGCATGGAGAATCCTTGAAAATATTCAAGAGGTGAAAATTGTATTCGTGGAAGAACACCAGGAGTATGTGAAAAGAAAAACACTCACTCCATTTTGACTCCACTGAAGGGGGCATCAAAGGGATGCACTGGGGACATGGGTTGGAGGGTCATTGAGGCCATATCTGGAGGATCCTTACTTCTAGGCTGAGTCTGAAGTTATCTTTCTGGGGAGTGGGAGATTACAAATCTTTGAGCTCCACTGAAGAGATGGTTTTGCTAACAATGACAGGGCGATGGTTGTGGTGGTGGTGGTGGTGGGAAAATGGTATCATGAATTCTAACTGGGCTTCTGTTATTCTAGCTGAGAAAGTTTGGTAATGGACTTTCAGTAGAATAATACAGATCTGGGAATCAACTGCATGGAGGAGGTAGTTATAGGTGATGAGATGGCTCAGGGACAAAGTTTGGTAGAAGGAGAAAAGATACTAGGCTGGTACAAAAATAATTGCTATGATTGCCATTACTTTTAATGGCAAAATCCACAATTACTTTTGCACCAACCTAATAGGGTGCAAACTTCGGAGCCATCTGCATCAGAGGGATTGATGAAGATCAACAAAGTTTGGGAACACAGGAAAGGAGCGGGGAGGGTAATGACTTGAGGGCATAGCAGGGATAATCAAGGTTTTTCTTGTTAGCATGTGGAGACTTAAGCATGATTATATATTAAACGCCTGGCACATACATCGTGAAAAATATTTATGAGTGAAATGACAAGTGAAGGTGGTGAGTCATGGGAGTTCCAAGGGAATGGGTGATAAAGGGAGGTCTCAAATGAGACACAAGTGGAGAAGGTAGCTTGGGAAAGGAGAAGGATGTTTCTCCTTATAAGATGGGAAAGGCAGAGGAAGAGGGTCAAGATACAGTGATCTAGGGGTGAGATGGAAGTGAGTTGAGAGAACTCAACTCTGGGCTCTGAAACCCCTAGGGATGGGTTTGGGGGGCTTTGAGATATGGAAGAGGTTAAAAGTCAATTGTTATAGCAAATATGGTTTGGAATTTATTTGTGATGCTTAAAAATATTGCTGAACAGAAGTGAAGTCTATCCTAGAGTTGGATGGTGAGATTATTTAGTGGAACTACAAGATCCATGATGTGATTCTCTCCAGTATCATTCAGCAGCCCTTAGGCAGTTGCGAGGCAAGTCATCAATGGGGTATGGAGATTTTCCAGGTGGGTGTGGTTGAAAGCAGGGAAGAACGAGTTTAGGAGCACATTACAAGAAGAAGGTGACTGTAAGGTCCAGGCTGAGCAGGAAGGTAAAGCAAGAAGGAAACATGAGGTTGTGAAGAGAAGTTTAGAGGGATGAGGAGGCAGGAGAGGTGAACAGTTGCGGGATGTAGCTAGAGTGGCGATGTTAGATCTTGGGGCCAGAGAGCTTTACAGTGATTATGAAGATCAAAGGGCATTAGAATCAAGCTATAAAGAGCCACTGTTTGATGTTGGGATGTGAGGATGCTGCAGGTGGATGTCTGCACATTGATGGTGAGAACATGGTCACCCTGGCCCTGCTGGGTCTTTGCTAAAGAAAGTGTGCTCTGTTCTTGGGGCCATTTTCATCACCTGATTAGAGCAGTGGTCCCCAAATGGTGTTCTTTGGACCATCTGTATAAAATGTTCATAGGTCAAGGATAAAATGGAAAAACAGAGAAAATGTCACAGAAATGTGCCCATTGGTGAAAGACCACCAGCTGTCCTTTTTGGAGGATTGTTCTGTATTCTAAAAATGTATATATTCTATTCTTTTAAAACATTTTTGTATTTGCATTTTTTTCCCTTTTATGAAATGCCATGGGGTAGAAATTTGTAATGTATCCAATTCTCCTGTCTGCATGCATTGCCCTGTGGTGGGGGAGGGGTTGTGGCTAGTTCTGGCCAAGAGGCTGGGGGCAGAGGTGTAGTGTGAGACTTCTAGCCTAGGGCATTTAATTCTTAGTACAAGACTCTCTAGCATTCTTCTCCCTCTGTTCCCTGCTTGGTGATACTCGAGGTAATGCAACCCCCATTAGCCTTAGTCTTAGGGCAAGTTTGATGGAAAACAGAGCACCCCTTACCTCCCTGCAGATGTAACATGACTGAGAAAAACAACTTCTGATGTTTGAAGTTACCAAGATTTAGGAGTTGTTTGTTATTGCAGCAAAACCTCACCTATTCTGACCAATCATGGTGGAATTTGTGTGTGTGTGTGTGTGTGTGTGTGTGTGTGTGTGTGTGTGTGTGTGTGTGAAACTGGTAGTTTAAAAAAGTTCCTTCTTACCAAAAAGAAAAAAAAATTGCAACCTTATGTTGGTTCTCAAATTAAAAAAATATTTTTACTGGTTTATAAAATAGAAAAATCTGAGAATCTGTAGCTTAGAGAACTATAGTGTGGATGTCTATAAAGACCAGGTTATTTTATCAGCTCCTAACACCCCTTAATAGAAGCTTAGCCAAAACTTGGACTATTTCAGTCTTTCCCATTCCACATTCCATGGACTCTTGAAGAGACATTGATGAAACGGTGCAGCCATGAACCACCCTCACTCAATCCTAGTGGCAGAATCCCCCTTTTACTGCAGAATGAGCTTCTTGCTACAGTGATACTTGAACCCCTTAGATATATCCTGTACTAATTATATTAAAACACGACCAATGATTTTGCTTTGTTGTCCCCCAAATTCAACAAATTAATCATGAGAACCCAAAGAATTGGATTTAGTGTAACTGATTCCAAAGTGTCAGTAAGAACATAATTAGGTTATAATTTTCTCCAGTTCAAATAAAAGAAAATTGGCAATAAAATGCTGATCGATATGTGTAGCTCAGGAGGTAGAGCCTGCTTTGAGATGCAGAAGTGTTTGTTTTTTTTAGATCTATATTCTTGAGTAAAGAAAAAATCCATCTCTCTTTCCTAGAGGGGAAGACTTTCAGAGATGGGCTTGGCAACAGCCTGACTATCAGAGGCTGAATTAAACAAATAGGTACCTCCCTGGAGTGAATGGTGCATTTCTCGTGTTTGGGGAACCGTGCTTTTATGGTGGAGTTTGCTTTCTGTCTTGGTCTCCGGATGTGTGTATCTGTGGGTGGATGTCTGCATGTAAATGGCAGTGTATACCTGTGTGGGTGTGTAAAAAATTCCCATGTGAATCTCAGCTTTGTGGGGATCTCCAGGTCTTGAGCCCAGCAGATGCCATTTGAAGAAAAATCACTTGAAAATGAGACAGAAAGAATGGAAACTAAATCCTAGCTCTAAAGACACCAGGCTGATTAAAAAAAAAAAAAAACTCTGGATCTTCTTTGTTTTGGACTCTACCTACCTCCAGATGACATTTCTGTTTCCTATGAGATGATTAGAATGAAAGAGATCCTGAGCACGAAAGAGCAGACAGTGTGTGATTGTGTGTATGTCAGGGTGTCAGCTGTGACACTGCTGACATTTTGGCTCAGCAATTTCTCTGTTCTATGTGTGGGGGTTCCCTGTGCATTTTAGGATGTTGAGCGGCATCCCTGGATCCCTGGACTCACTGGATGCAGTAACACAACTCCCCCCAAGTAGAGACAAACCCCAGCGTCTCCAGATATTGCCTAATGTCCCCATAGGGCAAAATAGCCCCATCTGAGAACTGCTGCTTTCATAAAGTACAATGTCAGGTGAAATAGGTGGAGGCTGTTTGTAGTCAGGGGTTAGTAGAGATGGAAGAGACCCCAGGAATATCCTGGAAGGGGCTGCAATATTTTGTTTCTTGAATTGGGTGTCGGTAATATGGAGATGTTCAGGTTTGTTGTTGTTGTTGTTGTTGTTGTTGTTGTTTTGAGGCAGGATCTTGCTCTGTCACCCAGGCTGGAGCACAGTGGCACCATCATGGCTCACTGCTGCCTCTGCCTCCTGGGCTCAAGCAGTCCTCCCACCTCAGCCCTCCTGAGTAGCTGGAACTACAGGCATGTGCCATCACTGTTGCCTAATTTTTGTATTTATTTATTTTTTGTAGAGAGGGGGGTCTCACTACGTTGCCCAGGCTGGTCTCGAGCTCCTGGGCTCAAGCAATCTGCTCACCTTGGCCTCCCCAAGTGCTGGGATGACAGGCATGAGCCACTGCTTCTGGGCAGTATGTTTGGTTTTTAAGAAAAGTACTGTGTTGACCTCTTCTGTGTGCACATTTCTTTAAGTAATAATTCAATAAAGCATTTAGAAAAATTGGTCATAATAGGAGTGATTTGTAGAGTGATTGGAATGAAAGCTGATCACCTTAATTTGAACTACTCTGAAATGAGCACCAGGGGCCACCAAGAGGAGCCTTTCAAGGTGTCATAGCCAAGGAGAGGACTGTGTTGTGTACACCTCTGCATAAAGGATTTGCTGGTTACATGCAAGGATGAGGCCTCCTTCTGAGGACAGAGGCAGCAAAGCAATTGGAAGCCCAAAGCATTGAGATTTCTAAATGGACTTTGCTAAAATCTTGTGGATGACTCATGCTCTTAACATACACCCATGTACATATTGTCCATATAAACATTAATTCTGTAACAAGGCCCACACATAAGGGTTTTTTTTTTCTTTTGAGACAGTCTTGCTTTATTGCCCAGGCTAGAGTACAGTGGCATAATTGTGACTCACTGCAACCTCTGCCTCCTGGGTTCAAGCAATGCTTGTGCCTCAGCCCCCCGAGTAGCTGGGACTACAGATGCACACCACCATGCCTGGCTAATTTCTGTATTTTTAGTAGAGACAGGGTTTCACCACGTTGGCCAGGCTGGTCTCAAACTCCTGGCCTCAAGTGATCTGCCCACCTCAGCCTCCTAAAGTGTTGGGATTACAGGTGTGAGCCACTGCGCCTGGGACCACTCATAAGGTTTGAGTTGAGATAGAGAAACTCTGGCAGGACTGAGGAATTTGGCCACAGTCTCTGGGAAATATGCACAATTTCTGGAATCTTCTCTACTTCCAGAGTTCCCACTTTCTATCTGTCTCCTATTTATTCAACAAACTTGTATGGAACCACAGTGAGTCTAGAACTTGCCAGGTGTGGAGGATAAAAAGATGACTGAGGTTGGGCATGGTGGCTCATGCCTGTAATCCCAGCACTTTGGGAGGCCAAGGCAGGCGGATCACTTGAGGGCAGGAGTTTGAGCACAGCCTGGCCAACGTGATGAAATGTCTCTACTAAAAATACAAAACTTAGCCAGGCATGGTGGCATGCACATGTAGTCCCAGCTACTTGGGAAGCTGAGGCAGGAGAATTGCTTGAACCCAGGAGGCAGATGTTGCAGTGAGCTGAGATCACACCGCTGCATTCCAGCCTGGGAGACAGAGCGAGATTCCATGTCAAAAAAAAAGATGACTGGGATAGAGACTCCATCAGAGTTGACTCTAACACAAACTTGGTAAGAGCCCAAGGCCTGGCTGGGCAAGCACCTTGATCAGCTTCATCCTGCAGCCTCTACTAGAGTGAAGAGCACTCTTTTCTTTACCCATGAAAATGTTTTGTGCTTCGTACCTACAAGTACAATTTGTGTTAATTCTGCAAAATTTGCCGTATAACTGTTCCTGTATTCTTAGCATTTTTCCTTTGAGAGATTTTTCATCACATTATCTTTGGGCTATGTGGAATTGGAAATTTACTTAGAGTCAACAACAACTTCAGGAAAGTCAGTTCTTAGTCAAGAGTTAGGTTTTCAAAGACAGTGGATAAAATAAAAAATCTAGTACAGTCAAGATTATACGTGCAAATCCCCTCATCATTCATAAAGTTTAGCAGTCAGTCTTACCGTGGCTCACCAGGTCCAATCCATACTTCTTCCTCCATGATTGGAGCAGAGGGTGATTTTTTTTATGAGCAACTGATGAAGTCATTTAGAGACCATTTGCAGTAGGAACCGTGTGTACTAGAGTCCAATCAATGTGCCCTCATAGCACCATTTCTGCCTCTTTCCCTCTTTGTTCTTGCCAAGTACCCACAGTTCATTTTCCACAGATTAAAAGAGCCCAAGTTGGACCTATACCTAGGAGCACAATTGCTGCGTCATTTGGTAACTCTATGTAGAATTGTTTGGGAAGTTGTTAAAGTGTTTCTCACAGTGGCTACACCATTTTAATTCCTTCCAGCAGTGTATGAAGGTTCTAGTTTCTCTGCATCCTCACCAACACTTGTTATTTTCTGTATTTTTTTTTTTTTTTTGAGACAAAGTCTTGCTCTGTCGCCCAGGCTGGAGTGCAGTGGCACAATCTCAGCTCACTGCAACCTCTGCCTCCCAGATTCAAGTTACTCTCCTGCCTCAGCCTCCCGAGTAGCTGGGATTATAGGCACCTGCTATCATGCCTGGCTAATTTGTGTATTTTTTTAGTAGAGACAGGGTTTCACCATGTTGGCCAGGCTGGTCTCAAACTCCTGGCCTCAGGTGATCCACCTGCCTCGGTCTCCCGAAGTGCAGGGATTACAGGCATTAGGCACTGCACCAGACCAATTTTCTCTATCTTTGATTCTAGCCATGCTTATGGGTATGACGTGGTATTGCATTGTGGTTTTGATTTCTGTTTCCCTGATGATGAATTTCATTAAGCATCTTTTCATGTGCTTATTGGCCACTTATATGTCTTCCGTGGAGATGTGCCATATTTTCATATTCAAAAATGAAAGCACAGGCCCACACAAAAATTTGTACATGAATAATTACAGTAGCATCACTCCTAATAACCCAAAGAGGGAATTAATCCAAATGCCCATCACCAGATGAAGAGATACACCGACTGTTGTCTACCCACATGGTGGAGTATTATTTGATCACAAAAAGGAGGAAAGTACATACACTACAGCGTGGATGAACCTTCAAAACAGATGAAAGATCACATTCTACATGATTTCATTCAGATGAAAATCTATAGAAATAGGAAGTCGATTAGTGGTTGCTTAGGGCTGGTAGGGGCATGGGAGGATAGGGGGTGTTAGCTAAAGGGTATGAGGTTTCTTTTTGAGGTCATGAAATGTTCTAAAATTGACTGGTAATGTTTGCGTATATCTCTGAATATATTAAAAACCATTGAAATGTAAAAAATGCAAAGAAAAGACAGCCCAAGTTGCAATTTTATTCAACACTTGATTGGCTTTAAAAATAGATTCCAGGCTGGGCATGGTGGCTCACACCTGAAATCCCAGTGCTTTGGGAGGCTGCGGTGGGAGGATTGCTTGAGGCCAGGGGTTCCAGGCAAGCCTTGGCAACATGGCAAGACCCTTTCTCTACAAAAAAAGAAAAAATAAATATCAGCTGAGTGCAGTGGCTCACACCTGTAATCCCAGCACTTTGGGAGGCTGAGGCGGGCAGATCTCCTGACATCAGGAGTTCAAGACCAGCTTGGCCAACGTGGTGAAACCCCATCTCTATGAAAAATAAAAAATTTAGCCTTTTGGTACTCTGAGCAGCACCATGGCGGTTGTTAAGAACAAGTGCCTTATGAAAGGTGGCAAAAAGGGAGTTAAGAAGAAAACAGTTGATCCATTTTCTAAGAAAGATCAGTATGATGTGAAAGCACCTGCTATGTTCAATATAAGAAATATTGGAAAGACTTGGTCACCAGGACCCAAGGAACCCAAATTGCATCTGATGGTCTCAAGGGTCTTGTGTTTGAAATGAGTCTTGCTGATGTGCAGAATGATGAAGTTGCATTTAGAAAATTCAAGCTGATTACTGAAGATGTTCAGGGCAAAAACTGCCTGACTAACTTCTATGGCATGGTTCTTACCTGTGACAAAATATGTTCCATGGTTGAAAAATGTTCAACAATGATTGAAGCTCATGTTGATGTCAAGACTACCGATGGTTACTTCTTTCATCTGTTTTGTGTTGGTTTTACTAAAAAACACAACAATCAGATACTGAAGACCTCTTATGCTCAGCACCAACAGTCTGCCAAATCCAGAAGAAGATGATGGAAATCATGACCTGAGAGGTGCAGACAAATGACTTGAAAGAAGTGGTTAATAAATTGATTCCAGACAACATTGGCAAAGATGTAGAAAAGGCTTGCCAATTTATCCTCTCCATGATGTCTTCATTAGAAAAGTAAAAATGCTGGAGAACCCTGGGTTTGAAAGGCATGGAGCTTCGTGGTGACGGTAGTAGTTTTGGAAAACCCACTAGGGATGAGACACATGCTAAAGTTGAATGAGCTGATGGATATGAACCACCAGTCCAAGAATCTGTTTAAAGTTCAGACTTAAAACAGTGGCAAATAAGAAGTACTATTTGTGAAAAACAAACAAGAAACAACAATGAAAAAAGCAAAATTAGCCTGGTGTGGTGGTGCATGCCTGTAATCCTAGCTACTCAGGAGGCTGAGGCATGAGAATCACTTGAACCTGGGAGACAGAGGTTGCAGTGAGCCAAGATTGCACCATTGCGCTCCAGTCTGGGCAACAGAGTGAGACTCTCTCCAAAAAGAAAGAAGAAAAAAAAAAGTATCTGGGCTTGGTGGCATGCGCCTGTAATCTCAGCTACTCTGAAAGCTGAGGTGGGAGGATAGCTTGAGGACAGGAGTAATTTGAGGATGCAGTGAACTATGATTGTGACACTGCACTCCAGCCTGGACTGCAGAGCAAGACCCTGTCTCTTATACATACATACATACATACATACATACATACATACATACACACACACACACACACACACACACACACACACATACATACATACATACAAACCCAGGCTCTACCTCTGGTGATTCTGACTCAGTAGGGTGGGGTATCCCCTAGGGATCCTGCTGTTCAGCCTGGTCTGGGATCCACTTTTCACTGGGAACTGATACACTGGCTGTGAGCCTTTCTGTCCTGAGATGTAGAGGTCATGGCGATGCAGGTTCAAGCTTAAGGAGACCTGACTGTGCGTTAGGTATTGTGCTGAACATCATCTCTTACTCACAGCAACATCCTTAGAAGGTTAATGATGTGTCCCTGCTCTACAGATGAGCAACTGAGCTTTCAGAAGAGTTTAGCTTCTTCAAAACTTATTCTTCCTATTGGAAACTTTGTACCCTTTGAGCAGTGTCTCCTATCCCCTACCTTTCCTCCACCCCAGCCCCTGATAACCACTGTCCTACTCTCTATTTCTGTGAGTTCAACTTCTTTAGATTCCACATATAAGTAAAATCATGCAGTATTTGTCTTTCTGTGCCTGGCTTATTTCACTTAACAGAATGTCTTTCAAGTTTATTTATGTTGTTGAAAATGACAGGATTTATTTCTTTTTTAAGGGTTAATAGTATTCCATTGGGTGTATATAGTACATTTGCTTTATCCTTTCATCCACTGATGGACACTTAGGTTGATTCTGTATCTTGGGTATTGTGAATAGTGCTGCAGTGAACATAGGAACGTAGGGATCCCTTCGACATATTGATTTCGATTTTTTTTTTTACTATACCCAGAAGTTGGGTTGCTGGATTATATGCTTTGAAATCTATAGCACAGCAGCGTGACTATAGTCAATAATAATGTATCTTTCAAAGTAACTAAGAGGGTACATTTCAAATGTCTCATCATAAAAATTGTCAGTAAATTAGGGGATGGACATGTTAATTAGTTTGATCTCATCATTCCACATTGTATACACATATCAAAACATCACATAAATGTGTACAATTATGATTTGTCAATTAAAATAACGTTAGTTTAAAAAATAAGTAACTTGTTCAAAGCCCCAGTCGAGGTTGATGGAGATGGGACATGCACCAAGGCTGTTGCTCTCAGGCCCGCAGAGTCCTTGGTCCACGAATGTTGAAGCCCTACCTGAGATTTCTACTGAGATCAATGTAGGGATTCAATGTCTCAGAATCATCCCATCCTCCAGGGCCCACAAGTCCATGACCGCTGCCTCTATCTCCGACCCTACTGACCTGAAATGTGGCCCCTGCTTTCATTTCTGGGAGCATACAACACTTACACCAAGCACTGATGGGTTTTGTTGACTGCATTTGAGATGTGGGGCCAGGGAGAGGGTCCCATGGTCCTTGCTTGGTGTTGGCCGACTCATTGACTTCTCTCCTTTGACTTCACCCTTCCCTTTTCTACTCACCTCCTCTGTCATGGATTGCTCTGGGAATTCTGAGCCCTGGTTCCTTTATTTTGCAGATAACCTTCACTCTTCTCTGCAACGAATCCCAAAAGTATGTAGTTGAGCTGACTGCAAGGTGCTTGAGACGCAAGAGACTCCACAAATGGGATTCGGCCTCTGGAAAGTGGTGGTAATTCCAGATTTATGTGGCTGTTACTTTGTTTTTCCCTATAAAATACATTCTTTAAACTATCAAGCTCTTGGTTCCTGGCTGCAGTCCTTTGCTGGTGGCAGTGGGCTGGGTACTGCCACCGGGGAGAAATGCTGCCCACTTAGAGAAAGAGAAACTGGTTCTCTTTAAGAGGCAGAGGGAGGTTTCCAGTGCCAGTTTGTTTGGAGTCAAAGTGGCTGTTGTATTAAAATTGCCCAAACTTGGGCTGGTGCCTTGTGTGTTTAGAGCTCAAAGCCACGATTGTTTTCTTTTCTTTTCTTTTCTTTTTTTTTTTTTTTTGGTGGTTGGTTTTCCATCCTTTTGCTTGGCAGGTTTCTGTTAATAGCTTCAACCTCAAGAGTCCCATTATGCAGACACTAATAGCACCTACTATGTTTCAGTCTGTAGTGCCTACTCTGTGCCAGGCATTGGAAATAATATAATGATGAACAAGATAAACATGGCACTTGGAAAAGAGAATCTAGTTCCCACTCTCAGCCCACCCCAAAGAGAGGCCAGAATTGGGCTTCCAAAGATCTCAGATGCCCTTGCATCACCTCCCTGAAGAGGGCGGGGTGAAGCTTTGGTGTCTGAAGAGAATTTGGCTGGACAATCCCCAAGGCTTGGAACGATGGGAAGGAGCTGCCATCTGTGTTTAAGGTGAGAAGTGGGGGAGTGGCTGGATATCAGAGGAAGGCAAGATGAAGAGAAGGTTTTTGTGAGTTCCTATGCATAGTGGAGACCTGTTATAGTGAGGGTCCCTGGGGCTGAGCCTGTGGGTCAGTGGAATGATGCTGTGAGGAGGGTCTTGTTATAGCAGATGGCCCAAAAAAGGCTGACGGATCATGAGCAGCTGGAAGAATGGAGAGTTCGGGGGATGTAGTTCCTGCCAGGGTTTCCAACAGTGTGTATGCCCAGAATTCTTACGTAAGCCCATGGAGAAGGGAAAGGAATGCTGGTAATGACAAGATTGAATTCTCCACCTGCCAGGCATCCAGGAACTCAGAGCAGATTTAACTGAAGTTACAGAAATAGGAATGTGACATTTCCTACATCCGGGTGTGCTGGAGCAAAATGTATTCCCTCTCTGGTTTGTGGGGAAGGAGAATGCTAACAGACAAGACTCCAGGTTTTCGCTCTTAAACCTGGTGCCTAGAAATGAATTTTCTACTGGATGCAGACAGAAGCTCCATATAGACATATCCATCGCTGCATCTTTCATGCCTTGTGTTCTCCCTAATTTTCCCTTTTTAACCCACAGAGGAAGAAAGTTCCAGCATCACTTCTGGCCTCTCAAGAGTGAGTTAGGTGGCCAGGGGGGGTTATTAATGCCTGTAATCTCATAATGAAGGGGTGGCCTGCCCCTCCACACCTGTGGGTATTTGTAGTCAGGTGGGATGAGAGATAGAAAAGAAATAAGACACAGAGACAAAGTGTAGAGAAACAACAGTGGGCCCAGGGGATCGGCGCTCAACATACAAAGGATCTGCACTGGCAACGGCCTCTGAGTTCCCTCAGTTTTTATTGATTATTATCTTCATTATTTCAGCAAAAAGGAATGTAGTAGGAGGGCAGGGTGATAATAAGGAGAAGGTCAGCAACAAACATGTGAGCAATAGAATCTATGTCATAATGAAGTTCAAGGGAAGGTACTATGACTGGACGTGTACATAAGCCAGATTTATGTTTCTCTCCACCCAAACATCTCAGTGGAGTAAAGAATAACAAGGAAGCATTGCTGTAAACATGTCTCGCCTCCCACCATAGGGCGGTTTTTCTCCCATCTCAGAATTGAACAAATGTACAATCGGGTTTTATACCAAGACATTCAGTTCCCAGAGACAGGCAGGAGACAGTGGCTTTCCTCTATCTCAACTGCAAGAGGCTTTCCTCTTTGACTAATCCACCTCAGCACAGACCCTTTATGGTTGTCGGGCTGGGGGACCGTCAGGTCTTTCTCATCCCACGAGGCCATATTTCAGACTATCACATGGGGAGAAACCTTGGACAATACCCAGCTTTCAAGGGCTGAGGTCCCTGCGGCTTTCCACAGTGCATTGTACCCCTGGTTTATTGAGACTAGAGAATGGCGATGACTTTTACCAAGTATACTGCTTGCAAACATTTTGTTAACAAGGCACATCCTGCACAGCCCTACATCCCTTAAACCTTGATTTCATACAACACATGTTTTTGTGAGCTCCAGGTTGGGTCAAAGTGGTTGGGGGCAAGGTGGCCGGGGCAAAGCTACAGATTAACAACATCTCAGCAAAGCAATTGTTTAAAGTACAGGTCTTTTTCAAAATGGAGTCTCTTATGTCTTCCCTTTCTGTGTAGACACAGTAACAGTCTGATCTCTCTTTCTTTTCCCTACATATCCCCCTTTTCGTTTTCACAAAACCACCACCATCATCATGGCCCCTTCTCGCTGGTCGATGTCTCTCTTGAGCTGCTGGATACACCTGTAGAGTAACAATACAAAGGACAGACATACAAGGATTAATACAAAATTTACAATAGTGGAACTTCCAGTGGTCTTAACCCAAGTGACAGGGGGCAAGAGGACGGTGTGGGTGCTGCGGCACGCAGGCAGTCTCCCATGTCCTTTGTGTCTTAGTTGCTATTTCTCATAGTTTTCAGTCTTTCTCCTCACCTGCTGACTCGCACCTTTTATCTTTGTCTCCCTTCTCTTACAGTCTCTCTCTCTCTCTTTTACACTACCTCTCTCCCCAGTCTCACTTTCTGTGTCTCTCTCTGATCTCTGTCTCTTTTTCTTTCTCTTCCTCTCCCTGGCTCTCCACATGTGCCGTTTCCTTGGTGGATGGTAACTTCATCTGTTCTTCTGATATCACCATTTTGTTCACCCTGCGAGTCGATGATGCTCGATTACGGGTTTTCTGTCTCTGCGGAGGCACTTTCATTTGCATCTCTGATGGGTTCATTGTAGAACTTCAAATGTCTAGTGAGTATCCAAACAGGAAGCTGATTTTCTCCTGGTGAAACACAAGAAAAACCTCTCCCCCATGTTATCACCTTACCTATTTCCCATATTTTGTTTCTGTTGTCTTTCCACCAAATCAGTTTTCCCTCATGTGGGCTGTTCTTTTTACCAGTAAAATGTTCTGCAGAAGTAGTGGTCTGATTTCTATGTATGTTCAGAAAATTTAAAGTATAGAGTGTTAGATTAAGTTGCATCTGGGGAGTGTTATACTCCTTACTGTGTTTTTCCTTTTTTTGTTAACCAATTGAGCTTTGAGTGTTCTAAGCAGGACAGGTAAGATCTGCGTCTGGCACAGCCAGCCAGGTCTCCTTACCCTCTGCTTCCCTTTCTGCCTGTGACTGAATGGGTATGTCAGGGTCTAGTAGGGGATCCAGGAGGAGGAAGCCTCATTAACTTCTATTCTGCAGCAATTGATGGCCACCCAACTTGAACAGTGGGGGCTTATCACCTCATGTACTAAGACCAGAGATAGCTGATGCCAAGGTTGGCTAAATTAGTAGCTTGAGATGTTAGGTTTTTCATTTGAGGTTTCTATGCTGCTATTGTCTTCTGCTCTTGGTCACAGAGGCTGCCACAATCCGCATGTCAAGTCCTCCTGTGACAATATCCAGAGACAGCAAGGAAGAGGTACAGTGTATTCCTGCATGTTTCTTAAAAACGTTTTTGATAGAGAATAATTGTACACATTTATGGGGTCCATGTGAGATTCTGGTACATGCATGCAATGTGTAATGATCAAATCAGGGTCTTTAGGATATTAATCACCTCAAACATTGATCATTTCTTTGTGTTGGGAATATTTCAAATCTTATTGCTATTTAGAAATATACAATAAATCCATTTATCAAGATACAAAATCTATGTGCACAAATCAGTAGCAGTGCTATACACCAACATCTACCAGGCTGAGAATCAAATCAAACCCTTTTATAATAGCTGTAAAAATAAAATACGTAGGAATATACCTAACCAAGGAAGTGAAAGACCCCTACAAGGAAAACTACAAAACACTGTTGAAAGAAATCATAGATGACATAAACAAATGGAAACGCATTCCATGCTCATGGATGCATAGACTCAATATTGTGAAAATGACCATACTGCCAAAAGCAGTCTACAAATTCAATGCAATTCCTATCAATATACCATCATCATTCTTTATAGAACTAGAAAAAAATGCCAAAATTCATTTGGAACTAAAAAAGAGTCTGCATAGCCAAAACAAAACTAAGCAAAAAGAACCAATCTAGAGGCATCACATTACCCAACTTCAAACTATATTACAAGGCTATAGGCACCAAAACAGCATGGTGCTGGTATAAAAATAGGCACATGACCAATGGGACAGAGTAGAGAACATAGAAATAAAGCCAAATACTTAACAGCCAACTGATCTTCGACAAAGTAAACAAAAACAAAGTAGGGAAAGTACCCCCTATACAACAAATAGTGCTGGGATAATTGGCAAGCCACATGTAAAAGAATAAAACTGGATCCTCATCTCTCACCTTATACAAAAATCAACACAAGATGGATCAAAGACTTAAATCTAAGGTCTGAAACCATAAAAATTCAGAAGATAACATTGGAAAACGCTTCTACACATTGGCTTAGGCAAACAGTTCATGACCAAGAACCCAAAAGCAAATGCAACAGAAACAAAGATAAATAGATGGGACTTAATTAAACTAAAAGCCTCCTGCACAGCATAGGAAATAATCAGCAGAGTAAACAGATCACCCACAGAGTGGGAGAAAATTTTCACAAACTGCATCTGACAAAGGACTAATGTTCAGAATCTACAGGGAACTCTAATCAGCAAGAAAAAAATAATCCCATCAAAAAGTGTGCCAAGGACATGAATAGACAATTCTCAAAAGAAGATATACAAATGGTCAACAAACATATGAAAAAATGCTCAATATCACTAATTACCAGGGAAATGCAAATCAAAACCACAATGCAATACCACGTGTAAAATAAACAAAAATAGGGCCGGGTGCAGTGGCTCACACCTGTAATCCTAGCACTTTGGGAGGCCGAGGTGGGTGGATCAGGAGGTCAGGAGTTTGAGACCAGCCTGACCAACATGGTGAAACCCAGTCTCTACTGAAAATACAAAAATTAGCCAGACATGGTGGTGGTTACCTGTAATCCCAGCCAGTCAGGAGGCTGAGACAGGAGAATTGCTTGAACCCGGGAGGCAGAGGTTGCAGTGAGCTGATATCGCACCACTGTACTCCAGCCTGGGTAACGGAGTGAGACTCCATCTCAAAAAAAAAAAAAAAAAAAAAAAAAAAAAACAAACAAAAACAAAAAAAGCAAAAATTGATGTTGGCACGGACGTGGTGAAAGAGAACCCTTTTACACTTATGGTGGGAATGTAAGCTAGTACCACCACTATGGAAAGCAGTATGGAGATTCCTTAAAGAACTAAAAGTAAATCTACCATTTGATCCAGCAATCCCACTTCTAGGTATCTACCCAGAGGAAAATAAGTCATTATATGAAAAAGATGCTTTTGCACACATGTTTACAGTAGCAAAATTCACAGTTGCAAAACTACAGAACCAGCCCAAATGCCCATCAATCAATTAGTGGATAAAGAAAATGTATTTTATGTATATATATATATACCATAGAATACTACTTAGCCTTAAAAAGGAATGAAATAATGGCATTCATAGCAACCTGGATGGAGTTGGAGACCATTATTCTAAATGAAGTAACTCAGGAATGGAAAACCAAACATTGCATGTTCTCACTTGTAAGTGGGAGCTAAGCTATGATGATGCAAAGGCACAAGAATGAAACAGTGGACGTTGGGGGCTCAGGGGGAAGGTGGGAGGGGGTGAGAGATAAAAGACTATACATTGGGTAAACTGCTTTGGTGATGAGTATGCCAAAATTTCAGAGATCACCACTAAGGAACTTATCCATGTAACTAAATACCACCTGTTCCCTAAAAACTATTGAAATTAAAAAAAAAAAGAAATATACAACAAATTGTTGTAGTCACTTTCTGTGATAATGAACACTAGATCTTATTCCTTCTGTTATATATTTTTATACCCATTAATCAACCTCTTTTCAAACCCCTCCTATTCCCAGCCTCTGGTAACTATCATTCTACTCTTTATCTCCATGATGTCAATTTTATATAGCTCCAGGGCACACAAGTCCATAACTGCGGTCTCTATCCCTGACCCTACTGACCTGAAACATGGCCCCCACTTTGATTTCCAGGAGCATAAACCGCTCATATAAGTGAGAACAGGCAATGATTTTCTTTCTGTGCATGGCCTAGTTCACCTAACATTATGACCTTTAATTCCATACATTTAGCTGAAAATGACAGGATTTCATTCTTTTTTGTGGCTGAATACTATTCTATTGTGCGTATATTCCCATTTTCTTTATCCATTCATCCATTGTTTGACACTTAGATTGATTCCATATCTTGGCTATTGTAAATAGTGCTGCAGTAAATATGGGGGTACAGATATCCCGTTGATACACTGATATCCTTTTTTTTTTGGATATATACCCAGGAATGGGACTGCTGGATCATATGGTAGATCTGTTCTTAGTTTTTTGAGAAATCTCTGTATTTTTTTCATAATGGCTGTACTAATTTACATTCCCACCAACAATATACAATAATTTTCTTCACATGCTTGCCAGCATTTGTTGTGCTTTGTCTTTTTCATAATAACCATTCTAACAAGTGTGAGATGATATCTCATTGTGGTTTTGATTTACATTTCCGTGATGATTAGTGATGTTGAATATTTTTTCATAAACTTGGTGATTTGTATATCTTCTTTTGAGAAATGTCTTTATTTTCTGATAGTTTCTTTTGCTGTGCAGAAGCTCTTTCATTTAATTAGATCCCATTTGTCAATTTTTGCTTTTGTGGCAATTGTGTTTGGCATCTTCACCATGAACTCTTTGCCCATCACTATGTACCAGATGGTATTGCCTGGGTTGTCTTCCAGCGTTTTTATAGTTATGGGTTTTACATTTAAGTCTTCAAGCCATCTTGAGTTAATTTTTGTGTATGGTGTAAGGAAGGAGTGTTGTCTTTTCACTCTGTTGATTGCTTTCTTTGATATGCAGAAGGTATTTAATTTAATATAATCCCATTTGTCTGTTTTTGTTGCTTGTACTTTTTAAGTGTTAGCCATACATTGTTTGTTCTGAAGCGTTTCTCCTGTGTTTACTTCCAGTAGTTTTATAGTTGTAGCTGTTACACTTAAGTCTTTAATTGATTTTGAGTTTATTTTTGTAAGTGATGAGAGATAAGGGTCTAGTTTTATTCTTCTGTGTTTGGATATCTAGTTTTCCTGGCACCATTTAATGAAGAGGTTGTCCTTTATTCAATGTATGTTCTTGACAGCTTTCTTGAAAATCAGTTAGCTGTAAATATGTGGATTCATTTCTGGATTCTTTAGTGTGTTTCCTTTGTTTTTGTGTCTGTTTTAATACCAATACTAGCTGTTTTGGTTACTATAGCTTTGCAGTATATATATATATATTTTGTTTGTTTGTTTGTTTGTTTTGTTTTGTTTTGTTTTGACAGAGTCTTGCTCTGTTGCCCAGGCTGGAGTGCAGTGGCGCAATCTTGGCTCACTGCAAGCTCTGCCTCCCGGGTTCACGCCATTCTCCTGCCTCAGCCTCCCGAGTAGCTGGGACTACAGGCGCCCACAACCACACCTGGCTAATTTTTTTTTTTTTTTTTTTTTTTTTTTTTTTTTAGTAGAGACAAGGTTTCACCATGTTAGCCAGGATGGTCTCGATCTCCTGACCTTGTGGTCCACCCGCCTCGGCCTCCCACAGTGCTGGGATTACAGGCATGAGCCACCGCACCTGGCTGCTTTACAGTATATTTTTAAATCAGGTAATGTGAGGCTTCTAGCTTTGTTCTTTTTGCTCAGTATTGCTTTGGCTATTTGGGGTCTTCTCTGGTTCCATATGAATTTCAGGGTTTTTTTTCCTGTTTCTGTGAAGAATATAATTGATAGGGATTATACTGAATCTCTAGATGGCTTCGGGTAGCATGGTCATTTTAACAGTATTAGTTATTCCAACCCACGAGCATGAGATTCCTTTCCATTTCTTCCTGTCCTTCTCAATTTATTTTATCAGTGTTTTGTGGTTTTCTTTGCAGAGGTTTTTTTTTTTTTTTTTTTCCCCATCCTTGGTTAAGTTTATTCCTAGGTATTTTATTTTTGTAGGTATTATAAATAGAATTTCTTCCTTGATTTCTATTTTAGCTAGTTTGTTACTGGTATATAGAAACATTACTGATTTTTGTATGTTGATTTTGTGTCCTGAAGCTTTACTGAATTATACATCCGTTTTTTAAAAATTTTTTTATTTTTTATTTTTTGAGATAGACTCTCACTCTGTTGCCCAGGCTGGAGTGCAGTGGTGCAATCTTGGCTCACTGAAACTCCACCTCTGGGGTTCAAGTGATTCTCCTGCTTCAGCCTCCCAAGTAGCTGGGATTACAAGCACCTACCACCATGCCTGACTAATTGTATTTTTAGTAGAGACAGGGTTTCACCATGTTGGCCAGGCTGGCCTCAAACTCCCAACCTCAGGTGGTCCACCCACCTTGGCCTCCCAAAGTGCTGGGATTACAGGTATGAGCTACCATGCCCAGCCTAATTTACCCATTTTAAGAGTTTTTTGGTGGAGTCTTTAGGTTTTCTGTTTACAAGTATAAGATTATGTCATCTGCAAAGTGAGACAATTTGACTTCCTCTTGTCCATTTTGGATGCCTTTTATTTCTTTATCTTGTCTGATCACTCTGGCTTGGATGCCCCATACTGTGTTGAATAAAGAGTGGTGAAAGTGGGCATCCTTGTCTTGCTCCAGTTCCTAGAGGAAAGGCTTTTCAATTTTTCCCAGTGAGTAGGATGTTAGCTGTAGATTTGTCATATATGCCTTTTCTTATTTTGAAGTGTTCCTTCTATGCATAATTTGTTGAGAGTTTTCATGTTGAAGGAACGGTAAGTTTTACCGAGTGATTTTTCTGCATCTGCTGAGATGATCAGATAGTTTTTGCCTTTCATCTTGTTGATGTGATGTATCACATGTATTGATTTGTGTATGTTAAGCCATCTTTGCATTCCTGGGATAAATCCCACTTGATCATGGTATATTATCTTTTTCATTCATCATTAGATTTGGCTTGGTAGTATTATGCTGAGAATGTTTCCATCTGTGTTCATTAGGAATATTGGCCTGTAGTTTTCTCTTTTTGTTGTGTCCTTGTCTTGATTGGATATGAGGGTAATGCTGGCCTTATACAATGAGTTAGGAAGAATTCCCTCCTCTTCAATTTTTGGGAATAGTTTGAGAAGAATTGGTGTTTGTTTTTCTTTATAAATTGGGTAGAAATCAGCATAAAAGCCTAGTCTAGGGCTTTTCTCTTTTGGGAGACTTTTTGTTACTGATTCAAACCTGCTATTCATTTTGGGTCAGTTCAGGTTTTCTGTTTCTTCCTAGTTCAATCTTGGTAGGCTGTGTATGTCTGGGAATTTATCCCTTTCCTCTAGGTTTTCCAATTTGTTAGGATATCGTTGTTCATAATAGCCTCTAATCATCCTTTTTATTTCCTTGGTAACAGTTGTAGTGTCTCCTTTTTCATTTCTGATTGTATTTATTTGGGTCTCCTTTTTTTTTGTTTTTTTTTTTTTTTTTTTTTTTTGGTTAGCCTCACTAGTGGTTTATCAATTTTGTTTAACTTTTCAAAAAAACAACTTTTATCTTGTTGATTCTTTGCATTTCTTTTTTGTCTCTGTTGCATTTGGTTCTGCTATGTTGTTTATTATTTTTTCTTTCCACTAATTGCGTGTTTGGTTTGTTCTTGCTTTTTGAGTTCCTTGAGGTTCATCATTAGGTTGTTTATTTGAAATCTTTCTACTTTTTTGGTGTAGGCATTTATTGCTATAAACTTTCCTCCTAGTACTGCTTTTGCTGTATCCCATAGGTTTTGCATGATGTGTTTCCGTTTTCTGTTTAAAAAAATTTTTAATGTCCATCTTAATTTCTTCATTGATCCAATGGTCATTCAATAGCATGTTTAATGTCCATGTATTTGTACAGTTTCCAAATTTCTTCTTCTTATTGATTTCAAGTTTTATTCCATTGTGGTCTGAGAAGATACTTGATATGATTTTAATTTTTAAAATTTTGTTGATCCTTGTTTTGTGTCCTAACATATGGTCTATCCTGGAGAATGTTCCATGTGTTGATGAGATGATTGTATATTCTGCTGCTGCTGGATGAAATATTCTGAAAATATCTGTTAGCTCCATTTGGTCTAAAGTGCAGCTTAAATCTAATGTTTCTTTGTTGATTTTATGTCTAGATGAACTGTCCAGTGCTGAGAGTAGGATATTGAAGTTCTCAACTATCATTGTATTGGACTCTATCTTTCCCTGTAGATTTAATAATATTTGCTATGTGTGTCTGGATGTGCTTGTGTTGGTTGCATGCATATTTAGAATTGTTACAGTTTGTTGCTGAATTGATCCCTTTATTACCATATAATGACCTTCTTTGTCCTTTTTACAGTTTTTGACTTAAAGTCTGTTTTATCTGATGTAAGTTTAGCTACTCCTGGTTACTTTTGATTTCTGTTTGTGTGGCATATCTTTTTCAATCCCTTCACTTTCAGTCTGTGTGTGTCTTTACAAGTGAAGTGAGTTTCTTGTAGACGTTGTTGGGTCATTTTTTATCCATTAAGCCTGTCTCTATCTTTTAGGTAGGTAATTTAACCCATATTCGAAGTTATTATTGATAGGTGAGGACTTATTCCTGTCATTTTGTTCATTGTTTTCTGGTTATTTTGTATATCCTTTTGATACAGTTTGGCTATGTCCCCACTCAGATCTCATCTCGAATTCCCATGTGTTGTGGGAGGGACCCAGTGGGAAGTAGTTGAATCATGGAGGCAGGTATTTCCCATGTTATTCTTTTGATAGTGAATAAGTCTCATGAGATCTGATGGTTTTAAAAGGAGGAGTTTCCCTGCTCAAGCTCTCTCTTTGTCTGCTGCCATCCCTGTAAGATGTGACTTGCCTCTCCTTGACTTCCGCAATGACTTTGAAGCCTTCCCAGCAATGTAGAACTGTAAGTCCATTAAACCTCTTTCTTTTGTAAATTTCCTAGTCTTGAATGTGTCTTTATCAGCTGTGTGAAAATGGACTAATACAGTAAATTAGTACCAGAAGTGGAGTGTTGCTAAAAGATTCCTGAATAAGTGGAAGTGACTTTGGAACTGGGAAACAGGAAGAGGTTGGAACAGTTTGGAGGGCTCAGAAGGATACAGGAAAATGTGGGAAAATTGGGAAGAGATTTCCTAGAGACTTGCCCAAAATGCTGATGGTTATATGGACAATAAAGTCTAGGCCAAGGTTGTCTCAGATGGAAATGAGGAACTTGTCAGAAACTGGCACAAAGGTGACTCCTGTTACGTTTTAGCAAAGAGACTTGTGGCTTTTTGCCCCTGCTGTAGACATTTGTGGAATTTTGAACTTGAGAGAGATGATTTAGGGTATCTGGTAGAAGAAATTTCTAAGCAGCAAAGCATTGAAGAGATGACTTGGGTGCTGTTAAGGGCCCTCAGTTTTATGAGGGAAGCAGAGCCTGAAAGTTTGGAAAATTTGCAGCCTGAAAATGCAATAGAAAAGAAAATCCCATCTTCTCAAGAAAAATTCATTCTGGCTGCAGAAATTTGTTTAAGTAACGAGGAGTCAAATGTGAATCCCCAAGACAATGGGGAAAATGTATACAGGACATGTCACAGATCTTCATGGCAGCCCCTCCCATCAAAGGCCCAGAGGCCTAGGAAAAATAGATGGTTTTCTGGGCTGGACCCAGGGCCCCCCTGCGGTGAGCAGCCTAGGGTGCCTGAGTCCTAGCCACTGAAGCTGCAGCTAAAAGGAGCCAAGGTACAACATGGGCTATGGCTTCAGAGGGTGCAAGCCCCAAGCCTTAGCAGCTTCCACATAATGTTGAGCCTATGGGTGCACAGAAGTCAAAAATTGAGGTTTGGAAACCTCTGCCTAGATATCAGAAGATGTATGGAAATGCCTAGACATCCAGGCAGGAGTTTGCTGCAGGGACAGGGCACTCATGGAGAACCTCTACTAGGGCAGTGCAGAAGGGAAATGTGGGGTCAGAGCCCTCTCATAGAGTCCCTACTGCAGCACCACCTAGTGGAGCTGTGAGAAGAGAGCCACCATCCTCCAGACCCCAGAATGGTGGATTCACTGACAACTTGCACTGTGTGCCTGGAAAAGCTGCAGACACTCAATGCCAACCCATGAAAGGAGCCAGGAGGGGGTTTATACCCTACAAAGCCACAGGAGTGGGGCTGTGGCCTTTTTTCTCCCAAGGCCATGGGAGCCCATCTCTTATATCAGCATGACCTGCATGTGAGACATGGAGTCAAAGGAGATCATTTTGGAGCTTTGAGATTTGACTGCCCCACTGGATTTTGGGCTTGCATGGGGCCTGTAACCCCTTTGTTTTGGCAATTTTCTCCTATTTGTAATGACTGTGTTTACCCAATGCCCATACCCCCATTGTATCTAGGAAGTAACTAACTTGTTTTTGATTTTACATGCTCAGAGGCGGAAGGGATTTGCCTTGTCTCACATGAGACTTTGGATGGTGGACTTTTGAGTTAATGCTGAACTTAGTTAAGAGTTTGGGGGACTGTTGCGAAGGCATGATTGGTTTTGAGATGTGAGGATATGAGTTTTGGGAAGGGCCAGGGGCAGAATGATATGGTTTGGTTGTGTCCCCACCCAAATCTCATCTTGAATTCCCACATGTTGTGGGAGGGACCTGGTGGGAAGCAACTGAGTCATGGGGGCTGGTCTTTCCCATGCTGTTCTCATGATAGTGAGTATGTCTCACAAGGTCTGATGGTTTTAAAAAGGGTAGTTTCCCTGCAGAAGCTCTCTCTTTGCCTGCTGCCATCCATGTGAGACATGACTTGCTTCTTCTTGCGTTCCAACGTGATTGTGAGGTTTCCTCAATTATGTGGAAGTGTAAGTCCATTAAACATCCTTCTTTTGTAAATTGCCCAGTCTCAGTCAGGTATGTCTTTATCAGCAGTGTGAAAACAGACTAATACACCTTTGTTCCTTTTTTCTCTCATTATTTATGGTTGCAGTTCAGTGGTTTTCTTTAGTGGTGTTGTTTGAATCCTTTCTTCTTTGTGTGTCTGCTCTGCCACTGAGTTTTATACTTTCATCTATTTTCTTGAGGGTAGATATTGTTCTTTTGCTTCCCAATGTAGGATTCTCTTAAGCATTTCCCCTAGGACCACAACAAACAAGACCCAAACAGTCTTTTTCTTATCTGGGAAATACTTTTTTATTTATGTATTTATTTTTTTATAGCAATGGAGTTTCACTCTGTCACCCAGGCTGGAGTACAGTGGCATGATCATAGCTCACTGCAGCCTTGAACTCCTGGGCTCAAATGATCCTCCTGCCTAGCCTTCTGAGTCTCTGGAATTGCAGATGTGAGCCACTGTGCCAGGCTCCTTCATTTGTGAAGGATAGCTTTGCTGCGTATAGTATTTTTGGCTTACATTTTTTTCTTTTTTTTTTTTGCTTGTAGTATACATCCCCTTTTCTCCTAGCCTGTAAGGTTTCTGCTGAGAAATCCCGTTAGCCTGATGGAGATTCTCTTCTAAGTGACTTGATGCTTTTTTCTTGCTGTTTTTAGCATTTTCTCTTTGTCTTTTGACAATTTTACCATAATGTCCCTTGGAGAAGACCTTTTTGAGTTGTATTTATTTGGTAATCTTTGAGCTTCCTGCATTTGGAAGCTTTCAGGAAGTTTTCAGTTATTATTTTATTGAATAGGTTTTCTATGCCTTTACCCATCTCATTTCCATCCAGAACTCCCAGAATTTCAGTTTTTGGTCACATATGTGTCCCATATGTCATGTAGCCTTGCTTCATTCTTTTTTCTTTCTTTTTGTCTGACTGGATTATTTTAAAAGACTAGTCTTCAGGTTCAGAAATTCTTTGTTTTGCTTGATCTAGTCTGTTGTTAAAGCTTTCAATTATCTTTTGTATTTCTTTCAATGATTTATTCTCTTCCAGGATTTGTGTTTGGTTCTTTGTTATGCTGTCTATCTCTGTTGAATTTCTCATTCAGATCATGAATTGTTTTCCTGATTTTTTTGTATTCGTTATCTGTGTTCTCTTGTATCTCCCTGAGTTTCTTTAATAACATTATTCTTAATTTTTTTCAGGCATTTCATAGATTTTCTTTTCATTGGAATCTGTTGCTGGAGAATTATTGTGCTTCTTTGGAGATGTTATGTTTCCTTTTTCATATTTCTTGCATCCTTATGTGACTATCTGTGCCTCTGACATAACAGTCACTTCTTCCAATTTTATGGATTGGCTTTTATATGGGAAAGACCTTTTCTTATAGCTGTATCTACAATGTTCATTGGATACCACACTTTGGCTTTGATTCTGGGTGGGTACAGTGGTATAGTCTGCATATGATTTCTTCAGCTGTAATTGGCCTGAGTGGTGTCTCTGAGTCATTCAGTGGCTTAGACTGCAGTTTTTTTTTTTTTTTTTTTGGTTTTTGTGTGTGTGTGTGTGTGGTTGATGAGATGGAGTCTAGCTCTGTCACCAGGCTGGAGTTCAGTGACACAATCTCAGCTCACTGCAACCTCTGCCTCCTGGGTTCAAGTGATTATCCTGCCTCAGCCTCCTGAGTAGCTGGGACTACAGGCACGTGTAACCATGCCCAGCTAATTTTTGTATTTTTAGTAGAGACGGGGTTTTCACCATGTTGGCCAGGCTGGTCTCGAACTCCTGACCTCATGATCTACCCACCTTGGCCTCTCAAAGTGCTGGGATTACAGGGGTGAGCCACCATGCCTGGACAGACCACAGTTGTTATTGGAGGATGTGGTGAGGCTTTGCTGAGGATAGGGATGCCAGGAAGTCTTGTCCTTCAGCATCAGTGGTAGTGGTGGTGGACCAGGTTGGTCAATACTAGGGACCATGGGCAGTGTATATGGGCACTGATGATAGCCTGTCTGCATGTGCCAATCCTTGGGTCCCCAGGTGGCTTCTTTGGTTGCTGGCAGTGGCAACACTGGGCCAGGTGGGCAGGTGTGCCACTGGGCTCCTGGGTGGTGTGTGTGGCAGTCTGATCTCTAGTTCTCCAGGTGATGTGTGCAGGTTCTGGTGGTGGGTAGGCAGGCGTTTCCTCAGGCCTCTCAGTAGTAAGTGTGAGCACTAGCTCTGGAGGCAGTGTGAGTCAATCTCCAGGCCCCCAGATGGTACATTCAGGCACCAGCATATTCCTATGCATTTCTAGATAAAAGTATTTTTCAGAAAACCTGAGCATATGTCCTATTAATACAACTTACCCTCATCAGCTCTGCATGAGAAGAAGGGGGAATTCCCTCAGTAGAACAGTCAGAATGGAATCACAGACTTGTTTTGAGCCAGTCACTGGTAAGGGGGATTAGGCTAAAATGATAAGCTCAGACTCTAAACCTTAGACTAGGGAATGGCAAACTTTTTCCATAAAGAGGCAAACGGTAATATTTTAGGCTTTTGGTCTAGATAACTTCTGTTGCAGTGACGCAGTGGTGCCATCGTAGCCTAAAAGCATATGTAGACAATGCATAAATGAGTGGACCTGGGTTTATTCCAGTAAAACTTAATTTATACAAACAGTCAGAGGGCCAGATTTGGCCCCTGGTCTATAGTTTGCCAACCCTGTTTAGAACAGTCAGAATTTATTCCCTGGGGCTGGGTCAACTTTTTCTTAAAAAAAAAAAAAGAAAGCAACCCACTGTCAGAATAAAATAGTGTTTCTATTTAAAAAGAAGAAGAGGCTGGGCATGGTGGCTCATGCCTATAATCCTAGCACCTTGGGTGGATGAGGCAGGAGGACTGCTTGAAGCCAGGAGTTTGAAACCAACTTGTGCAATATACTGAGACCCTGTCTCTGCAAAGAATAAAAAAATTAGCCAGGCATGGTGGCACATGTCTGTAGTCTTAGCTACTCAGGAGGCTGAAGGGGAAGATCACTTGAGCCCAGGATTTTGAGGTTACAGTGAGCTCTGACTGTACCACTTGTACTCTAGCCTAGGCAAAGAAGGATAACCCAAAAACAAACAAAAAAAAAGGTTGGTTGGGGCGGGTTGGAGAAGAAAGTATTTCTGAATTTCTGGGTAGGTTACTGGTAGTGTCAGGCCAAATTAGCTCTACAGTCATATTCATTATAAATAAGGGCAACTAGAAGATCTCCATCTAGCTATTAAAAATTGGTTAAAATCTACAGAGATAAAGGATGGTGACCCTTGTATCCATTAGTTGTTGTCACACAATGCTGCATAACATGTCACTCCAAATCTCAGTGGCTTAATACAACAATTGTTTATTTTCATGGATCTATGGGTCAGCTGAGGATTGGTTAATCTGGCATGAGCATGTCTGGGAAGCTTGACTTTGCACTTGATGTCTCTTGTCTTCTTCTGGAAGCAGCATTCTGGCCTCGGCTTGTTCTCATGGTGATAGCAGGAGTGAGCGAGCACAAATGAATGCACACTTTCCAAGTTTTTGGTCATGCAGATTAATATTCCAGTGGCCAAAGCTAGACACATGACTAAATCCAACATTAGCGGCTGGAGAAATATACTCCGATTCTTCAGTGGGAGGAACTGCAGAGACAAATGACAGAGTCTTGGATACAGGGAGGACATGGATCCATTAATGTACCTTAATCAACGGCAACCCTCTAACCACCAATACAATTAAATAAGTATTTGTTGAATGCACTTGTGCCTGAATCCTTCTTGCTGCAGCCCAGGCAATGGGGGCCTGACTGGGGAGGGACCATAGCAGGGACTCAATGCCCTGCAGGTCTGCATGTAATTGTGTACGGCCGACTCCACATTGGTCATGGCTGACTTGCTTTGTCCTGCGTCCCCAAGGGGCAACGATTGGGTGATTTTATTTCTGAACAGTTATGACAAAGTTGTTTTCAGGAGCCCAGGAAGCAAATCAGTTGTAGATTTGAATTTTGCAGGGGGTCAGAATTGTTGAATATATATATAGTCTTTTACATGCTGATAATTATTTCCATACCACAAAGAAGGCCGGCTATTAGGAAGCTGCTGTTCAATTCCTTTGCCCCTTGAACTCATGAGCTGTGCCTATGTGGGGGGCACTCACTTGTTAGAGCTGTTTCCCTTCATAGTAACATCAGCCAATATTCTAAATAAATGCAGGAAATTAAATAGTCTTCCCCAAACGTGTACTTTGCTCTTCTAAAGTGAATTACACATTGTAAAATAAAACACAGTCACATTAAAAAAACAAAAGGTCTTTGTGTCAGGTTGGTCTGGCTTCAGCAAAGAAAGATAATCTTTGCCTCCAGAGTAGAAGATCCTTGGAAACCACGGTATTGCACATGGCAGCCCCACATCTTGTTTTCTTTTCTTTTTTTTTGTTTTTAACTAAAAGAGTTGACAATTTTATTTTCACATTTCCCAATACAAATGAAAACTGCGTCTTTTTTGGTCCCACTTCTCCCCTCCAAAACTATTCTCTTTGATAGGGTAAGGGGGCAAGTGTTCCTTATGCTGTTAAGAAAACCCAGTATCAGCGCATGATCTCCTGGTGAAGGGAGCAGGTAAATATAAACTCATATAGGCCGGGCGCAGTGGCTCACGCCTGTAATCCCAGCACTTTAGGAGGCTGAGTCAAGCGGGTCACGAGGTCAGGAGATTGAGACCATCCCAGCAAACATGGTGAAATCCTGTCTCTACTATAATTAAAAAAATTAGCCAGGCATGGTGCGCACACCTGTAGTCCCAGCCACTCAGGAGGCTGAGGCAGGGGAATCACCTGAACCCAGGAAGTGGAGGTTTCAGTGAGCTGAGATCGTGCCACTGCCCTCCAGCCTGGGTGACAGAGGAAGGCTCTGTCTCAAAAACAAAACAAAAAAACACAACAACAACAACAACAAACACTGATGTAATGAGGCTTCCACTCTATCCTTATCTGTCTGGTCGAGTCATTCTGGGCTGACTGGGCACCATCATGAGATGGGCAGGAGGTCTCATCATTGGGCACCCAGGCATCATGGGCATGTGGCCTCCCATGGGCAGCCTCATTCCAGGAGCAGGTCCCACTGGCATCATCCCAGGAGGAGGAGGGCCCATCATTGGCATCATGGGAGGGCCTCCCATATGGGGTGCTGCCATCATACTGAGATGGGCGAGAAGTGTCAAATACACGTTAGATTGTGAAGCCTTAATATAAAAAGAAAGCAAAGTATTTTACTAATGTTAAAATATTTTATACACGTAGACCTGGTATTTTGGATAGATTTATTTAAATCTGTGATATTATTCCAATTACCTTCACTTCTTTTGTTTTACTTTTTAAAATGTGGTTACTACAAAATGCAAAAGTGAATGTGTGGCTTGCATCATATTTCATCACATTTAGTGTGGGCCCTGAGGGTCTAGGGGAGTTATGAGCCTTAAGTTGAGGGTGACCCAGGTCAACGTGAATTGCTCTGAAAGAGAAGCAAAGGGCATAAAGAGAACACATAAATGGAGAGAGGGAGCTCAGTCTTGCAGGGTGAGGAAAGGCTTTCTTTCTTACAGTCTGGCATTTCTTCAAAAGCTTAAACACAGAGTTCTATGACCCAGCACTTCCACTCCAGTTTATGAAAGAAATGAAAATATATGTCTATGCAGAAACTTGTACATAAATGCTCATAGCAGCATTACTCACAATAACGCCAAATTGAAAACAACACAAATGCTTGTCTACTGATGAGTGGAGTAATAGAACATGGTTTCACCATGCAATGGAATATTATTCAGTCATCAAAAGGAATTAAGTACTAACACGTGCTACAACACGGATGAACCATGAGAATATTAGGCTAAGTGGAAGAAACCAGTCACAAAAGGTCACATATTATAAGATTTCATTTATATGAAATGTGCAGAACACGCAAGTCTATGAAGACAGAAACCCTGTCTCTACTAAAAATATAAAATTAGATGGGCATGGTGGCACATGCATGTAATCCCAGCTACTCGTGAGGCAGGAGAATTGCTTGAACCCGGGAGGCAGAGGTTGTAGTGAGCCGAGATTGTGCCACTGCACTCCAGCCTGTGACAGAGACTCTATCTCAAAAAAAGTACATTGTCAGGGCTTAGTGGGAGGAAGAAATGGCAGGTACCTGATAATGGATACAGGGTTTCTTTTTGGGGTGATGAAAATGTTTTAAAATTGATCATAATAGTGGTTGCTGAGGCTCTGTGAATGCACTGAAACCATTGATTTGTTCACTTTAAATGGGCAAATCATACGGTACCTGAATTATATTTTAATAGTTGTATTAAAAATAAAATCTTCCTTGAAGAGATGACACTTAAGGAGAGGTGTAGGGGGTGGGATGAATTCACTAGGTAGAAAATGAGGAAAAGCATTTCAGGGTGAGGAACAGCACAGTGAAGTCCCTGAGGGTGATAGGCATAGAGCAGATTTAAGGGACTTTTTTTTTTTTTTTTCTCTTTGAGAAAGAGTTTCGCTCTTGACGGTCAGGCTGGAGTGGAGTCGTGTGATCTTGGCTCACTGCAATCTCTGCCTCCTGAGTTCAAGCAATTTTCCTGTCTCAGTCTCCCGAGTAGCTGGGATTACAGGCACCCTCCACCACACCTAGCTAATTTTTGGATATTTAGTAGAGATGGGGTTTCACCATGTTGACCAGGCTGGCCTCGAACTCCTGATCTCAGGTGATGCACCCGCCTCAGCTTCCCAAAGTGCTGGGATTACAGACATGAGCCACTGCGCTCAGCCAGATTTAAGGGACTTTCAAGAAGTTTGTGTGGCTGAAGCCTGCAGGGCAAGTGAGAGAATCAGGAAATGAGGCTGGAGAAAGAGAGGGGCTAGGTCATGGAGGGTCTCACATTAGGGTGTTGAAACTTCATAGGAGTGGTCCCACTTTGGGCATCCCACGTAACTACTCTGTGTCCCAGCTTCCTCACTGGTGAAATACAGGGCTGATGTAGAGATGGACTGAGATAGTGTGTGCTCAGTAAAGGTGACCTTTTATCATTGTTGTTGTTGTTGTTGTTGTTGTTGTTGTTTTGAGACGGAGTCTTACTCTGTCACCCAGGCTGGAGTGCAGTGGTGCGATCTCGGCTCACTGCAACCTCCGCCTTCGTGGTTCAAGCGATTCTCCTTCTTCAGCCTCCCGAGTAGCTGGGCTTACAGGCATGTGCCACCATGCCTGGCTAATTTTTTGTACTTTTAGTAGAGACGGGGTTTCACCGTGTTAGCCAGGATGGTCTTGATCTCCTGACCTCGTGATCCATCCGCCTCGGCCTCCCAAAGTGCTAGGATTACAGGTGTGAGCCACTGCGCCTGGCCTGGAGTTGTTTTTAAAAGCACATTTCTCTCAAATTAACTCCGGGGTGTCCCACTGTGACTTGGGCAAAGGTTTGGATTTTCTGGAGGTGGAAAGTCAAACTTCAAATAGAATTTGGAGGCTGGGCACTGTGGCTCATGCCTGTAATCCCAGTACTTTAGGAGGCTGAGGTGGGTGGATCATTTGAGGCCAGAAGTTTGAGACCAACCTGGGCAACATGACGAGACCACGTTTCTACTAAAAATACAAAAATTAGCTAAGCATGGTGGTACATGCCTGTAATCCCAGCTACTTAGAAGGCTGAGGCAGGAGTTATCACTTGAGCCTGGGAGGCAGAAGTGTCCTGTGTCCACACCCCATGAGGTGTATCAGCTGACTGAAGATAAAATCGGTCACGCTGTGTTGAGATTGGGGTTGCTGTTATCATACCTCATCCCCACCCCTGCTAGGCATCCACAAATAGTCATCTTCAATGAGAAGTCCCTCCTGTCCCTGGCTGCCTTATTTCATCTGCACCCAACCATATCCATTGCTTGTCAGTGGGTCTCAACTTTTGCTGCACCTTGGAATCTCCTGGGGAGATGAGACAATAACAAGGCTCTCTCTCACTTAGCATGATGTTTGCAAGGTCCATCCCCATGTAGTAGGCACCAGTGCTTCCACTGTATGGATACAGCACATTTTGTTTATTCATTCATCAACCAAATGGCCAGCTTGGTTGTTGCTACCTTTTGGTTATTATATATATTACATGATTCCATTTATGTGAAAGGTCCAGAATAGGCAAATCTATAGAGACAGAAAGCAGGTAAGTGGTTGCCAGGAGCTGGGGGAAAGGGGAGGGGATGTGGGGTTCTTGATGGATACAGGGTTTTTTTGGGGGGGGCGGGGGGCGTTAATGAAAATGTTTTGGAACTAGACAGAGATGATGATTGCTTAACATTATGAATGTATTTAATGATACTGAAGTGTATGGTTTCATACAGGGATTTGTATGTTATGTGAATTTTGCCTCATTAAAAAAATACTGCTAGGAGCAATGGCTCATGCCTGTAATCCCAGCACTTTAGGAGGCCAAGGCGGGAGGATCACGTGAGGCTGGGTGTTTGAGACCTGCCTGCCCAATATGGTGAAACCCTATTTCTATTAAAAATACAAAAATTAGCCAGGCGTGGCGGTGCATGCCTATAATCCCAGCTACTCGGAAGGCTGAGGTAGGAAAATGGGTTGAACCCGGGAGGCAGAGGTTGCAGTGAGCTGAGATTGCACCACAGCATTCCAGCCTGGGTGACAGAACAAGATTCCATCTCAAAAAAAAAAAAAAAAAAAAAACAACACACAAACACACACAAAATACTGATGCCCATGTTTCATCCCCAAGAGATTCTGTAATAATTGATCTGGGTTGCAGAGCCTGGGCACTGGGTTTGCAAAATCTCCCCAGCTGATTCTGATGTGCAGCTGTGGTTGAGAATCTCCTTCTGGAATGAACTTGTTCATGTTTTACTTGTGTTGTTTTCTAGCCTGCCTTTGCCTTTCTGTTTCACTTCACATCTTTGGGGAGTAATTTTTACAATGCAGTCTAACAACCAGCTGCCTCAAAATGCACTGGGATCCCTCATAACCAGGTAGCTTCCCATCTCCAACTCTGACCTGCCAAGTCAGAATCTTGTGGGTGGGGCCGAGGACTGTACATATTGAAACAGGCAGTGACCTGGGAACTATTTCTGAACACCCCTATGTTTCCCCTGTGTTTGCCCTTTCCTTTCACATTTGGACCCATTTGTGTGCTGACCACTGGGCTGTTGCACGTGGACATAGCATAAAAAAGACAGGCCAGGTGCAGTGGCTCACGCCTGTAATCCCAGCACTTTGGGAGTCTGAGGTAGGCAGATCACTTGAGGCCAGGAGTTCAAAATCTGCCTGGCCAACATGACAAAACCCCGTCTCTACCAAAAATATGAAATTAGCTGGGTATGGTGATGCACGCCTTTGATCCCAGCTAGCCAGGAGGCTGAGGCTGGAGAATCCCTTGAGCCCAGGAGGGAGAGACTACAGTGAGCCGAGATCGCACCATTGCACTCCAGCCTGGGTGACAGAGTGAGACTCTTAAAAAAAAAAAAAAAAAAAAGACAGAGATGGTCCTTCCTTTATGGAGCTCTCAGTAAAACAAGAAAGTTCACGATATCCTGGCATTTGTCAGAAATACATTTGGTATATGTAGCTGGGGTCACATGCTTGACATGCCTATTGAAAGCTTCTGGGTAGGAAGAGAACAATCACAGCATCACAGCCTAGCATAACTGTCTCCCAGGACAGGTCTTCCTGGGGAGACTGAGGCCACAACTCTGAAATCAGAGCTCAAATCCAGGTTCTACATTTCCCTCAGTAATGTACATGATGTAAGACAGTTTTTATATTAGTTATCTATTGCTGTGCAACAATATTACTGCAAACTTTGTGGCTTGAGACAGCACACAGTTATCACTGTACGGTTTCTGTGGGTCAGGAATCCAGGCATGACTCAGCTGTGTTCAGTGCAAGGCTGCAGCCATAGTGTCAGCCATGGCTTGGTTCTCATCTGGAGGCGTGACTGGTGATTGATCTGCTTCCCGGCTCATCTGGTTGTTGGCAGAATCCAGTTCCTTGCAGGCTGCTGGACACAGGGCCCCAGTTTCTTGCTGCCCTCAGCTTCTTGCCACATGGGCCTCTCCATCTGGCTGCTCATGACATGGCAGCTCACATCTTCAAAGCCAGCAAGTCAGACAGCCTCCTAGCAAGACAACTTAACATCCTATCTAACATAATCACCACATCCCATCACCTCTGCCATATTCTCTTGGTTATAAGAAAGTCATGGGTCCCTTTGTCAGATGAGTAGATTGCAAAAATTTTCTCCCATTCTGTAGGTTGCCTGTTCACTCTGATGGTAGTTTCTTTTGCTGTGCAGAAGCTCTTGGTTTAATTAGATCCCACTAGTCAATTTTTGCTTTTGTTGCCATTGCTTTTGGTGTTTTAGACATGAAGTCCTTGCCCATGCCTATGTCCTGAATGGTATTGCCTAGGTTTTCTTCTAGGGTTTTTATGGTTTTAGGTCTAACATTTAAGTCTTTAATCCATCTTGACTTAATTTTAGTATAAGGTGTAAGGAAGAGATCCAGATTCAGCTTTCTCCATATTGCTAGGCAGTTTTCCCAGCACCATTTATTAAATAGAGAATCCTTTCCCCATTGCTTGTTTTTCTCAGGTTTGTCAAAGATCAGATAGTTGTAGATATGTGGCATTATTTCTGAGGGCTCTGTTCTGTTCCATTGGTCTATATCTCTGTTTTGGTACCAGTACCATGCTGTTTTGGTTACTGTAGCCTTGTAGTATAGTTTGAAGTCAGGTAGCATGATGCCTCCAGCTTTGTTCTTTTGGCTTAGGATTGACTTGGCAATGCAGGCTCTTTTTTTGGTTCTGTATGAACTTTAAAGCAGTTTTTTCCAATTCTGTGAAGAAAGTCATTGGTAACTTGATGGGGATGGCATTGAATCTATAAATTACCTTGGGCAGTATGGCCATTTTCATGATATTGATTCTTCCTACCCATGAGCATAGAATGTTCTTCCATTTGTTTGTATCCTCTTTTATTTCCTTGAGCAGTGGTTTGTAGTTCTCCTTGAAGAGGTCCTTCACATCCCTTGTAAGTTGGATTCCTAGGTATTTGATTCTCTTTGAAGCAATTGTGAATGGAAGTTTGCTCATGATTTAACTCTCTGTCTGTTATTGGTATATAAGAATGCTTGTGATTTTTGCACATTGATTTTGTATCTGAGACTTTGCTGAATTTGGGTATTTTTAGTAGAGATGGAGTTTGCCAAATGCAGCCCCCAGTCACATACTACCTGCTTGGTTAACCGATCACGACCCTCTCATGATCACGACCCTCTCACATGGACCCCCTTAGACTTGTGAGCCCTTAAAAGGGACAGGAATTGCTCACTTGGTTAGCTGGGTTATTAGAGATGTGCGCCACCACGCCCAGCTAATTTTTGTATTTTTAGTAGAGATGGGGTTTCACCATGTTGGTTGCCCAGGATAGTCTCAATCTCTTGATCTCATGATCTGCCCACCTCGGCCTCCCGAAGTGCTGGGATTACAGGCGTGAACCACTGCACCCAGCCCAGAGAAGGCTTTTCATACTTGCTTTGCAGGCTCCTGCATCCTACCCCAGCACCAGGTGCTCACCACCTGTGGGCTGTTCTCATCCATGATCATCTCTCCCCAGGCCTGCTGTTCCTCGAGAAAGGAAGTTGTAATGGGCAGAATTCTAGGACAGCTCCCAAGAGACCCACTCCCTTATATCTGTTCCCTGTATCATCTCCTATTCTTGAGTGTGTCCAGAGCTTGTGATTTGGCCAAGGGGAAGGAATTTTGCAGATGTAATTATGGTCACACTTGCTTTGTTAAACACATTTGCTCATCTGACTTTGAGTTCATCCAAAGCAGTATGATCTTAGGTGGGCCAGACCTAATCAGGTGAGCCTTTTAAAGGTGAAGTTTCAGAGATTCAACTCTTAGCCTCCAAGGAGACACAAATGGCCCTGCTGTGAGCTGTCTTTGGAGGTGGCAGCTCTAGTAGCTGAGGGCCTTCATTCAACAATTGGAAGAAAGTGAATTCAGTCCACAAACTGAATAAGCTTGAAAGAGGACCCTGAGCATCTGATGAGACCCCAGCTCCAACTGACACTCTGGTTGCAGTATTGTGACCCTGAATAGAAGACCCAGTTAAACCCTGCCCAGACCCTTGGCTCATGAAAACACATAATAACTGGGTGGTGTTTAAGCTGCTCAGTTTGCACTGGTAAATCCACCAACAGGAAAGTAATATAGAAGTTAAGTGGGCTGGGCGTGGTGGCTCATGCCTGTAATCCCAACACTTTGGGAGGCTAAGGAGGGTGGATCACAAGGTCAAGAGATCGAGACCATCCTGGCCAACATGGTGAAACCCCATCTCTACTAAAAATACAAAAATTAGCCAGGTGTGGTGGCACACAACTGTAGTCCCAACTACTCAGGAGGCTGAGGCAGGAGAATCACTTGAACTGAGGAGGTGGAGGTTGCAGTGACCCGGGACCATACCACTGCACTCCAACCTGGTTAACAGAGAGAGACTTCATCTCAAAAAAAAAAAAAAAAAAAAAGTTAAACGAATAACTTTTGAGCATTGATGGAAGTTGCTTTCATCCCCTCTTACTTAATCATCTTTATCTTAGCCTTGAAAGAGGGATGCTTTAACCCCATTTGTAACAAGTGAGTCTGAGGCCCAGGAAAGTGATAGAATTTAGCAAAGTCCACCTTGCTATCTGGTGGCCCAGCTAGAACTCAACCCCAGATCCATATACCTAAAGTCATTACAACATCCAATGAAATTTTGCCCCTCTCTCCATGCCTTCCTCTTTAGAAGCCTGTTCTTTCAGGGTTAGATCCCAACCCAGTGTTACAAGGTACTGAACTCTGATTTTCACAAAATATAGTAACTACCCCCCAAAATTGATAATCGTATTTTTGAGCCAGGCATGGTTTTTCATGCCTGTAATCCCAACACTTTGGGAGGCTGAGGTGGGTGGATCATGAAGTCAAGAGATCGAGAGCATCATGGACAACATGGTGAAACCCCATCTCTACTAAAAGTACAAAAATTAGCTGGGAGTGGTGGCAGGCATCTGTAATCCCAGCTACTCAGGAGGCTGAGGCAGGAGAATCGCTTGAACCCAGGAGGCAGAGGTTGCAGTGAGTCAAAATTGCATCACTGCACTCCAGCCTGGCAACAGAGCAAGACTCCATCTCAAAAAAAAAAAAATACTATTTTTGAGTCCTTATGTGTCAACCACTGGGCTATCCCAACACCAATAGATATTATGATTATGATTATTTTTTTCCATTTTATTGATGTGGAAACCAACACATAGAAAGGTAAAGGAACTTGCCAAAGGTGATGTTCACACAGCCAAAGAACTGTAGAAGTAGCACAGGAATCCCAGCAAACTCACAGCCAAGCTCTGCTTTTCACCTTCACGTCATACTGTCCTCAGACTAAATCCCAAACTCTGACGTTCCCAATCAAAAATCATACTCAAGGCCGGGCACGGCAGCTCACGCCTGTCATCTCAGCACTTTGGGAGGCTGAGGCAGGTGGATCACCTGAGGTCAGGAGTTCCAGACCAGCCAGGCCAACATGGTGAAACCCCATCTCTACTAAAAATACAAAACTTAGCCAGGCGCAGTGGTGGGTGTCTGTAATCCCAGCACTTTGGGAGGCTGAGGCACAAAAATCACTTTTACCCAGGAGGCAGAAGTTGCAGTGATCCATGATCATGCCACTGCACTCCAGCCTGGGCAAGAGAGTGACACTCTGTCTCAAAAGAAAAAAAAAAAAGCTGTGCTTAAAAATAGCTTGGAAGTGCACATATCTTCTGTGAAAGTTGATGGACTACAATTAGCTTCAAAACACAAATAAGTAACTGTGTTTAAATGAGGCCTTCTGTGTACTAGCTAGAGAAAATCAATGTAGCTATTCATATTTTGGTTCCCCTTCCAGGCACAGAGAAGTTGCCCATGACTCTGTGATCTGTTTTGTCCAATGAACCATGAGCAGGAGCAACTTGAGTCACCTCCAGGTGGAAGTGCTAAGAGGCTCTGTGATCCACCACATTCCCTTTCCCCTGAAGTGATGATCAAGGACATATGCAGAGATGGGACTTTTGTCAACCTGGATCCCTGAGTGAACACAATGAACAGACCACACCACAATGCCCTAACACAGCCCAGACATGTAACATGACCAAGAATAAGCCTCACTGTGGCCAGACATGGTGGCTCATGCCTGTCATCCCAGCACTTTGGGAGGCCAAGGCAGGTGGATCATTTGAGGTCAGGAGTTCAAGACCAGCCTGGCTAACATGGTGAAATCCTGTCAATACTAAGCACAAAAATTAGCCAGACAGTAGTGGCATGGGCCTGTAATCCCAGCTACTCAGGAGGCAGAGAATCACTTGAGTCTAGGAGGCAGAGGTTGCAGTGAGCTGAAATTGCACCACTGCACTCTAGTCTGGGTGACAGGGTGAGACCCTGTCTCAAAAACAAACAAGCAAACAAATACCTCACTGCATGGAGCCACTGAGATTTGGGGATTGTTGTTACTGCACCAGAACCCAAATCATCCTGACCACTAGACTGTCCTAACTAGGGTTTCTTACCAAAAGCAAAGGCATTTTTAAAGTTCGTGGCATTTAAACAAAAGAGCTTATACCAATATCTGCCACTTTGTCAGGCTAACAACGCAAACAAAGCCAACAGCCAGAAGTTAAAAGAACCAGATTAGGTTGAAAACAGAACTGTCAAAACAGGCAAAATTGACTTTGTTTAGTGATTGCAAAGATCATCAGGCAAGACACAGGTGTGGTCATCATATAATTTATCACATGCTTAATTGCACATGTTTGACTAAGAAAAACACAAAGTATTTAAGCTCATCTGTAGTTCAAAGTGCCTGTCCGTGTATTTATCCATTCATCCTGATTTATTTATTGAGCAACTCTTTTGTGCCAGGCACTGTGCTGGGTGGTGGTAATGCAATGATGGAAATGGCAGGCATGGCTCTGCTCTCCAGGAGTTTCTAGGATACAGAGGGAGATAAACAAAAATTAAGTAAATCCATGAAAGAAGTATTGGTGGAACCTGCCCCCAATATTTCAACATAGGTTCTTTCTGTTTTCCATAAGTGTCAGCCAGCTGAGAAATAAAGAGAGACACTACAAAGAGAGGAATTTCACAGCTGGGCCACTGGAGGTGACATTACCTATCAGTAGGGCCATGATGCCCCCTGAGTCTCAGACCAGCAAGTTCTTAATTAAGGGTTTCAAAAGGGGAGGGGGTGTAAGAACAGGAAGTAGGTACAAAGATCACATGCTTCAAAGGGCAAAGAGCAGAATTACTACTAAGGGTCTAACAAAGATCACATGCTTCTGAGGGAACAGGGCAAAGGGTAAAAGCAGAACTACTGATAAGGGTCCAGCAATGATCACAAAGCAAAGGTCAAAAGCAGAACCACTGATAAGGGTCTATGTTCATTGGCGCATGTATTGTCTTGATAAACATCTTAAACAACAGAAAACAAGAGAACCAGTCTGACCACAGATTTACCAGGGCGGAGTTTTTCTCCACCCTAGTAAGCCTTTGGGTACTGCATGAGACCAGGGCCTATCTCAGTCCTTATCTCAACCGCATAAGACAGACATTCCCAAAGCGGCCATTTATAGACCTCCCCCCAGGAGTGCATTCCTTTCCCAGGGTATTAATATTCCTTGCTAGGAAAAGAATTTAGTGATATCTCTCCTACTTGCACATCCGTTTATAGACTGTCTGCAAGAAGAAACATATGGTTCTTTTTGCCCGACCCTGCAGGCAGTCAGACCTTATGGTTATCTTCCCTTGTTCCCTAAAAATCGCTGTTATTCTCTTCTTTTTCAAGGTGCACTGATTTCATATTGTTGAAACACACATGTTTTAAAATCAATTGGTACAGTTAACACAATTATCACAGTGGTCCTGAGGTGATGTACATCCTTAGCTTATGAATATAACAGGATTAAGAGATTAAAGACAGGCATAAGAAATTATAAAAGTATTATTTGGGAACTGATAAATGTCCATGAAATCTTCACAATTTATGTTCCTCTGCTGCAGCTCCAGCCAGTCCCTCCATTTGGGGTCCCTGACTTCCCACAACAAGAAATAATAGGAGGCTAAGGTGGAGAAGAGCAGGGAAGTCCACTTTATAAAGGGGTCAGGAAAGAGCTCTCTGTTGGAAGCACCATTTTAGCTGAGACCTAAAGGATGGTCTAATTTGGGGAGGTGCAGAGGAAAATCATTCCAGACTGAAGCAGCAAGTGCAAAGGCCCTGTTGTGGAAAAAGGTTTGAAAGTCCAACAAAACAAAAGGAAGCCAGAGTGGCTGAAATAGAGTAGGCCAAGGGGAGGAGATAGGAGAGGGCTGGAGAGGTGGCAGGAACAGGAAGAAGACTCAGGCTCTTGATTTTATTCTATGTGCCATGGGCAGGAAAGGCAGGGATGAGACTCAATGGACACCTCAAGATCACTGAAGCTGCCAGGTGGGAAATGGATTGCTGAGCATCAAGATCAGGTGCAGAGGACCAGTTAAGACCAGTTAGGAGGCTGCTGCTGTAGCCCAGCTGGGATAGCAGTGCCCTAGGCAAAGATAACGACAGTGAAGATAGAGAGAGTGGACAAGTTGGATAAAGTTTAGAATCATGGGACTTGCTGACTGGAGAAGAGGGCAAAAGCAGAGTTAGCACAACACGTGAGTTATGACCACCTTGAGCAGCCCAGTAGGGGGTGGTGCCATTTACAGAACAGAGATGGCACAGACAGAGCCCATGGAGAAGGAGGAAAAAGAGAGTTTGGCTTTGGGTTTTTTTTAAGACAGGGTCTCTGGCTCTGTCACCCAGGCTGGAGTGCATTGGTGTGATCATAGCTCTTTGCAGCCTCAAACTCCTGGGCTCAAGCAATCCTCCTGCCTCAGCCTCCCAAGCAGCAGGATTACAGATCCTACAGATGCACTTCACCATGCCTAGCTAATTTTTTTTTTTTTTTTTTTTTTTTGGTAGACAGGGAGTCTCACTGTGTTTTCCAGGCTGGCTTCAAACTCCTGGCCTCAAGTAATCCTCCCACCTCGGCCTCTCATAGCACTGGGATTACAGCCATCACTTACCACTCCAAGCCATGAGTTTGGCTTTGGATGTAACAAGATTGAGGTGTTCATGGGTTGACAAGTGGAAAAAACAAGAAAGAAGTTGAGTGTTTAAGACTGCTGTTTGAAGGAGAAGTCTAGCCTCAAGACAAAAGTTCAGGACTCATCAGCTGAGAAATGGCACTGAAAATTATGCAAATGGATGAGCTCAGCTAGCAAACAGGTCCAGAGAGAGCAGAAAGTCCAGAGAGAGCAGCACTGGGCCATGCACCTGGCCTAATGCTACCCCACTCCTCCCAATCCCTGTGTTATGCTGGAGAGGGTTCAGCCTCTGGTGAGTTTCACCAAACCCCCACATCTCTTTCTTCTGAGACCTTCTCTAAAATCCCCTCTTTTATACTTAGTGAAATGGGATTCTCTTTTTCCCATCCAGCTTAAGCAAAAACTTTTGACTATGAGGGGAATGAGGATGCATTTAGATTTGCTCTGCATGGCTAATTCCATCAAAGATTTCTCATTTTTCATGCCTGGCAGTCTCATTTTCTTCTTTCGCCTCTCAGACATAGTCATAGCCTTAATTAGTGACGTTTTCACCCTTCTAACACTAGCGATTTTCCCCCATCTCAGTTCTCAGGAAGTTCTGTTCACAGAATTATCTCCTAAGTCATCACGTGGGGATAGAAATTGTTCTCTGTGGCCGTGTCTCCCCCTCTAATTCTCATCAAAAAACACAGTGATCTCTGTGCATCAAATATTAAACTCAAGCTTAACAGATCATGCTTTTGGCTTCTCTCTCTCTCTGGCCTGTGGGGTAACAGGTTTGCAGCCTTTGCAGAGAAGACACCAAATTCTCAGGAGGCCAGAGTTTCCAAGAGTGCTTGTCACTCTTGCTCTCTTTCTCCTGCTCAAAATTCAGCACTAGAGAGTGTTACACCATTGCACCTGCAGAGGAGTTCATCTGACTCTAGGGACTACAGAGGAGAGAGATGGACAAACTAACAGGCATTCAGAAAATGGCTACCACAATGGGGAAGAAAATGAAAGTCAAACCAAATAAGCCATGGTCAAAAAAAAAAAAAAAAATCTAGAGGGCAGCTGCAGTGGCTTACACCTGTAATCCCAGCACTTTGGGAGGCCAAGGCAGGTGGATCACTTGAGATCAGGAGTTCGAGACTAGCCTGGGCAACATAGTGAAATCACATCTCTACTAAACATACAAAAATTAGCCAGGTGTGATGGTGGGCGCCTGTAATCTCAGCATTTTGGGAGGCTGAGGTGGGTGGATCACCTGATGTCAGGAGTTTGAGACCAGCCTGGCCAACATGGTAAAACCCGATTTCTATTAAAAAATACAAAAATTAGCCAGGTGTGGTGGCAGGTGCCTGTAATCCCAGCTACTTGGGAGGCTGAGGCAGGAGAATTGCTTGAACCCAGGAGGCAGAGGTTGCAGTGGGCAAAGATTGCACCACTGCACTCCAGCCTGGGCAACAGTGAGACTTTGTCTCAAAAAAAAAAAAACAAAAAAACAAAAACAAAAACCTAGAAATGTCCATCCAGGCTGAAGAGAATATTCCAGAGCAGGGGATGGGATACTATGGCCCATGGGTCAAATCTGACCTGCTGCACAAGTTTTTGTCAATAAAGTTTTATTGAAACACAGCCATGCCCATTTGCTACATATTGTCTATGGCTGCTGGATTAGGCTGTTCTCTCATGCTATAAGGAAATACCTGAGACTGGGTAATGTACAAAGAAAAGAGGCTTAATTTGCTCACAGTTTTGTAGGCTGTACAGGGAGCATGACACTGACATCTGCTGAGCTTCTGTGGAGGCCTCAGGAAACTTACAATCATGGCAGAAGGTGAAGTGGGAACAAGAGAGTGAGGAGGGAGGTGCTACGCACTCGTAAACAACCAGATCTTGCAAGATCTCACTCACTATTGCAAGGACAGGACGAAAGGGATGATGCTAAATCATTCATGAGAAATCCACCCCCATGATCCAATCTGTCCCCACCAGGCCCCACCTCTAACACTGGGGATTACATTGCAACATGAGATTTCGGCGGGGAGACATATTCACCCTATATCAGCTGCTTTCATGCTATGGGTGGCAGAGTTGAGTAACTACTACAAGAGACTGTATGGCCCATGAATTCTAAAATATTTACTATCTGATGCTTTCAAGAAATTTTACAAAGCCTGCTCTTGAAAAGGAAGGGAAGGAAGAGGAGAGGAGGAAGGCAGGAAGGAGCAGAGAGGGACACGGGGCTGTATTCAAACATCTGTTGTTAAGAAAGAGAAATTCAATTTATTTGGCATGGCCCAAGTTATCAAACTAGGAACACTCCATTGAAGTTTCAGAACAAACACTGTGCTGAATATAAGGATGACCCCATCTGTAAAGCCTAACCTTGTTTTTATTAACTTTGTTCGTAGACGTTCCTTTTCTTTTAATCACTTAGCCTTGTTTCTACCTGAATTGACTTTCTTTTAGCTAAGAGAGCTAGACAGACTTTATCTTGGCTTTTTCACTGGCAGCCCCTTCCTCAAGGACTTAACTTGTGCAAGCTGACTCTTAGCACATCTAAGAATGCAATTAACTGATAAGATACTGTGGGGCGAGCAATATCCACAGTTCCTAGGAATTCGTCTGATTGATAATGCCTAAAGCCCCGTGTCTATCACTTTGTAATAGTCTTAAAGCCCTTAGACCTAGAACTGTTTACTTTCCTGTAACAATTTATCCTTTTAACTTCTTTGCCTACTTCTGTAAAATTGTTTTAACTAGACCCCTTTCCCCTTTCTAAACTAAAGTATAAAAGAAAATCTAGCCCCTTCTTCGGGGCTGAGAGAACTTTAAGCATTAGCCGTATCTTGGCCACCGGCTAAATAAAGACTCATAATTCGTCTCAAATTGTGGCATTTTCTCTAACTCGCTCAAGTACAACATTTGGAGGCCCTAGTGAGAAACGCCACCAGGCGAGAGCCGGGCTTGCTCCGGGCCCCCCCGGAAGGACGGCCGGCTTGTAATGGGGGCGCCACCTGAAAAAAAATTTTCAGGTCCCCGAAAGGTGACCGTCTTCCGGAGGAGAGCAGATCGACTACCGTGTGGGTGCCCACAAAAATTCCACCTCTGAGTCCTCAACTTGTGACCCCGAGGTCAGGTAGGTCAGATTTGACTTCAGTTCTAGTAAGAGGGAAGCGGCCCTGATGACGACGTCCCTCTTTTGACTCTGCCCATTTCCCTAGGATGCTAGAAGGTAGAGCCCTGGTTTTCTGTTAGGCACGTCTGTGTCTCTGTCTAGGAGGGAAGTGGCCCTGACAGGGGCCCTCCCTTGACTCAGTCCACATCCCAGGATGCTGGAGGACTGAGTCCTGGTTTCTGGCAGACCGGTCACTCTCTCTCTCTCTCTCTCTCTCTCTCTCTCTTTCTATCTCTCATCTTTCTCTTGTTCAAGTTTCTTGAAGAATCTCCAAGAAAGAAAGAAAAAAAAAACTGTTATAAACTCTGTGTGAATAATGAATGAATGAGGGAGGACAAGGGCTTGCGCTTGTCCTCCAGTTTATAGCTCCACGGTGAAAGCTACGGAGTTCAAGTGGGCCCTCACCTGCGGTTCCGTGGCGACCTCATAAGGCTTAAGGCAGCATCAGGCATATCTCGATCTGAGCCGGAAGTTTATACCGGCCTGCCAATGCTAAGAGGAGCCCAAGTTCCCTCAGGGGGAGCGGCCAGGCAGGCATCTGACTGATCTCATCACAGGACCCCCTCCCCTTGTCTGTCTAAAAAAAAAAAAAAAAGGAAGAAACTGTCATAACTGTTTACATGCCCTAAAGTCAATTGTTTATGTTGATTGTTCTGTTCAGTGTCTATTTTCTTGTTTAGTAGTTGTCAAAGTTTTGCATGTCAAGACGTTGATATTGCCCAAGACATCTAAGTAAAAACTTCTTCAAAGTCCTTAGTGCTGATTTTTTGTCACAGGAGGTTAAATTTCTTATCAATCATTTAGGCTGGCCACCACAGTCCTGTCTTTTCTGCCAGAAGCAAGTCAAGTGTTGTTACAAGAACAAGTGTGAAAAACATTTGCCTGATTAAGATTTCTAGCACCATGAAAGTTGTAAGTATTTGGATTGTCATACCCCACGTCCAAGTGATTAGACCTCCTCTAAACTAAACCAGTAGTAAATTCAAAACAGCCACCATGCAGATTTCCTTGCTCACTTCTTTTGTCATTCTGTAACTTTTCCTGTGCCCTGAAGTAGAACGTATGCCCGTACTACTTTACTTCGTTGAGATTCTTACTCTGTTCCTCTGTGGCTACTCTCCCATCTTAAAAATGATCTGAGTAGTCCTTTTTGCATCGTCCCTGCCCTCTACCCTGCACGTCTCATTTTCTGGTGTGACAGCAAGTTCAGCATCTCCATGACTTGACTCTGCTCTCACTCCTTAAACCCTTAAAAGAAAAAGCTAAGTTTAAGCTATTTGCCTTTAAGTCATAAAGACACCAAAAGTATTTAAAGTACAGATCTAGAAGAAGAAGAACGCCTAGATCAAACTGACCCAGAAGATCTCAGGCTGGCTCTAGTCCTCCTCCCTCAATCTTAAAGCTACAGTAATGTAGCAAGTAGCATTAGCTGTTGTAGTTTTTCTGCTCTTTCTAGTCATGTTGATTCTGTTCTTTCAATACTCCAGTCCCCTAAGAAATAAGTTTCTCTGTCCATGCTAAGTTTAATATTTATGCTCAAATCTTATTAAATTGCCTTCAAAAAAAAATAAGAAACACTTCCTCCCAGCCTTGTAAAAGTTAAAGCCCTCTCCAATGTGTGCTGCAGAATTTTCCTCTCAGTTTCTCAGAGGATTATAAAGTCCGCCTTAAAAAAGGCAAACTCCAGACACTGTGCAAAATAAAATGGCCAAAGTTTAAAGTCAAGTGGCCCCCTGAAGGGTCGTTGAACCTCACAATTGTTCAAACTGTGTGGCAGGTTCTTACTGAAACTCCTAGCCACCCTGATCAGTTTCCCTACCTTGATCAATAGCTAAGTTTAGTCAGGAGCCCCTCCATAGCTCCGCTCATGCGCCATTCAGAATTCTACCTCCAAGGTCCTCCTAAGCCAGACCGCGTTTTCACCTCGACCCTCAGCCGGTTCGGCTTCCCCTGTACTGCCTCCCTCTGAAGAAGAGGAGAGTCTCCCTCACCCAGTCCCACCGCCTTACAACCAGCCTGCTCCCTTAAAGTTATCCCATGTCTCCTCGACGACGTCCCCTGTAGGCTCGCCACCCATTGCCTCTCAATCGCGACCGTGGCAGGAAGAAGTAGCCCCTCTACTACCACTGAGAGAGGCACAAGTCCCTCCAGGTAATGAGCGCTCAGCCCCCTTCTTAGTTTATGTCCCTTTTTCTACTTCTGACTTATATAATTAGAAAACCCATAATCCTCCCTTCTCTGAGAAGCCCCAGGCTTTGACCTCTCTAATAGAGTCCGTACTCTGGACTCACCTGACCACCTAAGATGATTGCCAACAGCTCCTTTTAACCCTTTTCACCTCTGAAAAAAACGAACGTATCCGAAAAGAAGCCAAAAATAATTCCTCACATCAGCCAATAGACCGGAAGAAGACACTAGAGACCTCCTTGAAGAGGTCTTTCCCTCTACCTGGCCTAACTGGGACCCAAATTCCTCAAGTAGAAGGAGAGCTTTAGGCGATTTTCACCGCTATCTCCTCGCAAGTATTAAAAGAGCCGCTCAGAAACCCATAAACTTGTCTAAGATCACTGAAGTTGTCCAAAGGCCCGATAAGTCACCAAGAAAGTTTTTAGAGCGTCTCCAGGAGGCTTATTGGATTTACACCCCTTTTGACCCGGCAGCTCCGGAAAATAGCCGTGCTTTTAATTTAGCATTTGTGGCTCAGGCAGCCCCGGATATTAAAAAGAAACTCCAAAAACTAGAAAGATTTGCTAGAATAAATATCAGTCAGCTTTTACAAATAGCCCAAAAAGCTTTTGACCATCAAAAGGCTAAAAAACAAAAACAAGCAACACAGGCAGCTGAAAAGGCCGCTGATAAAGCATTCAAAAGACAAACAAAAATCTTAGTGGCGGCTATCCAAGAAGTGCAGAATAAAATAGCCCATTAATTTAGCATTAACTGAAGCCCCTGCTTTAGCCCTCCCTAATATCTCCATAAAAGCCAAGGAGTTGCTAAAGAGGTGCTTACTCAGGCTTTAAGACCCTAAAGACACCCAGTGGCCTATTTATCTAAGAGGCTACATCCTGTGGCCTCTAGATGGCCAAGTTGTCTGTGAGCTGTAGAGGCTACAGCAAGCCTAGCCCAAGAAGATAAGTTTACTCTAAGCCAAAATTTAACCCTTACAGCTCCTCGTGCTGTAAAGACCTTACTACGAAGTGCTTCTGGCAAATAGATGTCAAATGCTCGCATCTTGCAGTATCGAAGTTTACTGTTAGATCAGCCTCGTTTGACTTTCTATCCCACAAAGTGTTTCAATCCAGCTACACTACTTCCTGACTCAGAGTGCACTATTCCTGCTCATGACTGTCAAGAACTGTTAGAAACTATCGAAACTGGCCGATCTGATCTTCAAGATGTGCCCCTGGAAAAGGCAGATGCCGCCGTGTTCACAGACAGTAGCCGCTTCCTCAAGCAGGAAGTAGGAAAAGCCAGTGCAGCTGTTACCATGAAGACAGACGTGTTGTAAGCTCAAGCTTTACCAGCGAACACCTCAGCACAAAAGGCTGAATTGATCGCCCTCACTCAGGCTCTCCGATAAACTAAGAATAAACGTATTAACATTTACACTGGCAGCAAGTACGCCTTTGCTACTGTGCATGTACATAAAGCCATCTACCAGGAAAGCAGGCTACTCACCTCAGCAGGTAGCTGTGATCCACTGCAAAGGACATCAAAAAGAAAACAAGGCTGTTGCCCATAGTAACCAGAAAGCTGATTCAGCAGCTAAGGTCACAGCGCCACTTTCAGTCACGCCTCTAAACTTGCTGCCCACAGTCTCCTTTCCACAGCCAGATCTGCCTGACAATCCCATATACTCAACAACAACAAAAAACTGGCTTCAGATCTCAGAGCCAATAAAAATCAGGAAAGTTAGTAGATTCTTCCTGACTCTAGACTCTTCATATCCTGAACTATTAAAGAAACTTTAATCAGTCACCTACAGTCTACCACCCACTTAAAAAGAGCAAAGCTACCTCAGCTCCTCCGGAGCCATTTTAAGATCCCCCGTCTTCAAAGCCTAACAGATTAAGCAGCTCTCCAGTGCACAACCTGCGCTCATGTAAATGCCAAACAGAGTCCTAAACCCAGCCCTGGCCACTGTCTCTGAAAAAACTCGCCAAGAAAAAAGTAAGAAATTGACTTTACAGAAGTAAAACCACACCAGGCTAAGTACAAATACCTTCTAGTACGAGTAGACACCTTCTCCAGATAGACTAAGGCATTTGCTACCGAAAACGAAACCACCAACACAGTAGTTAAGTTTTTATGCAATGAAATCATCCCTCAATATAGGTTGCCTGCTGCCATAAAGTCTGATAATAGACCAGCCTTCACCTCGCCTATAGCTCAGTCAGTCAGTAAGGCGTTAAACATTCAATAGAAGCTCCATTGTGCCTATCAACCCCAGAGCTCCAGGCAAGTAGAACGCGTGAACCACACCCTAAAAAACACTCTTACAAAATCTTAAAAACCAGTGTAAATTAAGTAAGTCTCCTTCCTTTAGCCCTACTTAAAGTAAGGTGCACTCCTGCCATTCATTCCAGCCAGGAGACCTAGTGTTTGTTAAAAAGTTCCAAAAAGAAAGACTCACTCCTGCTTAGAAAAGACCTCACACCGTCATCCTCACGACTCCAACTGCTCTGAAAGTAGACGGCATTCCTGCTTAGATTCATCACCCCCGCATCAAAAAAGCCAACAGAGCCCAGCTAAAAACATAAGTCTCCAGGCCTAAGTCAGACCCCTTAAAACTGCACCTAAGTCAGGTGAAGCCATTAGATTAATTCTTTTTATCTACCTCACTTATTTGTTTTTGCGCTTTATGTCCTCTGTGCCTTCCTACTCCTTTCTCCTCACCTCTTTCACAACAGGACGTGTATTTGCAAACACCACTTAGAAGGCCAGTACCTCCAAGGAAGTCTCCTTCGCAGTTGATTTATTTGTACTTTTCCCAAAGCCAGCCCATACCCACGAAAAGCAACACAATCTTCCAGTCCCAGGGGCAGGAAGTGTCGACCTTGCAGCAAGATTCAGACATTCCAAGAGCCAAACTAAATGAAGAAGCTCCAAAAGTGCAGAAAAAAGACTCCAAAATATTGACTTTTACCTCTGTCCTAGAAATCACCCTGATGCTAGCTGTCAAGATGCTTATCAGTTTTTCTGCCCTGATTAGACATGTGTAACTTTAGCCACCTACTCTAAAAGATCAACCAGATCTTCAACTCTTTCCATAAGTCATGCTTCTCATCCTAAATTATGTACTAGAAAAAATTGTAATCCTCTTATTATAACTGTCCATGACCTCAATTCAACTCAATAGTATCATGGCATGGCATGAAGATTAAGATTTTATATCCCAGGATTTAATGTTAAGTCTATGTTCACCATCCAAAAAAACCCTAGTCTCATGAAGCCCACCCAAGCCAATCAGACCTTTAACTGATCTAAGTAACCCTATGTTCCAGAAACACCCTGACAAAGTTGATTTAATAGTTCCTCCACCATTCTTAGTCATAAAAGATACACTCCAAAAAGTGCAAGAAAATCTAGACAAGCGCCAACAAGAACAAGAAAATAACATCCCCTAGTATCAAAACATGTTCAACTAGAACCCATAGCTAACCACTCTAATTACTAAATTAGCCAGACCCCCTCCCCATCCTACTAATAAGTCTAATTTTTGGGCCTTGTATATTAAATTAGTTCCTTAAGTTTGTAGAACAACGCATAGCTTCTGTCAAACTTATGTATCTTAAGACTCAATATAACCCCCTTTTTATAACTGAAGAATCAATGATTTGATTCCCCAAAAACACAAGTGAGGAATGTAATGCCTAACCTTGTTTTTACTAACCGTGTTCTTAGACTCTCCCTTTCTTTTAGTGACCTAGCCTTGTTTCCACCTGAATTGACTCTCCCTTAGCTAAGAGAGCCAGACAGACTCCATTTCTTGGCTCTTTCACTGGCAGCCCCTTCCTCAAGGACTTAACTTGTGCAAGCTGACTCCCAGCACATCGAAGAATGCAATTAACTGATAAGATACTGTGGTGAGCAATAACCGCAGTTCCCAGGAATTCATCCTATTGATAACGCCCAAAGTCCCGTGTCTATCACCTTATAATAGTCTTAAAGGCCCTAGACCTAGAACTGTTTACTTTCCTGTAACAATTTATCCTTTTAACTTTTTTGCCTACTTTACTTATGTAAAATTGTTTTAACTAGACCCCCCTCCCCTTTCTAAACCAAAGTATAAAAGAAAATCTTAGCCCCTTCTTCGAAGCCGAGAGAACTTTAAACGTTAGCCGTTCCTTAGCCGCCGGCTAAATAAACAGACTCTTAATTCATCTCAAACTGTAGCGTTTTCTCTAACTCTCTCAAGAACAACACATCCAGCAGGCACGTAATCCACTCTAAAATGCTGTCCTGGGGTAGTGAAGATGATGTTGCTGGAAATATCCTTAAATGGCATGTGGATGAGTTCCCCCAGAGGCATACATGTTGAGCTAAATACTTTGCTGATGAAGGGTACAATTTGAAGGGATTTTGAAAGGCAGAGTGAGGTTCCTCAGAAGGCTGTTGCTACAGACAGCCAGGAGGAGAAATTACATGGAGAGATAGAGTGGCATGACCATTGGATAAGGGTTTTTTTGTTTGTTTTTGAGATGGAGTTTTGCTCTTGTTGCCCAGGCTGGAGTGCAATGGCATGATCTCAGCTCACCGCAACCTACACCTCCCAGGTTCAAGTGATTCTCCTGCCTCAGCCTCCCTAGTAGCTGGGATTACAGGCATGTGCCACCACACCTGGCTAATTTTGTATTTTTAGTAGAGACAGGGTTTCTCCATGTTGATCAAGCTGGTCTTGAACTCCCGACCTAAGGTGATCCCCCCGCCTTAGCCTCCCAAAGTGCTGGGATTACAGGCATGAGCCACAGCACCCAGGCTGGATGAGGGTCTTTAGCAAAGATGGAAGTTTTGGTATCTTGCAGTTTAATCTCTTCATTTATGTCCTCCTGAAATCTTCAGTAATAGCACACTTTATCAATGCTTCTGGGGTCGTACTTAGGGGGACTTAAAGGAGATGTGATGTGGCAGCCTTTGACTCAAGGGAGTATTATACTAGCTCAAAGAGATCTGGGTACATGCCTGTTGAACCAACTCTTCTGAGGATGTGTTAGATCCTGGGAGGCCACTCTGATCCTGCCAACCTTAAGGCCAGATGAGTCTTTGAAAAACATGGTTTGGCTTAACACCAGCACTTAGTTTAACACCCACCATGAATCTTGCTGAAGTGAAGCTATACAAATACCTTTCAAAAGATTTTTTTTTCATTTCAGATCCTTCTTAGAAATTCCTAAGGCTCAATGCTGTGTGGAAGTTTCTAAGAAAGAAAATAGTTTCCGATCTTTGGGATTCCCCTGAGATGGTCCAATCTGCAAAAATTTCATTGCCATTTCCATCAAGGACACTGAGAACAAGAGTCTTATCTGGATTGGATCCTGGGAATTGAGAAGTTTCCTCAAGTGGGAAATGCACCCTCCACAGGCTCACACCCTTGTGGGCTATTTCAGTTACCTATTGCACCCTAAAATTAGAAACTTTAAACCACCATAAGTCATTATTGCTCATGACCCTGTGAGTTGCATGGGGACTTCCTGTCTGGCTTAACCTGGGCTCATTTGTGTGGCTACCTGCAGCTGGAGGGCCAGATGGGCGGAACATCCAGGACAGCCTCACGCATGTTCCTGGCAGTTGGTGCTGGCTGTCAGCCGGGGAACCTTCTTTTCCTCCATGTGGCCCCTCGCCCTCCAGAGCCCCTCTCCAAATGACCCTTTAAGCAGGATAGCCAAGGTTTGCTTGGTGCCAGCATCCAAGAGGGCAAAAATATGGAAACTACGAGAGGGCCCTCAAGGCCTAAGACTATATGCATCCCAAAAATCTGAGGTCTCAGTTAATTCAGAAAGTTTATTTTGCCAAGGTTGAGAATGCACCCCTGTGATACAGCCTCAGGAGGTCCTGACAACATGTACCTAAGGTGGTAGGGACACAGCTTGGTTTCGTACATTTTAGAGAGACATAAGACATCAATCAATATGTGCAAGATGTACATTGGTCCAGTCTGGAAAGGCAGGACAACTCCAGGTGAAGGTGAAGGTGAGACAACTCGAAGTGGGGAGGGGGCTTCCAGGTCATAGGTAGTTAAGAGACAAATGGTTGCATTCTTTTGAGTTCTTGATTAGACTCTCCAAATGAGGCAATCAGATATACATTTATCTCAGTGAGCAAAGGGGTGACTTTGAATAGAATGGGAGGCAGGTTTGCCCTAAGCAGTTCCCAGCTTGACATTTCTCTTCAGCTTAGTAACTTTTTTTTTTGTTGGGGGGGGACAGAGTCTCACTCTATTGCCCAGGCGGAAGTGCAGTGGTGTGATCTCGGCTCACTGCAACCTCCAACTCCAGGGTTCAAGCAATTTTCCCTGCCTCAGCCTCCCGAGTAGCTGGGATTACAGGCGCCTGCCACCACACCTGGCTAATTTTCATATTTTTTAGTAGAGACGGGGTTTCATCATGTTGGCCAGGCTGGTCTTGAGCTCCTGACCGGTGATCTGCCCGCCTCAGCTTCCCAAAGTGCTGGGAACTCCTGACCTCAGGTGATCCGCCTGCCTCAGCTTCCCAAAGTGCTGGGATTACAGGCGTGAGCCACCGAGCCCGGCCTAGCTTAGTGATCTTGGGTCCCCAAGGTTTATTTTCCTTTCACGGCTAGAAGTTGGTCACCATCACTTTGGCAGCATTCCACTGGCCAAAGCAAGTCATAGGCAGCCCAGATTCATGTAGAGGAATATAAACTCTACGTCTTAAAGGAAAGATTGGTTCAATTACACTACACGAGCGTTTGCAGAAAATTGTACCCATCTTTGGAAACTACCACACACACACACACACACACACACACACACACACACACACACACACCTTTACATGTACCCCTCCCTTGAGGTGCATCTACTTCCAGGCAGAACTTAAACTTGACAGTACTCGACAGAAGAAAAGTAGTGTACTAAATGCCAGTTCTCTTCTTACTCAACTTCAGCCTTATTATAAGCAGATTCTAACACAGTTTATGTGTCTTGAGAAACATAGTAATTAATCTTTGGAACTTAAGAATTTATATGTAACTAACCTGCACAATGTGCACATGTACCCTAAAACTTAAAGTATAGTAAAAAAAAAAAAAAAAGAAAAAAAAAAGAATTTGAATTCATAGCAGTAGCCTATGCATAGGAAATATGCATATGGTAAGTTTTTCCTTTCTGATAAATCATGCTGAAGGAACCACAATGTAACTTTTTGTTTTTTTTTGAGAGGGAATCTCACTCTGTTGCCCAGGCTGGAGTGCAGTGGCATGATCTCAGCTCACTGCAACCTCCACCTCCCGGGTTCAAGTGATTCTCCTGCCTCAGCCTCCTGAGTAGCTGGGATTACAGGTGCGCAAGACGGGGTTTCACCATGTTGGTCAGGTTGGTCTCGAACTCCTGACCTCTGATCTGCCCACCTCGGCCTCCCAAAGTGCTGGGATTATAGGCGTGAGCCACCGGCTCACGTATACTGTAACTGTATATTGAAAGTTTCTTTTTTTAATAATTAACAGGTTTAACAGAATATATCTCCTAATCTATTCCTTTTACTGCAGACATCTTTTGCCTTTTCAGCCTAGCAGCCCTCTCCCCTCTATGGAGACTCACACTTCCTACTCCAGTCACGTGCCTCTCATGGGGGCTGCCATGTTCTCACATGACTCCACCCCTCTGGCCTCAGTTGATTGGCTCAGGGATGAACATCTGGCCTAAATTGGCCAATCAGAATTCTTCCCTTGAATATTTTTCCAAACTGGAACCAGGCCAAGTTAATCATTCTCTGTGATGACAGGAACTGTGTGTAATGAGAAATACAGGAGCTTTTGTGACCACATATCTCGCCTTATGGAGAAAAGGCTTGAGTAAGAAGAAATTAAGCTAGTATGCAGACAAACCTAGAGACAGAGATGGAGAGAGAGATCTGATGGTGTCTCCATCCAGAGATGGAGAGAGAGATCTTGTGGTAAGCCCCTTTGTATTTATCAATCTAGTACATGCTTGCTACTGCATACAACCAAGACTTTCACCTGAGAGTTTTTTCAAAGTCAGGCATGGAATATGTCAGAAAAGCCACAGAAGCCGGGTGCAGTGATTCACGCCCATAATCCCAACACTAGGAGGCCAAGGCAGGTGGATCACGAGGTCAGGAGTTCAAGACCAGCCTCACCAACATGACAAAACCCCGTCTCTACAAAAAAATAAAAAAATTAGCAGGGCATGGTGGCAGGCGCCTGTAATCCCAGCTACTCAGGAAGCTGAGGCAAGAGCATCGTTTGAACCTGGGAGGCAGATATTGCAGTGAGCCGAGATCATGCCATTGCAGTCCAGCCTGGATGACAGAGCAAGACTATGTCTCAAAAAAAAAAAAAAAAAAAAAATGAAAGAAAAAAAAGCCAGAGAGTTGATGCCCTGGGACCAGTCCTCAGCCAGTGACGGATGGGAACCAGGCTATAAATGCTTCAGTATCTTCGTCCCCTAGATGGAACAACTTCGAAATGTGTTCCACATCACCTCCCAGAGGTCCCCAGTGGGGTCAAATCCTAGTTGCCTGGAGTGGTAAGCTTCTCACTGAAGCCCCCTGTGTGGCCTCCTGCCTTTTCATGAATCAGTTCCTCACTCCCCTATTGGTGTTCCCTGGAATCATCTCCTAAATAATCCACTTGCAATCCTGTCCCTCTTTCAGCATCTGCTTGGGGTTGGGGTTGGGGAGTGCAGACCAAAACATGATCCCTTTTCCACTCCACACTAGTAGGATGAGTTTCTGTCACTGGCAACCAAGATTCTGACTATTACCTCCTTGTGAGATAATTTCTAAAATGTATTTGGGAATTTCCCCACCTCCACCCCACTGCGTATGTCATCAATATGTACATTTCTTAACAAAGTTTAATGGTATTCTTTGATCAACCTCAAGTTTCACAAAGCACACTGCACTTTCATAAGGGATCCCCATGACTGACAGATCAGCCATTCAAAAGAAGGGAAGTGTCAGAGATGGCTCTGCTAGAATCATGTATTTTTCAGTAGAACCTGGGTCAGGATGGTGTGGTTGGGAGATGCTTCTGGAGCTCTGAGACCCACAAGCCTGCATGTCCCATGGTGGAGTATTAGCACAACTTGAAAACATAGTGGCAGGAGGAGGCTTCCTCCCTCCCCTGCAGTTCATCCTCCACTATACCCAACGTGCTAATAGATATTGGTTAAATGAATAATGGGGCCAGGCGTGGTGGTTCACACCTGTAATCCCAGCACTTTGGGAGGCTGAGGCAGGTGGATCACCTGAGGTCAGGAGTTCAAGACCAGAATGGCCAACATGGCGAAACCCCGTCTCTACTAAAAATATAAAAATTAGCCAGGTGTTGTGGTGGGCGCCTGTAATCCCAGCTACTTGGGAGGCTGAGGCAGGAGAAGCACTTGAACCTGGGAGGCAGAGTTTACAGTACGCTGACATGGCACCACTGCACTCCAGCCTGGGTGACAGAGCAAGACTCAAAAGAAAAAATAAAAAGAAAGAAAAAAGAATAATGGATTTATTCCTTCCAAACTGCAACTCACCAGAAGAAGAACAAGATGCATCACAATGTTGTGGCCATAATCACCACAGTGACGATAATGAATATAATCAACTCTCGAGCCAGCCACCTCCACTAAACCTAGCAGATCACATCTGGTGTTTCACTTTGGGGATGTTTTAGTGGTCACAGTAGATGGTTGCCTGACTGCTGGCTGTTTCTACTGTGTTTCAGGAATATAGAGATGTGTATGGATGACCCCTAAAATTAATTAGTATGCAATTCTCAAAGAGCCAAACTCTACCCCAAAAGCTACTGGAATGAAAAAAAAAGAGTTTTAATTATCAAAGAGACAAACTAGATAGTAAAAGCATTTATGTTCCCTCGGAGAATCTTCCCAACCAAGGACTCAAAGTGGACTCCAGACCAGGGAATACCTGGGGCCTTGGACATTCCCAATTCTGGTATCACCTCCCATTCTCCTTTAGGTCCAGTTTTCTCAGAGGAGCATACAATGTTCATTGCCACCAAGGGTATCCAAGGACACAAACTGAAGATAATAGTGCTTTATTGTCTCTCAGTCATCTGTCTCTCCCACATGCTGGAAGGAGAGCCAAGTCCAATTTATCCAATTAGAAAATAGCAACATTGGCATCATGAGATCAGCTAACAAAACTTTCAGAGGCAATCTGTCTTCCTACCAAAAGTAACTAACATCTGTGGAGCACTTACCATGGCTAAGGGTCAACGTAAGTGGCTTGCATGCTGCATGTGTCAGGATGGACTAGGTTATGCTGCAGTAACAAATTAACCCCAGAGTCTCAGCAGCTTAGCAACCAAGGTTGATTTCTTACATTCCATGTCCACAATGGGTTGGCTGGGTATGGTGTGCTCCATATGGCCACTCAAAGACCTAGAATAATGGAAATTCTACCATCTTAATGCAGGGATTCTCCCATAGTTACTGCACCAGGAGATGAGAGGATGAGATAGTTATTCCCAAGCCCTCAAATCTGTAGACTAGAGGTGATGTCAGTGACTTCCACTTATAGAGCATTGGACCCCGGCATGGATCCATCTAACTACTGGGGGTCTGGGGAATACGGGGAGCACATGGAAATCCCATGAGCAGTAACCATTCCTGCCAGCATGCATTATTTCATCTGAACCTCACAACCCCATGGAATATAGAACAGAGGCTTAGAGAGTTATGGGACCTGCCCCAAGGCGTCATAGATAATGAGTTGCAGAGCTGAGATATGACCCTCCGCCTGGCAGGACTCAAACCACTAAGCTGCATATTCATTACAAAAGTCTATGAAATTCCTCATACAGCAAAACACCACACCAAGTGAAAAGAAAGCCAAGTTGTGCAAATACACAATAGAACTCCCCTGACACTTCATCTCCTCACCCACCCCACCCCCAACCGAAAGAATCAACCCACGCAAATAACTGGAATGAAATTCTCAGGCAATTTCAGCAGGGGAAATGGGGTTATCTCATCTGGGTCTCACATCCGACCTCATCGAGACAAGACCTTCCCTAAACTTCACCTGAACACCTGGACACACCGTCATGTCTTGCCGCTTCTTGTTACTGGAAATCCAATGATGACATCTTTATACAACTTACAGGTCTTTCTATAAGTGCCAAGATAAATGTCATCCCTGTACCTGCATAACATTCAGAGGTAGGCAAGCTTCTATGTAAAGTGCTAAATAGTAAATATTATCAGCTTTGCAGGACACATCTGATCTCCATCCTATATACTTTTTTTGTTTGTTTTACCATTTTGTTTTCTTTTTAGATAGGGTCTAAAAAGAAAATAAAACTTATCCATGCTGTGATATGGATGAACGTTAAAAACATGCTCAGTGAAAGAACCAGACATGAAAGGTCATATATTGTACAATTCCATTTATATGCAATGTTGAGACTAAGCCAATTGACAGGGATAGAAAGTAGAGGAGAGGTTTCCAGGGGCTGCGGGAGGGGGTATGCAGGGTGACTGCTGAATGGATATGGATATGAGGCTTCCAATGGAGGTGTTGAAAAAGCTCTGAAACTAGGTAGTGGTGATAATTGCACATCATGATAAATGTACAAAATGTCACTGAATTGTACACTTTCAGATGCACAAAATGGTAAATGTTGCATATATTATACCACAATTTTATTCATTCATTTCAGAGATAGAGTCTCACTCTGTCCCCCAGGCTGCAGTGCAATGGCACAATCATAGCTCACTGCTGCCTTTACCGCCTGGGCTCAAGCAATCCTCCCACCTAGTCTTCCAAGTAGCTGGGACTACAGGTGAAGGCTACCACACCCAGGGTTTCTAATTTTTTTTATAGAGTTGCATTCTCACTATATTGCCCAGACTAGCCCAAACTCCTGGCTTCAAGCGATTCTCTCATCTCAGCCTCCCAAAGTGCTGGGATAACAGGTGTAAGCCATCACGCCAGGCAATTTTTAATTCTTGTGCGAAATTTTCAACTAATAAAATCCTTGGATTAAGAAAGTATTGATCAACATGGGGATTAGAGGAAAAACTAATTTTAAACAAGAGAAAAAATTAAATGAGATGATGTATACGTGTACAGTGCCTGGCTCATGATCACTGAGTCCACTGCAGCTTTTTTTTTTTTTTTTTGAGACAGGGTTTCACTCTGTCACCCAGGCTGAGTACACTGGCATAATCACAGCTTACTGCAGCCTCAACCTCCTGGGCACAAGTGATCCTCCCACCTCAGCCTCTCAAGTAGCTGGGACTACAGGTGCACGCAGCCACACCCAGCTATTTTTGTTGTTGTTGTTGTATTTTTGGTAGTGACAGGGTCTCACCATGTTGCCCTGGCTGGCATCTTGAACTCCTGGGCTCAAGCGATCCTCCCACCTCAGCTTCCCAAAGTGCTGGGATTACAGGTGTGAGCCACCATGCCCATCCTGTTGTAGCTATTTTAATAGTGCTGCTGAACAATAATTTGCTCTCCCTATAAAAACAGGACATACAAGCCAAGGAAAGCGCCAATCTAGTTCGTTCTCCCCAGATCTTCAAAATGTTGGTATTATTATAAGAGTCCAAAATATTTCACATGGTTTGATTTTTTTTTTTGGAGACGGAGTCTCATTCCATCGTCCAGGTTGGAGTGCAGTGGCACAATCTCGGCTCACTGCAACCTCCGCCTCCCGGGTTCAAGAAATTCTCCTGCCTCAGCCTCCCAAGTAGCTGGGATTACAGACATGTACAACCACACCCTGTTAATTTTTGCATTTTTAGTAGAAATGGGGTTTCTCCATGTTGGCCAGGCTGGTCTCGAACTCCTGACCTCAAATGATCTACCCGCCTCGGCCTCCCAAAGTGCTGGGATTACAGGTGTAAGCCACCATGCCCGGCCAGTTTAATTTTTTATTGTGGTAAAATACATACAAAATCTATTATTTTAGCCATTTTCAAAGGAAAAATTCAGTGGTGTTAAGTGCATCCACCACATTGTACAGCCATGTCCCCCATCCATCTCCAGAACGCTTTCATACTGTCCTGCAAATATGCGGCACCTTGCTACACTCCGGGTTGTTTGTCTCACAACAGAACTGGGCAGAATTATTAATGTGGACTTTGTTCAACAACGGACTAAAGAGGGAGAAGCCCATGAACTCTGTGAGGAGTGCATAACAGGTGCTAGTGGGGTGACAGGGCTCGGGGCTCTCCAGCTGCTGCTGCTGCTGCCGCCTGTCCTACTGGGTAGCCACCCTGTCCCAGGGAGGAAGAGCACTCAGAGCTACTGCTGATCTCCTTCCAGGGCTTCCACTGGGACTAGGATCAGGATGTGGACACCCCCAAACTGGACCGTCAGGCCGGGGAGAGCCTCAAGGCCAAGTACCTCATGCCGCCCTTTGTCACGATGACCTCCCCGTCCCACTTCACCACCATCCCGGGTAAGCACCACTCTGCCCATTTCACCCGATGACCATCAAAGCCCCAGCACCCATCATTCCTGGAATAAGAAGCAGACCTCAGTCAGCTCTAGGGAGGCTGAGGCGGCTCCAGGGTCTCACTCTGTTGCCCAGGCTGTAGCTCAATGGGATAGTCACAGCTCAGTGGAGCCTCAAACTCCTGGTCTCAAGCAGTCCTGCCTACTACAGGCTCTCCAGTAACTGGGGATACAGACCAACCACTGTGCCTAATTTTCTCATTTTTTTAGAGATTGGAGCAGGGGGTGTCTCACTATGTTGCCTAGGCTGGTTTTGAACTCCTGGCCTCAAGTGATCATCCCGCCTCAGCCTCCCAAAGTGCTGAGATTAGAGACATGAGCTACTGTGCTTGGCCTGATCTTTTTTAAAAAAGTAAATAAGGCCGGGCATGGTGGCTCACCCCTGTAATCCCAGCACCTTGGGAGGCTGAGGCAGGTGGATTACCTGAGGTCAGGAGTTCAAGACCAGCCTGGCCAACATGGTGAAACGTCATCTCTCCTAAAAATACAAAAATAAGCTGGGCGTGGTGGCAGACGCCTATAACCCCAGCTACTCGGGAGTCTGATACAGGAGAATCACTTGAACCCAGGAGGTGGAAGTTGAAGTGAGCTGAGATCATGCCATTGCACTCCAGTTTGGCCAATAGCACAAGATTTTGTCTCAAAAATAAATAAATAAATAAAAGTAATAAAAATAAAAAGGTAAATAATTTAAATCACTTTTAAAGAATTGTATAAAAATAATAAAACATTGACATTTACAGAGCTCAGTTAGATGAGGTGACTCATACCCTCCAATGGTGTCCTGGTTCTCTTACATGAGAATTCAAATGTCTTTCTGTGGCCCAAAAGATCCCATGCAGCCTGGCCACTGGCCTATCTTCTGCCAGCCTCTCTCATCTCTCTCCCTCTCCTTCACTTCCCTCCAGATCACAAAGGCCTTTTGCCTGTGCCTTCTGCCCTGCTCCCTCCAGCCCCAGGGACTTGGCCTGTGCTAGTCCAGTCCCTCCAGCACACCAGGAGCATGCAGTCTAGCTGGGGAGACAGACACCAGACACCCTAACAGGCACATACATCCTGTGACAACTCAGGAGGCACCAAGGAGGAAAACGAGTTTTCCAGGCACAGACTACAGGGGTAAACTGGCTTCAAACTAGAGAGGGAGAAAGGGGCTCTCTGAGCATGGGGCAGTTGAGCTGAAAGAGATCTCAGGGGACCAGAGCAAGGAAAAATGTTCCAGGCAGAGGGAACAGCATGTGTGAGGTCTCTGAGACAAAGACCTGGTCATTTCAGAATCCCAGTGGCCACTAAAATACAGGGATTCCAACCTAAAAAGGAGGGAGAGGAGGTGGCTGGAAAGCAAAGGACTCTGTGTAAGCATCATAATAACGGGGGTGGAGCCAAGATGGCTGACTAGAAAGAGCTCCAGTCTACAGCTCCCAGCATGAGCGACACAGAAGACAGGTGATTTCTGCATTTCCAAATGAGGTACTGGGTTCATCTCAGTGGGGAGTGTCAGAAAGTGGGTGCAGGACAGTGGGTGCAGTGCACTGAGTGTGAGCCCAAGCAGGGTGAGGCATTCTCTCACCCGGGAAGCACAAGGGGTCAGAGAATTCCCTTTCCTAGTCAAAGAAAGGGGTGATAGATGGTACCTGGAAAATTGTGTCACTCCCACCCTAATACTGTGCTTTTCCAACAGTCTTAGCAAATGGCACACCAGGAGATTATATCCCGCACATGGCTCGGAGGGTCCTACATCCACGGAGCCTCGCTCATTGCTAGCACAGCAGTCTGAGATCAAACTGCAAGGTGGCAGCAAGGCTGTGGGAGGAGCGCCCACCATAGCCTAGGCTTCAGTAGGTAAACAAAGCAGCTGGGAAGCTTGAACTGGGTGGAGCCCACTGCAGCTTAAGGAGGCCTGACTGCCTTTGTGGACTCCACCTCTGGGGGCAGGGCATAGCCAAACAAAAGGCAGCAGAATCCTCTGCAGACTTAAAAGTCCCTGTCTGACAGCTTTTAAAAGAGTAGTGGTTCTCCCAGCACGCAGCTGGAGATCTGAAAATGGACAGACTGCCTCCTCAAGTGGGTCCCTGACCCCCGAGTAGCCTAACTGGAAGGCACCCCCCCACTAGGGGCAGACTGACACCTCACATGGCTGGGTACTCCTCTGAGACAAAACTTGCAGAGGAACGATCAGGCAGCAACATTTGCTGCTCACCAATATCCACTGTTCTGCAGCCTCTGCTGCTGATACGCAGGCTAACAGGGTCTGGAGTGGACCTCCAGCAAACTCCAACAGACCTGCACTGAGGTTCCTGACTGTTAGAAGGAAAACAAACAAAGAGAAGGGACATCCACACCAAAACCCCATCTGTACGTCACCATCATCAAAGACCAAAGGTAGATAAAACCGCAAAGATGGGAAAAAACAGAGCAGAAAAATGGGAAACTCTAAAAATAAGAGTGCCTCTCCTCCTCCAAAGGAATACAGCTCCTCACCAGCAATGGAACAAAGCTGGACAGAGAATGACTTTGATGAGTTGAGAGAAGAAGGCTTCAGACGATCAAACTACTCCAAGCTAAAGGAGGAAGTTCAAACCCATGGCAAAGAAGTTAAAATCCTTGAAAAAAGATTAGATGAATGGCTAACTAGAATGGATGAATGGCTAACTAGAATAACCAATGCAGAGAAGTCCTTAAAGGACCTGATGGAGCTGAAAACCAAGGCACGAGAACTACATGACGAATGCACAAGCCTCAGGAGCCGATTCGATCAACTGGAAGAAAGGGTATCAGTGATGGAAGATGAAATGAATGAAATGAAGCGAGAAGAGAAGTTTAGAGAAAAAAGAATATAAGGAAATGAACAAAGCCTCCAAGAAATATGGGACTATGTGAAAAGACCAAATCTACGTCTGACTGGTGTACCTGCAAGTGACGGGGAGAATGGAACCAAGTTGGAAAACACTCTGCAGGATATTATGCAGGAGAACTTCCCCAATCTAGCAAGGCAGGCCAACATTCAAATTCAGGAAATACAGAGAATGCCACAAAGATACTCCTCGAGAAGAGCAACTCCAAGACACACAATTGTCAGATTCATGAAAGTTAAAATGAAGGAAAAAATGTTAAGGGCAGCCAGAGAGAAAGGTCCGGTTACGTGCAAAGGGAAGCCCATCAGACTAACAACTGATCTCTCAGCAGAAACTCTACAAGCCGGAAGAGAGTGGGGGCCAATTTTCAACATTTTAAAGAGAAGAATTTTCAACCCAGATCTCATATCCAGTGAAACGAAGCTTCACAAGTGAAGGAGAAATAAAATCCTTTACACACAAGCAAATGCTGAGAGATTTTGTCACCACCAGGCCTGCCCTACAAGAGCTCCTGAAGGAAGTGCTAAACATGGAAAGGAACAACCGGTACCAGCCACTGCAAAATCATGTCAAATTGTAAAGACCATCAAGGCTAGGGAGAAGCTGCATCAACTAACGAGCAAAATAACCAGCTAACATCATAATGACAGGATCAAATTACACACAACAATATTAACCTTAAATGTCAATGGGCTAAATTCTCCGATTAAAAGACACAGACTGGCAAATTGGATAAAGAGCCAAGACCCATCACTGTCCTGTATTGAGGAAACCCATCTCATGTGCTGAGACACACATAGGCTCAAAATAAAAGGATGGAGGAAGATCTACCAAGCAAATGGAAAACAAAAAAAGGCAGGGGTTGCAATCCTAGTCTCTGATAAAAAAGACTTTAAACCAACAAAGATCAAAAGAGACAAAGAAGGCCATTACATAATGGTAAAGGGATCAATTCAACAAGAGGAGCTAACTATCCTAAATATATACGCACCCAATACAGGAGCACCCAGATTCATAAAGCAAGTCCTTAGAGACCTATAAAGAGACTTAGACTCCCACACGATAATAATGGGAGATTTTAACACCCCACTCTCAACATTAGACAGATCAATGAGACAGAAAGTTAACAAGGATATCCAGGGATTGAACTCAGCTCTTCACCAAGCAGACCTAATAGACATCTACAGAACTCTCCACCCCAAATCAACAGAATATACATTCTTCTCAGCACCACGCCGCACTTATTCCAAAATTGACCACATATTTGGAAGTGAAGCACTCCTCAGCAAATGTAAAACAACAGAAATTATACCAAACTCTCTCACAGTGCAATCAAACTAAAACTGAGAATTAAGAAATTCACTCAAAACCACTCAACTACATGGAAACTGAACAACCTGCTCCTGAATGACTACTGGGTACATAACGAAATGAAGGCAGAAATAAAGATGTTCTTTGAAACCAACGAGAACAAAGACACAACATACCAGAATCTCTGGGACACATTCAAAGCAGTGTGTAGAGGGAAATTTATAGCACTAAATGCCCACAAGAGAAAGCAGGAAAGATCTAAAGTTGACACCCTAACATCACAATTAAAAGAACTAGAGAAGCAAGAGCAAATACATTCAAAAGCTAGCAGAAGGCAAGAAATAACTAAGATCAGAGCAGAACTGAAGGAAATAGAGACACAAAAAACCCTTCAAAAAATCCATGAATCCAGGAGCTGGTTTTTTGGAAACATCAACAAAATTGATAGACCGCTAGCAAGACTAATAAAGAAGAAAAGAGAGAGGAATCAAATAGACACAATAAAAAATGATAAAGGGGATATCACCACCAATCCCACAGAAATACAAACTACCATCAGAGAATACTATAAACACCTCTACACAAATGAACTAGAAAATCTAGAAGAAATGGATAAATTCCTCGACACATACACCTTCCCAAGACTAAACGAGGAAGAAGTTGAATCTCTGAATAGACCAATAACAGGCTCTAAAATTAAGGCAATAATTAATAGCTTACCAACAAAAAAAGTCCAGGACCAGTTGGAGTCACAGCCGAATTCTACCAGAGGTACAAGGAGGAGCTGCTATCATTCCTTCTGAAACTATTCCAAACAATAGAAAAAGAGAGAATCCTCCCTAGCTTATTTTATGAGGCCAGCATCATCCTGATACCAAAGCCTGGCAGAGACAAAACAAAAAAAGAGAATTTTAGACCACTATCCCTGATGAACATCAATGCAAAAATCCTCAATAAAATACTGGCAAACCGAATCCAGCAGCACATCAAAAAGCTTATACACCATGATCAAGTGGGCTTCATCCCTGGGATGCAAGGCTGGTTCAACATACGCAAATCAATAAACATAATCCAGCATACAAACAGAACCAATGACAAAAACCATATGATTATCTCATTAGATGCAAAAAAGGCCTGTGACAAAATTCAACAATGCTTCATGCTAAAAACTCAATAAATTAGGTATTGATGGGATGTATCTCAAAATAATAAGAGCTATCTATGACAAACCCACAGCCAATATCATACTGAATGGGCAAAAACTTGAAGCATTCCCTTTGAAAACTGGCAGGAGACAGGGATGCCCTCTCTCACCACTCCTATTCAAAATAGTGTTGGAACTTCTGGCCAGGGCAATCAGGCAGGAGAAGGAAATAAAGGGCATTCAACTAGGAAAAGAGGAAGTCAAATAGTCCCTGTTTGCAGATGACATGATTGTATATCTAGAAAACCCCATCATCTCAGCCCAAAATCTCCTTAAGCTGATAGGCAACTTCAGCAAAGTCTGAGGATACAAAATCAGTGTGCAAAAATCACAAGCATTCTAATACACCAATAACAGACAAACAGAGAGCCAAATCAAGAGTGAACTCCCATTCACAATTGCTTCAAAGAGAATAAAATACCTAGGAATCCAACTTACAAGGGAAGTGAAGGACCTCTTCAAGGAGAACTATAAACCACTGCTCAACGAAATAAGAGGATACAAACAAATGGAAGAATATTCCATGCTCATGGGTAGGAAGAATCAATATCGTAAAAATGGCCATACTGCCCAAGGTAATTTATAGATTCAATGCCATCCCCATCAAGCTACCAATGACTTTCTTCACAGAATTGGAAAAAACTACTTTAAAGTTTATATGGAACCAAAAAAAGAGCCTGCATTGCCAAGTCAATCCTAAGCCAAAAGACCAAAGCTGGAGGCATCACACTACCTGACTTCAAACTATACTACAAGGCTACAGTAACCAAAACAGCATGGTACTGGTACAGAAACAGAGATATAGACCAATGGAACAGAATAGAGCCCTCAGAAATAATGCCACATGTCTACAACTATCCGATCTTTGACAAACCTGACAAAAACAAGAAATGGGGAAAGGATTCCCTATTTAATAAATTGTGCTGGGGAAACTGGCTAGCCATATGTAGAAAGCTGAAACTGGATCCCTTCCTTACACCTTATACAAAAATTAATTCGAGATGGATTAAAGACTTAAATGTTAGACCTGAAACCATAAAAGCCCTAGAAGAAAACTTAGGCAATACCATTCAGGACATAGGCATGGGCAAGGACTTGATGTCTAAAACACCAAAAGCAATGGCAACAGAAGCCAAAATTGACAAATAGGATCTAATTGAACTCAAGAGCTTCTGCACAGCAAAAGAAACTACCATCAGAGTGAACAGGCTACCTACAGAATGGGAGAAAATTTTTGCAATCTATTCATCTGACAAAGGGCTGATATCCAGAATCTACAATGAACTCCAACAAATTTACAAGAAAAAAGCAAACAACCCCATCAACAAGTGGGCAAAGGATATGAACAAACACCTCTCAAAAGAAGACATTTATGCAGCCAAAGACACATGAAACAATGCTCATCATCACTGGCCAGAGAAATGCAAATCAAAACCACAATGAGATACCATCTCACACCAGGTAGAATGGCGATCATTAACAAGTCAGGAAACAACAGGTGTTGGAGGGTATGTGGAGAAATAGGAACACTTTTACACTGTTGGTGGGACTGTAAACTAGTTCAACCATTGTGGAAGTCAGTGTGGCGATTCCTCAGGGATCTAGAACTAGAAATACCATTTAACCCAGCCATCCCATTACTGGGTATATACCCAAAGGATTACAAATCATGCCGCTATAAAGACACGTGCACACGTATGTTTATTGCGACACTATTCACAATAGCAAAGACTTGGAACCAAGCCAAATGTCCAAAAACAATAGACTGGATTAAGAAAATGTGGCACATACGCACCATGGAATGCTATGCAGCCATAAAAAATGATGAGTTCATGTCCTTTGTAGGGACATGGATGAAGCTGGAAACCATCATTCTCAGCAAACATATTGCAAGGACAAAACCAAACACCGCATGTTCTCACTCACAGGTGGGAATTGAACGATAAGAACACTTGGACAAAGCGTGGGGAACATCACACACTGGGGCCTGTCATCAGGTGGGGGAAGGGGGGAGGGATAGCACTTGGAGATATACCTAATGTAAATGACGAGTTAATGGGTGCAGCCCACCAACAGGGCACATGTATACATATGTAACAAACCTGCACGTTGTGCACATGCACCCTAAAACTTAAAGTATGATAAAAAATAAAAAATAAAATAAAAACATTGGCTGTTGACTCCAAATATCCTGCTTCATCATCTCTCCACTCCAGAAACTTTTCACATGCTTACAAAGGGTGTTCATTTCTCCTCTAAGTATTTGCCCTCCAGCCCCACCTGCAAGAAGGTGGAAGTAGGGTCACTGCCTGGGATGGTAACTCTCAAATACAAGGCAACACCTGTCTCTCCTCCAATATCCCCATGACTGAAGGACTGTGAAAGTCTGCATACTGATCAAGCTTCTTCCTCCCTTATCTGAAGGGACTTACTTCCTTCAAGACACTTTTCCTCTTCCCACCTAGCTCCGTGCCCCCATCCAGTCATCTTCCAACCCATCTCCCCCATCCTCCATGCCACACAAGAGGGGCTTGGCCACAGCACCTGGAAGTTCCTTAAAATTGAATGGTGTGTAGGGCCGGGTGCGGTGGCTCATGTCAGTAACCCCAGCACTTTGGGAGGCTGAGGCAGGCAGGTCACTTGAGGTCCGGAGATCGAGACCAGCCTGGCCAACATGGTGAAACTCCATCTCTACTAAAAATATAAAAATTAGCTAGGTATGGTGGTGCATGCCTGTAGTCCCAGCTACTTGGGGGGCTGAGGCAAGGGAATCACTTGAACCGAGGAGGCAGAGGTTACAGTGAGCCGAGATTGCACCACTGCACTCCAGCCTGGGCGATGGAGTGAGACTCTGTCTCAAAAAAAAAAAAAAAAAAAAATCGAATGGTGTAATTAGCTTATGATTTTTAAAAAATGGAATGATGTATTCATTTTCTAAGCTGCATAACAAATCAACACAAATTTAGCAGCTTAAAACACCCATCTATTACCTCTCCTTTCCTGTGGGTCAGGAGTCTGGGGGTGCAGCTTTAGCTGGGTCCTCTGCTCAGGTTCTTACAAGGTTGTGATCAAGATGTTGGCTGGAATTAGTGTCTCATATGAGGCTTGGGGTCTTCTCCCAACCTCTCATGGTTGTTGGCTGAATTTATTTCCATGGAACTGTGGAACTCATGTGGCTTCTTCAAAACCAGCCGGGGATGGTGGCTCACGCCTGTAATCCCAGCACTTTCGGAGGCTGAGGTAGGTGGATCACCCGAGGTCAGGAGTTCGAGACCAGCCTGGCCAATATGGTGAAACCCCGTCTCTACTAAAAATACAAAACTTAGCCAGGCATGATGGCGCATGCCTGTAATCCCAGCTACTTGGGAGGCTAAGGCAGGAGAATCACTTGAACCCAGGAGGCAGAGGTTGCAGTAAGCCGAGATCGTGCCACTGCACTCCAGCCTGGGCAACAGAATGAGACTCCATCCCAAAAACAAACAAACAAACAAAAACCAAAAACCAGGAGGAAGGAGTCTCTCTCCTCCAGATCCTCATTGAAGATCTCACCTGAAGATGTCAGGCCCACCCTGAATAATCTCCCTTTTGATTAACTCAAAGGGAACGGATTAGGGGCTTAGTTACATCTGTAAAATCCTTTCAACTTTTCCATAGGTATAGATTAGAAGCAAGCCACGAGTCCTGCCTACACTCCAAGGGAGAGGAGATTACACCTGGGATTTATCCAGGGCAAGAACCTAAGGGGTCATCTCAGAATTCTGCCTTCCAAATAGATCCTCTGTGGAGCTCACATGCCTGGGCGAGCACCAGCCTTTGTTTAAAGGCAACAGAGAATGCTGCCCTGTCTCAGATCTTCAGCAAGCCTCCAGAATAATGGTCCAGTCTCTGAGCCCAGAGCCAACGCAGCAGGAGCTTTGGGCGCACATGGGGACTGGCTTCCCCCACTTTGAAGTGAGTCATCACATCCGTATTAGACCCTAGCTGTTGCTCAGGCAAAAATGATTTAGAAGAAGAGGGAGAGAAAAGGAGAGTTAATTTAAACGTACTTATATTTGGCCAGGCACAGTGGTTCACGCCTGTAATCCCAGCACTTTGGGAGGCTGAGGCAGGTGGATCACGAGGTCAGGAGATGGAGACCATCCTGGCTAACACGGTGAAACGCCGTCTCTTAAAAATACAAAAAATTAGCTGGGCTTGGTGGCAGGTGCCTGTAGTCCCAGCTACTCGGGAGGCTGAGGCAGGAGAATGGCGTGACCCTGGGAGGCAGAGCTTGCAGTGAGCCGAGATCTCGCCACTGCACTCCAGCCTGGGCGACAGAGTGAGACTCCATCTCAAAAAAAGAAAAAAAAGAAAGAAAATAATTATATTCATTCCCCAGGGCTGCCACAACCAAGTACCACAAGCTGGGTGACTTGAAACAAGAGAAATTGATTGTCTTCCGGCTCTGGTGGCCAGCAGTCTGAAATGGAAGTGCCAGCAGGGCCACACTACCTCCTGCACTTGTCGGGGAGTCCTGCCTTGCCTCGTCCTAGTTTCCTGCAGTCTCCTGGCAGTCTTCAGTGTTCCTTGGTTTGCAGACGCATCAGTGCAATCTTCTGTCTGATCCATGGCCTTCTTCCCTGTGTCTCCATGACTCAGCGTGTCCTCTCCTCTTTTATAAGGACACCAGTCATTGACTTAGGGCCCTCCCTACTCCAGGATGACTTCATCCTAATCAATAGCATCTGCAATAAGCCTATTTCTTTCTTTCTTTCTTTCTTTCTTTTTTTTTTTTTTGAGATGGAGTTTCACTCTTGATGCCCAGGCTGGAGTGCAATGGCGCGATCTCAGCTCAATGCAACCTCCGCTGCCTGGGTTCAAGTGATTCTCCTGCCTCAGCCTCCTGAGTAGCTGGGATTACAGGTATGCACCACCACACCCAGCTAATTTTGTATTTTTAGTAGAGACAGGGTTTCTCCATGTTGGTCAGGCTGGTCTCAAACTCCTGACCTCAGGTGATCCACCCACTTCGGCCTCCCAAAGTGTTGGGATTACAGCTGTGAGCCACCATGCCCGGCCTGCAATAAGTATTTCTAAATAAGATCACATTCTGAGCTACTAGAATTTAGGATTTCAACATCTTTTGAGGAGGACTCAATTTAACCCATAAGAATTCTGTGTGGGCCACACATGGTGCTTCACATCTCTTATCCCAGCACTTTGGGAAGTTGAAGCAGGAGGATCATTGCTCAGGCCTATGGGGACACCAGGTGCATAAGACCACAGTGTTGACTGGTGTGGGGACTCACACCTGTAAGTTTGGGAACCTAAGGCAGGGCAATCACTTGATCCCAGGAGTTTGAGGCCAGCCTGGGTGACATACTGAGATCTCATTTCTAAAAAAAAAAAAAAAAAAAATTATTTAATTAGCTGGGCATGGTGGTACCCGCCTACAGGCCCAGCTACTCAGGAGGCTGAAGCAGGAGGGTCTCTTGAGTCCAGAAGATCAAGGCTGTGGTGAGCTGTGATTGCACCACTGCACTCCAGCCTGGGCAACAGAGCAAGCCCTGTCTAAAAAAAAAAAAAAGTCATCTCCCTTGTCTTCTGATTCCCTGACCTGTCATAGAAAGGAAGTGAAGCAGTGAAAGCATCCCCCCAAAAGAGACTTTTCAAAACCAGCCCAAGCAACATAAAAAGACCTTGCCTCTAGAAAGTATTTAAATATGAAGGAAAAAAAAAAAAGCAGTACTATGGCACAGAGTTGACAGCTACAGGTGTGGCTACATCCAGGTCCTCAAACTATATCATCAGAATGACCCCTCACCCTCCCCCCACTTTCCATTTTACTTTCTTAAGCATGAACATGAAATTTCCAAGATTGTCTCTCCTTTGGCTAATCTGCTTCTCAGACCCAATCACTGTGGCCAGGGTGGTGGAGGAGGTGGAAGGATATTGACATGCAGGCTGGGACCACATGCCCCAGCCCCAGATCAGGGTGGGGAGTGGCCAGTCGCACACATGCCCTGGGGCACTAGTGACTCCTTGGTGGAAAATCGGGAACTGTCGTTAGAGAGGAGCGATGGAAGAAAGGCTGACACACTGCGATGTATCTCCTGCACCAGCCTGGGCCTCGATGTCTTGAGAATGGCGGTTTGCAGTCTGATGACCCAGTACTCAGTCCAGGGCAACCCCAACTCCATCTGTGGGGCTGCCCACAGTACATGGACCCCCTCACTGGATTTGCTGACCACACGTGCAAACAGCCATCTCCCAGCCCCACTCCCCGCAGTCCCTCTGAACCCTGTCGAAATTCCCCTCAGTTCCCACCAAGAAGAAAAGCAATTCTGAGGGTGAGTGGCTTATTCTGCTAGTTTAAATCTCTCGATTCCTTCCCTCTCCAGAACTCTGTACTTACTGCTCTGTCACTGGTAATGACAATGAACATTTTCACAGTCTCAGTTTTTATTGCAAAGTGATTGAGGACCAGTTAGAATAAGTTATGCTACAGAAACTAAAGAAATCCCGTCAAGCAAATGGTGTGTAATAGAAAGTCTTAGGGCAGCCGTGTATATTTTCTCCCCCAATGAATCAATTGAAAATGAGAGGCTCTTACCACTATGTTCCGGGCAGAAGCTATCAAAAGCGTAAGCCATGATAGTATAATTTGATCATTTTACATCCGTCAAATGGATATGGCCCAGGGGTGAAAAGTGGATGCTCTGCAACTAGATGATGGTCAAGAGTTATAAAAATGAGGTCCTCTCTGTTCAACATTTCTCCTTTCTTGAAGGAATACTCAATGTCATGCTCAGGGCCTCTAATGGCCAGAAATAAAGTTCCTCCTAGTTTCAGAGCACACCAGGGCAACCCCAAAACCAGAGCAACTGCTTATAGCCATGTAGACTATGTACTGTGCAATTCCTGGGGTGGCATTTTCATAAATATGTGGGTGGCGCCTGGAGGTGTGAGATGCACAACTTGCACAAATGGTAAGTCATCGTATCCCAAAGTCCACAAAGAAGAGGTAAACAAAATTCCCATCGATGTTGCCATCAGTCATGAGTCTGCCTTTTCTTCATGGGACAGTAGCAAAAACAATTTGGCCCAAATGTGCTTGGATGATCTCTAAGCTCTAAGATGGAATCAGGGTCTCTCACTTTCAGCACTATTGACATTTGGGGCTGGATCATTATTTTGTCTTAGTGGGAGTTGTCCAGGGCATTGTAGGATGTTTAGCAGCATCCCTGGCCTCTACTCATTAGCTGCCAGTAGCACCACCTCCTCCAGCTGCAACAACCAAAACTGTCTCCAGACATAGGCACATGTTCTCTGGGGGGGCAAAATTACCCCCTGGTTGAGAAGCCCTGAAGTAAAGACATAATACGCAGATCACATGTAAGTAAGAGAGCCTAAGGGCCACACTGGTGATGCTGTACCCATGACAAAGACAGAGTCTTAAAGAGGTTAGAGAGGTGGAGAAAGAGAAAGGAAATGAAGTCCCAGCTGTCGAGAGCAACAGTTGCTGACTAGATGATGTTGATAGTCATCTTAAACTGAGTTAAAAGATGCTGAGAAGCCATCAGCTGCCATCATGCTCTCCAGGGACAACACTGCTGAAAAAGGCCTGGAGATCAACAAAGCGCCAAACACAGGTGCACTGAGCAAAGAAACCAGAGATTGAGACAAAAAAGACATTCCCTCAAAGACTACTCATTTCCAAGAGGTGAGAAAAAGTGGAGTCATGAAAAACAGTTGAGGCTTGGTAGAGTGACTCACACCTGTAATCCCAGCACTTTGGGATTACTCCCATGCTAAAACGGGAAGATTGCTTGAGCTCAGGAGTTCAAGACCAGCCTGGGCAACATAGCAAGACCTTGCCTTTAGAAAAAGGGAAAAAATTAGCCTGGTGTGGTGATACATGCCTGTGGTCTCAGCTACTCAGAAGGCTGAGGTGGGAGGATTGCTTGAACCCAAGAGGTAGAGGCTGCAGTGAGCCGGGATCACACCACTGCACTCCAGCCTGGGCTACAGAGTGAGATCTTGTCTCAACAAAGAAAAAAATTAAACAAAATTAAGGCCGGGCACTATGGCTAATGCCTGTAATCCCAGCACTTTAGGAGGCCAAGGTGGGCAGATCACGAGGTCAGGAGATCAAGATCATCCTAACACAGTGAAACCCCATCTGTACTAAAAATACAAACAATTAGCCGGACATGGTGGTGGGTGCCTTCAGTCCCAGCTACTCTGGAGGCTGAGGCAGAAGAATGGAGTGAACTCGGGAGGTGGAGCTTGCAGTGAGCCAAGATCATGCCACTGCACTCCAGCCTGGGCAAAAGAGCAAGACTCCATCTCGAAAGAAAAAAAAGAAAATTAAAAATTTTTTTGAGACCAAGTCTCACTCTGTCGCCCAGGCTGGAGTGTAATGGTGCGATCTCGGCTCACTGCAACCTCCGCCTCCTGGGTTCAAGTGATTCTCATGCCTCAACCTCGTGCCTCAACATGACTACAGGCATGTTGTCACCATGCCTGGCTAATTTTTGCATTTTTAGTAAAGATGGGTTTTCGCCATGTTGTCCAGGATGGTCTTGAACTCCTAGGTTCAAGCAATCTACCCACCTCAGCCTCCCAAAATGCTGAGATTACAGGCATGAGCCACCGTGCCTGACCTCTAACTTTTCATTATGGAAATTTCCCATGTGCACAAAAAGCAGGGAGAGAATTACACCATGAACCCCCATGCACCCATCATCCCACTGCAAGAACTTGTCAACATTTCACCAATCTCATTCCAGTTCCTGCTTTTATTTTCCTTCTTGCTATTTTACAATATTTTAAAGCAAATTCCAGACATTTCATTTCACTCACATCCATAACACACCAGGGTGCATTCTTGATGTAAGGATTTTGTTTTGTTTTATAACCCCCATGCCATTGCCACAGTTAATAGATTTAACATGAAGAAACTAAGATTCTTGCAGGTGGAGAAAAGATCTAATTACCACCTTAAAGCCTCTCCTACCAGCGCTTCTCAGATCTGAACGTTTACGTAAATCACCCAGGCATCTTGTTAAAATGCAGATTCTGGCCCAGGAGGTCCTCCCAGGTGAGCCCTGAGAGTCTTCAATTCCAAAAACTCACAGGTGACACAATGCTGCTGGTCCACGAATCACACAAGAGGAGGGGTCGGCCAAACACCCACAACAACTGGGTGCAAAGTCCTGACTGTTCCTGACTGCAGGGCCTTCAGTGAACGGGGAAACTGGGGACCATTTGGGAAAGAAGGGAGGTTTTCCATATCAGCTCCAGGCCCTGTAGAACTGCCAGGGCATAACAGACACAAGATCAGCAAAGTCCAACCAACAGCATGAGTGCATTCATATTCCACAACCACTGCAGCAAAGAACTATGAAATGGGTGGCTTCAAACAATGTCTGGGCCTGGTGCCGTGGCTCACACCTAAATAATCTCAGCATTTTGGGAGGCTGAGGTGGGTGGATCACTTGAGGCCAGGAATTCAAGACCAGCCTGGCCAATATGGCAAAACATCATCTCTACTAAAAATACAAAAATTAGCCATGCATGGTGGCAGGCACCTGTAGCCCAGCTACTTGGGAGGCTGAGGCAAGAGAATGGCTTGAGCCTGGGAGGTGGAGGTTGCAGTGAACCGAGATCGTGCAACTGCACTCCAGACTGGGCAACAGAGCAAGGCTCTGTCTAAAAAAAAAAGGAAAAAGGAAAGTCTGGAGGCCAGAAGTCCAAAATCAATCAAATGTCAGCAGGACCATGCTCCTTCAGAGGTTCTAGGGGAGAATCCATTCCTTGCCTCTTCCAGCTTGTAGAGGCTACTAGAATTCCTCAACTTGTGGCTGCATGATCCAATCTCTGCCTCTGTGATCACCTTGCCTCCTCCTCTTCTCCTCTTCTGTCTGGGTCTCCTCCTCTGGAGGAAGAGTGTCAGGCCTCTGAGCCCAAGCTAAGCCATCGTATCCCCTGTGACCTGCACGTACACATCCAGATGGCCAGTTCCTGCCTTAACTGATGACATTATCTTGTGAAATACCTTCTCCTGACTCATCCTGGCTCAAAAGCTCCCCTACTGAGCACCTTGTGACCCCCACTCCTGCCTGCCAGAGAACAACCCCCCTTTTTCCTTTACCTACCCAAATCCTATAAAATGGCCCCACCCCTATCTCCCTTCGCTCACACTTTTCGGACTCAGCCCACCTGCACCCAGGTGAAATATACAGCTTTATTGCTCACACAAAGCCTGTTTGGTGGTCTCTTCGCACGGACCCATGTGAAATTTGGTGCCGTGACTCGGATCGGGGGACCTCCCTTGGGAGATCCATCCCCTGTCCTCCTGCTCTTTGCTCTGAGAGAAAGATCCAGCTACAACCTCAGGTCCTCAGGCTGACCAGCCCAAGAAACATCTCACCAATTTCAAATCCAGTAAGTGACTTCTTTTTACTCTCTTCTCCAACCTCCTTCACTATCCCTCAACCTCTTTATCCTTTCAATCTTGGCACCACACTTCAATCTCTCCCTTCTCTTAATTTCAATTCCTTTCATTTTCTGGTAGAGACAAAGGAGACACGTTTTATCCATGGACCCACAACTCCAGCGCCTGTCACGGACTTGGGAAGACACCCTTTCCTTGGTGTTTAATCATTGCAGGGATGCCTCTCTGATTATTCACCCAGGTTTCAGAGGTGTCAGACCACGCAGGGACGCCTGCCTTGGTCCTTCACCCTTAGTGGCAAGTCCCGCTTTTCTGGGGGAAGGGGCAAGAACCCCTCAACCCCTTCTCCTTCACCCTTAGCAGCAAGTCCTGTTTTTCTGGGGGAGGGGCAGGAACCCTCTCTTATCTCTGTGCCCCGATCCCTTATTTCCATGCCCCAACCTCTTATCTCTGTGACCCAATCCCTTATTTCTGTGACCTGACCTCTTATCTCTGCACCCCAACCCCTTATTTCTGTGCCCTGACCTCTTAGCTCTGTATCACAACCCTTTATTTCTGCACCCCAACCCCTTTCCTGCTTTTCTGGAAGGCAAGAACCCCCCACCCCTTCTCTCTGTGTCTCTACTCTCTCTTTTCTCTAGGCTTGCCGCCTTCACTATGGGTAAGCTTCTGCCCACCATTCCCCCTTCTTCTCCCTTAGCCTGTGTTCTTAAAAACCTAAAACCTCTTCAACTCACACCTGACCTAAAACCTAAATGCCTTATTTTCTTCCACAATGCTGCTTGACCCCAATACAAACTTGACAGTAGTTCCAAATAGCCAGAAAATGGCACTTTCAATTTTTCCATCCTACATGATCTAGATAATTCTTGTCATAAAATGGGCAAACGGTCTGAGGTGACTGACGTCCAGGCATTCTTTTACACATTGGTCCCTCCCTAGTCTGTTCCCAGTGCAACTCATCCCAAATCTTCCTTCTTTCCCTCCCAGCTGCCCCCTCAATCCCAACCCCAAGCATCACTGAGTCTTTCTAATCTTCCTTTTCTACAGAAAAATCTGACCTCTCCCCTCCTCACCAGGCCAAGCTAGGCCCCAATTCTTCCTCAGCCTCTGCTCCTCCACCCTATAATACTTTTGTCACCTCCCCTCCTCACACCGCGTCCGGCTTACAGTTTTGTTCCATGACTAGCCCTCCCCGACCTGCCCAGCAATTTACTCTTAAAAAGGTGGCTGAAGCTAAAGGCATAGTCAAGGTTAATGCTCCTTTTTCTTTATCCCAAATCAGATAGAGTTTAGGCTCCTTTTCATCAAATATAAAAATCCAGCCTAGTTCATGGCTCATTTGGCAGCAACCCTGAGATGCTTTACAGCCCTATACCCTAAAAGGTCAAAAGGATGTCTTATTCTCAATATACATTGTATTACCCAATCTGCTCCCGACATTAAATAAAACTCTGAAAATTAAATTATGGCCCTCAAACCCCACAACAGGACTTAATTAACCTCACCTTCAAGGTGTACAATAATAGAGTAGAGGCAACCAAGTAGCAACATATTTCTGAGTTGTAATTCCTTGCCTCCACTGTGAGACAAACCCCAGCCACATCTCCAGCACACAAGAACTTCCAAACGCCTAAAGCACAGTGGCCAGGTGTTCCTACAGAACCACCTCCCCCAGGAGCTTGCTACAAGTGCCAGAAATCTGGCCACCAGGCCAAGGAATGCCCACAACCCGGGATTCCTCCTAAGCCATGTCCCATCTGTGTGGGACCCCACTAGAAATTGGACTGTTCAACTCACCTGGCAGCCACTCCCAGAGCCCCTGGAACTCTGGCCCAAGGCTCTCTGACTGACTCCTTCCCAGATCTTCTTGGCTTAGCAGCTGAAGACTGACACTGCCTGATCAATCACTTTGGAAGCCTACAGGACCATCACAGATGCTCTAGGTAATTCTCACAGTGGAGGGTAAGTCCATCCCCTTTTTAATCAATACAGAGGCTACCCATGCCACATTACCTTCTTTTCAAGTGCCTGTTTCCCTTGCCTCCATAACTGTTGTGGGTGTTGACAGCCAGGCTCCTAAACCTCTTAAAACTCCCCAACTCTGATGCCAACTTAGACAATACTCTTTTAAGCACTCCTTTTTAGTTATCCCCACCTGCCCAGTTCCCTTATTAGGCTGAGGCACTTTAACTAAATTATCTGCTTCCCTGACTATTCCTGGACTATAGCTACAACTCATTGCTACCCACCTTAACCCACAAGTATAAGATACCTCTACTCCCTCCTTGGCGACCGATCATGCACCCCTTGCCATCTCATTAAAACCTAATCCCCCTTACCCCGCTCAATGTCAATATCCCATCCCACAGCATGCTTTGAAAGGATTAAAGCCTGTTATCACTCGCCTGCTACAGCATGGCCTTTTAAAGCCTATAAACTCTCCTTACAATTCCCCCATTTTACCTGTCCTAAAACCAGACAAGCCTTACAAGTTAGTTCAGGATCTATGCCTTATCAACAAAATTGTTTTGCCTATCTACCCCATGGTGCCAAACGCATATACTCTCCTATCCTCAATTCCTCCCTCCACAACTCATTATTCTGTTCTGGATCTCAAACATGCTTTCTTTACTATTCCTTTGCACCCTTCATCCCAGTCTCTCCTTGTTTTCACTTGGACTGACCCTGACACCAATCAAGCTCAGCAAATTACCTGGGCTGCACTGCCACAAAACTTCACGGACAGTCCCTATGACTTCAGTCAAGCCCAAATTTCTTCCTTGTCTGTTACCTATCTCAGCATAATTCTCATAAAAACACACGTGCTCTCCCTGCCGATCGTGTCCGACTAATCTCTCAAACCCCAACCCCAGCTACAAAACAACAACTCCTTTCCTTCCTGGGCATGGTTGGATACTTTTGCCTTTAGATACTTGGTTTTGCCATCCTAACAAAACCATTATATAAACTCAAATAAGGAAACCTAGCTGACCCCATAGATCCTAAATCCTTTCCCCACTCCTCTTTCTGTTCCTTGAAGACAGCTTTAAAGGCTGCCCCCACCCTAGCTCTCCCTGACTCATCCCAACCCTTTTCACTACACACAGCCAAAGTGCAGCGCTGTGTAGTCGAAATTCTTACACAAGGACCAGGATTGCATCCTGTAGCCTCTTTGTCCAAACAACTTGACCTTACTGTTTTAGGCTGGCCATTATGTCTCCATGCAGTGGCTCTTGCTGCCCTAATACTTTTAGAGGACCTTAAAATCACAAACTATGCTCAACTCACTCTCTACAGCTCTCATAATTTCCAAAATCTATTTTCTTCCTTACAGATGACACATATACTTTCTGCTCCCCGGCTCCTTCAGCTGTACTAACTCTTTGTTGAGTCTCCCACAATTACCACTGTTCATGGCCCAGACTTCAATCCGGCCTCCCACATTATTCCTGATACCACACTTGACCCTCGTGACTGTATCTCTCTGATCCACCTGATGTTCACCCCATTTCCCCACATTTCCTTCTTTCCTGTTTCTCACCCTGATCACACTTATTGATGGCAGTTCCACCAGGCCTAATCGCCACACACCAGCAAAGGCAGGCTATCCTATAGTACAAGCCACTAGCCCGCCTCTTAGAACCGCTCATTTCCTTTCCAGTGTGGAAATCTATCCACAAAGAAATAACTTCTCAGTGTTCCATCTGCTATTCTCTACTCCTCGGGGATTCTTCAGGCCCCCTCCCTTCCCTACACATCAAGCTCAGGGATTTGCCCCCACCCAGGACTGGCAAATTAGCTTTACTCAACGTGCCCTGAGTCAGGAAACTAAAATACCTCTTGGTCTAGGTAGACACTTTCACCGGATAGGTAGAGGCATTTCCCACAGGGTCTAAGAAGGCCACCACGGTCATTTCTTCCCTTCTGTCAGACATAATTCCTCAGTTTGGCCTTCCCACCTCTATACAGTCCAATAGTAGACCGGCCTTTATTAATCAAGTCAGCCAAGCATTTTTTCAGGCTCTTAGTATTCAGTGAAACCTTTATATCCCTTACAGTCCTCAGTCTTCAGGAAAGGTAGAACAGACTAATGGTCTTTTAAAAACACACCTCACCAAGCTCAGCCACCAACTTAAAAAGGACTGGACAATACTTTTACCACTTTCCCTTCTCAGAATTCAGGCCTGTCCTTGGAATGCTACAAGGTACAGCCCATTTGAGCTCCTGTATAGATGCTCCTTTTTATTAAGCCCCAGTCTCATTCCAGACACCAGAGCAACTTGGACTGTGCCCCAAAAAAACTTGTCATCCCTACTATCTTCTCTCTAGTCACACTTTTATTCACCGTTCTCAACTACTCATACATGCCCTGCTCTTGTTTACACTGCTGATTTACACTGTTTCTCCAAGCCATCACAGCTGATATCTCCTGATGCTATCCCCAAACCGCCACTCTTAACTCTTAAATAAATAATCTTTGCTGGCAAGGCTATGCTGAACCTCCTTAGACACTCTCTAATTAGATGTCCTAGGTCCTCCCAATTCTTAGTCCTTTAATACCTGTTTTTCTCCTTCTCTTATTCTGTTTAGTTTTTCAATTCATACAAAACTGTATCCAAGCCATCATCAATAATTCTAAATGACAAATGTTTCCTCTAACAACCCCACAATATCACCTATTACCACAAAATCTTCCTTCAGCTTAATCTCTCCCACTCTAGGTTCCCACGCTGCCCCTAATCCCACTCAAAGCAGCCCTGAGAAACATCGCCCATTATCTCTCCATACCATCCCCAAAAATTTTCGCCGTCCCAACACTTTACCACTATTTCATTTTATTTTTCTTATTAATATAAGAAGACAGGAACATCAGGCCTCTGAGCCCAAGCTAAGCCATCATATCCCCTGTGACCTGCACGTACACATCCAGATGGCCAGTTCCTGCCTTAACTGATGACATTCCACCACAAAATAAATGAAAATGGCCTGTTCCTGCCTTAACTGATGACATTATCTTGTGAAATTCCTTCTCCTGGCTCATCCTGGCTCAGAAGCTCCCCTACTGAGCACCTTGTGACCCCCACTCCTGCCTGCCAGAGAACAACCCCTTTTTCCTTTACCTACCCAAATCCTATAAAAACAGCCCCACCCCTATCTCCCTTCACTGACTCTGTATTTGGACTCAGCCTGCCTGCACCCTGGTGAAATAAACAGCTTTATTGCTCACACAAAGTCTGTTTGGTGGTCTCTTCACTTGGATGCACGTGAAAAACAGTGTCCTTTTTTTTTTTTTTTTTTTGAGATGGAGTTTCACTCTTGTTGCCCAGGCTGGAGTGCAATGGCATGACCTCAGCTCACTGCTACCTCCTCCTCCTGGGTTAAAGCAACTCTCCTGCCTCAGCCTCCCCAGTAGCTGGGATTGCAGGTATGCACCACCATGCCCGGCTAATTTTTTATTTTTAGTAGAGATGGGGTTTCTCCATGTTGGTCAGGCTGGTCTCGAAGTCCTGACCTCAGGTGATCCACCCACCTCAGCCTACCAAAGTGCTGGGATTACAGGCATGAGCCACTGCGCCTGGACAAAAGTGTCCTCTTATAAGGACACTTGTCTTTAGATGTACAGCCTACCGAAAATACTCCAGGATAATCTCAAGATCCTTAACTTAATTACATCTGCAAAGACCCTTTTTCCAAATAATGCCACCTCCACAGATTCTAGGCACAAGGATCTGGATATATCTTGTGTAAAGCCACCATTCAGCTCACTACACTAGAAAGAGGAAAAACAACAACGATGTAACAAGAGGCGCAGAAGAAAGAACAGATGCAGCTTGTGTGGCAGTGGCCATCAAGGCAGGCTGGGGTAAAACTGTGTCAACAGAAGCCCCAGATGGAACTCAAGTGCGGCCGTCGGCTCCCAGCTACTCACAGAGAACGTTTCTGTTTCTGACAGCAGAGTAAGAGAAGAGGTGAGAAGAGAGACAGCCCATTCTCTTTTGGCCTAATTCCTAAGGAATCATGCCTCTGCCTTCGGGCCATTCTCAAGTCTTGTTCAAGGATAAAATGATTTATTGATGGCCGTAATTAAAAAGCAATGCCAACGGAAGCAGCGTCAGCATTTTTCATTTGTACTTATACATGAGCGAGAGCAGTTTAGGGAAACGGGTGTCTTCAGGTTGTGTTTTCTCCATCTAGAAAAGGGCTGCCTTCATGGAATGCTGGTCCTGGGGAGAAGCCTCATTTCTATAGCAGGAATTGATACAGTTTTAAATTCTGATTGGTACACGGAGCTACCCATCCTCATTTCAAGCACTTCTGGTTTGTTCTGGGTTTAGTGGGTGAGCAATGAGTAGAATTCTGGGGAGAAGGATTTGGGGCGAGCGTGGTTTTGATACCCAGAGAGAGCTGCTTTTCCATCAGTGTCTTGACTGCGATTCAGAATGGGCTTCTCCGCTCAAGATGGCAGTACTGAGCTGATTTAAGGCGGGTGATTGACTTATTTTGGTGGCTATTTTTATACTAGCTGGTTAACGAGCTATTTTCTTCATTAGTTTCAGGCATGTGAGCTTAATGAAGCATTGGACCTCCCAAATTACAAGGAAAATAAAGATATAGCTTATATGGTAGGTTCGAAGGAGTTAGTGAACAAACACAGCAGGGCCACAAATTATTGTTAAAGACATGAATGCATGAAAGTGTATATATATCCAAATGGACTCTCTGCAACCATACTGTTCCACCTGAAAATTAGTAGATCGAAATTCAGCAAATGCTTGGACAGAGGATACTCTCAGAAGTATTCTGACTAAATAGCTTGGTTTCTTTTCATATCACTAAAGTAATTTCTTCCCAGATTGACTCTGGACTAAATCTTATGATACCTACTTGTTCTGATTGTACTTAGCCACCTGCAAATAAGGTGGGGGTAGTGGTAAGAGGAGCTGTTGAATGAAATTAAACATTTGTTGGATGCCTACTGAGGATAAAGCCCTGTGCTTTGTGCCAGGAAGATTCCAGAATAAATGAGGCACAGGCCTACTCTCAGGAAGCTTTTGCAAACTAATGGAGAAAACACATTTGCAGGCAATGACTTATGGTATAAGAGGAAATGGGGCCAGGTACAGTGACTCACACCTGTAATCCCAGCACTTTGGGAGGCCAAGGTAGGTGGATCACTTGAGGTCAGGAGTTCAAGACCAGCCTGGCCAACATGGTAAAACCCTGTCTCTACTAAAAATACAAAAAAAAAAAAAAAAAAAAAAAAATGAGCCAGGCTTCATGGTGTGCACCCGCAATCCCAGCTACTTGGGAGGCTGAGGCACAAGAATTGCTTAAACCTGGGAGGTGGAGACTGTAGTGAGCTGAGATCCCACCGCTGCACTCCAGCCTAGGAAACAGAGTGAGACTCTGTCAAAAAAAAAAAATAAAAAATAAAAAATACGATTGATGTTGAATGGGAAATCTAAGCAGGATGGAATGGCAGGAGAGGGCCCACTTGCTCAGCTCCAATAACAATTTTGACAGCCATGACAATATTGCAGGGATGCCCATTCCTCATGGTATCTGAAGCCCCATGAAGGCTTGTGTCTGGAGGTTGGTTCAGTCTTGACTTTAAGATCAGGGGATACAAGGAATGATTTTCATCTATCCCAAGCCAATAGTCCAGCCAAAAATCTAGGTCTGAGATGATGAGAAAAAGCAATCATGAACCATGTCAGCCATTTCATCATCATCATCATCATCATTATCAAAAACAAAAGACAGACCTGTAACCGTCTTGTGTTCCCGGCTCTTTTCTTAGTTCAAAATATAGAAGTAAATTCTATGGCCAGTGAACAATAACCAAAATAGCTCTCATCACTCTTGTCTGCCACCATGTAAGATGTGCCTTTTGCCTTCTACCATGATTTTAAGGCTTCTTCAGCCAAATGGAACTGTGAGCCCATTAAACCTCTTTTTCTTTATAAATTACCCAGTCTTGAGTAATAAAATAGTGGTTTGCCCACAACATCAATGAACGATGCTGTCACTTGGTCCAAACGCGTGCCGTTTAAGAGGTTTGGATAAACAACAACCTAAAATAAATAATCACTAAGCAAACTCAGGGCTACATAATCCCTGTGGTGAGGTAACTGACAATGGGTATAACTGGGACAGTTTACTGTTAAATCACAGCTATCTACATGTGCCCAAGCAGTGAGATACTTGGTTTTAATCCTAAAAAATCATGGTGCGCATTTACCCCTGCCTTCCAACTGGGCTCTAACGTCACCTCCTCAGAGAAGCCCTCTTTTCTGTGCTTCCACTCTGCTTTTTTTCAGCATTTAGTAGAGCATCAGTCACCATCCATATCTGGGAACAATGATTGTAAGAAACAGAAACCCATTTGCATGAGCTGGAGGGAAAGGAGCACACCTTATCTCTAACAGGAAAACTCATGGGCACGAGAAACAAATGAGAGGCCATGAGAGAATGGAAACTGCAGTTACAGAAACCAAAATGCCTCTTTCTGGCTCTCAGAAGCCCATGGTCTCTTTTTTCTTTTTTTTTTTCTTTTTTTGAGACGCAGTCTTGCTCTGTCGCCCAGGCTGGAGTGTAGTCGTGCGATCTCAGCTTACTGCAAGCTCCACCTCCCGGGGTTCACGCCATTCTCCCACCTCAGCCTCCCAATTAGCTGGGACTACAGGCACCCGCCACCATACCTGGCTAATTTTTTGTATTTTTAGTAGAGATGGGATTTCACCATGTGAGCCAGGATGGTCTCGATCTCCTGACTTCGTGATCCACCCGTCTTGGCCTCCCAAAGTGCTGGGATTACAGGCGTGAGCCACCACGTCCGGCAGCCCATGGTCTTTCTTATCAGCCCTGTGGACTTTCTTATCTCTGCTTCTCTCACTCACAAACAATTTTCCCCCTTTTCTGGTGGCCCATCATGGCAGCCAGCAGAGCCCACCACCAGCTGATCAGTCAGTTACTGGATATCTTGGAGAGGGAGGGAGGGAGAGAGGGAGAGGGAGAGGGAGAGGGAGAGGGAGAGAGAGAGAGAGAGAGAGAGAGAGAGAGAGAGAGAGAGAGAGAGAATGACAATTGTGCTTCTGGCCAACCAATTGAGTATAGGGAGGGGAAGTACCATGGTACAAATATGGCGCCAAGACCTGCTTTCTAGCATGGCCAATGAGTAGGGAAATTGAGGGAAGGTACATGCAAACACAACAGACATCTCAGAACATGCTCTCTGTTCTTAGTTCTCTCTCCTGCCTTCTCCTAGATTGTAAATATCACAAGACAATCTAGAATAACACCTGGCTCAAAATATTTGAGAAAGAGAAAAAGGAAGGGATTGGATCAAACTCTAGACTTCATGGTTTCCTAAATTCACTCTGCAAGTTTTTGGGATTTTTGTTTTTTGGGACAGAGTCTCACTCTGCTGCCCAGGCTGGAGTGCAATGGCATAATCTTGGCTCACTGCAACCTCCACCTCCCAGGTTCAAGCAAATCCCCTACCTCAGCCTCCTGAGTAGCTGGGATTACAGACACGCACTGCTACACCAGTTAAGTTTTGTATTTTTAGTAGCGATGGGGTTTCACCATGTTGGCCAGGCTGGTCTTGAACTCTTGACCTCGTGATCCACCCACCTCTGCCTCCCAAAGTGCTGGGATTACAGGTGTGAGCCACCATGCCTGGCTGACTCTGCAAGTATTTAAGTGAATGAATGTCAGACCCTGAGAATCAGAAGAAAGGCATTAAATCTCCATTAGGTTTAGTCATGGTCAGCAGCTGTGGGGTGTCCTGGGTTTGGGATCAGTGGGATGAGGAACAAGCAGGTTCTCCAAACCACCACGCAGGGACGGGAGGTGTTAACTAGGCCAAAGATAATGGGCGGGGTACGTGCCTGGGTTTCAAACAGCTTACACCAGGCTTAAAAACCGACGCTGAAGCAGAAACTGTATTAAGCAAATTGATGACACAATGGAGGGGGTCAAAAAGTTTAATATTGCTAAGAATACAAATATTGATCATGCAATATGATATTGTTTCACACCATCTCCTGCTACACGCCAGGCTTCCTTTACCATGAGATAGAAGAGATTTGTGGATCTGACCTAACCCTCCAAATAGTAAGGTCCCTGAGAGTGGGCTCATGACATTCATGTTTTATAAATGTGGCATAAAGTCTCATGCTGGCTGCCATGTGGCCCAATCCCAGTTCGATGCTGCATTCATAGAACCATCATTCCAGCATGCAAGCATACTTAAAAGCAATTGAAATGTTTATTGCCATCCCTCAAGACAAACACCAAAGAAATATTATTTTCAAAATGCATAGCAACACTTCTTAAAATCGTATTTTCCCATCTCTTTCTCTCTCTCTACCACATTCCCAGGAGTTTCCCAGGAGCAAAACTGTCATAAAGACCCAGGAGCAAAATGATTAATGACTTCACTATATCTGATTCTGATTTAGTTGGTTTAGAGTGGTGTCCGCGCATATGTATTTTTTAATATCTTGCTGGGCACAGTGGCACACACCTGTAGTCTCAGCTACTCGGGATACTGAGGCAGAAGAATCACTTGAGCCCAGGAGTTTGAGTCCAGCCTGGGCAATATAGCAAGACCCTGTCTCTGAAAAAAAAAAAAAAGCAAAAACAAATCTCTCTCAGCTGCAGTCAGGTTTGATAACTAGTTGATCAAATAATTGTGGTAGCCAGCCTTTGCAATGGACCTTAATATTCCCACCTCCTGGTGTTATTCACTGTGGAATCTGTCTTAGCTAGTCCTCAATTGGGTCTGGTATCCAGGTCCCACCTTGAGAGGCTAGTTCCACCTCCTATCCCACACATGGTTTTACGCTTACTTTCAAGACTGGCCTAAAAATGTAAAATGTACTTGTTTTGACCTTGTTTCCAATGAGACAACTATTCTAAACACTCATTTAGGATGGTTTGGTAAATTTGAACACCGGCTAAATATTGAAGATGTTTGCTTCAAAATAACCCAGCTTGGTAATGAGATGATGGCGGCTGAGGCTGGCGATAGGCACAGAGGGCTTCATTATCAAATAGAAACAAGTGGAAAAAACAGAATCTTTTCCATAATAAAAATGTAAGGTAAACACAAAAACGTATTGAGTGCATAAAAAGAATCTATGGTCTCACAGACATTAGCTTATAATTTGAACATCAAAAATAAAAGTAACGGCCAAGTGCAGTGGCTGATGCCTGTAATCCTAGCACTTTGGGAGACCGAGGTGGATGGATCACTTGAGCCCGGGAATTTGAGACCAGCCTGAGCAACATAGTGAGACCCCCATCTCTAAAATAAATAAATATAAATAAAAGTGACTAGAATTGATTATAGAACATCAACTCTATTTGAGTCTATAAAGATTACTGGTGGAGAGGGGCAATGAGGAGAAGGAGAAAGAGAATATATATGTGACCTAGATTATTTTCCTTAGTTTTGAGAGAATCTTTGGGTCTCCTGGGTCTTCTAGCCCAGTATTTATTTTTATTTTATTTATTTATTTATTTATTTTTTTAGATGGAGTCTCACTCTGTCACCAGACTGGAGTGCAGTGGTGCGATCTCTGGCCACTGCAACTTCTGCCTCCCAGGTTCAATCGATTCTCCTGTCCCCATGTAGCTGGGACTACAGGTACCTGCCACTGCACCAGGCTAATTTTTGTATCTTTTGTAGAGATGGTGTTTCACCATGTTGGTCCAGGCTGGTCTCCAACTCCTGACCTCAAGTGACCCACCCACCTTGGCCTCCCAAAATACAAGGATTACAGGCATAAGCCACCACCTCCTGCCTATTTTCCTTAGTTTTCAAAGAACCTTTAGGTCCCCTGGGTGTTCTAGCCCAGTATATCTCAAACTTTGCTGCACTGAGGACCTTGTTGAAATGCAGGTTCTCATCTGGGAGGCTCAGTGGGCCAGCAAATCTGCACTGGTTTAGGAAGCTCACCCTGAGTAGCAAGCCTCAGTGAGGACCAGGCAGACCCCTGCCTGCCAACTCCCTCTCAGCTGGGCTTAACTCTGGCTTTCTCCCGCCAGGGTTCCTCCCCTCAAAATAAGAGCTATTTTCAAAAAGTCTCTTGGAAAAAAGTCCCTGTTTTAAAATTGGGGTGTTTACCACGGTGTTTTAAGACCTTTGCCCAGACCCCCCGCAACCAACTTAGAACTGACATTTTTACTTTTGAAGGCACCACTCCACACCATATTAAATTCATTAAAATCAACCCCCATTACAGGAATATCTCAGGCATCATGCCCTCAGAACGGAGTTGCACCTGACCACTTGACAATGTTGCAAAGCATTAAACATGCATTCATTTCAGCCTTGCAGTTTTCACATTTAGGAGCCAATTGTCTTAGGTCTAAAGCATTCATGTCCAAGCATTGTTATGGGCCCCAGACACTATGCTTCCCAGCCTTCATGGCCTCTGCAATACTGGTTCCTACCGCCCCACCCCTGGGTTCTGGCCGGCTAGCCCACACCACCTCACTGCTCCCCAATTCAAGTGTGCCTTACATGTGTGGTTTCCAAACTCATCTACACTTTAGGGTCACATGGGATTTTCTAAGTGTTCCAAAACCCAGGCAACACCCCACCCCAGAATAATTAAACCTCAACCTCTGGAATGGGACATAGCATCTGTTTTTTGTTTTTTGTTCTGTTTGGTTTTTGAGACAGAGCCTCACTCTGCTACCCAGGCTGGAGTGCAGTGGCACAATCATAGCTCACTACAGCCTCCAACTCCTGGGCTCAAGCAACCCTCCCACTTCAACCTCCAGGGTAGCTGGGATCACAGGTGGGCACCACTAAGCCTGGCTAATTTTTTAATTTTTTACAGAGACAGTATCTCTCTATGTTCTCCAGGCTGGTCTCAAACTCCTGGGCTCAAGTGATCCTGCCCCCTCAGCCTCCCAAATTGCTGGGATCACAGGTGTGAGCCACCATGACTGGCCATCAGCATCTGTATTTTTTGAAGCACAGACGAGTTTGGGAACTACTGCCCTAGCCTGAGCTCAGTTTCCTAGCCCTGTCTGATGGTAGGATTCTGCTGGGCTGCTTCTGAAAACAGAGCTCCCCAGGCTCCTTCCCAGGTAATTCTGATTCATTAGGTCTGGGGTGGGCCCTGGAATGTGTATTTTTTACCAGGTCCCTCTGGGTGAATCAGGCTAAAGCCAGTTTGGGATCTGAGACCTTGGCGCTCATTCCCCAGCTTCCCTCCTAACCCAGTTCCCAGCTTGGCCCACCTCACCCAGGCTGTGTCACATCTGACTTCGCAGATTACACCTGAGAGAGAAACCCCAGCCATCACGATGTGAGAACATGTTACAATGACCAGAAAATGTCAAATACATTTTAAAACTCATTCAGTATTAGCGTTCACCTTAAACTTGACAGACTCTGAGAACGGGCTGGCCACGTGCTGTGCACAACCCTTAGTGCTCTTCTGCGACTAATATTTGGGTAATTGATTGTTGGAAGCTCAGGAAGCCTCTCTCTCTCTCTGCGAGGGGTTGAAGTTAACTTCCTTATTTCTGAAGTAGGGAAGAAAATGAGGATGCCCTGCCTTTTGCTAGACTGAATACTGTCCTCCAAAAATTCACATTCACCAGGAATCCCAGAATGTGACCTTATTAGAAAATAGGGATGGGGCATGGTGGCTCATGCCTGTAATCTTAGCATTTTGGGAGGCTGAGGCAGAAGGATCACTTGAGGTCAGGAGTTCGAGACCAGCCTGGCTAGCATGGCCAAACCCTGTCTCTACTAAAAACACAAAAATTAGCTAGGCATGGTGGCATGCACCTGTAATCCCAGCTACTTCAGAGGCTGAGGCTGAAGAATCACTTGAACCCAGGAGGCAGAGTTGCAGCAAGCTGAGACTGTGCCACTGAACTCCAGCCTGGGCAACAGAGCAAGACTCCATCTCAGAAAAAGAAAAGAATATAGGGTCACTGCAGATTTAATTACAAAGAGGTCATACTGGAATAGTGTGGACCTTAAATGGAGTAATAATGGCTTCCTCATGGGAAGAGAAGAAGAGACAGAGACACACAGGGGAGAAGGCCACATGAGAATGAAGGAAGAGAATGGAATGATGTGGCCACAAGCCAAGGATTTCCAGCAACCACCAGAAGCCAGAAGAGGCGAGGAAGGATTCATCCCTGGAGACTTCAGAGGGAGCACAGCCCTGCCCATTTCAGACATCAAGCTTCCAGAACTGGAGAGAATGACTTTCTGTTGTCCTGAGCCACCCATTTGGGGAACTTTGTTAGAACAGCCACAGCCAGCTCATGTGCTCCTGAATGTGTTTCAGGCATTAATAAGTACTGTCTTGGCTGGGCAGGGTGGCTCACCCCTGTAATCCCAGCAACTTGGTAGGCTGAGGTGGGTAGATCACCTGAGGTCAGGAGCTCAAGATCAGCCTGACCAACATAGAGAGACCCCATCTCTACTAAAAATACAAAAATTAGCTGGGCGTGGTGTTGTGCACCTGTAATCCCAGCTACTTGGGAGGCTGAGGCAAAAGAATCACTTGAACCCTGGAGGCAGAAGTTGCAGTGAGCTGAGATTGCACCATTGCACTCCAGCCTGGGCAACAAGAGCGAAACTCCATCTCAAAAAAAATAATAAGTACTGTCTTGACTGTGGTCATCAAAAATATTTGATTACGGGTTAGCTAGAAAGCCTGACCCTTTCACAGATGGACAGAAGGGCCAAAAGAAAATAGAATGTTTGCACTGGGGCAAGAAGGAAAAGAATCCTATGGGAAAAAAAAAAAAAAAAAAGAGGGATTGGTTTAGTGAGAGCTGGGGAGAGGCATTTGTTTTCTTGCTTAAAAAAGAAACACAGGTTGGGTGTGGTGGCTCAAGCCTTAATCCCAGCACTCTGGGACGCCAAGGTGGGTGGATCAGCTAAGGTCAGGAGTTCGAGACCAGCCTGGCCAACACTGTGAAACCCCATCTCTACTAAAAAGACAAAAAGAAAAAAAAAGCAATTAGTCAGGCATGGTGGTGGGCGCCTGTAATCCCAGTTACTTGGGAGGCTGAGGCAGAGAGTCACTTGAACCTGGGAGGCGGAGGTTGCAGTGAGCCAAGATGGCATCATTGCACTCCAGCCTAGGCAACAAGAGTGAAACTCTGTCTCAAACAAAAAAAAGAAAGTAAAAAACATACTTTTAAGTCCACTCAGTAGAGTTTAAAAATACATTCCCATTGTGCAGTGCTTTTGGAATCTTTTCTAAACTTCTGTTGCATATGATCTAACTTGATCTTCATAGCAACTCCCTGAGGTGGATAAGGCAGGCCTTTCTGAACACTTATTTTCTAGTTTGCGTTAAAAGAATGGAATTGGCTGGGACCAGTGGCTCATGCTTATAACCCCAGCACTTTGTGATACAGAAGGGAAGTGCTCGGAAGGGAAGAATGTGGTCCCTTTAAATGATATGGAAGTGAGGAAGGGAAGTACTGGGTAGAGGAGGGTGTGGTCGCTGGCTAGTGCTCCACCCCAGGGCCTGTGCCCAAGGACCTAGGTGAGGACAGGGATTTTTGTTTTCCTGACCAAATGTTGCATTTCCGAAGACCACCTTGGATGCCACACCCCCATTCTGTGCCTATAAAAACCCTGAGACCCTAGAAGGCAGACACACAGGCAGCTAGACTTCAAGAGGAGCATATCAGCAGAGGAACACATGGGCGCTGCATGTCAAGAGGAACGCACCAATGGGCACCGGCACACCGCAGGCCACTGACTGGCAGAACAAGGCAGAGTTTGGCTGGGACAGTCGGAAAAGAGTCAGGTCACTTGCCCGACTCCAGGGGAAAACCATCTTCCTTCTGGCTCCCCCATCTGCTGAGAGCTACTTCCACTCAATAAAACCTAGCACTCTCACGCCTGTAATCCCAGCACTTTGGGAGGCCAAGGCGGGTGGATCACGAGGTCAGGAGATCGAGACCATCTTGGCTAACACGGTGAAACCCCACCTCTACTAAAAATACAAAAAAATTAGCTGGGCGTGGTGGTGGGCGCCTGTAGCCCCAGCCACTCGGGAGGCTGAGGCAGGAGAATGGTGTGAACCCGGGAGGCGGAGCTTGCAGTGAGTTGAGATCGCACCACTTCCGGTACACCAAGGCAAGAACCCCGGGACAAAGAGAGCCCTCTGTCTTTGCAATAAGGCGGGGGTCTAATTGAGCCGACTAACACAAGCTACCTACGGATGGCTAAACTAAAAGAGCACCCTGTAACACACGCCCACTGGGGCTTCAACTATAAACATTCACCCCTAGACACTGCCATGGGGCTCCCTGCCTGTCTTCATGCTCCCCTAGAGGTTTGAGCAATGGGGCACTGATGAAGCGAACCACACCTCCATCGCATGCCCTTCGAGGGGGACAAGGGAACTTTTCCCATTTTATCCGAGAGGCCAAGGCAGGAGGATCGCCTGAGCCCACGAGTTTGAGACCAGCCTGTGCAACATAGCAAGACCCCATCTCTACAAAAACAAATAAGTAAACAAAAAAAATAAACATTAAAAATTAGCCAGGTGTGGTGACACACACCTTTAGTCCCAGCTACTCAGGAGGCTGATGTGGAAGGATGGATTGAGCCCAGGAGGTTGAGGCTGCAGCGAGTCAAGATTGAACCACTGCATTCCAGCCTGGGCGACAGAGTGACACCCTGTTTCAACAACAACAAAAAGAATTGAACAAAATAAATTCTCAAATAGTTAGCAGAGGCAGATCTGGTATTCAAATGCAGGTTTTCCAGGTTTCAATTCTTGTTTCTAGCAGTATTATGGAGAAACATGATCACTAATACATGAAGGAGAGGAGGTTTCAAGTTCTGATGAAAAGATGGTAAAGAGAGGAGTTAGTTGACTAGGAGTGACTAGGAATGGGGAGAAAACACGTGGCACTACTTACAGGAAAGAAGAAAAATAAGCATAGAGGTGACTGAGCAGACAGAAAGGACTTGGAAGAAGCGTGTTTGGCCCTGACTCTGCATTTCTTCCCTTGCATTAGTAACTTCCCTGATGACCTGGATGAATCTTCTCTTCCAGGGCACCCAGTGTTCCCTTTCTGTCCACTTCTCCTTTCCCAGGGCCCATACAGTCTGGGAAAGCATGCTCTGCAGGCTTCTCATATCTTTCCTTCCTTAATCAGCCCCTAGCATCTCTATGTAACCCATACACACCTGGAGTTCCACATGTCCCAGTCTTTGCACTGCAGTGAATTCAAAGAAAGGTAGACTCTAGCTGGGCGCAGGGACTCACACCTGTAATCCCAGCACTTTGGGAGGCCGAGGCAGGCGGATCACTTGAGCCCAGGAGTTCAAGACCAGGCCTGGCCAACATGGTGAAACCCCATCTCTAGTAAAAACACAAAAATTAGCTGGGCTTGGTGGTACATGCCCAATAGTCCCAGCTACTGGGAGGCTGAGGCAGAAGAATTGCTGGAACCCGGGAGGCAGAGGTTGCAGTGAGCTGAGATCATGCCACTGCACTCCAGCAGCCTAGACAACAGAAGAAGGCCCAGTCTCAAAAAAACACAAAGACAAAACTAAACCAAACGCACACACACACACACACACACACACACACACACACAAACAAAGGTTGACTCCAATAGGAAAAATTCAGTCAAAAGCAGTTCAAATAATTACTCAGTCAACCCAGTTCTATCTCAGTTCTTTATTATATATATAAACTTATGCTGTCTAGATTCCCTAGTTTTCTTTTTATCTTTTTTGTTTTCTTTTGAGACAGGGCCTCACTCTGCCACCCAGGCAGGAGTATAGTGGCACGATCATGGCTCGCTGCAGCCTCAGCCTCCTGGGATGAAGTAGTTCTCCCACCTCAGCCTCCCAAGTAACTGGGACTACAGGTGCATGTCACCATGCTCAGCAACTTTTTGTATTTTTTGTAGAAACGGGGTCTCACTATGTTGGCCAGGCTGGTCTTGAACTGCTGCACTCAAGAAGTCCACCTGCCTCAGCTTCCCAAAGTGCCAAGATCACAAGCATGAGCCACTGCACCTGGCTGATTCCTTAGTTTTCTTTTTCTCTTTGCCCATTGCCTGGATTCCATAAGCAGAAGGAAAACCCGGGGGCTGACATTGTAGGCAAGACTCTTTCCTCTTCAAAACGTAAATTGGTTCAACTGGTACCAAAACTGAAACGTGTTTATAACTTAACATCTTTTCTTACTACCCCTTCAATCTCTTGAGCAATGAGAAAAGGCACTGGGCTCTTTCTTTAGTGACACATAGTCTGTGCCCTCAAAGAACACTGACACCCCGGCAACATCCATTCGAAGAGCTTATCCGTACCTCCCCTCCTTTATCCCCAAGGTCACTGGGTCAGAGCTCACGGAGTCATTCACAACACGATGTTTAACACTGAGAGGCTCTGGAAGTGCTCCTTCAAGACTCAGAAGAAGACCCATTGCTGAGACAATCGTGTTCTCTCTCTCTCTCTGGATCACCGCCCAGAGACAAGGACTTCCGGAGACCCTGGCTTCCCCGGCTGCTGCCTCTCATTCCTGCACCTGTGGGATGAGAGTTCGAAGCTGTGCGACCTTGACCAAGTTACTTACCCTCTCTAAGCATATGTTTCCCTAAATGTGAAATAGGGATGATGGTGATGTGTTTATTTCACCGATTTGATAGAAGGATTAAATGAGAGATGCATCAAAAGCAGTGGGCACAGGGTCAATGCTCAGTGAGCTTTCTCTTTTCTTATCAATAGATAGGTCTCCATGAGGACAGAGACTGGCTTCATCTCGACTGTAGCCTCAGGGCTGGCCACAGTGTCTGCACCCAGCAGGAATTCAGTAAATATCTGTTTATACACTATCCACAGACTTAGGCATAAAAGCCCTTTGGAAGAAAGTTGACCATTTCATGCACCTTCAGACTATGAAGAGCAATGATGACAACTTTAGCTTGAGAGGGTCTCAGTGCCCATTCATCACCACTGTGAAAAGGCAGAAACCAGAACTGTGTGCTTAACTCCCAGTCCCAAAACCTGTCGGCTTTGCTTTATCACTATGAGCTTCCAATGGCATCCCTTTAGAATGGGGCCTCTCTCTTCTTCCCCAAGGCACCAGCCTTCACCCCAGACCTATCCTTATTACCTGGTTCCTCCTCTCTGTACTCTGAGCCCATGCTGTGCTCGTCAGATAGCAACATGGGAGAATACAACAGCCCAGAATGCAGGCTGCAGTGTTAGCTCCCTAGAAGAGGATCTCAGCTGGCTCCATCCCTCCTCAGCTGGGCGACCGTGGCCAATGACTTGCTCTCTCTGCCTGAGTTGCTCCATCTGGGAAGTTAAGATTGTCATACTCCCTGCTTCAAAGAGTCACTGAGAGGATTAACTGAGAAAGTGCAGGGAAAGTGCTTGGAACTAAATGCTTAAAAAAAGTCCATCTGGCCCGGTGCGGTGTCTCACGCCTGTAATCCCAGCACTTCGGGAGACCAAGGCAGGCGGATCACTTGAGGTCAGGAATTCAAGACCAGCCTGGTCAACATGGCAAAACCCCGACTCTACTAAAAATACAAAAATTAGCCAGGCATGGTGGCAGGCACCTGTAATTCCGGCTACTTGGGAGGCTGAGGCATGAGAATCACTTGAACCTGGGAGGCAGAGGTTGCAGTGAGCCAAGATGGTGCCACTGCACTCCAGCCTGGGCAACAAGAGTGAAACTCTGTCTCCAAAAAAAAAAAAAAAAAAAAAGGTCCATCATTCTTACTAACGGAGGCCAAATCATCTCAGCACTTCTTTGGCTGATCAGTATGCTCCAAGCCAGTGTTATCCAATAGACCAGAGGTCCCTAGTCCCCAGACCACGGACCAGTAGTGGTCTGTGGCCTGTTAGGAACTGGGTTGCACAGAAGGAGGTGAGCAGCAGGCTAGCGAGTGAAGCTTCATCTGTATTTACAGCTGATCCCCCTGGCTGAGCTCTGTCTCCTATCAGATCAGCAGTGGCATTAGATTCTCATAGGAGCACCAACCCTATTGTGAACTGCATGTGGAAGGGATCCAGGTTGTGTGTTCCTTATGAGAATCTAATGCCTGATGATCTGTCACTGTCTCCTACCACCCTGAGATGGGATTATCTAGTTGCAGGAAAACAAGCTCAGGGCTCCCACTGATTCTACATTATGGTGAGTTGTATAATGATTTCATTATATATTATAATGTTCATAACAATAAAAATAAAGTACACAATAAATTTAATGCACTTGAATCATCCGGAAACTTCCCCCCAAAAATCCATGGAAACTGGTCCTTGGTGCTAAAAAAAATTGGGGACCACTGCATTAGACTATTCGGTCATGGTCCAATCAAACATTCTGCAATGGCAGACTTGCTCTACTCTGCACTGTCCAATATGGGAGCTGCTAGCCACCCACATGGGCTGTTGAGCCCTTGAAATGTGGCTGGTGAGAATGAAGAGCTGAATTTTCAATTTTCTCTTATTTTACCTAATTTTTTTTTTTTTTGAGACAGAATCTCACTCTATTCCCCAGGCTGGAGTGCAGTGGCACAACTTTGTCTCACTGCAACCTCCATCTCCCAGGTTCAAGCAATTCTCCTGCCTCAGCCTCCTGAGAACCTAGGATTACAGGAACCCGCCATCATGCCCGGCTAATTTTTGTATTTTTGTAGAGACAGGATTTCACCATGCTGGCCAGGCTGATCTTGAACGCCTGACCTCAGGTGATCTGCCCACCTTGGCCTCCCAAAGTGCTGGGATTACAGGCATGAGCCACCATGTCCGGCCTTAATTCATTTCTAAAGCACAAAATCTAAACAACAAGTGGCTAGGAGCTACCATAGTTTACAAGGCAGCTGTAGAATCACAGGAAATTGTCAATGACCCTGTCCTGCTTCAAGTTGACTTTTCCCCCTCATGGTGACACTCTAGATTCTTTCCCCTTCTCTCACATTTTTTAGATTTTCTGGCTTAGACCATGAAAATAAGTTCTGTCCTTCCAAGAAAATAACGTTCATAACACTTAGTGTATACCAGGCTGATTTCAGTGCTTTACATGTATTAATTTACAACAACTCTGAGGCAAGAGCTGTGATTATGCCCATTTGACAGATGAGAAAACTGAGGCACAAAGTGGTGTTGGAACTTCTCAAAGTCACAAAGGTTGCAGGAGGCAGAACTTGGATTTGAACTCACTTTGGGTTCAGCAACTCACAGCTCTCACCTATGACATAATATTACTTCTGTAGTCAAAACACTTAGACCTGGATTTCACAGGAATCTTGTGCTTGCCTGGCTGCTAGGGAGGTTTTCATCATCTTCCTTATCTCACAGTTCAAAACCCAGGGCCTCCATGCTCTTGCTATGGTGGCCGTTCACTGGCAGGAGGCTTCTGGGAAGGTTCTTCTTTTCTGTCATTTTTCTTATTTGTGTTTTTTTGTCTCATTGGTGTTTATCTGCAGAACTTTGTTTCCTTCTGCTCAATTCATAATCAGAGTGCTTTTCCTCTTGGCTGAATTCATAAGTGTTTATGCAAAAAGAAGTTGGGCACAGATCCAGGCGACTGATGACACCCGGCTCCTCTGGCAAGTGGATATCAAATTGTTGTATGTCGCTCTGCCATTCGCGGCTCCTGCTGTGGGGCTGGGCCATCTGCCAGCTCTCCAAGGAGCTGGCAGGAAACCGCTGCAATCAGCGAACCCACGGCCCAGGTCAGCCCGCCTCGGCATAGCACTCCAGCTGGCCCCCAGTGCCTTTTGGGGACACACCTGCATTGCCAGGCAGGGCTGTGGGAGGGCCGCCTGCCTCCTGTCCATCACAAGGAAAACCTACCCTTGTCCTGCGTCCCTTCAAGGCAGCCTATGTGGAGATTGCTGCATTAACCTTTAATATGGCTATCATTTTTCCTTCAATGACAGTAATGCTGCTAGAACCCATCCAGATACCCAGGAACTAATGTGACTTAGCAGATGATGCTGGAAAGATGGGATTCCCGGCAGCCTTTGCATCCCTTGCTCACAGCCCACGAGCATCTCCACCATCCAGCAGGGCTTCTCTCACAGTCAGGGCAGAAAGAGAGAGAGTCTATCTGGAACAGGCTCGGATTTTAAATGAGTGTTCCCAATAATTCAACATGATCGATGGCTGAGGTATTTCACCAAGTTCAGGAGTCCCAGTTCTCAGAGAGAGGCAGCCAGCCATGACTGTAAGACCTGGGCAAACCGTACAAAGAAGACGGCAGGTCTCACCCCTCCCCAGAGAGCTCCAGAGAGTATCAAAGAGTGAAACAGCAGAGGGATGGTCTGGGTGGGGTCATCGTGGCTGACAAGGGTCTGTGACAGCACCTTGTTAGGCTACTCCGAAGAGGAAATTTGGAGAGAGAGTGGGAGGGCAGCTCTCAGTGCAAGCCAAGTCTCCTGGAAAATAACTTTCAAACTTTGGAGGATTGTGAGCAAGATGGGACCAGCAACTTCTACCTAAAAGAATGTTAATAGCAAGATAACTCATCCTAATATTGGTACAAGCTAGGTCTTTATTATGCATCATAAAGGCTCTGAGAATAACAATGTAACCTCCAAAAGGGCTGGGGCTTTGAAGAATCTCAGGCAACTCGCTTCGTTCTGCTCAGTGACTCCCCTGGAGCAAAGCAAAGCAAGGAAACACTTAGAGCCAAGCTTGAGTTTTGAATTTCAAACACAGGGAGTCCATCTCTTTCTACCCAATTGTTCCCTAGAATCAGTAACTATCTCCTTCCCCTTAACGGCACGTACTTCCTACCAAAGCACAAGCACGATGGGCTGTCCATGAGCCTCCCCCAAATATGTGCACCTTGTGACATAAATTCTGTCAGCCAAAGACACCAGACAAAATGCAAAACCAAAGTGGAGCCTTTCCTTGAATTATAGGTTCTAAAGAGTTTTGGGCTCTCTACAAAACCCAAGAGTTAGGAATTGCCTGTAAGAAGCACCAGCCCTTGTTTTAAAGAGGCAATTTAAGAATAATAGCCACGCTGATGCCACACTACGATAAGGGAGAATAATTAACCTAATAAAACTAGCGATTTTCCAATTACTTTTGCTGCTGGAAACACTGATTATGCTAATTAAAGGGTAGAATAGTAAATACTGACTCTTTTGCATCCAATTAAGTGTTCAGATTATTTCTCAGAAGTGTTTGTTGAAAATAGCACTTCTGATAATCGTGGGTCCCAAATAAACAGTCAATTGTGGTGTGGTACATGTGTGAGTGTGTGTGTGAGTGTGTGTGCATGTGCACACATGTGTCTTTCTGGAGCTCATTTTATGGAGATCCTGCATAGCTCCCCAAATTCCTATGAGACCAAATAAGAAAAATCACAGTTTCCTAAGACTACAGCTTGGGATATCTTTGGAAAAGGTGTGTATTGAGAACACAGCATACAGAACCTATTTCACATTGGCAATATCTGTGATTTAACATTGCAAACATCAGAAATACAACTGGTTCTTCAGAGCCACCTAAGTCCCTCATAATGGCAATATTAGCTTCTTCTAAATAATAAGTTAGCCAGTGAAACTATGTTCTACAGCATGTTAGAAGTTTCATCCTTCTAGTCAATGTCACATTTCAAGGCAAAGTCGATTGATATGTAAGTTAACAAAAGTGCTGTCACTAAAAATTGAGAATTATGTCTAATGCCAATCAGAAATGGAATAAATAAGTATTAGAGGATTTGCAAGTAAAAGCAACCATAGAAATGCTTTTATCAGGAAGGAAAATGTATTACCTGCAGAGGTTACAGATAAGACGCTAGAACCCAGAAGAGAAAGAATCTCTGTAAATATTTCCATTAAGTTAATCAAGAGTGGCTGGGTACGGTGGCTCATGCCTGTAATCCCAGGACTTTGGGAGGCCAAAGCAGGCAGATCACGACGTCAGGAGTTCAAGACAAGCCTGGCCAACATGGTGAAACCCTGTCTCTATTAAAAATACAAAAAATTAGCCAGGTGTGGTGGCGTGCAACTGTAATCCCAGATACCCGGGAGGCTGAGGCAGGAGAATTGCTTTAATCCAGAAGGCAGAGGTTGCAGCGAGATGAGATCACACCATTGCACTCCAGCCTGGGTGACAGATCATGGCTCCGTTTTGAAAAAAAAAAAAAAAAAAAAAAAGAAGGAAAGTTAATCAGGAGTGAGAATAGGATGAGTTTTTCACCCACAAAAGGAGATGAGATTCATGCGTTCTTTCAACATGCATTCCATCAATAGTGAGCACATGCTCTGAGCTAGGCCCGTTCTAGGTCCCAGGAAATGGGTAACTAACCAGACATGACCACTGATTTGGAGCTCACATTTTACAGCAGCTAAATGGACAGTAAACAAGTAAGCAAATTAAGATCATCTTAAGTTGGGGGAAGTTCTTTACAGAAGCACTTCCACAAAGCTGAATCGCATCATAGACTATGACTGCCAGGTGGTAGGGAAGGTAATATCTCACCTGCCTGTGGATAGCAGAGCTTCTGAGGCCTTGCAAAGTATTTAGTACTAAGATATCTGTCTTAGGTCAAGTTCCCTAAAAGCAGAGCCTGAGGCAGGGATTGAGTGCATGTAATTCATTCAGGACTCTCAGTAGATAGGAGTAAGGAAAACAGGATATGGCAGGGAAGGAGCTAAGTGAGATGTGGTCTCAGCTGGAGACTGGCTCCAGTCTGATCTCACAGGGAGTTCCAGAGGATCAGCTGCACCACCATGTTATCCCAGACTGAGATCTTTTGTTCTCCTGTATCAGCCGGTCCCTGGCCAAGGGCTGCAGACTCTCTTGGGGCCCCAGCAGACTGGAGGAGAAGGAGCATGGTCTGTGGTCTACTCTTTTGTGCACCCCCACCCACCTCTTCCCCAGCTGACACTGCTGGAGGAGGAGAGGGAAGAGATGTCATCTCCTCCTATGGCAACCTGTGGGATAGCAATGGCCCTTTTCCTGTTGGGTGTAACCTCCTGCCATCTCTTGCTGTCTGCAGCCTGACAGAGAAGGGTGAAGGTCACCAGGTTCCACTGACAGCGGTCATTGTCTCAAGCAGCAACCCTAGGACTGCAGCTCCCTTGCAAGATTCAGCCACATCTCATGACTGTCTGCAACACACCCCATGCCTCTGATGGAAGGAACCCAATGCCCCATGCTGCACCCATTTCTGCCAGACTGGGGTCCCTGATCTCAATTTCCCTCTGCAGTCCCCAACTCTGGGGTCTGCAGACACATTTCAGATCCATCCTTAGTACCTCCCAGGAGGCAGAAGCCAGAGGAAATAATCCTTGCCCCAATGCACCTGAGCATGCCACTTCACTGTATGCTCTTTCTCCCTCTCCAGGAAAAAATCAAGCTTGTTGAATACTTACCAATGCGCCCACATGAATTTAGTCCCCATAACCACTTAATGGGGCAGCATTATCATCCCCAAGTTACAGATGAGGAAACTGAGGAGAGCATTTATATAACATGCATCTAAGTGGTGGACAAAGGATCTAACCAGGCAGTGTGGCACCAGAGCACACTTTTTTGTGCTTTAGGGAGATGGGGTCTCTCTCTGTCCCTCAAACTGGAGTGCAGTGGCCTGATCATGGCTCACTGCAGCCTTGAACTCCCGGGCTCCAGCAATCTTCCCGCCTCAGCCTCCTGAGTAGCTGGGACTACAGGCATTCACCACCAACCCAGCTAATTTTTAAAACATTTTTCTAGAGATAGGGTCTGATCTCAAACTCCTGACTTCAAGCGATCCTCCTGCCTCAGCCTCCCAAACTGCTGGGATTACAGTCATAAACTCCTGCGACCAGCCCAGAGCACACTTTTTTTTTTCTTTTGAGATGGAGTCTCACTCTGTCACCCAGGCTGGAGTGCAGTGGCAAGATCTCGGCCCAGGGCACACTTTTAACCACCATATCATTCTGCCTCTGGGTAGGTCAGTCAAGCTCTGTAGCTGATCAGATGTCTGTAGAGAGAAGGAGACATCAGTCTCCCCATCTTCCAAACACCCCCGAATTTTACAAGTGATTTTCTCAGATCCCTCAGCATCAGGAATGGGGATGAGCAGGGCAGCCTGTCCCCTTCCCAACAGCCCAGCAGATATCCCAAGATTACATCTCATTGGCTCTGACTAGGACATGAGCCCAAAGCTGAACCAGTTGCTGTAGCCATGGCATGCAGCATCTTCGGTCCTCTGGCCAGGCCAGAGCCACATCCCACCTCTGGATCCTCGAGTTGAGTCAATACATCTTGAACCAGGCACGGACTGAAGCTCAAGGGGGAGTCAGAGTAATGTGACCCAGCCCACCATGTAGTGGGTGCTGAGCAGGCAAGCATTCATCACCCACTGCACACACCAGGGAAGGCTTGTGGTGGCTAAGTCCCACCTGAGGGCAAAGAAAAGAGTGCCTGCTCCGTGCCAAAATGTGATGCCCAACACTGTATCTTAAAGCTAGCTGGCTTTGTAATCCCAGCTACTTGGAGGCTGAGAGAGGAGAATCACTTGAATCCAGGAGGCAGAGGTTGCAGTGAGCCAAGATCACACCATTGCACTCCAGCCTGGGTGACAAGAGAGAAATTCTGTCTCAAAAAAAAATTAAAAAAAGCTAGTCGGCTTCATCCTCGCAAAGATGCCATCTACTTTTTGGCATTCTACAGGTAGAAACACTGAGGCACTGGAAAATTTTAAAACTCACCACCAGCCTGGCGTGGTGTCTCATGCCTGTAATCCCAGCACTTTGAGAGGCTGAGGCAGGAGAATTAGTTGAACCCAGGAGTTCAGGACCAGCCTGGGCAAATTAGCGAGACCTCATCTCTACAAAAAAAAAAAAAAAAAAAAAAAAAATTAGGGCTAGGTGCGGTGGCTCACACATGTAATCCCAGCACTTTGGGAGGCCAAGGCAGGTGGATCACTTCAGCCCAGGGGTTCGAAACCAGCCTGGCCAACATGACAAAACTCTATCTCAACTAAAAATACAAAACTTAGCTGGGCATAGTGGCACGTGTCTATAATCCCAGCTACTTGGGAGACTGAGGCAGGACAATTGCTTGGACCCAGGAGTCAGAAGTTGCAGTGAGCTGAGATCGTGCCACTGCACTCCAGCCTAGGTGAGAGAGTGACACCGTGTCACAAAAAAAAAAAAAAAAAAAAAAAAAAAAAAAATATATATATATATATATATATATATATGTATGGTGGTACATGCCTGTGGCCCCAGCTACTCAAGAGGCTGAGGTGGGAGGATCGCTTAAACCCAGGAGTTCAAGGGTGCAACGAGCTATGATTGTACCACTGCAGCACCATATATACACATATATATGTATATGTATATAGGTATGTCTATATATACACATATATACACGTATATGTGTGTGTATATATATATATATATATATATGTATATATATAAAAAACACACATGCACAAATTCACCACCAACAACACAGAAATTACCGTCTCCCTCTATTCTAAGGAATTATTTTTCATTTTGCCATCTCTGAAGTTGGAATACACCTTACAATCACTGGTAAGTCACGGTCTCGTTGGCAGCATTTTTCTGCTTAGTAGCCCATAAAATAATAGCACATCTTGTAACTAACAGTGTTGTAGATGCTATGAGATCCTGGGGAAGCCCAGAATCTAACTCCACCCTGTCTGACTCCAAAGACCACATATTTTCTATGTCTTTGGACTGGGGCACAGATGTAGACAACTCGAGCTTTGCTGATTGTGAGAAAGGTATGATAAATGGCCCTGACGGAATTTTCTTCTTGTACTTGCAGGGCAACAAAGCAGCATCATCCCACTATTCCAGGGGAGGTGCTAAATACGAGGGTGAGGCTGTCAAGCAGTCCCTGGTGGAGTCCTACACTCACCCAAACAGCAACGAGACAGAGCGGAGTGCGAACATCGATACTGTCATGAACTGGTTCACCAAGGAAGACTTTGACTTTGTGACTCTGTGTTACAGAGAGCCAGATAACGTGGGACATCGATTCAGGCCAGAGGCAGAGAATAGGAAGTTGATGATTCAGCAAATCGACAGGACCATCAGGTATCTGGTGGGAGCCACTGAGAAGCACAGCCTGCAGAACACCTCAGCGTCATCATCACATGAGACCATGGGATGACCACCGTGAAGAAGAGACCCAATGTCAACAAGATCCCTTGTCCAACTACATCAAGTTTATGGACTTGGTCAAGTTTGATATTGTGGGCTACGGTGGCTTTGGGATGCCCCTGCCCAAATTGGGGCAAGAGGAAGCCCTTTACCAGGCACTGAAGAATGCGTACCCTCACCTCCACATCTACAAGAAGGAGGGGTTTCCAGAACACTTCCATCTCGCTAAACATGACCGGGTTCTGCCAATCGTGATGTATGCCAACTTTGGTTACAGTATCAATGGGGTAAGTTCATTCTAAAATGAATAAAGTCACCTTGGATCTAGGAGACATCCATTAGGGAAGGGTGGTTCTGCAAAAATCAAACATAAGAGCACAGCCGGGCACGGTGGCTCACGCCTATAATCCCAGCACTTTGGGAGGCTGAGGCAGGTGTATCACCTGAGGTCAGGAGTTTGAGACAAGCCTGGCCAACATGGTGAAACCCCATCTCTACTAGAAATACAAAAATTACCTGGGCGTGGTGGTGCGCATCTGTAGTTCCAGCTACTCTGGAGGCTGAGGCAGGAGAATCGCTTGAACCTGGGAGGCAGAGGTTGCAGTGAGCTAAGATCGTGCTACTGCACTCCAGTCTGGGCAACAGAGTGAGACACTGTCTCAAAAAAATATAATATAATATAATATAATATAATATAATATAATATAATATAATGTAATATAATATAATAAAACAAAACAAAACAAAACAAAATAAAATAAGTGCCCACGCTACGAGCTGTAGCCCACAGGGTCCTAAATGTTCCCCACCCCCCGCCCAACCAATGCTGCCCCAAATTACCATTATACAAGATTAATGACCAATTCAACTCGACAAGGCTGATTTAAAAATAAAAATAAGGCTGGCCATGGTGGTTCACACCTGTAATCTCAGTGTTTTGAGAGGCCAAGACAGGAGGATTGCTTAAGGCAAGGAGTTCAAGACCAGCCCGGGCAACATAGGGAGACCCCAACACTACAAAAAACAAACAAATAAATAAATAGCCAGACATGGCGATGCATGCCTGTAGTCCCAGCTACTCAGGAGGCTGAGGTGGCAGGATTTCTTGAGCCCAGGAGGTCAAGGCTGCACGAAGCTGTGATTGCACTACTGCACTCCAGCTTGAGCAGCAGACAAGACCCCGTCTCTAAAAAATAAATAAACAAATAATAAAAAATAAACACCAACTTCATTATTCAAAATTGTGCATAGCGCTTCACTAAACATTGAATAGCAGTTCTTTCATTTTTGTCTTCCCAACAACCCTATAAAATAGAGGCTCTTAGTTCCACTATTTAAAAGAAGAAATCAAAACCTAGAGAGAAGTGACTTGAGATTAAAAATGTAAGTTTGGGCTGGGTGTAGTGGCTCGCACCTGTAATCCCAGCACTTTAGAAGGCTAAGGTAGGTATATTGCTTGAACCCAGGAGTTTGAGACCAGCCTAGGCAACACAGTGAAACACCATCTCTACAAAAAATGCAAAAAAATGTAGCTGGGCGTAGTGGCACGTGCCTGTGGTCCCAGCAACTCAGGAGGCTGAGGTGGGAGAACTGCTTGAGCACGGGGGTGTTGAGTCTGCAGTGAGTCATGATCACGCCACTGTGAGATAGGAGGCAGGACTTGACTCCACAGGCGAGGCTTGGACACCAGACCAAATTGAGGACTAGCTAAAACAGGGCTGGGGCAGAAGCAGCTTTCCATCAGACATGCCCACCAGTGTGCTATGTGAGTTGACTATTGCCAAGGCAACACCCGGGAGTTACTGCCCCTTTCCATGGCAATGACCCAATGACTCAAAAGTTACTACCCATTTTCTAGAAATTCCTGCATAAACTGCCCTTTAATCTGCATACAATTAAAAGTGGGTATAAATGTGATTGCAAACTCTCTGCCGCTACTCTTTGCCTCCAGGGTAACCCTGCCCTACAGGAGCAGTCACAGGGCTGTAATGCTGCCTCTTCAATAAAGCTGTTTTCTTCTATACCTCCGGCTTGCCCTTGAATTCTTTCTTGGGTAAAGACAAGAACGCTCACGTGCTATTGAGAGGTGAGAGCATGCCGGCAGCCCTCGAGCTCACTCTCGGTGCCTCCTCTGCCTGGGCTCCCACTTTGGCGGCACTTGAGGAGCCCTTCAGCCCGCCGCTGCACTGTGGGAGCCCCTTCCTGTGCTGGCCGAGGCTGGAGCCGGCTCCCTCAGCTTGCAGGGAGGTGTAGAGGGAGAGGCCTGGGCAGGAACCGGGGCTGGGCGTGGCGCTTGCGGGCCAGCGCGAGTTCCGGGTGGGCATGGGCTCACTGGGCCCAGCACTCAGAGTGGCCTGCCAGCCCCGCTGGACCCAGGCAGTGAGGGGCTTAGCACCTGTGCCAGCAGCTGCTTTGCTCAGTTTCTCGCAGGGCCTTAGCTGCTTCCCTGCAGGGCAGGGCTCGGCACATGCAGCCCACCATGCCTGAGCCTCCCCCCAACCCTCCGTGGGCTCCTGCGCAGCCTGAGCCTCCCTGATGAGTGCCAAGCCTCCCCAATGAGCACCGCCCCCTGCTCCAGGGCGCCCAGTCCCATCAACCACCCAAGGGCTGAGGAGTACCAGCACAGGGCGTGGGAGTGGCAGGCAGCTCCACCTGTGGCCCCCGTGTGGGATCCACTTGGTGAAGCCAGCTGGTCTCCTGAGTCTGGTGGGGACTTTGAGAAGCTTTATGTCTAGCTAAGGGATTGTAAATACACCAATCGGCACTCTGTATCTAGCTCAAGGTTTGTAAATACATCAATCAGCACCCTGTGTCCAGCTCAGGGTTTGTGAATGCACCAATCGACACTCTGTGTCTAGCTAATCTAGTAGGGACTTGGAGAACTTTTGTATCTAGCTCAGGGATTGTAAATGCACAAATCAGCACCCTGTCAAAACAGACCAATCAGCTCTCTGTAAAACAGACCAATCGGCTCTCTGTAAAATGGACCAATCAGCAGGATGTGGGTGGGGCCAGATAAGGGAATAAAAGCAGGCTGCCCCAGCCAGCAGTGGCAACCCACTGGGGTCCCTTTCCACACTGTGGAAGCTTTGGTCTTTTGCTCTTTGCAATAAATCTTGCTGCTGCTCACTCTTTGGGTCCACATTGCCTTTATGAGCTGTAACACTCACCTCGAAGGTCTGCAGCTTCACTCCTGAAGCCACCGAGACTATGAACCCAATGGGAGGAACAAACAACTCCAGACGCGCCACCTTAAGAGCTGTAACACTCACTTTGAAGGTCTGCAGCTTCACTCCTGAAGCCAGCGAGACCACAAACCCACCAGAAGGAAGAAACTCTGAACACATCCGAGCATCAGAAGGAACAAACTCCAGACACGCCGCCTTTAAGAACTGTGACACTCACCGTGAGGGTCCACGGCTTCATTCTTGAAGTCAGTGAGACCAAGAACCCACCAGTTCCGGACACACTATGCTCCACTTCGGGGCTCCCCTGCCCTGCGTCAACTGCACTCTGGCCTGGGTGGCAGAGAGAGAGACCCTATCTTAAAAAAAAAAGAAAGAAATGTAAGGTTAAGTGCTGCCCCCAAGCCTGAGTGGCTGATCATTATACAGAGTACACAAAGATCACCAAAACAGTCACTACAGAGGCCCCCCGCTGCTGGTTCTCATTTGCCCATATCAAAAAATATGCAAGCCTGTTCATACAAAGACACACACAGATGCTCGTAGCAAAATTATTCATAATTGTCAAAAGTTGGCAACAACACAAATGCCTATCAACAACAGATGAATGGGCAAACAAATACAGTCTACCCATGTGATGGAACATTAATCAGCCAAAATATGGAATGAAGGGCTGATTCATGCTACAACCTGGATACACCTTGAAACCATTAGGCTAAGTGAGAGAAGCCAGACAAATATTAGATGATTATATATATATATATATATATATATATATATATATATATATATATGCCCAGAATATGAAAATCCAAAGAAACAGAAAGTAGATTAATGGTTGCCAGGAGCCAGGGGTGGGGATAGTCGGGGAGAAATAAGGGGTGACTGCTAATGGATACAGGGTTTCTTCTGGGGTAATTAAAATTTCTAAAATTGATGGTGATGATGGCTGCAAAACTCTGTGAATATATTAAAAACCACTGAAATATACACATTATTTATTTATTTAGAGACAGGATCTGGCTCTGTTGCACAGGCTGGAGTGCAGTGGTGCAATCTCAACTCACTGCACCATCCACCTCCCAGGCTCTAACCATCCTCCCACTTCAGCCTCCTGATTAGCTGGGACTACAGACACACACCATCATGCCCAGCTAATTTTTTTGTATTTTTGGTCAAGACAGGGTTTTGCCATGTTGCTCAGGCTCATCTCAAACTCTTAGGTTCAAGCGATCCTCCCACATCAGCCTCCCAAAGTGCTGGGATTACAAGTGTGAGCCACCATGCCCGGCCAAATGATACACTTTAAATGGGTAAATTGTATGGTATATGAATTATCTTTCAATAAAGCTGTTATTAAAAAGCAGCTTTAAGGGCCAGACATAAGGGCCATGCCTGTAATGCCAGCATTTTGAGAGGCCAAGGCAGGAGGATCACTTGAGCCCAGGAGTTCAAGCCCAGCCTAGACAACATGGCAATACCTGGTCTCTACACAAAATTTAAAAATTAGGATTGGCGTGGTGGCTCACGCCTGTAATCCCAGCACTTTGGGAGGCTGAGGTAGGGGGATCACTTGAGGTCAGGAGTTCAAGACCAGGCTGGCCAACATGGTGAAACCCTGTCGCTATTAAAAATATTTTTTAAAAATTAGCCAGGCCTGGTGGTGGGTGCCGAGGCTGAGGCAGAAGAATCGCTTGAACCGAGAGGTGGAGGTTGCAGTGAGCCGAGATTATGCCAGCGCACTCCAACCTGCTGGGCGACAGAGCAAAACTCCATTTCAAAAAAAAAAAAATTAAAAATTAAAAATTAGCCAGAGGTGGTGGCTCGTGTTTGTAGTCCCAGCTACTCAGGAGGCTAAAGTGGGAGGACTGCTTGAGCCCAGGAGGTTGAGGCTGCAGTGAGCCAAGACTGTGTTGTTGCACTCTGGCCTCAGCAACAGAACAAGACCCTGTTTCACAATTTTAAAAACAACTAAAAAACAAGCCTAAAGAAAACACAAAAACCAATGCTAACTGTGAGACATAAATGAGGTGGTCTATTTTTTGTTAACTACCAACTAACAATTCATGGCAGAAACAAAGTTTAAATGATGCTATAGCCGGGAGCTGTGGCTCACACCAGTAATCCCAACACTTTGGGAGGCTGAGGCGGGTGGATCACCTGAAGTCAGGAGTTTGAGACCAGCCCGGTCAACATGGTGAAACCCTGTCTCTACTAAAAATACAAAAATTAGCCAGGTGTGGTGGCGCGTGCCTATAATCCCAGCTACTCGGGAGGCTGAGACTGGAGAATCGCTTGAACCCCGGGGGGGCGGAGGTTGCAGTGAGCCAAGATCGCACCATTGCACTCCAGCCTGGGCGACAGAGCGAAACTCCGTCTCAAAAAATGAATAAATAATTAAATAAATGATGCTATAAACCTCATGTGAGGGAAGACTGCCCCACGTACAGCTTGAAGAACCCTTGCTGTGAATAGGAGCCAAATACGATAATTATGTTTGCAACTTGCTTCATGTCAGCTTGTTGCAACTCCAGAGTGTAACAGGTATGAGAAAACTCATGGAGTTACTGTTTAATGTTGGTGGAAATATTCACATTAAAATACAACAGTTAATCACCTAAGGTATATTTTATCCCTCAAGTGGCCCGGAACACTGTGATTATTGCACACTAATCGCACGCCCATAGCTAAGGCATTGCCAAGGAGAAATTCCACAGTCACCTGGCCTATTTGTAAACCTGGTTTATGACGTTTTGTAACAGGATATCTTGACAGTAGCATGAGGACATTTAACGAGACAAGAACATTCCCCACTGACCAACCAGATGGTTTCAGGGAACAGGATGCTGTGCTCAGTTTAATATTCTGCTGGACCGACCATTAGGCAGAAAATCCTTTGGGTCAATGCCTCTCACTGAATCCACTTCTCAGATTCCTGTCCACCTGCCTGCTTTGCAGTGCAGTGGGCCTTCCTTGACTCTCTTCAGGGACCAATGTGCTTGAGGCCATCATGAGGACATTCATTTTTTTTTTTTTTTCCTGAGAGACTCTCGCTCGGTCGCCCAGGCTGGAATGCAGTGGTGTGATCTCAGCTCCCCACTGCAATCTCTGCCTCCCAAGTTCAAGTGATTCTCCTGCCTCAGCCTCCTGAGTAGCTGGGATTACAGGCACGCATCACCAGGGCCAGCTAATTTTTCTATTTTTTGTAGAGACAGGGTTTCACCATGTTGGCCATGCTGGTGTCGAACTCCTGACTTCAAGTGATCCACCTGCCTCGGCCTCTCAAAGTGCTGATATTACAGGTGTGAGCCAACGTGCCTGGCCGAGGGCTTTCATTCTCGATGGACTGCTCCATAGCCTCAGAGACAGTCGGACTAGTTTCTTCAACCAGAGCGGAGCAGACAGGCAATTTCTGTATCCACCAGGAGAAATATTAGACCAACTCTTCAATTTACAGAGAGCATCACATTTCTTATATGCTAGAATATCTCTTGGTCTAAAATATAAATAAATAGTATTGTAGCCAGCCACAGTGGCTCACACCTATAATTCCAGAGCTTTGTGGGGCTGAGGCAGGAGGTTCACTTGAGGTCAAAGTTCAAGACCAGCCTGGGCAACATGGCGAGACACCCCCCCACCGCCACCTTCCATCTCTACAAAAATTAAAATAATTAGCTGGGCACAGTAGTGTGGGCCTGTAGTCCCAACTACTTGGGAAGCTGATGTGGGTGGATCGCTTGAGCCCAGGAATTTGAGGCTGCAGTGGGCTATGACTGCATCACTGTACTCCAGCTAGACCTTGTCTCAAAAAAAAAAAAAAAAAAAAAGTTGCAATTGACATTACTTTATCATTTGAAAACAGGGACAGACAAGAAAGGTATTTGGCATTTACCAAGCAATTACCCAGAATCCTCATCCCATCCTACCCCCACCCTTCCCCTAAAAATGTATGTATATGTTTTTATACCATAAAAAATACATCTATTTGGCTCTGGAACCAGATTGCTTGGGTTCAATTACCTGATCTAGCATTTGCTCCTGATGACTCAGTGCAGAAAAGCTCTGTAACTCAGTTTCCCCAGCTGTAAAATGGGGAATGGAGCCTTTACTGGGCTGCCATGAGGGTAAGGGAGGTAACATATATTTATAAAGCATTCAGAACAATTCATGATACATAGTAAGCTCTATATATTTGAACTTATTATTACTGTCAGTACGATTATCATCATCTTGCTGTTTCCAATGGGTACGCTTTCTACATTCTCTTTCTTAAAGACCTTTAAATCCTTGGTATTCTCTCCACCACCACAGAGAGCAGTGTCCTTGCCGTTTAAATTTTCAAAGACTTCATGGATCCAATAAGCATGCCATTAACTAAGGGACAGTTTTCTTTCAGTGGATTAGAATCTAAAATGGCTTTTTTATTGTTATTATTGGCCAGGCTGGTCTCAAACTCCTGACTTCAAATGATACCCCCACGTCACCCTCCCAAAGTGTGCTGAGATTACAGGCATGAGCCACCATGCCTGGCCCTCATTCTCTTCTTTTATAAGGACACCAGTCATTGCATCTGCCCCCTCACTAGCAGCCCCCAATCCAGGATGACTCATCGTTACTTGATTACATCTAGAAAGACCCTATTTCCAAATAAGGTCACATTCCTGGGTACCGAGGATTAAGATTTCCAACTTTTTCCCTGACCCATTTTTTTTTTTTTTTTTTTTTTGAATCAGGGCCTCACCCTGTCACCCAGGCTGGAGTACAGTTATGTGATTATAGCTCACTGCAGCCTCAAACTCCTGGGCTCAAGGGATCCCCTGACCTCAGCCTTCCAAGTGGCTGAGACTACAGGCGCACACCATCATGCCCAACTAATTTTTTTTTTTTTTTTTTGTACAGGTTAGGTCTCACTCTCTTGACCAGGCTGGTCTGACCTCAAGCGATTCTCTTGCCTTGGCCTCCCAAGGCACTGGGATTACAGACATTATCCCGTGCCTGGCCTTCTTTCTACATCTCAATCATTGTATCATTAGCCTGAGCTGCCCATATTCCTTATTCTGCCCATCCCTGACCAATCTCCTCCTTTAACATAACTTCCATCTCGATATCATGGGGCCTGCTGGGCACTGCAAACAGCCTAAGGAAAGTGGAAACTTTACTTAACCTTAAATTCTATTACAAAGCCCACATTGAACGTAATTTATATTTGAACTATAAAAATTTTCTGTAAGTTGAAACATGACCTATAAAGGTCTCTACACCCTGAAGCAACGTTTTAGAAAGAAATCAACTGGTCCTTTTCTACAGAAACCATTAACCATAGGAGAGATAAAAGAAAAACTTCAATGTACTGATTGAAACTTCCATGCCCATAGCTTAACTTCTAAAAGGCAACCATTCCATACTGTTAAACTGCCTTAGGTTGTTATTACTATTATTAAAGAGACCCTGAAAGCCAGAAGTTGAATCTTGACTGTAGTTCTTGCACGTACACGCACACTCTTGCAACTGAAACCACTCAGATTGTCCTAATGCTGCTCCCCATAGCAACACCACCTGGAATTTTACGTTTGTTTTTAAGCATCAGTCGTAATCTTCACTTGCACCCGAACACACAGCACCTGTGAGAGCCACGTGACATTAAAAAAATCCCTTCAGTGAGGCCGGGAATGGTGGCTCATGCCTGTAATCCCAGCCCTTTGGGAGGCCAAGACAGGTGGATCATGATGTCAAGAGATTGAGACCATACTGGCCAACATGGTAAAACCCTGTCTCTACTAAAAATACAAAAATTAGCTGGGCATGGTGACGCGTGCCTGTAGTCCCAGCTACCCGAGAGGCTGAGGCAGGAGAATCGCTTGAGCCCGGGAGACAGAGGTTGCAGTGAGCTGAGATCGTGCCACTGCACTCCAGCCTGGCAACAGAAGGAGACTGCCTGAAACAAAAAAATCCCTTCAGTGCCTTTATCCTTCCAGATTCAGATCCAAGAGAGATGACATTTGTCCCTCACCAGAGACTGCACACCAAGATAAAGATTTCTTCTGGCCAGGCGCGGTGGCTCACGCCTGTAATCCCAGCACTTTGGGAGGCCGAGGCAGGTGGATAACCTGAGGTCAGGAATTTGAGACCAGCCTGGCCAACGTGTTCAAACCCTGTCTCTACTGAAAATACAAAAATGTCCCGGCAGGGTGGCTTATGCCTGTAATCCCAGCTACTCGGGAGGCTGAGGCAGGAGAATCGCTTGAACCTGGGAGGTGGAGGTTGCAGTGAGCCGAGGTCGCACCATTGCACTCCAGCCTGGGCAACAAGAGAGCAAAACTCCGTCTCCAAAAAAAAAAAGAAAAAAAGATTTCTTCTGTGTGCATGGCTCAGCTCTGTGGTCCACTAGCGTCCTTCCTCAATCTGCTTCCAATCTATGGACTCAGGAAAGACTGAACCAACCTAGATTTATTAATATTTTAGTATAACATAATACAGTGTTACTTACTATGGCATTGACCGTATATGCCCTTTTGCTCCTTGGAGGAAAGACAATTAATAGCTATTATGTGAGTTAATAAAATAAGCCCAAGATTTATGAGTATAGCTAACCTGTTCCCATTGGTTTTCCTTGTCTCCTGCAGGCAGAGAGCTGATCAAAACAGCAAAAGCAAAGCAGTGCCCCTGGCCCAGTTCTGAAGCCAACCTTCCTTAATCACCCAGACCCATCCCTGGTTAGGACTTGCTGTGGATCCTCAGGTGACTCCATCTCAGGATAGAGGGACTGAGAGGGTGTATGCAACATCTCAGACACAGAAACCGTTGATTCTGTCTAAAAACACAGCAATAACCACATCCCATCCTCTTGATTTAAATGAAAGTGTTTGGGGGAATAAAAGATGAACCTTTTTTTTCTTTGTCAGATCTTGCGCTCATTTGGTTCTGGTGGGGAACAACAGCTATAAGAGAACAAGTGTATTCAATTCGAATTAATTCCCCTCTCTTATTCTCATAGCTGAGCAGGGCTCAAGTGCCTCTCATCTGAAAGAGGTAATAAGATTTTATCTGTCTCCTCATCTACCTTTTGCAAGTATACTTAACAAATTAGCTCTCGAGACTCTTCCAAATGGAGTTTTATGAGGAATTTGCTAAGGTAAACGTTTTAGACTTTGAACACAGTTCAGATTTCGGGGGCAGTACTGAAATCTGAACTGTGTTGCTAACTGCCCTGCCTTTCAACTCAAGACACAATAACTTTGAACTAAAATAATTATATTTTTGTTGTTTTCCACTCTGTCCCCACGTCTATATCACCACCACCCCCCCATCCCACCCCGCAGGAGCTAACTCCTCTTTCCTGTCCCTGCAAGATCAAAACTCCTCCTGCAAGCCCCGCTAGCTCTGTCTGCTCATCTTTGTGGCAGATATCGCTATTGTACTTTTATACTCATTTGTGTGATAAGTACTTCAATGTCCACTTCTTCCACGAGCCCCTGAGCCTCTGGAGGGCCCAGACCACACCTAGTCTTTCTCACCGTTACATCTCCCTTGTCAGGCACATGGTAGGTGCTTAATAAGTATTTGGTGAACGAATGGCTTGTTTGGAGACAGTCCAAAGGCTGGAGGACAGAGGGAAAGCTCCCTCCTTTCGGGCCCCAGACGGGTGGCGCTGATGGAGAGGTTAGGATAAGGCCTCCAGGACCGAAGCGTGCACCTGTAAGGCCCCTGCTAAAAAGACCTTCCTGAAGGCGGAGGTACTGCGAGAGTGTCTACGTTAGCCCAAGGCCTGACCCGACGATCCCAGGGACCCTCGCCCTAACTGGCCCCGCCTCCCGGGCCCCAAACCCAGACTCGGCCCCGCCCGAAGCTCCGGATCCTGGGGCCCGCCCCTGGCCCCGCGTCGGCCGACCGTGGGCTCGCTCCTGGGCGTGCCTCAAACCCTCCGCAGGTAACGCCTCCCAACTTGAGCCACATTCCGATCCCCTCCTCAAACCCCTCCCCGTTTCCCACACCCTGGATCCCTCGCTCCGTCTCGGCCCCGCCCCAAGCCCAGCTAGGTCTCGGCCCCTGAGCCCAGCCCCGACCGGCCTCCCAGTCCCTGGGTCCCTCCCGACACCGGCCCCTCCCTAAGCTCCGCCTCCCAGGGCCCGCCTCCTGAGCGCAGCTGGCAGCCCGGACTCGGCCCCGCCTCCTGGACCCTGGGCCCCTCCCCACGTCGGCCCGTCCAAAGCTCTGCCTCCCAGAGTCCGCGCACCGCCTGGCCATGTGCTACGACATAGTCAACCCCCCGCCCCGGCCCCGCCTCCTGAGCCCTTCTCTGGGTCTGGCCTTAGCCCCACCCTAAGACCTGTCTCCTGGGCTCTGCTCTGAGTCCCGCCTCCTGAACCCAATGGCGTTTATCCCCGCTCTAATGCTCGCCTCCAGGACTCTTATCCTGCCCACACGCAAGGCACCGCCTCCAGGACGCCACCAACCTGGACGCTTCTGAAGCCCAGCTTCCAGGATCGCCCTATCCTGACTCCGCCCCAGGACCCGCCAACCTGGACTCTACCCAGGACCTGCCCCAACGACGCTTATCCTGGCCCTACCCCAGGCCTCGCCCTCCTAACGCTCATCCTGGCCCCGCCCTACAGCCCGCCCCCAGGACGCTCCTCCTGACCCTACCCCCAGGCCCCGCCCCCTCTCTGCCGCCGCGCACTGCCCTGGGCCCACCCCCTCTTCAGTCCAGGCCCGGCTTCCGCCCGGTCTCCCGGCAACGCTGCGGCCCCGCCCACGTCATGGCGCCCGAGGAGAATGCGGGGACCGAACTCTTGCTGCAGAGTTTCGAGCGCCGCTTCCTGGCGGCGCGCACGCTGCGCTCCTTCCCCTGGCAGGGGGGCGGCGGGCGAGCGGAGAGGCCCGCGGGGCTCGCGGGAGTCCAGGGGCAGACGGGATGGGTCTCCGTGCTGAAACCCCCGGCGCTCCTGCCACGTGAGTTCCTGGGCTCTCCCCGGTCAGGGCCGCGAGACCCGGTCCCCGTCCCTGGGGCCTGGCCAGAGTCGCTCGCACCCCTCCTGCCCCGCGAGCTGGCGGCGGAAGATGAGGGCGTCTCCACCGCCTTGGGGGGGCAGACGCGTGCTCGGTGTGGGGTACAGTTCACGATCATTTTCACGACTTTTTAAAGGTAGTAATCGTTCTGGTCACTGGGACACAGCTGCCCTCGCCCATTCTAAAAAGTCAGCGCCCTCAGGCCCGCGGGTAACCACTTCATCCTGAGCACGGTGACCAGGTCACAGGCTGTCCCTCGTGCCTCAGTGTTCTCATCTGTATGTCGAGCACTGCACAGAATCGGATCATGCGCTGAGGCTTTCACGCCTGTGATGGAAGAGACAGAGAAGGGGGTGGCCTCTCCTCTCCCTGGGGACCTGCCATTCTCAGCACAGGCGCCTGGCAGGCAGCAGCCTCCCTTCTGCCAGCAGAGGGGCTTAATGCACCCCTCTCCATTTGTAATTCATGTGCAGTGAGCTCACTGGGATGAGTCAGTTCGGATATATATTCCTCCCTGGGTCTGCCCCATTTTATGGGGTGTTGCTTAATCATTTGCGTTATTCCATTGACATAAAATATTTAGCACTCAGAGATCAATTTTAGTCAGGAGAAATTTGTGCATTTTTAACCCAAAATAGAAACCTTCATAAAAGCATCATAGGTCTCCATTCAATATTGACTATAGTTGTTCACATGCCCACACTGAATGCTAACTTCGGCTCACCCTCAACACTGACGAGGTGGGTACTATTATTATCACTCACTTTTGACCAGAGAGATTGTTTGATTAGGGTGAAGTAGTTGAGAGTTCAGACCCAGGAGACAGCCTGCCTGCTTCGAATCCTGGCCCAACCCCTGGCCCTGTGTGACCTTGGGCAAGTGACTGCATCTCTCTGTGCTATTGTTTTCTTATTAATAAAATGGGGGATATAATGATACCTACCTCTTAGGGTTGTTGTCAGCGTTGAGTACAAAAGCCTGTGGATCAGTGCCTGGCTCATGGTAAATGCATGTCGGTGTTAGCTGGTGTTTTTATTCAGTCACAAAATGTTTAATAAATGCCTTCCATGAGCCAGGCACCATGGATCAGCAGTACCCATGATAGATGAGGCTCTGCTTGCATGGGAGAGCCAGAGAATAAACAAATAAATGAATAAACAAGAAAAGACCAGATGAGAGTGGCTTTAAAGCCAATAAAACAGGGAAATGGTGAATGGAGCAACTGGGGAGAAGAGTCACCAAGGTCGGGGAATCAGGGAAGCCTTCCCCAAAGAGGTGGTATTTGAACTGGGGCCTGAGTGGTGAGGCAGCCAGCCATGGGAAGGGCTTGGGGAACAGGATATGCAAAGGCCCTGTGGTGGAAACAAGCCAGCTATGGTTGAGGAAAAACAGCAAGGCAGCCAGTGTGGCTGGAGTGGAGTGAGCAGGGTGGGCCAGGGGTGAGGGAGAACAGGCCAGAGAGAGGGATTAGGACCAGGTCTTGTAGGGCCTTTTATGGCATGGAAGGAGCTCTGAAGCAATGAAGTGCCTTGCCGTGGGTCACATACCAGCCGAGACAGTTTGCCTAACTCAGGAGCCAAAGCTTGCTGCTGGGCTTGAGGCCCCTGTAAGAGGACAATGTAACCCAGGCTGGTATGAGCACATTCTGCATTTCTACTTAAACTCAGATGGCAAGCCCATCAAACCTTGTTGCCATGGCTGCCCTGGTAATTCCTGGCTGACCAGTGCAACCAGGGAGCTGGCCCATGACCCGGGTGGCCGCTAAGTAGCCATGACTAATGCGGCCAAGAGTCAGTCTTCTTCCTGTGACTCATCCAATTGCACCCAGCGACATCTGAAGGTCAGGCTTTCAGCCACTGTGGCTTCCACTTCCAACTGGCTCCACGTCCCCAGGGAGGGATCACATAGCGCTTTGCCAACACATTCTATTGCGTGTTTTAATGTTCCTGTGAATGCGCCCTTGAGATTTCTCTCTCTCCCGTCCACACAGAGCTTAGAAGCAAAGTTAAGAGACTCATCAGATTCTGAGCTGCTGCGGGATATTTTGCAGAAGGTAAGAATCCCAGAGTCCCTGGGACTCATGACCCTGCCTCCTGAATCTCTCCGGAAGACCTGAGAGAAGAACCATAGGTGTGCTTATACCCTTTAAAAACACCCCTGTTCAAAGAACAAAACCATTGAGTCAGCACTGCAGGTGGGTGTCAGCACCTCCGACAGCTCCTGCACTTTCGTTGTCTATCTAAGACTTAGACAAAGACATCAGAATATACAAAAATCTGCAAGAGGGGTGAAATCTAGCGAATGTTTTTTAAACCATCCACAGCAAAAACAGAGATGACAGGTACAAAACAGCTTCTAGCATTTGGTAGATGCTCAGAGACTTTCTTTTTTGCATTCATGAGGCCTGTCCTGCCCACTCCTGTCTCTTCTAGACCTAAATGGGCCCTTGCTTTGCCCAGGGTGGGGTTTGGACTCAAGTGCATCTGCATGCAGGTGAGAGCCAGGATCACCACCCGGCCCAGCTAGAGGCTGACCTTGGCCTTGAGGGCCAAGTGCAGATCACCCTGCATCCTGGGTCTTCACCTTCGAAGGGCCATGAGCCCTTCTGAAAAGACAAAGCAATAGACTCCCTCCCAGAAAGAAGTACACCAGAAGAATATGTTTTCCATACAAACTCAGGGGAGACAGACATCCTCCACCCCCACCCACCCAGCCCATCCTAGGAGCCCCGGTGAAGAATTCCTGTGCTAGAGGTGAACCAAGATTATCCACATGGAAAAGATGCAGACACAGCAGGGAAGACTTTCGGGGCAATACAGTAGGTCAGGGCTTCGATCATGGAGATACCTGAAGTTATCTCACACCCTGCTCTGAGTTTCACCCTAAGCCTCACTCTCATAGGTGGTGAAGCATGAAATGTTGGGAGAGCTGCTTTAAAACCCAGCACAAGGCTGGGTGCACTGGCTCACACCTGTAATCCCAGGACTCTGGGAGGCTGAGGTGGACGGATCACCTAAGGTCAGGAGTTCAACACCAGCCTAGCCAACATGGTAAAAACCCATCTCTACTAAAAATAAAAAAATTAGCTGGGCGTGGTGGTGCACGCCTATAGTCCCAGCTACTCGGGAGGCTGAGGCAGGAGAATCGCTGAACCCAGGAGGCGGAGGCTGCGGTGAGCCAAGATCGGGCCACTGCACTCCAGCCTGGGCAACAGAGCGAGACTCTGTGTCAGAAAAAATGAAAAACCAACACCAGCATGAAGAGCCAGTGTATTGTGTGGGGTACTTTGCTGCCCTTGGGCAGAATCTGCATCCCACCCAGCCAGCAGGAGCTGCGGACTGTCTCCTCCCTCTCCCTCCAGGCTCCTGATTTCCCACCATCCCCACTCCTGCTACACCAGTCCCTCTGCCCTCCTTTCCAAGGGCCAGCCCGTGCCCACCTCAGAGCTTGCACAGGCTGTTCCCACTGCCTGGAACTTGCTCATCCTGCACTTGGCTTCTCTCGGCTTTAGTGGGAGTGTCACCCTGAGCGTTCCCTCCCCTCCATCCTGTCCCCAGGGACACACGCTCCAAGAGAGCAGTTGCTGAGTGGGCCTTCCCGCCTCTTCCATAAAGCCAGACAGTTGGCGACTGTCCTTACAGCAAACCCTGGTTCACACTGGCTCCCCTGGGAGGGAGGTGGTTTGGGCCCACATGCCCTGTGTTCCTGCTCAGAATGGGCATTAGAAATGCTGCCATAGCCTGTGCCACTGCAGTGGAAGCATCTTTAGAAAACGGCTTATATCTTAAGACAAACTTCAGATGCGTGGGGCCAGAACGCCGTGTCCATGTACATCTTTGCTGAGGGATCGGGTAGCCTGGAGTTTGCCCTCTGCTGTGTTGGCTTGAAGCTCATAGGAGACTTAAGATGGGCTCTCGAGCAACCAACGTTCTGTCCTTTGCCGTAGACTGTGAAGCATCCTGTGTGTGTGTGAAGCACCCGCCGTCAGTCAAGAAAGCCCGGTGCTTTCTCTCAGAACTCATCAAAAAGGTCAGTTATGGGCAGTGTCCGCCCAGTAGCCGGACAGCATAGCCACCTGCGTGCTGGAGACCCCATCCTTCCCAGGCCCTGGGCCTTCTTTGCAAACCCCAGCATGGCAGGGGCCTCCCCAGGCAACTGGCTGCATCTGAGTGTGACCCATGGGAGACAGTGCAGGGCAGGAAGAAGGGGAGGCCAGCGTCTCTCCCTCACTCTGCCTCCTGGGGTTTCCACAGCAGCTGCTTCTCTGGGGCGCCAGCTCCTAGCATATGAATTCTCATTCCTACCAGGCTGGTCCAGCCCACAGCACTGGAACCCTCACCCACACCCTCTGTCCTGCCCGCTGAAGGGTTTGGAGTTTCCTGCTCTTGTCCGTCTCTGGGTTGCCCCACGGGCCCCTTTTGGAAGATTTAGCTCTTGCCATACCTTTGGAACTAGTTCCTCTGGTGAATTCTCTGCTTTGATCCTGCTGGAATGAGCTCTTTCCTGACTGATATAGGATGGATTTTATTTTTTACTTATTTATTTACTTTTTTGAAACAGTCTCACTGTGTTGCCCAGGCTGGATTACCGTGGCACAATCTCAGCTCCCTGAAACCTCTGCCTCCTGGGTTCAAGCAATGCTCATGTCTAGCCTTCTAAGAAGCTGGGACTACAGGCACACGCCACCATGCCCGGCTAATTTTTGTATTTTTAGTAGAGACAGAGTTTCACCATGTTGGCCAGGCTGGTCTCGGACTCCTGACCTCAGGTGATCCGCCTGCCTTGGCCTCCCAAAATGCTGGGATTACAGGCATGAGCCACCTCACCTGGCCTAGGATGGATTTTAAAGATGGGCCTGAATATGCAGGGTTTGACATGGGGATGTCGAGAGGCCATTCCTCAGTAGGCAGAAGCAGACTTGCTGAATGAAAGGGCCACACTTTTAGCAAATAAACAATCCCCTGCTTCTCCAATACCTGCTTTCTCCCTAGTCCTCCCCAAAAGGGTGCATCTGTGGTCACCAGCAGTTCTGCCCTGTGCCACCAGGAGAGGGCAGCAGTCACCTAGTGTACCCTTCTGCTGCCCTATGAATCATAGGACGGGGCCAGCTGTGGAGAAGCAGCCTGCTGACAGCCACAGCCTGCAGCATGGGCCGCCCTCACAGTTCTGTCTGGGCTCACTTAAAAGCACCTTTTGTTTTCCTCCTCTCTGTGTTTGATCCAAACACAGAGCTCTCTGTCGTGGTCAGGTGGCAGCTCTCACGGAATCCTTGTCTCCTGCCCTAGACTACATCTAACCCTACCCTCTCAACACCTCTTGTTGAAGGCCCTCCCGTTCATGTTTCCCTACCAAGTGGAATTATTTTTTTTTAGAGACAAGATCTCTGTTGCCCAGGCTGTCCTGGAACTCCTGGGCTCAAGCAGTCCTCCCATGTCAGCCTCTAGAGTAGCTGGAACTATTCGGCACACACCACCATGCCCAACGAAGTGAATATTTTATATGCCAGCTGGCCGGTGTTACACCATTCCATCCCAAATCTCCCCTCCAAACTTGGTGAAAATCATCTGGCCATTTTTACAGATTAGAACAAAAGCAAACAAGCTCTCACTCTGTCTGCCCCCAGCACGAGGCTGTCCACATGGAGGCTTTGGACGAGCTGTATGAGGCACTGGCAGAGACCCTGATGGCCAAGGAGTCCACCCAGGGCCACCGGAGTTATTTGCTGGTATGAGAAGGGCACCCTCCTCCCCCTCACAGCCCAGATACACTTCCTGCACAGACAAAGTGAAAATGTGGGTGTGGGTTCAAATTCTGACTCACCCATTCTGCAGTCTTAGACATGAAGTCCATTAACCTTCTTTAGCCTCAGTTTCCCTGTCTGTAAATCAAGCACTTCAACAACAACAGCATGTCTCGTGGGGTTGTTGGGCATTTGTCCAATAGGTGACACACACTACCTGCTTCACAAGGACCTGGTGCCCAGTCCTCAAAGAATACTTGACAGGGCTGGACATGGTGGCTCATGCCTGTAATCCCAGCACTTTGGGAGGCCAAGGCGGGTGGATCTGAGGTCAGGAGTTCGAGACCAGCCTGGCCAATATGGTGAAACCCTATCTCTACTAAAAATACAAAAATTAGGCCAGGCGTGGTGGCTCATGCCTATAATCCCAGCACATAGGGAGGCTGAGGCAGGGGGATCACCTGAAGTCAGGAGTTTGAGACCAGCTTGGCCAACATGGTGAAACTCCATCTTTACTAAAAATACAAAAATTAGTGGGGTGTGGTACTGGGCGCCTGTAATCCCAGCTGCTCAGGAGGCTGAGGCAGGAGAATCTCTTGAACCTGGGAGGTGGAGGTTGTAGTGAGCTGAGATCGTGCTATTGCACTCCGGCCTCGGCAACGAGAGCGAATCTCTGTCTCAAAAAAAAGTACAAAAATTAGCCGGACATGGTGGCACACAACTGTAGTCACAGCTACTTGGGCGGCTGAGGCAGGAGAATTGCTTGAACCCAGGAGGCAGAGGTTGCAGTGAGCCAAGATCGTGCCACTGACTCCAGCCCGGGTGACAGAGCTCAAAAAAAAAAAAAATAAAACATAGATACAGAAAACCACAAAGGAAAAACATAGCATATTGAATCATCACAAGGCAGCCATCCCTTCATAGCCACACCTGGCCCCTGGCCACCACTGACCTGTGCTCCATCACCAGAATTCTGTTGTCTCAGCAATGTTCGATGAATGGACTCCAGTGTGGCCTGAGTGTCTTTCATGCTATGTGACACCCTTGAGGTCTGTGCAAGCTGTTGGTATGTCAACAGTTAGCTGCTTCTCATTGCTGAGTGGCGATTGGTCCTGTCATGGTTTATTCAGACATATGGTGGATGGCTACTTGTCTTCTAAGCCACTTGCCTTCTGATCGCTGGACTTACTCTCTCGCCCTCTCTTGGTGCAGCCCTCGGGAGGCTCAGTCACACTCTCCGAGAGCACAGCCATCATCTCCCATGGTACCACAGGCCTGGTCACATGGGATGCCACCCTCTACCTTGCAGAATGGGCCATCGAGAACCCAGCAGCCTTCACTAACAGGTGACCTTGTGGCACAGGGCAGGGCACTGAGGCAGGCTTACCCTGGTGCAGTTGAAGACACGGTCCCCTTTCCTCCCACCAGGACTGTCCTAGAGCTTGGCAGTGGTGCCGGCCTCACAGGCCTGGCCATCTGCAAGATGTACCGCCCCCGGGCATTCATCTTCAGTGACTGTCACAGCCGGGTCCTCGAGCAGCTCCGAGGGAATGTCCTTCTCAATGGCCTCTCATTAGAGGCAGACATCACTGCCAACTTAGACAGCCCCAGGGTGACAGTGGCCCAGCTGGACTGGGACGTAGCGACGGTCCATCAGCTCTCTGCCTTCCAGCCAGATGTTGTCATTGCAGCAGGTAATGGCCAGCCCCAGGCATCCTGTGCAGGTGGTGTCCATGCAGCTCTACCCAGCCCTTGGCTCTGGGAAAAGGGAACAATGGACGCTGTCGGGAATGGACATGATGGGGCTTCCAGAAGAGGTACTCTGGGCCTCCAGGGTGACATCAAAGGACAGGGGTGCCTCTTAAGGTGACCTTCAAGCCACAGACCTCTTGTTGGATACAGGCATACTCCCGTTTCAGTCATCACCACATGGCTCTGTCCCAGAGCCATGCCCTGTGTCCTTCAGAGACCACAGGAGGAAAACAACCACTTCTGAGATGAGGACAGGGCCCTTGAGAGAAGGTGGTGTTTGGCTGGGCCACCGAAAACCCCTCACCCCTGCCAGCACACTCAGTCCCCTCTCTGGTGGAACAGAGCTCTGCCTGTGGTCCTGGGTTCCAGCCCTGAAACCCACAGGTCCAGCGGTGGCCAGGGACACAGGCCCACCCCCTCAAGCCAGCAGACCAATTGGCAGACACCTGAAACACGAAGTTCACGGCAGGGTCAGGCTTTCTGTCATTCAAAGCCCTCTAGATAGGCCGAGAACCAGAGCTGGTTTTTTAAGGAACACCAGTGAGTCTGGAGATTTTTTTCTTTTGCTTCGGTCTTTTGCAGCTTTCTCTACTAAGGGTTCTCCTTTTTCACCCAAGTAATTGCCTTTCCATCTAATGGCCCAAATGGTCAAATGGCATCTAATAGTCTCATATGACCGCTGCCTCTCTGGCCTCGCCCTGCTGCTGAGGTCAGTATGAACTGGAACTTTCCACTTATCCCTTTCAGTAACCTGAAGCTTTCACCGTAGACGTGCTGTATTGCCCAGAAGCCATCGTGTCGCTGGTCGGGATCCTGCGGAGGCTGGCTGCCTGCTGGGAGCACCAGCAGTCTCCTGAGGTCTACGTGGCCTTTACCGTCCACAACCCAGAGACGTGCCAGCTGTTCACCACCGAGCTAGGTGAGCCCCCACGCCCACCTGGGCCTGCATGGTCCCCGAGCTGTCCCTGCGGGACTCCAGTGGAAGTGAAAGAACTGGGCGCCGGGGAAAAGCTAGGATGCCCCACACTCCCACATCATGCGGGGAACTCAGGCAGAGGCCGGCGAGCAGGGTGGGCTTGGGGTGTGGGGGGCTTGCGGCAGGAGGAGGGCGGCTCAGCAGAGGGAGGGAGGGTCTGAGCCCAGCAGCCCTACTATGTGCTTCAGAGCAGGGTTCCCTAAGCCCTTGGGCCTTGGTTTCATCTATAAAATGGAGGTGGTGGGAGGGGCAGTCGGGGTCATGGCTGGACACAGCTGTGGCCTGCAGGACGCTGGAGCACAGGCTGTACAGGCTGATCCACCACACCACTGTCCTGAGCACCCAGTTGATGGAAGACGAGCAGGGTGACTATAGAGAAGGGGAACTTCTCAGTGGGCCAACCACTGTCCTCAGACCTGACGTTTGTCAGCCCCCAGCACCTGTGAGGGTGTGCTGTCATTGTCCCATCTCACCGACAAAGACATTAGGACACACAGAGGCCAAGCGACCCTCGAGCTCCTGCAGACTGCAGCCCGGCCACCAGGCTCTCGTGCCTCCACACTACACCCAAGCCTCCCAATGCCACCAGCCTCTGCCCCAGCTCCCCCTGAGCACAGCCCCTCCTGGCAGCCATGTGCACAGATGCACCCGCAGCAGCCTCTGCCTGCACACAGAGACACAGACAACCCAGTGCCTGTCCACGTGGGGCAGCCCGTTAACTACAGAGCCAACAAACAAGCCAGCACATGAAGGCATACTGGGTTCCACGACAGAGTCCCGCACAACCTCGCACAGGAGGCTGGCCGGGCGCGGGGCTCAGGCCTGTCATCCCGGCACTTTAGGAGGCTAAGAAAGGAGGACTACTTGACCCCAGTTGTTCAAGAAAAACCTGGGCCACATAGTGGGACCCTGTCTTCACAAAACATACAGAAACTAGCCAGATGTGGTTGCACACACCTGTAGTCCCAGCTACTCAGGAGGCTGAGGTGGGAGGATGGCTTGAGCCCACGAGGTGGAGGCTGCAGTGAGCCCTGATCTCACCACTGCACTCCAGCGTGGGCAACAGAGCAAGACCCTATCTCAAAAAAGCAAAAAACCAAAAAAAAAAAAAAAAAAAGGAAGTCTTTCTTCAGATACTTACGTGAAAAAAAACCTGCAATATCTTTTAAATAAAAACAACAGTGCCAAGCAGCACACATAGTATAAGCCCCCGCCCACCTTTTTTTTTTTTTTTTCTTTTTGAGACAGAGTCTGGCTTTGTATTGCCCAGGCTGGAGTGCAGTGGTGCCATCTCGGCCCACTGCAACCTCCTACCTCCCAGGTTCAAGCTATCCTCCCATCTCAGCCTCCTGAATAGCTGGGACTACAGGTGCGTGCTACCACGCCTGGCTAATTTTTGTATTGTTTGTAGAGTTGAGGTTTCGCCATGTTGGCCAGGCTGATCTTGAACTCCTGACCTCAAGTGATCTGCTGTCTCAGCCTCCCAAAGTGTTAGGAATACGGGCGTGAGCTACTGCGCCCAGCCCCAGTTTTGTTTAAAAACTAATAATAATCACCCACACATGGTTATGAGTACCTATATTCCAACTACTCAAGAGGCTGAGGTGGGAGGATGGCTTAAGCCCAGGAGTTTGTGGCCACCTTGAGCAACATAGCAAGACTTCATCTCAAAAAAAATTTATCACAATAATCATTTTCACATAAGTATACCTATAGGGGAAAACCTAGAACATCTATATAGCAGGCTTGTCCAACCTGTGGCCCAACACAAATCTGTAAACTTTCTTAAAACAATATGAGGTTTTTTTGTGATTTTTTTTTTTTCTTTGAGCTCAACAGCTATTCTAGCTTTAGTGTATTTTATGTGTGGCCCAAGGCGATTCTTCTTCTTCCAATGTGGCGCAGGGAGGCCAAAAGATTGGACATCCCTGATATACACGTTAACAGGTGCCATCCTTGGATGGCAGGATTATAGAGATTTCTACACGTTCATATCTGTACTACGTCATTTTTATGAATACGCATTTTCCACTTGTAACAAAAAAAGTGACTGAAAATCATCCCGGGTCACAGTGTCTCATGCCTGTAATCCCAACACTGTAAGAGGCTGAGGCTTTGGGAGGCTGAGGTGAGCAGATCACCTGAGGTCAAGAGTTCAAGACCAGCCTGGCCAACACAGTGAAACCCTATCTCTACTAAAAACACAAAAATTAGCCAGGCGTGGTGGTGCACGCCTATAATACCAGCTACTCGGGAGGCTGAGGCAGGAGAATCACTTGAACCTGGGAGGCGTTGCAGTGAGCTGAGATTGCACCACTGCACTCCAGCCTGGGGAACAGAGTAAAACTCCATCTAAAAAATAATAATAAAAGAGGCTGAGGAAGGAGCATCGATTGAGGCCATGCGTTCAGGACCCCATCTCTACAAAATAAAAAAATTACTGGCATGGTGGCATGCATCTGTCATCCCAGCTACTCAGGAAGTGGGAGGATTGCTAGAGCCCAGGAGTCGAGGCTTTAGTGAGCAATGACTGTGCCGCTGCACTCCAGTCTGGGTGACAGAACAACATCGTATCGCAAAAAAAAAAAAAAAAAAAAAAAGAATCATCCTGGCTAATGGCTGTTCAGACATCTGTGCTTATGAGAACACCAGCCCCTTCTAAGCTGTGTGTGTGTGTGTGTGTGTGTGTGTGTGTGTGTGTGTGTGTGTTTTGAGATGGAGTCTCACTCTGTCACTCAGGCTGGAGTGCAGTGGCACAATCTCGGCTCACTGCAACCTCCGCCTCCTGGGTTGAAGCAGTTCTCCCGCCTCAGCCTCCCAAGTAGCTGGGATTACAGGCACCCGCCATCGTGCCTGGCTAATTTTTGTATTTTCGTAGAGATGGGGTTTCACCATGTTGGCCAGGCTGGTCTCGAACTCCTGAAGACAAGTGATCCGCCCGCATAGGCCTCTCAAAGTTTTGGGATTACAGGCATAAGCCACTGTGCCCGGCCACTTTCTAAGCTTTGTGAAGAGTGAGTTGACTGAGCAGCCAGGTAGATGTGGGTTCAGATCTCTGCTTCTGTCCTGCTGTGCCAAGTGCTGGGGCAGACGCGGGCAGAGAGTGGACAGTGGCATGGTGCCTGCTGCTAGCCATTTCTATGCAAAACCAGATTTCTAGTCCCATCCTGGTGGCCAATTCTAGGTACCTGGGTGGGCCTGGGAACCTGTGAAACAAGTAAACTGACTTAGACACCCCCTACCCCACCAGGCCTGTCCTAGCAGCCCCACACAAAACGCTCACGTCCTGTCCCCAAACACCGCCATCCTCAAGCACGTGCTCTGTTTCCAGGCCGGGCTGGGATCATATGGGAAGCGGAAGCTCATCATGACCAGAAACTGTTTCCCTATGGAGAGCACTTGGAGATGGCAATGCTGAACCTCACACTGTAGGACTCACACACGACTCCAACGGGATTGTGAGAATCAAGTCAATCTCATGGGAAGAATTTTTATATGGGAAAGCGGATAAAACTTTCATTGTACTGGAATGTTTGGAGAATGTTAAATTCCAAATCAGAAACCACAAACTGCCCTCTAATAAGACATCGGCTATCTAAGCGTGTGGGTGCCCCCTTTCTGCCAGCAGTTCTGGTTCTTACGAAAATCACCATATATCAGACATGAAAATTCTGGCTTTGTGCAGATAAAAAAGTGTGTATCAAGTATGACGTTCCCCCAATGTGGACACACTTGGTTCCTCAGAAAGCCAAGCCCACTGCAGCTGCCACATCCCTGGACACACTCGGTTCCTCACAAAGCCAAGCCCGCTGCAGCTGTCACATCCCTGGACACACTCGGTTCCTCACAAAGCCAAGCCCACTGCAGCTGCCACATCCCTGAGCCTATGGTGCAGCAGGTGCTTTTTTCAAGACAGGGATCAAAGTGTTAGGAACACGGCAGAAAGGTGACACCTGGAGACCAAATGCAGGATGAGGAGTACTGCAGAGGTCACAGGGAAGTCAGAGAACAGTAATACGCTAACAGGGGCACGGGGCATGAAGAACAAAAGACAGGAAGCGTTTCAGAGACTCCAAAGAAGAAATCAGGGCCAACCACAGCTTCCCGGGTCATTCACCAGGTGGCACCACTGCCGTCATTTCAGCTTCTGGCCACTGGGAGGCGCTGCTCGAAAGGGTTTGCCCTGACACTCCAAGAAGCTGCGGGAAGGACAGCAGGGGCCCTGGGGTTTTAGCCTCTGGCCCAGGAGTTATGTGTCCATAACCAAAGGGAGCACAGTCTGCACCCAGCTCTCATCCCATCAGAGCTGCTGCGACTCCTGCAGGTTCTTCCGGAACTGGTTTAGCTTGCCTGCAGGATCAGGAAAGTTTGAGAAAAGCATCTGCAAAATACTAAAGAGCAGAGCTTACCTCATTGCCTGTCCCCACCCCATCCCAGGTCACCACCTGGCTGACCCCAGGTCCCCGACCCAACAACAACCCCTCCCAAGTCCCTAACTCCCTCACTTGGACTTGAGACCCTTCACACCCCAGCAGCGCTCCGCCTCCCACTTGACATCATGCTTTCTGGAAACTTCCCCGTATGTCCCACTTTCCCACACTTGGTGCCCTGGAGCACCTTCCGGCCTCTACATGCTGTACGTTCCCCTGTGAGCACCCTCCTCTCGGCCTCTGGCCAACACAGTCCCACCCATCTGTGGGTAACAAGGGGGAGTGGGTGTTCTTTTCAGCCTTGCTAAACTCTCTGAATCAAGGATCACAAACTACAGCCTGCAGGCCAAATCCAGCCCACAGCCTGTGTTTGTAAATAAAGCTTTATTGGAAGAAAGCCACACCCCTTAATCTACAGATGATCTGTGGCTACTTTCACACCACAACAGAGTACCATGGTTCTGACAGAGACTGGGGGACCCAGTCTAAATGACTTCTGACCTGGACCTTTACTGAAAATCCTCCCAATCATTCTGTTGACAAGAATGATGTATTACTTTTTGCAATAAGAAACAAGTAACCTTTGCAGAATTCCACCCATCTTTCAAGGCTGGTCCCAGAAGTTCCCTTAGCCCATGCACCTACCTGATCCTGATCACTTCCTAAACTGCAGCCTGGCCCACCTGGATCCAGCATCATTTGTGGCGTGTCAGCTCCATAAATCCAGAGGGCAGGTGGCGTTGTGTCCTAACTTTCCCGAGCCTACTGTACTGAAACAGGACAGCAGAGTAGGCCAGCCTCTGTGACTTCTGCTCCCTCCCTAGCTTTTCCACCAGACCCCCCATGGTCCCACCCTGGCTGTGGGAAGCAGGGATCAGGGAGTGTGGCTCGGTGCCAGTCTCCAGAACCCTGCCCACCCTGGCGTGGTGGCAGACATGGCTACCTGCAGCTGAGCTGCCAGTTCCTCTGAGTCCTCAAAGACCAGGCCATTTTCTTCATGTTTCACCAGCTCATGTAAACTGCAGAGAGAACCAAGGGAACCCGAGAGCTTCCTGGAGAAGACACCAGACCCCTGGGGTGCCCAGCTGGGCTCCCACCCACCCCACGCTCAAGCCAGGCTGGGGGTTGGAACAGGGGGTGTGGTTTCTGGGAGCTGGTTCTTAGATTTGGCATCTGAAGGGTATAAAGGCCTGGCGGGGGTGCACATCAAAATGGCCAAACCGATTTGAGGAGGGAGCCTTAAGGAGGGTTTGTACCTTCTGTGCTGGATGCTCTTCAAGGACTGAAGAATTATTTTTGCATGTTTTTCTAAATTCCATGGCCATGGAACAAGTAAATGCAACCCCCTGGGGACTGGTTCAGCACATAAAAGATGACTTTTCTAGGACACCAGATTTGATCCCGACATTCCCTGAGCTCAGCTCACATGAGGGGCTCGCATCCCTGAATCCCATCCAGAGGCCGTCTCCTGAGCAGGGGCCAAGGGCTCAACTTGTGCTGGGGCTACTGCTTCTAGAATCTCCTCTAACGCCACCCTTCCAAACACTTGTCTATGCTGGGTGAAGTGAGGCCACAGCATGACACTCATTTAACTGATTCAAACCCAGCACGTGAGGTTGACCAAAAGGGACATGGTGGGAGAGAAAAACAAAGAAAACCATGTAAGCCTGCAGGCAATTCCTGCCAATTCTACTCTAGGAGCAAAAGCCCCGAGTGGAGTTCTAGTATTTAAGGTGCTTTTTTTTTATATTAGGTTGGTGAAAGAGTAATTGCCATTTTTAATGGAAAAATGGTGATTACTTTTCTACCAACCTAAATATAACATGAGTTCTAAATGGAAGCAACTACTTCAGTGAGGCTCAGCCCAGGCACAGTAACCGCAGGGCTCCTCCTCATGGCCTCCAGTGTGTGCTAGACTGACCGAGGGGCAGGGCCTCACTGTGAGCAGCTCACTCTGCACTGCTTCCCCCTCAGCGGTGGATCTGTGAAGCTATCCCCAGAAAGATTCGGGTTCTGCTCCTACCACTTGAAGTTCACGGCACACGCAGGCAAACAGCTCCTGAACATGTCCACCACCTTCATGGGCAGGTCCAGGCCACTGGAGGACGTGTGCAGACAGACACCCAGGTCCGCCGACCCTGCTAGGCAAGAGGGGTGGGTCAGAGCGCTGGTCTGTGCCCTGGGAACACAAATCCTCCCAGCACAGTGAGACAACATCCCCCGAGGGGAGTGAGAATTGGATAAAGCCCCCGACAGCCCCAAGCACAAGTGGCTTAAGCTGGCCAAGCAGCCACACGGCCTGGCTGGGACATCTGAAAATGTAAGCTGACACTTCTTATACATAACCACAATTTGTCTTTTGTTGTTGTTGTTGTTTTGTTTTGTTTTGTTTTGAAACAGAGTCTCACTCTGTCACCCAGGCTGGAGTGCAGTGGCACAATCTCAGCTCACTGCAACCTCCACCTCCCAGGTTCACCTCCCGCCTGTAATCCCAGCATTTTGGGAGGCCAAGGTGGGTGGATCACCTGAGGTCAGGAGTTCAAGACCAGCCTGGCCAACATAGTGAAACACCATCTCTACTAAAAAAAATACAAAATTAGCGAAGCGTCATGGCAGGTACCTGTAATCCCAGCTACTCAGGAGGCTGAGGCAGGAGAATCGCTTGAACCCGGAAAGGCAGAGGTTGCAGTGAGCCAAGATCGCGCCATTGCACTCCAGCCTGGGCTACAAGAGCGAAACTACATCTCAAAATAATAATAATAATAATAATAATAATAATAATAAACCACAGCACACCCACCACAAACCAGCTGTCAGTGTGAAAATAAAGCCAAATAGCTTAACATTTCTAAAGACTAGCTGGGGCCAGACATGATGGGTCATGCCTGGAATCCCAGCACTTAGAGAGGCCAAGGCAAGAGGATCACTTGAGGTCAGGAGTTCAAGACCAGCCTGGCCAACATGGTGAAACCCTGTCACTACTAAAAATACAAAAATAAGCCAGGTGTTGTGGCGGGCTCCTGTAATCCTGTAATCTACTTGGGAGGCTGAAGTGGAAGAATCGCTTGAACTCAGGAGGCGGAGTTTGCATGAACTGAGATCATGCACTCCAGCCTAGGCAACGGAACAAGACTATCTAAAACAAAGACTAGCTGGAGAATCCTGCCAGGAAAAGGCCCTCAGCCTCCAACTGCTCTGCTCACTCGAAGCTGGAAGATGCGGCTCTAGAGACCCATCAGGACCAAGCCACGACTCCCCACTTGGAGAAATCAACGGGGAAAGAGACGGAGGCAAAGGAGAACCATCTCACTGGGAGAGGCGATGCTGTTTGACACATCGTCCCTGTACCTCCCAAAGCCACTGCCCTCCCACACCTGGGCAACAGTGGCCCCAACCCCAGGCACAGCCCTCCTGCAGGAAGGAAGAGGACTGAATGGAGGGCGTGGCCGACTGAAAGGACGTGGCCTCCTCAAACCCCTTGGTAAAGGGCCTCTGGGGCCACCTGGCAGGGAGGGGCTGGCATACCAGGAAGTACCCTCCACCCGGGAGTTCAGCCAGAGCCCAGGTCCTGTCCGCAAGTGGCCTCCAGAGCCACCTTTTCAGAAAATGTACATCCCGCCCACCCCTGCTCCCCCTGCTTAAGGCCCCGCCTCCTCCCTGAGCCTCCTGCTGGCCTCTCACCTAGAAGCGGGGGTAGTCCTCGGCCCTCCAGCCAGGGGGTGCAGACCTGGATGTGCTGGAAATGCTTCTGGTAGATGAGGCGGCTGTAATACTCCCTCAGAGGCCCTTTGCCTTCACAGAGAAGAGCAGACACTGCCATGGACCCGTCTCTGTCCCTGCCACATGGCCCCAGGCCCAAGACACTCCCCGCTAGGAGGGATCCCTTTCCCAGAAGCTCCACCCCTCAGCAGCTCCAGTCAGGCCCTATCTGGGCCCTTCCAGGAGCAACCCAGGAGCCCCGAGACCTGCAGGGGTGTGTGCACCCTGACCCCTGACACATAGCCCTGCACCTGCAACCAGCTGGCCTCGGGCTGCAAACAAGGCGGGGTAAGCACTAGCCTGGCACCCGACCGCCCACTGGGTGGACCCAGCCTTCTGTCCGTGTTGTGCGCAGGGTACACGAGGAATCTCCCTGCCCTGGCACAGCCCTCAGAGCACATGGCGCAGGTTCCAAGCTGCCCCTGCCCTGCCACAGCCCCCAGAGCACATGGCGCGGATTCCGAACCACTCCTGGAAGCCTAGAGGCCAGAGGAGGGAGGAGAGCAGGACCAGCAGCTGGCCCAGACCCCGCTTCTTCCCACACCGCTTCCACTTTTCTCCCTCTTCACTGAGTCATCTTGAAAGGGCTCAGCAGCAGTAACTGTGGGACAGGGGCTCTTCCGTTTGAAAAATTAAAAAAGGCTTGGTTAAGGCACCAATGACATGGCCGGGCACAGTGGTTCATATCTAAAATTCCAGCATATTGGGAGGCCAAGGCGGGTGGATAACCTGAGGTCAGGAGTTCAAGACCAGCCTGGCCAACATGGTGAAAACCTGTTTCTACTAAAAATACAAAAATAAGCTGGATGTGGTGGGCAACTGTAGTCCCAGCTACTCGGGAGGCTGAGGCATGAGAATTGCTTGAATGTGAGATGCGGAGGTTGCAGTGAGCTGAGATCGCACCACTGCACCCCAGCCTGGGCGACAGAGACTTTGTCTCAAAAAAAAAAAAAAAAAGACACCAATGACGTAACAACAAAAAAAAAGATGCTTGGAAACTACTGAAAAAGTAGAAAGCTTGGTATCTACAGATTCAAATCTGGGCTCCCTGCCCTGCTGTGAAACCCTCTGAGCCTCAGTTTCCCACATGTCAAGCAGTATAAGACCCTATGGCAGAGAGCTGCAGTGAGGATTAAGGAGACAAGATCGTGGGAAGCACAGGGTAAAGGCTGCGTGCCCCTCCCCCTCTGCCATCCCCCAACGAAACAGACACCCAGGGTCCCAGGCGGTACCTGTTATCACACAGACGAGAGAAGGAAAGTTGTGTCCATGAAGAGTCAGTTGTTCAAACTCTGTGTTTAAAAAAGAAACAATTCTACATGGAATTTCTGATAGATTTTTTTTTTTTCTTTCTGACAGACTCTTGCTCTGTCACCTAGGCTGGAATGCAATGGTGTGATCTCAGCTCACTGCAACCTCTGCCTCCCGGGTTCAACTAATTCTCGTGCATCAGCCTCCCAAGTAGCTGGGATTACAAGCGCCCACCACCATACCTAGCTAATTTTTGTATTTTTAGTAGAGACAGTTTTCACCATGTTGGCCAGGTTGGTCTCGAACTCCTGACCTCAGGTGATCTGCCTGCCTCAGCCTCCCAGAGTTCTAGGATTACAAGTGTGAGCCACCATCCCCATTCAGAAAAAAATTTTTGAATAAACAATAGCCAGAGTCACCTGGTCAGGTGGAGAAAGTGCACTGCTCTGGCAGGGAGTCCCCCAGCCTCTGTGAGATACTCTCCTGGAGGGGGCATTTCAGCCTGAGGGCCTGGTCACTCAATGACCCAAATGGGGATTCAGGGAGGCCCACCTCCACCACCCCTACTGTCCCCAGGCTGCCCCACCCAGTAGCCCGGGACAGGAACATGTTGCAGGCCAGGCAAGCAGCTCACAGTTCAGTGGCCCCGACAAGCCCAGCGCTCCTCACCGCAGCCACACAACTACTTTCTAAAGCTGCCAGCAGGACAGAGAAGTCTTCGTCCTCTATGAGAAGAGAATTCAATATCAGGGGCCTGTTTCTAGACAGCACTCTTCCAGCTCACACGCCCTCCCCTTCTCATTGAGACCATGGCGGGGTGGGGGCATGAAGGACTGGCAGGGGTGAGGAGAACACAGGTTGGCCAGGTGCCCTTCACACCAACCCCAAGTGCCCCAGGGGTCATGCAGACCTGTCCAGCTTGTGCTGCTGACCAGCAGAGCTGGCCGCTCGTGGAGACGTGTCACCAGCCTACTCCCAGCATCCCGCTCTGTGAAGGCCAACCGCTCTGTGGCTGGGTCCTCAGGTTCTGAGATGAAGGAGCAGAAAAAAACCCTGTGAGAGGCCACAGAGCAGGCCCAGGACCCAGAACGGGCATCTCTTGCCATGGCGAGGCCTGCAGACTCCCAACGGTTGGGGTGGCCAGCCACATCAGCAGCACCAGGCCATCCCTGCCATCCGGGGCCTGGGCTTGCTTTCTCTAATATTGTTGCTGGGTGCTAAGGTTACAACAGCAAACAAGACTGACTCATTCCTTTTCTCCATGGGACTTACTGTCTTATCATCCCCTGGACTCAAGATGAGCATGCTAGGACGCCCTCCCACACCACCCCAGCTTACCCAGGTGCCCACCTCAGGGTGTGTGGACCTGCAGAAAGGTCCCCTCCTTAGCCCCGTGAGACACCCCAGGGGACACACAGGTCCACAGATCCTGCCGCAGGCCTGGGAACCCACTGGCAGGAGAGTAAGACAGTGCAGGGGTCCACAAACATTTCCTAAAAGGCCAGAGAGTAAATACTTCAGGCTTTGCGGGCCACAGGTTCTCTGTTGCAAAACGCAATTCTGCTATTGTAGCTCAAAGGCGGCTGTAGACAACTCAGAAGGCAATGAGTGTGTTGTGTCCCAATAAAACTTGATTTACAAAAGCAGGAGACTGGCCTGTAGCCTTAGTTTGCCAACCCCTGGATGAGTGGGTTCCCAGTTCTGCAGTGAGAAGGGGAGAGGCCAGGGCAGTGGCGAGCAGGAGAGAAGGCAGCTGAGGATGGCAGGCCTACCGGGCCCTGAATGGAGAGTGCGTGCCGCCCAGCTTCATGAAGAGCCGGTGCTGCAGGTCCAGAGGTGTCTCTTTAAAGAAAGATGCCGGCTTGTCATAGACGGTCACAGCCCTGCAATGAAATCATGGCAGGGCTATTGGGAGGGCTGAAGAAAGGCCTCAGGAATAGAGGACTCAGAGGCTCCAGGAAAAGAAGGACGCTTGGGGAATCCAGACGATGACAAGAAGAAGCCTTGCAATCACTTGGGAATGCACAGAGAGACATCCTAGGATCAAAACTGCCTGGACCCCCTGGCTGGCTGGGAAAGAAACTCTGCCCTCTCCTCTCCCGGCTTCCCCAAATTTTCGCATAATGTTGCCAAGCATTAGTCCAGCGTGGAGGCTACTTTCTGCTCAAACCACTCATTTGGGTCCCGCGCCCAACATCACCTATCCTCAGTAAAACAACCTTTACTTCCTTCTTCCTGGTTTCCAGAAAGTTCCCCTAAAGCCCTGAGGAATCACCGAATGAAAGGGGCTTTTTACAAACAGGAAACTTAAGTGGAGTGCCAATACACAACATGGATTGCACCAGGCTAGGTCTAAGATAAAACCAGACTGTGGACAACAGGACAGACAAGACCCACATGGCTCTGCACTGCCTGGGTCTGTTATTGTGTGGAAGAATGTCTTAGTCTGTTGCTCCTGTGGATGTAGCTAAAGCACGAACCAGGAGTTTTCATCCTTTTTTTTTTTGAGACGGAGTCTCACTCTGTCACCCAGGCTGGAGTGCAGTGGTGCGATCTCGGCTCACTGCAAGCCCCGCCTCCCGGGTTCATGCCATTCTCCTGCCTCAGCCTCTGGAGGAGCTGGGACTACAGGCGCCAACCACCACGCCTGGCTAATTTTTTGTATTTTTAGTAGAGACAGGGTTTCACCTCCTGCCTCAGTCTCCCAAAATACTAGGATTACAGGCATGAGTCACAGTGCCCGGCCTATAAAATGAGGCAACAGATTAAGAATAGTAAGCATAAGATTGAGGCCAGGCTCGGTAGCTCACGCCTGTAATCCCAGCACTTTGGGAGGCCAAGGCAGGTGGATCATCTGAGGTCGGGAGTTAGAGACCAGCCTGGCCAACATGGTGAAACTATGTCTCTACTAAAAATACAAAAAAAAATTAGCCAGGCGTGGTGGCACATGCCTGTAATCTCAGCTACTCGGGAGGCCAAGGCAGGAGAATCACTTGAACTGGGGAGGCGGAGGTTGCAGTGAGCTGAGATCTCACCACAGCACTCCAGCCTGGGCAACAGAGTGAGACTACATCTCAAAAAAAAAAAAAAAAAAGGATTCGGGCAGTCAGAAGCGACCACCGCCAGCAAAGAAAGGATGAGGGGGAGTGAATAAAGGGTCTACAGGAGAATTAAGAAAGTGTGGGCCCTTGGGTCCATTTGGTGAAGTGGAGCCAGGTCACTGGTGAGTGTGCCAGGGAACCAATTAAGGATGAATATGAAGCTTGAGGCCAGGCCAGCATAAGTGCCATGTGGGCGCCTGTATTTCTTTACATTTGCTGACTGTCAATCCAGCCACCTGTGTTTCTGTGAAATACAAAGGAAGAAATGCTGTGACTTTCTCTCACTCTAAGGTGAAACCAAAGAAGGGGAAACTGAGAGACCTGTCCGAAATCCTCCACCGAGCCACTCGGGAGCCTGGAATAGATACAGCCGGTCAACTGACCTGTTCTCTAGGCACAGCTTTTTGGATTTGCCACTTGCGTCTTCTTCAAGTTTTAGAAACTTCCAGACTCTGGCTTTTTTGCTGCTTTGGGGAACAAAGCATGTTCATTCAAGTGTACAGCAAACCTGTCCTGCTCCTAAATCCAGTCATCTTCAAAATAGATTTTTGAGGTTTACAGTGCTAGTCTCCAAATGTCATTATCATCCCTAAAGTGAAAAAAAAAGGTTTAATTATTATGAGCAGTGAAATTACCATATAATCTTCCAATTAACTGAATAAGGCACCAAATAAGTGCCCTCAAGCCTTAATTTCTACCTTGAAGTTAAGATAGGTATCATGCTTACCTTGATCATCCTACACATCCTCAAAGTGGGCGGAGTTGCAAGGCTGTCTAAGCGGGTGGGGTGGAAGGCGGTGCACTTCCACCCCCTTGTCTGTTTGTCGAGCTCTGTTGGTCCTTCTGATTGGTTAGCGACCCTGAGTGTTTCTGAGAGCCTTTTGTTGTATACTGGGGCAGAACCACTAATTTGGCCAATTCCAAGCAGAAAAGATCAAGTATAGATTTCATATCTGAGTTTTAAGTGCTAGTAAAAAGTTGCATTAAGTTATCAAATGCACTGTGATCCTGGCTTCATTGCCAAGTGGCTCTGTAGTTTGAGGATTATGCTGCATCCCGAAGAAAAGAAAAGCAAATTGTTCCATTTAGATGCTTGGGGTAAAGGGGGATTGATCCAGTTACTTTTCAATTAATCTAAGTCAGATGGTGTTCACTGCATAACTTTGTAAGGTTTGTACTTGGTCAAAGAACAAAGTGTGAATTTTTTTTTTTTTTTTTTTTTTTGAGATGGAGTCTCGCTCTGTCGCCCAGGCCGGAGTGCTGTGGCGCAATTTCGGCTCACTGCAAGCTACACCTCCCGGGTTCATGCCATGCTCCTGCCTCAGCCTCCCAAGTAGCTGGGACTACGGGTGCCCGCCACCACACCCGGCTAATTTTTTGTATTTTTAGGGGTTTCACCGTATTGAAGGTCTTTGGTTGAAAAGGCATGAAGAAGTTTCTACCAGTCCTGTTTGAAATAAAATAATACTGTAATCTAAAGATTGTAATACAAGACCAACACAGCACATTTAGAGTAACTTTTTAAAATTGGTTGACTGATGTGCTTCTCTCTCTCTCTTTCCGTAGACATGTGTGTAGCATATTACATAGAGAAATCTATAAGCCCTGGGTTATGTTGGTTGCTGATGAGGATTAATCAGAAGCTACTACTCACTTATTCACCTTTGATCTGCTCTTGTTCTGGTAGTCTTCTTCATTGTGTCATTCATTCAAGAACTGTTCATTGGGCTGGGTGCGGTGGTTCACACCTGTAATCCCAGCACTTTGGGAGGCTGAGGCGTGTGGATCATGAGGTCAGGAGTTTGAGACCAACCTGGCCAACATGGTGAAACCCCACCTCTACTAAAAATACAAAAATTAGCTGGGACTGATGGCATGCGCCTGTAATGCCAGCCACTTGGGAGGCTGAGAGAGGAGAATTGCTTGAACCCGGGAGGCAGAGGTTGCAGTGAGCTGAGATTGTGCCACTGCACTCCAGCCTGGGTGACAGAGCAAGACTCCATCTCAGGAAAAAAAAAAAAAAAAATTGCATGGTCATGTCAGCATCCTCCCCACGCCCCCTTCCCCAGATCAACCAAAAAAATGGAGAAAAATCTGGAAGGCCACTCCTTTAGACCACTAATGCTAAGGATGAGTGCACACTCACAAAGCGTGCAAGCCAGCTATATTAGTTCATTCTTGCATTGCTATAAAGAAATATCTGAGACTGGGTAATTTATACTTGATCTTAGCCAAAAGGCTGAGAAGCAATGGGATTGGGTAATTTATAAGGAAAGAGGTTGAATTGGCTCACTCTTCTGCAGACTGTACGAGAAGCATAGCAGCTTCTGCTCCTGGTGAGGCCTCAGGAAGCTTCTAATCATGGCAGAAGATGAATGAGGAGCAGTCCTCCTACATGGCAGGAGCAGGAGCCAGAGACAATGACTGGGGGAGGTGCCGTGCACTTTTTTTTTTTTTTTTTGAGACAGAGTCTTGCTCTGTCATCCAAGCTGGAGAGCAATGGTGTGATCTTGGCTCACTGCATCCTCTACCTCCTGAGCTCAAGTGATTCTCCTGCCTCACCCTCCCAAGTAGCTGGGATTACAGGCGCCCGCCGTCATGCTGGCTACTTTTTGTATTTTTATGAGAGACTGGGTTTTGCCATGTTGGCCAGGCTGGTCTTGAACTCCTGACCTCAGGTGATCCACCCACCTCAGCCTTTCAAAGTGCTGGGATTACAGGCGTGAGCCACCACGCCCGGCCCCACATACTTTTAAACGACCAGATCTCATGAGAACACACTCACTATCGTGAGTACAATACCAAAGAGAATAGTGCTAAACAATTCATGGGAAACCTGCCCTCATGATCCAACTGCCTCCCATCAGGCCCCAGTTCCAACACTGGGGATTACAATTCAACACACAATTGGGCGGAGATACAGATCCAAACTCTATCACCAGCCCTCCTGCTTTCACCTCCCCCGTTTTAGACAACCAGCGTTTGAATTGCCTCTTCCACTTCTGTGCCAAATTATGACTCTGAAGTGGATGCCTGTCTGCCCATTGTTGGACATTATGGGCTGTATAGAGTGCTCCTTTTTCTGAAGCAATGACGTTGGCCATCAAGATTAATGCAGTATCTCCTGTTCTGTTTTTTTTTTCCCCTTTTTCTTTTCTTTTTTTTCTTTTCTTTTTTTTTTTTTGAGACAGAGTCTCCCTCTGTCTCCCAGGCTGGAGTGCAATGGCACGATCTCGGCTCACTGCAACCTCCGCCTCCTGGGTTCAGGTGATTCTTCTGCCTCAGCCTCCCGAGTAGCTGGGATTGGCTAATTTTTTTGTATTTTTGTAGTGACGGGGTGTCACCATGTTTGCCAGGTTGGTCTTGAACCCCTGACCTCAGGTGATCTGCCCACCTCAGCCTCCCAAAGTGTTGGGATTACAGGCATGAGCCACCGTGCCTGGCCTTTTTTTTTTTTTTTAATGGCACTCTGAGTATTTGCATCTTCTACCATGCAAACAAAGCCCAGTCCAGAGACAGCGTCTATTCCTGTCAAGACCTAGATGTAGCCCCCCAGGGCTGCCAGCATCCATCTCACTTGCCAGTTATGCTAAGAGCTTTCCCACCAGGGAATGTGCCTCACAGCCATGGGCAGTCTCTTTTCTCTTGCTGGCAGACAGAACAGTTCTTTTTTTTTTCCTTTTTTTTTTTTTTTTGAGAGGTTGTTCCACTCTTGTTGCCCAGGCCGGAGTCCAATGGCGTCATCTCGGCTCACCGCAACCTCCACCTCCTGGGTACAAGCAATTCTCCTGCCTCAGCTGGGATTATAGGCATGCACCACCACGCCCCAGTAATTTTGTATTTTTAGTAGAGATGGGGTTTCTCCATGTTGGTCAGGCTGGTCTCGAACTCCCAACCTCAGGTGATCCATTCACCTCGGCCTCCCAAAGTGCTGGAACTACAGGCTTGAGCCACCACACCCAGTGACAGAATAGTTATTGGCATTTTGAGCCCGAGGGTCATGGCTAGATTTAGCCCATCTCTGCACTGCTGCAGAGCCACCTTGTTCACTCATTTCATGGACCCAGGTGACCACCTCACAGGAGCACACAGAAAAATCTCACTTGGTGACCCCAGCCACCTCCTGAGCCTGGAAGGGAGTTTTTCTGATGGGCATGAACCTGTTCTACTTCAAGACATCTTTCCCATCTCCACAGGGCTGTGCCCCATATGGATATCCCGTTAATAAGCCAGGTGGCTATTGCCCTCTTGCCTGAGTGTACAGCCAAGACACTGGTCACTGCCCAGGAGTCAGTCAAAACCCAAACACGGGGCTTCTACCACTGTTCGACTGATCAAATATATATTTCACAATATCACACTCCTGTAGAACACTTTGGAACACACACCATGATTCTTTGAAAATCAGTTATTGATATCATTCTAGTATAAATCAGCAGCAAGGAAAACAGCATGCAATTCAACTCACTGAGCAGACTGATTTTTATCATCTTTAGCCAGAGTAGCAGCCCTCCAAACAGGATGTTGTTTGTTCACCTCGAAATTATCATCCATAGACCAAACAACTGGGGGTGAGTGAGTTGAGAGCTGGTTATATAGGGCATTGTCGAACTGCTGATAGAATCCAGCAGCTCCTCACTGTTCCAGTCAGTCGTAGGAGAAAAGAGGTTCCCTCCTTGGGAATATCTCATCCCTGCATTCCCCACATAGCATGATGCTGTATAAACCATTTCTGTTTTATTATGTTTCTTTCTTTTTTTTTTTTTTTTTTTTTCTGAGATGGAGTCTTGCTCTTGTCGCCCAGGCTGGAGTGCAATGGTGCGATCTTGGCTCACTGCAACTTCTGCCTCCCAGGTTCAAGCTATTCTCCTCCCTCAGCCTCCCAAGTAGCTGGGATTACAGGCATCCACCACTATGCCTGGCTAATTTTTTGTATTTTTAGTAGAGACGGAGTTTCACCATGTTGGTCAGGCTGGTCTCAAACTCCTGATCTCAGGTGATCCACCCACCTCGGCCTCTCAAAGTGCTGGGATTACAGGTGTGAGCCACTGTGCCCAGCCTCATTAGAGTGTTTCTATGATGTCACTTGAGACAGCATGGGTATTTCAGGTGTCAAGATCATTTTATGGGCCGGGAGTTTTTGCTGGGAGACGGTGACAGGCTTTTTCCATATGCTGCATTAGAGGCTCCATAGAGGGGTTATTGAATGGAGAATATGTCCCTCCCAGCTCAGCAGCTTCCACTCTGCACTTTGTGGGCTGGGGACAATCTTACTGGCTCCCATCTCACGTCCCACTAATATTGCTTGAAGGACAAGTCAGATACAAAGTCCATTCCCTAATACAATCAGGTAAAAGAGATGTAACCATTTCATATGAAGCATGTTCAAATACACCAACTTTCATAATTCTACCAACCCTTACATTTTTAAGTTCTAGATCCAGGAGTTTCTCTTCTCCATCAGCCAGTGCAAAAAACTTTGAGTCGCCAGCAGAGGGTTGAGCCAAGGAGCCTTGGCCCTTTTGTCAATCTTTATCTGGATGAACCTGCCTCAACATTGGCCCAGGTGATTGCTGACCAGCTTTCTCATTGTAATCTCTGCTTAATGACTTTTAAAATTTCTCCAGACTAAGGTGAATACAGCAAACCCATTTGGAACTCCTTAATGTTGGCAGCCAGCAAGGGCTCTTTTTGGTCCACCCAACCTTCAATAGTGTTGTATTAAGACCTTTGTTTTCACCCCATCAATTTCCATTCTATTCGTCTCATTTCTTAAGCACCACTAAAGATTTTCAGCCTCCTGCGATGAGTCCCATGGCGCTTCCCTTTTTCCTCTTAGTTTTAGCTTTATTGATGTTTTCTTTAATCTCTTTATTTCTCAATCACTGCTTAAATACATCCACCTTCATGAGATGAGTCCTTTGACCCTGTCCTCTGCTTTTCCACATTATTTTATTAATTGCCCTAATGTTTTTATTAGCATCTATAAGACCCATGAGGGGAAGCTGAGATAGCAAATTCAATAAGGCTTCTCCGACCATAGCTTGATTTTGCAGCAGTGAGTTTGCATGAGGTGTCCATGCAAATCAAATGGGACCCCTTAATCACAGCATTTCCCATGACCTGGGTAACAGACAATGTAGTGGGTGGATATCCCAGTCACCATAAAGCCAGTCCCATGTGGCTTGCATACAAAGCATGTCAGCTGCTTCATCTGGAGGGCTCCACTTGGCATTTATAGGTGGAGTTGGACAGTCCCCCTTCTCAGGGTAAACAAACATTATGGTGGCTTTTATCCAGTCTACTAGGCTGGCTGTTGCCTCAGGAATAGCCTGCTGTATGTCCAGATCGCATGTAGCCATCTGAGGTTGTTCCATAGTGAGCTGTGGATCCTGCATCAACCCAAACATTCTCCTCCCCTCTGCAGCATGTAAAACCAAAGATATTGCCCCTAAATTAGTTACTCTCACAGTCCATTTTAGTAAAGGTCCCTCAGGGAGTTGAAGATACTGAAACACAAAATAAAACAATTCCTTCACACTCTACCCCTTCGTTTCAGTAGTTACTTAATTTTGCCCTTCCCCGAAATTGACTACCTTCTTGGTAACCACAGGTCTCAGAGGCATTTTCTGTTGTTTCTGCATAATTTTGCCCTTAGGGAATGGCTCCAAAGCTAGTGGCCAAATCCCAGACTCACTGCCATCTAAGCTTGGTGTAGCATTGAGGCTGGACCTAGCGCCCTCTTTTATTTTTATTTTAGCTATTACAGATAACAATAACCAAAGGATTGAATATTTCACTTCTTTATTATTAGTTTGCATTTCCTTGCACATCCAGTGAACCAACTTCCCAAGAGTTGGATCTATCTCCAAATTCCAGTGGTAACTTTCACCTTTAATAACTGAGTGCAGCACAGCTGTGACTTCATACCATGGGTGACCATGTGACCATCCAGGAATCAAAGGTCCCTTATCCTCCATCCTCTCATTCTTTTTTTCTTTTTGAGAAGGAGTCTGGCTCTGTCACCCAGGCTGGAGTGCAGTGGCACAATCTCGGCTTACTGCATGCTCTGCCTCCCAGGTTCACACCATTTTCCTGCCTCAGCCTCCCGGGTAGCTGGGACTACAGGCACACGCCACTACACCCAGCTAATTTTTGTATTTTTAGTAGAGACGGGGTTTCACTGTGTTAGCCAGGATGGTCTTGATCTCCTGACCTCGTGATCCACCCACCTTGGCCTCCCAAAGTGCTGGGATTACAGGCATGAGCCTCCGCGCCTGGCCCCTCTCATTCTTTCTCTTCCCAAAGCACAGGTTTCTATGAGCCACGGCCTCGACCAGCAAATCCCACTTCTGACACTAGTTGTGTGAAAACACACACACACACAAACTCAAAATACTTTCTCTATTCTTTCACTCAACAACAATCAACACAGAATATTTTTGTGACCAAATGTTTGGGGATTCCTCCCCACCAACAAGCAAACAATCAATTCTGCAGCAAATACCAGCTGGCTATACTCCAATTCAATTCTGACACCATCTACCTGGAGATAGCATCATATCCCACAGATTGAGGGCTGGGTCCCCAAGATTATTGCCCTTCTTCCCAGCAGTCACAGTCTGGGCCTCCAGAACTTCTGAACAACCAGCTTCAAGTTGAGGATCCCATAACCCCCTCCTTGGGTTCCATCAATATGGAGGGTTCACAGAAAAACTTTAGGGAAGTTTACTTATGTTTATCAGTTCATTATAAAGGCTATTACAAAGGATACAGATGAGGAGACACACAGGGAAAGGGATGGGGAAGGAGTGTGGAGCTTCTATGCCCACCTTGGGTGCCCTGCCCTCCAGAAACTTGTACATGTTTTGCTATCCAGAAGCTCTCCAAACCCAATTCTTTTGGACTTTTATAGAAGCATCATTACCTAGGCACAATTGATTAAATCACTGGCCATTAGTGACCAATAAAACCTTCAGTTCCTCTCCTCTCCCTGGAAGTTTGGGTTAGGCTCAAAGTCCCAACTCTCTAATCTTGCCTTGGTCGTTCCAGGGACTGGCCCCCATTCTGAAGATAGCTAGGGGCTGCCAGCCATCAGTCAACTTATTAGCATACCAAAACACATCACTTTGGAGATTCTAAGGGTTTTAGGAGTTGTATGGAAGGAAACATGTGAAAGATCAAATATATATTTCAAAATATCACACTCCTTTAGAACACTTTGGGACACATACCATGATTCTTTGAAAATCAGTTATTTACCTCATTCTGGTATAAATCAATGAAAATGACCGTGGCAAGTTGTAATCATTTTAAGGGGTTTATTTGCCAAAGTTAAGGACATCCACCAGGGAGACAGGTCTATGCCTTTCTCCAAAGATAATTTTAAGGGCTTCAATATTTAAAGGGGAAAGGATGGATATTGGGGGAATATACAAGTTTCATATGAGGGTGAGTAGAGGAAATAGTCATTCATGCTGTCACTTCATCTGGCTAAGGGAATCTGCAATTTTACATAAGATGATGTAAACAACAGGGCAGAGGAAGCAATCAGAAATCAGATATACATTTGTGATTGCTCTCAGGCGAGCAGAAGGATGACTTTGAGTTCTGTCCTGTCCCGTCCCGCATCTGTGGATAAGCTATCAATTGATATTGCCAGGGTGAAATTCAACAGAACTGTTTTCAAGTAAAGATCTTGGGGCCTGCAAGGAATCTCCTTGTGGGCAAAAGGTGAGCGATGTATGTAGCTTTTTATCTTTGTAGCCATCTTAGTTAGGAACCAAATGGGAGGCAGGTTTGCGTGACCCAGTTCCCAGCTTGACTGTTCCCTTTGGCTTAGTAAGTATGGGGCCCCAAGATTTATTTTCCTCTCACGCTGGTCTTTCTATAGTCACTGGATTATTTGAATATTAATGGATTTTCATTGTAAATGTGATGAGGATGCCAATCCCAAGAAGGATTTCCCTGTGTCTTTCAGAAGACAGAGGAGAGCTCCCTCCACTCTTAGGGGTTCATGTCGTGAACTCCTAATATGTATTCTAAAAATGAAAACCTGAGAACTTTGATCTAAGCTTTTCTAAGATTTGCTCCACCCAAGCCTTTCAGGATACTCCTTTGAGGAAGGTTTTAGCTATGGCAGTAACTGTAAGAGTTTCTGCTGATACACAGTGGGAGGATTCAACAGGGACGAGAATCTTGGAGTTACACATGAGCTGTACCAAGATCCCTGAGCAATGTGAAGCTGAGAAAAAAGAGCCTACATCCAGTTGGTCATGGTGACTCACGCCTGTAATCCCAGCACTTTGGGAGGCTGAGGCAGAAGGATCACCTGAGGTCAGGAGTTCGAGAACAGCCTGGCCAATATGGTGAAACCCTGTCTCTACTAAAAATAAAAAAATAGCCAGGCATGGTGGCACGCACCTGTAGTCCCAGCCACTCGGGAGGCTGAGGCAGGAGAATTGCTTGAACCTGGGAGGCAGAGGTTGTGGTGAGCCGAGATCATGCCATTGCACTCCAGCCTGGGTGATAGGAAAAAAAAAAAAAAAGAATCTACATCCTCCCATTTCCTCTCCTCACCAGTTTAACAAGAATCAACAGAGCATCTCCAAGTTCTACTGGATTCCAGGACTGATTTCTTAACAGAGTGTGCACAACTGCCGTCTTCCAGGATGGCAAATACTTGCCCACAAATAGAGTTAGACCGTACAAGCTCTGGCTGAAATTATTAAGAAATAAAGCAGTTTTGACTGATCCAACATGATGGCTAATTTGACCCGGAGGGAATCATTAATAAACAGCTGCATTAGTAGCTGTTCTTTAAAAAGGATCTCTCTTCAACCAGCCAAGAAACCAAGGTGTGGGAAGTTCAGTGGCATGACTCTGCCCAGCACACTGGAATGTGTGAACTTGCCTACCGGGAAAGGAGAATGCCAAAAAGGGCGTTAGATTGGGAGCAGCTCATCTGTCATCTGCCTTTTGTTTAAGGACAAACTTGGCAGCTGACTCCTGCTCCAACCCACTTCCTACCTTCATCCTGGGAGATGCCTGGTCCACAGGGCATCTTCACTCTCAGTCCTGGCATCCTTGTTTCCAGCAACCTTCTCCACCAACCTCCTTCTATGGCCACTCCTGGACTTTTCCATAACCTGCAAATCCACCTTGAAATCACTCCTCAAACAACTCATGGGCACAGCCTCCTGCCTTTCCAGCCTGCTGTGTGATTCCCTCACTCTGACCTTGCTGGTCCTCATCAGAATCTCTGATCCCTTGGGCCCCTTGCCTCTTCTGTGCTCATTTCCTTTCTTATAATTAGCTTGGAGCCCACGGTTCATCATTTTGAGCAGTCTCTCGACAATATCCCCCTTCAAACTTGTCGGACCATAACCCACAGTAAGAAATCTAATACATATGAGCCAGGTGCAGTGGCTCACACCTGTAACCCCAGCACTTTGGGAGGCTGAGGTGGGTGGATCACTTGAGGTCAGGAGTTCCAGACCAGCCTGGCCAAAAACAAAAATTAGCCGGGCATGTTGCGGGCACCTGTAATCCCAGCTACTCTGGAGGCTGAGGCAGGAGAACTGCTTGAACCAGGAAGGTGGAGGTTGCAGCCAACTGAAATCACGCCACAGCACTCCAGTCTGGGTGACAAAGGGAGACTCCGTCTCAGGGGAAAAAAAAAAAAGAAAGAAATCGAAATACTTATGATCTGAGGGTCATCTGCATACGTATTTATCTATACACATACATATATACACAAGCCTCTTTCAACTTTAACTCAGTCACAATTATTTAAAAATCTCTCCCTGATCCTTCTTACAGCTATGTTTCTCTCTCTCTTTTTTTTTGAGATGGAGTCTTGCTCTTTCGCCCAGGCTGGAGTGCAGTGGTGTGATCTCAGCTCACTGCAACTCCACCTTCCAGGTTCACGCCATTCTCCTGCCACAGCCTCCCTGCGTCTGCCACCACGCCCGGCTAATTTCTTGTATTTTTAGTAGAGATGGGGTTTCACCGTGTTAGCCAGTATGGTCTCGATCTCCTGACCTCGGGATCTGCCCACCTCAGCCTCCCAAAGTGTTGGCATTGCAGGCGTGAGCCACTGTGCCCGGCACAGCTCTGTTTCTCTCATCTTCACCACACTGTTGCCACAGTCATCTATACAAACTGTACTAGTATTCCTATTGCTTCTGTAACAAATTGCCACAAACTCAGTGGTTTAAAACAGCACACATGTATTCTCTTACAGTTCTAGTAGTCAGATGTTTGCAATGAAGATTTCTGCATGGCTGCATTCCTTTTGGAGGTTTCAAGGCAAAATCTTTTTCCTTGCCTTTTCCCATTTCTAAAGACTGCCTACATTCTTGGACTCATGGCTTCATCGTTCCAACTGCTGGTTCTGTTGTCACAACTCCTTTTTCTGACTCTCTGACTCTGACTCTCTTGCCTTCCTCCTTTTTTTTTTTTTGAGATGGAGTTTTTCTCTTGTTGCCCAGGCTGGAGTGCAATGGTGCAATCTCGGTTCACTGCAACCTCCACCTCCTGGGTTCAAGCAATTCTCCTGCCTCAGCCTCCCAAGTAGCTGGGATTACAGGCATGCACCACCATCCCTGGCTAATTTTCATATTTTTAGTAGACATGGGATTTCACCATGTTGGCCAGGCTGGTCTCGAACTCCTGACCTCAGGTGATCCACCCACCTTGGCCTCCCAAAGTGCTGGGATTACAGGTGTGAGCCACTGCACTCAGCCACCTTCCTCCTTTTAAGGACCCTTGTGATTATATAAACCCCTTCCAGATAATCCAGGATAATCTTCCCCACTCAAAATCCTGAACTTAATCACATCTGCCAGTCCCTTTTACCATGAATGTCTGGTAACATAATCACTGCCTGGGGATTAAGGCCTGTGGACATCTTTGGGGGCCGTTACTCTGACTACTACATGGACCATCTTTGACTTTCTTACCTCCCACTCACTTTTCTTTTTTCTTTCCCTTTTTCTTTTTCTTTTTTTTTTTTTTTTTTTTTTTGAGGTGGAGATTATCTCTTGTTGCCCAGGCTGGCATGCAATGGCGCAGTCTCAGCTCACTGCAAACTCTGCCTCCCAGATTCAAGTCATTCAGCTGCCTCAGCTTCCTCACTGGGATTACAAGCACCTGCCACCACGCCCGGCTAATTTTGTATTTTTAGCAGAGACGGGGGTTTTCTATGTAGTCAGGCTGGTCTTGAACTCTCCATCTCAGGTGATCTGCCTGCCTCAGCCTCCCAAAGTGCTGAGATTACAAGCGTGAGCCACCGCACCTGGCCCCTCCACTCACTTTTCAACCTTTTCCAAACAAGCTTCTGTCCCACCCCCCATTCCATATGGTTTCAAAATGGTTCTTGATGGCCTCCATGTTGCTGAAACCATGGGATTGTTCTAACTGTCCTTCTTCTTGACCTTTGGGCACTGTAGACCAAACAGCTTGAGACATAGGCAGGCAGCCTGGAGGAACAGAGCATTTGGGCGATGGCTGGTCCTCATGAACCTGTCCTGCTGTCACCCAGCAGCACATCCTCGTGGGACTGAGGCTGGCTACAGAAGGCATTCCACACCCCCTTGCTCCATGAGTTACCCAAGGCTCCGTGTGCCTAGGCTTTCTTTATTGCTTAAGAGTGTGGATCAGATAACTGCAGGTGAAGTTTTCTTAAACATTTTTGTTTACACATCCAAAGTTGATAACTGGGTGAGCTTTCACAAAGTAAAGCACATGCATGCCATGCAGATCAAGGAACAGGGCATGGCCAGCTTGCCTGATCTCCTCGTTCTCCCCTCCCTAACGTTAGCTCCTCTCCTCACAAAGGTAATGCTACCTTTGTGATTTTTTTTTTCCTTTTAAATAGACTTAATGTGTTAGAGAAGTTCTAGATTCATAGAAAAATGGAGCAGAGGCCAGGTGCTGTGGCTCACACGTGTAATCCCAGCACTTTGAGAGGCCGAGGCGGGCAGATCACGAGGTCAGGAGTTCGAGACCAGCCTGACCAACATGATGAATCCCCGTCTCTACTAAAAATACAAAAAATTAGCCGGGTGTGGTGGTGCATGCCTGTAATCCTAGCTACTTGGGAGGCTGAGGCAGGAGAACTGCTTGAACCTGGGAGGTGGAGGTTGCAGTGGGCTGAGATCTTACCATTGTATTCCAGCCTGGGTGACAAAGAAAGAAAAACAGAAAGGAGAGAGAGAGAGAAAGAAAGAAAGGAGGGAGGGAGGGAAGGAAGGAAGGAAGGAAGGAAGGAAGGAAGGAAGGAAGAAAGGAAGGAAGGAAGAAAGGAAGGAAGGAAGGGAAAAGGAAAGAAAGGGAAAAGAAAAGAAAGAAAGAAAAATGGAGCAGAAAGTGCAGAGTTTTCATCAACCTCTACTGCCACCTGCCACACACACACACATGCGCAGCTTCCCCACTAGCAATATCAAACCTGAGTGGGATATTTGTCATAGTCAATAAATCTACATTGACACATCACTATCAACCAGAGTCCATAGTTTACATGAGGGCTCACTCTTGGTGTTGTACATTGCATGGGTTTGTACATATGGACAATGACGTGGATCCACCATTGTAGTATCACCCAGAGTAGTTTCACTGCCCTAAAAATCCTGTCTTTCACCAATTCATTCCTCCTTTCTGCTGACCTCTGGCAACCGTGGATATTTTCACTGTCTCCATAGTTTTGCTTTATCCAGAATGTCATATAGTTGGAATCATACAGTGTGCAGCCTTTTCAGAAGGGCTTCTTTCACTTAGGAGTATGCATTTAAGGTTTCTCCATGTCTTTTTGTGGTTTGATAGCTCATTTCATTTTAGTGCTAAATAACATTCCATTGTCTGGATATGGGCCTAGGCTTCTTTGTTTGTTGTTGTTGTTGTTGTTGTTGTTGTTGTTGTTGTTGTTTGAGATGGGGTTTTGCTCTGTTTCCCCAGCTGGAGTGCAGTGGCACAATCTCAGCTCACTGCAGCCTCCACCTCCGGGGTTCAACCAATTCCGCCACCTCAGCCTCCAGCGTAGCTGCAATTACAGGGGCGTGCCACCACACCCGGCTAATTTTTTGCATTTTTAGTAGAGATGGAATTTCACCATGTTGGCCAGGCTGGTCTCGAACTCCTGACCTCAGGTGATCCATCCGTCTCAGCCTCCCAAAGTGTTGGGATTACAGATGTGAGCCACCACACCTGGCCGGGCCTAGGTTTTTGAAGAAGGAATTGAACTGAGTGTAGGCCAGGTTGTACTGTTGAAGTGTCTTCTTTGTACTTGGAATGTGCTAGGACAGATAGACTTCAAAGTGCAAAGCGCCTGAAGGATCTGGCATTAGTCAATTCTATGCACTGAGCTTCTGTCCCCAGAATACCACTCTCAGAGTAAGAATATGGCAAGGCCGGTTGGATAGGTGGGGCATGGATTGGAGGCTCAGGCCACTGCACTGCACATACAGGTCTTGATGTAAACGGTCTGGTGGAGGTCAAGTTCTGTTTAGCGGGGGTAGACTATGGGACAGACTGAAGAAAGGTAATGGTCTAAACGCAGAAAAAGTTTCATTCCCACTCATGTGACAGTCTGTGGAGCAGGCAGCTCCTCTCCTCATGAACCTGGGACCCAGGTATCTTCCATGTTGTGGCTCTGCTTCTCCAGAGCCTTGTCATTTTTTTCATCTAGCTATAGTGACAAGATCTTTTGGATGAGCCGTCAATATTAAACCAAAGGCAAACTCTGAAAATTGATTTGACGTGTGGTCAGCTGCTCATTTTGCACAGTGTGGGGACTGCTGGGGTGATGGACAAGAAGGTTTTCATGAGGAGGCTGAAGAGATCTAAGTATAGGGGTGCCAGCCTGGGGCACTTCAGAAGGGGCACTAGCCTACGGGTAGCATCAGGGTGATCCTGATTTCCCTGGGTCAGGGTGTGGCTCACGACGGGGTGCTGAGAACCCACCAAGAAGGCTGGAACTTTCAGTACTCATTGTTTTATGAGGGCCTGCCTGTGTGCCAGGTGGGAAGACACTGACCAGAGGCCCAGGGACACTGAAGGGTCTCGGCCTGGTCTCTTGGTGCCTGGGGGGTACACTGTACAAGCGATGATGTAGTTCCAAGGGGCAGGATTCTGACCCACACTCCTGGTGCCAATGTCCATTTTGCCACTCATGTTAGATTTTGCTTCTCTAAGTGAACTTACTCAGGATAGCTGGGTTCTTGGCCATTCTTCCAGTGGTTTTCAAGGGTGAAAAAAGGAGTTTCAGCAAGACAGCTAACATCTGGATGAGCGAGCCAGGAAGTGTCTGTAGCCTTCCTCTAGAGAGCACTCTGGACTGGTGGGCATGAGGACCCCACTTTCATGCACGTCCATGTGAAGAGGCCACCAAACAGGCTTTGTGTGAGCAACATGGCTGTTTATTTCACCTGGGTGCAGGCGGGCTGAGTCTGAAAAGAGAGTCAGTGAAGGGAGACAGGCGTGGGGCCATTTTATAGGATTTGCATAGGTAAAGGAAAATTACAGTCAAAGGGGGGTTGTTCTCTGGTGGGCAGAGTGGGGGTCACAAGGTACTCAGTGTGGGAGGTTTTGAGCCAGGATGAGCCAGGAGAAGGAATTTCACAAGACAATGTCATCAGTTAAGGCAGGAACAGGCCATTTTCACTTTTCTTTCTTTTTTTTTTTTTTTTTTTCAGCAACAAGGCTGTTTATTTCACCTGGGTGCAGGCAGGCCGAGTCCGAAAAGAGAGCAAAGGGTGATGGGATTATCATTAATTCTTAAAGGTTTTGGGATAGGCGGTGGAGTTAGGAGCAATGTTTTGTGGGCAGGAGGTGGATCTCACAAAGTACATTCTCAAGGGTGGGGAGAATTATAAATTACAAAGAACCTTCTCAAGGGTGAGGGAGATTACAAAGAACTTTCTTAAGGGTGTTGGAGATTACAAAGTACATCAGTTAGGGTGGGGCAGAAACAAATCACAATGGTGGAATGTCATCAGTTAAGGCTATTTTCACTTCTTTTGTGGATCTGGGACGTGAGGAGAGCCTCTGCCCGGCCTCGCCGTCTGGAAAGTGAGGAGCCCTTCTGCCCGGCCACCCCGTCTGGGAAGTGAGGAGCGCCTCTGCCCGGCCGCCCATCGTCTGGGCAGTGAGGAGAGCCTCTGCCCGGCCGCCCATCGTCTGGGATGTGAGGAGCGCCTCTGCCTGGCCACCCCATCTGGGAACTGAGGAGCGCCTCTGCCCGGCTGCTCTGTCTGGGAGGTCTACCACGGAGGCCAGACGCAGTGTGGGGGCTGGACGTGGTGGCTCATGCCTGTAATCCCAGCACTCTGGGAGGCCGAGGCAGGTTGATCACTTGAGGCTAGGGGTTCGAGACCAGCCTGGCCAACATGGCGAAACATATGAAAATTACAACAAAGCAACCAACCAACCAACCCAGCAACAACAAAACAGGTCTACCCTGGAGTTATACTCTAAGTTTTTCTGTTTTCCTCCCTTTCTGATCCTTTATCCCACTTTCTTTTTCTTCCTCTTCCTTCTCCTTCTTGTCAAAGACATAGAGGATTGAGTTATTATCATTGATCCATACAAAGTTCCTGTCTCATTTATTTTCTTTCATTCTCACCCCCATTTATATTCCCCGTCTTCCCATGTGCAACCTTCCTAATGTGTTTGATATGCATCTTTTTGTTCGTAGGTATTTTTAGAAAATGTTAAATAAAAAAAAAATTTAAAAAAGCCCTGCAAAGGCAGGAAAGCCGAACTGGCTGCTGAGCCCCTTCTGGTTGGCCACACAGTACCCACGCCTGTAGCCCCTGGACTCCTAGTGTGGGCTAAGGTGGAGTGGACCCTCTGGCTTGGTCACAGCACAATGGGCCACCTGGAAACCATCCAAAAGAGAAGAACTACCAGCCCATGCCCTAGGTGCAGCTGCCACCTGCACATCAGGCACCAGCAGCAATGGCCAGACCATCCCTGATTCTCCATGCCCTCCCCATCCCAGCCCCAACAGCAAGGACTCCCTGACAGGACGCTGCAGTAGTGGCTGTCGGGAAGTCGGCTGGGCAGGTGCATAAGGATAAAGATAGACTCTCAGCCCCATCCTGATGGCCACGATGTGCTCATCCCCTGGTAGCTCCTCAGCCCTATCCTAGTGGCCACGGAGTGACATGCAGGCAGCAGCCTTGGGAACCCCGATTGCCCCTCCTCACACGTGCCCATCACACGACTTGGGTGAAGGGGAGGTGAAGTCAGGCTGTGGCCCCAGCGGCGCCATGAGGCCGAGAACCAGTGCTCAGCCTCATCCCCGTGGCTGCAGAGTGCCAAGTGCCAGATCCTGCTCTCTGGGTGCCAGTCAGGAGCAGCTGGCAAGGGCAGCGCAGCCTGTGGGGCCCTCGGGCGTGGCCGGCCGCAGCTCCCGGAAGCCACGTCAGCCCACGGGCGCTGCAGCTGCAGCCGCCACATTGAGCAGGGGTCGCCGAGGATTGGGAATCCCCGAGGAGGCGGGCGCCTCCAGCCGCGCGGACCCCGGGGGCCAGCCCAGCCGCGGCAAGTCAGGTAGTCTGCGGCGGGAGCTCCGGGCATGGGCTTCGGCCCGGGGTGCAGGAGGCGCGCACCCTCTGGCCGGATGGGCGGCACACTCAGGGCCCAGGAGGCCATCCCAGGGGAGCCCCGCCAGCCCCGGCCGGAGCCCGAGCTGCAGCTGCCACCTGCAAGTGGTGCGCTGGCTGCAGCGGTGGCAAACCCGGATCCCATCCTCGCGCCTCGCGCCCATCAGCGCGGACCCCGGGGGCGACGCAGTGACGAAGCAGGGCTGTGGGCCCAGCGGCGGCACCAGGCAGAGAAGCACCACTCAACCCCATCCCTGGGCTGCAGAGGGCCCAGCGCGGGGGGCTCAGAGCATCGGGAGCCGGTGGAAGAGGAGAAGAGCGAGCGGGCGACAGTCAAACAGGCCCTGGGGCAGGGCGCGCCTCGCGCTCCAGGGAGCCCCGCCAGCCCGAGGCACCTGAGCAGCAACCGCCACCTGCACTGGGCACCACGAGACAGCTGCTAGGGCGGTTTCTCTGCCTGGGGCCTGTTGCTCGGACCAGCTAAGGTGCGCCTGCTCACTGGTCCTAACCGTTCTGTTGGGCGTTTCTGCTGAGAGGCGGGAGGCGCTGAGAGTCTGTGCGAAGGTCCGTGGACAGACTGCATTGCTTGTTGTTGCGCTTCGGAGGCGGCGATGCCCGAAGGCAAGCTGAAATACGGCTGGAGCGTTCCCAGGCTACAATTTGCAGCGACGATTATGGAAGACGAGCCAGAGTGGTGGCCCACCCTCAGGGAGCGCTTGTGCTCAGATGGCTTCTCATTTCCCCAATACCACATTAAATCATCTCATCTGAGGAGGATCCACAGAGCTGTCTTCTGTGGTAATCTGGAGAAACTGAACTACCTTCTGTTAACATATCATGACGCTGTCTGAGTAGTTGTCGACCTTGTTTCCACATTAACTGGCTGTTTTGTTGTGGCTGCACTTCTGTTTCATTACCTTCATCTTGCAGGACAGAGTCTTGGCCGCAGACTGAGCCTGTACCTCACCCGTCTCCCACCGTCTCTTGGTACTGGCCACGGCCATGCTGAGCAGCTCTATGGAGGCCTGGTGGGCTAGCTTGGGGGTCCAGCCAGCGGTCCTTTCACAGCTGGGGAGTGGAGCCTGGGCCTGAGGTCTCCTGTGCGCCTCCCAGCGCCTGTGCCAGCGCTGTGTGCCTTTTCATTTTCACTTCTTTTGTGGTGGAATGTCATCAGTTAAGGCAGGAACCTGCCATCTGGATGTGTACGTGCAGGTCACAGGGGATATGATGGCTTAGCTTGGGCTCAGAGGCCTGACACCCAGGGCAGGCTGGCTCAGCCCCTTTGACTTCAGATTTCAGGGAAGGCCAGGGAGCTGGATTGGGTGCCTGGATTTTCTGAGAATTATGTTTCTGAGAGGATTTTGAGACCTAAACAGGAATACTTTACACACAGGTCATCAAGCAGGAACTGGGAAGTTCCGAAGCTGCCCTCCTTCCCACCACCTCCTCCCTTCAGAGTCCAAGGGCTGCCAAGCTGTCTCCCACACACCTCAGTGAAAAGTCCCTGGCTCTCCTCCCAGCCACCTCGCTGTGACCTTGTGAGGTGTGAGAAGGAGGAAGGGGATCCACGTTCTGGATGAACCTTCCTTCCTCCTTGCCGATAAATAGTTTAGGCCCCTGCGCCTGCTGGGCCTCAGACCTTCTCAGAGCCCAGGGCCCGCTGTGGCTCCTGCAAGCTGCCTGGGAATTCCACGGAGGCTGACTGGCTGCCTGTCTTATTCCCAGTCTGCTGCAACCCATTTCCTAAGCTTGGGTGGCTGAAAACAACAGAAATTCATCCTCTCACAGTTCTGGAGGCCAGAGTCTGAATGCAGGTGTTGGCAGGGCTGTGCTGCCTTTGAAGGTTCTAGGGAAGAATCCTTCCTGACTTTTTCCAGTTTTGGGTGGTGGCCGGCAATACGCGGCATTCCTTGGCTTCAGATGCATCATTCCAGCTGCACACAGCTGTCTTCCCTTTGAGTCTCTTCTTTTCTTCTTATAAGGATACCAGTCATATGGTGTGAAGGGCCCACCTTACTCCAGTATGTCGCCAAGTTAATTCGTTACATCTGCAACCACCCAATTTCCAAATGTCACATTCTGAGGTTCCTGATTGAAGGGGTGGGTTGCCCCTCCACACCTGTGGGCGTTTCTCGTTAGGTGGAATGAGAGACCTGGAAAAGAAAGAGACACAAAGTATAGAGAAAGAAAATAGGGCCCAGGGGACGGGCGTTCAGCATACTGAGGACCCATGCAGGCACCGGCCTCTGAGTTCCCTTAGTATTTATTGATAATTATCAGGCGTTTCCGGAGAGGGGGATTTGGCAGGACAATAGGGTAATAGCCAAGAGAAGGTTAGTAGGAAAACACGTGAACAAAGCTCTCTGCATCTTAAACAAAGTAAAGAATTAAGTGCTGTGCTTTTGATGTGCATTCACATAAACATCTTAATCCATTAAAGAGCAGTATTGCTGCCAGCATGTCCCACCTCCAGCCCTAAGGTGGTTTTCCCTTATCTCAGTAGATGGAATATACAATCGGACTTGACACCAAGACGTTCCATTGCCCAGGGACAAGCAGGAGACAAATGCCTTCCTCTTATCTCAACTGCAAAGAGGCCTTCCTCTTTCACTAATCCTCCTCAGCACAGACCTTTTATGGGTGTCAGGCTGGGGGACAGTCAGGTCTTTCCCTTCCCAGGAGGCCATATCTCAGGCTATCACATGGGCAGAAACCTTGGACAATACCTGGCTTTTCCAGGCAGAGGTCCCTGTGGACTTCCGCAGTGTTTTGTGTCTCTGGGTACTTGAGATTAGGGAGTGGTGATGACTCTTAACAAGCATGCTGCCTTCAAGCGTTTGTTTAACAAAGCACACCCTGCACAGCCCTTAATCCATTTAACCCTGAGTTGACACAGCACATGTCTCAGGGAGCACAGGGTTGGGGGTAGGGTTACAGATTAACGGCATCTCAAGGCAGAAGAATTTTTCTTAGTACAGAACAAAATGGAGTCTCTTATGTCTACTTTCTACACAGACACAGTAACAATCTGATCTCTCTTGCTTTTCCCCACACTGATGAACGTGAATTTGAGGGGACACCATTCAACCCACAGCAGAGCCCCACCATCACCTCTCTGCACAGGTCACCCTGCCTGTCTTTCCTCTTCAGAACCAAGACAGAGCCAAGAGTGATTTCTTGAAATGAAACTGCATCCTCTCATCCCAATAAGGCATGGCCTCACTAGTGGGAGATGAGCAAATGAAAGCCTCCCTCAGGATGGGCATCCACACGTCCAGGGGATACTCCCCCAATTTTTTTTCCTGGTTTATAAAGGTGCTTCAGGACTTCTTGGCTCCTGGCCGATACCTTAGTGCTTCCTGAAGGGGAAATAGCCCTCCAAACCATTCAGTGGGCCATCCCAGACCAAGTTTTCTGACCCAGACATTGAAACAGGAGGAGTAACCTTATCCCCCTTGCAGGGCAAGCTACAGGGGCATGGCTCGCTTCTCAGTACCCTGCTGCTCAAACCCCTAGAGGGAGCATGCAGACGGGCATGTCGTGGGGAGCGTTTCTGGGCTCTGGCCCCACAGCAGCGTGTGGAATTCAGTTCGGGGTGTTTACAGCTCCCGAAGCCCCAGTGGGCATGTGTTACAGAGGTCTCCTTCAGTTTTGTCATCTGCAGGTGGCTTGTGTTAATCAGCTCAATTAGGCCCTCTGCCTTATCACAAAGACAGAGGGCTTTCTGTATCCCGGGTTCTTGCCCTAGTGTACTTGAAAAATCAGATCGCATGTGGACTTGGAGAATGAATGCAAGATTTTATTGAGTGGAGGAGGTGGCTCTCAGATGGATGGGGAGCCAGAAGGCGGATGCAATGGGAAGGTGGTCTTCCCCTAGAGTCGGGCTGCCTAGCAGCCAGACTCTCCTCCGACAGCCCCCAACTGAATTCCACATCTCCCCACTGTCAAAAGCCTGCCAGCATCTGCTGATGTCTGTCGGTGTGCTCTTCTGCTTCTCTCCTCCTCTCAATGTCCAGCCACTTGTGTCTGTGCCCACTAGGGTCTTGGGTTTTTTATGGGCACAGGATGGGGGTCATAGCAGGCCAGAGTAGTCTTGGAAAATGCAACATTTGGTCATGAAAACAGGAGTGCCAGTTCTCACTAAGGTCCAAAGGCACAAGCCCAAGGGTGGAGCCCTAGCCAGGGACTCCACCCTTCTCTACCCAGCACTCCCCTGCCACCCTTCCATATCAACATGAAAGCTGACATTGGCTCCTGTGCCCCACCTCTGGGCCTGGTTTTGTGACCTCTGCACCAGAGCTGCTAGGGAGGCCCTACCCCACATGTTGTTAACTCAATAGCCCTTCCCCAGGGGAACCAATGTCCTCCTGTCCCCAAACCCAAGGAGGAGTTGTGGGTTCCTGGGCCTCTTGTAACCCGACTGAATATTTTCCAGGTTACCTAACCAAACTCCTGCAAAACCACACCACCTATGACTGTGATGGGGACTATCTGAATCTACAGTGCCCTCGGCATTCTACGATAAGTGTCCAATTGGCATTTTATGGGCAAGATTACCAAATGTGTAGTTCCCAGAAGCCTGCCTCCCAGAAGGAAGATAGCTTAACCTGTGTGGCATCCACCACCTTCCAGGTATTGCCTTTTATAGACAGGTTAAGAAGATACAGTTTCAACAGACACTCTTTCTGTCTCTCTGGGTATAAATATATTTGTGATTATATAGTTCAATCCAAGCAAAACTGATCCATGAAAAATCCCAACTTATACAGATCACCAGTTTTGTAGGTGAGCTATTATTTGCTTCTCAAAGGATTTGTTACCCAACAAAACTAAATAGAATTCCTACCTATTGTAGAGCCCCCTTTGTACACTTCAATATGAATTTATTTGTAGGTTTACTCCTTACTTCAGTATAGCAAAGTACAACCAGGATGGATTCCAACCTCCAGGCCCATATCTCCCATAAATACTCCCGTAGAAAGGGAAGGTGGGTTCTTTAATGGAAACCACAAGTATCTCTTTGAGGCAGACATCTGAACTCATGACTAACTTCTTAGAAAATGTACTCAAAGGGCCAGGCACGGTGGCTCATGCCTGTAGTCCCAGCACTTTGGGAGGCCAAGGCAGGTGGATCACGAAGTCAGGAGATTGAGACCATCCTGGCTCACACGGTGAAACCCTGTCTCTACTAAAAATACAAAAAATTGGCCAGGTGTGGTGGTGGGCTCCTGTAGTCCCAGCTACTCCAGAGGCTGAGGCAGGAGAATGGCATGAACCCGGGAGGTGGAGCTTGCAGTGAGCAGAGATCACGCCACTGCACTCCAGCCTGGGCAACAGAGCGAGACTCCGTCTCCAAAAAAAAAAAAAAAAAAAAAACAAAAAAGAAATCATTATTAAACATTTTTACTAATTAAATGGTTTTGGAGTACATTCTTTAAAAAAAACAATTAACTATGTTTTCTTCAACAGTGCACATGTAATGCCAACTTTGTATGACATTGCAAAGGAAGATTTTACTATGTTAAGCAGATTAAACAAACAAACTTTTCCTTGAATTCTTTGGGAACAAAGTACAACCTGGTCCAAATCATCCTAACCTAGAATGCACCATCAGCTTGATAGTCAGTTGTTCCTGGATTTACCAGATTTGGGGCAGACTTTTCATGCTTCTCTAAAGAGGGATTCTTAACTGACACCGTGCCTTGTTTTTGCCCTTTTCCTAGTAAAGGAAATGATTTGATTTGGTATCATATCATCTTTCTTGCTTTTTTTTTTTTTTAATTAGAGATGAGGCCTTGCTATGTTTCCCAGGCTGGTCTCCAACTTCTGGGCCCAAGCGATCCTCCTGCCTCAGCCTCCCTCCCAAAATGCTGGGATTACAGGTGTGAGCCACTGTGCGTAGCCTCTTTCTTGTCTTTTAAACAAATAAATGTAAGCTGGGCATGGTGTGCATTCATATATTCCCAGGTACTTGAGAAGCTGAGGTGAGAGGATCCCTTGAGCCTAGGTTTGAGCCCAAGAGTTCAAGGCTGCAGTGAGCTATGATTGCACCACTGCACTCCAGCCTGGGTAACAGAGTGAAACCCTGTCTCTAAAAAACTAAACTAATGCTGGGCGTTGTGGCTCACGCCTGTAATCCCAGCACTTTGGGAGGCCGAGGCAGGCAGATCATGAGGTCAGGAGATCGAGACCATCCTGGCTAACATGGTGAAACCCCGTCTCTACTGAAAATACAAAATTATCTGGGCATGGTGGGGCATGCCTGTAATCCCAGCTACTCGGGAGGCTGTGACAAGGAGAATCACTTGAACCTGGTAGGCGGAGTTGCAGTGAGCTGAGATCTCACCACTGCACTCAGCTTGGGTGAGAAGGGTGAAACTCTGTCTCAAAAAAAAAAAAAAAAAAAAGACACGGTCCTGTTTTCATGGGGTGAACAGTTGAGGGAGAAAGGCAAGCATTAACCAAATAGCCAGACACATCAGCATGCCCTATTGTGACAAATGCTATTTTAGAAAAGGGAAGAAGACTATAGCAGTGGAGGGGGCCTATTTTAGCTTGGGGGTGGTGTTTTAAGTCTTCCAAAGAGAAGCATCCTGTAGGGTGAACACTAGGGCATGCACACTAGCTGCACACTAGGGGCTGAGACAGTGAATCTGCTGAGTGGGAGAGGAAAGGTGTTGATGAGGAGGAAGATGGCCCTGGTTTAAACTGTTGAGAACAGTGTCCTGCACACAGTAGGAGCTCCATGAAGAGTGCTTCCTAATGTTTTCACCAACATATCTGAAGTGGAGCAGGAAGGTGATCAATCACACCCCTGTCCCTGACCTCATTCTAAAACAGTTTGAAACAAGGAGATGCAAAAATCTGACAAGTGTGTTGACAATGGTGATTTTAAAGGTCCTAAAAGATTCTCTGGATATCAGAGCCAATTTCACATAGTAGAGGGGCACATTCCCTGCGGTGGCCTGTGTCATACACAGCCAATTTCACCTTTTCACTGCCTGGTTATTCTGCAAAGTGCATCCTAGAATGACCTTCCTCTCTGAGCTCCTCTTCAAAATTCTGATTCTTTCTCAAACTATAAAGCCTCTGGCATTTGCCAAGAGCCAAGGCCCTCCTGAAGCCACAGTTTGAGAACAAGCGAAGAGGCAGACATGAGAAAGAAGTACCACCCCTGGCAGGGAGAGCTGACACTTCCCAGGCTACTGCATCCTTCTCAGGGCCCAGAAATGAATGAGAGGTAATTAAAGCAGAAAGCATTTTGCAGCAGCTCAGCTCAGCTCTTCGAAGCTGCCATGGTCCCAGGATCAGTGGTGTGCCCTGAGGACAGCCAAGGGACATTCCTCGAGGCCCTGGAAATCATCAGCCACCTCCAGCAACTTCACCGGGCCTCCCTGGGAAGTCTCCCTTGCTGATGGGCACGAAGGCACCAGGGCCTCCTGTACATGGAAAACTCACAATCTAGGAATGTCCTGTGGTTGTTGATCCTGGGACATCTCCAGAAGAATTTAGTTAAGCCCTCCAAGAAAGGAAAAAAGGTTTTCTTGCTGCTGAAGATGTCTCACTTGTTCTTTTTTTAAAAAGCAGTGCAGTTGAATTTGCAGTTTGTTTTCACTTTCTTTCCATTTCCTGTTGCTACTTCTCCAAGATCTCAGCTGGGCTGAGGAACTAATAAAAATAAGCAATTTTATGTAGTAGGAATATTCAGTTTCCACTCCCTTCTCCCAGCCTGTGGCAGTGTGCTTGGCCTGCAGAATTCTTGCTCTGCCCTCTGTTTCAGTGGGTGCCGTCATCTGCCAGCTGCTTTGCCTGGGGATTCTGACATCCCAGGGCTTATTCTTAGGGTCAGTTCAGCAGAGTCTTAAACCACCTTCAAAGGAGTCGGTCACGCTGCCGTCCTCTCTGCATCTTTCTGTAGTCCTTTCTGATAATATTTAGCAAATCACTTTAGCACAGAATCTTCGAATTCTTTCCAGATTTACGATGGAAACACAGAGGCAAAGAGCTTGGGGTAGAAAGCAGAAGAGCAGGTGCTGGGAGAGTTTGATGGTGAATTTTGAGTTGGTCACAGTCATTTTGCTTTACTAAGTCCAGGGAAGCTCATCTTCAGAGTTAACCACCATATATATATATATTTTTTTTTTCTTTTTTTTTTTTTTTTTTTTGAGATGGAGTCTTGCTCTGTCACCCAGGCTGAAGTGCAGTGGCACACTCTCAGCTCACTGCAACCTCCACTTCCTGGGTTCAAGTGAGCACGTCCGGCTAATTTTTGTATTTTTTAGTAGAGACGGGGTTTCACCATGTTGGCCAGGCTGGTCTTGAACTCCTGACTCAAGTGATCCACCTGCCTCAGACTCCCAAAGTGCCAGGATTACAGGCGTGAGCCACCATGCCTGGCCCAGAGTTAACCACTCTATTGAGGTGTTGTTTATTTTTCTTAAAATTCTATTACACGTGAATACAATACAATGATTTTTAGTAAATTTAGAGTTGTGCAACCATCACTACCCTCCAGTTTTAAAACATTTTCACAATCCCCCGAAGCTCCCTTATGCCCATTTGCCATCACTGCCCCATTTCCAACCCCCCGGTCCCAGGTAACCACGCATCTACTTTCTCTCTAGATTTGCCTTTTCTGAATATTTCATACAAATGGAATTATGCAATGGATGGTTTTGTGTGTGTGTGCATGGCTGACTTCTTTAACTGAATGTAATATTTCAGAGGTTCATCCATGTTGTAGCATGTATCATATCAGTACTTCACTTTTTTTTTTTTAGAGTTGAAGTCTCACGCTGTCACCCAGACTGGAATGCAGTGGTGCGATGTTCGCTCACTGCCACCTCTGCCTCCCAGGTTCAAGCAATTCTCCCTGCCTCAGCCTCCCAAGTAGCTGGGATTACAGCCGTGTGCCACCACGCCCAGCTCACTTTGTATTTTTAGTACAGACGGGGTTTCGAATATGTTGGCCAGGCTGGTCTCGAACTCCTGACCTCAAGTAATCTGTCCACCTCGACCTCCCAAAGTGGTGGGATTACAGGTGTAAGCCACCATGCCGAGCCTTCACTCCTTTTTATTACTGAGGTGTATTCTGCTGGATGGATATATCATATCTTGTTTTTATTCTCCATTTTTTAAATATTGCAAAATGGGCCTAAAACCACCTCTCTGGAGGATTTGATGATCACATGGATAGCATTGGGTTGTGTGTAAGTATGTGTATCTAACAGGAAGAGTGAGTGACTCTTGCACCGATTTGGAAAGTGATTTTAAAATCTTATCTACATTGCATTTAAAAATATATTGAGTCCACATTTTAAAAATATACCACGTATTTAAAATATTTCTTTTTGGCTTTTAGTTCCCAAGAACATACTCAAAGTGATTGATCCAGCCATTGTTAATCTAAAACCTTTGAAGCAGAAAGATGCTGAATATGGTAATTTTTATGGCTTACTGCCAGCATTTCTTTTTAAGTAAAGGTAAACAGCCCCTGGGTGACCACAGTTGGGCACACCTTGATTAGAATGGAAGGGGCTGTCAGGAGGTGTGTTTGAGGTACCGGTCCTGGTGATGATTAGTGCTTTAGCCAATAGTTGCAATGAAGACCAATTTATTTTGTTTTGACTTTTTTAACATCAGAAGTAGGATAAACCTCCCCTTCATTCTCCTCTCACTTCCTAAAAGGAAAATCACTTTGAAAAGACATCTGCTCAGAAATAAATTTGGGCTTCCTGGGTTACACAATGAGCTTTTTGCAAAGCTGAGCCCATTGGGAGCTGCTGCGTAGGCACCAGTGCCGGCTAGCACCTAAGGACCTCTGTACCTCTGTTCACGCCACCTTCCTCCTTAGTTTCCTTCCTTCCTTCTTTCCTTCCTTCCTTCCTTCCTTTCTTTTGCTTCGGAGTTTCACTCTTCTCACCCAGGGCCGGCTAGGACCTGAGGGCCTCTGTACCTCTGTACACGCCACCTTCCTCCTTAGTTTCCTTCCTCCCTCCCTTCCTCCCTCCCTCCCTCCCTCTCTCCGTTTTCTTCCTTCCTTCCTTCTTCTCCTTCTTTCTTTCTTTCTTGCCCTGTCTCTCTTTCTTTATTCTTCTGTCTCTCTTTCTTTCCCTCCCTCCTTCCCTCTCTCCCTCTCTCCCTCTCTTTCTTTCTTTTTCTCTCTCTCTCTTTCTTTCTTTCCCTCCCTCCCTCTCTCTCTCTCTCTTTCTTTCTTTCTTCTTTCTTTTCTTTCTTTCTTCCTTTCTTTCTTCTTTTTCTTTGGAGTTCTGCTTTTTCTCACCCAGGCTGGAGTGCAGTGGCACAATCTCCACTCACTGCAACCTCTGCCTCTGGGTTCAAGTGATTCTCCTGCCTCAGTCCCCTAAGTAGCTGGGATTATAGGCGTCCACCACCACACCTTGCTAATTTTTGTGCTTTTAGTAGAGATGGGATTTTACCATGTTAGTCAGGCTGGTCTCGAACTCCTGACCTCAGGTGTTCCCGTCGCCTCAGCCTCCCAAACTGCTGGGATTACATGTGTGAACCACTGCACCCGGCCCCTCCTTAGTTTTCACTTGGCTTTTGTAAATGGGGTGGAGGGGTGGGGGGTGGGATGAGGAGGTTGAGCATTTGGATTTTCTTATCAAATCTAGAATGGAATTCAAACCCGTGGGGTCCCTAATAGAAATCGCAGAGACCCAGTAGAGCATCTAAGAATACTTTGGTGAGAGTTTTGTCTTGTGTTACCTTTATTGTATGTATTAGGTCTTTCCCCCCTAAGTATAAAAGTAAAGTATGTTTGATATGAAAACCACATGAAACACCCCTAGTCCAAAAGCTCAGAGAGGACTATGGTAATGTTCTTCGGTGTCCTTTCAGCTGGCCACCTTGGCTTTCTGGCAGGCTCTGTGTTCCTTAGCTCCACTACTCTTTCTTTTTTTAAAAAAATCAACTGATTAATTAACAATTATTATTATTTTTCTAAAGACAGGGCTTTGCCAAGTTGCCCTGGCTGGTCTCGAACTCCCGGGCTCAAGCAATCCACGCACTTCATCCTCCAAAGGTGCTGGGATTACAGGTGTAGGCCACCACACCCAGCCTCCTCTTATTTTTCTAACAGGGTTCCCACCCGATCCATAAACAGCCCGATCCCCCTGCAGTGGGGGCCTGAGAGCCAGCACTGTGCCATCTCTCCTCAAAGGCATCTGTCCTGTCTGACATGGCTAGGAGTCCACCAAGCCACCACCAGGCTACCCTATCACAGGCTTGCTAAGCTCCATCCAGCAGTGTAACCAGGATCTAAAAGCGGATTTGCCTCACGTTTTGCTGTTGTTTCCAAAAAAAAGTAGCCCAATACCACCTCCCTCTGTAAGGGAGGCTTTTTTTATCTCTGGCCACACAGCGGACAGCAACTCCATGCTTAACGTGAGATACTATTGGCCGGGGGTGGTGGCTCACGCCTGTTATCCCAGCACTTTGGGAGGCCAAGGCAGGCAGATCGCCTGAGGTCAGGAGTTCGAGACCAACCTGGCCAACGTGGGGAAGCCCCATCTCTAATAAAAATACAAAAATGTGCTGGTCATGGTGGCATGTGCCTGTAATCCCAGCTACTCAGGAGGCTGAGGCAGGACAATTGCTTGAACCCAGGAGATAGAGGTTGCAGTGAGCCAAGATCGCGCCATTGCACTCCAGCCTGGACAACAAGAGTGAAACTCCATCTCAAAAATAAATAAATAAATAAACAATTAAAATAAACTAAAGGGAGATGTTATTAAGCCTCCAAGGTGTGTGATTAATGTCACTGTCTTTAGGATGGGAAAATCCATTTGTTCCCTTCCACAGTGGAGTGGAAGACCAGCACCTGAAGTTGGAACCAACACTTAAAACAATTTCTAATCCTTTTTGTACTTTAATATTTTCGGGGACTGCTTACTATTTAATAAGTGCTCTTCCTGGGTTAATCTTCTATAATTTAGCCAGAGGCCCCTTTGTTTCATTTCTGTGACTTTTAATTATTCTGGCTGTCCCTGGGGTAGGAACAGCAGAGATCTCTTAGAATAAGCCTACTATGAACAGCTGTGATTAATTGGTTTTGCATTTTTCATGAAACAGGTATGAACTTTGACCCAAGCGAATCGAAGTTTCTGAGGAAAGATGGAATTCTTGTTAGCGACTCTCTGGCAGCCTTTGCTTACATTAGAGATAGGTCAATGAATCAAAGCTTCCTAGAATGCTGATGGATTTACTAAAGTGTTGTTCATAAATGTGCTGTTCAATTATAACACTCAGAGGACTAAAGGACAATGACTTCAAGTTTGACATGCCAACCACCGCTTCTAAGATTCAGAAACACAGAGGCCTGAGTTCAGGCACAGTCGCAATCAGGCAGTCAGCAAGAGAACCACATAAACAGACAAAGTCACACTATTTAGGAGTTGAGCTCCACAGATATTGTTCGCTTTTGAAAAGTAGAAACCCGAGGAATGCATTTCCCAGCTCTAAAATTTGGGAAGGAACTAGAATTATTGAATTCCAACCCTGGCTGGAAGAAAAATGAGCCAGAAGGTCACTTAGTAAACAAGACAGATGATGACCCATGAAGACAGAACCAGTTTCTGGGTCATGAGTGTTATTCCTAATGGTTGCCAAGGTTTCCCTTGTTAGTCTTCCCCATGAGGATCAATCAAACTCAGCCCTCGTGAATTAACAGAGCCAAAAGGCTTATACCAAAGCCGGCCACACCACGGGGACCTCTTCATTGAGGGGAAGGTATGTACAATTTTTCCTCACCACACTCTCTGCTTATCTTAAGATAGAATGCATTTTGGAATGTCATCTGCAAGTTTCAGCAATGCCTGCCTATGTTCAGAGAGACAAAAACCAGAGACTTTCAGTAAAATACATGTTAATGTAACACATAACAGTATTACTATTCAAGGCCTGCAAAGATAGGGCTATTCGGGGTAAGCCTGTCTCAGAGGAAAATAGAGGCTTAGGGAATGTATTTGTCTGTTCTCATGCTACTAATAAAGACATACCTGAGGCTGGGTAATTTATAAAGGAAAGAAGTTTAATGGACTCACAGTTCCACATGGTGAAGAAGGCCTCACAGTCTCGGTGGAAAGTCAAGTCTTACTTGGTAGCAGGCAAGAGAGCTTGTGCAGGGGAAATCCCCTTTATAAAACCATCAGATCTCTTGAGACTTATTCACTATCATGAGAACAGCATGGGAAAGACCCACCCAATGATTCAATTACCTCCCACTACGTCCCTCCCATGACACATGCGGATTAGGGGAGCTACATTTCAAGATGAGATTTGGGTGGGGACACAGCCAAACCATATCAGGGAATGATCTCAATACATGAGATGCAAAGTTCAGTCTCGGGGTCCCCTGATGTTCTATTCTCCTCCTGCATTAGGAGTCCTCCTGTGTGTGTGTGTTTGTGTTGTGTGGTTGTTGGTTTCTTCTGTGGGTCCTCTCTTTTCTAGCCATCTTATCATTTTCATGTCTTGCTGTTCCTGATCATTGTCAATGTTAAGAACCGTAAGGATTTTTCTTGTCAGAAATATCCCCATATTTACAAAGACCCCAGGGAGCTTCTTGGAGAAAAGCCAACATGAAAATCCTCCAGACAGAGAATAACAATTGAAGGGGAATGAGTCTGACATTCTGCTCAGTGAGCTGTGGCCATGCTGTGTGCTTTACCCCAACAACCTTGTCGGTTCCTCTCAACAACTGCCTCAGCCAGCCCAGCTGCCATAACAAAGTACCTGAGGCCACATGGCCTAAATAACAGACATTGATTTTCTCACTGTTCTGGCGGCCAGAAGTTCATGATCAAAGTATCCACCAATCCCTTTCTGGTAAGGGCTGTCTTCCTGCCTTGCAGACAGCAGCCTTCTTGCTTGCCCTCACATGGCAGAGAGGGGGAGAGACAGAGACAGAGACATCTCTTCTTTTTATAAAACCACCAATCCTATCAGATTAGGATTCCACCCTTATGACCTCCTTTAACGTTAATTAGCTCCTAATGAGTGAATTGGGGGGAACACAATTCAGTCCACAGCAACAACCCTGAGAGATGGGACTCTGGTCCCCTGTTCTGCACTTGAAGTCGGTGGTCAGAGGAGTTGAGCCATTTGCCTGAGGACACCATGGACAACGGCAGGGCCAGGATTCAGGCTCAGCTAATACAAGGCTTGCACTCCAGCTACTCTGAATTTTGAGGGATGCAACCACCTCCCCATTCTGATCCTGAGTTGTCTAAATTAGCTTTCCTCCATCCCTTTCTATCCTTTTATGTGATTGTCATTCCCAGAAACCACAGGATAGAGACATTCATTTAGTGACTGTCTCTCCTGCTAGTGGCTCAGCTCCACAGGGGCAGGTGATTTGTCATCTTATTTCGTGTGGTGTCCCTGCATCTAGGATGCGGTGCTGGTACAGAACAGGTGCGCAGTCAGTAGTTAAGGAACAACTGAATGATGACTGCTGATCTGGGCTTATGAGCTTTTTCCTGTGCCTTATTTTCATCCAGTATTTGCTATTTATAAGATGTCAGGTTTTTTTTAATGTAAGGAGTTGATGAGCTGTTATTTGGTTTTATTGAGGGGTGTTTTGGGACATTTATCTCAGCAAACCATGGCCATGCCTCCATATAATGTCCAAGAGAAAGAGTCTCTAAATGCACTGTGTTGGATGTTAGCTAAATGAAATCACCACAAGAAGCTCATGACTTAAATCACAGAGGCTCACAAAGCCCTAGTAGAACGGGCGACTCTGGGCTTGCCTGTAGGTTTTCCTGGTGTGTCTGTATCGCTGTCTGTGTGGCCACTCTAGAGGTGAGAAGCATGCAGCGCATGCTCGGGGGTCTGCAGGCCAGTGTGCCACAGAGGTGCATGTGGACATCAGGCTGGACCATTTCAACCTAAACAGGCAGTGGCCACCAGCCAACGTCACACAGTGCTGAGCTCCATCCTCAATGCTGCTGGAGACAGGTGCCCAGACAACTCTCAGTCGCATCCCCGGCCCCACTGTGGGGATGTGACCCATGGGATGAGCTGGGGTCTCTAGGCACCCCCAAAGCAGGAGCAGCTGGGAGCCAAGAGTGTGAGCAGGGCAGTTTCCAGCCCAAATCACCCAAATAGGTGGCAAATCGAGTGAATCCAAAAGTGCATTTCCCAGGTCAGGCTGCAAGTAGCTTTGACACAGTAGTGCAGTCCAGTGTACATGGGGACAAAGAGATGAGAAACCAAAATCGAGAGATTTGGCCCCGATATTAAAGCACAGAGGTTGGCAGAAGGGAGAGGGAGATGAACAAGTGTTCCTGGTGAAGTGTCTTCTGGGGTCATTTGAATGATCTGTGAGATGGTTTCCCCAACATTGAAAAAGCTTCTTAGGCATGTTTGAATTTACTGTCATTTCAATAATACAGACTTACTCCCTGAATTCATTCTAGAATCAAGATCATGAGTCTGAGGAAGCTCATAGAAAAAAATCGGAAATTAGAGAAATGGAAAAGGAGTGGTGTGTGTGTATGTGTGCATGTGTGAACATGTGTGGGTGTGTGTGCATGTGTGCACGTGTGCACGTGTGCATATGTGTGTGCATGTGTGCACGTGTGTGCACGTGCATGTGTGTGCATATGTGCGTGCGTGTGTGTGCACGTGTGTGCATGTGTGCAAGTGTGCATGTGCATCTGTAAGCATGTGCATGCGTGTGTGCATGTGCATGTGTGTGCATATGTGTGAGCGTGTGTGTGCGTGTGGATGTGTGCATGTGTGTGCGTCTGTGTGTGCATGTGTGTCTGTATCTGTGTGCATGTGTCTGTGTGTGCATCTGTATGTGTATGTGTGCATGTGTGTGTGCACTTGTGCTTTTGTGTGTGCATGTGTATGTGCATGTGTTTGTGTGTACATGTGTGTACATGCGCATCTGTGTGTGCATGTTTGCATGTGTGTGCCTGTATGTGCATACATGTGTATCTCTGTGTGCATCTGTGCATGTGTGTGTGCATGTATGTGTGCATATGTGTGCGTATGTGTCTGTGCATGTGCATGTGTGTTTGCATGTGTGTGCATGCATGTGTATCTCTGTGCATATGTGTATATGTGTGTGCATGTGAGTATGTATTTGTGTGCCTGTGTGTGCATGTGTCTGTATGCATGTGCATGTGTGTGCCTTCGTGTTTGTGTGCATGTGTGTATCTGTGTGTGCATGTGTGTATCTGTGTGTGTCCATGTGTGTGCCTGTACGTATGTGTATCTGTATGTGTGTTTGTGCGTGTGTATCTGTATGTGTGCTTGCATGTGTGTGTAGGTGCAAGTGTGTTTGCATTCATGTGTGTGCATGCATATGTGCGTGTGTATCTGTGTGTGTAAGTGTGTGTTGGAAGTTCTTAGCAAGGCAGTGTAATAGCTGGCTCGGCATGAAACATTTTCCCTTTGCAGATTGTGCACAAGGAGACTTATTTATTTAGACAGTCTTGCATGAGACTATGACCTCTCCTATTCCACCGAATTACTGTTTCATTGACATCTGGCTTTGGGTGTTTACCTCATATGTGCCTGCAGGCATGCCTTTTGTGGCCCAATATTTCCATCGCTGCCCCTGCCCCCTTGGGACAGTGACAGATATGTCATCAGCCTCTGGCAGGCCCTGCTGTGGGCTTTTGGGGCACCTTTTGTGGTATGGGGTAAGGAAGCTGGGCAGAAGGGACAGGCTTGCAGCCTGGGACGTCCTGTGTTGGGAGGCATCATTGTTTCATAAGGGAGGAACTCCAGGGCCACAGACAAGCTCATACTGAAAGAGAAACACAGAAACACGCTCCAGAGTCAGAGCTACGTGATTCCTCCACCAGGGAGGACCACTGGAAATCAGCACCACCTTGTCACGGAGATGTGGATTTGGATGTGTTCCCACGGTCTCCAATCTCTGGTTCCATGACAGAAGGTTTCTGTCACACCCCTAATTGCTGTCAGACCAGCGCTGGGTATGCTTTGTGCTTTCTTCTGGACAACCCTCGGGCCCTGACTGCTGCCTTGATCCTCTCAACAGCAATAGGGCCCCGACAGGGGGAACCCTCGCCATGGCCTCTGGGTGTCTTATCTGGACATGAACGAGCTGGAGTGTGTGTTTGCCCCAAGTCGGGATCTAAGAGTGGAAAGGAGCCTTAAAGGCCATAGGACCCCCTTCGGAGGCTCCCAAGCACATACAGCAGCTGATCAAATTAAAGTCATTCACTCCAGCTGGGGATGAACCAAGGCTAAATTTAAAACAATGCCGGCAATAACACAGTGTGAAGATTCTGTTCAATCACAAGGAAAACTCTCTTTTTCCAGAACACAGAATAGGAAAAGGAGACAAAAAAGTATAAAGTAGTCCAAGTGATTCTAGAGAACAGTTGACATTCCCTTAGTGTAAAGCCTGGGACCATGGAGAGATCCCTGGCCTGAGCTTGGGGTCCCAGCCAAGTGGTGGCTTTGCACAAGTGACTTGACTACAACAAGAGGGGTTGGACCAGCTCATCACTAAGATTCCAGCTGACCAACATCTGGTGAGTTTGTAACTTCAAACTAGTTGGTCCAGATGACTCGGAAGCCTCGTTCCCAGGGACCTGCCAAGCGTTGCCCATGTTATCCATCTCTGGTGGCTGGATCTCAGCAGAGTCGATGCAGACTTGCCCTAAAGAGTGCTCACTTAGCAGGAGGCAGGCCTAGGCCAAGAGGCACCTGGAGTCTTATGAGAGAGAAGCCCTACTGGCAGGAGAACCCAGACACCCTCCTCCCAGGAGAAGAGGAGAGAGAAAAAATGGGAACTGGTTTTATGGAGCCCCATCACCAGGGCGCCAAGCCGAGGGCTTAAATCCATGATTCCCTCCTTTTATGCACTCAGCAAATATTTTCATAATGCCCACTCTGTGCCAGAGATGGCACTGGGGACTTGGCAAAGAACAAGAGGGTTCCAGCCCCTGCCCTCAGGGAGCTTGTATTCTAGGTGGAGAGAAAGGATGGCACCCACTCAGCGAGTGAGTGAGCTTATAAGTTGGGCTGTGAAGAAGACATTCAAGATACTCTGAGACTACATGACAGGGGACCTGGCTAGGCTAAGGCAGGGGGAGGTATCTAGTAGTGCTGGAGGTAGAGGGAGGAAAGAACTTTCCAGGCTAACAGAAGAGCACATGCAGAAACACTAGGGTGCGCAGGCATCTGATGCAACACGAGTGAGGAATGGGAGGACGGAGCAGGGAGCAGAGAGGAAACGGAAGGTCTCGGGAGTTGAACTTGGGGAGGGTGAGAAGGGCCAGATCATAGCCGGCTTCCTAGGCTGTGTTCAGGACTTGACTTTTATTAGGTTGGAGCAAAAGTAATTGTGATTTCCACCATTACTTTTTTTTTTTTTTTTTATCAGAGTCTGTCTCGGTCACCCAGGTTGGAGTGCAGTGGTGTGATCTTGGATCACTGCAACCTCCACCTCCCAGGTTCAACCCATTTTCCTGCCTCATCCTCCCAAGTAGCTGGGACTACAGGTGCACGCCACCACCCCCAGCTAATTTTAATTTTTGTATTTTTAGTAGAGATGGGGTTTCACCATGTTGCCCAGGCTGATCTCAAACTGCTGACCTCAAGTGATCCACCTGCCTCGGTCTCCCAAACTGCTGGAATTACAGGTGTGAGCCACCATGCCCAGCCAATTTCTGCCATTACTTTTAATGGAAACAGCAATTACTTTTGCACCAACCTAATAGCTTAGGAGAGGGAAGAGGTCATCTATATGTTTTAAGTCAGGCAGTAGTGTGACCCAACATGTATTTCTGAAAGATTATAGAGGCCATGCAGGAAAGATGATTTCCATATGGTCTGTGGTTGCTTTTGCACTACAACAGCAGAGCTGTTATATTTGCAACAGAGACCACATGGCCCATAAATCTGCAATAGTTCCTATCTGGCCATTCACTAGAAGAGGGGGGGCAAGAGAGCAGGATGGGGCCCAAGTGCCTGCAGGGAAGATGGAGCAGAACAGTGTTTCATCTCTGTTTTTCAGATAATTTCATGAGGTCGAAAGACATCTTAATGAAAGTGAAAGTACAAGGTATTTACCAGGAGATATTCACACCAGATGCCATGTCTCACACCTGCAATCCCAGCTTCACACCAGGTGCAATGGCTCACACCTGTAATCCCAGTAGTTGGGGAGGCCAAGGCAGGAGGATCACTTTCAGCCAGGAGTTTAAGACCAGCCTGGGCAAAAAAGTCAGACCTCATCTCTACAAAAAAATATAATAAAAAGTTAGCCGGTCATGGTAGTACATGCTTGTAGTCCCAGCTACTCAGGAGGCTGAGGTGAGAGGATTGTTTGAGCCCAGAAATTCAAGGCCACAGCACGCTATGATTGTGCCACTGCACTCCAGTCTGGGTGAAAAAGGGAGACTCTCTCTCTTTCTCGCTCTCTCTCTCACTCTCTCTCTCTATATATATATGTGTGTGTGTATATATGTGTATATATATGTATATATATGTGTATATATATGTATATATATATATACTCACAATATATTTGCTGTCAAAGTATTATCATCAAAAGTCTATAGAAAATATACACATCCTTGGGCTGGGCACAGTCGCTCATGCCTGTAATCCTAATACTTTGGGAAGTTGAGGCGGGTGGATCACCTAAGCTCAGGAGTTCAAGACCAGCTTGGCCAACATGGCAAACCCCATCTCTCCTAAAAATACAAAAATTAGCTGGTGTGGTGGCATGCACCTGTAATCTCAGCTACTCAGGAGGCTGAGGCACAAGAATCGCTCGAACCCGGCAGGCAGAGGTTGCAGTAAGCCCAGATTGTGCCACTGCACTACAGCCTGTGCAACAGAGTGAGACTCCATGAAAACGCAAAACAAAACAAAATAAAACCAAACCAAGAAAAAAACAACAAAAACAAACAGGCACTTCTGACGCAGGCTGCAACATGCATGAACCTTGAAGACATTATCGTCAGTGAAATAAATAAATCCCAAAAGGATAAACATGCCCAGGCTCAGTGCTCACACCTGTAACCCCAGCATTTTGGGAGGCTGAGGCAGGCGGATCACTTAAGCTCAGGAGTTCGAGACAAGCCTGGCCAATATGGTGAAAGCTCGTCTCTACTAAAAATACAAAAATTAGCTGGGCGTGATAACGCATGCCTGTAATCCCAGCTACTCGGGAGACTGAGACACAAGAATCGCTTGAACCCCCGATGTGGAGGTTGCAGTGAGCCGAGATCATGCCACTGCACTCCAGCCTGGGCAACAGAGAAAGACTCTGTCTCCAAAAAAATAAATAAACACGGTATGATTCCAATTATCTATCAAGTGTCTAGAGTAGTTAGACTCCTAGAGTTGCAAACTAGAAAGGTGGCACTCAGGGGTGGGCGAGAGAGAGGAGTGGAGAGCTTGGTGAATGGTTGCAATTTCCATTTTGAAAGATAAAACCGTTCCGGAGATGATGGCGGTGATTGTTGCTAAACAATGTGAACGTACTTAATGTCATTAAACTGTAAACTGAAAAAGAGTGGAAACTGTAAATGTTTATACTGGCCATTCTATATGAACTAATATATATTTATAATTTTTAACATTTATATGTGGTATATTTCCCCATAATAAAAGATGAAAATTAAAGCAGTTGGATCTTTAAAAAGAAAAGAAAGAAACAAAGAATACACACCAGCTTTCTCCTGATTAGAGGAAGAGCCCCAAAGCTTCTATGGACACTCACTTTTCTCTTCTTCTTCTTGCATGATGAGAAGGAAATCTTTAGAGGTTGGGGAACTTGGGTGACATTGGCTAATGAGGAGCTCTGTGCCTTGAGCCCCCCAGGCCACAGAACAGTAAATAGTCTGTGCCTCCTGTCCTGCAGTGTGAGGTTGCAGTCCTGTGGGCTCCACAGCCGTCACCTGTATCAGGAGTCTCATGTCTCACCCTGTCTTCTTGCCAGCCTTGAGGATGGAGTCTGAGCATCCATCGTGCACCACACAGGGAGGACAGTGGACCTGCTCTCCGTGGTCATGGCTCATCAGAGGGGAAGGACAGTTCAGTGAGTGTAGGCAAAAGAAAGAGAGATCAGACTGTTACTGTGTCTATGTAGAAAGGAAAGACATAAGAGACTCCATTTTGAAAAAGACCTGTACTTTCAACAATTGCTTTGCTGAGATGTTGTTCATCTGTAGCTTTGCCCCAGCCACTTTGACCCAACCTGAAGCTCAGAAAAACATGTGTTGTATGAAATCAAGTTTTAAGGGATCTAGGGCTGTGCAGGACATGCCTTGTTAACAAGATGTTTCCAAGCAGTATACTTGGTAAAAGTCATCGCCATTCTCCAGTCTCAATAAACCAGGGGCACAATACACTGTGGAAAGCCGCAGGGAGCCCTGCCCTTGAAAGTGGCGTATTGTCCAAGGTTTCTCCCCATGTGATAGTCTGAAATGTGGTCTCGTGGGAGGAGAAAGACCTGACCGTCCCCCCACCCGACCCCCGTAAAGGGTCTGTGCTGAGGTGGATTAGTCAAAGAGGAAAGCCTCTTGCAGTTGAGAGAGAGGAAGGCCACTGTCTCCTGCCTGCCCCTGGGAACTGAACATCTCAGTATAAAACCCGATTGTACATTTGTTCAATTCTGAGATGGGGGAAAAACCCACCCTATGGTGGGAGGTGAGACATGTTTGCAGCAATGCTGCCTTGTTATTCTTTACTCCACTGAGATGTTTGGGTGGAGAGAAACATAAATCTGGCTTATGTACACGTCCAGTCATAGTACCTTCCCGTGAATTTCTTTATGACATAGATTCTGTTGCTCACATGTTCGTTGCTGACCTTCTCCTTATTATCACCCTGCCCTCCTACTACATTCCTTTTTGCTAAAATAATAAAAATAATAATCAATAAAAACTGAGGGAACTAAGAGGCCAGTGCCGGTGCAGATCCTTGGCATGCTGAGCGCCGGTCCCCTGGGCTCACTGTTGTTTCTCTATACTTTGTCTCTGTGTCTTATTTCTTTCCTCAGTCTCTCATCCCATCCGACTAGAAATACCCACAGGTGTGGAGGGGCAGGCCACCCCTTCAAGTGAGTGCTGAGGGACGGTCGGGAGCCTTGTTTGGTTTCCTCCTCCGCAGGACAAACAGGAGAGTGCGGTGGGCAGATGGGAGGAGACCAATGTGCAAACTGTCCGCTCAGCAGACTGTGCAGTTTCTGTTCTTGGTTGTGCTGGGGGTCTCAGAAATCTTATTCAAAATTTTGCTTTCCTCCCCCACTGGTTGTCCTTTTCATAGACATCTCACCCATGATAGCAGAGAATCAGTCCCTCTAAACTATTCCCTAAGAACAACAAAAAGATTATGAAGGTGATGATGAGGATAAAGAGGATGACGGCAGACACCATGGCATCATGAACCCTTACTGAGGGCTTCCTAAAGGCCAGGCTCTGAGCTCTGTGCTCTATGCAGCTTGTTTCATTTCATCTGCGTAGTCTCCACGTTATTAGTGCACATTTCACGATGATTTTACAGACTAGAAAAGGAGCAACACCTTTTCATAGAACTCGTACTAGATTATGAAGTCAAAAAGGGTGAAGTCCAATTTGAACCAGGCAGTCTAAGTCCAGACACATGGCATTTGGCCAGTCCTCTCCCTGCAACCAACCTGCCTTCTCAAATCCTCGCCACTCAGGCGGATGCCCCTGCTCACTGTGCCCTTCCCTTTGGGGGTTCCTTGTAGACCACAGCTAGACAAGTGGGTGCTACAATCACTGTGTCAAGTATAGAAAGGACAGCTGAGATCACATCGAGGATTCCAGAAAGAATTGGCACAGGATCATTTGGGACGCATCTCTCCCTTGCCCCTGTTCCTGGCTTTCCTTACAGCTCTCGACTTCCTCAAAGGAGTCATCAATTCGGAGTTTGGCTTCCATTCCTATTGAGGAAGCTGGAAAGCATTTCAAAAATGCTCCTCTGATGTGCCTGTGGTTAAGACCTCTGAGCTCTGCTTAAAACTTTTTGAAGCTGGGCGCGGTGGCTCACGCGTGTAATCCCAGCCCTTTGGGAGGCTGAGGCACGCGAATCACAAGGTCAGGATTTCGAGACCAGCCTGACCAACATAGTGAAACCACGTGTCTACTCAAAATAGAAAAAATGAGCCAGGCGTAGTGGCGGGCATCTCTCATCTCAGCTACTTGGCAGGCTGAGGCAGGAGAATAGCTTGAACCTGGGATGCAGAGGTTGCAGTGAGCCGAGATCACTCCACTGCACTCCAGTCTGGGCAACAGAACGATACTCCGTCTCAAAACAACAAAAACCAAAACCAAAACCAAAAAAACCCACAACTTTTTGAGAGTCGGAAGACCAGGAAGTATAGTACCCGGGACTTCGAGTCTGGCCATGAATTTTGAATACCACCCTTTCTACTTCTCTGTATGGCAAGGGGTGAGAAGTCCATCCTCTGAGACTCAGCACTCTCATCTGACTTGATTTCCAGTTGATCCGATGGAAGTGAGTGATGATTAAGCCGATCGTGGGTGCCCGCTGCGTGATCTCTAGGTGACGGACGCATAAAGTAAAGGTAAAGTGAATTTTAGATACATTCCTTAAGATTTTCAGCTTCAACTCCAAACAATTCAACGGAAATATCCCCTGACCTGAAGTTCTGCTTTCCCTGCATTCCAGACAGGACATTTTGTTTTGCCCTTCTCCCAGCAAGGACTGAGTACTGTGAGAGGAACAAGTGAGTCTCTTTTGTTTCTGATTCCCCAGAGCCTATATCTTGCTTGGCACCTAGGAGACAGCAAAAGTCAAAATCTATGTTAATGATTGAATTGACACTTCCTTGTTCACCAAAATTGGCTGTCATCAGCGTGACTTTGACTTACTTGATTCTTTTTGTTTTTTGTTTTTTGAGACAGAGTTTTGCTCTGGTTGCCCAGGCTGGCGTGCAGTGGTGTGATTTCGGCTCACTGTAGTCTCTGCCTCCCAGGTTCAAGCCGTTCTCCTGCCTCAGCCTCCCGAGTAGCTGGGACTACAGGCATGCGCCACCATACCGGGCGAAGGTTTTGTATTTTTAGTAGAGGAGGGGTTTCACCATGTTGGCCAGGATGGTCTTGATCTCCTGACCCTGTGATCTGCCCTCCTCGGCCTCCCAAAGTGCTGGGATTACAGGCATGAGCCACCACGTCCGGCCAAACGTTCTGATGAAAACTTTAAGTCCACTGAAGCTAAGGACAGGAGTTATAGCTTCCATGAATTTTAAAACAAGACCCATCGATTTGAGTAAGCAATTACTCTCTCGAAGGAGAAAAGTCCGAAAACAGAATGATGAAATCACTAGGACCTAACTGGCATGTGGAACTATTTTCTGCTTATGAACTATCAACTTTCATTTCATTTCCAGATGGCATGGTCTCAGCTGTTATACAGCGTTTACAAATGTTCTAAATCAAGGGAATTTGTATCAATCTAGTAGAATAAATAAAGTATTTGAGTTCTTAATTTCCTTTAATTAGGATAACCTTTTTCTTAAAGTGAGGACAATGGTTTTATTACATCTTTTCCTTCGGAAAAGATAGGCTGTATTTTCTAGCAATTACGAATTTGTTATATATGATGATCTGGTTTTGGAACGTTCTTGAATCTAGTGTCTCTAAGGCAGGTGTGTACAGCAAGACGTGAATAACACAGCAATCAATGTTGAAAGCATTATAAGGCAATTGAGTTTGTCAGAACTACAAATATTACTGAGTGTGGGTTGCTCTGAAATCTGAAAACATTACTTGTGAATTGCGTCTATCCAAAATGCAGACACAATGCTGGGTATTGGTTTACTTGTTTCCGATTTTTCAACCCTCTTTTCCAGGCAAAAGAGGGTTGTATCCAAACGATACAGACCCACAGAGTCTAACAGATGTCTCTATATTCCTCCTCCTCGAACTCTCAGAGGATCCAGAACTGCAGCCGGTCCTCGCTGGGCTGTTCCTGTCCATGTGCCTGGTCACGGTGCTCAGGAACCTGCTCATCATCCTGGCCATCAGCCCTGACTCCCACCTCCACACCCCCATGTACTTCTTCCTCTCCAACCTGTCCTTTCCTGACATCGGTTTCACCTCCACCACAGTCCCCAAGATGATTGTGGACATCCAGTCTCACAGCAGAGTCATCTCCTATGCAGGCTGCCTGACTCAGATGTCTCTCTTTGCCATTTTTGGAGACATGGAAGAGAGACATGTTCCTGAGTGTGGTGGCCTATGACCGGTTTGTAGCCATCTGTCACCCTCTATATCGTTCAGCCATCTTAAACCCCTGTTTCTGTGGCTTCCTAGATTCGTTGTCCTTGTTTTTTTTTTTTTTTTTTCTCAGTCTTTTAGACTCCCAGCTGCACAACTTGATTGCCTTACAAACGACCTGCTTCAAGGATGTGGAAATTCCTAATTTCTTCTGGGAACCTTCTCAACTCCCCCATCTTGCATGTTGTGACATCTTCACCAGGAACATCAACCTGTATTTCCCTGCTGCCATATTTGGTTTTCTTCCCATCTCGGGGACGCTTTTCTCTTACTATAAAATTGTTTCCTTCATTCTGAGGGTTTCATCATCAGGTGGGAAGTATAAACCTTCTCCGCCTGTGGGTCTCATCTGTCAGTTGTTTACTGATTTTATGGAACAGGCTTTGGAGGGTACCTCAGTTCAGATGTGTCATCTTCCCCGAGAAAGGGTGCAGTGGCCTCAGTGATGTACACGGTGGTCACCCCCATGCTGAACCCCTTCATCTACAGCCTGAGAAACGGGGATATTAAAAGTGTCCTGCGGCAGCCGCACGGCAGCACAGTCTAATCTCAATATCTTCTTATCTGTTCCATTCCTTTTGTAGTGTGGGTTAAAAAAGGCAGCAAGGTCAAATAAGAATGATATCACAGGGTGAGCACCCACTGTGACATTACGAGTAATACCTCCCTAGGATATAAAAAATACTGTCACAGAGTACACACACATGGGGTACACCCACGGTGATATTAGAAGCACTATCTTCCTTAAATATTAAGAAAAATATCACAGGGTGTGCACACTGTGTGATATGAGGAGTCATATTTACCCTGGATATCACGACTCATATCAAGGGTGTACACACACCGGCTACACGCACTGTGATATCAGGAGTTGCATCTCCCTAGGATATTATGAATAATATCACAGGGTATACACTATGTGTGAACATCCACTGTGATATTTGAAGTCATATCTCTCTACGAGATTACAAATAATATCAAAGTGTGTACACCCCTGTGACATATTAGGAGTAACATCCTTCTAGGGTATTGTAGATAACATCACAATGTGTACACCTTCTGTGACCTTTTGTGCACACTTTGTGCCATTCAAGGAAACATCCCCCTAGGATATTACGAATAATGACACAGGCGGTTGACACACATGGTGTACATCTCCTGTGCCATCAGGAGTAATATTCCCCTAGGATATTACGAATAATATCACAGCAGGTGTACACATATGGTGTTCACCACCTGAGACATTAGGAGGAACATGCCCCTAGGATATTAGGAATAGTAACACAGGCGTTGAATACGCATGATATAGACCCCCGGTGACATTGAAAGTAGCCTGCCCCTAGGATATTAGGAATAGTAACACAGGCATTGAATACGCATGATATAGACCCCCGGTGACATTGAAAGTAACATCTCCCTAGGATATTATGAATAATATCACAGGGAGTACACCCAATGTGACATTAGGAGTAACATCCCCCGAGGATATAACGAATAATATCAGGGGGCGTACATACATTGTGACCTTAGTGGTAACATCTCTTTAGGATATTACCAATAATATCACAGGGTGTCCACTGACCGTGATATTAGGAGTCCCATTTTCCTAGGATATTATGGATAATATCACAGGAGGTGTTCACACACAATGTGTACACCATGGGTGTACACCCAATGTGATATTTGAAGTCATATATCCCTAGGATCTTACGAATATTATCAAAGGGTGTACACCCCATGTGACATTAAAAGTAACATCCCTTTTGGATATTCCGAATGCTATCACAGGGTGTGATATTAGGAGTGCGATATTAGGAGTAACCTCTTCCTAGGATAACCCATGTGATATTAGGAGTAACCCCTTCCTAGGATATTACGAATAACATCACAGGGTGTACACCCCTGTGACTTTAAAAGTAACACCCCCCTAGAATATTACAATAATATAACAGGGTGTACAACCCCTGTGACATTACGAGTAACATCTCCCTAGGATATTTCGAATGATGTCACTGGGGGCACACTCTCTGTGATATTAGCAGCAACATCTTTCTAGGAGATTACTAATGATATCACAGGGTGTACACTCACTGTGATATTAGAAGGAATATCTCCCTAGGATATAAGTTATCACATCACAGAGTGTACACACGTGGTGTAAAACTACTGTGTTATTAGAAGCAATATCTCCCTATGATATTATGAAAAATATCATATGGTGTACCCTCTGTGGGATACTAGAAGTAATGTTTACCATGGATATTACAAATAATATCACAGGGTGCACACACATGGGGTACACCCACTGTGATATTAGGAGTTATATCTCCCTAATATATTACAAATAATATCCCAGTGGGTGTAGCCCATGTGTGTACACCCACTGTGATCATTAAAGTAATATCTCTCTATAAGATTACAAATAATATCGAAGGCTGTAGACCCCCTGTGACATTAGGGGTAACATCCCCTTACAATATTGGGAGCAATATCATACAGTGTACACCCCTGTAACGTTAGGGGTAACATCCCCCCAGAATATTACTCATAATATCACAAGGTGTACACGCATTGTGACATTAGTAGTAATATCCAGCTAGCATATTTGCAATAATATCACAGAAGGAACACACCTGTGACATTAAGAGTGACATCTCCCTAGAATAGTAAGAATACTATCACAGGGTGTACACCCCCTGTGATATTAGGAGAATCATCTCACCAGAATATTACGAATAATGTCACAGGGTGTTATCTTCTGTGACATTAGGAGTATAGACCTCTGGGAAATTATGAATACTACCACAGGGTGTACACCCCTGTGACATTAGGAGTAAAATCCTTCTAGAATATAATGAATAATATCACAATGTGTACACCCCCTGTGTCATTAACAGTACAATTGCCCTAGGATATTATGAAATAGAACACAGGGAGTACACACCCTGTGACATTAGAAGTCACATCCCCTGAGGATATAACAAATAATATCAGAGAATGTACATGCATTGGGACATCAGTAGTCACATCTCTTTAGGATAATACGAACAGTATCAAAGGGTGTACATGCATTGTGAAATTAGTAGTGAACTCCCGCTGGGATATTATGAATTTTATGACAGGGTCTACACGCCCTGTGACATTAGTAGTCACGTTTTCCTAGAATATGATGAAGAATACTAAAGTGTGTACAGGACCTGTGATTTACGAGTAACATTTCTATAGAAGATTACACATAATATCACTGTGTGTACACCCCGTGTGACGTTAGGAGTCACATCACACAAAACTATAACGAAAAATTTCACAAGGTGTGCAACATCTGTGACATTAAAAGTAACATTTCCCTAGAATATGACGATAATATCACAGAGTGTACACCCTCGGTGATATGAGGAGTGACATCTTATAAGGGTAATATGAGTAATTTGACAAGGTGTACAAACCCTGTGACATAAGGAGTGACATCCCTCCAGGATATTCCGAATCATACCTAAGGGAAAATATTCCGTGTGACAATAAAATCAACCTCCCCTTATGAGATTAAGAATAATAGCACAAGCTGTACACACATTGTGACATTATTATTAACGTCCCGCTAGGGTATTGCGAACAATATCAGAGTGTGTAGAGACTTGTGACATCAGGATTCACATTTCGCTACAATATCACGAATAATATCACAGGGTGTATACCCGCGGGGACTTACACAGTGACACCTTCCTAGAATATGGAAAATAATGTCCCAGGGTGTTAACCAAGTGTGGCAGTACAGAAAACATACTAGGAGAAGGGGAGTAATATCACCCCCTCTTGCCCCCCTGGCTCTTAGGACCCCCATCGCAGGGGGGCGAGGCAGCCCCCGCGATGAGGGGAGTAAGAAATAGCCAGCCCCTCTTGCTCCCCTGGCTCGTAGGACCCACATCACAGTGGGGCGAGGCGCCCCCCGAGATGCCGGGAGTAAGAAAGAGCCAGCCCCTCTTGCCCCCCTGGCTCTTAGGATCCGCGGTGGACTCACAGCCTGTTTATCATATTGTGAGTAATATCATCTCCCCCTCTGGAGATTATGAACTGTTTCACAGACCGGTGTACAACCTGGGTGTACAGAAGTTGTACACCCGTCTGTATGGGGAGTCATATCATCATTTTCCTCCCTGAATATTAGGAACAGTATCACAGGGCTGTTTCTACTCTCTGGGATATCGGGTGTCATGTCCTCCTCTCCCATGTTGCAATTGGAAACAATATCACTGGGGGCATGTCCACCTTGTGTGATATTGAAAGTAATATTATCCTCTTCCCTCCAGGATCATGGGAACAATATCCTTGGGGGTGTCCACTTTCTGCCATATATGTAGTCATATCAACCCCTCCGTCTTGGAATATTTTTAAGGACCACCTCACAAGGGGGTGTACACTTCCTGCGATGTTGGGAGTAATAGCATTCTCTTCTTCCGTGAATATTAGGAGCAAAATCACCGGATGGATGCACACCCAGTGTTATATTGGGAGTAACGTCATACTCCAACCCCTGGAGATTATATTCGGATCAATATCACCGCCTGTGTGTACACCTACTGCGATATTGAACGTAATATCATGCTCTCTCCCTCCCTGGACATTAGGAGCAATATCACACGTGGGTGTACACCCACTGAGGTATTAGGGCATAATATTAGTATGAATTATTCCTCATTTATTATTAACATGAATATGAATGACTGATATTAATATTAATATTAAGAAATAATTGCTAATAAAAAGTTTTCAGATTATTATTAATATTAATTATTAGGAGCTAATATTACTGTTTTCTAATGAATAAGATCAATATCAGTTATTAATATCAGGCTTCATTAATCATTAATATTAATCATGTATTCTTATCGTTAGTATAACTAATATTAATTATCATTATTATCAGTATTGATTTTAAAAATTATATTATGGGTTATTAATATTGATAATTATTAGTGTCAATTGATAATTGAGATTATTAATTGCGGTAAGTCGCATTGCTCCATTGCACCCCTCCCTCGGCAGCTCGTTTATGACCCAAAACAGGGACACAAATGCCCCTGAGAGAGCAGCGGTAGACTGGGATAGATGAGGATGGTCACGTGGTGGAGAGGCGTGTTTTTTGTTACCAGCCCTTCACCTGCGTCAACCTTCTCAACTGGAAAAACAATACACCGCCCTATACCGAAAAGCCACAAGCCCTAATTGATTTGCTCCAAGCTATTATCCAGACCCACAACCCCACCTGGGCTGATTGGCACCAGTTGCTCATGTTCCTCTTTAACAGCGAAGAAAGGCGGAGAGTCCTCCAAGCAGCAACTAAGTGGCCAGAGGAATATGCACCAGCTGATTATCAAAACCCCCAAGAGTATGGAAGGACTCAGTGGCCAGGAACCGACGCCCAGTTGGACCCACATGAAAGAGAGGATATGGAAAGGCTAAACCGAGACAGGGAAGCTCTCTTGGAAGGATTAACGAGTGGAGCTCAGAAGGCCACAAACATTAACAAGCTCTCTGAGGTCATTCAGGGAAAAGAAGAAAGTCCAGCACAATTGTACGAGAGACTGTGGGAGGCCTATCGTATGTATACTCTCTTTGATCCCGATAACCCTGAAAATCAGCGCATGATTCACATGGCTTTAGTCCGTCAAAGCGCAGAAGACATGAGAAGAAAACTGCAGAAACAGGCTGGGCTTGCAGGGATGAATACATCACAATTACTAGAAATAGCTAGCCAGGTGTTTGTAAACAGGGATGCAGTAAGCCGTAAGGAAAACGGCAAAGAGAATGGAGGTCAGGCCCGGCGACACGCCGACCTGTTTGTCAGCTGCAGCAATCAGAGGGGCCTCCCCAAAGAGGCAAGGGAAGGGGGGCCCTGGGAAAGAAACTCAGCTTGGCTGTCAGAGTTTGCAGCGTAACCAGTGTGCTCATGGTAAAGAAATAGGACAGTGGAAGAACAAATGCCCTCAGCTCAAAAGAAAACAAGGTGACTCAGAGCAGGAGGCCCCGGACAAGGAGGAAGGGGCCCTGCTCAACCTGCAGAAGGGTTCTTGGACTGAGGGAGACTGGGCTCAAGCGTCCCCAAAGAGCCTCTGGTCAGAATGACAGTCGGGGGTGGAGACATTGACTTTCTTGTAGATAGCGGTGCGCAACAGTCGCTAGTAACAGCCCCAGTCGCCCTCTTATCCAAAAAGACTATTGACGTCATTGGAGCCACAGGGGTTTCAGCAAGGCAAGCTTTCTGCTTGCCTCGGACTTGTACTGTAGGAGGACATAAAGTCATTCATCAGTTTTGGTACATGCCTGACTGTCCCTTGACCTTTTTGGGAAGGGACTTGCTCAGCAAGCTGGGAGCCACTATCTCTTTGACAGAGAATGGCTCTTCTCTGCTAAAGTTACCCGGAACGGGAGTCATTATGACCCTTATGGTCCCCTGAGAGGAGGAATGGAGACTTTTCTTAAATGAGCCGGGCCAAGAGAGAAGACCAGCTCTGGCTAAGCCGTGGCCAAAAGTACGGGCAGAAGACAACCTTCCAGGATTGGCCAGTTAAGACTGGGGCCCAGCCGGTGAGGCAAAAACAGGAGCCGGTCCCCAGAGAAGCCCTTCAAGGTATCCAGGTCTGTCTCAAGCACCTAAGAACTTATGGAATTATTGTTCCTTGTCAGTGTCCATGGAACACTCCCCTCCTGCCTGTTCCCAAGCCACAGACCAAGGACTACCGGCCGGTACAGGATTTGCGCTTTCTTCTTCAAGCTACACTGACTTTACATCCAACAGTACCTAACCCGTCCACATTGTTGGGGTTGCCGCCAGCTGAGAACAGCTGGTTCACCTGCTTGGACCTGAAAGACGCTTTCTTTCCTATCAGATTAGCCCCTGAGAGGCAGAAGCTGTTTGCCTTTCAGTGGGAAGATCCGGAGTCAGGTGTCACTACTCAGTACACTTGGACCGGGCTTCCCCAAGGGTTCAAGAACTTCCCCACCATCTTCGGGGAGGCGTGGGCTCGAGACCTCCAGAATTTTCCCAGCAGAGGCCTAGGCTGCGTGTTGCTCCAGTAGGTTGATGACCTTCTGCTGGGACACCCCACGGCATTCGGGTGTGCCAAGGGAACAGATGCCCTACACCAGCACCTGGAGGACGGTGGGTAGAAGGTGTCCAAGAAGAAAGCTCAGATTTGCCGACAGCAGGTACGTTACTTGGGATTTACTATCCGACAGGGGTCGGAACGCAGCCCGGGATCAGAATGAAAGCAGGTCATTTGCAATCTAGCGGAGCCTAAGAGCAGAAGGCAGGTGAGAGAATTCTTAGGAGCTGTGGGGTTTTGTAGACTGTGGATCCCAAACTTTGCAGTATTAGCCAAGCCTTTGTAGGAGGTCACAAGGGTGCAGGGACCGGAAACCTTTGGAATGCGGATCCCAACAACAGCAAGTCTTTCGTGAGTTAAAGGAAAAACTTCTGGCAGCCCCAGCCCTGGGGCTACCCGATCTGACAAAGCCTTTTCCATTGTATGCATCAGAGAGAGAAAAGATGGCAGCTGGACTTTGAACCCAAACTGTGGGGCCCTGGCCGAGGCCGGTGGCCTACCTCTCTAAACAACTAGACGGGGTTTCTAAAGGATTGTCCCCCTGTTTGAGGGCCTTGGCAGCAACTGCCCTGCCAGTACAAGAAGCAAATAAGCTGACTCTTGGTCAAAACCTGGACATAAAGTCCTCCCGTGCTGTGGTGACTTTAATGAATACTAAAGGACATCATTGGCTAACGAATGCCAGACTCACCAAGTACCAAACTGCTCTGCGAAAATCCCCGTATAACCATTGAAGTTTGCAACACCCTACACCCCGCCACCTTGCTCCCGGTATCAGAGAGCCCTGTCGAACCTGATTGTGTAGAAGTGTTGGACTCAATTGACTCTAGCAGACCTGACCTCCGGGACCAGGCTTGGGCATCAGTAGACTGGGAACTATACGTGGATGGGAGCAGCTTCTTCAACCCCCAAGGAGAGAGAGGTGCAGGGTATGCAGTGGGAACCCTGGACACTGTTGTTGAAACCAGATCGTTGCCCCAGGCCACTTCAGCCCAGAAAGCTGAACTCATTGCTTTCATTCGGGCCTTAGAACTCAGTGAGGGTGAGACTGTCAACATTTACACTGATTCTCGGTATGTCTTTTTAACCCTTCAAGTGCATGGAGCATGATAGAAAGAAAAGGTCCTATTGAACTCTGGGGGAAAGGACAGAAAATATCAACAAGAAATCTTGCAATGATTAGAAGCAGTATGGAAACCCCACAAGGTGGCAGTTACGCATTGCAGAGGACACCAGCGAGCTTCCACCTTGCTGGGTTTGGGGAATCCCCGCGCTGACTCAGAGGCTCAAAAAGCAGCATCTGCCCCCTTCTGGGCATCAGTGCTCCCTCAAGCACCTGATCTTGGACCTGCTTCTTCTAAAGAAGAAAAGGACTTTCTCCAGGTAGAGGGAAGGACAAGTGATGAAGGAAGGATGGATTCGGTTACCAGATGGGAGAGTAGCTGTGCCACAGCTGCTAGGAGCTGCAGTTGTACTGGCTGTGCAAGAAACCACCCATCGAGGTCAACAGTCATTGGAAAAGTTGTTAGGCCGGTATTTCTACATCTCGAGTTTCTCAGCCCTTGCCAAAACGGTGAGGCAGCGGTGTGTTACCTGCCGACAGCATGATGTGAGGCAAGGTCCAGCTGTTCCGCCCGGCATACGAGCTTATGGAGCAGCCCTCTTTGAAGGTCTCCAGGTGGACTTCACAGAGATGCCAAAGTGTGGAGGTAATAAGTATGTACTAGTTCTTGGGCGTACCTACTCTGGGTGGGTGGAGGCCTATCCAGAACGAACTGAGAAAGCTCGTGAAGTAACCTCTGTGCTTCTTCGAGATCTGATTCCTAGATTTCGACGCCCTTACGGATTGGCTCAGACAATGGGCCTGCGTTTTTGGCTGCCTTGGTACAGAAGACGGCAAAGGTATTGGGGATCACAGGGAAACTGCATGCCGCCTCCCGGCCTCAGAGTTCCGGAAAGGTGGAGCGGATGAATCAGACTATCAAAAATAGTACTATTGTCTTCCCCGCTGGATATTGAAAACAACACCACAAGGGGCGTCAAACCACCTGCTAAATTTGAGGGAATGTTATCCTCTCCCCACCTCCCCCGGCCCCGGATATTAGAGACAATAACACAGGGGTGATGTACACCCACTGCTTTATTGGGAGTAATATCATCCTCTCCCTTCTTGGATATTAGGAACAATATCACACTGTGTGTGTACGCCTGTCGCGAAATTCAATGGAATGTCATCCTGTGCCTCCCTGGATATGACGAACAGGATCATGGGGGATGTACAACTTCTGAGATATTGGGAGTGATATCATCCTCTCCCCTCTGGAAGTTAGGGACAATATCACAGGGGTAGTGTACACCCTCTGGGATGTTGGGACTAATATCCTCCCGCCCACTGGATATTAAAAACCATATCACAAGGGGCGTGTACACACACTTCGATATTGGTATTAATACCATCCTCTCCCTCTTTGGATATTCGGTGCCATATTTCAGCTGGGGTATACACCACCTGCAATATTGGAAGTAATATGATTTTCTTCCCCCCCCCGGATATCGGAAACAATATCACAGAGGGGTGTCAACAACCCCTGCGATATTTGGAGTAATATCATCGTCTCCCCTCACGAATATTAAGAACAACATCGTAGGGGTGGGGGGTGTACACTCCCTTTCATATTTGATATCATCCTCTTCCCATCTGGATATTAGGAACAATATCAGGAAGGGATGTACAGACCCTGCGACCTTTGCTGTCATATAATTGTCTCTCCCCTAGATATTAGGAAAAATGTCACTGGGGATGTGAACAGCTCTGCGGTATTGAGAGTAGTATCATCCTCTCCCCCCTTGCATATTGGGAACAACATCACAGGTGGGGTATACTGCCTCTGCGATGTTGGGAATAAAATTTTCCTTTCTTCCCCTGGACATTAGGAAGGGTATCAGAGGGGGAGGGCGTACATTCCCTGCGATATTCAACGTAAGCTTATCCTCTCCCTCCCAGGGTATTCAGAACAATAGGACAGGAGGGGTGTACACCCCCTGCGATATTGAAAGTCATATCATCCTCTTTCACTCTGGATATTAGGAGCAATATCACAGGGTTGTGTACACTCCCTGCGATATTGGGAGTCATATCATCCTCTCTCCCTGTGGATATTAGGAAGAGTATCACAGGGCTGTGTAAACCCCCTGCGGTACTGGGAGTAATATCATCCTCTCTCCCTCTGAATATGAGGAAGATTTTCACAGGGGTGTGTACACCTCCTGCGATATTGGGAGTAAGATCATCCTCTCCACCCAGGAAATGACTAACAAGGTCACGGGGGGGTGTACTCCCCCTGTGATATTGGGAGTAATGTCGTCCTCCCCAAACCTGGATGTTAGCAATGAGATCACAGAGGGGGTGTACACACCCTGCGACATTGGAAGTAATATGATCCTCTCCCCACCTGGATATTGGGAAAGATATCACAGTGTGGGTATACATTTCCTATGCTGTTGGGAGTAATTTCATTCTTTTCCTTTCTGGATATTAGGAAGAATATCACAGGGGTGCTGTACAATTACTTCGATATTGAGAGTACTATCATCCTCTATTTTCCTGGATATTGGGCACAAAAACACAAAAGGGTGTACAACCCCTGCGATATTGGGAGTAATAGCATACTCTCCTTCCCTGGATGTTAGAAAACAATATCGTCAGGGCTGAACACCCCCCGCGGTAATGGGAGTCATATTTACTCTTTCACAGGCCATTTGGAACAATATCACAGGGGGTGTTTACAAACAGGGGTGGTGCACACCCCCTGTGATATTGGGAGTAACATCATTCTCTCCACCTCCGGATATTAAGAACAATATCCCGGCGGGAGGTGGTACACCCCCAGTGATATTGGGAATAATGTCATCCTCTCCTTCCCTGGATATTAGGAACAATATCACAGGGGGGTGTACACCTTCCGTGATATTGGAAGCAATATCATCCTCTCCCCCGCTGGATATTAGAAAAAAATATCACTCACGGTGTACACCCACTGTGATATTAGGAAGAATATTACAGGATGTACACCCACTCTGACTTTAAGAGAAATAGCTCTCTCAAATGTCCCAAACAATATCACAGGGTATACAATGATATTTCCCTAGGATATTACAACTACTATCACAGGGTGTACACTCACTGTGATAACACGAGTAATACTTCCCAAGGATACTACCAAGAATATCACAAGGCTGTACACCCACTATGTCATCAGGAGTGATATCTCCCTAGGATATTACGAATACCATCACAGAATGTACACACATGGTGTGCGCCCACGGTGATATTAGGAGTACTATCAACCTAGGACATAATCAATAAGACCACAGGGAGTACATACATGATGTACACCCACGGTGATATTATGAGAACTATCTCCCTAGACAATACCAATAACATCACAGAGTGGACACACATGGTATACACCCACTGTGGCACTAGGGCTCATAACTTTCTAAGATATTACCAATAGCATCACAGAATAGAAACACATGGTGCACACCCACTGTAATTTCTCCCTAGATATTACGGGTAACATCTCAGTGTGTACACACATGGTGAACACCCACTGTGACATTAAGGGTAATATCCCCCTAGGATATTACCAATAACATCACAGGGTGTCCACCCATGGTGTACATGCTCTGTGATGTTAGGGATAATAACTCCCTAGGATATTATGAATAATACAACAGGGTGTACAGAAACTGTGATATTAGAGGTAATATCTCTCTAGATATTATGAATAATATCACAGGGTGTACACCCACTGTGATACTGGGAGCAATATCTCTCTAGGATAGTACAAATAATATCACAGAGTGTACACCCACTGTGATATTAGGAGAAATATCTCTCTGGGATACTATGATGTACATGGTGTACATCCGCTTTGCTATTAGGAGTAATATCTTCCTAGGACATCACAAATAACATCACAGAGTGTACACCCACTGTCATATAAGGAATCATAAATCCCTAGATGATTACAAATAATATCCCATGGAGTACACCCACTGTGATACAAGGAGTAATATCTTCCTAGGGTATTACAAATAATTTCACAGTGTGTACACACATGATGTACACTCACTGTGAAGTTAGGAGTAATATCTAGCTAGTGCATAACAAATAACATCACAGGGTGTACACCCACGTTGATATTAGCTATAATATTTGTCTACGTTGTTACAAATAATATCACAGGGTGTACAAACATGGTGCACACTCACTGTGATATCAGGAGTCCTATCTCCATCATATATTATGAATAATATCACAGGGTGTACACTCACTGTATTATTAGGAGTGATATCTCTGTAGGATATTACAATTAAGATCACAGGGTGTACAGCCACTGTGATATTAGGGGCAATATCTTTCTAGGATATTACAAATAATATCACAGGGTGTAGGCCCACTCTGATGTCAGGAGCAATATCTTCCTAGGATATCAAAAATCATATCACAGGGTGTACAATCTCTGCCTTCCATGTTCTAAGGGATTCGCCTGCTTCAGCCTCCCGAGTAGCTAGGGTTACCCGCCACCACGCCCAGCTAATTTTTTCTATTTTCACTAGAGACCGGGTTTCACCACGTTGGCCAGGGTGGTCTGGAACCCCTGACCTCAGGTGATAAATCAGCCTCAGCCTCCCAAAGTGCTGGGATTACAGGTGTGAGCCATCATGCTCGGACAAGAGTTACATATTCAATTCATTTAGAAACACAGCTCCCATATTTGAGTGTGCATGTACCTTTATGAAGAAATGATGTCAGAAAACCTAAGGATGATAATAAATATGAAAAGTAACTGGAATGTTAAAGGGTCTTCCAATTAAGAACTCTAAGGTTTGATTTCATTTTTAGATAATGCGGTCCTAGCTCTTGTATCGTCCTTTTAAATATTCTACATCAAAGGAATTTGTAGCATCGTGTCAGAATGAAATAGAGTATATTCCACTGCTTCTTAATTTCTTTCAATTAGACTGAGATCTTTTTCTTGAAGAGAGAAGAATATGTTTATTGCATTTTATTTTCTCTGAAAAGAGTAGGCCATGTTTTACTGAGATCATGGATTTGTTATATGTTACGTTTTGGTCTTCTAACATTCTTCAGTGGATTTTCTCTAAAGTAGTATGTACAGAAAGAGTTGAAGAGCAAAAAGGTAAATCATGTAATAATTCTGAGATTTTTGGGTTTGTCACAACTGAGAAATATTGCTGATGGTGTATGGCCCTCAAGTGTGAAAATGTTCCTTGTGAATTGCTTGCATCCAAAATATACACACAGCATTAAGCGCTGGTTTTTATCTTTTATTTTTCCAATCCTCTTTTCTTCTCAAGGCGTCCAAGTCACACAGAGCCACGGAATCTCACGGGTGTCTGAGAATTCCTCCTCCTGGGAATCTCAGAGGATCCAGAACTGCAGCCCGTCCTCGCTGGGCTGACCCTGTCCATGTACCTGGTCACGGTGCTGAGGAACCTGCTCATCATCCTGGCTGTCAGCTCTGACTCCCACCTCCACACCTCCATGTACTTCGTCCTCTCCAACCTGCGCTGGGTTGACATCGGTTTCACCTCGGCCACGGTTCCCAAGATGATTGTGGACATGCAGTCGCATAGCAGAGTCATCTCTTATGCGGGCTGCCTGACACAGATGTCTTTCTTGGTCTTTTTTGCATGTATAGAAGACATGCTCCTGACTGTGATGTCCTATGACCAATTTTTGGCCATCTGTCACCCCCTGCACTACCCAGTCATCGTGAATCCTCACTTCTGTGTCTTCTTAGTTTTGGTGTCCTTTTTCCTTAGCCTGTTGGATTCCCAGCTGCATAGATGGATTGTGTTACAATTCACCTTCTTCAAGAATGTGGAAATCTCTAATTTTGTCTGTGAGCCATCTCAACTTCTCAACCTTGCCTGTTCTGACAGCGTCATCAATATCATATTCATATATTTAGATAGTACTATGTTTGGTTTTCTTCCCATTTCAGGGATCCTTTTGTCTTACTATAAAATTGTCCCCTCCATTCTAAGGATGTCATTGTCAGATGTGAAGTATAAAGCCTTCTCCACCTGTGGCTCTCACCTGGCAGTTTTTTGCTTATTTTACGGAGCAGGCATTGGCGTGTACCTGACTTCAGCTGTGTCACCACCTTCCGGCAATGGTGTGGTGGCTTCAGTGATGTACACTGTGGTCACCCCCATGCTGAACCCTTTCATCTACAGCCTGAGAAACAGGGACATTCAAAGTGCCCCGTGGAGGCTGCGCAGCACAACAGTTGAATCTCATGATCTCTTCCATCCTTTTTCTTGTGTCTGTAAGAAAGGGCAACCACATTAAATCCCTACATCTGCAAATCCTGCCCCTTAGTCACATTTTTTTTGTTGCTTGATGGCTTTTATTCCTTTCCACATTTGCTATGTGAATATTGCTTTCTTCGTTATGCCTTTAACTGGAATGGGTGAGTATTCTGGAATCCTTTGTTTAGCAGAAACCTCTTGACTGAGTCCTCTATACCTAGGCGGCCTCCTTTAGTTTCTGAGCAATAAGCCTGTCATCTAGGTGGAATCACAACCATCACTTATATACACGAAGTCCTCACTTCACTTTGGAATTCCCTGAAAACTGACTTTATGGAAACAATGCACAGCAGGTCCTCCAACACCATTGGTGCGTTCAAAGTTGTCTAGTTATAATGTTGATGAGGAATAAGTGGTTTCACTATCCATAACTTTGCTTAAAGGTGAAGATTCCAAGAGACTTTCAAAGATGTTAAGTGAGGACATACTGTACATCAAATTCATATCCTCTTCCAGAGTTCATGTGGAATTTCTTTATAAACTGCTTCTAGAGAATCTATTTAGGCAGGCTATGTGTAGAGATCCATGTTACCCATCCTCAATCTTGGCTTTGAGTCAAATCACCTGGTGAGCTTACAAATGATGAGCCCTGGGTCTCATTAGCTGAGATTCTGATCTACTTGGGCCTGTGTGGGTATGTGGCTTTTTTTTTTTTTTTTTAAAGCACTAGAGGTGGTTCCAATGTTTTTAGAGGCATCAAGTTCCAATGAGTAAGAACAGAAGTTAATTGCAATATGATTTCTTCAAATATTATCTTCCAATGAATTGTCCATCAACACCATACAAATGTTTATTATGCTGTTTTTTCTTACCATTTAGCATTTTATTTTTTATTTCCTTTTTTTTTTTTTTTGAGACCAAGTTTCACTCTTGTTGCCCAGGCTGGAGTGCAATGGCACGGTCTCGGCTCACTGCCGTCTCTGCCTCCCGTATTCAAGCGACTCTCCTGTCTCAGCCTTCCAAGTAGCTGGGATTATAGGCATGCACTACCATGCCCAGCTGATTTTTGTTTTGTTTTGTATTTTTAGTAGAGACACTGTTTCTCCATATTGCTCAGGCTGGTCTTGAACTCCTGACCTCAGGTGATCTGCTGGTTTCGACCTCCCAAAGTGCTGGGATTACAGGCGTGAGCAACCGCGCCCAGCCACCATTTAGCATTTTCATTTTACATTTGTTGAAGTGATAGATTTATACACACACTGATTGCTGCTTTGTTATACACTTGCATATACATAAGATGGGAAATAGAAAAGAATAAAATGGGCAGAGTATCTCTAAAGTTTCACATTCCGAGACTTTTTAAAAATATTTGCTTTCTAGAAATTTGTTCAATTAAGAAACTGTGGTATACACACACAAAGAAGTAGTATTCAGCCTAAAAAGGAATAAAATCCTCTCCACTGCAGACCAAATGGATGAGATTGCAGGTCTGTGAGTTAAGTGAAATAAGCCAGGCACAGAATGACAAATCTTACATGTCCTCACATATATTCAGGAACAAGAAAGAAAATCTTGGCCAGGTGGATTGGCTCAGGCCTGTAATCCCAGCATTTTAGGAGGCCAAATTGCACGGATCACTTGAGTCCAGGAGTTCAAGACAAGCCTGGCCAACATGGTGAAACCCCGTCTCTACTGAAAACACAAAAAATTAGCCGGGCCTGGTGATGCGTGCCTGTAGTCTCAGCTACTCGGAGGGCTGAGGCCCAAGAACTGCTTGAACTTGGGAGGTGGAGGTTCAAGTGAGCCCGGATTGTGCCTGTATACTCCAACCTGGGCAACAGAAAGAGACTCCATCATACACCTACACACAAAAGGAATCTCAGGAAGGTGGAAAGTATAAAGGTGGTTAGCAGATGCTAGGAAGAAAACGGGTGGGATGGGGAAGGAAGAGAAGTGGATAACTGGGTCCCAAAATACAGAAAGATGGAATAAGTGAGTTCTAGTGTTTGACAGCACAGTATGAAAATTTTAGCACACAAGAATTTCTTGCGTATTTCCAGATGCTTTGGTAAGAAGCTTCCTACCTTTCTCATTATGCTGGTTTCTAAGCTATTCTCTTTTTGCTCTTGAAATCATGCTGGGTTTTTTTGGTTTTGGTTTTCTGTTTTGAGATGCAGTTTCGCTCTTGTTGCCCAGGCTGGAGTGTAATGGTGCCATCTTGGCTCACTGCAACCACTGCCTCCTGGGTTCAAGCGATTCTCCTGTCTCCACCTCCCAGGCAGCTGGGATTACAGGCATGCCCCAGCACGCCCAGCTAATGCTGTATTTGTAGTAGAGATGGGGGTTTCTCCCTGTTGGTCAGACTGGTCTTGAACTCCTGACCTCAGGTGATCTGCCCGCCTCGGCCTCCCAAACAGCTGGGATTACAGGCAGGAGCAACCACGCCCAGCCCATGCTATATCCTTATCTGTTGTCTGTTTGTTTTTGAGCCCAGAAATAACTTCTCACCTATGTGTTCAAATGATTTTTAACATGAGTGCTAAGAAAGTTCATTGGTGGAAAAGCAGCCTTTTCAAGAAATGGTGTTGGGGAAACTTGATTTCCACATGCAGAAGAATGAAGGTGGACCCTATGTCACACCCGGTACAAAACTTAACACAAACTGGATCAAAGCCTTAAACCCAACTGCTAAAAGTATAATATGCCTAAAAGAAAACATTGGCCACATTTCCATGTCATCAGATAGGGCAATGCTTTCTGGTATATGACATCAAAAGCATAGGCAACAAAAGAAAATTAGATTCCTTGGATTACGTCTAAATGACAGACACTTTTGTGCATCAAAAAACACCGTGAACTGAGTGAAAACATAACCCATGGATGAGGAAAAGTATTTGCAAATCATACATCTGGAAAGGGGCTGATATCCATCATAGAGAAAGAACAGCTAGAACTAAACAACAAGAAACCAGAGCATCCCATTAACAATGGTCAGAAGATTCGAGTAGACGAGTCCCTAAAGAAGATATAGCAATGGCCAATAAGCATCTAAAATGATGTTCAATATCACTCATCATAGGGAAGCACAAATCAAACCAAGAATGTGATATTACACATTAGGATGGATGTAATAAACAAACAAGAATTGGTGAAACTAGAGGGAAGTAGGAATGCTTGAACATGATTGGAGGGAATGTAAAACCATGAAGGAACAGGAAAAATAGTATGGCGTGTACTGGAAAAATTAGAAACAGAATTATCAGATGTTCCCACAGTTGCACTTGTGGATACCTACCAAAAAGAATTAGAAGCCAGGAGTGGAAGAGATATTTGTGCACCCATATTCATAGCAGCATTATTCACAACAGCCAAAATGTGGAAGCAACCCAATGGTTCATGGACAGATGAATGAAAAAGCACACTGCAGTTCATTCATACAATGGAAGACTCTTCACCCTTCAAAAGGCAGGCACTTCTGGCCAGTGCGGTGGCTCACGCCTGTAATCTCAGGATCTTGGAAGACCGAGGTGGGCGGATCACCTGAGGTCAGTAATTCAAGACCAGCCTGGCCATCTTCGTGAAACCCTGTCTCTAATGAAAATGCAAAACATTAGATGAGCATGGTGGCGTGTGCCTATAGTCCCAGCTACTCAGGAGGCTGAGGCACAAGAACCGCTTGAACCTGGGAGGCAGAGGTTGCAGTGAGCCCAGATTGTGCCACTGTACTCCAGCCTGTGAGACAGAATGAGACTCCATGAAAACACAAAACTAAACAAAACAAACAAACAAACAAAAAACCAAAAAACCCAGACAGGCACTTCTGACACAGGCTGCAACATGGATGAACCTTGAAGACATAATCGTCAGTGAAATAAATAAATCCCAAAAGGATAGAGACGACCAGGCTCAGTGGCTCGCACCTGTAACCCCAGCACTTTGGGAGGCTGAGGCAGACGGATCACTCAAGGTCAGGAGTTGTAGACCAGCCTGGCCAATATGGTGAAAGCTCGTCTCTATTAAAAATACAAAAATTAGCTGGGCGTGGTGGCGCACACCTATAGTCTCAGCTACTCGGGAGACTGAGACACAAGAATGGCTTGAACCCACGATGTGGAGGTTGCAGTGAGCCGAGACCACGCCCCTGCACTCCAGCCTGGGCGACAGAGAAAGACTCTGTCTCCAAAACAAAAACAACAAAAAAAATTAAACACGGTATGATTCCACTTAGATCAAGGGTCTAGAGTAGTTAAACTCATAGACTGGCAAAATAGAATGGTGGCCCCCAGGGTGGGCGAGAGAGAGGAATGGAGAGTTTGGTCAATGGGTGCAATTTCCATTTTGAAAGATAAAACTGTTCCGGAGATGATGGCGGTGATGGTTGCTAAACAATGTGAATGTACTTAATGTGATTAAACTGTAAACTGAAAAAGCGTGGAAATCGTTAATGTTTACACTGGCCATTCCATATGAAATAATATATATTTATCATTTCTCATATTTATAGGTGGTATATTTTTGCATAATAAAAGGTGAAAATTAAAGCAGTTGGATCTTTCAAAAGAAAAGAAAGAAGCGAATAGTACACACAAGCTTCCTCCTGATTAGAGGAAGAGCCCCAAAGCTTCTGTGGACACTCACTTTTCTCTTCTTCTTGCATTATTATGAGAAAATCCTTAGAGGTAACTTGGGCGACTTTGGCTAATGAGGAGCTCTGTGCCTTGAGCCCCCCAGGCCATAGAATAGTAAATACTCAGTCTGTGCCTCCAGCCCTGCAGTGTGAGGTTCCAGTGTTGTGGGCTCCACACCCGTCACCTGTATCAGGAGGCTCATGTCTCACCCTGTCTTCTGGCCAGCCTTGAGGACGGAGTCTGGGCCTCCAAACTGCACCACGCAGGGAGGATAGTGGACCTGTTCTCCGTGGTCATGGCCCAGCAGAGAGGAAGGGCAGTTCAGTGAGTGCTAAGGGATGGTCGGGAGCCTTGTTTTGTTTCCTCATCCTCAGGACAAACAGGAGAGTGTGGTGGGCAGATGGGAGGAGACCAATGTGCCAACTGTCAGCTCAGCAGACTGTGGAGATACTGCTCCTGGTTGTGGTGGGGGGGTCTCAGAAATCTTATTCAAAATGTTGCTTTCCTCCCCCACTGGTTGTCCTTTTCATAGACATCTCACCCATGACAGCAGAGAAGGAATCCCTCTAAACTATTCCCTCAGAACAACAAAAAGATTATGAAGGTGATGATGAGGATAAAGAGGATGATGACAGACACCATGGCGTCATGAACCCTTACTGAGGGCTTCCTAAAGGCCAGGCTCTGAGCTCTGTGGTGTATGCAGCCTGTTTCATTTCATCTGCATAGTCTCCCAGTTATTAGTGCACATTTCATTATTATTTTACAGACTAGAAAAGGAGCAACGCATTTTCATATAACTTCTACAAGATCATGAAGTCAAAAAGGGTGGAGTCCAATTTGAACCAGGCAGTCTAAATCCAGACACATGGCATTTGGCCAGTCCTGTCCCTGCATCCAACCTGCCCTCTCAAATCCTTATCACTCAGGCCTATGCCCCTGTTCACTGTGCCCTTCCTTTTGGGGATTCCTTGTAGACCACAGCTAGACCAGTGGGTGCCACAATCACTGTGTCAAGTATAGAAAGGGCAGCTGAGATCACATCAAAAATTCCAGAAAGAATTGGGAGAGGATCATTCGGGATGCATCTCTCCCTTGCCCCTGTTTCTGGCTTTCCTTACAGCTCTCGACTTCCTCAAAGGAGCCATAAATTCGGAGTTTGGCTTCCACTCCTATTGAGGAGGCTGGAAACCATTTCAAAAATGCTCCTCCGATGTGCCTGTGGTTAAGACCTCTGAGCTCTGCTTAAAACTTTTGGAAGCTTGGCGCGGTGGCTCACGCCTGTAATCCCAGCACCTTGGGAGGCTGAGGCAGGCGAATCACAAGGTCAGGTGTTCGAGACAAGCCTGGCCAACATAGTGAAACCCCGTCTCTCCTAAAAAGAGAAAAAAATGAGCCGGGCGTAGTGGCGGGCGCCTGTAATCTCAGCTACTCAGCAGGCTAAGGCAAGAGAATAGCTTGAACCTGGGATGCGGAGGTTGCAGTGAGCCAAGATCACTCCACTGCACTCCAGTCTGGGCAACAGAACGAGACTCCGTCTCAAAAAAACAAAAACAGAAACAGAAAAACCCACAACTTTTTGAGAGTTGGAAGACCATCATGTATAGTACCCGGGACTCAGAGTCTGGCCATTAATTTTCAATACCACCCTTTCTACTTATCTGTACAGTAAGGGGTGAGATGTCCATCCTCTGAGACTCAGCACTCTCATCTGAGTTGATTTCTAATTGAGCCAATGGAAGTGAGCGATGATTAAACCGATCATGGGTGCCTGCTTCGTGATCTCTACATGATGGATGCATAAAGTAAAGGCAAACTGAATTTTAGATACATTCGTTAACATTTTAGGCTTAAATTCCATACAATTCAACGGAAATATCCCCTGACCTGAAGTTCTGGTTTCCCTGCATTCCAGACAGGACATTTTATTTTGTCCTTATCTCAGTAAGTACTGAGTATTGTGGGAGGAACAAGCGAGTCTCTTTTGTTTCTGATTCCGCAGGGGCTATATCTTGCTTGGTACGTAGGAGATAGCAAAAGTAAAAATCTATGTTAATTATTGAATTGACACTTCTTTGGTTCACAAAAATTGGCTGTCATCAGTGTGACTTCGACTTACTTGATTCTTTTTGCTTTTTGTTTTTTGAGAAGGAGTTTTGCTCTTGTTGCCCAGGCTGGAGTGCAGGGGAGTGATCTCGGCTCACTGTAGCCTCTGCCTCCCAGGTTCAAGCCATTCTCCTGCCTCAGCCTCCTGAGTAGCTGGGACTACAGGCGCGCGCCACCATACAGGGCGAAGGTTTTGTATTTTTAGTAGAGGTGGGGTTACACCATGTTGGCCAGGATGGTCTTGATCTGCCGACCTCGTGATCCGCCCTCCTCGGCCTCCCAAAGTGCTGGGATTACAGGCATGAGCCACCGCGTCTGGAAAAACTTTCTGATGAAAAGTCTAAGTCTACCTCAGCTAAGGACAGGAGTGATAGCTTACATGAATTTTAAAACAAGACCCACCGATTTGAGTAAGCAATTATCTCTTCAAGGAGAAAAGTTAGAAAACAGAATGATGAAATCACCAGGACCTAACTGGCCTGTGGAACTATTTTCTGCTTATGAACTATCAACTTTCATTTCATTTCCAGATGGCATGGTCTCAGCTGTTATACGGTGTTTATAAATGTTCTCAATCAAAGGAATTTGTATCAATCTATTCGAATGAAATAAAATATTTGAGGTCTTAATTTCCTTTAATTAGGATAACCTTTTTCTTAAAGTGAAGAGAATGGTTTTATTACATATTTTTCTTCGGAAAAGATAGGCTGTATTTTCCAGCAATTACCAATTTGTTATATATAATGATCTGGTTGTTGGAACATTCTTGAATCTAGTGTCTCTAAGGCAGGTGTGTACAGCAAGAAGTGAATAACACAGAAATCAATGATGAAAGCATTAGAAGACAATTGAGTTTGTCAGAACTGCAAAATATTGCTGAGCGTGGATTGCTCTGAAATCTGAAAACATTACTTGTGAATTGCTTCTATCCAAAATGCAGACACAACGCTGGGTGTTGGTTTACTTGTTTCCGATTTTTCAACCCTCTTTTCTGGGTAAAAGGTGTCCAAACTCTACAGACTGACAGAGTCTAACAGGTGTCTCTATATTCCTCCTCCTAGAACTCTCAGAGGATCCAGAACTGCAGCCGGTCCTCGCTGGGCTGTTCCTGTCCATGTGCCTGGTCAAGGTGCTGGGGAACCTGCTCATCATCCTGGCCATCAGCCCTGACTCCCACCTCCACACCCCCATGTACTTCTTCCTCTCCAACCTGTCCTTGCCTGACATCGGTTTCACCTCCACCACGGTCCCCAAGATGATTGTGGAATCCAATCTCACAGCAGAGTCATCTCCTATGCAGGCTGCCTGACTCAGATGTCTCTCTTTGCCATTTTTGGAGGCATGGAAGAGAGACATGCTCCTGAGTGTGATGGCCTATGACTGGTTTGTAGCCATCTGTCACCCTCTATATCATTCAGCCATCATGAACCCGTGTTTCTGTGGCTTCCTAGTTTTGCTGTCTTTTTTTTCTTTCTTTTTCTCAGCTGCACAACTTGATTGCCTTACAAATGACCTGCTTCAAGAATGTGGGAATTCCTAATTTCCTCTGTGACCCTTCTCAACTCCCCCATCTCACATGTTGTGACACCTTCACCAATCACATAATCATGTATTTCCCCGCTGCCATATTTGGTTTTCTTCCCATCTCGGGGACCCTTTTCTCTTACCATGTAATTGTTTCCTCCATTCTGAGGGTTTCATCATCTGTGGGAGGTGTAAAGCCTTCCCCATCTGTGAGTTGTTTGCTGATATTATGGAACAGGCTTTGGAGGGTACCTCAGTTCAGATGTGTCATCTTCCCTGAGAAAGGCTGCAGTGGCCTCAGTGATGTACATGGTGGTCACACCCATGCTGAACCCCTTCATCTACAGCCTGAGAAACAGGGATATTAAAAGTGTCGTGCAGCGGCCGCATGGCAGCACGGTCTAATCTCAATATCTTCTTATCTGTTCCATTCCTTTTGTAGTGTGGGTTAAAAAAGGCAGCAAGGTCAATAAGAATGATATCACAGGGTGAACACCCACTGTGATATTAGGAGTAATACCTCCCTAGGATATAAAATATACTGTCACAGAGTCTACACACATGGAGTACACCCACTGTGAAATTAGAAGCAATATCTCCCTAAAATATGATGAAAAATATCACAGGGTGTGCACACTGTGTGATATTAGGAGTAATATTTACCCTGGATATGATGACTAATATCAAGGGTGTGTACACACGGGGTACATGCACTGTGATATCACGAGTTGTATCTCCCTAGGATATTATGAATAATATCACAGGGTATACACTATGTGCATACATCCACTGTGATATTTGAAGTCATATCTCTCTATGAGATTACAAATAATATCAAAGTGTGTACACCCCTGTGACATATTAGGAGTAACATCCTTCTAGGGTATTACAGATAACGTCACAAGGTGTACAACTTCTGTGACATTTTGTACACTCTTTGTGACATTAAAAGAAACATCCCCTTAGGATACTATGAATAATAACACAGGCCATGTACACACGTGGTGTACACCTCCTGCGCCATCAGGAGTAACATTCCCCTGGGATATTAGGAATAATATCATAGCAGGTGTACACACATGGTGTACACCCCATGTGACATTAGTAGGAACATGCCCCTAGGATATTAAGAATAGTATCACAGGCATTGAATACACATGATATACACCCCCAGTGACATTAAAAATAATTCCCCCCCTAGGATATTATGAATAATATCACAGGGAGTACACCCCCTGTGACATTAGGAGTAACATCCCCCGAGGATATAACGAATAATATCAGAGGGTGTACATGCATTGTGACTTTAGTAGTAACATCTCTTTAGGATATTACAAATAATATCACAGGGTGTACATGCATTGAGACATTAGTAGTAACATCCCGCTAGGATATGACGAGTCATATCACAGTGTGTACACCCCCTGTGACAATAGTAGTAACATTCCCCTAGAATATTACGAATAATATCACAGGAGGTACGTACAGCCCCTGTGATTTACGAGTAAAATTTCTACAGAATATTACAAGTCATATCACTGTGTGACTCTGTGTACACTCTATGTGACATTAGGAGTAACATCCCACAAAACTATGATGAATAATATCACAGGGTGAACACCCCGTGACCTGAGGAATAACGTGGTTTTAGGATATTATGAATGATGTGACAAGGTGTACACACCCTGTGACGTTAGGAGCAATATCCGTCTAGGATGTTAGGAAGAATATCACAGGGAACACACCCCCTGTGACATTAGGATATTATGAATAATATCACAAGGTGTAGATGCATTGTGACATTAGTACTAATATCCCTCTGGTATACTATGAATAATATCACAGGGTGTACATCCCTGTGACATTAGGAGTAACATCCCCCTAGAATAGGATGAATAACATCACAGGGGGTACACACCCTGTGACTTTAGGAGTATCACTGCCCTGGAATATGAGGAATACTGACCCAGGCTATTAACCCCCTGTGACCTGAGGAGTAACATCCCACTGGAATATTACAAATAATATCACAGTGTGTACACCAACTGTGATATTGGGAGTCCTATTTATTTTTAGGATATTAGGAATAGTATCAGAGTAGGTGTACACAGTAGGTGTTAAAATTTATAACCAATATTTTCATTTTATGTAGGTAGAGTACAGAGTTGGGTTTGTGTACCATGTGGGTTCTTCATGTTACAGAAAGACTTCTGAGCATATACTTGTAAGTTTATGCCCATACCATAGAACTTGAGCCTCATTTTACTAATAGGGCCATTATAGAGCTTTATAACTCTCCACCTCTACAGCCTATAGTCGGTCATAATTACATGGAGACCCAGATCAAGAATGCTATTCAGAATCGCAGCATTGAGCTCCTAGTGGCAAAATGTGACCCATGTGATGATAGTGTAACTAAGAGTGTGGTTTTCAGGCCCACACTGGGAGGGAACAGTGGGTAGTTTAGGTGCCATACCTTTATGTTTAGAGTGTGATTATAACTTCTAAGACAGGGAAAATGCTGTGGTTTCAGTGATCCTTGCTTCCCAGCTAGCAACCCTGACCAGTAATGACTGGTCAGAGATCTTTTTTGGGATATTATACATCTTCGTTCCTTTCATTCTTTTCCTTGCACACTTCTCTTCCTATTTGCTTCTTAAGTTCTGGGAGGAAGGGAGGCCAAAAGAGAACAAGGCTCTGGGAAGAAGAATCCTTTTTATGCCACAAAGTAGCCATTTTGCTGACTTCAAGAAGGTTCTGTTTGGTTAGGAGACAGCCTTTTGTTTAAGGGGAATTCAGATGCCCTGGGGATTTACAGCTTGCACAAACCCCCTGGAAATGGGAAGGGGCTGTGTGGCATGTCAGCAGGGAGAATGTAACTCTCCTTTGATGAATCCTCCAGAGTTCACAATCCTGGAATTTAGGGAAAGGAGGAGGCTGGTGGTGATCCCTGGACCATGCTGGATTTTCAACTCCAAATAAAGGAAGATGGGGGAACTGTGCTTCCATGGTGCCCCCTCAATTGGTGATTTCTTGAATTTTCATAGTATAACGGGGTTTGGAGTGAATCAGAATTGCTGCTGGAATGGTATTTTGCATTGTAATAACTAAGGAATACAGCTCATGTTCAAAGCTTAAGGAAAATATTTGGTAGATCCAAGATTAAGGCAAACATGCGTTGAATGCAAATTTGGATCCAGGAGCATGGGGCTTCAGAAAGTAGCAAGTTGACCAGCAAATGTTGGCAGGTAGAAAAACACACTTATAAGGAGAAATTCAGAAGTTAGTTGTTTTTCCTGCTAAAACCACGGAAAGAAAAGCAAGGGCCGTGAAGGGAAGACAGCAGAATTATTGTAGTGCAGAAGGAGATGCCAGATCCTGGCCAGCCACCAGGACAAAGGCAGCAGTGGATTCCTAGTGTCAGGTCCTAGAGGAGGTAAAGGCCTCGCTCCTGGTGCTGGGTTTGAAGAAGAGGCTTTACTGGTTATTTTACAAGAAGAATTAGTGCATGAGGTAACAAACTGCTCCCGTTCTGTGGATGTCTAACTCGTCCTCTAAATAAAAGCTTTCCAAAACGCCATGTTGCGTATCAATTTATATTAAGGTTTTTAAAGTAAAACCACTATCAATTTGTTTTTAAGAAGGAATTGTTTGATAGGAAAAGTCTAATAGGCTAGAAAAGCTGGCTTGTTTTATTTAATTCTCACAACTCCACTTGACACTTCCAAATTCACTTTACAGATGAAGAAAGTGATGCTCAGGAGGTGGTGTCAGCTGCCCACAGTAGCCCAGCCGATCAGAAGCAGCACCAGGCCCCCACCTGCTTCAGCCCATGGGCTTTTTGCATGGCTGCCTGGGATCCTGATAGGTCATTTATTTGATGACTTTGCTTCACCAGAGCAATCATTTCATGTATAGTTTCATGACTAGGAACTGGCTTCAAAAACAACTTCTAATGAGTCAAAAACAGCCAAAATGGCAAGGATGGAAAAAATCCATGGGTCAGTAGAATCATAAAGGGCAGAGTGCATATATCTGTCTGTCTCTCATTCTCTCCACCTTCCTTTGCTTCCCTTTTCCCCCTCTCTTTTCCTCACATTCTCTCTCTCTTCTCTCTGTTCTTCCCTTTCTCCCATTCTTGCTCTTTCTTAAGTCCTATTAACAGCTTTGTCTACATGGCATCATTTTTACTTGTCAGCATCTGCTTTGGCTTATTCTTAGTCATTGTGCTTGTCTTTCCCATTGGAGGATAGCCGGATCAATCCTTTTCCATTCTGTCAAAATGGGACAGTGGCAGTTTAATGACTGAGTCTGTGAATGAATTGGCTAATACCAAGTAACAGAGCAACAGAAATATACGCTTTAGATCCTTAATCCTAGGCAAGGAAAACAAGGAGACTCAGCCCTTTCTGCACTCCAGAAAGAAGGCCCTCTCTGGGCTCAGTCTCAGTAGAGCAGCAGGAGGCACAGCTGTGGGGAAACCCAGGGTATATTTAGTGTGGCCCCATTTGAGCTGGGCAGGTCCCAGCAAAGCATCCCTTGCTATTTGTGTGCCATGGCCAGTGTGTGTCCTCCCAAGATGAAGAAGGCTTGGGCTCTCTGAGACAACCTTGCCACCGGGGGCCTCTTGCCTCAGACCCTGGTCCTTAAACCAGGATGATGCTAGAAGGAGGCCAAAGGACAAGCAGAGATGAGTGACTCCCAGGGTAACGGGTAGCTCTGGACATGGATGTGAATGATGACAGAAAGCTCCTCGCAGAAATGAGGAGACCTGCCTCTGCTCCCAGGACAGTCAAGGGAAAGCACTCAGACCAGGACCCTGCCAGTAGCATCCCCCTCCTCGTGGGGCATCGCAGCCCCGGGACCTTAGGACAGGTGAGCTTCTTTCTCTGAGTCTCAGCTCCCTCCACTGTAAAACAGACACAATCTGCCCAATATTTCTGAGATGTTGAGGATAACACTGAATGAGCTGTGAACATCTTTTAGAATCCTGGAGCACTGGGCTTTATAAGGAATCATTGTTACACGAAAGTTCTGGTTTGGGGGGTTTTTCTCATTGCAGTTATTATCAGGTTGAATTTCCACAACCAAAGGAGTCAGTTGGGTTGGGAAAGTCAGAAAACATTGATTTTTTTATACTTCTTGTATGCCATGTATTGTTCTAGCTGTTTTATATTGTTATTTTTGAATCATGTAAAACCCTGCAATATTACCATGCATTAGACTGATGATGTAGACATCACACTTTTCAGTATTATGTTGCCATAAGTTTGGAGGAGAGAACACCAAGGCTTGCTTTGGGAAGGTTGCTTCAGATCACACAGCCAGGGCCATGAGTTAAGAATGGCAGTTTCCATCTGTCCCTTTGTATTTTTCCTAAGTCCACAGAAGAGTGAGCAGAAACTGATAGAGTCTAGAGGCCAGAGATGAGCTAGAATAATTTGTTTGGCTTTGGAATGAATTGAAATACACACACACACTCACACACACACGTGTTGCCCTTTTCACCTGGCTTGTCTCTGTTCTGCTTTAGTTTTTCTCAGTTGTCAAGGATCTAGGATGTGGGTCAGCTGACAGTGTGTTTGTCCTGGAGCGGTCACCATGGGCACCATTGGTGGAGACTGGTTCCCTTTGAAGAGATGCCTACGTAACATCCCAGCCTTGTCGCCAGAAGGCTCTGGGTCTGCCCACACTGGCCCCATGATTTTAGCCAAGTCACTTCCCCTTAATTCTATTCTGGTCTCTACACCAGTACAGTGGAGTGGTGAGTTGGAACTGGGTCCCACCTTGCCGGTCTGAGAACAGGCTCCTTCTGAACATTCACTCCCAATCATTTCCATATTCCCTTCAATCTTGCTGTAGGGCTTTGGGGAACAAAACACAGGGCCAGAGGCAATGAGTGACACCAGAACTAAATATCAGCTGTTCCTCCCAAGTTCACTCAGTCATCTCCTGGAGGGGGTGCAATGAAAACTTGTCCTCAATTACTTTGAGATATATACCATGATATTTTTAAGCAATGCATTTGTATTCCTAACAGTATTTGCCTCAGGTTGTATAAATATGAGTCCATAATCCTTGGGTGAGGCCCAGACTCCATTTGTTCTTTGGCTGCTGATAAACCCATCGAGTAATTGAGCCCAAGTGGATAGATGTGAGTCAGTTCTCATGCTAGGCTCATACAAATATTCTCATTGATAATGAATGGTTGTACAAAGTATTTTTACCTATTATCTCTTTAAAACTACCCAAAGTCCTGTGATGATACCACGACTCCCCCTAGAGACCGATGAGGAAGCGGGGCTTCAGACGGAGGCAGACTTGCCTGAGGCCAGGATCCCCTCCACGGCTGCAGGTGGAACCAGTGAGCTGCCAGGTGGGAGGCAGCTCCCAGGCCACCCTTTCATGCATACTTCTGAGCTCCCAGGGGAGGGAGGGGAAGATAGGCTTTTAGTTCCCAATGGCTGAGACCCACAGGGTGGCTTGGCTTTGCCAAATCCCCAGGAAACAGGGGCGGTGGGAAGAACCCAGAGAAGGTGGGGTTGAAGAGAAGACTGCCACAGGCTTAAAGGGGAGTGCGCTGGAGTTGGTGACGTTTCGGTAGCACCTAGGAATTTGAGCCCATCTGCACGGAGCTCTGTAAGGCTGGGGACTCGCTGAGATTGCAGAGAGGCAGGAATAGGGAGTGCTGTGGAAAGACAAAAACATTTTTGTCCTTGAGCCTTCTCAGTCTGTGCAAGACAGGAAATTCCTCAATTCTCCTGAGGCAGCCAGCTTCCCTGACTGCTGCAGCCTAGTGAGAGAAACGAGATAGACCTGTGTATTTCCAGTCTTATGTCCCCAAGCCCACTCCTGGAGCTTCTGCCAAGGCCCCTGGTAGCCCTCCATCAAAGGCTGCAATGCTGAGTCAGGAGCATTGGAGAGCAGCAGGGGCCTGAGAGCCCCATCTTCGAAAGGGACCATTGGGGGTTACCTGCTGTCACACTCAGGCTCCATGCCCTTCAACTGCACCTGCTTTGGGGTTTTCCTCCAGCCTCCTGGACCTTCCCAGCTTCTCCCCATCCAGGTTCCCAGAGGCTGGGCTAGGAGAGTTCTACAGTAGGCCTGCTTTCATTTTCAGTGGCAGTGGATAAAAATTCAGTGGCAACTTTGGAGGTGACACCTGCCCAGATACATTACATACCGTGGAAACCTCCCCATGGCTCCGCTTCCTGAAGAAGGTCTAGTATTTGTGGTCCTGTGTTGATAAAAACCCAAAATGCCGGCGGTGCTTTCCCCAGAAACTTAGGGTTTAAGTTAGAAATATCCTAACCCTCCCCTTCTCAACAGCTGCATCTGCCAAAAACAAAAACAAAAAATGCTAAAATGGCATTACTGAAAGTCAAGCTGCCTGGCTCATAGGACCAAGGGAGATACCAGAGGCTGGGCACCCATGGCTTGTCCTGCACCAGGATTGTTCCCTGTGAGATGTGGACGGCAGGACCAGCCACTCCACAGCCCCCTCCCCTTCAGCTCCTGTGAGGCGGGGATTCCAAGAATGAGGAAAGGCTGCAGCCACCTCCACAAGAAACTGAATGTGAGTGAGGGGCCAGGCCTCTCACCCTCCTCGACTTGCCGACGCACTCCCTCTCTGAGAAATTGATTTTTTCTCCCAGTTTTTATTAAGGTATTATTGATGTACAATAAACTACACATACTTAAGTTGTTTAATTTGTTAAGTTTTGCCATATGTACACACATGAAACCTTTGCCATGATTTTTTAAAGTGAAATTCTCATTGTCTCCAAATGTTTCCTCATGCCCCTTTATAATCCAACCTCCCGTCCCCTGCCCCACACCACTACTGACCTGCTTTCTGTCACTGGACTTTGCATTTTCTAGAATTTTATATAAATGGAGTCATCCAGTATGTACTCTCTCTTTGTCTAGCTTCTTCCTTTTTTTTTTTTTTTTTGTTTGTTTGTTTTTGCTTTTGAGACAGAGTCGTACTCTGTCTTCCAGGCTGGAGTGCAGTGGTGTGATCATGGCTCACTGCAGTCTCAACCTCCCATGCTCAAGTGATCCTCCCACCTCAGCCTCCCAAGTAGCTGGTCCTACAGCTTGGTGTCTTTCATTCAACATAATTATTGTGAGATTCATCCCTGTTGTGGTGCCCTCAGTAGTTCATTCTTTTTTGTTGCTGAGTAATATTCCATTGTGTGGATATATCACAATTTGTTTATTTACTCACCTGTTGATGGATATTTGGGTCATTTCTAGTTTGCAGCTATTGTGAATGAAGCTGCTCTGAAAGTTTGTGTACACGACTTTGTATGGATATGTGCTTGCATTTCTCTCGGGGACATACCCAGGAGTAGCATGACTAGATCCTAAGGGAAGTATATGTTTAACTTTTTAAGAAACTGCCAAGCTGTTTTCAGGAGGTTCTGTACCACCTGCCATATATGAGATTTGCAAGTTGCTCCACATCCTTGTCAAGACCAATTCTTGGGATGTGATGTCTTTTTATTTTTAGCCGTTCTAATGAGTGTAGTGTCCTTGGCTTTCATGAGGTGCTTAAAACTTCCTAGGATGGGAATGGAGCACCATATAATTATAGAAAATGACAAAGAAGCGTTTCAGTTCTGCCTTATGAGAGACACCAAGACGTACTGTTAAGTTAAAAACATGCCAATTATTTTGTATAACGTGCTTTCATTTACTTTTTAAGAAGATAATAAATGCTGTTTGCTTCCATATGTTACACACGTAGATCATCTCTGCCAAGATGAACAAGAAACTGAAAACTCGTTGCCTCTGAGGAGAGATCACTGGTGGCCAGGGGATGGGGTGGGAGGGAGACTTGCCATACTCTTTGGTATCTTTTGAATTTTGTGCCATGTGAGGGTATCATTTATTTGAAAAATAAATAAAATGTTTTAAAAACTCACAAACTTATAGGCACTCATTGTTCATTCCTGGCTATCAGGCAAGAACCTCATCATTGCCAAGCAGAGAAATTGGAGGCATCTTGTTCCTAATGATCTCTAGGAACTCCAAACACTCTTCATCTGTTAGCTGCCAGTTTCTGGTGGGAACCTGAGCATCAACACAGTCATGTACCAAGTGGTCATTTAGTCTGTGTTTGTTGAATGAATGCATGAACGTTCACCCCACACTCTGTTTTCTACCACACAGAAAAGAAGAGTAGCGGGAAGAGCGAGTACCTTCTGCCTGTGGCTCCCAGCAAGCCCAATGCACCCATCTTCCTGCAGGGCCTCTCTGATCTCAAAGTCATGGATGGAAGCCAGGTCACTATGATGGCCCAAGTGTCAGGTCTGTCTCTGCAGCTCTCTCTCGGGGATTAACATGAAAATGGTCTTGGTTGCAATGAGTATTGCTCTCCGAGGACCCGCTCAGATCCTTGATCCACCAGAAAATCAGATGACCATCAGGTGATGGACCCAAAGAAATGGAGATTCTTGTCCTCTCTTTTCTGCTTTCTCTGGGTAGGATTTTCTAGATTCCGATTAAATGGTCCAGAGGAAGAAGATGGCCATAGAGCTAGAGCAGTGAGAGATTAATTTGAAATTATAGTGTGGCCAGTGTAGCTGGAAGGTTTTAAAGACTGGTACAAAACCACATTATGTGAGAACTTCCCAAATCTCAGAAGATGTTTTCTCAGTTGCTCTATTCAAATTTTGCGGTGAAATGATAGAGCAGAGGTTCTTCTAAAACAGAGGCAGGGAAACAAGAGCATGTGATTAGTATCCTGGTCTGAGATATCACAGTCCTTGCTAGAGGTGAGTGAGAGAAGCCCAGAGAAGATCCTGGCACATCGCTCATGGCTGAGGAGCCAGAGTTTTCCACTGAGTGCATAACTGGTAATTGGCCACTGATCAGTGCCTCTGACACTCTGAAGGTCGCTTTCCTAGTTTTTCAGTCCCTCTTGAGCTGCATAAGCAAAACCAGATGGGCCATCAGAGATCCTGTGGACTTGCCCTTTTAGGGATGCTTAGATGGACTCCCTGTTCCTGCGGGCTAGAAGCCACCCTTTGATGGTCCTAGGCAGAGGGCTGGGTCCCCTCCCCTGTCCACACTCACCGTGCTGCACACTGAGTCCTTGAGTTGAAAGAGATTGGAGGTGCTCTGCACCTGCCTCCAGGCATTTGATGTCTAACCCATGGCAGACATGCCATGCCCTCTCCTGAACCTCTCCAGGGCCTGGTGTCACACAGCCTGCCTCAGCAGCCTCCTCCAGGGCCCTTGCTCCTTTGAAGCAGTGCCTAACAGCTCAGCTCTTATATCAGAGGAAAGCCTCACAGATGCCCATGGTTTTATGCTCCAAAAAATCCCCAGAAACTACCCAGAAAAGTAGACCAGTAAAAACTGAAAATGCTATCCATCAAGAGCCATGTTTGGAAATCCTGCTCAAGCTGGTACCTATCTTTACCCTGGGATGATATTTTGTGTGATAGAAAAATGAAATGCTACCTGAGGTCTCTCTCTGCTGAAAATTTGCAAGGGAGTTACCATGAAGTTACCATTGCCTAGATGTGGGTGCACCATGTGAAGCAGTGCAGAGCAGAAAACACATTCAGTTTCAACCCAGGAGTCCAGTCACCACTTAGGATTATCAAGCAGCTTGAATTCTAATTTTAAAAACTATTCTTCCTGGGTTTTCTGTTTCATATCTGAAATCATATTTTCACTTCTGGGTTTTTAGTATTTTCCCCAAATCTTATGTTAAATAATTCTGATGAGCATGTATGGGGTGTTTTCTGTGTACCAGATGCTGTTCTAATCTGCTGTCCTAATGGGCTGCTAAGGGAGGTTTGGTTGACTCATTTCATCCTCCCAACAAACCCACGAGGTAGATCCTGTTTGAATTCCTGTTTTACGGATGGGGAAGTGGAAGCATAGAGAGTTGTTGGAGTGTTTCATCCAATATCACTGTATTAAGTGCAGAGTTGCTGCATGGCGGGAAGGACCTCCCTAACCAGTCCCCCTTCCCCTCCTCCTGGTTCAGGGAATCCACCCACTGAAGTCATCTGGCTGCACAATGGGAATGAGATCCAAGAGTCAGAGGACTTCCACTTTGAACAGAGAGGCACTCAGCACAGCCTTTGTATCCAGGAAGTGTTCCCGGAGGACACGGGCATGTATACCTGCGAGGCCTGGAACAGCGCCGAAGAGGTCCGCACCCAGGCCATGCTGATGGTACAAGGTGAGGCTGACCCACTCAGAGCGAGTGGGAAGGAGGTGCTGCTGCGGCCTCTCCAAAAGTGATTTGGAGGCAAGGAAACCACATGAGGCTACTTTCTTCCCACTGTAGGCCCTCTGTTCCCTCAGTCCCACCCCAGTCCCAGAGGCCAGCTCCCTGTCCAACATCACAAGCTCTGACTGAGTGGGGCTGTCCTTCCCAGCTTTCTGAAGTCCCTGCCCTCTCTGGATTACTGGTGCCAAGGTGCATAGAGTACTAAGAGGGAAATCTGTAATACACTGAACAATTTGGCAGCGAGAGCTTTTGAGGTGAGTTATGGGCTTAACAGGGTCCTTGCCATCAGATAACATATTTAAGAGGAGAGGCAAGTTAAGCACACATAAAGTGAGTGACAACTCTTAATCACACGCATTGGATACAGATCATTAGCACCTGGCTCGGTGCCCCTGTGCCTTCTGGGCTATGTCCCCTTACGTTGGATATACAGTCATGTTAATATTATCCTCTGAGAATATATCGGAGATGGATGTGCAATGAGAAGGGTGTGCTGCATTTGTGTATCCAATCGCAGTGATTTCTGGACAAGCTGTTACTTGGGTGACATGCTATCTTCCCTCTTTCACCTCCATGGAGAATTGAGTGGACACTGCCTGCTGAGGGGCCTCCCTGTTTAGCTCTGCCCTTTGCCAACTTCCAGAGCCTCACGATGGCTCCCAGCCCTGGTTCATCAGTAAGCCTCGCTCAGTGACAGCCTCCCTGGGCCAGAGTGTCCTCATCTCCTGCGCCATAGCTGGTGACCCCTTTCCTACCGTGCACTGGCTCCGAGATGGCAAAGCCGTCTCCAAAGACAATGGCCACTTCGAGGTGCTTCAGAATGAGGACGTGTTCACCCTGGTTCTAAAGATGGTGCAGCCCTGGCATGCCGGCCACTATGAGATCCTGCTCAAGTGAGTCTGCATGTCCGGCCAGCCTCCCTTAACCGTTCCCTCCAAATTCCTACCTCCCCTAACCTGGGTCTGGGCAGCCAGAAGAAGCACAAACCAATGTGGGGCTTGGACTTCCAGGTAAAGCAAGTGCGGGCTCAGTGCTGCTCACAAGCTTTTGCATCTTACACTTCAGTATAGCAAGTGTTCATTAGAACCTTCCCTTTTGAGCTCACTTCCCCAGAATCCTGTCTTGTTACATCCCTGTTCCCCCATTATGTGGTGTATGGTGAGTATGAAGGAAGGAGGAATGGATTAAAGTTGGAAAAGCAGGGGGATAGAGGGAATGCATTTGTTACCTATTGCTGTGTAACAAATTACCCTGAAACTTAGCAGCTTGAAACATTTATCGTCTCCCAGCTGGGAATTTGGAAGCAGCTTAGCTGGATGATTTTGAAGTTTCAGTCAAGATGTCGGCAGGGGCTGCAGTCTCTGAAGGCTCGACTGACACTGCAGGATCCGCTTCCAAGGCTCACTCCCGTGACTGTGGCAGGAGGCCTCAGCTCCTCACTGGTTGTAGGTGGGAAGCCTTGGCTCCTCACTGGCTGTTGGTGGGAGGACTCAGCTCCTTGCCTTGTGGACCTCTCCGTGGGGCTGCTTGAGTGTCTTTATAGCATGGCAGCTGGCTTCCCCAGAGCTAGTGATCAAAGAGGGAGCCCAGGTCGGAGCTTGCAGTGTCTTTTAAGACCTACGGTTGGAAGCCACATGCCATCACGTCCGACTTTGTTAGAAGTGAGTCACTAAGTACAGCCCATACTCAAGGGGAGGTAAATTCAGTTCCGCCTCTTGGAGAGAAGAATTTGCAGACATTTTAAAACTACCACAGGGAGGTTACATTTCCCCATTACCTTCTTCTCTCCTTTTCAAGGTCTTGCTAGGTTGCACAGGAAGGTCAGCTCCATGAGGCACACTGCTACATTGCCAGGCCTAGAACAGTGGCGAGCCCATAGTCCACACTGGGTAGCTATTTATTAGATGAATGTGATTCAGAAATGCTCTTTTACCTTGAAAATGCTCTGTCTCTTAAAATCCTATGCCAGCCCTGGATTGGTGGGGACAGAATGCCTTCTGTGGGTCCTGGGGTTGGTGTAAGCATCGAAGAAGAGCATTTGTCTGCACCTAACCTACAAATAGGAGGTGGTGCCACATCCTGAGGATGGTTAGACCTGTCCTGGCCCGGGTGCATGACCACTTTGCAAGTGGCTTTCTTGCCTGTACTTTATCATCTCCCCATACTGAGCCATCATATTCACAGCTCTGAGCTACAAATAGGCTCTAGAGCTAAATGCCAAGGCTAATGCAAAACCTAATATGTACCCTATCCCCTTAGGTCCTTTGTGACCATGTGCTTTATACCTGTATCAGTTATCTTTTGCTGCGTAACAAACCAACCCAATACTTAATAACTATTAAAAATAACTAGATTTTTTAAGCAGTTTTATTATTTCTTAGGAGTCTTTGGGTATCCTAGAAAGTTCTGCTGATTTAGGCAAGGCTAATCTCAGCTGAGCTCAATGACATGTCTGTTGCGGTCAAGTGATGGGATGCTTGTGAGCTGCTGGTCACCCTACTATTATTAGCAGTACACTCAGAATGCATCAACTGCCTTTGCCTTATGCTTGAACTAGTTATTACCAGGAAGGCCACTCTGCCTCCAAAATGGGGAGAAGGTACACACTTACCCCATAGGTCAGTACAAAGAATGGAAACTGATGATGTGTAAAAATATGTGCTGATGATCTTGTCGTATAGAAGGAGTAGCACTTTGAGATAATGCTTACATTACTCAAGCCAGACATCCTAGAGGAGATGAGCTTGTTTTGGGATTTTGATGGAGAAGGAAGGCTGAGTCTTGGCAAATGTGATAAGGCTTAGCTATTGAGTAGGCTGAGCAAGAAAGGGTGGGGTGGGGGCAGAGCCAAGCAAAGGGCTGTGGGAAGTTTGCCAGGCCAGAGAGGAGGCGTGCACCAGGAGGTCGGCAGGCAGACTATCTGGGGCCAGCTGGGGACAGTCATAAAATTGAGACTGTCCCGGCCGGGCATGGTGGCTCATGCCTGTAATCCCAGCACTTTGGGAGGCCAAGGTTGGCGGATCATGAGGTCAGGAGATCAAGACCACCCTGGCTAACATGGTGAAACCCAGTCTCTACTAAAAATACAAAAAATTAGCTGGGTGTGCTTGCAGGTGCCTGTAGTCCCAGCAACTCGGGAGGCTGAGGCAGGAGAATGGCCTGAACCTGGGAGGTGGAGCTTGTAGTAAGCCGAGATCGCACCACTGCACTCCAGCCTGGGCAACAGAGCGAGACTCCGTCTCAAAAAAAAAAAAAATTTAGATTGTCCCAGCTGGAAGGGGTTTCAGAAGTTATCTAGCCTCATCATTGTTTAATAACGGGGGACAGTGAGGTCTCAGGGTCATGGACTTGTTTGTGGCCACCCAAAGGCAAGTAACAGAGCCCAAGTTCAAGCCCTCATCTTTTGACTTAAATCAGATGCTCTTCCATTCCTTATGGCTCTGCATGGGGAGTTTCTCCCAAGTGCACAGGGAACTGGAAGGACCTGGGAAACCACACTAGAGCCTCCAGCCTGCAGCCTTTGCCTCTTTTTCTTCCCCAAAGTCCAGCCTCTTCATTCCTTTCAGAGGCCACTGCCCTGGCCTTGGCTTTGTCCCCACCTGAGAAGAAGCAAGTCAGTAGAGTTTCCTGAGGGTACGTGGCAGGCCTGCCAGAGACCTCGCTCCTCCAGTGACCTAGACCTAGAGCAGGGTGCCTTTCGAGGGGAACGACTGGATGGCTGGGAGGGAGCCGGGGGTCTGGTGTACAAGGGCAGAGGGGTGGGCAGATCCTGCTTGTCCCTGCTAGGGTTGTGAGGCAGGTATGGGTGGGTAGTTTCTGCCTCTCTTCCCTTCCTAGCTCTTGTCTACTGTGCCAAAAGGGGAAATGACAAAAAGTCAGGTCAAAATTCCAGCTGGAATACTTGAAACACTTGATACTTGCCAGGAAATTAGTTCTTTAAACTGATTTTTCCATATAAAACCATCCAAGAGGTCGATGATTCAGGGTGGGACAGGATCCAAGGCTTTGTAATCAAAGAGTGGGACTCTTATTCAGGGCTTAGTAAGCCGAGGCAAAAGGACTCTGTTTATTTGTGAAAGTTTCAGTATATAGGATGATAGCCCCATATGCTCTGTGGCAGCTCCTGGGATGGGGCCTCATCTTCAGTCCCAGCCCTGATTTTGTAACTAGGTATGTGCAGATGTCAAAGATGGCCCCAAGACCCTGTTCCAGCAGCTTAGGTGATCTGACATGTGGGTCCCAGGCAGGAGGCCACTATGAACTTTGTAGGCTGCAAATGAACCCATGGTTTGTCTTTAAGGCCCAGCAGAGATTTAAGTGTATGGCTGTAGGAATGGTTACCACTAGATCACCCTCACCACCGGATGTTCCACCTAATGGGTCAGCCTTGGTACCAAGTCCTCCACCTTCCTCTGACCCCTTAGACTGCTGGGTGCCACAGGGTAAGGCCTGGGGGTAGATTGGTCAGGAGCCCTTGAGAAGCTTATCTGAGTCTGTGCTCCCCACCTTGAGCACAGGTCATGGAAAGTGAAAGAAGCCCTCATCTGCTTCCCCCATGGGGAGAGACGGCTTACTCCAGCTTGGTGCACAGGGCTGGCCACCACCAAAGCCTCTCAGGAGTTCAGCTGGGGTAAAGCAGCCATCTGGGCAGTGTCTGCTCCTGATGTTTGCATCTGGGCTGTGTTCTACTGGTGACAGGAGGAAACTCTGCTGAGGAGATGCTGAAAGGACTGCCAGGCAAACACAGCCCTTGGGCATCTCATCTTCCTGCTCCATGTCAATCCAGGCACCACAAGGCTGTGCTTAAAAGTAGGAAAAGAGTGGCCTGACACTGGCCAGCAGCCTGGCAGAAGCAGGGTGACCTCACATGGTTATTCTACAAGCTCACCCAAAGCCCATAAGCCTTTCTGAGTGTTGAGAACTCGGGGCACGCTGAGGACCTCTTAGTCTTCCCAGGGCCTGGCACCCATGAGGTTTCTAACTGCTGTTTGTTGAGCAAAGGAACACCCTGAACTCAAAATTCTCCAGACTTGAGACTCCCTGCACCTTGAATCTGTGCCCTCTGAGAGCCTGAGCATTGAGGAGGGTGGCTGGGAGGGGACAGGCTATGGGATGCATGGCCAGGGTGGTGAGAGAAGTGAAAGAGCTAAGGCAGTCAGGAAGGCACCTGCACCAGCACAGCCTGGGACAGCACGAGGGCACTGGGGAGAAGGACAAAGGAGGGGAGCTCAGCAGGAGAGGGGAGCCCAGCAGGCGAGGGGAGGCTGGAGGATAGCAATGATTGGCTTCTCCTTGCTTCAAATGGGTGCCAGCACCCAATGGTGAGCAGCACCCCAGAGCCCCTGAGAATCCTGGGCCAGGCCATGGGCTGCCAGTGTCCATCCACTGGGAGGGAGGCCAGGCAGAGTGAGGTGGAGACCCACACACGCCAGCAGAACGTACAAGAACACATGCTCAGATGCCTGTCCAGGTGGGTGTAACTCATATGTGCACATATTCCCAAACACAGACCTCCAGGGGCAGGTGCCCACCAGCTAGACCAGTATATGTGTGCATCATGTGTATGGTTGATATCTACATACGTGCATGGACACACACATGTCCCAGACCAGATTTGTACTGATAAGCACAGTAGGGTGGGGTGCAAAGGTCATAGCGTCACAGGTCCCAACCCCTCCCTCCACTAGCACGCTCTGTGAGTTTAGGCAAATTACTTAACCTTGACCTTTAGTATTATTATTTTTTAATAGAGGTGAGGTCTTGCTATGTTGCCCAGGCTGGTGTCAAACTCGTGAACTCAAGCAATCCTCCCACTTCAGCCTCCCAAAGTGCTGGGATTACAGGCGTGAACCACTGCACCTGGACTACTTTACCTTTATAAGCCTCATTTTTCTTACCTTATAAAAACAGTGCTGACTCTAATCTCACAGAGCTGTTCTAAGATTAAATGAGATGTTTCATGTAAAGAATCTGTCACAGAGCTTGGCACATCTGCTATTGGGTCTGAGTGCTAGTGAGACAGCCACATCCAGGGGCATGAGTGGGAGCACTGTTGTCAGAGACCCTGAGGGTCCCACCCCAGAGCCCCCTTTCCTTATCTTTAAATTGGGCATGGCAGTACTCTATGCCTCTCTGGCATGCTGTAGATATCAAGAAAGAACTGTGTGTGGGTGTCATGAAAGCTGGAGGGTGCTGTATGAAATGCAGTTGTTATAACCATCACTAGTCACCTCTGGCTTGCAGACTTGCCCCCACCCCTTCCCCTAGCCTGAGCAGAACCTTCTTGGCTGGTCAGAGCTCAGAAATGCTAGCAGGTGGCAGCCTTATGGGGTTGGAGGGACAATCTGCTGCAAATCCACTGCACTGCAGCCAGGCAGGGTACAGCCCCTCCCCTGAGCAGAGGGCCTGAGCCTCTGTGCACCAGCAGGAGACTGACCAGGTTTATGGACAGGAAGAATCCAGAGCCCTCCCCACCTGAAGGAAGAAGAGAAAGGGCCACTCATGTAGGAAAACACTTGTTGGGTTTTTAACACAAAAACTTCTGATCTGAGAGCATTATCAATGAGTGGGGGGTTGAGGGTGCTTCCATTCCTGAGAAGGAGAGGGAAAGGAACTACCTCCCTGTTAAGGGATCATGGAGTCAGAGTCAGGGTCACTGAGCAGGCCCACCACCAGGGCCTATCTGTCTAGACCGAGCTGCTCCATCACAGTCCCTAGCAGTGTTAGCCTTTCTCCTTCCCCTTTTATTAGCTGATCGATTGATTGATTATATTATATACTTACAGAAAAGTATTCCTACTTCTGGATGCCTGCCTTGGCTGTTGTCCAGAGATTCTTTGTTTCTTCTTTTTAAATAAGAGCTGAGAAAATAAAGGGTGACCACAGAATGAGAGGGTCCTGCCCTAAATCTAAGGCTGGGGTGAATGTCACAGCCAAGTTGATGAATTCCTGCAATCAAATCCACACTGAACAGGCCCTTTGTCCAGAGGGCCTCTTAATCTTTATTGATCTTTGGAATTCCTCAGGAACCGGGTTGGCAAATGCAGTTGCCAGATGTCACTGATGCTAGAGAACAGCCCTGCCAAAGCCCTCCTGCAGTGAGTGCCCCCAGGAGCTGCCCCACCAGGCCATGTTCCCATCCCCACCTTCCTCCTGGCCCTGGCAGCTCCAGCCCAGCAGCCCTAGTTGTTTGTGCCCTGCAGCTGAGGCTGCCAAAGCCAGACAGGAGAGCCTGGAAGGGGAATGAGGGAGGGAGAGCAGGGGAAGGAGGGGGTGATTTTTTTTTTTTTTTTTTTTTGCACACACTCCTATAAGGCTACTGAAGTCATTACCGATGTAATAAACCAACTAAGCAAGTGAGCACCTCTGACCAATGTTCCCATCTATAAACACAGCCTGGCCAGCCTCCCCCCTCCCCTCCCGCTCCCCTCTACCCTCCCTCAGGGATTTGCTCTCCCCTGACGTTTCTTTCTTACCCAGCCCCTTTTCCTCCTGCTACTTTCCTTTTTCCCTTCACTGGTTGCAGGGGGAGTGAGCCTGCCAGCTGTGAGGGCCTCTGTGGTGGAGGAGTTGGTGCTGATGGTGGTGGTAGTGACCGCTATGGGTCCCTGATGCCTGGCTGGCCAGCAAGAGGGCAGGGTTGGCCAGAGGAGGAAGACGGCGAGGACATGCGAGGGGTGCTGAAGAGGTGCATGGAGACGAGGCAGCACACTGAGGAGGCGATCCACCAGGAAGAGATGGAGCAGCTGGACTTCCGAGACCTCCTGGGGAAGAAGGTGAGTACCAAGACACTATCGGAAGATGACCTGAAGGAGATCCCAGCCAAGCAGATGGATCTCCGTGCCAACCTGCAGTGGCAAGTGAAGCCAAAGACTGTGTGCGAGGAAGAGAGGAAGGTGCACAGCCCCCAGCAGGTCGATTTCTGCTCTGTCCTGGCCAAGAAGGGGACTCCAAGACCCCATGCCTGAGAAGGTGCCACTGCCAAAACCTACCACCCCGGATTTTCACTCAGTGCTGGGTGGCAAGAAGAAATTACCAGCAGAGAATGGTAGCAGCAGTGCTGAGACCCTGAATGCCAAGGCAGTGGCAAGTTCCAAGCCCCTGAGCAATGCACAGCCTTCAGGACCCTTGAAACCCGTGGGCAACACCAAGCCTGCTGAGACCCTGAAATCCACTAGCAAAGAAGAACTCAAGAAAGACCTTAAGAATGATGTGAACTGCAAGAGAGGCCATTCAGGGACCACAGATAATGAAAAGAGATCAGAGAGCCAGGGGACAGACAGCCCCAGCCTTCAAGGAGAAGCTGCAAGATGTTCGTGTGGCAGAGGGCAAGAAGCTGCTGCTCCAGTGCCAGGTGTCTTCTGACCCCCCCCAGCCACCATCACCTGGACGCTGAATGGAAAGACCCTCAAGACCACCAAGTTCATCGTCCTCTCCCAGGAAGGTAAATGAGTGTGGGGGTTGGAGAAGAAGGGGCCTCTGTACCAGGGCCACTGCTAGCTCATGCAGCCTTGGTCTCGCTGACCTCTGTTAGCAGCCCATAGCTTGGGTAGGAGGGTCGTGCCCCTGTTTCCTGCTCACTCAAGGATAGGTCCCTGCTCAGGGGCCTTGGGTACATGCACCAAGGCTGGGGCTAAGGGCTGGGATCCTGGTCTTTGTGGCACATGCCCACATCTCGGCATCCGTCTGGCAGAGCCCTCTCATGGCACCCCCACCTGTGGCTCCCCAGAGGAGACCTGAGCCTGAGTTAATTCCCAGCTCCAGCGTGGAGAGGGCTCTGTTCACAGGCTTGGAGGTGGGGGACACGGAGGCTCAAGCCAGCGAGGAGCTCTGAGTAAAGAGCTGTTTAGAGCAGCGTCTTAGGTTAGGGGAAGGGTGGGCAGTGACCAGATGGCACGGAGCTCTGAGTTGGGGTCAACAATAACTTAAGTCTTGATAGCATTGTGGGTTTGAAGGGATCTGTCAGGAAAGCCAAAATCCCAAAACAGCCCCTACAGCACACACTCATGGGCAGACAGAGCTGCTCGCTTCCTAATTTGCATGAGACTTTTGTTTGCTGGTATTTCACATTCTTGGATGGTGGGGAGAGGAGGGGGCCCCCAAATCCTTCCATCTGTGTGGGCTTTTGGGGTCTGGAGTTTTCAGAGGGGCCAGTTTATACTTGGAGAAGAGATGGGGGTGACATAGGAGGATTTTCTCTGGACCCTGAATTTGGTTTGAAGTGCTTTTGTAAATCCCAAGTCTGGGTGGGAGCTCCGAGGCCAGCCGACCTCCACACCCCATTCTGGCAGCCAGCGGAGGGATAGGTTGCCAACGCAGAACAGAGTCCGGTCTGAGCTGATGCTGGTGGCTCTGGCCAGGGCAGGGTACAAAGAAGCTCCCGGGAAGTGACATTTCGCCCTTCAGGCCAGAGGGCAGCCACAGAAGAGGCCAGAGTGGACAGGTCCTGTCAAATCCGAGTCAGCTGAGGTGTCAGAGTGCTCTCCCCGTGGGCTGCTCCCCTCCCTGTCCCCTGGCAGCACCCTCCCCACTCTCTCCCTCACCTCCCTCACCTGCCTTCCCCTCACAAGCAACATGGAGCATTTGAAGATCACACAATCCCTCTCAGCCCCCAGTAAGGGTCTGTCTACCCTTTACATCTGGGACAGCACACCTGGAGCAGCTGAGCATGTTGAACCTCAGCGCTGAAAGAGTGAAGCGGACACTGGCTGGCAGAGAGAAAAGTGTGTTATTTTCTGCTAATGTGTTGACGCAGTAACTTTTCCATGTGGATGTCCTCAGATTGGCAGGGTCCTCCAGAAGTCGTCTCCTCCATCCCCCACCTCTGCTGGCTCAGCCCCTCTCCCCTGAGGCGTGGGGGATTATTGGGCTGGGGTGAGACGTCCAGAGGAGCAGATGCCACAGCCTGTCCTGCCACCCCTGTGGGGCTCTCCCACTTGGAAAGTCCTTGGTAAAACTGATTAGAAACCCTGACTGGGACCATTTCCCAGGTCACCCTACAGTGATCTCTCCAGGCAGGATGCAGAGTGGCATCCACCATCCTCAGGACATGTGCAGCCACACAGGCCTGCACAATGGGAGGTCTGTGGCTGCTCCAGCCTCAGGGAAACTGAGGTTAAGTCGGCTGGGAGCAGCTGCTCTCAGGCTTGCATGGGGTTTAAACCCAGAGCCATCAACAGCCATTTACAAATAATTCACTCAACTAAGCGATGTAAGGCAGACCCCAGGCCTGCTCTCAGAAACCCTTCTGAGCCATTAGCCACTGTTTTCTTGTGCCCTGAGTGCATGTAGTGTGTTTTCCTTGCTGGTCCCTGAGTGGTAAAGAGCCTAGAGATCCTAGCCACTCCAGCCTCCCTTTCCACGGAAACCGTCCCAGAGGGAACAATTCAGATCCAGAGCAGCAGCAGAAGAAATGATCCAAGGAAAGCTGCACATGGAGGGGAGAGAAAGACCAGGAGAGGTGGGAAGGGATTCCAGAGAAAGCCCCAAATCAAACTGTAAGACATCTTCTAAATATTTTTAAATTGTGTTTAAAGAATAGCTGACATCTCTTGAACACTACGTGCTAGACACTATCTTAGGCCTCTTACACTTTTCACCCATTTAATCCTCCCAACGACGACTGTACTGTCCAACTAACAGAGAAGTTAAGTACCTTGCCAAATGCAAGGTGCTGGGGGTAACAGAGCTGGGATTTGAACTCAGGTGGCTGAGTTCCCATGCCTAGACCACTGTGCTATATGACCTCTTAGTTAATTCCTATTATTTTGTCAGGATACTGGTGGCAGCTGAGAATTTGTCTATCAATAGAAAACACTAATCACTATTTACTCCTCTATTTTGTTAACAGTTGTCCAAAGGTTGAAACACTGATGGTGCCCCCAGCCTTGCCAGGTTTCTGGTATTTTCCCTGCAGTGGTGGAAGCAGACCTTGCAATGGACCTGCCTTGTTTCAATACAGGAGAGTGCATTGTCTCAAAAAATCAGCCCCACCTTCTGTCCCTTCACTCACCAAGACTTCAAGAGCCCGGTGTTTTGTTAAGGAAAAAGCTTATCTTAAGGCCTTGTCTATCAGTCACCACTTAAGCAGGTCCCTCCGCAGGGAGTAGGGCATTCTGAGAGGTGGAAGGAGTCTTTTCTCAATAGATCTGGAAAGAGGAGACAGGGTCTTACTCTGTCACCCAGGCAGGAGTGCAGTGGCTTGATCTTGGCTCACTTTCATGCTCAAGGGATCCTCCCACCTTGGCCTCAGTAGCTGGACTACAGGTGTGTGCCACCACATCCAGCTGATTTTTGTATTTTTAGTAGAGACAAAGTCTCCCTACGTTGCCAAGCCTGGTTTTGAACTCCTGGGTTCAAGTAATCTGCCTGCTTTGGCCTCCCAAAGACCTGGGATTATAGGCATGAGCCACTGTGCTTGGCCCCTTTACCTCTGTTATGTTATGTTGAGGCAGGACAAATTAGCTTGAATAACATTGGAAATATAACCCATGAGCTTGTCACTAAAGCAGCTATGTCTCAGCCATCAGACAGTTTCCCTGGGAGACCAACTAGACTGAGAACATGTAGGCAAGACAGGCAACTGGGAGTGGACAGCTTATTTTTTCTTGATATCTTTGAGACTGAATACACTCTTGCATAGAGGTACATAAACACATTGCTCATTAAAGTGTTACCAGGATCTATTTTAAATAACACGTGCCCGGGAGCAATATGTGCTATTCTCATTTCTCTCCATGACAGTCCCGCTACAGTAGACAGGAGAATGTCATAGAAGGTGAGCCTGGATTTCTGCTAAGCCTTTTACAAATGTCCTCCATGAAATTCTTGTATATAAAATGGTGAAAAATGAATGAGATGAGCGTATAGTTGGGTAGAATTGCTGTAGTTAAACTGCACAGACCAAAGTGTTTGTTAGGAGAATACAGTGAGCTTTAGATGGAATGCAGGTCTCTGGTAATGGCCACAGAACTCCTCCCTTGATTGTCGTGTTTGACTTTTAAAACAATCATTTCCTTAGATCAGGAGATCAAAGATATGCTTATACTGTGGGCAGATGATGCAGAACTGGTATAGTGGGCTTAATATTATAATAGATGACCCAAATCAAGATGTAAAATTATCTGGGCAGATACTAACACTAGGTCAAAATTAACAAGGGCAAATTTCATATCTGAGATCTACATTTTAAAATAAACATGCATGTACCACTCACTCAGTCTTTTGTATCTACCCTAGAGAAGCACTTGTACATGCGTACAAGGAGACGCTGTTTATGATGATTTTAAAAAAGAGAAATAATCAAAGAATTGTTAAGAAAACTACGGAATATCCACACTGTGAAATATACTAGGCAGATTTCCAGGACATGTTGCATGCAGGAAACTTGCAAAACGATATGTTAACCTCAAACACACATACACAATTTACACATTTCTGCTGATATCTATCTATCTATGTAAATGCACAGAAAGGTCTGGAAGGACCCCTAATAACTAATACCAGGATCTACCTCCAAAGAGAAACTGAGTTAGTATGGAGTTCAGAAAGGCTTTGGCTTTATGAGTAACCTCTGAAATTCAGAATGTATTTGTGTTAAACTTGTGTAATTAAGCTTTCTTTTTAAAGTTCAGCCTTGCTTTCAGCTTTTAAAAAAAAGTTTTACAATGTGGGAAAGGATAAAAATTCTTGGGCTTTCAGTTACCACAAACCTAAGAGGAGTCAGCATTGTGGAAAGGCTACAGAAAGCTAACTCATACTATACAGAAGGTGTTAGAAGTTTGGTGTTCAGACAGCCTGCAAGTACTAGAGTTCACTAAGCTGATCATGTCTGGAACACTGGGTTGGATCCAATTCTGGCAGCAGGAACACTGGCAACACAGAAAGAAAGTAGAGGAAAGAAATGCTATGGGGATTCTGAAAAGCATGACATCAGAATAATAAATATGGAACTACAACTGTTTAACTTGAAGACAAAAAGATTACGGAGGAAACAAACACGTTCCTGCAAATATTTGAAAGCTTATTATATAGATGAATCACTAAACTTGAGTTTCTCCAGAGGTAAACATGAAGACAAATAAATACAAGTGATTTTTTCTATTAAAAAATAAATAGGTCTGGCGTGGTGGCTCACGCCTGCAATACCAGCACTTTGGAAGTCCAAGGCAGGTGGATCCCTGATGTTGGGAGTTCGACACCAGCCTGACCAACATGGAGAAACCCCATCTATACTAAAAATACAAAATTAACCAGGCGTGGTGGCGCATGCCTGCAATCCCAGCTACTCGGGAGGCTGAGGCAGGAGAATCGTTTGAACAAGGGAGGCAGAGGTTGCAGTGAGCCGAGATCGTGCCGTTGCACTGCATCCTGGGAACAAGAGCTAAACTTCATCAATAAATAAATAAATAAATAAATAGAAAAAACATTCTAACTAACAAGAATGAATGACAAAATAGCCTGTCAGGCCAGATCATGAGCTCCCTGTTATTGGAGGTATTCAACTAAAATACTGTATATAAAAGATGTTGGGTTTTATTAGAAGAAAAACTATGTAATCTTTAATATCTCCAACAACTCTATGTTCTATGATTCCATATTTTGACTGCAGAATCAATTTTCAATTAATGTATATTCTCATCAATTCCAAATCCCACAGGTGGTATACTGTACCACCACGTGGCAGTAGATGCCTTGGGCTCTGGGTCCTAAAAGTTAGGTGTGGTTAAAAAGAAGTTAGCACAGTTTAATACTTTTAAAAATAAAATGATAAAATAAGAGAATAGAGTGCAAGCACTAAGCCAAAAAAGTAATCCCTTTTAAAGAAACATGTATCATTCATAATCTTTCTGATTATTCCATCACAATGATTCTTAATCCATTTACTTTCCTCTTGTACATTTCTTTTGTACAGGGTCTACGGAGACCCCTTATCTTCTGTGGCCTCCTCTCTCTGGTGTCAAGTTTCCTGACTTGTATACAGTTCCTCATCCCCATGTCTGTCCTTGATGCAAAAATCCCCTCTGCTTTCTCTGCAGCTGCAGATCATGTTTGCTACTACAGTCTTTCTTCTCGACCCAAGAAGAACTATCTGTAGGGTCAGAAAAACACCCCAGCCTCTTCCTGCTTCTAGCCTTCCTGCTCTGTATCCACACAGCTGAAGCCACAAAACAAGCAAGCAACAAACAAAAACAGAATAGGCCCCACCCCAACAGCCTGAAAGTATATGATTATCTTTTCCCAAATAGAAGAGAATAATCTTCCAGCCAGCTCTTAAAAGAGAAAACTTTCTGTCTCCAGCCACAGCTGTTGGCTTGGTAAAATTTGAATACAATCAATAACCCTCATCCCAGTCCCTAGAAACCTTCAAATGTTAACAACTGCCTTGGTTGAGAGTGAGAGATCACTTCAGAAAACCTAGTACTAAGGAAGTATTTCTGTAAGTGCTTGCAAGTAAATGCAAATAAAACAAGATTTTTTTAAACTGAGACTTAAAGCAATTTTACTATGTGCCTGAGTCAAGGTTCTACTCATCTTTGTAGTCCCAGGTGAAAGACCTCTTCTTCCAGCAAGCCCTCAGGATTTTAGGACTATGTTTGTTGTCTCTGCTATGTGCTCCCATAGCCTCCTCAGTGTCTCCCATCACAGCCCTGTACCTCCCCAACCACAGCCCTGCACCTGCCCTGTCACCATCCTTATGGCCACTCTACCAGTCTGTTTCCCCATTACATGGCAGGGCCTAGACTGTACCTGATGCTTTTACCAATGAGCCCCTAAACACAGTAGGACCCAATAAATATCCATGAGGCTATTATAAATAAACACATTATCAATTAACTATTTAATATGGAACCCCAGTCTAGGCAGCTGTTTTACTGAGGTAAATATCCATTCCACAAACACTTTGTGTCTCTTATGCTAGTATAGTACAGAAGGAGTCAGACCCAAGTCCTGCCCTCTAACAACATACAGTTGAGTAAGGAAGTCAAGACAATACACAAATACCTATGGCACAAAATATATAAAGGAGCACCACAAAAAGATGAATATTAGAGGATGGAAAAACAGGAGCAAAGGCACAGAGATCACCAAGTAGTTCACACTGGAGCTAAGCCTATGGGACAGGTAATACCGGGGCCAGAGCGTAGAGGTCCTTGAATAATACCTTTGAGTAGTCAGTATATGCCAGGCTAACTGCTTTACATTCATGATCTCATTTAGTCTTTGAAACAATTCCATGTAAAACCCCCTATCAAAAGAAGCAAACGTGTTCATAGAAGTCAAGAAAATTGCCCATGATGTCACAGTTGATAAGTGGCAGAGCTGGGATGCACACCCAGGCCAGCCTTATGACGATGGCAGCAATGCTGTGGTGCTTTGGAGCCTGGGATGCCAAGTTAAGGAGTTGCTACTTTATCCAATGGGAGCTACTTTGAGCAGGACCATGCCAAGGTTCAAAGATTGTGCTTGGGAAGACATATCAGACAGTAATGGGGAGAATAGATTGGGAGTCAGGTTTGAAGCCTATTGCAATAGTCCCAATGGTGTATCATTAAACTTCTGAACTGGAGAGTGGCGGTAGGACTGGCAAGGGGATTCAGAGCTGAGGAATTCCAGAGGAAGAGTGGGGACAATTAAGGATGATCCCAAGCTATGCACCTGAATGACTGGCAGGATGCGGATTTGGAAGTGGCTCTGCATATGTGCATGCCATGGGAAAGAGTAGGAATGAATGGGTGGGAGTACCGCAGCCTTAAGTCCTCAGGAGCTCCAAACCAGGGGGCAGCCTAAATCCTCCCCACTCTCTTCCTCTCCCTAAGCATTGCTGCTACCTGAAAAAGCTTCCTGAATTCCCTGAGCCTTCCCACCCATTTGGGCCATCTGAGCTCAGCAACTCACAAAAGCAGAGGGCTAATAATGTGACATGAGGCATCACACAACCATTACCACCCAGGTCCACTCTCCTCTGGCCAGCCTGACCCAGCACAGACAATGTCTGGTCCTAAACCAGCACTAAGAAGTGGAATAGCAGCAGACAGGAGTTAGAGGCCACAGGTAGTGACTCTGACTCCTTCACTGACTCCCTGTAACGTTGGGCCAGAAGCTTAACTTCTCTGGATCTCAGTTTCCTAATCTGTAAACCGAGGAGTTTGAACCAGAATCAGAAGTTGCAAACTAGGGGCACCTAGTGCTGCCACTTCAGCCCATTCTCTTAGTCTGTCCTGCAGAGATTCTGGCCTCATCACAGGAAGCATGTCAGGCCAGTATGCGAGATGGGGTGTGGAAGGAAGCCTGCACATAGGCCACACTGCAGAGACAGGGGTACACTCACAACGCTGGCAACCTTGGGCCGTCCTTGGTGCAGATCTTGACTCAGAACACAAGCCTCAGGAACAGAGTTTGCCCTGACTCAGACAGCATGCTCAGCTCTGCATCTGCATTGCCAAAGGGCCTCTTGGTAAGAATGCACAATACTCCCTCTCTACAGCTTGTCCTGCTCCTGCCTCAAGCTGCACCCCAAACCCGAATGCCAAATTTCAGAGAAAGAGAGTGAGATTATTAAGGGAAGATGAAAAGGAAAATTTTATAAAGTCACAGTCTATTATTTTTAAATAGTATTAGAATTCCAGGATAGATGGGGTGAGGCCAGGGCCTAAAATAGCAGACCCTCAAGAAAGCAAGCATCCCTGCATGACCAGATAGAGATTTCACAGAGAACCTGGAGAAAGAAATGGCTCATAAAAATGGAACAACCAGGAAAATAATGAGACCAAAAATAAACCTGAGAGATGCCAATGCCAAGGTCAATCCCAAAGGTTATTTTGTTCCAATGGGACCAAATCAGTGGAAACAATTGATGATACTCTTAGTACAAGTGGTGTCCTCAAGAATGAAAATCCTTCCCAACTTGCTCTCCTTGATGGACAGGAGCGAGGTCAGGGTTGAAACTGCAGTGAGGGCATGGGAACCTGACTGACAAATGAAGTGTAAATAAATCACCAGAACCACATGGCATCCACCTGGGAGTCCTAAAGGAAGTCAAGGGTGAAACTGTGGTGAGGCTGCCCAAAATGTGTAACCTCTGATTACAAAGTCACTCATGCTCTAGAACTGGCAGAGTGCCCATGTAGCCTCCATTCATATGAAAGGATCCAGGGAGAATTCTAATTTTCATACCAGGAAAGTAGGCAGGACATAGCTTAAGAATAGGACTTCTGAGCATGCAAGCAAGCATGATCTATGAAAGGAAAAGACAGTAAGGCTCTTATAAAAGCAAAGCTTGTTTGTAATAGTTTTTGAGAGAGTAAATATGAATGTGAACTAATGAAAATCTGTCTATTTACATAAATCTAATTTACATGAAATTTCCAAGATACTATAGTAAAAAGCTTTTTTAAGTTGAACAACAACACAACAGGAAAAACACTTTTTCAGTGAACTACTTGGAGGCCAGAAACAAAATGAAAAAATACACTGACATGTCTCCAAATTAAAGAAATTTTGAAAGTGCTGTTCATAAGCCATCAGGACACTAGAACTTGTCTTATATAACATTCTTATAATCTGTAGGAGGGAGCTAATGTGAGGTACTCTATGGGTCTACACTTTCCAGGCAGGAGAAAGAAGCACAGACCAAGAGAAATGATAGGACAGTCTTTCCAGGTTCTAAGAGTTGATGAGGAAGAGGTAACTGAGTTTCAGCGTGAGGGATCTATCTACTTCATAATAGTTTCTTAGTCTCCTCTCTCCAGATAAGATAAATTCTGGGCTCCATTCTCTGGACCTTGTGATTGTGGGCTCCAAAACTTACATATGCCTGGAAAACAGGAACAAATCCAGATTTAACTCACAGAAAATGCTTCTGACTAGACTATCAAAGAGATTGTCCACTGATTTGGTTAAACCCTGACCAGTCAGGCCTGCCATGGCCCTGCCCTTCCTTCTTCATGACGGTGCCCATTCAATTCATGGAACTCCAGATTTAGAAATTCAGGGCAAACATTCATAGAAAAGTCATTCTGAAGCTATGAACTGAGAATTCTAAAACAAACAATAGAGTATAATTGGATTTATCCATTCCTTCCATTTTTGTTACTGCATCTCTGTCTTGGGCATATAGCAGGAAGCTGACTGTAGAAATGCAAACCTGAGTTAGCTCAGCATCCCCTGCCTAGCCCCACTGTTCCCTTGTAACCTATCCCATCCATCTATTCTGCTTCTCCTACTACCTCCAACCTGGTAAGAGGCATTGCAACACTTTCTTAGCCTCTATCTCTGCTGTCCAAGTCCGTTCATTCCTTTCAAACTACAGGCCACAGAACTTCTCCCCTCAGTCATCCTATAGCATGATGAGAACTTGAAAGTTACTACACTATTCTGGGCTTGAGGTCAGTGCCTTGATGGAGAAGTCAGAGACAAAGGACTTCCATGTTGTGTCACCTGCAAAAGCCTATTCCAATAAATTATAGTAGCTATGTGCATAGGTTCGAATCCTGGCACTCCTAATTATGAGTTCAGTGAACTCAGAGCTCAATATCTTCCTTTGCCAAACAGGTAAAATAGTGTTTATCTGCTTAAAAGGGTAGTTCTGGGGATCAATTATGGTAATGCTTATTTTACAGAGCTTGATACAGTAGTTAGTGCATAATAAGCAATCCATTGATATTAGCTAATATTAACATCTTCCTAAACAGAAGATTTATTCCTTTTTAAATTTTCTCCTCAGTCTAAATGCGGCTTTTAAAAGGCTACTTAAAAAAAATGGGGGTGACTGATGGTAGTTCTGTGTTCTACAGCTCCTTGGCTCTTAGTTGTGCCTATAGTATCTTTTTGCACACTATTTTCTTAGGCTTGTCTATATATTGCTTAATAAATTGTGAAGTCCTTCCTATGTGTCAATGTCATTGCTGCCTGTTCTTGAGTAAAGTTTGCATAGAAAAGGCAGCATGCCTGCAATTTTAAAAGGAGTGGGCCATTTACTGCTTCCAAGAGGCTCCACAGATGACATTGTTCTTGATTAACCCACAAGGTAAAGTGTGTGTGCTCTGAAACTAGACTGGGTCAGGACTTTGGGAGCAGATCTATCACTGGGTGAAGATTCGTATTAACCAAGCTCACAAGGCTGATGTATAAGCCAGAAACTCCATATCTTGAGTGCCAAAAGTAACAGTGAAACGCAACTGCCACAGGACCCTGGAATGCTCAGTTCACTGTAATCAGTGTAGGCTGATGCACTGGAGATGCCAAGCTGTCATCAGAACGTTGCATGATGAACATGTAATCAAGGCTTGGGAAGTCTGCAGAGCAAGTCATGGTTCAACATCAGCAGGCCATGATAGGATGGACTAGCAAGAATAGTGCTCATCCTGTTGGAGAACCAAAGGGCCCTGGTGGGCAGCCAGAGTCTGAATGGGCACCACCAGCTTCTGCTTCAACTTGCCTTTCAGAAGTGCCCTGGCTGGCCAGCACCTTCTATACAATCTTTCTCCAAATTGCACTCAGAGCAATTAATTAGGTTTTATGTTACTAAATTACAATCTCATTTCAGCCAATATCCCTGAGATTATTTCCAGGTCATGCTGATGGAGTCTTTGGCTTCACATACTTGCAAAACACCTCCTGGTCCATAGCTACAGATGGTAGATCACATCCATGGGGGATACATGGATGGACCTAATTGAACCTTCAGAGGCAGCTTCATTTCTATTATTTCCAGGTTCCTGGGGGTGTGGGAGGATGGGCTTCACTGTTACCTCCAGGAAACCTCTATGGGCTAAATTCCCCTGGGCCAAGATCCCCATCTTCTCTTTCATTTCAAGGTTATCTCACAAGTAGAACAGGAATTCATTTGCAGTAACCACCTCATCAATGGCATTGATTGACTTGTCAGGTGAAACTGCAGATATTTGCTTTATCAACAGGAAGAGACCACTTTCAAGTGTTGGTTGGAAAGAGGGAGACAGACAGACAGAGGAACAGAAAGAGACACAGAGAGCAGATACAGGGAGCAGATCAGAACAGAACAAGTCCAGGAATAAGAATGCACTGAGCTGCTGCCTTTACAAGGACTTGCAGAAGGAAGTGTAATATGTTCCTGGATTGTATTTAGGAAATTGATATCCACTACTTAAAAAGGAATAGCTCCTCTCCCACTACATTTATCCTGTACAATATCCTCTTTTTCTTCCCTGGTGTCAACAGCCTATGGAAAAAACATCCAGCTTTAGTTGTTAGAAGAAAGAAACTTGAAACCTGGCATAGAAATACATCTTATTCCTCAAGTCTCAGATTCCTTAGCCTAGAAGAGATCTTCAAGAGGTCTTTTAGGAATCTCTCTGACTCAAGACCTGATGTGCCCAAGGGAAATTCTAACAGAGGAGACACTTTGTAATTTGGGAAATTCTCACCTTCCTACATAGTTGTGACATGGACATCTTTTGCTCTCTTTCTCTGGGTTTAATTGAGGGGCAAGGCAATGTTGATGAAAAGAGCTATGGTTCAGATGGATCCCCTCCAAAATTCAGATGCTGAAACTTGATGGCCAATGTGATGGTATTAAGAGGTGGGGTCTTTAAGAAGTGACTAAATTATGAGGGCTTCTCCCCTCATTATGAATGAGATTAAGGCCCTCATAAAAGAGGACGCAGCGTTCGAGGCACAATCTTGGAAGCAGAGACTGAATCCTTACAACAAACCTGCCAGCTCCTTGATCTTGGACTTCCCAGCCTCCAGAACTATGAGCAATAAATTTCTGTTCTTTATAAGTTACCAAGTACCAGGTATTTTGCTATAGCAGCACAGATAGACTAAGACAGATGTCTTCAGCTCTCCTCTTTTGGGTTGAGTTGCAAGGCAATGTTGATGAAAAGAACCCAAGCTTTGGAGCCAGACAGCCTTAGGTGAGATCTTCGTTTTGAACATTTCTGGCAAATCACTTAACCTCTCTGGGTATGTTTTTGCAGCTATAAATGGGAGTGACTACTACATTTCAGAGTTGTTGGGAGAAATAGAGATTGCATTTGGAAAGTGCTTAGTCAATGAATTTCCAGCAAACTTATACCTGCAAGGGATGGGATGACACCATTACAGAAGTCACCCACCACGTAACACCTAACTGAGCTCAGATCACCAAGCATCCCAGCACACCTATGCAGGCATGTACACCATGCCACCCATGTCATCTAATCAGGCACAAGGCTGCCTCCCTCCCCTTACTGATCACCTTCCACATAGAAATGCTAAGTTTTAAACATGAGGTTTAAACATGAATAGAAACCTTTCAATGACAGATATCAGCACACACACAAAAAAAAGATAGTTGAAGCGAGCAAGACAAGGCAGAAACTATCCCTAATTAAGTCAATTTCAATCACACAAATATTATATATGTGAAAGGGACTTTAACAGTCATTCAGTGAAATCCTCTCTTTTTATAGGTGGCAAAACTGAGACCTAGAAAGGAGAAGGGACAGACCCACGACAATGACAGAGGAGTCCTAAAACCAAGACCTCCTGACTGGGCTGAGGACCCACTGAAATGGACACACAAGGCAAATGCCAGAGGAAGGGAAGGTCAAGCTTACATTTACATAGCCGCTACTTTATAAACAACACTGGGATAGGCACTGAGACTTAGGAAACAAGTTCCCAGCTGTCCGCCAGGAGCTTAACGTCTGTCTAGCTGGGTAGCAAACACCTACCATGTGAAACAGCAATAACGAAAGGGGGTTTGTGATGACAAGTCATGGAACGTGTTCAGAGAGATCAGAGATGGAAACAGGGTGATGTCATAGAAGATCTCTTCCCCATAGGCAGTGGGATATGCTGCAGCCTCATAAAGACAATGGCTAGGATGCAAAGAACATTCAAGCAAAAGTTCCAGCAGGAACAAAGCCTTGGAATCTAGACTCAGTATGGTATGTTCTCAGTAAACAAAGAATGCCAGCAGGTTCTGCAAGGACCTGGTAAGTATGTATGTGTATGCTTCCTGGACCTCTCAGCACGGATCATTGAGCTTGGTACTGAGAGCAGAGACTTTCAGGGCTGCAAGTCTTTCAGCCATCACCACTTCACAGTCTCTGCTTTCACTCCACACATGCTATCTTTAACAGTGGTCTCTGTCCATAAGCCCTAGAGAGCAAGTCCCCAGAATATAGGGATCAAATCCAGCTAACTGTACTAACTGTAATCCTATCTTCATCTCATTTTTCCTACCTTAATTTTTCCTCTGCCTCTATTTCATCACCTCCTTATTTTTCTTTATTTTATCTTGTCATGGCACATTTTTTAAGCTACTGTAAATTCCTTTCAAAGCAAGATGGTATCTAAATACATGCCTGCTAGTCAAGCCCATTTGCACAGCAGCCTGATGAGGAGGTTCTCCAGTCTCTCCTCCAGAAATATCTTGGTCGCCCCACTCACTGACTCACCAAATTCATCCTTCCAGGCCTAGGTCAAGTGTTCTACAAACCATTCCCTAACTCCCCCAGGCAAAGCTCACCTCCCTTTCCTCTGAGCTTCAGCTGCATGTGGTATCTACTCCTTTAGAGCATTTACCCTAGTCCACTCTGCAATCCACTCTAAACACTGCTAAAAAATTAATTTTGCTAAAGCAAAGCAGTCCTACCATATAATTCTCTCACTCCAAAATACTCAATGGTTCCCCATTGCACAGTGAAGAACTCTCTCACTTTACTACAGTTTACATTGTTTGATTTTCTATTTTTGCCCTATACACCTAAAAATCCAACCTGCCTGTTTTTCTCAAGCATGCCTTGTTCCCTGCTACAAGTAAAAGGGAGCAGCAGATTTCATGTAATTCTCTCTAGCACTAACCCTGGGCTGTGCACGACATAGAGGGACACGTGTCGACTCAGCTCTGGGAGATCCCCAGTCTCTCAGACATCTTAACCATGTTCCCTCAGTATTACCTCCTACTACTACTGCCAGGTTTCCATGAATTCCTTCTTCCCACAGGGTGATCCAATAGAAAGAATGTGGACTATGGAAATAGACAAATAGACTAATTGGTTCAAGTCTTAGCTCTGCCACTTAACAGTTGTGTGACTTTAGGCAAGTTCCTAGCCTCTCTGGGTCTGTTTATCTTAAAAATAGGGCCCACAAAGGTCATTTTAAAGATTAATGAGATATTTGTGAAAATGTTCAACTTTATACCAAACGTGTGGAGGGTATTCAATAAATACTAGGTATGATTACTAATGATTATTGTCCTTACTGTTATTCATGCTTCCACATCCAGACAGACCAAAGCAGGAGGTCAGACACCCACTTTACATCCTCAGTCTTCAGTCTCAATGCAGGCACTCCCAGGGCCTGGAGGCCCTTTTCACATCACAAATCACATTGCTACCTCATGCATCCAGTGGAAAATGTCACGTTGTTCCTTCCTGAGGCCATCACTCAGTGCGGGCTCCTCTTTACCCCTCCCCAATTCCTCCAAGCGCCATGATATTTTTTTTTCTTTTTGTAAAAAGGATATGTCCCCAGTGCTTCTGTCAATAAGCATTATTCAACTGCTGGGGAAAGAGTGTAAATCAATAAATATTTAAAATCTACTAGGCTTCTCCATCATCTCCAGACATGGAAGGGCAGAGGCCTCGATGTTAGTCTATGATGAAGGCAGATGGGGAAGGGGGTTTTGCACTAGCTGCCTCTTATTTTTGTCTCTTGCCTAAGCACAGATATTGAGTATGTCAGGTGGAAACAGAGGTGCTGCTAGATGAACTCTAAAGATTAAATCTCACTCTATAGCACACTCAGCAAAAAAGAAGCCTCCCAGGAACATGAAATGTAGATGGAGGTGGGACTGTCATTGGTGTCACTGGGCCAACCAGCCTTTTTGGTTTTAGTTCTAATTTCACAAGATGGTCTGGATGCTCACATGCTGCAACCTCACTGGATGTCACAGAGGATGCTACCTGTGGAAAGGCAGGTTACACCAAGTGGAGGCTGACAAGGGCCCAGACAAGTATACTGAGTTCGACAGATGGAGGTGGGTGGTTTCCTCCCAGAAAGAAGACCATATCCCTAGCCCCAACTTCTAGAATTGGGATCTAGATCCTAGAACTGGAATTTGGTTAAGTTATCCAAACTTTGTCATCCTGCCCCCTCAATGATGAGATTTTCAGACTAGCCACTCAGGGTTAAAGGAGGCACTGCCTATGGAGTAGAAACCATTTGTTCCTCTGTGTAAGTCTAGCTGGGCCCCATAGGAATCAGACCCATGGTTTGACCTCCTTAAGGCCACTGCCAACCAGCTGAGCTATGGCATAGGGCCTCAGGAAACACGTGCAGTACATCAGGAAGCAGGTGGGTAGTTACGAGACTACGTCAGGAGTCTCTCAAACTGTGTCTTCACATCCTAGTCAGGCCTCACCAGTCCTCTGCCCAATTCATGCACCCAGAACCCAGAGCAGTTCATCAGGATAACTGGTGAGTGGCTCCCCTGGCCAGCATAGCTGCCCCAGTGCCTCTCTGAAAAGGTGAGTGTATGTTAGGAACAGGTACCTCCTGCCTGCTGTGCCCTCCTGCTCACTTCTCAATTCTGGTTTCCATAAACACATCATCAGCAAGAAAGGCTGACGTGGCAGAGAGATACACAGGACATAGACTTTGATACGTAACCCAGAAGTCAGGGATGTGATCCTTCTCCCCATTTCTACCTTATCCTAAGTGCACAGACCTATCCCATATCTTTCCTCTTGTTTTTGTTTTTTGGGTTTTTTGTTTTGTTTTGCTGTGTGCTTCAAATTGATTTAATAAACCATGTGATCTGAGCATCCTAATTTGGCTGTGAGCTTCCAGTTCCATGACCCCTGGTTTGGGTGACAACTATGTGTAGAGCATACTTGAAAAGGCCACCATTGCATCAGAGTAATTCCCCATCACAACAGGGGTGGGTGGGGTAGGAAAGAACAGTCAAGGTCAGGGATGTAGGAAGAGAGGATAAGTGCTAATATCATATCTGAAGGCAGAGTAGGATTAGGGCCTCAGAAAATATCATTTTACTGAGAGCCTGGATATGAGCATCCCCTTTCTGGCTCTGCCACGAAGAAGTTGTGGACTAATCACTTTGCCTCCTGGGAACTGTTTTTTAATCTAAAGGAATGAGGCAAATAGACTAAATTATCTCTAATGTCTCTTCTGGAACCTTCTGGATCTCCCATTTGGGGATTTAAAGTCTGCTTCAGCCTGCACTGCAGCTAACACTGCATCCTTATAAAGTGGAGTTTGTGTAAAGATATTGGAGCTTATGTAGCTAGAGCATGGAGATCACCTAGCTCACATATTAGTACTGGGAAACTAACTGAAAGTGGGGTTGGAGAAAATTGTGTCTCCTAAAAGCCTCATATTCTCCTAGTCAACCAGGGGCTCCTGTTTGCCCTTCCATCACTCTCCACCTGTTCCAGGCACATCTTCTGTCCCTCTCCAGCTGGCTGAGTGCCCAAGGCTGACCTAGATGGATCATATGAAGGCTCCCTTGCCCTCTGGCATTCTGCTGAGCTCAGCCTTTGAAAAGTCATGGCAGGAGATCAGAAGAAGCAAGGAGGGTGAAGCTGCGGAGTTCCCTATTCCAGACACTGTCACGGCTGCCCATGAGCTCGCTATGTCCCTTAACCCAGGTCATAGCTCCTTTTGAGGTTGCTCTTTCACACACATTCTGGTAACCACCCACTTCCCTTACTTGTTCAAGTCTAAATCCCTCCCCACACCTTTGTAAAGAGTCCCTTCATTAGGCTGGCGCTGTGGCTCATACCTATAATCCCAGCACTTTGCGAGGCCAAGGCAGGTGAATCACAAGGTCAGGAAATCGAGACCATCTTGGCTAACACGGTGAAACCCCATCTCTACTAAAAATACAGAAAATTAGCTGGGCGTGGTGGTGGGTGCCTGTAATTCCAGCTACTCAGGAGGCTGAGGCAGGAGAATCCCTTGAACCTGGGAGGTGGAGGTTGCAGTGAGCCGAGATTGCGTCACTGCACTCCAGCCTGGGCGACAGTGCGAGACTCTGTCTCAAAAAAAAAAAAAAAAAAAAAAAAGAGAGTCCCTTCATTAAACCTTCCTCAAGTTACCCAACATGCCTGGGTCATCTGTTTCTTGCTAAAGCCCTGACTGGTACATCTAATGAACCCATTTTCACCCTAGTGTCATCTTTGAACAATTGATTCGCTCTGAAAATCTCTATACTATGCAACTCAGCACATTCAGGACTCTCTCTGGTGCGGCGGAATTTCCAGACAGAAGCTGAGTTTTCTTTTCTCTACACCCCTCTTCATCCCCTGCAAAATTTCCTGTGCAACATAGAAAGAAAAAAAAATCATAATGGCTAGAACTCTCAGTTCTGAGCACAGATGAGCAACACAACACAATGTTCATGTCATTGTCTAATATGCTCTCCCACCTAGCCTGATGACTCAATATCTCTTGTGGGAGATGACCCGCTGCCCCTCTCCCTGACAACACTCAGGCCACCCTCCCAAGGAAAAGAGTGTCATTAGGGATCCTGGATCCCCATCAAGCCCAGCTCTTCTCCTGCTCCCACCAACTCACCAAAACTGGTAGGTGAGCTGAGTTGGATGTCTCTGACTGGCTTCCAGAAAAGTTATGTTCTCTCTCAGCCCCACTCTAAGCTTGAAATCTCAACTTCTTGAGATGGTTTCTTTTTAGTAATAATAATAAACAGTTGTTGAGAATTTATGGACTAGATACTGATCTAAGCATTCTGTGTTATACAATTCCATCTTTACACAACCCTGTGCAGTAGGAACCTTTATTATCTCATCTCACTTTAAAGAGGAGAAAATGGCACACAGGTTAAAACCACATGCCAGGATTTGGGCCCATGCAGTCTGGCTTCAGAGCCTGTACTCTTTTTTTTTAACTAAGCAATGTTTTAGTCATGTGGAAAAGTACAAAGAATACCATAACTAGTCACCATAACCTAGATTTAACAATTATTAGCTTATTGCCATATTTGCTCCATCATTTTTGCTGAGTTATTTTGAAGTGAATTACAGACATCCTGACAATTCACCCATAAATACTACAATATGAATCTCTTAAATATGAGGGCACTCAGCTACAATACCATTACCACATCTAACAAAATTAATAATAGTTCTGAACATCATCTAATAACCAACCTATATACAAATTTCCCTAACTTCACCCCAAAATATGTAACCCTTCTGAATTCACACATCCTCCTTGCACAGGGCCAGGCTCATCTTGCTGAAATTGTTGCAGTGTTGGCTCATATGCTGTTGCTGAAGCCACATCAGCACCCAGCCCTATCATCATGATGCTATATGCTCCTTGCTATGATTTTCCTTCTTAGTCTTTAAAAATAAGAAACCTTCTCTCTTACTCCAGAACTCCTTCCACTCAATTCTGGTATAAATCTAGTACAAAGCAGTCTTTCCTGAGTGAAAAAGACCCACCTTCCCAATGTAGCTCCTGCCCCACTGTAGCCAAGACCATGTGAGAGACACAAGTAAACATACAGGATAAAACACTGGATATGTACGATAGACACAGAGTGCTGATTGGTGCGTTTTTACAGAGTGCTGATAGGTGTGTTTACAAACCTTTAGCTAGACACAGAGGGCTGATTGGTGCATTTACAATCCTTTAGCTAGACAGAAAAGTTCTCCGAGTCCCCATCCGACCCAGAAGCCCAGCCAGCTTCACCTCTCAATAAGGTCTGTTGAGCGCTGTTCACTGTTGCCTCATCCAGACAGTTGGAGAGGTGGTGGCCTGACCTAATGGTTAAAACACGCCTAATAGGGAAACCAGATACTGGTCTAAAGTTGATGACCTGAAACCCATCAGACAGCATCTCCTGGATCTGTTTGTCTCCAGTAACATATTTGGTTCCACCTCTCTCTTGGGGCCAAGGCAGATCCACTAACTGGGTAACCCTAGTGACAAATAAAATGAATTAAATAAGTTTTTAATGAACACTTCCTGGCTCCCTGTACTCATCACTTTCTTCACTGACACAAATAGTCTAATTTTTTTTCACCCATTTAAAAAAAAAGGACCTGTTTCCAACCTTGGATACACCTATCAGACCTGTCTCCAACCTTGAGTACATCTATCAGACCTCTGTAGTGACTCTGACATCACAAGTTGACCGCCCTGAGATCTAATTCATGTGGCCTTAGTATCTTGAACTGGCTCAAGATGCCCCTTTACCTATGCCTTTTCTGACAATGAAAATGCTTCTCACTTGTCTTTTCAAAATCTTCCTTCCCCTTAACTTGTCTGCTCCCCTACCCCCCCCCAACACACATATGTGATGGAGAGCTGCTATTAATTGCCACCATTGTGCAGCTAAAGAACCAGTAGCCTGGCAAGGCATTAGCTCACCCCAATTCAGAAGAAACATTACATGTTTAGAGGAAGGTTCATATCAAAATCTCAAGATACAGACAAGAATGGGGGAACACCTTATGTAGTGACATAGACTTTTTTGAGAGGAAATTTGGCAATTTCTATCAAAATGTTAAATGTTCATGGCTATATTAATATCAAAGAAGATTTCACAGCAAAGAATATTACCAGGGATAAAGAGGGACATTTCAATTCATCAAGTAGACCTAACAATCCTAATAAGACAGCTTCAAAGTACATGAAGCAAAGCTGATAGGATTGCAAGGAGAAATATAAAAATTTATAATTATAGTCAGATAATTTAATATCTGAAAAATGCAGCAATTAATAGAATAAGGAGACAGGTCATCAGTAAAGATATGGAAGACTTGAACAATGCTATCAACCAACCTAACCGAACTGACATTTATAGAATATTCCACTTCATAACAGCAGATACACATTTTTTCAAATGCACAGGTAGCATTTATCAAGGTAAACCATATGCTAAGCCATAAAACAAATCTCAATAAGTTTAAAAGGATTAAAATCATGCAAAGTGCTATATAAATTATACCTCAGTTGGTTTTTTTTTTTAAGTCATACAGAGTATGTTCTCTGACCACAACAGAATTAAACTAGAAATCAAAAACAAAAAGAATCTAGAAAAAACTCCCAAATATTTGGGAAGTAAATAACATACTTCTAAATAACAACTGAGCTACTAAGAATTCAAAGGAGGGGCTGGGCACCGTGGCTCACACCTTTAATTCCAACAATTTTGGAGGCTGAGGCCGGTGGATCACTCACTTGAGGCCAGAAGTTCAAGATGAGACTGACCAACATGGCAAAATCCATCTCCACTAAAAATACAAAAATTAGCCAGACGTGGTAGCGCACGCCTGTAATCCCAGCTACTCTGGTGGCTGAGGCACAAGAATCGCTTGAACCCAGGAAGCAGAGGTTGCAGTAAGCCAAGATTGTGCCACTGCACTCCAGCCTGGGTGACACAGTGAGACTTTGTCCCCTGCCGGCTCCCCCAAAAAAAAGAATTCGAAGGGGGATATTAGAAAGAATCTCAAAGTAAATAAAAATGAAAACACATTATATAAAAATCTGTGGGATGCAGCTAAGGGAGACTAAATCTGTGGGATGCAGCTAACGCAGAAAGATATTTATAGTGCTAAATACCTATTTTGAAAATAAAGATCTCCCATCAATAAGCTCCTATTCTACTATAAGAGCAAGTGAAATCAAAGTGGAAGAACAGAAATAAAAAAGATCAGAGCAGAAGCAATAAAATAGCAGGAAAACAAAAACAAAAAAATCAATGAAACCAAAGTGGGTTATTTGAGAAGATCAATAAAATCAAAAAACCTCCACCCAGACAGATCAGAAAATAAAAGAAAAATCTCAAATTACTATCAGCAGGAATGAGAGAGGTGGCATCACTACAGATTCTATAAATGTAAAAATAATAAGAGAATATTATAAACAACTTAATGCCAGCAAATTGGACAACTTTCACAAGATGATCACATTTCTTGAAAGACACAAACTACTAAAATTCACTCAAGGAGAAATCACTAACTTAAATAGGTATTTATCTACTAAAGAAATTAAATTTGTAGCTCAAAAGCTTCCCCCACACACCGCCCCCCCCAACAAAACAACTTAAGATTCATATGGCTTTTTTTTTGTAAATCTGTGAAACATTTAAGGAAGAAATAATATCAATTCCATAAAAACTCTTCCAGAGGCCAGGCCCGGTGGCTCACGCCTGTAATCCCAGCATTTTGGGAGGCCAAGGTGGGCGGATAATGAGGTCAGGAGATTGAGACCATCCTGGCTAGCATGGTGAAACCCTGTCTCTACTAAAAAATACAAAACAAAAAAATTAGCTGGGCGTAGTGGCGGGCGCCTGTAGTCCCAGCTACTCAGGAGGCTGAGGCAGGAGAATAGTGTGAACCCGGGAGGCGGAGCTTGCAGCGAGCCTAGTTCTCACCATTGCACTACAGCCTGGGCGACAGAGCAAGACTCCGTCTCAAAAACAAACAAACAAACAAACAAAAAACAACAACAACAAAAAGCTCTTCCAGAAAAGTGAAGAGGAGGGAATATTTCCCAACAACTTCTATGAGACCAGCATTATTCTGATGCCAAAACTAAACAAAGGCCATGTAAGAAAAAAAAAAAAACTGTAGACTACTATTCCTTAGGAATATAATGTAAAATTCTTAATTAAATTTTAGCAAATAAAATCCACAATATATAAAAAGGATAATACATCATGACCAAGTGGGTTTATCCCAAGTATAAAAGGTTGGCTTAACATTTGGAAAACTATTCAATGTAACTTACCATGTTACGGGTTGACTTGTATTCCCAAAAAAGGTATGTTAAAGTTCTAATCCCTGGTAGCTGTGAAAGTGGCCTTATTTGGAAACACGGTGTTTGCAGATATAATCAAATTTGGATGAGGTCACTAGGATGGTCCCTAATCCAATATGATTGATGTCCCGATAAGAAGAAAAAAAACTGCATATGAAGACAGAGACACATAGGGAAAAATGCCATGTAATGGCAGAGGCAGAGATTGGAGTGACGCAGCAGCAAAGAATACCAAGAATTGACAGCCACCACCAGAAGCTAGGAAGAGACAAAGAAAGATTCTGCCCAGAGTCTCAGAGGGAGCATGGCCATGCTAACACTTGGTTTCAGACTTCTCTCCAGAACTGTGAAAGAATAAATTTCTATTATTTTAAGCTACCCACTTTGCACTACTTTGTTACAGCAGCCCTAGGAAACTAATATACCATATTTAAAAAGAAATACTAGTCTGAGCGTGGTGACTTACACCTGTAATGCTAGCACTTTGGGAGACCGAGGTGGGCAGATCACTTGATCCCAGAATATTGAGACCAGCCTGGGCAACATGGCATAACCCATCTCTACAAAAAATACAAAAAGTAGCTGGCATGGTGGCATGAGAGTCAGGTCCTGTCTCAAAAAATAAAATTAAATTAAAATTTTAAAAAGCAATAGCATATGATCATCTAAGTAGATGCAGGAAAATAATTTGACAAAATCCAATATGCATTTCTGACCAAAACTCTCAGCAAACTAGGAATAGAAAGGGCTCTCTTAATAAAGAGCATCTACCAAAAATCTATAGTTAACAGCAAGCTTTTTCCCTAAGATCAGAAGAAGGCAAGATGTCATACTGGATGTACAGTGCAATAAGAAAAGGAAATTAAAGGCCTCCAAATTGGAGAGGAAGAGGTAAAACTGTCTGTATTAAAGATGATATGATTGCGACTTAGAAAATTCCATGAAATATATTTTTTAAAACTACTAGATTTAATAATGAGTTTAGCAAGATTTCAGGGTACAAGATCAATATAAAAATTAAATTGTATTTCTATAACCTAGCAATGAAGATTTAGAATTTGAAATTTTAAAACATCACTATATTAGCATGGAAATATGAAATTTGAAGCCTTAGTCTAATTTTTAAAATATGTAAGATCCATACACTCAAAGATAAAATAATTGCTGAAGGAAATTAAAGGAGATCTAAGCAAATGGAGAGAAATACTGTGTCATGGAATTTTGTGACGACTCAAAATCCTTAGGACATTAATTTTTCCCAAATTGATCTGTAGATTCAATGAAATCCCAATAGGCTTTTTTTTGTAGACATTTACAAGTTGGTTTGATGAATAGAACCTAGAAAAGCCAAAACAACTAAAAAGAAGGAGTTGGAGGACTTACACTACCCAATTTCAAGAGACTTATGAGGCTATAGTAATCCAGACAATGTGGTATTGGTGTAAAGATAGACAAATAGATTGATGGAATAAAATGGGGTCCAGAAACAGACCCATACGTATATCACCAATTGCTATTGTTGATTTTCAAGAATGAAAAAATCAAAGGGAATTCAGTATAAAAATGATAGTCTTTACAAATGGTGCTTGAACAATTGAAAATCTGTATTAGTTTTCTATGACTGCTGTAAAAAATTACCACAAAGTTTGTAGCTTAAAACCACACAATTTTATTACCTCAGAGTTCTAGAAGTCAGAAGTCTGAAATGAGTCCCACTGGGCTAACATATGTTAGCAGGGATGTGTCATTTCTGGAGGATCTAGGGGAGAATGCATTTCTTTACTTTTTCTAGCTTTTAGAGGCCACCTGCATTTTTTAGCTTGTGTTTCCCTTCCTCCATCTCCAAACCAAAAAAGATGGGCCAAGTCCGTCTCACACTGCCATCCCTCTGTGTCCAGAATACATAAAGAACACTCAGACATTCATAAGAAAACAAACAACCTAACCTTTAAAAACTGGGCAAAAGATTTGACTAGACACTCACTTTAGCAGCTATACAGACACCAACAAGCATTTGAGATAATGCTCAATACTATTAGTCAGGAGGAAAATACAAACTAAAAGCTCAATGAGATGCCGTGATTTATTGGAATGCCTAAAACCAAACAGCCCGAACATATCAAGTGTTGGTGAGGATGAGGAGAGGATGCAAAATGGAACTCTCTTACACTTCGAACATAAAATGGTGCAATTATTTCAAAAAACAGTTTGGCAGTTTCTTAACTAGGTAAACATACACTTACCATGTGACACAGTCATTCCACTCTTGGTGTTTACCCAAGAAAAATAAAAGCATATATCCATGTAAAGATTTGCACACAAGTGTTCATAGCAACTTCATTTATAATAGCCAACACCAGGAAGTGATCCAAAAATCCATCAACAAGCGATCAGATAAACAAATTATGATATAACTATACAACAGAATACTACGCAGGACTTGGATGAATCTCAGAATAATTATGGAGAGTGAAAGAGGTCAGACAACAAAGAGTATATTCTAGGTGATTCCATTTTTATAAAATTCCAGGAAATGCAAAGTAACTATACTGACAGAAAGCAGATCAGTGATTGTCTGGAGATGACCAGAGTCAGGGACTGAGAGCTGAGGGGAGAGGGGGGGATTATAAATGGGAACAGTGTAACTTTTGGAGGTGATGGATATGTTCTTGACTGCAGGGATGGTTTTATGGCTGTATGCTTATGTCGAAACTGATCAAATTGCACACTTTAAATGCACACAATTTGTCAAATGTCAATTATACCACAATAAAACTCTTTAAAAGGCAATTTTTTAAGTAAATGGGATAAAGCTACATGTGCTAACAAGGAAATACCAGTTATCTTAAGGGGACTTTTATAGTCTATAAAATATTTAAATTTTCATAATGTAGATTCTTTACAATGATGTGAGAGAGAGAGAGAGATACAGAGAGAAAATCATAACCTGGGGAAACTTTTTCACATGATGCATAAGAATGCCAGAGTGGAGGAAGGGAAGAGCTATGTTTATGTCTGTGTATTTAGAAACCGCTCCAAAGGCATCTTGACACATACCCCCTTTCCTCCACCCCTACTCAAAGATTTAAAGGAAGGAATGGACAGGATGGGACAAGATGGAAGAAGTGTTTTCAGAAGGTAGATGAGCCTAGAAGACTGGAAGAAGGAGTTCGGAGTCCGTAGAATAGTGTATAAGGACTTCAATGAAGCTGTGGCTGTGACTGAAATGGAAAGCTGTGGAAGGCAATGAGAAAAGAAACATAATAGCATGTGTTGATGCCTTATATGTGGAGAGAAGCAGGTGTGGGCAGGAAAGAGGGAGCGGGGTGAGCAGGAGTCCAAGAAGCCTCTGAGGTTACACTAGGTAACCGAGAGAGAACAATGGCATAACAGGAAAAATTGGCTTCTAAAGGAGAAATTTTTCCTCTAGAGAGAGAGGAGAAACTAATCTGGGGAAAGATGGGGCAAGTGATTAAGATATTACTTAATCAAACCCCTCATTTCAACAATGAGAAGACCGAAAAGTAGAGAGTAAAGTGACTTGCCCGAAGATCCACAGCAGACCCCAGAATTTATGAGTCCTAGGCCGGTTCCCATGCTGTTTCCCTATCACACACATTTCCTCGCCTATGTTAGGAGCCTGAAGTGATGATGGGCATCCAGGTGGTAATGTCCAATCTGCAATTAGTAATGTCCAATTACTATGGTGATGTCCAGTTGGCAGAGGAGCTGAGACAGGGCTTGGCAGCTGGGAATATTGATTAAGGAGCTAGGAGCTGGCTGAAGCACCAAGAACGAATGAGATAAAATATTTTCTATCCATTTCCATTAACTTTCCTCTTTGGATGAATTATCTATCTGTATGTCCTGCTTTCTACTCAGATGAAATGTGCCTTAGAACCAGCACCTCTCTCCACCTTTTTGAGTTCTTTATTCTAATTTCACAGACTAGAATCTGAGAGACTTGTGGGGTTCCTCCCCTTCCTCTACTTCCTGCATCCGTGCTATCATTAACCCTCTGTTTTCCTTTGAAAGAACATCCATTGCCCTCTTTTCCCTCTAATGCCATCCTAGCCCAGCCTTCAGCTCTATGGTCTTGAATTTCTACAACAGCTTGCCAACTGGCCTCCCCTGGCAAAGTGGGGAAGTGAAGCCAATGATTGAATGAAACAATAGGCCAAAGAGACAAGTCACAGGAATATGTTGGCCATGTAGACTAGGGGAGAGGGTGTCAGGAAGGAGACAGGGGTCAAACATGTCAGATGACACAGGAAAGTGAGGGGCAGAGAGGATTAAGACATGGAAACAGAATTTGGGTAAGTGGCAGGTTTTAAGTGAGCTTCAGCAGAGAAAGAGGAGCCTAGAACTGGGTTATAGGAGACAGTGTGTGGTGAGGGAGCAAAGCAGAGGGTAGAACCGTACCACAGGCAGGACAGGGGCCAGTGTGTGGTAAGGGGATGGAAACAGCAAAGAGGAATCATCTCTTCATGAAGTGTGGGCAGTGAAAAAGGAAAGAAGACAATAGCTAGACAGGATGGTCAAGTTTCCAAATGTTTATTTTTTTCTGTTGTTTTCAAAATGGAGCGGCTGTGCATAGCTAAAAAGCTGAGGGAAAGACACAGCAGAGAGAAAAAGAAAGGAATAGAGAATTCTGAAGCCAGAAGAATATCAGCATCACTCAGATCGTGGAAGGGTGGGTGTGTTCCCTGTTGAAGCAAGCAGCCAGCACCCTGAAGGGTGGTCTGCATAGAGGAAGCTGGTGGAAGATATTTGGGTCTCAAATCTTGATTCCCAGCCCTCAGTCCATACTGCACAGGAAATTTCTAACAGAAAGCTGTTTCCTTTGTCACACTATTTTCTGTTTAGAGTGAGGACAGGAAAAATCTGTCCTCTTCTTTTAACAATTCCAACGGAATGCCAAAACATCCCCTGGTCTTGGCCTTGCTTAATATACAGTTGTGACAGCCCCAGAGTTCTTCCTGACCTCTACTCTTAATCTTTCCTGCTGCAGTGGAAGCCCATTCACTCTCATCCTGTCTTTGGGGGAAGCATGTGGTGATCAAAAACCTGTCTGAATGAGGAAATCTCCAGGAGGTAAAATCATGTCAATTTCCTACAGATCCTCAGGAAGTTGCTGTTACAGATGCCACATTCATGTTCCCTGTCAGCCTTCACCTATTTGGAAGAGATGGGAGAACTCAACAAACTAAAGAACACTCAAATACGCCTCAGTTTCCACTGGCATTTTAAAAGAAAGACCCCCTTAGTCATCTCAGAGATGCAGATCCCAGGAAGCCAGAGGAATCATGCAGCTAATAAACTAAAACATATCTTAAGCTATCCACAAAGAGTTAGGTGTACTTAAAAAGCGGCCAGACACGTAATCCAGTCATCCCAGGAAACACTCTGTCACCAAGTGGCCCCAAGGAGGAGTGATGTTTCCTTTCTGATGTCATCCCACAAGACTAGGAGGATCTGCCAGGCATCCTGGAGGACATGTCATGCAGCAAGTGACAAGAAAGGACCAAGATGTGGAAAAGAAAGTGAGAAACAGGGAAGTTATGATGAAAAAGGAATAAAGACAAGTGTGGAGGAAAGATGGTGATATGAAGACAAAAAGAAAAAACACAGACAAAGAGCATGCTCAAGGGAGAGAATCTCTTTCTGCTGTTCACTTAGAGCAGGGGACTTGTAAATAAAGTTTTATCAGAACATAACTGTGCCCATTCATTTACTTAGTGTTTATGGCTACTTTTGTGTTACAAGGGCAGAGTAGTTGCAACAAAGACCATTTGGCCTGCAAAGTAAAAAATATTTACTATCTGGCACTTTAAAAAAATGTTTGCTGACCCCTGACTTAGAGTAATCACAACCTTATAACTTCCCCTAATACTGATAGGCTCTCTGTGGTTCTTCAACTACTCTTCAGAATAGTTGTTATCTTCAGAAACTATTGCCCTGAAAGAAACCAAAACTGGAGCCAAGCAATGGGAAAATTAATTAGAGCTGTAGCTTACAGAGTAACCAAAGTAAAATTGCTCCAAGATACAAAAGAAATTTCCAAGCTAAAGAACAAGTCTGACTCACAAAAAGACTGCTATAAAGACTTGAAACCAACCTAAATGCCCATCAATGATAGACTGGATAAAGAAAACATGGCACATATACACCATGGAATACTATACAGCCATAGAAAAAGATTAGTTCATATCCTTTGCTGGGACATGGAAAAAGCTGGAAACCATCATTCTCAGCGAAGTAACACAGGAACAGAAAACCAAACACCACTTGTTCTCACTCATAAGTGGGAGTTGAACAATGAGAACACATGGACACAGGGAGGGGAACATCACACACCAGAGCCTGTCAGGGGTTGGTGGGGCTGGGGGAGGGATAGCATTAGATGACTGGTTGATGGGTGCAACAAGCCACCATGGCACGTGTATACCTATGTAACAAACCTGCACGTTCTGCACGTGTATCTCAGAACTTAAAGTATAATAAAAAAAAAAAGAAAACTACTATATTGACAATAAAATAAGGTCTCAATGTCTATCTATCCAGAAAAAAATACTGCTATAGATGGAAAATATACATGGGGGAGGAGGGAGTATGTTTGTGTATAAAATATGATTTTAGATTCATAAATACTAATCAGAAATATATAGACAAATATATATGTATATTTCTGATTAGTATCATGTTTCTGTATATATTTTTTCTCCTGATTATTAGTTAACGAAACTAAAATCATAATTGTTTCATGCTGAAAGGTTGATATTGTACGGTACCCAAGGGAAATACAAGACTCAATCAGTATAACATATAAGCAATAATGTAAAATTGAAATAGATAAGAGGTAAATTTGACAGAAAGAAAAAGCTGTGTTTCTGTCATCTTCTGATACTGACATGAAGGTACAGGTTTGAAAGTGGCATTTTTAATACAACTATCCAAAGTTCTTTCCCTCCCCTGCCCCCTGTAGAAACAGGGTCTCCCTATGTTGCCTAGGCTGATCTCAAACTCCTGGGCTCAAGCGATCCTCCTGCCTCAACCTCCCAAAGTGCTGGAATACAGGCATGAGCCACCACACCCAGCCTATCCAAGGTTCTTGATAACATGAGACTGAGGAGGGAAGCAGATGGCAGTAAAGGATGAACACCATCTCATGAAACATGAAACAGGCTGATCTGGAGCTTTTTCAGAGAAATTAAAGAGACAGGTTAAAGCCATGTATCTCTAGCATTTGGTTCATATTTTCCCACTATTTTCTCCAGATGAATTCTCTCCACACCTATAAAGCCATCCCATCTTGTCCTGCCCCCTCAACACATACACACATGCACATGTACACAAACGCAAACACACACACCACACACACCTGCTCCATTCCAGGCACAAGATTCTACTCTTCATTCTCTCATTTATCCAGCAATCCCTGCCCTGTCCTCATCTCTAGGCTTCTGCTCAAAGGCACAGACCCTGTTGGGTACCTACCCCAAATCCATTCTGCCCCACCTTGCTACTAACAGAACTACAATAATATTCAGGAGGGCAATATGTCCAGCTATGATGCTCACCTGCCCAGACTCCTTTGCAGCTAGGGTGGCCATGTAACCTGTTTCTTATCATGAGATATAACTGAATAAAAAGTCTGCTAAGGATTTGGGGAAAATTTTTGCCCTCCTCATACAGGCTCCACCTTCTCCCCACCCTTCCTTCCTTTCTTTCCTTCTTCCTTTTCTTTGCTACTTTTTTTTCTTTCTCCTTTTTCCTGCCTTGTGCACAACATGAGGCTTGAGGTGGAGCAACCATCTTGGGAACACAGATCAATAAAGCCACAAGCTAAGGATGGTGGAGCAGAAAGAGAAAAGAAGCCTGGAGAATTGACGGCTCCTTGAAGTTCTGCATTAGCCTTGGGCTTCTTGTATGTACATCTCTGTTTAGCTAAGTCCCTGTAGTCAGGTTTCTGTAGCAAGTGGCCTAATGCAACTAATTCCCAGGCCCTTACTCTCCCTTCTACCTGGAAAGAAATTCTCCCCACCCCATAGCCAACTTTTGAAGTCCTGTACTTCCTTCAAAGCCCACCTTAAATCCTATCTCCTTCAAGTGGACGTTCCACAATGCCTCAAAATCAATCTCCCTCTCTCCCGTAGTCATATAGGGCACAATTAAAATCATTAAAATAGTATACCCTTCTGCTTCATATCATAAATATTCATGTCTGTTTATTCATACATCCTCTCCCTAGACTGAGAGCTGCTAAGGGCAAGTATCCTTTTTCACCCATTTTGAATGCCCTGCAGCACCCAGCACAGTGTCCATAGTAGTCACTCAGTAAAGGATTGTTGAATTTCTTTGATTGTACAAATGCTCCTTCCTTCCCAAGTGTATGCTATGGATCATGTTAAAGCAGCCGGCTTCTATGTAGATGGGATGGGAAAGTTAATAATTAGAAAAATAACTTTAGAAATCCTAGTCATGTTTGACCATGTTTTGACAGTTCGAAACTGTGTGGCCCTGTTGCTAATTGCCCAGATATACACACTTAGGTCAAAAGAAGGGACAGAAATGAGAAGGTATAGAAAGTCTAAAACTGGTCTATATATCATCAAATTAGTATGCTGGTTTCATCAAACTCAACTTCAAACCAGTATCTATTAGAGACCGATTTGTATCCAAAGTAGTTAATATAATTTATTGCATTGCAATTCCAGTTACACTTCTACTACTTATTTAATGCATTTCTTTTGGTTGACAAAAATTTATTGGCCATCTATTATGTGCCAAGTCCAGGTGACCAGCCATCCCTGGTTATCTGTGACTGAGCAGTTTCCTGAGACACAGGAATTTTCAGTGCTGAAGCTAGGAGAGCTCCAGGTGAACCAGGATGGTTGGACATCCAAGAAGCTCCGAGCTTGATGCTTGATATAAAGCAGTAGAAAAGATAGATGTTGTCCCTGCCTATGTGGAGCTCTACAATGTAGTTGGTTTTTATTTGGGGTTCCTAGCAATTAAAAGTCAGTTTACATCCTGTAACTATATCTTCAAATCACACGTTAGAGTTTATTAAACAGCAATCAAGGCCATCCAACACTTCCAGGTGCTAACATCATAAATCTACATAGTACAATTGGCTGTGAGTGTGGAGGGAAGAAGGACTTTGGAACAGGAGGATAAGCTGAAGTTCAGTTCATTAATGTGGTCACTGTTCTACCGGCTGTGAATTCCAACCAACTTTAATCACAGCCGGAGCCAGTTATCTGTTGTTTTTGGATCAGCAGGCATGCTCCATCTTCAGGTTCTCAGCCCTCTTTGTGATACCAATTTTGACCTGTTGGTGGGACTGTGCCTTCTTTGGAAAGGACCAGGAAATGTCAACTTTTCCTGGGGGAATGTGGAGGTAATCTGATGGTGGCATCTGCTGATATGGCCACCACAGCTGTCTGGAGATTACTTTTTCTTCATCATTCTTCCATATTCATTCTTCCTATAGCTGGGTGCCAGGCCCTCCCATTTTTGGCATATGGATGACCTATTTCCCCTTTTAGAATGCCAGTCCTCCCAGATAGATAATACATACTTCTGAGCTTAACAGTCTGAAGATCCTATCCTTCCATAGGAGCCACCTACTCAACAAAGACTGAAGGTCCTGGTTCCTCATGGAGTACTTCTCACTCTATGGCAGACTTTTCTCTCTAATCTCCAGCCTTCACCTCTGCTAGGCTTTCATAACAACCACCATTGATTTTCTACTATTGGCTGGGTATTTTTATATCCATTATTTTATTTAAAGTGGACAACAACTCAAAGTAGATATTGTTATCCCCACTACCAGATGAATAAACTACAGGGCAAAGAAGCTAGGGAACTTTCCATGGGTCACACATTATAAATGGACAGAGTAGAAATTGAATCTCACTCTATCAGACTCTTTTCTGAGAGTTGACTTGATGACCTGGAAGGGAACAGACCTTGTGTGCTTGAAAGAGCTTGTATATCTTGGATGCTTGAAAGTAAGTGTGAAGAAGATTTCAAGGGAGAAGGAATTTTGTGTCTGTTGACTTCTAAATTTTGCTTAGTGAGGGGGTGGGTGTGCCAGGGAACACTGCAAATCAGGGAGAAAGGCCTGACAAAAACCCTAGTTTACTGCCTTGCACTAGATCAAATGTTAGTTCATACCTAAATGTGAGTTTGTGCTTTGAAGCAATAAGAAATTAATTTTAAAATGGTCTCAGGAGGTTTTTAAAGGGCAAATTTTCAACAAATAAAACTAACATGCTTAATTTCATTTCCTTGGAATTTTCATGGCAAAGATGCTTTCAGTGATCTGGAGCCACCCTTTAAAAAGATACAGACCAATGAAGTTGGAGAGTCTTATCTTTTGCATTGAGGCAACCTCAACATTTAGGCGCACCACTGAAGGTCTCAGAGCCTGACCTCATCACTACCCACCATTAGCACGTGGTCAGGAGAGTCCAGGGATCCCAGTATGAGCATTTACAAATGAGGAAAACGACACCTATAGCAATATATCACCAATGTCTTGCAAACAGCCTCATTTATAATAGGTACTCAATAATTTTATTGAATAAGGGAATAAAGGAACAAATAAATGAAACAAGTGATTTTCCAGAAGGTCACACAAACGGACAAAAATCCAATGTTCTAAACCTTCACTTCATTTCTTAATCTAGTTGTATCATCCTCTGGGTGAGCCTAGCCCACTTTAAAATGGATATTCGGATGTCAGAATGAATAGAGCAGTGTGCCTGACTTAAGTAATATCAAAATTGTAGAGATGTGGAAAAGACGGAGTTGATGAAGCTCCTGTTATCCAGAGACCATGACCATTCCAGGTGGTTGGTTTCGTTTCTAATGCACATCTGCTCCACTTCACCAATTGCTTTGAGCAATATGCGGTTCTCATGACAAAGTCAACAATTCTTTATCATCTGCGTGGTCAGTCACCCTTTCATTGTCCCTCCCTTGTAATTGTTTAATCTGGCGTCCCCTGCCGCATTTCTTGGCTGCCTACTCTCCCTGCTCCTATCAGTCAGGTTGTACTCAGGGAATGCAAATGCACAGAATAAGTCCAGAGTCAATTAGAACTAATTAGGTGTTTTATCTGCTGGTTTGGATTATCCGTGCCCTCTATGGATACATGGCATAGGCTGGTTGAACAACCATCCCTGGATTGGGGAGCATTCTAAGATTCACACACAACTTCCTATTGTCTGTGCTAATGGAGGTAAAGGCTGGCATGAATGTACAACAGAGACATTTAAAAACCAAGGTATAGTTTATGCCCATTTTCACCGTAGATTTTAGTGAGTGTTTACAACTTTATATACCTGTGTGACCATCACCACAATCAAGGCATAGCATACTTTCAACATCACAAAAAGTTTTCTTGTGCCATCTCAGCCGATCTGCCCCTACCTTGGCCCCAAGCAACCAGCAGTCTGCTTTCTGTCACTGTAGATTAGATTTGTCTTTTCTAGGGTTTTAGTTTCTCCAATTTCCTTCCCAGTGATGTCTGGTTCAGGATGATATTAAAATGTGTTCATGTTCCCTACATCCACACTGATTGGTCAGGGTAGGCAGAACTGGGATGTGGAAGAAACATGAGAGGCAAGACATGGAGGCTGATGAGCATAATTATTGGCAATGAGAAGAATGTTGGCTCTCCCCAGTATTTGTAGAATATGACAAAGCGTGTGTGCCCATGTTGTGCCCTGAACCTATTTTCAAGTGTGTTCAATACAGAGTCTTCTAAATTTAACTGCCTAGGAATTGTGTATTTTGCTTTGAATGGACACTTGGAAACTCCAGACTCTAGCCAGCCCCTCTCAGCCACGGAGTCATTGCTCCCCCTGGTGTAAACACAGAGACTAGTCACCCTGTGTCATAAGGCATTCCCACCCACCGCAGCCCTCCCTGGACCACGAGGAGCCAAAGGCAGGCAAGAAAGCTTCTGGCTCTCTCTGGCTGTTGTTAGGTTCATGGGTCAGATGCTGAGTTTGTGAACACAGAGGAACACTAAGAGATCAACTGCTTGAGAGAGGACAGAAACAGAGAGAAGGGAAACCCCAGAGACAGAACTAGCTAGACATGCAAGATAGAGAGGTGAGGGGGCAGAGGCACAGCCCAGAAAACAAAGCAAGAAGCGATAGAGGGATGGTTTTTTTCTCCATTTATGAGACATCCTAAAAATTTACTCCTCTGCCCAAAATAGATTTAGATCCACGATATGAGAAACCTTGAGAAGTGAATTTTAACATGGAAATGCTGATAAATCTTTTAAACAACTTATACACCTCCAGGTGTTGTTGGACCTGCTTAATCCCTTTAAACCTCCAGTAACTCCATCCATGGTGTTTAAAGTCTCATAAATCTGCACTAGCTTAAAATAGGGATATATAAATCACATTTAGGGTCTTGGGAGTAGGGACAGGAGATAGGCATCCCAATGCCATTTAAAACCACAGCACAGACTTTTCATCAATTTTTTCCAAGAAAAGTTAAAATGAAAAACATTCAGGTTTCTGGGTTGTGGTTTCATAAGTTCTCAATTTGTTCTTTTTCCTTTTTTTCAGGGGGGTGGGCAGGGGTCCAAAGGAGCATTGACTAGCTAGTCAATTGGAAAGAAAAAAATTGCAAAGACCCATCTCACTTAGTCCTTTTACACAAAATAAAACCAAAAAGAAAAAATAATAATGAAATACTACCAGAAGTCATTAGAAAACAGCAATGTTTCTAGTAAAGCACCAACAAAAATGATGTCTGGTTTTTGTTAAATTGTTAATTTATGCAAAAAAATAAAAGTTATAGATACTATCCTAATAATAATAGCTACTTTTACTTTCTCATTCCTACCACATGCCCAGTACCTACCACTGAGCTGAGGACACACACAACCACCTCCTTCTCATCCCCCTGCTGCAAAGGCTGTCAGACTTTTTCTGGCTCCTCATTCGCAATATTTCTCATTACAAACATTGATTCTCAACAGCTGTTTGAGAAGGTTTTGGAGAAGCCACACTCTGCTAGAAAATCCAGGGGGTACATGAGAGATCCAGCAGGGGAGGCTTTTCTGTGTGAAGAGCTTTGGGTACATTATCTAATTTTATCCTCACAGCAGCCCCATGAGAAATATTATTATTATTTCTGTTTTACAGATGAGGAAGCTAAGGTTCGGATTGTTTAAGTAATTTACCCCAAGTAGCATGGCTGGTAAGTGATGGAGCAAAAATTCCAACCCCGAGTCTGCTTTAGAAGACCTGATCTTATCCAGGATGCCATCAACCTTCTGTGGGCAATAGACCCAGACCACAGATCATTTGGAAGAATCTCACATATCACACTCTAAGAATTGATATGTTTTCTGCTTCCTCTTTTCTGGCCTGTCCCAGTGACCTTTCAAACCCCAAAGTCTTGGAAAAATCTACTGTGTTAACTGAGTCTTTACTGAAACTTCAGTCCATGTAGAGAAAATAAGAGTCTCCAGCTTGTGTCGCTTGCTTCAAGTTCCAGTTGGCCTGCGGGGATGTACCACCAAGTGATCCTGGGAAAACATTGGAACTTTAGTTTCCTTACCTACTAAATAGGGACCTATAAGACCTATCTTTGGGGTTGTTGTGAGGGTTAACATGTGGGAAGACCATCTGGAGCCTGCAAAGTCCAGGCAATTGCTGGGTCATGTGATGAGTATGGTACCCAAGTATGGTGCCTGAAGTATAATAAAGAGGAAAAGCCTCCCTAAGGTCTGTCTTCACAGAGCAGATATTACAGAGCACTTTATCCCCAAATAGTTCAGAAGGTGTCTCCTAAGAATAAGGACATTATCCTGTTTTTATATAATGTATATAACCGCAATACTTTTATTACACCTAAGAAAAGTAATAATAATTCCAGAATATCAGATATCCCTAGTTGTTTCAAGAATGCCTTTTATAGCTGTTTTCATTGTGCCAAAATACACATAACATAAAATGTACCATTTTAACCATTTTTAAATGTACACTTCAGTGGCATTAAGTACAGTCACATTGTTGTGTAATCATCACCACCATCTACCTCCAGAACTTTTTTATCTACCCCATGAAACTGCATCCAGTAAAACACTAACTCCTCAGCCCCTGGCAATGACCATTTTACTTTCTGTCTCTATACATTTGACAATTCTGGTACTTCATGTAAATAGAATCACACAGTATTTGTGCTATTGTGACTGACTTATTTCACTTAGCACAATGTCTTCTAGGTTTATCCATGTTGTGGCACGTGTTAGAATTTCCTGCCTTTTTAAAGCTGAATGATATCCCACTATGTGTATATGCCACATTTTGTTTATCCATTCATACATTGATGAACACTTTTATTGCTTCTACTTTTTGGCTGTTGTAAATAATGCTGCTATGAACAGGGGGGTACAAATATCTGTTTGAGTCCTTGATTCTACTTCTTTTGGATGTATATGCAGAAGTGGGATTGCTGGATCATATAGTAATTCTGTGGTTAATTTTTTGAGGAATGGCCATCCCATTTTTCAGAGCAGCTATACTTTTTACACACCCACCAGCAATGCACAAGGGTTCCCATTTCTCCACATCCTTACCAATACTTGTTATTTTTTGTTGCCTTTATTTTATTTTATCTTATTTTATTTTAGGGATGGGGTCTTGCTGTTTTGCACATATTGGAGTGCAGTGGCTATTCACACTTAGTGCACTGCAGCCTCTAACTCCTGGTCTCAAGAAATTCTCCCACCTCAGCCTCTTGAGTAGCTGGGACTACAGCATCATTGTGCCTGGCACTTTCTTTTTTTTTTTTTTTTTTTATACTAGCCAACTTAATGTGTTTGATCTCATTGTGGTTTCAACTTGCATTTCCCTCCTAATTAGTCTTTTCATGTGTTTATTGACCAGTTGTACATCTTCTTTGGAGAAATGTCTATTCAACTCCTTTCCCCATTTTTCAATCTGTTAATTATTTTGTAGTTATTGAGTTGTAAGGATTCTTCATATATTATGAATATCAATTTGCAAATATTTTCTCGCCCTCAGTGGTTTGCCTTTTCTCTGTGTTGACTGTGTCCTTTGATGCACAGAAGTATTTAATCTTTATGTAGTACAATTTATCTATTTTTTCTTTTTGTGCTTTTGGTGGCAACCAGAAAATTTGAAATTACATGTAGCTGTAGCTGACATTGTATTGCTATTGGATACTTCTGGCCTAGAAGCTTGATTAGATTTAGGTTAATTCATTTTGGCAAGAATACTTCATAGTTCGGACACAGTGGCTCACACCTATAATCCCAGCACTTTCAGGCAGAACTCCCACAGGAGTTCAAGACCAGCCTGTGCAACATGGTGAAACAACATCTCTACAAAGAATATATATAAAATCAGCCAGGTATGGTGGCACACATCTGTAGTCCCAGCTACCAGGGAGGCTGAGGTGGGAGGATCACTTGAGACTGGGAGGTCAAAGCTGCAGTGAGCTTTGCACCTCTGCCCTCTAAACTGGGTGACAGAGCAAAACCCTATCTCAAAAAAAAAAAAAAAGAATGCTTCATAGTTGACGTTGTGTACTTCATAATATATTACAGCAAGAGGTATACAATATCTAGTTGTCCTACTGTCATTGATGCTAAATTTGATCATGTGGTTAACTGCCAGGTATCTGGATTGTAAAGTATATTTTCTCTTTTGCAATTTCTTTCTTATTTATTTATTTATTTATTTATTGATCATTCTTGGGTGTTTCTCGCAGAGGGGGATTTGGCAGGGTCATAGGACAATAGTGGAGGGAAGGTCAGCAGATAAACAAGTGAACAAAGGTCTCTGGTTTTCCTAGGCAGAGGACCCTGCGGCCTTCCGCAGTGTTTGTGTCCCTGGGTACTTAAGATTAGGGAGTGGTGATGACTCTTAACGAGCATGCTGCCTTCAAGCATCTGTTAAACAAAGCACATCTTGCACCGCCCTTAATCCATTTAACCCTGAGTGGACACAGCACATGTTTCAGAGAGCACAGGGTTGGGGGTAAGGTCACAGATCAACAGGATCCCAAGGCAGAATAATTTTTCTTAGTACAGAACAAAACGAAAAGTCTCCCATGTCTACTTCTTTCTACACAGACACGGCAACCATCCGATTTCTCAATCTTTTCCATACCTTTCCCCCCTCTCTATTCCACAAAACCGCCATTGTCATCATGGCCCGTTCTCAATGAGCTGTTGGGTACACCTCCCAGACGGGGTGGTGGCCGGGCAGAGGGGCTCCTCACTTCCCAGTAGGGGCGGCCGGGCAGAGGCGCCCCTCACCTCCCGGATGGGGCAGCTGGCCGGGCGGGGGGCTGACCCCCCCACCTCCCTCCCGGACGGGGCGGCTGGCCGGGCGGGGGGCTGACCCCCCCACCTCCCTCCCGGACGGGGCGGCTGGCCGGGCAGAGGGGCTCCTCACTTCCCAGTAGGGACGGCCGGGCAGAGGCGCCCCTCACCTCCCGGACGGGGTGGCTGGCCGGGCGGGGGGCTGACCCCCCCCACCTCCCTCCCGGACGGGGCGGCTGGCCGGGCGGGGGGCTGACCCCCACCTCCCTCCCGGACGGGGTGGCTGCCGGGCGGAGACGCTCCTCACTTCCCAGACGGGGTGGCTGCTGGACGGAGGGGCTCCGCACTTCTCAGACGGGGCGGCTGCCGGGCGGAGGGGCTCCTCACTTCTCAGACAGGGCGGCCGGGCAGAGACGCTCCTCACCTCCCAGACCGGGTCGCGGCCGGGTAGAGGCGCTCCTCATATCCCAGACGGGGCAGCGGGGCAGAGGCGCTCCCCACATCTCAGACAATGGGCGGCCGGGCAGAGACGGTCCTCACTTCCTAGATGGGATGGCGGCGGGGAAGAGGCGCTCCTCACTTCCTAGATGGGATGGCGGCGGGGAAGAGGCGCTCCTCACTTCCTACATGGGATGGCGGTCGGGCAGAGACGCTCCTCACTTTCCAGACTGGGCAGCCAGGCAGAGGGGCTCCTCACATCCCAGACGATGGGCAGCCAGGCAGAGATGTTCCTCACTTCCCAGACGGGGTGGCGGCCGGGCAGAGACTGCAATCTCGGCTTTTTGGGAGGCCAAGGCAGGTGGCTGGGAGGTGGTTGTAGCGAGCCGAGATCATGCCACTGCACTCCAGCCTGGGCACCATTGAGCACTGAGTGAACGAGGCTCCGTCTGCAATCCCGGCACCTCGGGAGGCCGAGGCTGGCGGATCACTCACGGTTAGGAGCTGGAGACCAGCCCGGCCAACACAGCGAAACCCCATCTCCACCAAAAAAATACGAAAACCAGTCAGGCGTGGCGGCGCGCGCCTGCAATCGCAGGCACTCGGCAGGCTGAGGCAGGAGAATCAGGCAGGGGGGTTGCAGTGAGCCGAGATGGCAGCAGTACAGTCCAGCTTTGGCTAGGCATCAGAGGGAGACCGTGGAAAGAGAGGGAGACGGAGACAGAGAGGGAGAGGGAGAGGGAGAGGGAGAGGGAGAGGGAGAGGGAGCCTCTTTTGCAATTTCTAAACACTTTGTGAGATGATACTTTGGTACCAGAATACCATTTCAGATATTATCAAACCTTGACACTGGTTAGCCCTCTTAGAGAAATGTACAGAGCAAAATTAAGGAAAAGAATCAATGAGTCAGATCCTAAATGCATGACCCTCCAGGAAGGCAGTTCAGATAACTCCCTGCCTTTGTACCCTGGCTTTTTGGTGACTGCAACAGCCAGAGAACATGTCTTGCCTACCCCTTCTGCCTGTCCTTCTACTTAGTGGCTGTTATGTAATCTGTAGCACTCTCTTGGGCCAGTCATTTCCATTGTAACTATAACTACAGCTTGCCCAAGCCTCATTTTCTGTCTTGCTACTAGCAATAACCCAGGCTTGTGCTATAGCCTCTGCTTCCACATTTCTGAGAGATACCAAAGGGAGTCTCTCATGCACTGAAGAACGTGTCTCTTTTTCACCTATTTTTCTTTCTGTGACTACATTTATATCTGTGCTAATTAATATTAATATTAATATCTGTGCTACATTAATACCTGTGTTCTTGGAGCAACCAGAGGGGCAAACTCCCATGGTGCCAAAGTGACCCTAGACTTCCCAGAGTGTTTTCTGGCTAAAACCATGCTGAGTCTACATGAAGTGGGGAAAAGTGTCTTCTTTCTCCCCCTTAGGACACTTTCCCTCCAGGTGCCAGTGCAGCACCTTTGTGCTCTTCTGTCTCACAACATCGGTTATGAAATCACATCCTTCAGTTTCTGCTTGACTTGCTAGAATTTGGCTCATCATAAATATCCAGGACAGACACCTTGTTGCCTCCTGATCCCCCTGTCCTTCCCAGGCATTTCAGCAAGAACACCTTCTCTCTTCTTTTAGCCAAATCAGCTCCTGGCACCCCACCTACTTTTCTTCAGAGGGATATAAATCCAATTTAGGCTAAAAGGATAACTAGTCTTATTCTCTATTACAGTACCTAAGTAGGAGAGAACACTCTCCTACTGGAATTTCCTTCAGTGTGTTTATGTGATTGCAAGCCCAAATGGCTGATGATGTAATCAAAGGACTCCAGTTAGGTCCTAAGGTTTGCTCCCATTACAAGCAAAAAGAGATACTAGTAACCCTTCCAGAATAGCTCCATGGACCCAGGGATCCAAGAGACCAAATGAGAAGTTAAGAATAAGCACAAGTGAATGTAAAAATCTAAAACTATTTCTAGAAGAAAACACAGAAGAAAAGCTTTGCAATTTTGAGGCAGGCAAAGATTTCTTACTATGCAAAAAGCATGGACAATGAACCAAAAGGTTGATAAACTGGACTTCATTAAAATTTCAAAATGTTGTTCTTTGCAAGACACTACTTTAAAAGATGAAAAGTTAGCCAGGTACAGTGGCTCATGCTTGTAATGTCAGCAATTTGGGAGGCTGAGGCAGGATGACTGCTTGATCCCAGGAGTTTGAGAGCAGCCTCAGCACCATGGCAAGACCCTGTCTCTACAGAAAAAAAAAACCAAAAACAACAACAAAAACAGAAAAACCTGGAGTGGTGGTGCACACCTGCATTCCCAGCTACTTGGGAGGCTGAGGTGGAAGGCTAGGAGAAAACATTTGTAATACACATATATGGCAAAGGATTTATATCCGGATAGAAAGAATTCTTACAATTCAATAACAAGAACCAACACAATTTTTAAATGGGCAAAATATTTGAAGAGACACTTCACCAAAAAAGATATATGAATGGCAAATAAGCACATTAAAAATACTCAACGTGATTAGTTGGTGTTGAGCATTAGTTATCATGCAAATAAACCACAATGAAATACCAATGCACAGTCACTAAAATGGCAAGAAATTTAAAAAACTGACCCTACCAACCTTTGACAAGAATGTGGCAACAACTAGAATTCTCCTATAATGCTGTTGAGAATGTCAAATGGTAGGACCACTTTGAAAAAAGGGTATGGCAGTTTCTTTCTTTCTTTCTTTCTTTTTTTTTTTTTTTTTTTGAGACAGAGTTTTGCTCTTGTCACCCAGGCTGGAGTTCAGTGGTGCGATCTCGGCTCACTGCAACCTCTGCCTCCCAGGTTCAAGCAGTTCTTCTTCCTCAGCCTCCCAAGTAGCTGGGATTACAGGCATGTGCCACCACACCGTAATAACTTTTGTATTTCTATTAGAGATGGGGTTTTGCCATATTGGCCAGGGTGGTCTTGAACTCCTGACCTCAGGTGACCCACCTGTCTCAGCCTCCCAAAGTGCTGGGATTACAGGCGTGAGCCACCGCACCTGGCCAGCAGTTTCTTAAAATGTTAAACATAGACCTGTCATATGACCCAGCCATTGGACTCCTAAGTATTTATCCAAGAAAATTAAAACATATGTCCACACAAAAGCTTATATATGAATGTCCATAGAAGCTTTAATAATAATAGCCCAAAACAAATGTCCCTCAAGAAAAGAAACAAAATGCCGTATATTCATACAATAGAATACTATTCAGCAGTAAAAACAAATAAATTATTGATATGTCAATAAAATGAATAAATTTCAAAATAATTATGCTGAGTGGAAAAAAGCCAGACACAAAAGAGTACATACTAAACAATTCTATTTATATAAAATTCTGGAAAATGTGAACTTCCCTGAAGTGACAGAAAGCAAATCAGTAGTTCTATGATGCTAAGAGCAGGAGGCAGGATGGACTGCAAACATATGCTAGGGAACTTTTCGGAATGATGGAAATGTTTCATGTGTTAATAATCGTGGTTTCCCAGGGGCATGTGTCTGTCAAAAGTCATTAAATCACACAAATTTGTAAAGTGGCAAAGAGGAAGTTAAAGCAGAGAATGAGTTGGAAGCTGAGTCAAGAGAGTCCCTCACATGTCCAGGGAAGGTTAGCAAAAAGCTCAGGCTGGAAATAGACTAGACTGAGTTCCAGATAGCTGTAGTCAGAAGAAGGGTGATCTCACTGGTGATAAAGATGACTCAATGGTGAGCCACACACACAACCTTCTTGACTGGAGGGCTTTCCTCTTCCCAGCCACATCGGTCCTGCTGGTAAGACTCTTCCTCCAAGAATTATTTTTTAACATTTCCCTGCTCATTCTGCATTTACAGCATGGTTTCCACTAAGTCATCTATATAGCACTTCCTTTCACAGCTACTTGTTGCCCATTGCATATCACTTGTTAAGTCAGATATTACCAAGCATTGGCAAAAAGGTGGGGAAAGAGAGCCCTCACCCACTGCAGATGCAGCCGTTCTGAAGGATAATTGTGCACCTTAAATCCACCAAGCCCACTCCTGGGTATACACCCAGGGAAATTCTTCCCAGGGAACACAAGATGTTCCTAACAAGCTTCACTATCACTCTGCTAGAGGCAACCTAGGTGTCTATGTCCAAGGAATGTACAGGTAAAATATAGTTTGTGTATACAATAGGATAATGAATTATATTTTCATTTAGAAACTTGGATTGATCTCAAAAATGGAGTTAAGAGTAAAAAAGCAAAAACAGAATGGGATTTATAGCACAATTCCATTTATGTATCAAACACACACATAAAGCGGCCTTGTGTATTTTTGTAAGGACGCTCATATATCTAAATAAACGTCTGTTGGATGGATTGGAAGAACTATATTAAATGTATTATAGTGGATGCCTGTGCAAGGAGGGCAGTGGGATTAGGAATGATAGATGAAGGGAAAAAAACAATAAACCTTAAAAAAATGTTTTCACAAAAAGGTTGGTTCTTCTATGAATAAATGATAATATTCCACGAACTGAGAAGCAGGATTACCTCAAACATGTGCAAGTGAATTCCAAAAGATATGAAAAAGAAAAAAATATACATAATTCTAGCATTTTGTCTGTTTTTCATATTCCAAACAAAGGAACTGTTTCCTGTTTTACAGGTTTTCTATTGTTGCCATAACAAATTACTATACACTTAATAGCTTAAAACAACATAAATTTATTACCCTACAGTTCTGTAGGTAAGAAGTCTACCACATGTCTTATTGGGCAAAAATCAAAGTGTTGGTAGCACTGCGTTCTTTTCTGAGAGCTCTAGGAGAGTTTCCTTGCCTGTTCCAGCTTCTAGAGATCACCCACATTTCTCAACCCATGGCCCTCCTCCTCTGTCTTCAAAGCCAGCAAGGGCAGCACTTGTCCTTCTCACATCTCCTTCTCTGACTCTGATCTTCTCTTCTGCCTCCCTCTTTCACTTTTCAGGACACTTGTGATTATATGGGGCCCACTTGGATCACCCAGGACATTCTCTCTATCTTAAAATCAGCTGCTTAGCCACCTTAATTTTATCTGCAAACCCACTCCCCTTTTCTGTGTAAGGTAACATATTCATAGGTTCTAGGGATTAGGACATGGACATTTGTAGTCTGTTATTCTGCCCTCCACACCTGAGCATATGTCAAATACTGAATAACAGAAAACCACATATTCTTTCTCATTGTGAATGAGTTATTCAGCCAAATGACAAAAGATATGTTGATGCTACTATGTGCTAGATCCCCATGGTAAGAGCTGAAGTTACAGTAGTGGTCAGGAGTTGGGGATTTGGTGATGTTCTTTCCCTTGCAACAAAAATTCCCATTCTGGCATATTTTAGCTAAAGGATAAATGAGAAGTATTCTGATTAAGCTATCTTATTACAATGTAAATGACTGGCCTCTGGAAGAGATGCTTATGTTCTTTTCAAAAGAAGCACCCTAACCCAGGGCCTCTTAAACTTTAATGGGCATGTAAATTGCCTGGGAATCTTGTCAAATGGAGTTTTGATCCAGTAGGATTGGCATGAGGCCTGAGTCTGCTTTTTCACAAACTTCCAGATGATGCTAATGCTACCTGTCCAGGGCTACACTTCTCTTTGAGTTAGGGAGCAAGACCTTAACTCAAACAGAGCTCCAACTGTAAGCCATAGTCAGTCTGACCCTGCCATCAATCAATCTTTATGATGGGTTTACCTCCTTCTAAGAGGTGACAGTAGTCAATCAGCTTTGCAAAACACCACACTTTGTCACTGTGACAAAATACCCCCAGCAGAGAGGATACTTCATCTACTAGGAATGCCCTCGGTTTCCCACAAGGATGGTTTCTGACCAAGACCCAATTTCATCCCCAGATATGGGTGTGCTGTATACAATCTTTGATAGGATAGTGAGTCTCCTGTTTTCCCAGCCAGGACTCCTAACCTCCAAGACTGATGACCCCCAGACAGTGTGACCCAGTGGCCCAGTGTCTGAATTCATATCTATTGTCAGAAGTATATTTGATTGGGCAAAATCAGGACTATATTGGGACAGATTACCTGAGCTATTTGAGGAGTACCTTACTAGATCAAGTTATAAAGGCTGACAAGATTCAACATTATCTCCCTACTAGTGTTTTGCATACTAGTTCCATCAGGGCTGAGAAATAGATGAGCAGAAGACAGAACAGAAGCAATAGAATCTCCATAGGTAAGTTGGGTTCTCTTTACAGTGACCTCAAAGGGATTCTGGCCAAAGAAACTATCTTAGTAAAGCTCAAGGACCAATGGGAGGACACATTATTGCATCAAGGTGAATTGATAATGTAATTTGTAAGGTAAAAGAATGCAAGTTCCTATATATACCACATGGCTGGTATATTAATGAGTTTGGGCAGTACCACTTCATACTACACTTTTGAACACTGATGTGCTTGGGTATTCTCTGAGCTGTGACTTCCCCAAATCCTTGTTTGGGCTGCAAAACTTTGATCATTTTGGGACAACAAAGCAGAACCATACCTGCAGTTCCACACCTTCTACTTGCAAAATAACTAGGTGCATCTCATCTCAGCAGAGTGCTGTTGTAACATTTCCCCTGAGGATTCCTTGAGGAGCCTCCATTTTATGGCATCTATAGACCTTCTTCCCAAATTATTCTGGGTGGGTAGCTGCTGAAAACCCTCTTGTATGAACAAACACTGTGGGAGCTCCCCTACTCAAGCAGCACAGATCCAAAGTTGGTACCCCTGCAATACAGCAATGGTGGGAGGCATGGATCTCTGCCAGGTAGAGAGGAGACATATTCTGACTATAGAAGGACTTAAAGCTGTCAATTCATCCAGCATCTCAGCTGAATGACCTCCATGAGAGCTGTTTCCTATTGTAGAACAAATTAAGTTAGGGGGTCACTATTCTCTCTCACCCTAAGTATTCATTCAAGTATTAAAGTGTAGAACTTTACATCAGGCAGCAGCTTTTAAGACGTAGAGTCTAATACCCATTATTTTGTGGACTTGAAAAAAAATGAAGACTAGTTACGAAGGCCCAGGAAACCAGCTTACCCTCCCACCCTTCTGTTTACATTGCACTCCCACCTCTATACTTTTTACCACTTTCATACTTTTTGTTTCCTCCTTCCCTTTCACTTACCTTGGAATGATGGCTCCTGAATTTCTTGCCTCCACTAAAACTGGATGGATGGCTTTTCTCCCTCTGCTGAAGGGAAGAAAGCTGTGAAAGCCTATAAATAAAGGAAGTACATAGATCAAGATTAAACAGGCAGTTCACGGTAGAGATGATATCCAAACCGAGCTCACACAGGCCAGTCAGGTGACTTGTTTGAGGTCACATATCTAGTTGATGGCAATGCTGGGGCCAGAACCCACCTCCAACTTCAAGACTTTTTCCCACTAAGCCTTCCTCAACCATAGCTAGAACACCCTTCCTCATACCTGATGAAATGATACCTCATTACGGATTCAAAAACACCTTTGAAGATATTCACCTTGAAAGGTGAAGGTCAAGTTTCACCTTGAAAGCTGAAGGTCAAGGTCTGCTTTGGGGAAAAAGGTAAATGGACCTACCTGGGAATGCTACTGATCAGGCCTGGGTCTTTTATCTCACAGTCATATTAGCCTTCCCACCTAATTCCATTTTTAGGGTTTAAGCTTTTTAAATTAAATTAAATTTTATTTTATTCATTATTATTTGTTGAGATGGAGTCTCTGTTGCCCAGGCTGGAGTGCAGTGGCAGGATCTCGGCTCACTGCAAGCTCCACCTCCTGGGTTCATGCCATTCTCCTGCTTCAGCCTCCCGAGTAGCTGGGAATACAGGCGCCTGCCACCACGCCTGGCTATTTTTTTGTATTTTTAGTAGAGACGAGGTTTCACCATGTTATCCAGGATGGTCTCGATCTCCTGACCTCGTGATCCACCCGCCTCGGCCTCCCAAAGTGCTGGGATTACAGGCATGAGCCACTGTGCCCAGCCGGGTTTAAGCTTTTTAATTCTTTTCCAACCCAATCCCTGTCTGGCCATGTGTTACTACTATCTTGCTATTTCAAATTTCTCTCCAGCTGGGTAAATCTTCATTCTGTGTCCTAGCCCTGGGCTTTTCTCTTTGGTTTCCTCTCATCTGCCCAGGAGGCCAGCTTACCCTCCCACATCTCACTCAACTCTTCCCACTTCTATACTTTTCACCACTTTCATACTTTCTACTTCCTCCCTTCCACTGCTCTTGGAATGATGGCTTCTGAATTTTTTGCCTTCACCAAAACTGGATGACTTTTTTCCCTCTGCTGAAGGAGGTGGGGGGGCTGGGGGAAGCCGTGAAAGCCCCAAAATGCCATCTTTCATCTCATTTTCTATTTCTAGCACATATTCTATTTATAATTCTGCCTCCCTCATAGCAGATTGACACAGCACTCTGCTTAGTTCCCAGAATAAATGCAATTCAGAATGAGAGGCAAGTCCAGGCTCCCAGGATTCTTCTGCAGTCAGGCATTTGTTAGTGTTTTTTTCTGCTAGCATTTGAGGAGTGTCTCTGCTGGTAGCCCTGCTTCTCTGAACCCATCTTTCACTGTCCTGAAAATGCCTTCCATACAGGATTTTCTTCATGGCAGATTTCCTTTCCTGATCATGTCTGGACTAAGCTTATATCAAAGGCAGCTTTTATTCCCCACACATACATTGACTATGCCATAAAAGATATTTAAATATCTATAAGGTTGTAGAGGCAAAAAGGGGGTGATCCCTTTTCTCCTCATAAAGGGTCATGGCCAAAACTCCTATAACAAAAGATAAGATAAGAGACAAGCATAACAAATTTATCATGTGCATAGGAGTCACACAAAAAATATTCAAAACTCAAAAAAGGGCCAGATGAATGATGCTTAAATATCCTCTTCATTGGAGAGAGGAAAGTGAATGAACAGACCCAAGGACAAGATAATGATTTACAAAAGATTCTCTTTGGATGCTGAATGGAACCAAAGAACAAACAATAGCTTGTGGACAAGTTAGAGAAGGGTGTGGGGCAGAACTGCATTGTGAACAAGGGCTGTCTTATTATGCAAGTACGGTTCCCCAAGTAATTTCTCACAACTGCCCTTGGAAGAATAGATGAAAAGTCTGTCTGCATGTGGTTACAATTTCCAGTTTCTCCTCTTCTCCAGTGTTAATCCTTACTGGTTATTTGATGAGATTCCTAAGAAGAGGGTTTTAAGATAATTTCCTTTAATTTACAAGAAGTTTCCTCAGACAAATAGGGAAATTTCAGAGAAAGCCCCTTTTGGAAAATCAAAAGGATCAGAGAAACAGGAAGGCAGAGGAAAGTCAGAGGGAGACCTTAAAGGTGCTTCTTTACTTTGGCATGCCAGAGCAGCATATTTTGAGGTATTGGTTTCTGAGCCCCAACAAGGTAAATAACTATTATTATAACCATTTTAGAGTTGAAGAAAAAGGAGCAAAAACAATTTAATAATTTCTGCAAGGTGAAACCGCTAGTTACTATATTTGTCAAGAAGTCTCAATGTGTAGACATACATTACAAGATGACTTTGTATTTGGATATACTATGTGGGTTTGAGATAGGATTTTTTGGTACCTATAATAGTCATATTGGCAAACGTTACAATGGTGGCAGTAGAATATCTTGGTTAACAGTACAGACTCTAGAGACAGACTGCCCATATTCAAATTTCAGCTCTGGCACACCTAGCTGTGTGACCTTACTCAAGTTAATTAATACCTCTGTGCCTAAGTTTTCTCATCTCTAAAATTGGGATAATTATAATAGATAGTTAAGAAAATTAAATAAGATAATTAAATAGGCAGCTCCCTTACAGTAAGTCTTCAAAAAATGTTAACTAATATCCAAAGAAGTAATAAACACAATGACAAAAAGCATCAAATAAAAATTAACACACAAATTTTGGAGCCAAGATGGCCGAATAGGAACAGCTCCAGTCTACAGCCCCCAGCGTGAGTGATGCAGAAGACGGTGATTTCTGCATTTCCATCTGAGGTACCGGGTTCATCTCACTACGGAGTACCAGACAGTGGGCGCAGGTCATTGGGTGCGCGCACCATGCATGAGCCGAAGCAGGGTGAGGTATTGCCTCACTTGGGAAGCGCAAGGGGTCAGGGAGTTCCCTTTCCGAGTCAAAGAAAGTGGTGACCGATGGCACCTGGAAAATCGGGTCACTCCCACCCGAATACTGCGCTTTTCCGACGGGCTTAAAAAACGGCACACCATGAGATTATATCCCGCACCTGGCTCGGAGGGTCCTATGCCGAAGGAGTCTCGCTGATTGCTAGCACAGCAGTCTGAGATCAAACTGCAAGGCGGCAGCGAGGCTGGGGGAGGGGCGCCCACCATTGCCCAGGCTTGATTAGGTAAACAAAGCAGCCGGGAAGCTCAAACTGGGTGGAGCCCACCACAGGTCAAGGAGGCCTGCCTGCCTCTGTAGGCTCCACCTCTGGGGGCAAGGCACAGACAAACAAAAAGACAGCAGTAACCTCTGCAGACTTAAATGTCCCTGTCTGACAGCTTTGAAGAGAGCAGTGGTTCTCCCAGCACACAGCTGGAGATCTGAGAACGGTCAGACTGCCTCCTCAAGTGGGTCCCTGACCCCTGACCCCCGAGCAGCCTAACTGGGAGGCACCCCCCAGCAGGGGCACACTGACACCTCACAAGGCAGGGTACTCCAACAGACCTGCAGCTGAGGGTCCTGTCTGTTAGAAGGAAAACTAACAAACAGAAAGGACATCCACACCAAAAACCTAACTGTACATCACCATCATCAAAGACCAAAAGTAGATAAAACCACAAAGATGGGGAAAAAACAGAACAGAAAAACTGGAAACTCTAAAAAGCAGAGCAACTCTCCTCCTCCAAAGGAAAGCAGTTCCTCACCAGCAACGGAACAAAGCTGGATGGAGAATGACTTTGACGAGCTGAGAGAAGAAGGCTTCAGACGATCAAATTACTCTGAGCTACAGGAGGACATTCAAACCAAAGGCAAAGAAGTTTAAAACTTTGAAAAAAAAATTAGAAGAATGTATAACTAGAATAATCAATACAGAGAAGTGCTTAAAGGAGCTGATGGAGCTGAAAACCAAGGCTCAAGAACTACATGAAGAATGCAGAAGCCTCAGGAGCCGATGCGATCAACTGGAAGAAAGGGTATCAGCGATGGAAGATGAAATGAATGAAATGAAGCGAGAAGGGAAGTTTAGAGAAAAAGGAATAAAAATGAGCAAACCCTCCAAGAAATATGGGACTATGTGAAAAGACCAAATCTACGTCTGATTGGTGTACCTGAAAGTGATGGGGAGAATGGAACCAAGTTGGAAAACACTCTGCAGGATATTATCCAGGAGAACTTCCCCAATCTAGCAAGGCAGACCAACGTTCAGATTCAGGAAATACAGAGAACGCCACAAAGATACTCCTCGAGAACAGCAACTCCAAGACACATAATTGTCGATTCACCAAAGTTGAAATGAAGGAAAAAATGTTAAGGGCAGCCAGAGAGAAAGGTTGGGTTACCCACAAAGGGAAGCCCATCAGACTAACAGCGGATCTCTCGGCAGAAACCCTACAAGCGAGAAGAGAGTGGGGGCCAATATTCAACATTCTTAAAGAAAAGAATTTTCAACCCGGAATTTCATATCCAGCCAAACTAAGCTTCATAAGCAAAGGAGAAATAAAATACTTTACAGACAAGCAAAGGTTGAGAGATTTTGTCACCACCAGGCATGCCCTAAAAGAGCTCCTGAAGGAAGCACTAAACATGGAAAGGAACAACCGGTACCAGCCACTGCAAAATCATGCCAAAATGTAAAGACCATCAAGACTAGGAAGAAACTGCATCAACTAACGAGCAAAATAACCAGCTAACATCATAATGACAGGATCAAATTCACACATAACAATATTAACTTTAAATGTAAATGGACTAAATGCTCCAATTAAAAGACACAGACTGGCAAATTGGATAAAGAGTCACCCATCAGTGTGCTGTATTTAGGAAACCCATCTCACGTGCAGAGACACACATAGGCTCAAAATAAAAGGATGGAGGAAGATCTACCAAGCAAATGGAAAACAAAAAAAGGCAAGGGTTGCAATCCTAGTCTCTGATAAAACAGACTTTAAACCAACAAAGATCAAAAGAGACAAAGAAGGCCATTACATAATGGTAAAGGGATCAATTCAACAAGAAGAGCTAACTATCCTAAATATATATACACCCAATACAGGAGCACCCAGATTCATAAAGCAAGTCCTGAGTGACCTACAAAGAGACTTAGACTCCCACACATTAATAATGAGAGACTTTAACACCCCACTGTCAACATTAGACAGATCAACGAGACAGAAAGTCAACAAGGATACCCAGGAATTGAACTCAGCTCTGCACCAAGCGGACCTAATAGACATCTACAGAACTCTCCACCCCAAATCAAAAGAATATACATTTTTTTCAGCACCACACCACACCTATTCCAAAATTGACCACATACTTGGAAGTGAAGCTCTCCTCAGCAAATGTAAAACAACAGAAATTATAACAAACTATCTCTCAGACTACAGTGCAATCAAACTAGAACTCAGGATTAAAAATCTCACTCAAAACTGCTCAACTACATGGAAACTGAACAACCTGCTCCTGAATGACTACTGGGTACATAACGAAATGAAGGCAGAAATAAAGATGTTCTTTGAAACCAGCGAGAAAAAAGACACAACATACCAGAATCTCTGGGACACATTCAAAGTAGTGTGTAGAGGGAAATTTATAGCACTAAACGCCCACAAGAGAAAGCAGGAGAGATCCAAAATTGACACCCTAACATCACAATTAAAAGAACTAGAAAAGCGAGAGCAAACACATTCAAAAGCTAGCAGAAGGCAAGAAATAACTAAAATCAGAGCAGAACTGAAGGAAATAGAGACACGAAAAACCCTTCAAAAAATTAATGAATCCAGGAGCTGGTTTTTTGAAAGGATCAACAAAATTGATAGACCGCTAGCAAGACTAATAAAGAAAAAAAGAGAGAAGAATCAAATAGACGCAATAAAAAATGATAAAGGGGATATGACCACCGATCCCACAGAAATACAAACTACCATCAGAGAATACTACAAACACCTCTACGCAAATAAACTAGAAAATCTAGAAGAAATGGATAAATTCCTTGACACATACACTCTCCCAAGACTAAACCAGGAAGAAGTTGAATCTCTGAATAGACCAATAACAGGAGCTGAAATTGTGGCAATAATCAATAGCTTACCAACCAAAAAGAGTCCAGGACCAGATGGATTCACAGCCGAATTCTACCAGACGTACAAGGAGGAACTGGTACCATTCCTTCTGAAACTATTCCAATCAATAGAAAAAGAGGGAATCCTCCCTAACTCATTTTATGAGGCCAGCATCATTCTGATACCAAAGCCGGGCAGAGACACAACCAAAAAAGAGAATTTTAGACCAATATCCTTGATGAACATTGATGCAAAAATCCTCAATAAAATACTGGCAGACCAAATCCAGCAGCACATCAAAAAGCTTATCCACCATGATCAAGTGGGCTTCATCCCTGGGATGCAAGGCTGGTTCAGTATACACAAATCAATAAATGTAATCCAGCATATAAACAGAGCCAAAGACAAAAACCACATGATTATCTCAATAGATGCAGAAAAAGCCTTTGACAAAATTCAACAACCCTTCATGCTAAAAACTCTCAATAAATTAGGTATTGATGGGACGTATTTCAAAATAATAAGAGCTATCTATGACAAACCCACAGCCAATATCATACTGAATGGGCAAAAACTGGAAGCATTCCCTTTGAAAACTGGCACAAGACAGGGATGCCCTGTCTCATCACTCCTATTCAACATAGTGTTGGAAGTTCTGGCCAGGGCAATCAGGCAGGAGAAAGAAATAAAGGGTATTCAAGTAGAAAAAGAGGAAGTCAAATTGTCCCTGTTTGCAGATGACATGATTGTATATCTAGAAAACCCCATCGTCTCAGCCCAAAATCTCCTTAAGCTGATAGGCAACTTCAGCAAAGTCTCAGGATACAAAATCAATGTGCGAAAATCACAAGCATTCTTGTACACCAACAACAGACAGAGAGCCAAATCATGAGTGAACTCCCATTCACAATTGCTTCAAAGAGAATAAAATACCTAGGAATCCAACTTACAAGGGATGTGAAGGAGCTCTTCAAGGAGAACTACAAACCACTGCTCAAGGAAATAAAAGAGGATACAAACAAATGGAAGAAGATTCCATGCTCATGGGTAGGAAGAATCAATATCGTGAAAATGGCCATACTGCCCAAAGTAATTTACAGATTCAATGCCATCCCCATCAAGCTACAAATGCCTTTCTTCACAGAATTGGAAAAAACTACTTTAAAGTTCATATGGAACCAAAAAAGAGCCCTCATCGCCAAGTCACTCCTAAGCCAAAAGAACAAAGCTGGAGGCATCACACTACCTGACTTCAAACTATACTACAAGGCTACAGTAACCAAAACAGCATGATACTGGTACCAAAACAGAGATATAGATCAATGGAACAGAACAGAGCCCTCAGAAATAATGCCGCATATCTACAACTATCTGATCTTTGACAAACCTGAGAAAAACAAGCAATGGCGAAAGGATTCCCTATTTAATAAATGGTGCTGGGAAAACTGGCTAGCCATATGTAGAAAGCTGAAACTGGATCCCTTCCTTACATCTTATACAAAAATCAATTCAAGATGGATTAAAGACTTAATCGTTAGATCTAAAACCATAAAAACCCTAGAAGAAAACCTAGGCATTACCATTCAGGACATAGGCATGGGCAAGGACTTCATGTCTAAAACACCAAAAGCAATGGCAACAAAAGACAAAATTGACAAATGGGATCTAATTAAACTAAAGAGCTTCTGCACAGCAAAAGAAACTACCATCAGAGTGAACAGGCAACCTACAAAATGGGAGAAAATTTTCGCAACCTACTCATCTGACAAAGGGCTAATATCCGGAATCTACAATGAACTCAGACAAATTTACAAGAAAAAAACAAACAACCCCATCAAAAAGTGGGCAAAGGACATGAACAGACACTTCTCAAAAGAAGACACTTATGCAGCAAAAAAACACAGGAAAAAATGCTCATCATCACTGGCCATCAGAGAAATGCAAATCAAAACCACAATGAGATACCATTTCACACCAGTTAGAATGGCAATCATTAAAAAGTCAGGAAACAACAGGTGCTGGAGAGGATGTGGAGAAACAGGAACACTTTTACACTGTTGGTGGGACTGTAAACTAGTTCAACCATTGTGGAAGTCAGTGTGGCGATTCCTCAGGGATCTAGAACTGGAAATACCATTTGACCCAGCCATCCCATTACTGGGTATATACCCAAAGGACTAGAAATCATGCTGCTATAAAGACACATGCACACTATGTTTATTGCGGCATTATTCACTATAGCAAAGACTTGGAACTAACCCAAATGTCCAACAAGGATAGACTGGATTAAGAAAATGTGGCACATATACACCATGGAATACTATGCAGCCATAAAAAATGATGAGTTCATGTCCTTTGTAGGGACGTGGATGAAACTGGAAATCATCATTCTCAGTAAACTATCGCAAGAACAAAAAATCAAACACCGCATATTCTCACTCATAGGTGGAAATTGAACAATGAGATCACATGGACACAGGAAGGGGAATATCACACTCTGGGGACTGTTGTGGGGTGGGGGGAGGGGGGAGGGATAGAATTGGGAGATATACCTAATGCTAGATGACGAGTTAGTGGGTGCAGCACAGCAGCATGGCACATGTATACATATGTAACTAACCTGCACAATGTGCACATGTACCCTAAAACTTAAAGTGTAATAAAAAAAATTCAAAAAAAAAAAATTAACACACAAATAGAGGCGTTTGCTCCTAGACTGAGCTATGAAAAATGAGGCTTCCTTTGGAAAATTCCAATTAGGCTTTCATCTGTTAACATTTAAAGTATAGTGAAAATTAAAAAATAGTACAAAAACATAGTAACTTAATTTTGACTCTATTGTATGTCATAAAATAATTAGCTATTCACTCTTCTCAAATGAAGAGAACTGGTAGCTCACTGCTGGGTGAGCCCTCAGATGAAAACTCATTCACAGAAAGAACCAGGATCAGTTTTCTAGCATTTAGGAAAAAAAAATCCAAAGAGATATAAACAAAAGTCTGCAGACACGGCCCAGAGAAAGTCTGATATATGAATAGAAGCTAAATGAGCTAGGAAGAATGCCTTTCTCACCCCTCCAAATCGACACTTACAAGTTCCCAAGCTTGATGACCTTGGCTCATCCTAAATAAGACATCTGTACCACATCTGGTAAGACAGGGGCTGAGGGGATACAGAATGAAAGAATTTTATACTGAAATGGGACACTGGTCCAAACACTGAGGCAATAGAGATCCTGCAAGCAGGAGTAAGTGACTCACACAAAATGGCTAGAATCCAGGTTTCCAAGCATGGTCGGTTCAGTGCTCTTTGATTCTACCAACTTGCCTCATTTATGTATGTGTAAATATGTGTATTCATGGATATATATATATTTATTACATGAATGTGTTATATATGTATATATACAAATATGTGTTTATGTGATTGGATATTTATATGCATGAATATGTTAACAGATATGCATCATATCTGTATTTTTATAAATACATGTATTTCATTCTGTATATTCTATCAAGTACGTACTGACAGCTCTGTTGCATAATTTATGTCATGAATAATTGATAATATCCATACAGGAAGTTTAGGTTAATTTACATCAAAATGTTTTTTGAACACATTTAGAAATTTTTCACAGCTACACACACAGCTGCATGGTTACAGATTCGGTTTTTGTGTTCATGGACTTTGTTTTGCTGATGCAGTGCTGAACGGCAGAGGCATTTTCAAAAAAGCACATCTCAAAGGACAAGATCAAATGACATTGTAACTGAAGTCTGCATTTTTGGTAAGACTTTCCCTCTGCTTCTTTGTCACCATGCATGAGACAAGCTGTGCTGTGCTGTTTCAGACAAAGGGGCTTGCGAGAGACAGGCATTAAGACTTTCCTTTATTTCTTATGTATTTGTTTATTCACAGTGTGCAAAACCATGTCCTCCCTGTTTACCCTTGTAATAGAAGGAAATTGTAATTCACTTCCTTAATGAAAAATATGCTATGGTTTACCTCACATGTAGAAAAAAGCCATTATTACCACCACAGCTATTGTTTTCCATTAATAAAATTCATTCATTTCATCTAAATCAGAATAACATTTCTTTTTCTCTTAACTCTTACTTTTCTTTTAGATAATAATCAAAGCTCAGTGGTAAGAAAAGTTATAAGGGCCCCTTGGTCAAATGCCATAATCTCCTAAACCTTCCCTTGTATAGAGATCAGAACTGCAATTCAGGCACATTGATTGGTTTGATTTCTTTGCATTGAAATAGTCTGCTTTTCCCCATCACACTAGGATGTCGAAAAGTGAGGAATAATTGCTATGTTCTGTCATTTTGATCTTTATTAGAATGTGATGTTGGGAATCTGCTTATTGGCATATTCAGCCTTGTTACCAAGATGTGTGCTGTTGAGGCCATAAAATAGACAGCTCAACTTGAAGATTAAGGCAATTGCATGCCATTATGTTCAATGCTGGTTTGCAGTTTGGGGGTAGTAAGTATGTCTGCCAGGCAGGCAAGTTCTGTTACATGGCACTGGTACAGTGCCTAGCACTTAGGGGACTAGGTGAATGAATGAATAAGCACGTGCATTTTGCCATTCCCCCATACCACTGGTATCATTGTTTTGTCTATTTTTTGCCCCAATAATCAATTTTAATTTATAAATATTGTATAAAAGAAAGTTGTGTAAAGCAAGTATCTTTTGCTGGTTATTATTAATAAAATTCATATGTAAGTATAGCACCATTTATTTAAATTCAGTGTTGTATTCCTTCCACACAAATGTAGGACATAGAACACACCTTGGGAAACACTGAAGTTGGAAAGTTCTCAAGTAATAATAATAGCGATAATAAAGAAGAGTTATACAAAGCAGCTATCATTTAAGTATCCAGTATCTACAGAGTTAGCTCCTTCAATTTAATTGTCATACCTAAGAGGAAATCGTTATTTTTCCCACTTTACAGGCAAGAAAATTGATATTCAACAAAGTTAAGAATTCATATGATAAAACTTATAACAATCATAAAATAGTTATTGATAAAAACTGATTTTATGCTGAGATTTATCAACAATATAGTATTTGATTTTCACAATGACGCTATGAAGTGAGAATTGTTGTCTTCATTAACAGATACTTAATAACGGAAACTTAAATAAATAGCCCAGTCCCTTAGCTACTAAGTGGAATAGTCAGTATTTGAGCCACCTGTCTCTATGACCTAATCCTGCAACACATGCCGTAATCTAGGAGAACTTGCAAATTCCACCATAGTAAAGAGCATACAGTAGTCCCTCCTTATCCAGAAGTGATATGTTCCAAGACCCCCAGTGGATGCCTTAAATCTCCAATAGTACAGAACCCTATGTATACTTGCATGATTTTTTTTTCCTTCTTCACAATTTCACAGGTAGAAGATTTATTATTACCACAGATTTTAGCAACCTCAGCATACCATTTTTTCTCACCTTAGTAAATGGAGAACTTTCACTTTTTCACTGAAAAAGGAAGCATTTTACAGCTTCTCTTTGGTATATCCAAACTGCCAGCATCACTACTCTTGTGCTTTGAGGCCATGATGAAGTAAGAGAAGGGTTACTTGAACGTAAGCACTGCAATGTTACAGCAGTCCATCTGGTAATTGAGCCGGCTATGAAGTGACTAACAGATGGGTGGGTAGAAAGTGTGGATATGCTGGACAAAAGAAGGATTTGTATCCAAGGCGAGGTGGAGCAGGAGCGCAGATTTCCCCAGGCCACTCAGAACGCTACATGACTAAAAACTTACAAATTGTTTATTTCTAGAATTTTCCATTTAATTTTTTTGGATGGTGGGTAAGCCAAACTGCAGATAAGGTGAAACTATTGTACTTTATAGAATGGAGCAGTAGGAATACTTTCGAGATATTCTAGTTCCACTGTGTCACTCACAGGAAACAATTCTAAAACTGTAAGTTACCAAACTCATCAGTTACTATGATTTCAAGTGAATACAAGAACTAAGCTTGCTTTTTTTTTAAACTGTTCATTGGTGAAGGTGGCAGAGAATCATTCAGCATCGGTGAAATAATCAAGTATTTTTGGACTGTTAACCAAGTCATTCAGAGCTGTGTGTGTATAGCTTGTTTTTATAAATTGAGAAGAAAGTCATCTAGCTCTAAGAGCAATGAAAGGTTACCAGTTGACCTTTTGTCTTCTTTCGGGAAGCACAGAGGAGCAAGGAACAATTCAAATTTCGAGGGGAGAGGATCCACAAAGTGTTGTTTGTTTTCTTCCATTTGATTTCTATATTCAGCTGAGCACTTCCTTGAAACTGATGCCCAGAGCTGTCATTTATCCACTTTTCCATTATCACATCTGAATCCCGCAGGCCCACTTCAAATGTGGAGGGATACACCGGCAGTTTCTGAATGGATTTCTTCAACAATGCCGCCCAATTGACTCACATTTAAAAATACTTTGATCGACCCATCTCTTTGTCACATGAAGCTGGAAACACTAATGGAGGCTGTTGGAAAGAAAGGTCTGGTTCTGTGGCCAAATACCTTGACTTTACCAAAAACAGATTTTTCTGTCTCTTCAGAAGAAGAATTACATGCAATGGGAAGACTGATGTTCCTCTGTCAGAAAGCTACCTTGGAACAGGTGCTCCCAATTAATTTCCATGAGCCACATTTATCCTGTGGCCAGATAATTAAAAAAAAATAACCTGGATAAATCTTCTTTTGCCAGTCTAATAACCATAGTTGATGTAATAAAACAGCAAGCACTTAGGAATATTCCAATAAAAAAGATTTATTTTTATTCTGGTATATATTACAATGAATAATATTATTGATATTATAGAATTTAAAAATTACATTAAATCAGAGCTATTTATGTTTATTATGCAAAATGTATGAAATATAGAAAAATATAAAGAAAAATTTCAATACACAGAAATATGGATATGCTTTATTTTCACTCCATTTTCACATATATATTGACATAGATGTAGTCAAACATTATTTAGAGTTTTATGAATTAATAACACAGTCATTAACCAAGTAATATTCATAGTCATTGCAAACTAATTGGAAAACATAAATAAATAAACTATAAGCATCACTTTCTTTTTAGTAGCACAATACTTTTTCTGATACATGTTATTTCTATTTGTTTGCTTTAAAATTCAAAAGATTATATTTATGCAGTAATGGATTTTTGTGGTTGTTATAGAGCCCATGTGCCCTGGGGAAGGATTTTAAATATCATGAAACTGAGTTCTTTCCAGTTTTCTTTCTCATTCTTCAGCCCCCTAGCAAAGATTTGACTGAGATATAAAAGAGACAATTACGTACTCTATTACCAATTCGGATGGACTTTATGGTATTTAAATGAACAAAGCTCTCTTTGTCATTTCATTAACATGATTCCTTTTCAGAGAATGAGCAGTTCTCATCTACTTCCTCCATTTTGGGAAAACAGCCCAATTTTTCTCAAGCTCATTTGAAAGGCAAAATGGTTGTTGATCTCTCCATAATTGATTGAGGATGTGTCTGGCCTCTGAGAGTACCTGAATCCATGGCTTATCTCAGACCACACTAGAGTGAGAAGTGCCATGTTCTATTTGGGTGGAATAGTTAGAGGTTCAAAACCACAGAACATAATAACCATTATTAATTTATAATTCCGTGGCATTTGTTAGCTTGTTTTTCTCATTTTTTCTTTTTCCCTCTTAAAAAATGAAATGTGTAACATCTGAGAGTTAGTTGTTCTAAAAGAGTTCAAATTTAAAATGCTGAATTTCTTCATTTGAACTTTACCCAATTATGAGAATTTTAATACTTGCAAATTATTTTTTATTGTTTTATTTTACTTTTAAAAGTAATTTTATACATTAGCTAGTCTTACTAATTAAAATGCATACATCCAAATTGCCCATATTTAAGAAGCATGTCAAAAATAAATAAAAATAATGGATCCAGATGAACAATGAGCTTTTATTTTACTTTGGCATATTTTAAGAACTATAAGCTCAGAAGAATGTATGCATATTATTTTATATATTGTACATTATTATATGCACATTATCATATACACATAAGCATATTCATGTATTACCTATCATAGATGTTTGAAATGCTTGTTTCCCGGTGCCGTAAAGAATAGCACTTGAACATAAATTTAATTTACTCAGCAAGGCCATTTTTATACTTTCTGCGGAAAGGGTACACTTGCCAGCAGTTTTGCCATGAGAGTACACCGAACAAAGGAGACAGGGTTATTTATAACCTGAACTGTCCGCCATACTGTTGTGTCCAGTTCCATTGGCTGGAACGGGACCTCACATTTTGTTTTGTCCCGATTGACTAGCAACTTAGAACTTTTTAAAGAGGCAAGGGTAGAAGAGAACAAAGGAAAGAGGAAGTAACTTGTGGAATGCTGAGAAAGGTAAAAAACACCTTTAAATAAGGAAAAGGAACAGGCTATGACCTAATGCTTGCTTCGACCAGTATAAGCCTGCCAGGGCAAATATTTAGGCCAAATTGTGGGAGCTAAGAACATAAAGTACATTGATTTCTTTACCACAGCTAGCAGATATTTAAGAATGTTAGCACAGGTCTTTGAATAAATTTTGCTTCTAAGAGAAGCTACTATTTATTCCTAATTAAATGGGGAGGAAAATCTTTGAAAAGGAACCTTTACTTTATTTTTTACAATAGAGTTCAATACAAAAAGCTGGGAAGGGGCCGGGTGTGGTGGCTCACGCCTGTAATCCCAGCACTTTGGGAGGCTGAGGCGAGCAGATCACAAGGTCAGGAGATCGAGACCATCCTGGCTAACACGGTGAAAACCCATCTCTACTAAAAATACAAAAAATTAGCCGGGCGTGGTGGCGGGCACCTGTAGTCCCAGCTACTTGGGAGGCTGGGGCAGGAGAATGGCGTGAACCCCGGAGGCAGAGCTTGCAGTGAGCTGAGATGGTGCCACTGCACTCCAGCCTGGGCGACAGAGTGACACTCCGTCTCAAAAAAAAAAAAAAAAAAAAACCTGGGGAGGATTTTCTGCTTGATAGATACTAAGAAGAGACCTCCATATTGTCTCTTTGGGTCTTGGTAATGCTTATATAAGCTACCACCTTGTATAAGACATTGAACCACATACCTTGAGCATGCTCTCTCAGTGTTACTCTTCTAAGAGTGAAAAGAAGTAGTCCAGTATTGAACATTAGTTAAAATAAGGACCCAAATGTCTGTGTAATTAAGTTCTTAAACAACAGAGTAGAAATGGAAGCAAACTTTAAATACCCTACTTAAGATGGATCTGTAAAATTCTTTGGAACTACCCAAGTTTCTGTGTTACTTCATGGATCTTTTGCCTAAGATGAGACCTCTTCCTCGAGTGCTCTTTTATCCATTTCAACTCACCCCTGAGACCCTTAATTTAGCTAAATCACATTCACTGTTTGAGTAAAGTGAGTACAGATTTTGGGGACCTAAAGCATATGCAGGTTTGAGGGACTTATTTTAAGAAAAAGAATATAAAGTTACAAATAGAAAAGGTATGTTGGACATGAATGTTGATTACGAATAAGAAAATAAATCACAAAAATAACTGCACACTTAAGATTCAGCCCATTTTCTTCCAAGATCTCTTTAGGCAATTTAATGAAAATGCTTGAGAGGAAATGATACCTGTTTGCATCCTGGATTTTCCTCCCCAACTTTTAACACCCATTCCTCTCAGGGACCTGCCCAAGGGAGAAACCAAAAAACTGAAATTTCTTTAAAAATTTTGTTTTAATTGACACATTGTATATATGGGGTACAATGAAATCTTATCATCTGTGATAACACGAATAGACTTGGATCACATCATGTTAAGTAAAATAAGCCAGACGCAGGACAAATAATAATCACACTCATGTGAAATCTAAAAAAAAAAAAAAAAAAAAAAAGAGTTGGTATCATAGAAGCAGAGTGGAACAGTGGTTAACCAGAGACTGTCGGGGAAGAATGAAGAGAGGTTGGTCAAGGGCTTCTTGAGCATTATGGTGAGTTTCAGGCTATCCCTTCTTGAAAGAAATCTTCTCTGTTTGCTTTCAGTATTCCTCCCCTGAGCTTCTGTGGCATATTATATCCTCCTCTATCTTAGCATTTACCACCTTGTAGTTTAAGTGCCCTAATTAGAATAGGAGTCTTTAGGACAGGAAATTTGAATCCCTCCCCATTTTATCCCCAATTTTCAGCACAGTTCTTATCATACAATATGCACCAAATAAATATTTTCCAATAATAGCAAATAATTGCATAGTGCTTACCATATACCGGGCTCTCTTCTAAGTATTTTACATCTCTTCAGTAGAACAAAGCTAACTTTCTTATCAATATTATATACATGAGGAAACTAAGAAGTAGAGAGCTTAAATAACTTGCCCAAGTCCAGAGAGTCAGTTCACAATGGAGCTGAAATTCAAACCCAGACAGTGTGCTAATACAGTTCATGCTCTTGACCCTATGCAATACTGCCTCTCAAAAGGAATGCTTTTCTTCACTCCTGCTTTAAGTGGCATTTCAACTCTATGCCTCAAGGCATGGTTTGCTACAATGGCCGACTCCTTAAGAATTGATAATCCAATTTGTGAATTTTTGAAGACTTGCAGCCTCTTCACCCCCGCTACAGCTTCTTGCCTGTAGGAAACACTTACATGCTTGTTAGTACCTCCCCAGAGATGTTGCCAGGAGAGGAGACCATATTACTTCCTTTGTCTTCTACACACCCCAGTTATTCTTAATCCTACTGGGGTCTCTAAAAGCTAATCTTGCAGTAGCTTGTCTGTACATGTGGATTCCAAATAGGAAGTAACCCTTTATTATCTATACTTACCCTTTTCACCCCTTAAGGGTTGATCATCCAAACCAATCCTCTCCTTGGAAAGATGTGTTAAGTACATAAATGGAAGCTCAAAATATGTCCTTTCAGCAGTTGAAAGATTTTTAGTGGGAGAGTGACAGAATAAAAACTATATTTAAGGAGGATTAGGAGATGCATTGCAGAAGAGGAAGAGATGGGAGATGAGGAGATGAGTGAAGAGCAAATTGGTTTCACATTGCAGCAGCTTCCAATGTGGACACTGACCCTGCAAACCTGCCAACCATTTCTAACACTTTACTTTAAAATAATTATTTCCTGAAACTGATTTTGGCATAATTTCCCAAGTCTAGTGATTCTCATAACAATTTATTTTGAGAACCTTGTGTATCAGTCCATTCTCATGCTACTATAAAGAACTGCCCAAGACTGGGTAATTTATAAAGGAAAGAGGTTTAACTGACTCAGTTCCGCAGGGCTGGGGAGGCCTCAGGAAACTTACAATCATAGTAGAAGGGGAAACAAATGCATCCTTCTTCAAATGGCATCAGGAAGGAGAAGTAGTGCTGAGCAAAGGGAGAAAAGCCCCTTATAAAAATCATCAGATCTTGTGAGAACTCACTCCCCATCATGAGAAAAGCAGCATGGCGGTAACTGTCCCCATGATTCCGTTACCTCCGACCAGGTCCCTCCCATGACACATGGGGATTATGGGAACTACAATTCAAGATGAGATTTTGGTGAGGACACAGCCAAACCATATCACCTTGTGAGGAGAATATTTATTTAGTTTTGAAGATAAAGTTGGCATAGGCAAAAGGTTAATTAAAGTAATAATTTATACTTATATTTCATAGCCAGCAAGCAAAGCTGACTAAAATTTCCTTATATCAAGGTTTATTTCTATTATGTAGAATTTTTTGTTTGTAACAGGAATTAAGCTCTGGGGAAATTTCTCTTGAAACGTACAGGCATCTAAAGAGGGAAGGCTTCTCTAGCCAAGAGATAGCTTTTGCGATTTTGTAATCCAGACTGTATATGTTTTATGCAACATTAATCTGCCTCATTTTGCTCAGATGAGAGGTTTTATATGTCATTCCCAGGAAAAAAATTGGTGACCATAACCGCATAATGAAGTTGACTTCCTAGTAGCTTATCAGGATTGGGTTCCTGAAATTTTTCAAAGCATTCATGAAGCCTGGCAGAAATAAGCAGAATTATTTCACAGTAAAATTTCATTCATTTAGAAGGTACTCATTTGAAGTTTATGATCGTGGGGAATGGCTGGAGTGACCTTTAACGGGCATTACCTACTCAACAGAGTTTTATAAAACCTATTGAGGAAAGCAAACTCTTTTAAAGCATTTGTTATCACTTTAGAGACACCATTTCAAAAGCTTATGAATTAATTAAAATAATTATTACCTCCTTATTTAAGCAAGTCTCCTAGAATTTCTGTCTTATTAATGCTACTAGCTTAGTTTGAGTTCATTTACATCTTAAAATACCACTTTTAAAATTTTGATCTAATTCTTGTCATTCCAATCACTATCACTTCTTTGTTTGACACTATTTATTTTGTATTGACTTAATAGAATAGACATTTTTGTCCATCTGAAGATGTTATTTGGCAAATATTCAATGAAATTATTATGCATTGGATACTTTTCTAATATGTGGCCATTTTGGAGACTTTAGGGATGGGTTTTCATACAATATAGTTTTTTAGTGCTCAAGTCAGGCTGTCTTTTGATAATTACCAGTTTCCTTGTCCTTGTGTCCATTTTCAGTGTAGGAACTGCTTTTTGTTAAGTGTGGGTTCCCTTTTTGCAGTATGGCCTAGCATTTGGTAGAAGCTTATTATTTTTCTTGAAAAACAAATTAATGAATGAGTCAACAAATGAGTGACTCAGGCTTTTATTTGTTGTGCACTAAATCTGAAGTCAATAATTTTAGAGACTACAGAATTATTTGGCAAAGAAGATCCCGGCATGGTATTCCATCTACATGGAAAGGAGCTACAAGGATCCAAGAGAGCAGGGAAGTGGAATATTGTTAAGAAGACAACAGACAGGCACCAAAGTGCTACATAGGCACAGAGGGTCCAGAGAGTCAGCAAGAATGACCCCTCAGTGAAAGTCCAACTATGGGGCCAGAAATGTTAGCTATATCCCCAAATCAGTGAGAGGCAAATAGGGGAATATCTCCATGTTTGAAAAACTATACATTTGTTTACTCACTTTTCACACAGTTGTTAATCTCAACTATTTACAGTGTACTACTACTATTTACCAGATAGTATATTAGCTGCTGTCTAGAACATATGGTTATGTCTGGCATCTGATGGTTGCTCAATATCTGTTTATTGAATGGAATTGGCTAAAGAGAAGTGACATAAAGTGAGTAAGGCTGAATTAAATCTCAAACAAAGGGAAGACAAGCTTAGGCAAGTTGCCCATGAAGTAATGAAGCAGCCATGAGTCTCTCCACAACTTTCTCTGCACCTTATCAGCGACACTGAACCTCACCCAGAATGTTTTGTAGTCAAGCATGCTATCCAAATTTATTGTTACATCTTCTTATATAATTTATCATTGGCTTTTCTGTTCATAAAGCAGAAGAGTGAATTTGAGTTAGAGAAGATTTCCTGGCTCTTGAAGAACTGCAGTCAATGTGTCACAAGCCCACAGTCCCATGTGGACTCAGTAATACCTACAGTAGAATTAGCTATGACTGGATAAACACAAAATCATACATTTACTAGTTGGTCATCACTCCTGTTTTGATCAGCTAATCTGTGTAAACATGGAGATGAAACATTAAGAGTAGGCAATCCAAAGAGCAGTGAAAGAAACAGGTACTTTTTTTGTATTAAAAATGTTTTTATTTTCTCATTGAGTACTACACCGAGCTGCTGAGTCTTATGGTGAAATAAATTGAAGCCTAAAGATCTTCTTCCAGTTTTTCTGTATACAACCAAAGGCTTATGACCATATTAAGTATGGGGAAGAGAATTGTCCTTGTGTATCTACAGTTCCTAAGACTATTTTGCATACAATAAACTGATCAAAATCAGCTAATTGAACTGACTTTGGAAAATGCATGTGAATTCAGTTGGCAGACAGAAATCACGCTGCCAGATCAGCTATAGCATATAAGAGGGGAATGAGAAGACAATGAAATCAAGGATGGATTAATCTCAAAGGGGAGAGAATATGCACTAACAAATCCTGAAGTGGAATTGGAAGAACAGAGATAATAGCCATGGATCAAGAAGAACAAAACAAGCTGATAATTGAGGAGTCCTGTTGATTCACATTTTAGACCCTAATTTTGACACTGTCAACTGATAAACATAGTCTTCCAGCATTTCTTTCAGAGGAATAGCTCATATGTCTATTAAATATGAGTTAAAAATCACCTGAATGTCTATGCTTCTTTGTAGTTATAATAATAATTTGAAAATCTTGGCATTTCTAGAAACTTCTGTAGGTTGAGTCATATCTCATCCCCCAAAATCTTGTCTTTCATGATGCCAACAAATACTTGACATTATGTAGGTAAATCAAATGTTGCAAGAAATGTTTATGTAGTCTCTATATATTTAAAGCCAACAGCTTTACTCCCTTTCTTTTGAAGCATAAACTTTACATTTTGGGTGATGTGGTGGTGAGGTGTTCTGGTTCTTATGCAGCAAATCGATGGCATTAACATGTTTCAACTATAAATTATCTGAGAAACTATCAGCTTTTAAAATTTTTTATTCATAAAATATCAAGGACTAACAGTAGAAATTTATGGCAAGCCTACTATATAACAGTAAGAAGGAATACATTAAAAAAAGAAACCAAAGCCACTCCTGTTAAAAAAAATAGATTAAAAAAGAAGTATATAATTTGTTTCCTAATTGTACAGTGTGGACTAAAATTTTGTAGATGTCCAGAAGACATCATGAGTAAATATTAATAGTTGTAAAGGCCAGGAGATTAAACTTGACATGTGGTTGGCTCCAGATGTGACCTTGAGCCTCCCTGACTAGAAAGTCACTGCTCTTTTCCAAATACTCCAAAACTAGAAAAAGCTAGCTTGGAAAATTTGCTGAGCCAGGAAAAAAAGAAGAAAAACTGATTATGCACTAAACTCTAAGAAGATCAGAGAACACATTCTCAAGACAAACCTCAAAGGTGAGAAATCATCTGTTTCCAAGAAAACAGGACTTGCAAAGTCTACTCCGGCATTTTTGCCAAAGAATATCGAGTTTAAATAAAGGCAGGCATAAAATGAACTTTAAAAGATTCACTGAAAATATATTCTTAAAAGAAATCTGCCGTGGCTAATGAAATGGTCACATTAATAAAAAGATCATTTCAAAGTCTATTTTACACTTTTCTTCTCCAAAGAAACTCAAAGTCATTTATGATATTACCCGAGAGCCCAAACTGTCAAATACTAGAGAAAGTAAAGGTATGAAGTGATGAAAATAAATACCTGAATCATAGTTCTCATACCCTGACGAATCACCTATGCTCTTAAAGTGCTCTTAATCTTGACTACAGAGCTTTTACACAGAGTAAGTGAAAAGTAAGGGGAGGTTGGTGGGTTTAAAATGGGTTCTTTTTTTTATTATTATACTTTTAAGTTTTAGGGTACATGTGCACATTGTGCAGGTTAGTTACATATGTATACATGTGCCATGCTGGTGCACTGCACCCACTAACTCGTCATCTAGCATTAGGTATATCTCCCACACAATACATAAATAGACGTGTTATGGGGGAAGAGGGAAAGGCAAAAGGAGTAGCAGCTCCAGCACTAGAGTTGAAAGTTCAAAGCTTTCCCTTGTTAAACTCAGAGAGGGTACAAGGAGCACACTGCCTTCTCCTGGCTCAGAGAAAGGCGCTCAACTGTGAATACGGTTCTAAAGACAATGTATCTAGCTCTTTATCTTTATGCACACACACAACACACACACACACATATATACAAACAGGCACATATATACACATATGCACACACAGACACTCAATTTGAGATCTCCCTACTTGCCTACCAAAATCTCGAATACACATGCAGACACACACACATGCACATTAGGAACACACACATGCATGCACACACACCAGCACACTCTTGCACATGCCTGTGCACACACATCACACATGAACGCACCACAATGTGTATCTCACACCCACACACAAACGTGTATGTACACAAGTGCACATCACACAATGTATGCCAATGCGTGTGCCATATGTGCATATGTACTTCCTGTAGACACACATGCACAGACTCTCAGACACCCAACCCTCACACACTTATGTAATGCACATAGGAAAACACACAACAAAACAAACACAGAGATGCACACACATTGGATAAGTATTCACTCACATATCACAAGGCAGGCATGCAGACACTCATATACATCCATGCACACATGCACACAGGCACACGTACAGATATACTTGCAGACACAGGTGCACATATAATAATCAAAGACTACCGATTAAATACATCTCTACTAAAATGTTGGGAATTTTAAGTTATAAAGAAGGGAAATGAAAAAAGAAATCAGAAATCAATACCCATGTTATTGGATAGAGTAAACATATCTTCAAGTCCCTGAGACCTTCACTTGCAGAATGGAGGTTGCCATTTTAATTCAAGAGAAGCCCAGCGTTAATGCCAAAGCAAGTTATAGTAGGTGTGTCTAACTCTAAAATGTCAGGCAGCACTGCTTAATCCTCTAAATACACAATTCAGTTCCCAGCTGAGTTGAGCAATTCAATCAAGGTCACTGAGAATGGTAAACAGCCGTAGCCTGACTAACATTTGAACATGAACCACAGGACCACTCCCCTAAATTCATTTCAATATTTCATTTCATAAACAAGATAGGGAAATGAATTTAAAATACAGATTTCTCCATTTAAAATTCTATTTAATTCATCATCATAGATTAGAAGTTTGACAGTGACGAGGTGCTTATAATATATGTATGAATCTGTTGCATTTTAAGCGCATTCATACACATATGGAAGATTGAGATATGTGCATATAACTGGTGTTCTCTGCATTGAAGACGTCCAGCTAGCAGCCAATATACTTTGTGGATGCCAAATTATGCTATTTTAAATATGATTAACAACAGCAAATTAGAAACAAAAACATCTCCAAAGCTCCATCTTACATACATTTAAATAATTATTTTTGTGTGTGGAAAGACCAATATTCTGCAGGTGTGCAGATATAAAGCATAATTCTTTACCACCCTCTTGTGGTGATTTTAAAGAACAACTTTCTGATCATTGAATCTCCCTCCCTATTTCTAGAGTAATATTGAGCCTCTACACTTCTTTTAAGGTGATTCATAAGAAATTGCAGATATTTGACAATTTTTGACCTACAGAATGGTGATTTCATATGATATTGCTGCAATTAATCATTGTCCATGTGCTCTGAAGCCAAGGAGAATTCATGTACCATTTACTTGGATTTTTAAAACTTATCCTTCCATAAGAATTCCCTGTCTAGCTTTAAGAGTAAACAGAATTTCATCTTACCCTTCCTATCCACAGTTTTCTTGCTATTTATCAACATGACCTAACTCATTAGAGTTGGTTCCATCCCTATGCTGTACGCATGATGCCTTCTTTCCTAACTGCTCCTCACTTCACTGCGGTCCCTTCCTGCCTCATCCAATAGCTATGCAGTCTTTATTACCCAGATAGATGTAACTTTCTTGGATATATCCAGTGCACTTAGATCTGTGCCTTCTCTCTATTCCAATGACTATAACCTGAATCTAATCAATTAATTGTCCTATACTGTCTTATTTACCAGCAGTTTTTTTTTAATTTCTCACTTATACATTAATATATCAACTCCCCAACCATATGCTGAGAGAGGAATTTCTCTCTCTCTCTCTCTATCTCTCTCTAGTGCAGGCAGAATAATGGTCTCCCAAAGATGTCCATAGCTAATCCCCAGAAACAGTGAATATGTTAGGTTGTATAGCAAACGACAGTTAAAGGTGCTACCCAGCTGACATTAAAATAGGAAGATTATCCCAGACTTTCAAGGTGGACCTAATGTCATCTCTTCAAAAGTGCAGGAGGAGACAGAAGCAAGAGAATTGGAAAGACGGCAGCCTCAAAAGTATTCAGCCAAACCTTGCTGGTTTTGAAGATGGAGGAAGGGAGCCATGAGCCAAGGAATGTGGATGACCTCTAAAAGCTAGAAAAAGCCACAGAATGGTTTCTTCCTTACAGCTCCCAGAAGGACTGCAGCCCTACAGATACTTTCATTTTAGCCTAGTAATCTATTTTGGACTCTGACCTCCAGAACTATAACATAAAATATGTATTACTTGACACTAAATTTGTGGTAATTTGTTGCAGCAGCAATAGAAAAAGCTCCATCTATTCATGGCTTTAGACAGGCTCTGGTAGGAGAGGTCTTGAGGTAGAGGGAAGAAGCATAGAGAGGAGACAACACAAAACCTAAGAGTCTCTGTCTTACACAGGCTGCCATTATCTTTAGAGTTAGAAAGACACGGCTTCTACTGACCCCATTACTTGTTAAACTCTTGAACATGTGGCTCAACCTCTCTAAGACTCAGCTCCTTCCCTCAAAATGAAAGAAGGGAGGATTTATAAGGTATCATCCAACATAGGCTTATTAGGATTTTAGATATATAAACTTCTAACTGCTAAGCTTTACAGGCATCATTTAGCAAAATTTCTCTTTCTCTATCTAAACATACCAGTTTTGTAGGAAATTCTCAAGCCTCAGAATAGATAACAAATGGAGTATGTAGGGAAGGAAAAATCTTTTCCCTTTACCCATCTGCAATGGACTGAATGTTTGTGTTCCCCCAAAATTCATATTGAAACTTGAATCCCAATATAATGGCGTTTAGAGGTTGTGGCCTTTGGGAAGTAATTAGGTCATGAGAGTGGAACTGTCATGAATGGGACTAGTGCCCTTACAAGAGCAGGCTGGACAGCTAGCTTGTTCTTTTTACATTATGTGAGGATACAAGGAGATGCCAACTGTGCAAACTGGAAGAGGACTCTTACCAGACCCTAACTATGCTGGCACTCTGATCTAAGACTTCCAGCCTCCAGGATTGTGAGAAATAAATATTGGGTCTACGGTAATTTGTTATAAAAGCCCGAATAGAATAAGACACTATCTTATGTTCATTGTAAACTAAACTCACAAAAGACAGATTAATATGAGAAAAACAAAGAGTTTATTAATATGTGCAGTGCACATCACTTGGGAGAAACCTCAGTGACAAGTGACTCAAAGGGGTGATTAAACTTGAGCATACCAGACTGGGCAGCATAGCAAGACCACATCTCTACAAAAAGTACAAAATTAGCTAGGTGTGGTGGTGTGCACCTGTAGTCTTAGCTACTTGGGAGGCTGAGGCTAGAGGATCCCTTGGGCCAGGAGTTGGAGGCTGCAGTAAACTATGATCACATCACTGCATTGCAGCCTGGGTGACAGAGCAAGACCTTGTCTCAGGAAAAATAAAAAAATAAAAAAAAAAGAAAAAGAACTTGTGCATATATAGTACGTTAGCAAATAATAATAAATTTGTAGAAAAATGGCAAGACATAAGAGAAAAGACTTTTAGCCTTCCAAGGGCTATAACTTGTGGTGGGCTATATATAGGGGCTGAAACTAATAGAAGATAAAATTTCTTTTAGTAAAGTTATATAGGTTCCTCTGGTGCCATCTCTGGGCTGATAAGAGTCCAGCATTGTCTCAGGTGATTAAGAATTGTTCTAGTCTTCCTAGTAGAGAAAGGAAGGACAGAGAGTGTGTCCTGTGTCTGTTTTTTCCTCAATTGCCTTTAGCTCAAAACAATTCTTATGCCAGAGTAGTATATTTTGGGGTGGTATACTCTGAACCCCTCAAGTACCTCAACCTAGATTACTAGCTCAGAGAAGATATCACAGTTAGGCAAAAGCCCGTTGATGTTGGGAACATGTAAACTTTGCATGTATTAACAGGAGCAGCATTGTACCTTTACTTCATTAATCAACTCTGTCCCTGTTAGCTTCAACTAGCATTTATGCTCGAGGAGCACAGATTTTCTGCAAGGCTGTGATTGCCGGAGAAAGTCATTTCATTCTTCAAAGAACTTGGTGGAATTGAAAAGACTAGAGACTGGCTTTAGTGGTTGCCATACTCCCATCCAGGATACTCTTAACATGTGCTGGAATACTGCCATATCTTCTAAACATCAAAAAAGAAAAGAAAAAAGTTAAAAAAAAAAAAAAAAGGCTTAGGAGTCTGGTTCAGCTCTGACATGTAAAGAACGTGGACGTCATACTTGGCCTATGACAAGAAACAGTTGAACCAACTGAAAATCAATGACTTTTCTTGGACTCATCGGGTGCATCCAGAGAGACACACCTGAGATCTGCTTACCTGGAAGAGAAGAAGCTGGTGCCATACACTGATAGGAACATCATATGGTAAATGTAATGAATTGCTGCGGGTTGTGTATGAATTACTGTGAGAGTGAGAAACTATTAGGAGCTGGATATTTAGGGGTAGGGGTCTCCCACACTTTAAAGGGCTTTATATTTAGGAACCCCACCAGGTTCTCACAGTAAACATCTGAAAAGATGTTTTTTCATGGCTCTGGCAGGTGGAAGGGAAGAGTAATCATTGTGAAATAGCTCAGTCTTCTCCTTAACAAAGGCTGACACTCCAAAAGAAAGACTCTGCTAAGAGTTTATCACAGTAGAGGCATTCCTCCCACTGAAGCTCCCTTTAGCCTCCTGGTCTCACCTAAGAAGGGAAAACAAATCAACAGCAATCAAGGTTTCAAGGAAATACAATGCGGATGCTGCAGCCAGGGAAGGGAATAGGGAGAGATAGGGGGATAAAAGCTAGATCATGAAGGTCATAGCCCCAGGATATAGACACTGAGATTTAAGTGGGGCATGGTGGTGGAAGTGCCTGTAACCCTAGCCTCTTGGGAGACCCAGAAGTTCTATCACATCACTGCACTCCAGCCTGGGTGACAGAGCAAGACCCTATCTCTGACACAGGAGCTAAAAAGAAATTATTTAGGCAGATAGTGAAGGTAACAGAGTCCTCGGCAAGGTTTCCCTTTTAATAAAAAGCACCCCCCAAATAATTTCTTTTCTAACAAAAAGCAGCCTGCAAAATCAAGCTGCAAGCATAGATAAGCAAGTGGAAGCTTGCACAGATGAATGCCGGCAGCTGTGCCAATAGAAAAAGGACACCTGGAAGTCAGGTATATTCAACATAGGGGTCCCTTTTCTTTGTCGCCACATGTGCAGTAAAGAAATGGGCAGCATGGCGCAGGCCAGGTAGAAAACTCCATTTACATAATAAAAGATCAGGGTTGGATGACCAGCCTCTTTGTGTGCTATGTAAATGGCACATCTGGTCCAACCAATCCTCTGTGCCCTTTGTAAATCAGACACTGCCTCCTCAAGCTCATCTGTAAAAGCAGCTGCATCTTGTTGCAAGGCTAGAAACCCATTCCAGTCCCCTTCCTCTGCACAAGGAAGCTTTCTTCTTTCTTTTGTCTATTAAACTTCCGTTCTTTTTTTTTTTTTTTTTTTTTTGAGACGGAGTCTCGCTCAGTACAAACAGGGTTTCACCATCTTGGCCAGGCTGGTCTTGAACTCCTGATCTCATTATCCACCCGCCTCGGCCTCCCAAAGTGCTGGGATTACAGGCGTGAACCACCGTGTCCAGCCTAAACTTCCACTCTCAGGCGCACTCTTTATGTTTCTGCATCCTTGATTTCCTTGGCATGAGACAATGAACCTCCAGTATTTCCCCAGACAACAACACAGCTTCATCTCAAAAAAAAAAAAAAAAAACCACTAAGATTTAATTGGAGGATTTTAATCATGCAATATCTCTCCTACATCTTAACACCATACCATCAGGTTTCAACACAATGACAGTGGATTACAACTGAAAAAGCTCTCTATTTGAAAAGAAGTACATACTTAGGGAAGCACAAAGTCAAGAGGGGAGACCAAAGAAAAAAATAAGATCATCAGCTGAATTTGAAGTCTCTGGCACCTACAGCTACAGCAAATATTAAACACAATCCTACCCCTAGAAAGGTTAAAATAAATGTTCACACTGAAGACTTATTTATCTCAGTTCCTGTTACCTGATGCATGTGTAGATTTCTACAAAGTATTACAAGGCATGATAAAGGATGAGGAGAAACACAATCTGAAGAGACAAAGCTACCATCAGAACAACACTTAGATATGATTCAGATGTTGGAATTATCTTTTTAAAATAAGTATGATTAACATTTTAAGGACCTTAAAGGAAACAGTAATGGGTAATGTCAGCAGAGAGATAGAAACTCTAAGAAACAAAAGAAAATTCTGGAAATAAAAAATCCTATATATGGATATGAAAAATGCCTTTGATGGGCTTATGAGTAGATTTGACACAGCCAAGGAAAGTTCAATAGAAACTTCCCAAAGAGAAATATTGAAATACAAAGGAAAAATAGGGGCCCGGTGCAGTGGCTGACGCCTGTAATCCCAAAACTTTGGGAGGCCAAGGTGGGCAGATCACTTGAGGTCAGGAGTTCAAGACCAGCCTGGCCAACACGGTGAAACCCTGTTCCTACTAAAAATACAAAAACTGGCCAGGTGCAGTGGCTCACGCCTGTAATCTCAGCACTTTGGGAGGCTGAGGCAGGTGGATCATCTGAGGTCAAGAGTTTGATACCAGCCTGGCCAACGTGGTGAAACCCTGTCTCTACTAAAAATATAAAACTTAGCTGGGCGTGGTGGTGGGCACCTGTAATCCCAGCTACTCGGGAAGCTGAGGCAGGGAGAATCACTTCAACCCCGGGGGTTGCAGTGAACCGAGATCACGCCATTGGACTCCAGCCTGGGTGACATCGAGCGACTCTGTCTCAAAAAAAAAAAAAAAGAAAAAGAAAAAAAAATTAGACGGGTGTAGTCGCATTCACCTGTAATCCCAGCTACTTGGGAGGCTGAGGCAGAAGAATGGCTTGCACCCATGAGGCGAAGGTTGCAGTGAGTCGAGATTGCATCACTGTACTCCAGCCTGGGTGACAGAATGAGACTCTGTCTCAAAAAATATATGTAAAGTAAAAATAAATAAATAAACCAAGAACATCTAAAATTATGGAGCAATTTCAAAGTATAACATATGCAGAAATACTTAGAAGAGAGAACAGAACAGTAGAAATATTTTAAGCAAGAAACAAAAAGCCATAAAGTTTAGAATTCTGCATATGTCACCAAGTAAAGCATTTACCAAGATATTTCCCAAATTAACAGGTGACAGCATGGGCACCTGTATTGGTGTAGAAAAGCCTGTATTTCTGTGAGTGATGAGTTCATTGTAGCAGAAGGTAAAAGAAAAGGAGCCTAGTAAGAGAATGGTAAGCAGAGGTGATTGTGAAGGCTCATGAATACCACTATATCAATCCAAAATCTGTGATATAATTTTGCCTTAGAAAGACATAGTAATAATGGGTTTTAGAGTCAGATGAGATTGGAAAGCTGTAAGTCCATTAGTCCTTACTGCAAAATTCTAGGAAAGGGATAGTGAGAACCATGGCTGGGCAAAAGCTAAAGACTATTACCAGAGATAGGACATGAAGTAAATCCTATAACCAAGTAAAAAAAAGTAGTTTAAAAAACAGATTAATAAAAAGTAATCAAGTAAGAGATTCAAGTTGGGAAATCCCACTGACCAGCACCAATATGAAACTATTGTCCAACAAAGGAGTTGACATTTCTAATTTAGAGTTTTCAGAACTGCAAGCAACAATAAATAAGTCATTTAGAACTTTCTCTGGAAAGCCCCTACAATTTATAAATGCATAAGGAAGTGAATACTTAACCACTCATATGACCTTGAAAATCATGGAGAAGGCTGTCCATGTAGATAGCAGTGGATAATGCCAATAAGGCTGTTTTTAAAATTTCTGAGAGACCACCATTAAAGCTTCATATCCTACAAATGCAGATGCTATGGGCATCTGATTTTGGCCTCACTGACTTCAACACTCTAATTACCAGTTTTCTTTATGGATGAATTAGTTGAATAGCTGTGTGATTTATCCTGATTGATTGTCATCATGGCACATTTGCAGAGGGCATAGTCAATGAAATGCATTTTTAGCAATAGCTATTCTGGCTTCCGTCAATATACATGTGGTGTCAAGCCTTGACAGTTATATCTTGCATATTTTAAGGCACCATTTCTCTTAAGTATAGTATCTAAGAATTTACTTGAGCAAAAATTCTAATACTTGCATCACATGGATGATGTGATATGAAGGCAAGATGATTACATGGCTAAATGGTCTTTCACTGCTTCTACTATGATGAATTGTCAACAGCACTGGCAAAGAGTTTACAAATTGATGACCACATAGGGGTAGATCCAAACCCCAGATATGTTTGCTTAGATCATTCAATAGTTTATGACTTTTAAAATAAACCAACAAAATATTATTTTGGAAAAAAAAAGATTTTACATGAACTACCCCCCACCTCCACGTGCGTGCGCACACACACACACATACACATACACACACTTTATTTTCTTTAAAGATTAGAGAGCTTGACAATACTGTTCCTGCAATTCTGTGTCAACAATGGCCTAAATGCAGTCTCTATTACTTCTCAAATGCATGCATTTACATTTAACCTCATGGTTTCCTTTATTTAGATTACTTGCTTAGCCCATTATTATTAGTTAACCAAGGCTGCCATAACAAAATGCCACAGACTGGTATTCTCTCATAGTCCTGGAGGCTGGAAGTCCCATATCTAGGTGTCAGCAGGCTGCTTTCTCCTGAGGCCTCTCCTTGGTTTGCTGCCTTCAAGCTGTGTCCTTGTATGGTCTTTTCTCTGTGCATGTGCCTTCCTGGTGTCTCTTCTTCTTATAAGGACACCAGTCCTATTGGATTAGGGTCCCACTCTTATGACCTCATTTAATCTTAATTACCTCTTTAATGGTCCTATCCCCAAATATAGTCATATTGCGGTTAAACTTTCAACATAATAAACATTGGTGGGTCACAATTCAGTCCATTACATCCCTGTAAACATTTAGGTTTGTGAATGCTTACAAAAATTTGTAATTTTTTATGTTGGGAGGAGCCATCGAGCAGGACTCAACATAGGAGAGGCAGAAGGGGACTTGGATGTCATTAGCTTGTCTTCCTAACTGAAACAGCTCCTACATCATTGCTGCTGTCCAATCAACTTTTGCTTCAGCCTTTCTGAGATAGCTAAATGTTCTAGCTAATCACTGCCAACCAAGTCATTTTCCATCAAATCACATTGTTTTGATTGATCAGCTAGCATTTGTGGAAAGATTTTGCTTGACTTACCATTCATTGCATCATGTAAAGTCTTGCTTATATAAATCCCTGGGAAGAGTTCCTTCCTGATAATGTTGATGGTAGTTGCCCTGCTGTTCTTTTGAGCAACTAGTCTCTTAAAAAATAAAAAATCATTAGGACAATGCGTTTTGCATAAAAGCCCATATTCCCTATTTGGCTGGTCACCGTAAAGCAGAAATATCTACTATTTTGGCTTCCCTGGGCCACACTGGATAAAGAATTGTCTTGGGCCACACATAAAATACACTATCACTAGCGATAGCTGATGAGCTTAAAAAAATCACCTAAAAATCTCATAATGTTTTAGGAATGTTTACAAACTTATGTTGGGCCACATTCAAAGTCGTGGGCCACAGGTTGGGCAAGCTTACCATAAAGCTTACAAACACAGGGGGAAGCTATGCCACTTAGAAACCAAGAAGGGCCTGCAGGCTGGCATAATGCATCACAATTGTAATCCCAGCACTTTGGGAGGCTGAGGTGGAAGGATCGCTTGAGCCCAGGAGTTTGAGACTAGCCTGGGCAATATGGTGAAATCTCCTCTCTAAAAAAATAAACAAGATTAGCAGCGTGTGGTGGCACGTGGCTGTGGTTCCAGCTACTTCGGATGCTGAGGTGGGAGGATCACCTAAGTCCAAGAGGTTGAGGCTGCAGTTAGCCGGGATCATGCCACTGCACTCTAGCATCGACAACAGGATAAGACTGCCCCACCGTCCCCACCCCTGAAAAAAAAGTGCCTTGAGTCAGAAAGTGTAAACTCAAAATCTTCCCCTGCACTCACTAAGTGTTTAGTTTTTGGCAGGTTACTTATTCTCTTAGAACCCTGGTTTCCTCACCTGTAAATTGAAAAACATATTAATGGTAAATGCTCTTTGTCCACTTCTTGGCAAATTTTATGTGCTCAGGAATCACCCAGGGCCTTGTTAAAATGTAGATTCTGATTCAACAGATTTGAGATAAGGCCAGAGTTTCTGCATTTCTCACAAATCCCAGGTAATGCTGATGCTGTTGGTCTGGGGACTGCACTTCGAGTGGCAGGGTCTTTGAGGATTAAATGAGATATAGATGTAAAGCAGCTATAACCCTGCCTCACACATTGTAAGAATCCAAAATACCCTTCCTCCAAGGGTTAGTGTTATTCAGATGAAGCTTGTAGGACAGTATAATCTGCCTTTGTAGGAGGATTTATTGTATCCTGATTGTGGTATTCCTTTGTGCATATCCTTGTACCCCCTTGAATTCATGCAGTTGCATCATACTTTATGTACTTTTAGAAACCACCTGAAATCCTTTTTCATAAAAAAGATTACATAAATTTAACACATTGATAAATAGACAATGAAAATGTACTTTTAAAAATGAATTTAAAATAATGTGATTCCAAAAACTAAATCAGAGTACCCATTGTAATCACCACCACTCCCTAATCAGTAAGACACTTCCACAGACTGCACCCTGGTGCACCTTATCATGCCTACTTTTCCAAGACCCCTGAACTTGCACACCATAATCCAGTTTTTCCTAACTTCTTTCAGGTCCTTCAAAAGTATATATGTGAGTGTCCTGGTCTTTGTTTTTGCTATTCATCTGATATTCTTTATCCTTCCTTCTGCTTCAGATCTCAGCTTAGATGCCACTTCCTTCAGGAAGTTGCCTAATCACCCTCTTAGATCTGAGTTTCCTGCCCCTTCAGGGGCTCTCATAGGACCTTTGTGTACTCTTATCTCTCTGCATTTCAAAATGTATCATAGCTGCTTATTTACTACTTGGTCCCTGTCACCTCCCATCCCCCCAATCTTTAAATTTCAGGAAGTCAAGAGCACTATGCTTATGTCCTGTTATATTCTTAATACTTAGAACAGTGCCTAATTGTTATTATAGTAGGCACCATAATGAAGACTCAATAAATATATGCTCCATTAATGATGAATGGATGAGTGGATAGATAGATGGATGGATGAATAGATATAAAAGCAGATATCTCCATTGTTTGAGGATTTTCATACAACATTTATTAGCAACAACTTGGATTAATTTTATTCAGCCTGAAATCCCTGAACATAACAATCATCTCAAAATCCATACACTTACTGGCAGTACCAGTCAACTTATCTTCTTTGCCCAGCTGTAAAGATGCTCAGGAATAATGGAATTCCTTTCTGGATTTTAGAATGTGGCAAACATCTCTCCCTGAGACCTGCTATGAAGGGGTTTCAGGCTGAATTTCATTTAACTTTCTCCGTGTCTAAGATAGTGTCTTCATCAGAGCTAGCAATCTGACATATGTAACAACTGTGCACAGAAAGAAACAGTCAAATACTGAGGAGTAGATTTTCACAAACTCACCATTACTATAAGAAAAAAAAAAACCTTCCAATTGTATTCGGGATTGATCATACCTCAATCTCATCATTTTCCTCATTCAAAAGAGAGATAGCTCATGATCATTAGTAAGATAAAAATAATGAAATTGTTCTCAGCTTCTATAACATGATTGTATAATTCTCTGCTCAATTTAAAATAAATTTTTCCATTTTGGATCAGACAAACTGAGTGTTTATCAGAAATGATGTTATATTTTCAAAGAATGACAGCCCCGAGCTTAATCAACCCTCTGAAAATATCATGTACATTCATAGAAATATTTTAAAAATATATCCTGAGGTTTTTATCTTGGTTGGAAATATAGCATACTCGATTATATAGGACAGAAACCATTCAGCATGTGCCTTGAGGGCCATTAAGTTCCCCAGGACTTGAGATAATGAAGATAAACAGTTTAACCTTTCCTAGACTTGGGACCCTGGTTACCACAATGTCTCATTAGGAAGAGGCACACTAGGAAAAGCACAGAAAAATGCATTACCAAGCACCATGCCTCTAAGTGGTGCCCCAGATCCACTACTTTTACGCTCTAATTTTGTTTTCTCATCTCATTCTAGCTATTTTCTATACCCAGACCACAGTGCTTTTGTGAAAGATTTTTGTCATTAAATTCTCAAGCTTACGTTTTGAGAGTTAAAAATCACCAACATGTTGACCCAATAGCTGGCAATGTATTTTATAAACTGAAATCCTTTAGGGACAAACGTTGGGATGCTCCCTAGCATTTCGAAAAGTTTCTGACATTTGATTTGCAATTATTGAGAACTCAGTTTGCAATTATTGAATAATGGGCGTGGGGGTAAGGAAAAATGTGTTAGACTATTTGTGATTAGCAAAATCTATGACAAAAAAAAAGTAGCAATCTTATCTTGGTTATTAGAACCTGATAATAATATCTTAGTTTCTTATGTAATATATAAGGTAGTGGAACTAATAATGACTTATTCTGCTTCTCTTGAATGGATCTCAGGAGGAAATAAGCCAATGGCAATCTTGCTTCTGATCCCCACCATTGAGGAGATAGATGGTCCATTGAGGAGCAGGCTCTTGTTTCTCTTGATAGGAGTAAGAGAAACACTATAAGGCACAGCTATAAATGGAGGAAAACATGCATGCTATTTGGAAAAGCCACTTTGGCTCTTGAGAGCTTGTGAAGACTCAAACAAAGTGAAGTCACAGTGTTACGTGTTTCAAGATGGACTTGACCTTTCACCCGTCCCAAGAGAGAAAGATTGCCCGGCCTAGGAATACAAGTGGATAACAACTTCACAGAGGTGAATCATTATGTCACTTCCTTATTTCCCAATGGATGTAGTAAATAAGGCACCTTTTTAAAATAAAAGACCTAGGGTTGAGTGTCTTATTCGATCAAGTCACATGAGGAGATGTGTGAAGTTTGGAATAAGTTACATTTTTGTGATTCTAAATCCATTGGTTCAATCATGGAACTTGAAGTATCTTTTACTGTGTTATCTTATAACATCCAAGATAGCTCAAGAAGTTGAGCTTGTGAGGACCAAACAATAACAGATACAATATAATCTGGATATATTTAAAATCTCCAACAGGTAGTTCCTAAGAAGGCTGAAAAGTAAGGAGTACCATCAAGGCAATAATAAAATGAGGTTGCTGGGTTGTTTTTAACATATTAACATAAAACAGAATTCCCTCTTTCCCTTTTATAGAGAGCCATGTTATGACTTTGATGGGCACAGGTACTTTTATCCTCCTGGTCACCTTCCTCCAAAAAAGATTTAAAGTTATATTTTATGAATACATTGTCTTAAAGGTGAATATATTAATATTACGTATTATTTTCTTTGACCTAAAAGTTCATTTATTTTCTCTGATTAAAAATAAAACACTTTTTTAGGCCCTTAACAGTATCGTGGGCCTTAAGTACTATGCCTCGTGTATCTGCTAGAAAAGTCAGCCTGCTATCATCTAGTTGTATCTAGAAACTGTGCATCTTCTTTCAATTCACAATATAGATTCTCAGGCCTAGGAGTCACATCTTAGGTAACTAACACACTAGAAACTGAGATATACCCAGCAAAACATTAAATATAACTTCAAATGCTTTTTTTCCCCCTCAAATTCATTATATCAAGTTTATTTGATTAGCAAATATGTCTGCTGCTCAAAGTACATTTGTTGGTTCCCTTTGAACAATGCTAGCTTTCATCAAGTGTCCTGTGGAGGAAGCTCCAACTCTTGAAGATCCAGATCTTCCACATTCTTACTACCTACTGTGTGCCCATAATTCATCTCTGCATCACAGCCCTCCTTCATGAAATCAGTGGGTTAGACAAACACAACTTTAAGAACATAAGCTCCAAAAGGCAGATTTTTTGTTGTTTTTTGGGTTTGTTTTGTGCATTTTTTTCACTGATGAATCTCAAATACCCAGAACTTTGCCTGACACATAGTAAATGTTCAATATGTATTGAGTGAACAAAGTTCAGTTGATTTTACTTCCTTTAAATCTCTTTCTACAGCCCGTTTTCCATCTCTACTAGTTTTTGTCACTGTTGTCTCTTTCCTTCATTGATCCATCTGTCTCTTCTCTGCTCCTGCTGGTATTTCTCCTATGTGCTTTTCTGAGTCTTATTCCTAATGCTCAGTTTTGATGATGTAGTCATCGCCATCTTATTTTAAAGTGTTTTGATGGTTCCTCATCTTCCTTAGAAGGAAACAAACAAAATCCAAACTATTTAAGTATACGGTATTAAAATCTCTTCATGTACCAACATCAGACTATATCTACTCTTTTCCCAGGTATGCTGCTGAATTCTTTGATAGAATTGAGAATCTGCTCATCTCTTTAGCCTCCAGTTCTCTGCACATGTCATTCTTCTGCATGGATAATCCTTTCTCAAATCTTTCATAAATTCACTTCCCTTGACCCCATACCTAACCTGACTAATTCCTACCTTCTCTTCCCTTTAGGAATCCTAGGCATTCTCCTGTGTTCTCATATATCACCTGCAACTTCCTTTTATGATAGCACTTATTTGACTTTATTGTAACTAGGTGTTTAGGTATCTGTTTCTCCCACTACATTGTAAGTTTCTCCAGGGAACAATTCCACTGTGCAATATTTTATCCCCAGAACCTGGCACAGTATCTAGAACTTGTAAGAAATGTAATAAACAAGAATGGAGGACTGAATTCATTAATTAGGCTTTGTTACATTTAAAGAAAAATTGATGTATTTCAGGATTTAACAGATTAAAGTTATGTGTACCATTTCATGTATTCGTTTATTTACAGTACTTTCAAAGTAATTGGAAGTATTTCTATTCTTTATTTTTTATTTATTTTTTTTGGGGGGGGGACAGAGTCTCACTCTGTCACCCAGGCTGGAGTGCAGTGTTGCGATCTTGGCTCACTGCAACTTTGTCTCCTGGGTTCCAGCACTTCTCCTGCCTCAGCCTCCCAAGTAGCTGGGACTACAGGCACCTGCCACCATGCCCAGCTAATTTATGTGTTTTTAGTAGAGATGAGGTTTCACCATGTTGGCCAGGCTGGTCTCTAACTCCTGACCTCAGGTGATCCACCTGTCTTATCCTCCCAAAGTGCTGGGATTACAGGCATAAGCCACCCTGCCTGGCCTCTCTATTCTTAACAGGAAATAACAAGGATGATTCAAGTTAAGATTGTTGAATTCAGATATTATTTTTAGAAGTCTATGTACATTCAATATTGGGGGCATTTTGGAAAATAAATATTTTTATATACTACTGGTAAAAATTAAGGTTGATAGGTCCTGTTTGGGAAGATATTTGGCATATCTTGTCAAACTAAAATTCACAGATCCTGTAACCCATTAATCTTACTTTTAGGTATATACTCTAGTAAAACACAAGTTCACAAGGAGACACACATAAGTGTGCTCATTTGGGTAACAGTAGAAATTAGAAATGGCATGAATGAACACCAATAGGGAAATGACTAAACAAAATTAGGTATAATCACATGATGGAATGATTCATAAAACAGTTAACATTTGTAAGCAGATAGATCTTAAAAACATAATGATAACTGTAAAACAGCAAATTGCAAGTTTATAATTACCCTATGCAATCATTTCTGTAAATAGAAACCTCACCAATAATAACAATATTTATTGTTTATACAAATGCATGTATGTTTGAAAAACATGAAAATTAGGATGAAATTATATTAAGTTAGCCCTTGACAGACATTGCCTCTGGGCAGGAGTGTAAGTGATGAGACTTAGGGAGTAGTCAAAGAGATCTTAATTTTATTTACAGCATTTTCATTTCATTTTTATGTTAGTGATGAAATGTGGGCATTAGTTGTACACATTATACACTTATCTATGTATTTGATAGTTCCTGCAAAAAGAGAAGGTGATGGACACCCAACCATGCTCTAAGTTTTGGAGTTGAAGCCAGTAGTGGGGTGCGGGGGTTGGGGGGTGGTGGTGTTGAGGAAAGAGATACGCCACAAGATAGTGGAAAGGTAAAGCATCAAACCCTACCTGTAGGAGTGAAAGATGTCAAGGCAGAGAGATTTGCATGTCCCACAAGTTACCTTTAGAGGATGCCATGACACTCTCAAGGGAGTTGAGAGAGGCTCATGAGTACCGCAAAACTAATGGTCTAGGACAAAGAAAGAAGATGATTGCAGTGAAAAGAAAGGAACAAAATTGGCAAAATGATGTTTGCTGTTGCTGAAGCTACAGAGTGAAAGGCAAACAAGCTGCATCCTAGGTCTGCTTACTACAGATAAGATTTCTCTGAATGTAAGAGTCAGTGCACTGAATATTCAAACATCAGTCAGTAGTCTTAAACTACAAAACAAAAAGCATCCATAAACACATGACCCACAGGATGGCTTTGTGCTATCATTACTGACAGGTTTCTTAAAAGGAGATTAAAAGACACTGTATTCAGTTTTCCTATAGACAAATGAAAGTGACAAGGAGGAGAAACATGTAGTGTGTAGTGTAGATAAAGGAAAAGAAGATTTTCCAACAAATACATATTCTGCTGACAGAATGAAAAAAAGCAAAAGAGAAAGAAGTACGGTTATGAATGTTGAGGATCATATTAATTAAAATAGACTTTGGGAATGAGTGTTGTGGTTTTATCAAAGAGAGGATAGTTTTAAAAAGAAAGGCCAATGATCCAGAGTGCTGAATGGCTGGGTGATTTTTAAACTGGAGCCTTCTAAGTCTGTTAATTTATTTACTGGCTATGATAAAATCCAGAAAAGTATCAATTGCTATAATAACCCAGTTGTATTTATACAGAAGGTCAAATATTACAAGCCTGCTGTTCAAGAAAATAAACATGTGGATAAGCCGAAGACATAGTTATTAAAAGCAACAAAGCTGGGTTTAATTCTAGCACTGCCTCTGGTTGGCCCTTTCAGTTTGGGTAAGCTGCCCAATGAATCGGTTTCTCAGCCTCCTGTCCTGGAAATAAGAAAATCAAAACAAATGCACCATTAAATCCTTTTCTGTCTAATATTTTGGAAATTTATTCAATCTTTCTGATATGCTATGGAAATAAGAAGAAAAAGGTGTTTTGTGAAAGAAAATACATTATTTTAGTGAATGATAGTAGATGCATGTTATTGTACCTTACTTTTTGTGTTTTGAAACAAAGTCTTGGTCTGTCATCCAGACTGGAGTGCAGTGGCATGATCATAGCTCACTGCAGCCTCAAACTCCAGGGCTCAAGGGACCCTGCTGCCTCAATCTCCCAAATTGCTGGAACTACAGACACCTGCCATTATGCCTGGCTAATTATTATTATTAATAATTATTATTTTGTAGAGGTGGAGTTTGTTGCCCAAGCTGGTCTCAAACTCCTACCCTCAAGCAATCCTCCCACGCCAGCTTCCCAAAGTGGTTATTGCACTTTGTAAATTTCTTAAGTAATATATGCTTTCCAAATCATGTATGCAGGACTCATAGGTATTAGAAAATCACTGGATTGCAAAATTGAATGTGGAAATCTACTGTCTGGCATTTTACTTTCCTTTCTTTGATATGCTAGAAGAATAGCTACAAATATTTCCTCTTAATTTCTAACACGATTTGAAGATTGGGCTCTCCTTTCCTGCAAATAAATAAAAATTAATTTTGGAATTACTGATGATTTTGGTGTGCCATTTAGAGAGATATCAAGGTTTATTTTGAAAGAACAAAAGAAGGAAAGCGCTTCAGCTGCACACCTGTCTCCTATGCACATTCCATTGGCCCAAATTTGGTCACATGGACACGTCTAACTGCAAGGGAGGCTGGAAAATGTAGTCTTCAGTGGGCAGCAATGTACCCAAGTAAAACTGGAAGCATTTTGTTACCAAAAGAAAAAAAAAAGTGGATACTGCTTGGTAAGCCAGTTCCTAAAGAAGGGAGTAAGTCTAGCACCCTAAAAGAGCTGAGTAGGAAATGTGACAGAGTGAAAAAAGGAAATGTTTTAAGTGTGCAACTGTCATGGGAGTGCTAAATCATACTGAAGAACACCCAGTTTTCACTGCACAAGCACCTCCTGTCCCTTGTTTCCAGGGTATAGGTTGTTAAAAGAAAAACTTTAGCCAAATTAAATTTAAAAGAGTTTAATTGAGCAAAGAGTGAATCAGGCAGTCTCCCTGAGCCAGAATGGGCTCAGAGACTCCAGTGCAGCCACCTGGTAGAAGATTTATGGACAGGAAAAAAAAGAAAGTGACATATGGAAAACGGAAGTGAGGTACAGAAGCAGCCGGACTGGTGACGCTCAGTGTTTGCCTTATTTGAACATGGTTTGAACAGTTGGCCACCTTTGATTGGCCAATCAAAGTTTTCTCAGGGATTGGCACAAGAGTAAACTATAGTCTGTTTATAACTCCATTTAGGTTATAGTACATGATGTATGGAAAAACCTTTAGGATGAACTTAAAATAGGCAAGGAGGCAGCTTTTGGCTAAACTTGATTTAACACTATCAATTTTACTCAAAAGATCTGGTGAAAATTTTGCTTCATCAGCATTCAGGAACCCTCTCACTGGCAAGAGAAATGCCGTTCTATACCACAAGTCTATTCTTAGGCTCTGATAAACTCTGTATGACCGGACACTGGAAAACACAGGAGAACAGGTGTGGAGCTCTGGACAGCTAGGGGAGTGATCCACTTGAAGAAGCCAAAGACTCCACCATAAATTGGAATAAAAATTAATAATATATTTGCTACTAATATTTGTATAGACATGTCTTAATATGAAGAAAGCAATGTACACATATAATTTAAATGTAATATAAAGCCTATATAGGGCAGATCAAATATTATCATAAATAGAGCAGGACCATATTTTGAAACATCACCATTAAGTAGAAAATTTTGTTAGTAGGTGCCAAGGTGATAGATATTATTTATCAATATAGATATAATTTTCTTTTAAATTTTTTATTTATTAATTACTTTCATAAAAATTGTACAATCCGAAGTGTAGATTTTCTCACTTCGGCATGAGAAGAAACTACTGTGGATGTGCGTGTTGAATGAGAAATGTGTTTCTTTAGCTCAAACTTTTTGTTCCATTTTTAGGAATGAGAAATAATTTCTCCTGACAGATTATACCTGAGATAAAATGGAATTGTTATGAGGAAAACTTTTTATAGCTGTATATATACCTAAAACATATTTATCAGTGAAAAGGCTGCTTTAAAAATGTTATACACGGTATTTTCATTTTCATTAATTGCTTTATTGTGGAAGTAATTCACTAGGAAGCATATGAGATGTTCTCTCTCCCAAGACTCTTTTAATTTTATGGAAAGCCACATACAATGTTTTAGGAAAATTACATTTTTTTAAATTTAGGAGAGAAAAAAAGGTTTTTTCATATCTGTTTTACCACTTGACAGTATTTTGTCTGCCTGGAAGCTTTGAATATCCTGTGTATGTTGGCTAATTTTCCAGCTTATGAGTCTGACCCTTCCCAAGGTAGAAGCCAGAAATTAAGTTCTCAACTTCTCTTAGATTTGGGATAAAGGCATGTGACTTACATGTCACCGATTAAGTATATACATGCCAGTTTTTGACTATGAAACTACAAATTGAAGAAACAGATATCGTGCCCACTCCACTTCTGTTCTGGTGGTTTCACATCTATCCGGTTTCTGAAGACCTCACCAGCAAAAATTTTAGTGTTATTAGCCAAAATCCAGTGTGTTGTCTGTTGCCAAGGGTTACTGAAGCAGTTATGAAGTGTGATTTTGATTTTTTTCTTTGATTCATAGCCTGGTTTTCTGTCTGGTCTTCAAGATTGCTTGAGAGGGAAGAATGGGAATTTCATTGAGTATGTAATTATTTATTTAATACATCTTACTTTTTTTTTTTTTTTACTATATTCAGAGTAAACATATTTCCATTCACTAAATCACTTATGAATATATAATTTTAAATGACTGCACAGTATTTCCCATTTTACCCTTCAAATCTGTGTTTCATCTTTTTCACATTGCTTTCTTTCTGGAGCTAATCTGTGTGTATGAAATAAAACAGCTCCTTAGATCTCTGGTTTCAGGTGGTTTGGACAATGGGGAACTAGGGTAAAATAGCAGAGAAAGGAAGAAGCCTGAAGTCAGGCATTTGTATTCACCTTGTTCCTTCTTACTGGATTAACTCTGATTGGCTGCTCCTCTCAAAGAGAGTCACTTTTCATCCAGATTTTGTTAATTACTCCTTATCCAGTCCAGCCCGGACATTGCATTCCTTATGATTTCTTTTCACAAACTTAGATCCTCTTCAAATAGCTTAAATTTGTGACAATTATGTGTTTTCTTTAGGGTCTCTGACTGGAGCAATATTCCATTGTAGAAATATATCATAATTTATGTCACTATTTTCCTAGTGTTTTACATTTAGGATTCTCTTGATTATTTTAAATCTAAACATTGCTGTAATTAGATACTAATATATAATTCTGATGGTTGTCTCTACTTATTTCTTAATTATATTTTCTAATTGCTGCTATGCAGAGACTCTGACTTTTTTTTTAGTATGGATCTCTTACATTCACCTACATTGCTAAAATCTAATTAGCTGTAATAGTTTAGCTGTAGAGTTTCTTGAATTTTTATGGAGACAATCCTATCAGCTGTAATTAAAATTTTGCATCTTTCTTTCTAATATATCTACTTTCCATTTATGTTTCATATCTTATTGCATTGTCTGGGAAATTTAGTAACATGTTGATGATACTGTTTTAAGTTAAATTGTACATCTTTATGGGGCACATGTGCTATTTTGATAAACATACAATGCATAATGATCAAATCAGGGTATTTAGGATATCTATAAGCTCAAACATTCACCATTTCTTTGTGTTGGGTACATTTCAAATCTTCTCTTCTAGCGATTTTGAAATATACAACATATTATTGTTAATTATAGTCACCTTGCTTATTCCTTAGATCTAACTGTATTTTGTATCAATTAACCAATCTCTCTATACCTCCCCTACTCCAAGCTGTTTTAATGGGCATATTTTCTTCCTGAATTCAAAGAGAATGCTTCCTAATTTTACCACTAAATATAAGTCATTGCTTTAGGATACATTTCTAGATGTTGAATTATTCAAACAGTATAAATATTTTAAAGCTTTTTGGAATATATTATGAAATTTCTCTCCAGAAAATTACAACATTTTATAACATCATCAGTAGTTCCTGACAGTGCCTTGACCCACATAACCTTGCCAACATTAGCTGTGAATTAGATATATTTTGTTATTTGTAACTAGATGACCTTTCTCTGCTTCATGGCCACACTTAAACCCTAATTTACCACAAGAAAAACAATAACAAATAGTAGAATAAGATTCTGCTGAGAATTGATCAAGAATATTACCCTTGTCGTTAGCTGACAACATATTCCATTTGCTTTATTTATTTATTTATTTATTTATTTATTTATTTACTTTTGAGACAGCGTCTCTCTCTGTTGTCCACGCTGGAGTGCAGTGGGGCTGTCACAGCTCACTGTAGCCTCATCTCCCAGGCTTAGGCGATCCTCCTGCCTCAGCCTCCCAAAATGCTGAGATTACAGGTGTAAGGGATTGCACCTGGCCTCTATTTACTTTAAAATAAAGACAGATATTTTTATTTTCTAAATTTATGAAATCAGATTTTATACGTTAAAATATTTCTAAAGCATTTTAATCATTGGGAACATTTTTTTCTTTCACATAAAGGCCCTTAAATTTAGAAATCACCCCTAAGCTTGGGGGTATTCTTTTTCTCTAACATAAACACTAGATACTTTAAGAAAATAAAATTAAAAACCAATTTCACTCTACCTACTACACACAGTTTTCTAAAGTGAGATGTTTGTCCCCTAGCTGCATAAATGTAAGTCATAAAAAATACTAAATGTTGACAGTTTTACTCCACCTGAAATTTACATTAGGTAGTCACTGGGCTATAGAAGGTACAATGTCTATGAGAGAACACATCAAAAACATAGATATAAAACATATACGTGCCTTTTGTCTCAGATGGCTTCATGACTTTTATCTCATCCCATAAATAATGGAGGCATCAGCACATTTATCTGCACACAATAACAAATCCCATCCTCTTGGTAATTGTAAAAACACTGAAGCCTGTTATTGACCTTGTGTAAAATATAGTCACGGGATAGAAAGACAAAGAAACTTTTTGTCTGTCTATATCCACGTCTAAAGCCCCATCACACACTTTGAAAACCATTAAACCAAAAGTCAATGATGTGAAAAGGAGGAGGAAAAAATATATTATTGAATAAAGCAAAACAGACAAGTTAAAACAAAAGATGCATCCATCCATACCATGTCACTCAATGTTCCTATTTTCTCTGCTGAAGTTTCTGAGATATCTGCATTAAAAAAAGGCTGAAATCTTCAGATCTCAAAGCTCTGACTCATAGTGTTAGTTCTCAAATTTTTTTTTTTTACTTCTCACATTCTTTTTCTGTGCTACGTATTTTGCAAATGAATAGTCTGGATATATTTTTAAGGTACTTTTCCTATATTGTTAGAGTACACATTTTCTGACTGAATTACAGTGAAAATGGTTAGCAGCTATTTATTGATCACCATTCGCAAATATTTATATCCACATCCTAATCTCTGCCAGTTTCCCTGGGCTGGGCTCAAGAACTACAATGCTCTGCATTGCCCTGTGCATTACAACTAGATGGCATGATAAATGATAAGTCATGAGTTCCTCCAATGTGCAACACACAGTAATTATCATAATAGTTCAGAGAAGGGAGAGACAAAGGCAAGCCATAGCAGTGACAAGAAGTCCCTTAAGAAAGGTAGGTTTTAGTTGAATCTTCAAGGCTGAGGTTGAATTGATGGAAAAGACAACAGAAATATTTCACAACAGCCAAGAAAGATATGCATTATTGTTTTAGTCCATTTTCACACCACTATAAAGAAATACTCAAGACTGGATAATTTATAAAGGAAAGAGGTTTAATTGACTCACAGTTCCACATGGCTGAGGAGACCTCAGGAAACTTATAATTATGGTGGAATGCAAAGGGGAAGCAAACACCTTCACAATGCAGCAGGAGATAGAGAAAGGAAGGAGGAAGTTCCAAACACTTATAAAACCATCAGATCTCATCAGAACTCACTCACTCTCATGAGAACAGCATGGGGGAAACTGCCCCCATGATCCAATCATCTCCCTCCCTCAACACATGGGGATTACAGACCCCTCCCTTGACATACGGGAATTACAATTTGAGATTAGATTTGGGTGGGAACACAGAGCCAAATCATATCATTCTGCCCCTGGTCCCTCCCAAATCTCCTGGTTTTTTTCACATTTTAAAACAAACCATTCCTTCCCAACAGTCCCCCAAACTCTTAACTGATTCCAACATTAACTCAAAAGTCCAATTCTAAAGTCTCACCTGCGACAAGGCAAGTCCCTTTCACTTATGAGCCAGTAAAATAAAAAACAAGTTAGTTCCTCCCAAGATACAATGGGGGCACAGGCATTGGATGAATACACTCATCCAAATGGGAGAAACTGGGCAAAACAAAGGGGTTACAGGCCCCATGCAAGTCTGAAATCCCAAAGGGCATTTCATTAAATCTTCAAGTTGCAAAATGAACTCCTTTGACTCCATGTCTCACATTTGGGGCATGCTGATGCAAGGGGTAGGCTCCCATGCCCTTGGGCAGCTCCTTCACAGGCTGCCATTGAGTGTCTGTGGATTTTCCACGTGCACAGTACAAGGAGTCAGTGGATCTACCATTCTGGGATCTGGAGGATGGTGGCCTGCTACCCACAGCTCCACTAGAACCCCAGTGGGGACTCTGTGTGGGGGCTCCAACTCCACATTTCCTTCCCATGCTGTCCTAGCAGAGGTTCTCCATGAGGGCTCTGCCTCTGTAGCAGACATCTACCTGTATGTCCAGGCATTTCCATACATCCTCTAAAATCTAGGCAGTGGTTCTGAAACCTCAATTCTTCCCTTCTGACATTACGTGGAAGCTGCCAAGCCTTCCACATGATGGAAACAATGGCCCAAGCTGTATCTTGGACCATTTTAGCCACACCTGTATGCAGTGCACCAAGTCCCAAGACTGCACAAAGCAGCAAGGCGCTGGGCCCAGCCCATGAAACCATTTTTTTCCTCCTAGGCCTCCAAGATCTCTAACATGCCCTGGAGATATTTTCCCCATTGTTTTGGTGAGTTATTTTAGGCTCCTCATTACTTATGCAAATTTCTGCAGCTGGCTTGAATTTCTCCCCAGAAAATGGGTTTTTCTTTTCTGTCACGTCGTCAGGCTGCAAATTTTCCAAACTTTCATGCTGTGCTTCCCTTTTAAACCTAAGTTGCATTTTCAGATTATCTCTCTCAAGTTCAAAGTTCCAAAGATCTCTAAGACAGGGGCAAAATGCTGTCAGTCTCTTTGCTAAAGTGTAGCAAGAGTAACCTTGGCTCCAGTTCCCAAGAAGTTCCTCATCTTCATCTGAGACTACCTCAGCCTGGACTTCATTTTCCACATCATTACCAGCATTTGGGTCAAAACCATTCAACAAGTCTCTAAGAAGTTCCAAACATTCCTACATTGTCCTCTCTTCTTCTAGGCACTCCAAATTGTTCCAACTTCTGCCTGTTACCCAGTTCCAAAATTGCTTCCACATTTTCAGGTTATCTTTGTATCAGTACCCAACTCCTTGTAACAATTTACTTTATTAGTCCATTCTCAAGCTGCTATAAAAAAATACCCAAGACTGGGTAATTTATAAAGCAAAACATTTCAATTGACTCGCTGTTCCACGTGGCTTGGTGGGGGCAGGGGGGGCGCTCAGGAAACTTACAATCTGAGGGAAAGCAAAAGGGAAAGAAACACTTTCTTCACAAGGCAGTAGGAGAGAGAGAAATGAAGGAGGAACTTCCAAACACTTATAAAACGATCAGATCTCATGAGAACTCACCATCACAAGAACAGCATGAGGGAAACTTCCATGATCCAATTACCTCCCTCCTTTGACACGTTTAGATTACAGATGCAATTTGAGATGAGATTTGGGTGGGGACACAGTGCCAAACCATATCAAGTATCATTAGGGAGATGTTTATGAATCTAATATGTATTCAAAAGACAAGATAATGGATTTACTTGGAGGAAAAAGGGATGTGAGTTTGGATAGGGAGCATAGTAAACAATTATTAAAAGTCTTCAAATATAGGCTGAATAGTTTAAACTTGAGAGGTGAAGGTCACCAAATATTTGGAATAAGAGCCTCAACTTGCATTCCATAGCGGATACCACAGTTTGATCAAAGCTCTCCATCTCCCTGAAGCCAGGTAGAACCTAAGACTACTTAATTGTTGATATAAACTATCAAAATGGACTCATAATGTTAATCCCTTTTGCCATGCTGGATATAGGTAACCATTTTGAGCCATAAAGGAACAGAAGAACACAGTTTTAAAGAATGACCCAGGGTGAAGGCCAGTTAATTAAAATGTTTATGAAATAATCCAGACGATGGATTCTGAAAACGTTTAAATTAAAAGGGCAGGATCTAATGGCAGACATGCTGAAAGATGAAGCAAAGACAGAGGATTCACTTACACCAGGTTAAAGAAAAACTCTTTCATTTAGCTAAAATAAATAATTCAGCTTCAAGCTATTCAATAAACATTTATTAGCAATCTAATATATGATAGTATAGGGCTAAAGCATTTACAAACTTTATCTGAATTAATTCTTGTAAAATTAGTATTGATTTTCTGTTTCTTTGAGATCATCATGTCTTTTGCAGGAACATGGATGGAGCTGGAGGCTATTGTACTTAGCAAACAAACGCAGGAACAGAAAACCAAATACCATGTGTTCTCACTTATAAGTGAGAGCTAAATGATGAGAATTTATGAACACAAAGAAGGAAATAACAGACACCGGTGTCTACTTGAGGCAGGAGGGTGTGAAGAGGGAGAGGAGCAAAAAAGATAACTATTGGGTACTGGGCTTAATACCTGGGTAATGAAATAATATGTACAACAAACCCCCGTGACACTTGTTTATCTATGTAACAAATCTTCACATGTACCTCCAACCTAAAATAAATTTTTTTAATGAGGAATGGCTCAGAGAAATTATGAAACTTGTTCAAGATCCCATATCCTTTCAGCTCAATCACACTTCTGAGATGAGATGAAACATGAAAAAAATTAGAGCCTAGTTGAATTTACATTTAAAAATATTTACTAGAAATTATAGCCTAATTAGAAGCTCAGCACTACAGCAAGTTTAGCATGAAGTGAATATTTTATTACTTTTTATTTTGAGGGTTAAAATTGTTCTTAGACTCTATCTAAGTAGAAAAAAAAAATCTGTTAAACTTGATGGCAACAAACTTGCTGATATCAAACTTTATTTTTAAGACTAATACAGGATTGAAAAAATACCAACTTTATTTAATACATAGGAGTGGGATATAATCAAAGGGAATGATGCAAATTATTTGCAGAGTCCTTTTTAATTTATATGGTGACACTTATTTGGATGATTCAGAAAAAAAAATTGAGAATTTTTAGTTGGGTATTTTTGTTATTGTTTTTGTTTTTGTCATTTTAAGTAATTGAGTTAATATTATATATTTTATCAAACAATTGTCAATTCTTCAATTCACAGTGCCTGAAAATGTGCTCAATAAATATTAATTGACAAGACAAGACATTGGGCCATAGATAGTATTTATTGTTCTAGCAAAGATAATTATCCAAGCAGCCAAGTGTCATTTCTTTTTTCAAAATTCTACCGTGTCTCATTATTTACTCAAAGTAATTGCCCAAATCCTTACTTGGAAGGAACTCCAAGGTCTGACTCCATGCCCACCATCAACCTTTCCCTGACCTTATCTCCATCTTCTGTATCCCTCAGTCTCTTCAGTCCAGTCACAATGGCCTGCCTATCATACTCAAAAGCCCACATCAGCTTGTTCTTTACGGTTTCCTTTTCCTATTATCTCTTCCTGAAAGTTCTTCCCACCTTCCTCCTACAAGTCTTCACTCAAATCTCATCTTATCAACGAGTCCTATGAAAAGCACTCTATTTAATTTTCCAACCAGCTGCCACCTGACACTTCAATTCCTTTTCCCTTGTTTTCCTTCATTTTTTTCTGCAGCACTTACCACTTTTTAACATACGTTGTTTACTCAATAATTACATTTATTTGTTATTTTCCCATTATAATTACAAATTCAGTGAAAGCAGAAACCTCTGTCATTCTTGATTGCTGCTGTATCCCAAACAGCTACAACAAGCTATATAGTCAATAGTTTCTGAAATAATTAATGAATAAATAATAATGATAAATAACCATGGTTAATGCTATCTGAAAGCATTTATTTGCCAAGAACATTAAGTGTTAAACTACCTACTAGTATGATCACATTTTTTTTTTCATTTAAGCCTCATAACAATTGTTTAAGGGGATAGGAATTTATACTAAGTAATAGGCTACAGGTTTCCTAACCATAACTGGTCGTCTAGCCCAAGTCTCCAGACTCTTGCTCCATATTGCTATGGCTGAAACAGAGAAAAACATGTTTACTCTGATTATAGTTAAGACATACCAGCATCCAACAATGAAGTCATAGCACATGGAATTTATTCACTGCAGAAAAAAAAAATTCTTTGGTGAAGAATGTTGGAATTTGACAAAAAATCTAAATTTTGATTCAAGATTGAAATTAATATGCTATAGCAATACTTCTAAGAAAACAAAAAAAATCTTCTTTAATTATTTGACTGTTATTCTATTAGCTGCTAATTATGATTGGATTTATAAACTAAAAAATTTTTCAAAGACATATGTAACTAATTTATATGAACTCTTTTACACTCAAGTTGTACAATGATTTTTTGTAATATCTCTATTATACTAAGGTAAATTACACTTTAATTCAAAAATATTTCAATGATTAAATATTTTGAAGTTTCATTTTGGAGACCTATATAGCTTTTCTGTCATATTACTAATATATTATAACCTTCTTTTTGCATTGCTGAAATCAGATGTCAGAGGTCACTTAAGAAGGCTTTAAACATGCCATCCACATGCATTAGATTCCAGTAAGCTTAGAATCCCTATACGTATTCAACTGCCTAATTATAATCAAGTATTTTTAAATGCAATCTTATTTTGAACACACCTGAAGATGAAATTGTAGCAAATAAGAAAAATTCTCCACAACTTATCAAAATCTCTACCTATAAAATTTTATCTGGAAAAGCAAATGAAAACAACTAGGAAAATGTATATTTTAATTCAGCGCAACTGTAGCTATGACAAAATGGAAAATGTCTCCCCTATGAAAGGCAATCTCTTTGTTAAAGTGCTGACACACCAAAGATAAGTTATTTATTATTCTTTTACACTAAAAATAAAATAATTATTTCAAGGAAATAAAAACAAGGTAAAGAGTTAGGCTGCATTACATAAAACCAATGAAGACAAAGATAGTTTACAAAACCATGTGTGTTCTATGGTATTCATTACAGCAAAAGCACTAGGTTTCCTGTTTTGATAACTCAGGTCATTTATTATTGCAGTTTGGAAGGCTACTTCTTTACTTACATAGGGAGGCCATGCCATCATAAGAATACTTTGGGGAGACTGCTAACAAGACCACTTTTCTTCATGTATCTTTTTTCTCATTTTAAAACATTGTGGTAAAATATACATCGTATAAAATTTTTAATGATACAGTTCAGTTAAGTGTATTCACATTGTTGTACAACCATCTTTTTTTTTCCTTTACACCTACAAATAAAACATTATGATTCTACCTGCTTTATCAAATCTTGTTCATCCAAGTCACACACTAGGGAACAGATTAAGACCGGGAAGAAATTTCTTAGGAAGTTCCAGGACCTCCTAATTTATATTTCCCAAGTGAAGTGCATAATACAAGACCATTGAAGGGCTTGTCAATTCAGACCCCTTTGCCTGTTTCTAATAATAGCTGCCATTTTATTTTGTTTTGTTTTGCCTTGTTTCTGTAAATTTATGTCTACCTCAAGACCATATCCCAAAGTACATTCCTTGGAGCATCAGTTGTACGGGTGTCCATAGGTGTTACCCAGAAAAGGATTGTGTCATCAAACAAATTTAGACCCACTCAATTAAACGTGTGTCCTTTCTGCAGAGTTTCTTAGAACTTCTCATACACTGGTGGGCATTGTGGCTGTCTAAGTCAGACGGGTGGCCTGCAGGTTTCACAAAGATCTTGGACCACTGAATTCTGTTATTGCTTGAGAATATTTTAGAACTATTTTGCAAAGGAGTACACCTTGGAAAACATGAGATAACAGCTCTATACCGCTGTCATTTTCATTATTAAAGTATCTTTTGGCATGAAAAACTTCTTTTTAAAGAAAACATTTGGTTTGATGTTTCATCATCTTGGAACCTTCTGTCACTTTCCATATCCACCATCTTGTGCTAAACTGTCCACCTGTTTACTGCAAAACTCCTCACCTTTTTGCCATTTGTTCACTCTGCCCAGTATTTTTACTTTCAAAGTTTTACCTCCTTTCACAAGAGGTTAAGGCAGGAAATATACAATCTAAGTGAGAAGGAGAAAGAAATTCATTACATAAGTCTTAAAGGAAAAAACAGAAAATCCAAAGCATACTGAAAGAAAGCCTTGCAAGAGCGGAGGCTCGAGAACTTTATGTCATAGCAGGACACAAAGAAAGTTCTAAGAAGGCCATATCAGAATGCCCTCTGCCGACTTTCAACCCCAGGATCAACACTTCACATGCATTAGCAGAGGGAGATAAATCAATGCTTTTCATGTTTGGTGCTGTATCTGTTTTGTCCCCTACCCCAACCCCAATCCACCACTGCTTTGAAGAACAGGTTGACCTCTCCAGATTCTGGGAGGAGATCAGTGTATTCGGTCTGCTCTGACTGAGGATGAGGACAGGTCCCAGACTCCAGCCAGTGCCTACTAGTTAGAGCAGAGCACATCAGCTACCCAGCATGGACTACTTAAAATTGCTGGTCTCCGTATTAAATTTTGGTCTCCTGCAAAATCAATATTGAGGCACCAACATTTAATAAAAAGGTTCTGGGCATTTTTAGCAATATTTATTTACAGTTTGTGCTCTGATAGGCAATGAATCAACTCCATCAGCATTGGGAAGGCTTTCATTTTGTGAAAAAAAGTCAAAGGTATTTGGACATGGATACTAGGATCAGCAATCTCTTTAGCCAGGACTTCCAAAGCAAAGCCCCTGCAAGTGCCAATCTAAGCCCATGGGAGTGTTGGAAAATGGGGAAAATGCCTTCTTTAGACAATCGTGGTGGTGGTTGGTCAGTATCTTAATTGTTGAGACCATTTGCCCTATGAAAGGCACAAGGCTGGTAGTGGGAGTTTTCTGAGTTCATTTTTTTCCTCAGATCTTCTCATTTCCCTGAAAATTGCTAAAGTATGGTTTTTGGCTCCTGCAGGGTTCTCTCTCTCTCTCTGCCTCTTCCCCGCCCACTCCCTCCCTGCCTTAGTCCCTCTTTTCTGTTTGCTAATCCCCCCTCATAGTTTCAACAAGAAGCACAATCACCACACTAACTTCTGCAGGAATCCAGGAAAACAAGCTGTCTATAGGCAACATCTGCCTCCGACCCTATAATATAGTCTTCACCACAGATACATGTTATGGGTTGAATTGTGTCCCTCAAAAAGATATGTTGAAGTCCTAACCTTTGGTGCCTGTAAAGAGGACCTTATTTGGAAATAAGCTATTTGCAGAAGTAATCCAGCTATAATGAGGTTATACTGGATTAGGGTGAGCCCTAAATCCAATAACTGGTGTCTTTATAAAGAGAAGGAGAGAGTTAGAGGCATAGCTTAGACACAGACGGGAAATGTTCATGTGAAAACAGGGAAAGAAATCAGAATGATGAAACTATAATCCAAGGAACATCAGAGCTTGTTGGCAATCTCTGGAAGCCATGAAGAGTCAGGGCAGATTCTTCCCTAGAGCCTTCAGGGGAAGCGTGGCTCTGTCAACACCTTAATTCAAGAGTTCTAGCCTCTGGAACTGTGAGAAAATAAAGTTGTGTTGTTTTTTGTTTTAAGCCATGTACTTTGTGGTAATTTGTTACAGTAGTCCTAGGAAACTACTACAAGTGAGTACAAAGGTCTAGCTGTTTGCATGGAAAAAGGAAGATATAATATGGGAAAAATAAAACTTAGATTAACATCCTAATAACTTAGCTGGCACACAAGGAAGTCCAAGCAGGAGGAGAATAGCATTGAACAGCCTATTAGTAACCGTTGTTCATTCATTGTACAAATACATATTGAATGCTTCTCTGGGCCTGGAAGGTAAATAAGACAATGTCTTTACCCCGAAATGGGTCAAGTATAATGAATATGCAACAAATACAGGGCCACATGATTTCCATAAGTGCATAGGGGTGCCATAGAGATAGGGAAAAAGAGAACTTGATGAGAATGTGAAGGTCTGGAGAAGGCTTTTTATTTATTTTTATTTTTTTTGCAAGAAAATAAGACTTCAGATGGAGTTCTGCAGGATGAGCAGGCATTGTCCAGGGAATAATGGTGTACAGGACATCTGAGGCAGGGCACAGGATAAGCAATGTCAAAGGTGTAATACAGCACATTACGAGCCATTGTGTATTCTTGGGCAAGGGGACTAATGTAAAACAAAGGCCTCTAGTGGCATTTAAGGACTAGGATAGGAAATGCATCTTGTGTCATGCTAAGCGCCCAGAGCTGACCCTATAAAAGATGAGAGCTAATGATGACTTTTAAGCTAAGAGGTATTATGGTGACATTTTTATTTTGCACATCTCACTTTGGCGTAGAAGATGAAGTAGATAAAAGCAATGCCTCATGCATAAGAATTTTTCTTGGAGGCTGGGCGTGATGGCACACGCCTGTAATCCCAGCACTTTGGAAGGCGGGGCGGGCAGATCATCTGAGATCAGGAGTTTGAGACCAGCCTGGCCAACATGGAAAAACCCCGTCTCCACTAAAAATACAAAAATTAGCCAAGCATGGTGGCGGGCACCTTAATCCCAGCTACTCGAGAAGTTGAGACAGGGAAGTTGCTTGAACCCAGGAGGCAGAGGCTGCAGTAAGCCAAGATCTCACCATTGCACTCCAGCCTGGGCGACAGAGCGAGACTCTGTCCCCAAAACAAAACAAAAAAAAAGATAAAAAGAAAAAAAAAGATGGTTAAACACTTCTTTTTCTTCTAATAGATTCATCCACATGAGCTCTATTCATCATAATATTCTCAAAGAACAGACTGAAACTGCAGGAGATGCAATGCCAATTTTCTCAGTGCCAGTTATTGATTCTAAGAGATCCAACAGCAATTCTTGTGGCAGGGAGCCCTGGGTCACCAGAATGCCCAGGTGTCTTTGTACATCAGGCTTTTGTGATTTGAGACTTGATGGTGGCTCTGCTCCACGTCAATCACAAAGGCTTGTCCAGTGCTCTCAGTGTGTTCATCTATCCCTGTGCCTTCAGAGGAATGTCATCTATGACATTAATATTCCTTTGCCTCCTAGCTAACATTCACATGGAGTCATGATTTCTTTGCCTACTCCTAATTTTTCTGGGCTTACAATGTCTTGAAAAGCCAGGTAAATGGCTCTCCCTGCTTTGTTCATTAGATACAGAGTGATGTTACTTTCACTAAATACAATTTTTCTGAGGTGATATTCTCATTAAATCCCAATCTTCTCTTCTCACATGAAGGATACTCCAGCAGGAGAAGCTGCATGCAGAGTAAAAGGGTAAATCAGTCATCAGCTATATGATTTAAGCTACAATAGCCTACATACAACCTCAAATTTAAGAAGAATATTTTGCCTTTTGTTAATACAATGCCTGGAATGCAGTGGTGTGATCTCAGCTCACAGCAACCTCTACCTCCTGGTTTCAAGTGATCCTCCCACCTCAACCTCCAACGTAGCTGGCACTACAGGTGGGCACCACCATACCCGGCTAATTATTTTTTAAAATTTTGTGTGGAGACAGAGTTTCACTATGTTGCTTAGGCTGGTCTTGAATTCCTGGACTCAAGCGATCCTCCCACCTAGGCCTCCAAAAAATGCTGGGATTACAAGCATGAGCTACTGTGCCCAGCCTGTAAAAAAAATTTTTTTTTAATAATATTGATAAAAGAAATGTCCATTAGTGAGAACTCATGTATGTCAGTTTTAAAAATTCAAGTCAGACTAGCTTAAATGAAAGAAATACCTTATCTTACTTATAACTAAAAATTCAAGGGTTAGAAATAAAAAAAAACTGAGTTTTTAAAGTTTTATGTCTCTCTTTTCTTTTTAATTTCTTCATCTTTGCATGCACCTTCTTTGCTTGTTTGTTTTTAGAGACAAGGCTTCAATCTGTTGCCCAAACTGGAGTGCAGTGGCAAGATCACAGCTCACTGCAGCTTCAAACTCTTGGGCTCAAGCAATCCTCCTGTGTGAGCCTCCCAAGTAGCTGGGACTACAGATGTGAGTCACCGAATCCAACTCACTTTTTTTTTTTTTTTTTTTTTTGGTAGACACGAGGTTTTGCTATGTTTGCCAGGCTGGTCTCAAACTCCTAGACTCAAGTGATCCTCCTCTCTTGGCCTTCCAAAGTTCTAAAATTACTGGTATGAGTCATGATGTCTGGCTTCACCTTCTTTCTATGTTATTGTTTTGCATTGTGAAACTGTTGAGCCATATAGGTGCAGTCATAGAAACTATTTTTCCCCGGTTGAAATTATCCCAGTTTAAAGGCTAGAAAGAAAGCATCTTTCCCTGTGTAGCCATCTCTGAAGTCTCTGAAAAGTATTGTGATTGTCTATTTTGTTCTGCATCCATTTCGGAGCCAATCACTATGGCTATATAAGGAAGAGAGAGTAATTAACTATCCTATCAAAGTGCTTGGACTGAAAGTAGAGGCATCCTAAAAGAACGGGAATAATGTTACCAAGGAAGATATCAAGTACTGAATTGAGAAAAAGAAAGGGAAAGAAAGGGTTTATTAGGCTCTGAATTCCAATTAAAGAAAGGCAGATCTGAGAGAAGGTGGAAATTTCTCCTAGCACTGTAAACTCACAGGGTATACAGGCAAACAAACCAATGGGGCATTCTACAACAATACACACTGTGTAGAATTCTTACTTCCAATCAGAAGTTTCTAATGAAGAAATTAACCTTGCTGCTTTTCATCCAAACTAAAATGTGTGTGTGCAGACACTCCCCCAACACAGATCATATTTAATATATAGAATAAAATCTCAAGGGATAAATGGTTTCTCTAGTTTTTTGGGTAAATAATTCTTTATCCTAATAGATAAAGAATTTTGTTTTATCCATTACGGAGCATTTTTACTCTTTACCTCTTTTCTAAACTTAGCAAAAATATAAATAAACAAAAGCACAAATGCACCAGTGTTTGCTTTCTTTGGGAGATCTTCTCACTTCCAGAAAAAGATATCTCTATCCTCCCAATCTCCATAATTCTTAGTTTGTACCATTCATAAAAGACTAAAATGGTTCTATTTTGAATTTGAGTTAATTACGACATTTTTACATATCCTGTTTGTAAATTTTTTGAGTAACATCTACCTAGAAGACAATAGCATAAATAGCTAATTTTGAGCAACTTCTGTGGTCAAGTTATATACTCATTATGTGAGTGTGTCTTGCTTGAAATACATCTATGAGATAGATTCATCCCATTTTAAGATGACAAAGCTGTGGATAAAAAAAGTAGACTAACTTGTCCACGATCAACTGTTAATGAAAGACATATCCAAGATCTGAATCCCCATAAGTGTTGCTCCAAAGCTCCTGAAATAGTCTGAAGGGGGCATGATAAGAGAGACACCAGTTTGATGTGTACGGCTGTGATTCAGGTGACAGAAGACAGTGGTTTAGACTGTGAGGATGTCAGAGAAATGGAGAAAATGAGATGGATTTAAGGATATTTTAGGATGGCATCAACAGATCTTCATGTGAAGGTTAAGCTCTGTTCCATCCACCAATGTTTCAGCCTTTTGGAAGTAGTTAGGAAACATGCTGTGGAGGAGAGGTGGAGAGCGGAAGAGGTAATAAGGCTGCTTAGAGTATTTACAACTCTTCCACCTCAGACTCTCTCCTGAAAGTCTCAGGTAGTCATTATGTTCAGAGCACACGGGAACTTATGAGAGAGGGAGCACTTGGATGTGTGATTCCTTCAGGGCTCAAAATGAGAGGCAAGGTATTGGAAAAGGAGACTTTGAGGATGAAGCAATTAGTCATGTTGAGATAAAGAACTCCAAAGACAGGATAGAAGTTTCCCCATTAACTGTAATGCCAAGAAAACTGTGAGTCATTGGCCACTCCCTCCAATACTTGCCTGTCACATTCACATCGATGTTGCCTATGAATATGTAGATACTCTCAGGAAATATGTAACCCTTTGGAGAGTGAATGCAAATTTAAACTCATATTTTACTTGTTGGAAGGCATTCATCAACTTAAACTGTATTAATGAATAACTAATTAAGGTTGCAGAAATCTTGTTAAATTTTCAAAACCAAAATTAACTTTCATAGGATGATGATAACTCAGTCATCCATTAAAGTGGTCGTAATTGTCTATTAGTCTAGTGTCACTTTAGTACCAGAGAAAGGCCTAAAGTTAAATGGTTTCTATTCTGGGGACCATTTTCAGATTTGAGTTGAGAAAATAATATAAATAGAAGAATTTGAGGTCTGTGTGTACCAGACTAAATTAAATATTTCCAGCAACAATGTGAATGTAATCTATTTCCTTCTGTATATATTTTCTTCCTTCTCTAATTTTTTTCTTCCCTCCCTTCTTTTCTTCATTCTTTCCTTTTTTCCTTTTTTTTTTTTTTACTTTCCCTCTGTCTCTTTGCCACTCTATTCTTCCATTCTCCTTTAATAGTTAGAAAAAAGAAAATCTGTATTTTTCCCAAAATAATCCAGCAGAGGGCAAATATTCTTTGCCTGAATTTTATAAACCTGAATGAAAGTGAATTCTGAAGCCCTGCCTTTCTCCTTCAACATGAGGCAAGTACTAGATATGCACACTTTCCTGGGTCCCTAAATGTTCTTTCTTCTCTTGCAGTTCTTTCTAGTTAACAAGACCATGGTGAATACACTAAGAGATAATGATCTCTCTTTTTTATATTAACCTGTTTGTTATTTCTAAATAAAAATGTGCTCTATTAGACATATTTTCAAAACCAGTTAAAAATGAAGTAATCTCCATGTCTAATTTTATGTCTCTGTAAAACTCCTTTCCCTAAATGTGTAAGTAAGCATCAAATAGTAAAGTTAGAAAACTCTTTGTCTTGTAAACAAGGAGACAAAAAGCAGCATTAAAAAAGTAGTTGTATTAAAGCTCATAAAAGTTATGGCTCAATTTTAATCGGTGTAAAGTGGCTGCTTTGTATTTATGTCTGTAAGCAGCAGTTTTACCCTATGCAGAAAATGTTTCTGGAAGATACACTGTGGAATTACTTGTGAGCTTCCTGTTGGCTTTGGATTAACAAACTTCTCTTCAATCTTTAAATGAGAGAAAATGTAGCATACATTTGTGTTACTCATTTTTAACAAAAAGAATAAAAAATTTAACCTATTTGGAGTAAAATCATTTTTAAGATTCAATATTTAGTCTATTGATACCTTAGAAGGCTTGCTTCAATTCAAAGTGCTTGTTTCTAGAGCTCTGGTAGTATTGTTTTCTTAGTTATTTGTCATGTAGGTAGATTGGTTTGTTGGTTGATTTTAATTTTATGAATAGCACACAAATGCACTGTCTTCAATTTTTTTTTTTTTTTTTTTTTTGAGATGGAGTTTCGCTCTTGTTGCCCAGGCTGGAGTGCAATGGTGCAATCTCGGCTCACCACAACCTCCGCCTCCCAGGTTCGAGCGAGTCTCCTGCCTCAGCCTCCCTGGTAGCTGGGATTACAGGCATGCACCACCATGCCCAGCTAATTTTGTATTTTTAGTAGAGACGGGGTTTCTCCATGTAGGTCAGGTTGGTCTCCAGTTCTCTACCTCAGGTGATCCACCCACCTCGGCCTCCCAAAGTGCTGGGATTATAGGCTTAAGCCACTGCGCCTGGCCCAGTGTCTTCAATTTTTATATGATTTTATTTATTAATGGATTGATTTTTGAGACAGAGTATCACTCCGCTGCCCAGGCTAGAGTGTAGTGGCACAGTCTCAGCTCACTGCAGCCTCCCACCTCCTGGGTTCCATCAATTCTCATGCCTCAGCTTTCTGAGTAGCTTGGATTACAGGCGGGTGTCACCATGTCTAGCTAATTTTTGTATTTTTAGTAGAGACAGGGTTTCACAATGTTGGCCAGGCTGGTCTTGAACTCCTGACCTCAAGTGATCTGCCAGCCTTAGCCTCCCAAAGTGCTGGGATTACAAGCATAAGCTACCATGCCCAGCCAGTGTCTTTAATTTTTAACTTAAGAGAAATATACAGTGTAAAGCAGAAGTCATTCATTCATTCTTTCATTCATTCATTCAACAATAACTGCTGAGCTCCTACATACCTACAAAGTACTGCCTCTGCAATGCTTATCCTGGTAAGGATGTGAAGATATGGTTCTTTTGCCCATGAAGCTTTTGGTCTGGAAGTTTCTCTTCACATTTTTTCCTCAATTATCAATTTAGTGCAAATTATTTCATACCATTTGATATCCATTTTTATACATATATGCCTTTTAAACATATATATGTGTGTTTTCATATAAGTGGAATTCAACTATTTATGTTGTATAATGGGATTTGTTCTTCCCTTGCCTCCAGGCAAAACCTTGGTTAACTTAGTTTGTAATATTTATGGTCACTTTTAAATAATACGAATAGTATAGATTTAGAAAGTACAAATAGTGTACAAATAGTACAGAGTTAGAAAGTATACTTTTTCATTTGATCATCAAAATGCCAAAGTTGTTTTCGAGTACAGTAGAGGGAAGCCTTTAATGAAGAAAGGGGGTTGTGGTTGGCTTTTTCATCCTTTCTTCTACTCCTAGAAGTTTTGTTACTTCCCCTGCTTTGCTGACATTAGTTCTGGTCCCAGATGATGTTGGGTGAATAGTGGAGAGAGAAGGATGAGAGCTAAGGGGTGGTGAAGAAAGCTCTTAATTGATGTGATTCAGGAGAGGGGCAGGGAAGTGTTGAGTAGAGAAGGGCAGGATCCCTGGCAAGGGCTCCACTCTCAGGCCTGTGCCCATGGACCTAAATGAGGACAGGCATTTCTGTTTTTGCCCCCCAAAAGTTGCCTTTTGGCCCCCCATTCTGTGCCCATAAAAACCCGAGACTGTAGTGGGCACACACACAAACAGCTGGACGTTGAGAAAGAGCACACGGACAGACACCAGCAGACACCGGCAGGCCATCAACTGACCAAGGAACAAAGGAGACATCGTTGAGGGGAATTCAGATGGGGGCTGTAGGAAGACAGTCCAGCCGATGGACAGCCTGACTTCAGGGAAAGACCACCTTCCCACTCCATCCCCCTTCTGGCTCCCGTCCATCTCACTGAGAGCTACTTTCACCACTCAATAAAACCTTGCACTCATTCTCCAAGCCCAGGTGTGATCCGATTTTTCTGGTGCACTGGGTCAAGAATCCAGAATACAGAAAGCCCTCTGTCCTTGCGATAAGACAGAGAGTCTAATTGAGCTCATTAACACAAGCTGCCTGCAGATGGCAAAGCTGAAAGAATGCACTGTAACGCACACCCCCTGGGATTTTGGGAACTGTAAACACTCAACCCTAGAGGCAGCCATGGGGTCAGAGGTCAAAAACTCTTCCCACAACCTGCCCATCTGCATGCTCCCCCTAGGGGTTTGAGCAGTGGGCACCAAAGAAGTGGGTCACACCCCTGTCGCACACCCTGTGAGGGGGATAAGGGAACTTCTCCTGTTTCAGATGGATACTGCAATAAGATGAAATCATGTTTTCTTTTAGCAGATATTTAAAAGGAACTCTCACATGGAGCTTTGCATGAGTCCTGTTGGGATGTCTCCTTTTGATCTGGGAATCCTGCAGGTTATCACTTTATCTCTCTGTGGTTTGTTCAATCTTCCTGGACAAGTCCCGAAACAACATCATTCAGCATATGTTCAGGATATGACCCAGGTTCTAATCACTCATGAATCCTGACACATTGCCCTGACAACTTTCTGAGAGAGCAAACAAATCCTAACTCAACAGCAACTTCTGTGGCTTACAGGTCAGCAACTCTCAAGCCCATCCCTCAACCATGACATTTCTCTGGTGGAAGTCAGGCACGATTGTCACCTCCAAAGGCAGTGGACAGTTAGCAGGCTCTCCTCTTGATCCAAGGAAAGCCCTTCTCACTAGTCCTAAGATAAGGGACCACAGTGCATATTCTCAGCCAAGGTAGTGGGGTGGGATTTTTCATCACAGTAACGGCTACCTTCAGATATCCTCTTTATAGACACTTCACTTCTCCATTCTTCTGCTTCCCCATCACCAGCTGCTCAGATCCTTTTATGATTTTGGTTAAGGAATTGAAAGTTATGTTACTGTTTTACAGATAACTTCCTTAAAAATGCATAGTTTGGCTTGATATCTCATTTTTGAATGTCTATTGTATCTTGGATTCAAGGAACAACCACCAACTTAAGAGTGGTCACAAAAATACTGTCTCCTGAGGCTGCAACTGGTCTTTTAAAATGTTTTTTGGTCACATTAAACCTTACAATTTTTAAATGAAACTTTATAATCTTTTCCTTGAAGTGTGCAAGAAGACCATCCTTAACCCAAGATAATACAAATATCCTTCTCTGTTTTCTTCTAAATCTTTTACTGATAAATTTGTTCAAATTTAAATATTGACTTCATGAGAGGCTTACTTTGAAGTATTTTGTAGCACAGGTTATCTGATTTTATTTTTTCCCAAATGAAAAACCAATTGGTGTTAAAATGGCCATGATGTTCCCACTGGTGCCAAATGCCATCTTTATCTTTATCACACAGCTAATTTCTGAGTAGGATTCAGACCTTACGAAGTAGATATTCCTTTTCCTAGGGTAGTCATTCTATATTAACAAAGGCCAGATAATTTAGTTACTGATCTAAGCAATATCTCTGTTTCATGTTTCCATATAGTCTAGTAGTCCATTCTAAGGCAGTATTTTAACTGCCTTACACATATCCTAGAACTGTTATAAGCCTAGAAATAAAAATTAGATAATGAGAACAAAGGTCTTTGGCAAACTATAAAACCATCTACAAATTTATATATATCTTTTTAAGTCTTCTTTTATTAAACAAATTTTGACAAAAAAAATCCTGAGTGAAATGTCATTGTAAAACATAGCCCTAATTAAACAAGTCTCCATCTGCTTCCAAACATTACTTTCAATAGGATGAAAATTAGCCATTGCAAATTGCTCATTTTAAAATTAGTTTTATGCAAAATATTATGTACGACATGCTATTTCATTCCAAAATATTATATAGTTTAATAAATGTCAATTTCATACCTTTTTGACATTAAATCTGCATTTGGTTCAAAATGGCAAAAGAAAAAAAACGACTTCAACATATCGCCCCCAAATTCAGCTGAGTCTGCTGAGTTGTGATAATGGAATGGCATGATGAAATGATACAAATATTGTTATAGCTGCAATAAATAGGATCCTGTTTTCCCCTGGGAGGGAAAAAACAGAGGCTAGCAATATCAGAAAATTTTATTTTTGTCAGTTTTATTCTGTAAGTAGCTTTTATATGTTTTTATATTTTAAAATACAATGTGCTGAGCAGTTCTTATCAAGCCCAACAGTTAAAAAGTGAAATAACACCAATTTCCTTTTGTAAGCTACATTGAAGGAAACCTATATTTAGATTAAACACATAATGCGAATATAGCATGGTATGCCATCCACTGCACATCTATCTAATAACGTATCTTTGTAAGGATGAAGACTTAACTTATTAAAAAGTTACATCACAATCTGTTTCCTAGAAGTTTGAGGTCAGGCTTGGCAGATAAAAACTCAAAACTTCCTTTACCATATGCTGGAATTACCATGTGGTTTCAGGAGGAATTTATTTGACTGCTGAGTGCATATATTTCAAAGGAATTACAGGAGGGTTTTAGGAAAGTCACATGGTCAGACAGGAACCAAATCTAGCTCTTCAGTGACCTCACTCGAATACAGGTAAAAATGCAGTCAGTGTTCAAGAAATAATAGTTTGATGATTACAGGAAGACAGGTGGGGAAAGGAGGGGTAAAGATAGTATGCAGCAAATGCATTCCAAGTTTATCTATATTTAAATCTGATGCATTTTAATATGCAGATAAAATTTTTAATTTTTTTTTCCTTCAAGGAAATAAAAAGCCCATCAATTCATATTAGGTCTTTTCTTCAACAAGGGTATACAATAAACTCCCATCTCAAAGAACCTTTGGCCTTATCGCTCATGAAGTTTTTCTGTGGGTTGCCATCAGACCTGTGCACACACAGCAGCTGTCTGCTCTCTCTGCCCTTCTGTCCACTTTGATCCAGCCAACCAAATTGCTGCCCTGGGCCCTCCTATGGAGTCAAAACCTGTGGATCTGTTTTGCTGTGATCCTTCTGTCTCAAAAGTTTGGCAATGACTTCATGGGAGCATGCAGGTCAGAGACTGGTACAGAGGCAATAATCATAAGAAAGATACAACAATCATAAAAGCAACTAACAGTTTATTGGCTGTGTATTTAATGTGTCAAGGATTGTGCTAAGTGCTGTGTGTGTGTCCTCTCATATAAACCTCACAATATCTTTTGCATTAGACACTTTTATCATCCCCATTTTTTGAAAATGGGATGAAATCCAAATGACACAACTCCTAAGTGAGAGAGTGACTACAAAAGTCATGGCCCCTGTTCTGAGCCACTGAGTTTTCCTGCTTCTACCAATGTCCTTGACGATGAGAGTGAAAAAATGGATGTTACATTAAACCTCTATATTGTTTATGTCAAAGGATGAAGACGACCAGGACAGAAGTGATGTGGTGAAATGCTACTCTCTGAGGGCTGCGCCGAAGATAAGAGCAATCATGGTACTTAGCTTGTTGAATGAAGAAGGAAAGAGGTGAGCAGCAGAGAAACTCCTTGGAGAGTTCAAATAAGCTAAAAAATCGCTTCTGCCCTCATGCCCTGGCACCATAACAGTCATATTATCTGGCTTCAGGGATACTTCATAAAAGTTACGGAGTCTATGTCATCTTTTCAAGCCCCAAAATAAAAAGTTCTTTAGATAAACATCTGATCTCACTACAAAGGCTCAGAATCCAAGTGGAAGAATGATAGAGATTAAATTGGCACCAAATTCAAGACAGATTTGCAACTTTTCAGTACCCACCCAAATTGAGAACATATTTGGAATAATGTTTTAAAATATTTTGCAAAATAAAAACAAGAGAAACAGAGAATGAAAAGATCTGAAATTGACTTTTTCTTAAAAAATTCATACTTTGGAAATTTTGACTAGTAGTTCAACTGGAAAGGCAGAATTTTCCTGATCTTATAAACTCAACTGCGATGGGACAGAATTTTGCCATAAGGACTTATTGATTCATCATTTATTTCTTCAAAAAACATTTATTAAGGGCCTCCTTAGCACTAGATACTCTTCTAGTTGCTGGTAGTAAAATCATGTACAAAAGAGAGAGAGATTCTCTGCTACTATGAGATTATATTACAGTGGAAGAGACAAGCAAACAAGTAAATGATGAAACAAAATATCATATGGGGGTGACATATTATAAAATAGGTAACAATAAGTACAGGCCAGAGATAATAATTGGGGGTTTCATTTAAATTAAGTGATTAGAGGGAAGGCTATCTGTGGAGGACATGTTAAAATCATTGAGACTTGTATAAGATGGGATTAGCCCTAGGGAGCTCTGGAAGAAGTGTGTTCCAGGAAAAGAAAAGCTCTTGTGCAAAAGCTTTGAGGTGAAGACACAGAGGCAGCCAATGCGACTATAGTTTAAAAAGGGAGGGGTGTAGTGCAGGAGATGAAACAGAGGAGTAAGCAGAGCCAGAGTATGACTTAGAACATTAAAGTCCAGAGTCAAGATTTGCACTGATTTTTTTTTTGTAACTTTCATTTTAACTTCAGGGGTACAAGTTCAGGGTTGTTACACAGGTAAACTTATGCCATGGGGGTTTGTTGTACAGATTATTTCATCATCCAGGTATTAAACCTAGGACCCATTAGTTATTTTTCCTGATCCTCTCCCTCCTCTCACCCTCCACCCTCCAATAGGCCCCAGTGTGTGTTGTTAGCCTCTATGTGTCCGTGTGTTCTCGTCACTGATCTCCCACTTATAAGTGAGAACATGCACTATTTGGTTTTCTGTTCCTGCATTAGTTTGCTAAGGATAATGGCCTCCAGCTCCACCCATGAAACTGCAAAGAACATGATCTCATTCCTTTTTATGGCTGCGTAGTAATCCGTGGTGTATATGTACCATATTTTCTTTATCCAGTCTCTCATTGATGACCATTTAGGTTGATTTCATGTCTTTACTATTGTGAATAGTGCTGTATTGAACATACATGTGCATGTGTCTTTATATTAGAATGATTTATATTCCTTTTGTGGTTAAGCTCCTATTATCTGGACATGTTCACATATAGTATTTGATTTAGATTATATCTCCACCTTTTTATTTTCTTTTTAGGTTCATAGAGACCAATGAGAATAAACAGCTGAGTTGTACGTTTCTGAAATTTTTTAAAATCAAATTTAATTTTTTCTCATGAGAATCTTATATTCCCAAGAAGAGAAACTCTTCCTATTAATCTTTAAGTATATGTTCCCCAAATGTGCAGACGTGAGAAAGACCTTCTCAAATAAAGTATTCAAAGGAAAATTTTTGTGTACTTTATGGTAAGCTGCTGCTCATTGTTAGATTTATGCATCAGATTTTTCCAATTTGAAGTAAAATAATTCTAAAAACATGGTAAACCTGAACATATTACCCAAAGGAAAAAAGATAGATGCAAACGTGGAAAGAAACTACTTGATGTAAGTGGAAAATTTTACTTTCTTATTAATATTTTCTGTTTTTAGGCATTCTATAGTTTCAAAATCTTTTACATATCCATGCCGATTTGTTTCTTTTTTTTTTTTTTTTTTTTTTTGGGGTCATCAGGTTTTACTGTCAACTACAAACCTTACCCAGCCAAAAACCTTCGTATTTTAGATGGTAGGAAAGACATTCCTCATTTAGGCAAGTAGGGTTCTCATTCAACCCTTTTCTGCTGTTTTTAGAACCTTCTGCTACCATATCCACCACTTCCACCACCAGATCCATAACCACCACCATAGGGACCGCCCGAGCTTCTTCCACCAAAACTGCCCCCTTTCATGGGTCCATAATTTGATTGCTGTTGTCCACTATAATTTCCAAAATCATTATAGTTCCCACCACCACCATAGTTACCACCGCCAAAATTTCCTCCTTCATTGTAACCATCATATCCTCCACCTCCACCATATCCACCACCTTGGTTTCCATATCCTGGTCCACCATCACCATAGCCCCCTCTACTACTATAACCAGGACCACCGCCATAGTTGCCACCATCACCTCCAAATCCATTATATCCACCATCACCTCCTCCATAACTACCTCTGCTGCCACCACCTCCACCACCTCCAAAGTTCCCTCCGCGACCCATAAAATTGCCAGATCCACCTCCACGACCTCTCCGTGATCCAGCAGACTGCATCTCTTGTTTAGAAAGGGTCTTTTTCACTTCACAATTATGCCCATTAATAGTGTGGTATTTCTGAACAACAATTTTATCAACTGTATCATGATCATCAAAAGTTACAAAAGCAAATCCTCTCTTTTTTCCACTCTGCCTGTCTTCCATAACTTCTATGGTTTCAATCTTGCCATACTTTTCAAAGTAGTCTCTCAAATTATATTCTTCTGTATCTTCTTTAATACCACCAACAAAAATTTTCTTCACTGTTAGATGGGCACCAGGCTTTACAGAATCCTCTCTAGAAACAGCTCTCTTTGGTTCCACTACACGCCCATCAACCTTGTGTGGTCGAGCACACATTGCTGCATCCACCTCTTCAACACAAGAATAAGTCACAAAACCAAAGCCCCTGGAACGTTTTGTTTGGGGGTCTCTCATTACCACACAATCTGTGAGTGTGCCCCATTTCTCAAAATGTTCTCGTAAACTATCATCTGTAGTTTCAAAGCTCAGACCACCAATAAACAGTTTTCTCAACTGCTCTGGTTCCTTTGGATCATGGCCCTCCTCCCCCCGGCGGCGACGGCGACGGCCGGAGTCGGGCTGGGGGCGACTGGGCGGCGGTTTTACCTCCATTTTGAGACCGGACTCGCCTCTTCCAACTCGAGTTCAATATGGGACCGAGAGGAAGAGGCGGGGCCAGTCGTCACGTGACGCGTTTTCCCCGATTTGTTTCTTATATCAGTCTAAAGTAGATAAGAGGGGTAATGATTTTCATTTTAGAACCAAGGCCCTAAGAAAATAAATGACTTGGCAAGGTTGTACACATTAAATGCTGCATCAAGGGCTTAAACACAGGCCTTTTATACTAGAAGTGTAAGATATCATCCAAAATATCTGAGGAGTCTTGTCAAAATATGTAACCAGTCACTTCCCTGATATTTTGAGTCAGATTCTTCCCTTGATTCCCAAATGTTCCTGACGTGCTTTTCAACAGCCTTATCACAGCCCTCTCAAGTTTAACAATCTTTATTTCAATAGAATGAGGAAGTCTCTTCTTCATGACACTTTTGATGCAAGACACTTAAAACCCACCTCAAATTGGCTTCAGTAGAAATGAGAAGGGGGCAGGGATCTATTTTCTCACATAAATGAAAACTCTAGGAATAGAAAATCTTCAGGGATAGCTGGATCTAGGATATTTAATGATGTCCTCAAGACCAGGTCCCTCCCCACAGTGTATGACTCAGTTCTTCTCTACAGTAGGACTAGGATCTCTTTTCCTGGCAGCCTCCAGGTGCTCCAGGCTTCATCAAATCTTCATGTCAAGGAGAGACATCTCCTTCCTCAACAGTGTTCCAGTAAAGGTTCTGGGTTTGCCTTGGATTAACTCTGAGTTAGTGGCCTTGGGAGAGGTTGCAGTGCTCTGTCAGCTGAGGCTTTCTTCCTAAGCTTGCCATCAGCTAGAAGCTCCAGCCCACAACACACATCAGGATAAAGTAAAGGCTGACTACTGCAGAGGAAAATTCATCTAATGTTGACTACATTAAGAGCTGCAAAGGACATTTAGCTCAATTTTCTTTTAACTCAGTATCCCCTGAGAGCTAAATAATCTTAGCTTGTTTTATCAGTAAGAGAAGACTTTAGGAGTTTTATGATGTGGCAGTGTCAGCGGGCTTTTGACTGCCAGTGGTCCATGTGGAAGTGGGCAAACGGAACATTTATACATTAACTGACTTTTCAATTCATTTATCTCCATTTAAACAGGTGCAGGTGACGGAAGAGCTGGAACTTGGAAAGTGTGGAACATTCCAAAAGCTCTAATGCTTTGAACTTAGACTATGAGGGGCTATTAAAGTCAGTCATTGTAATAAATTTATTATATTGTGGTACTTGTATCTGTCCAATGCCAGACAGAGTTCAGATTTATGGCCAATCATACATTATGTATCAGCTATAAAAATAGTTTTATGCTATTGCACTAAATTTCAAGAAAATAAAAATTCTGACAAAGAGGATACTACACTAAAAAAATCTCCAGCTTATGATCAACACCTTGGAGTTGCTTCAGCAATCAACTATGTATTTATGTTTAGTGTCTCTCAAAAGCACATTGAGACATTAATAGTAGTTTTCAGAAGCAAAAGTGGTGTCTAGAAGGAAGAAAGCTTTTAGCTGAGAAGAAATTGAATCAATTTTTCATTTTAAAGTCATAAAGGTTTTAGTGTTATTAAGCCCTAGAACCACCCTAACAAAAGAACATTAGTCCTAAGTAAATCGTGTCTTGTTTTGGATGGTACAAAGAAGTGCAAGAGTCAGAAATATATTTTTAAAAGTTAACAAAATCTGTTAAATAATAATGACTTCAGTTTTGAAATATTAGAAATTTCCTCCATCCACAAAAAGACATAAAAACTGAGAACAAAATGAAATTAAAATAGTGCTTGTCACCTCAAATTCATTGCTGAGGGAGTCATCACATTGAAAAGTAAAAATCAGGATTTAGCATTCAGCTAAAATGCTTATTCAGTTTTCTATAATCTGTAATAGTTTATTGAGCTTTCTTTATATTTCATTACCTTGATATTTTTGAATAGTGTAAGACATTCTTTTGGTAGACTGTCCCTCAATTTGGGTTTTTCAGACATTCTTTATGATTTGATTTACATTTTTGGTAGCAATACCTCTATATTAGTTCATTCTCATGCAGCTATGAAGAAATACCAGAGACTGGGTAATTTATTTTTTAAAAAGGAGGTTTAATTGAATCACAGTTTTGCATGGCAGAGGAGGCCTCAGCAAATTTACAATCATGGTGGAAGGCACCTCTTCACAGAGTGGCAGGAGAGAGAAAGAGTGCCAGCAGGAGAAATGCCAGATGCTTACAAAACCATCAGATCTCATGAGAACTCACTCATTATCATGAGAATAGCATGGGGAAAACTGCCCCCGTGACTGAATTACATACACCTGGTCTCACTCTTGACACATGGGCATTATTACAATTCCACGTGAGATTTTTGTGGGAACACGGAGCCAAACTGTATCAACCTCAGAGGTGCTGTTGCCTTCTCAGTACATCATATCAGGAGACACAGCATCATTAATGGTGATTTTGACTTTGATCACTCAAGTAAGATGGTATCTGCCAAGTTTCTGCACTAGAAATCTACTTTTTTTCCATTTTGAGTTTAATATGCATCTTTTGGGGAAATGCTCTGTTTATTTTCAAATTTTTACTCATTATTTTTAATGATAGTTCATGCTTCTGCCTAAAATAATTATTGCTCTGGTGATATTCTAATTCCATTATTACTTCTATCTCATTTGTTTACACTCTACAGTAAGGAAGAATTCTATCTCATTCATCCATCATTTATATCATTATGAACTTATGAATACTTGTTATATTTCATTCTATATTTTGTATATTTCACTACTTTCACTATTTATTTTAATGTTCACATTTTTCCAGATTTTAACCATTTGTATTGCAAATAAATAACATAACCACACTTAAAGGGGTGAGGGAGGGAGCTAACTTGAGTAAATTTTGAGCACAGTGCTTTGATTATATATGCTTATATTAAAGACTAAAAAAATTAAGAATGTATTGAACTCTAATTTGTAGCTGTTTTCTCACTCTAACATGAATTAACAATTATGAAGCTACTTTATGTGATTCTAGTTAAATAAAATGAATTGTTGATAGTGAAAAGTTGGTGTTTTACTGTTGGAGATGGGAGTGACATACATGGAAAGGTTAGAAAAAAAACATTATGTTGAATTGTAATGAAAAGTATCAATATAAACTTAAGGTTTTAAATTGTTTTAATTTTTCTTTTTTTGACAGGGTCTTGCTCTGTCACCCAGGATGGCAGATCATGCAGTGGTGTAATCACAGTCACTGCAGCCTCAACCTCCTGGTCTCAAGTGATCCTCCCACCTCAGCCTCCTGAGTAACTGGGACTACAGGTGTGTGCTACCATGCCAAGCTTATTTTTTTCTGGATTTTTCGTAGAGACGAGGTCTCATTACATTGCCCAGGCTGGTCCCAAACTCCTGGGCTAAAGCAATCTCCCTGCCTCGGCCTCCCCAAATGCTGGGATTATAGGTGTGAGCCACTATACCAGGCCAAGGTTTTTCATATACATAAAGATCCATTATATACAAATAAATATAGCTGCATGCATGTATAGTTGTGTGTGTATGTGTATATTTAATTAGAGAACGCCAATGGTCTGATGTGACAATCCAATTTTCAATAGGTTATGTACTCTTTATGTGCACTTTCTAATGCTCATAGCAAGTAACAAGCTCATTAAATTAGAGCTTGTTTTCATCTAATTGTATAAGTAAAAATATAAAGGACATCACATTTATTAAGTACTATGACATCCTTAATGTTATTACTGATTTCATTACTTTTGGGGTAAAATCAGGTGTTCCTAGGAAGTTGGAAATGCGGGAATTAAACTGACTTTTAGAGTTAAACATTAAACAGTAAAATCAACCCATTGAAGATCAAAGGAGAATGTGGAAATCCATATAATGTCAGCAGGACTTGATTATAACCCGATGGAATGTATTAACATATCTAAGAAAAGAGTACGTCTAACAGAAGGTAGAGCTGGCAGAAATGCAGTAAGAAGCAATTTAAAAAGCACAGATTGGCTGTCCCTATCCTTAAATACTATCCAGAAGGGGAAATTGCAACTATGCATTCAGGAATTAATAACTTCAGTCTCAGTAGCTGATACTCAGTAGATGATATGATTGAAATCTTACAGTATTAAGGTTTTCAATTCCATGCCCACAGTGTGAGTTTTAGATCTCAATTTGGTGCAAGAAATATCACCTGAGAACGAGTAGAAAATATCTGAGACACCACTAAGCAATCTTCAACAGTTACAACCTTCACTGTAAACTGCTACATCTGCAGTCTTATTCTATGCCTCATTCTCTCATGTTTGGTTACCGTGAATCTGTAGTGTACTTTCCCTTAGTAACTACACTACGATGTTCTGATGGTAAATCCAGTTTTTAGCTACAAGATTATAAACCAGGAAGCTCCTTGGGGAGAAACAAGCCAAGCTTGCCAAAGTAAACAAACTCCTTTTGGTCTCCAAATTTGGCTTGTTATGGTCTTCAGAATTCTAGAGCTATGAATAAATCAACTCAATAACTTCAATGTATTGAGTATCTACACTTAGCCAGCCACCATCTTAGGTGCTTTTCCTAGTAGGATTGGACTCATTAATAGTGTATATCAAAATAACCAAGTTTAAACGTTTTTGTACATTGAAACCTATAATCAAAATACAAATTCATTTTTAAGCCAATAAATAGCCACACTTTTACAGCAGGAGCATAAATAGAACTTCATTAATAAACTTATTAATTTCCTGTCATTCTCAATAGCTTATTTTCTAAGAAATAAGGTCAATAGTGATTCTAAGCCACGTACTCAGCAATCCTAAGTAATTCTTAAAGAGCTATCTTTGATAGCTATTTGGTTAATATTTCCACTGCCAGAAATAATTTTTTTTTAATGTGAACATATTGGATGTCTTTTGGTCATTTAAAAAGCAAATACAATCATTTAATACAACAATCTCACTGCTAAAAATTTACTCCACAAATGGGTATACTTGCAATTGGATGCTTATGATGCAGGACTTTTTGCTCCTTAGTTCAGCTAAAATCCAGGTTCTTGTCACATGACCAGGAAAAATTAGGCATGCAGACACATTGAAAGGTGAGGAGAGCAGAATTTATTAAAAGAAAGCTCTCAGCAAAACATAAAGGAGTCCAGCCAACAGGCTCATACCTCACAGATTATTGAATAACAGGCCACCACACACAGGAGCTGAAGAAGCCAGGCCTCTTCCCGCTGCACAAGGATTCCCGGTGGCTCCATCCCACTCTCCCAGCACGTAGGTGGGCCCCCAGTCCATTATGGGCATGCCCAAACAAGGCCCTGGGCAGGTTTCCTTATCTTCCTCCTGCATCTATCATTCCCTCCTCTAAAGAAGTGCATCTAACTGCCATTACAATAAGGATAACATAAGGACAATGACTATTCTCAACTGCTTCCTGCTGATGGGGGCTCTGTTTTGGGAAAATGGAAATCAGAGCTTCCTCAGAGGCCTTTCTAAGGGTTCCCAGCAAAAGGGACTATCGTCCATCTGAGACTCTGGTTGCATGACCATTTGGAGTTTGATGGCCTGAAGGTGAGAAGAGACAAACCTGGTTATTAGAAAACATGTATCAAAATGCAACAAGCAGGTGGGTAAGGACAGCTTAAAAATTCCAAGGCCTTTTAACCTTTTGCACAGGGAGAGGGAGGCCACAAACCTGATTGGTAAAGAAATGTTTACCCTTCTGCTAGCATGTCAGGCTTCTGGGTTCCCTTCCCATGAGCCCAGTCCTAAACCAAACAATTTAAGGTCTGCGAAATTAAATTTTCCCAGTTTGGAGGATGCATCCAAGGGGAGTGTCCCATAGTATGAATACACAATTACCTCATAGTAATTGTACATATTTGTAGGGTACGTCTGGTTGTGCAGACTTAATCTTTTCTCAGCAGCAACAGCGAAGCTAGGCAGGGTAATCCCAGCAGCATCACCTGAAGCCTGGTGTCTACCTGCCCTCGACACAGTGGCGTAAGAAGATCTAGGTTCAGTGGCTTCTAAGTGCCTTCCTACTGCAGAAGGTGCATAGAGATACCAGGTGGCTCAGGGAAGCAATTCTCACCCTCTCAGGCAGCACCAGCAGTGATTTGACTGGGATGCCCAGCAATGCCAGAAGAACAAAGCAAACCAAAATTGCATTTGCTTGTGCCCTAAAAACTAAAGTGTAACTGGAACCATTACCTACAAAAATAGGCCAGAGCCAACATGGTAAACATAAACAGGGTGACTGCCTAATAAATAGGAGATTCAATAGGATTAAGGGTCTCCTAACATAAAAACCAAATATCTAGATACAATAAAAAATAAAAAACACTTGTCATATCAAGACCCAGGAACCATAAACTAATTGAGATAGAAAATCAACTGATGTCAAAACCAAGATTAATCAGATAACAGAATTACCTAAGAAGCATTTTTGAACAGCCATGATGAAAATGATTAAACACTTATGGGTTATCTTGAAACAAATTAAAAATTGAAAAATCCCAGCAAAAAAGAGATGTTATAAAAATAACCAAATGCTAATTAGGTAACTGAAAAATGCAGTTACTAAAATAAAATCTTCAATGTATAGAGTCAATAGGGGAGTAAATTAAAAAGGATAGATTCAGAGAACTTGAAGACAGATCAATAGAATGTGCTCAATTGAACAACGGAAAAGAAATCAGACTTTAAAAAATGAAGAGAGCCTGGGGAACTTGTGGGACAATAACAAAATATCTAATATTTCATATGAGTTCAAGGAGAGGAAAAAGAGTGTAGACCTGGGAAAATATTCAAAGAACGATGACTGTAACCTTCCTAAATTTGGCAAAAAAAAAAAAAAAAAAAAAAAAAAAATATATATATATATATATAAACTTATAGATCCAAGAGCCTGAGCCAACTCCAAATAAGGAAAACCTAAAACATTCACACTAAAAGACCTTATAATTAAACTTATAAAAACTAAAGACAAATAAAAAACTTTAATAACAGTCAGAAAGAAGCAATGCATTATTTAGAAAGAAGCAATTCTTCAATATCAGAAAGAAGCAATTCAAAGGATAGTGCATTTCTCATCTGAAATCACAGAGGCCAGAAAGAAGAGGCAAAGCATTTTTCAAGCTGAAAGAAAAAACAACAAGACTGTCGACTGCAAATTTTATGTTCAGTGAAACTAATCTTTAAAAACTAAGGGGCAATAAAGACATTCTCAGATGAACTCAGAAATTGTTGCTGTCATACCTACTCTTAAAGAATGACTAAAGGAAGCTATCTTAACAGAAAATTTAAAAAAAAATTGAAGACTGGAACTTTCAGAAAAGAAAGAAGAACGAATTAAAATAAAGGTAAACATTTTTCCCTATTTCTAACAGGTTAGACAAAAAGGTAAACATAATAAACTATTCCTCACCTCATGAGTTTTTAAAACCATTTTGTATGATTGAAATAAAAATTATAACATGTTTTGATGTAGTGTGCAAGGTATGTTGAGGAATACTTAAGCCAATTAAAATTAAGAAGTAGGGGAAGTTAAAGAGATCTAAATAGAAGTGAGACTTCTGCACTTCACTGGAAAAACCAAATGTCAACACCAGTAGGCCAGTTCAACGTATAAAAATTAGTCAACAGAATCCATCCATTTTTCTTAAGAAGAAAAATCATAAAATCATATCAGTTAATATAGAAAAATCATTTGACAAAGTTTGATGCCCATTCATGATAAAAACAGTTAGAAAAATAGGACTAAATAATTGTATCCAGTTGACATAAAGCATTTTGCTTATTTTGAACAGGATTCTGTAACAGACTTAGTGGCTTGTAAACAACAGACATATACTCCTGATAGTTCTGGAAGTTGGGAAGTCCAAGATCAAGGCATCAGTGTTTGGAGAGGGCCTGCTTCCCAGTTCATAGATAGCTGTCCTCTCCCTGTGTGCTCACATGGCAGAAAGAGGTAAGGGAGCACTCCCAGGCCTCTTTTATTAGGACTCTAATCTCATTTATAAGAACTCTGCATTTATGGCCTAATCATCTACCAAAGTCCCCATCTCCTAATACAATTATATTGGGGGTTAGTGTTTCAAAATGGAATTTTGGGGGGACATAAACCTTTATTCAATAGCAGCATGTATAACTATAGCTAACGTATTTAATGGCAAAAGATGGAATGCTTCTTCTCTAAGATTATACACAAGGTAAAAATGTCTGCTCTCATTACTCTTATTTAACACAGTGCTGGAATATCTAGACATCTCGATAAGGCAAGATAAATAAGTAAAAGGCATATAGGTTGTAAAGAAAAAAAGAATACTATCTCTACTTGCAGATAACGTGTCTATGTAGTAAATTCCAAGTAATCTACAAAAATTCTCTAGAAGTAATAAGTGAATTTGGCAAGATGGCAGCATAGAAGTTCAATACATAAAATTCAATCTCATTTCTGTGTACTAAGAATGAACATGCAGAACAAAAACTAAAAATATAATACCACTTACAATTACTCAAATAAAGATTCAAGGTGCTAATTGCTTTTATTTTTAAAAAAGGAAAAGAAATATTCATGTAGGTATACACTTAAGAATGAATATATATATATATATATCCAGGTGTGGTGGCTCATGCTTGTAATCTCACTTTGGGATTACAAGCACTTTGGGAGGCCACAGCGATCACTTGAGGTCAGGAGTTTGAGACCAGCCTGGCGAACCCCCTCTCTACTAAAAATACAAAAATTAGCCTGGTGTAGTTGTTCACGTCTGTAATCTAACTACTTGGGAGGGTGAGGCAGGAGAATCACTTGAGCCCAGGAGGTGGAGATTGCAGTGAGCAGAGATCGCGCCACTGCACTACAGCCTGGGCAACAGGGCAAGACTCCATCACAAAGAAAAAAAAAAAAGAAAAAAAATACATAGGTATGTATATACAATTTGTACACTAAAAAGTAAAATATGAAATTTTAAAAATATTTAAATAAATGTAGAACTGTACCTTATTTTATGGGTTGGGAGACTCAGCATAAGAATGATATCAATTCTTCCTAAATTAATCTATCTATCAGTTTAATGCAGTTCCTATCAAAACCCCAATAAGGTTTTTGTAGACATAGAAAACTTATTATAAAATTCATATGTAAAGGCCTGGCTCAAGAATAGCTAAAATAATCTTGACAAAGCAGAATAGTGTGGGAAGAATGATACTAAAAGTATTAAGTCTTTTTTTTAATTATTATTTTTTTTGACACTGGGTCTCACTCTGTCGCCCAGGCTGGAGTTCAGTGTCATGATCTCAGCTCACTGCAACCTCCGCCTCCCGGGCTCAAGTGATTCTCCCAACTCAGCCTCCTGAGTAGCTGGGATTATGGGTGTGCACCACCACACCTGGCTAATTTTTGTATTTTTAGTAGAGATGGGGTTTCACCATGTTGGCCAGTCTGGTCTCAAACTCCTGACCTCAAATGATCCACCTGCCTCGGCCTCCCAAAGTGCTGGGACTACAGGCGTGAGCCACCATGCCCAGCTACAAGTATTAAGTCTTATGGCTGCAGAATCAAAGCAGTGTTTTCTTCACAAAGGCAGAGACACACAGATCAATAGAATCAAATAGGAAACCCAGAAATAGGCCCACTCAAATATGGAAAAGTGATTTTTTTTACAAACAAATAGAAGCAACTCTATAGAGGAAGAAAAGTGTTTTCAACAAATGGTGCAGAAGCAACTGGACATCCATAAGCATAAAAAAGTGATCCTCAACCTAAACATCACATCCTATACAAAAATTAACTTGATATTAAAATGGATCATAGACTTACAAGTAAAATGTAAAACTATAAAATATCTAGAAAAATAGGAGAAAATCTTTGGAATATAGGATGAGAAAAGGAATTTTTAGGGTTGACACCAATGGTATGATTCATAAACGGAAAAATTGGCAAATCTGTTCTCATCAAAATTAAAATACTTTTTCTCTGTAAAAGACCCTATTAAAGTATGAAAATATAAAGCTGCTGACTGGGAGTAAACATTTAGAAATGACATATTTGACAAAAGACTAATATCCTGAATATGTACTCTTATCTCACACTATATACAAAAATTAACTCAAAATAGTTTAAATATTTAAACATCAGGCCTGAAACTACAAAACTACTAGAAGAAAACACAGGGGGAAAAATGATATAACATTGGTTTGGGGGGTGATTTTCTAGATTTGACCCCAAAAGTACAGGTCAGAAAAGTAGGAATAGATAAACTGGATTGCACCAAAATAAAAATCTTCTGCAAAACAAAGGAAACAATCAACCAGAGTCAAGAGACAATCTGCAAAGTGGGAAAAGATATTTGCAAGCTATACATCTGATAAAGGTTTAAAATCCAAAATATATAAGAAACTCAAACAATTCTATAGAAAGAAAACAAAAAATCTGATGAAAAATGGGCAAGGAACCAGAATAGACATTGACCCCAGAAAGACATACAAATAGCCAACAGATATATGAAAAAAATGCTCATCATCACTAATCATTAGAGAAATGCAAAGTAAAACCAAATTGAGATGTCACCTCACAACTGTCAGGCTGTTATGAAAAAGATAAAATACAGCAAGTGTTGATGAAAACGTAGAGAAGTGAGAACTTTTGTACACTGTTGGTAAGAGTGTAACTTATACAGCCATTATGTAAAACTGTTGGGAGATTCTTCAAAAAAACAAAAAAAAAATGGAATTACCATATAATTCAGCAAATCCATGCCTTGGTGTTTACCCAAAAGATCTGAAATCTGTACAGACATCTGCACTTCAGTGTTCATCACAGCCCTATTCACAACAGCCAAGCTATGGTATCCACCTCTGTCTATCAACAGAGGAATGGATAAAGAAAATTGGTATATATCCACAATGACTACCATTCCATCTTAAAAAGGAAAGAAATTCTGTCATTTGTGGCAACATGGATGGGATTGGAGAATAGTATGCTAAGTAAAATAAACCAGACACAGAAAGACAAATATCACATGTTCTTACTTATAGGCGGAATCTAAAACAATCGAACTCAGAAAAAAACAAGAGTAGAAAGATGGCTACCAGAGGCTGGGGGTTGGGAGGAATGAGAAGGTGGTGGTTGAAGGGTACAAAGCCTTGGTTACACGAGGAAATGAGGTTGTTTTTTTTGTTTTGTTTTGTTTTGTTTTGTTTTTGAGATCACGTGCATAGTGTGGTGGATTAATGAATAATAGTGTGCTACACATTTTTAAATTGCTAAGAGAGTAAATTTCATATGTTCTTATCACAAAAAATGGATAGGTGTTTAAAGTGATGGATAGATTAATTAGCTTGATTTTAATTATTCCACATTGTATTAACAAATTATAACATCACTTTGTAATCCATAAATATATACAACTATAATTTGCCAATTTACAATAAAAAATTTAAGCCATTGGGGATAATTGGGTAATATTTAAATAACACTTACGTTAGATGATATTTTATTAATGTTAATTTTCTTAGGTATGATAATAGCATTGTGTTTGTAGAGGAGAATGTCTTTTCCCAAGGAGATGCACATCAAAATATTTAGAAATAAAAGTTTAAATACTTTCCAAGTACTTTCTTACGGTTTAATAGAATGAAATAAAAAGTGTATTTGGCGAGATAGACAAACATGCAAACAGAGGGTAGTAGGTCAACAATTATGAATCTAAAGAAACAACAGCCAGTGTTATACTATTTCAACATTTCTGCAGGTTTGAACATTTTGAAACTGGAGAAGTCAGGGAAAATGATTAACACTTCAAAACTACTAGTATGATTTTGAAGAACTATTATTTATCTATGTAGTATTTTACTTTGTTACAAGTTGTTGCACTTAATGAGAAAGTTCCAATTAGCATAATAAAGCAGACTAGTGTAAAAACATGTTATTATGTGTCTTTTGCATAGAATAACATTACAGCCAGTATTTGTGTGTGATGTTTGGACTCATCAGCTCATAATGTGTCTAGAAGTCTAGAATTGGTTACCTTAGATCGTATATATTCCTCTGCTTAGAATAGCTCAATACAATATGAAATACTTGTAGTTGCCAACTTAAGATAGTAAGAACATACACATTGCAAAAATAATTGGGTATGTGTCTAATGTGTCTAATGCATATGACTAGAATCATATTAGTTAAAAGAAAAAAATAAGTCAGTCTTAAGGAAGATTCCACCAGCTAAAGAAGGTCCAGGACACTTTCTTAAACCACAACCTTGCACAGAATATTCCTCCTCTTAGATGAAGGAAAATACTGTTGTAGAACCTGGGGGAAAAATGGCAGTGCTCTATGTTACATCAGGCAGCTCTGTCTCCAGTAATTCCCACACCTGGCTGTGCAACAGAAATACTTGACTGTGAAAAGGAAATACAATAGACAGAATGTTAGGCTCCACCTCATACTTGTTGCTTCAGATTCTAATGAATGGCATTCATTCCCAGAAATATATCTATTGTTTAAGTTCTTCTGGATGATACCAAAGCACAGTGAGACATAGAATCCATTGAACAAATTACTGTCACAAGACTGAAACAGATTCTCTGGAAAGAGCTGATTTCTGTATGCTTAAAATATTTCGTTAAAATGCACATTATTCATAGTTTTTTACTAACAAAAGAATAAGAATAAATACATGGCATTTTAAATTGAATAACTACTTTTGAAGTGTGTTTTTGTAACTTACAGTTTATTTAACGCAGGACAAATAATTTTATCTTTTAAGGCTCCTCTGTAAAAGGGGAGATAACTATGAGATAACTATATTGGTAAGGCAAGGAGCCATCAATTAGTTATGGTGCTATGTTGTTGCTTCTGAGAGATAGCCATTTTAAAGATTTTATATTTGGGGAACTTGTTTCAATACGTATACAACTATGCAGAATAGATAGGCACAGTGCTGTAATATACAAGGAATCAAAATTTAAATCAACTTGTAGAATTCAACACAGGTAAATGGAAACTATTTATATGTATTTTACTTGACTCTGTTCTTTCTCAGGCCTTTCATTTAAGGGTAAAAAAATACTCTAGAACCTCTGCATAAAACTGAAGCAAAATCATCTAAGTTCTAAGCACACTGAAATATTCTAGTACCTACTTCTCTGTGATTTACTTATATTAAGTCCTCAATCAATATCAATGAATATCATCACAGAAAATGGGTCCAGGAACCACTTGCCAAACTGGTTTTGAAGTTGCCATCTGTGGGGGTTTGCACTGAGCTTTAGTAATATGGCTTAAATTTTCATTTTTAAAATGTAGAAACAGTGAGAGTTTTGATACATTTAAGGAGACTTTAGTAGGGAATAAAGCAGTGTTGTGTTTTGAGGGAAATACTCTTAATTATAGCCTAAATATCACTGGCTTAAATACAGCCAATTATATTTTTAAACAATTTTGTAAGGTTGCATCCTATGCTACTACCCCAAATCCCTGCATTTTAAGAGTTCCACAAGAATTCCCATGCAATTAGCTTTCAGGTATGCACAAAGGTTGAATAAAATAAACTTCCTGCATTCTTAATGTATTTATTAAAGAGCCATCAAACTGCTGGGATTTCAAAAATAACTTTGAAGGAGAGCTGAGTGCCAGAGGAGAATAATAACATATATATGCATATAAGATTTGCTTTATTTTGTAAATATGCATACATACTTTCAACAATCAAGGATAGATGAAAATGGTCTTAAAATATGCACCTATTAGACTAAGTTGCTCATTAAGTAAAAAAAGTTCAAGTGTATGCTTAAAGGCAAGGTAGTGGGAGAAAGAGATGATTAATCCTTTAAATAGTGTGTAAAACCATTTGGATACATCCAATAATTCTCAGTACAATTAAATATAGAAATAAAATTTCCCATTTTGTGGAATGTTTTCTTTATCCCCTTCTCCACGGCAATCTACAGAAAGTCATACACATATTTTCATCCAGGTGTCCTGTGGTTTATGTACCTCATCTTAGCAGATGCCTTGCCAATAATAAATTAAAGGAAGACTTTATTGCCTCTCATTTCTCTGACATTATTAGGCTTGTCACAGGTCTGGATACAGCATTTTATGAGACATACTAAATCTTTCTTGGTGTTTTGTTACATGTAACTCTATTTCTTTGCCATCAATAACTTCTTAAAGCACACCCAGACACACAGACACACACACACACACGCATATTTATCGTTAGAGAAAAAAATTTCAAAGCCTGCACTTATGGAGCTTGTTTATAGCACTACACTGAAATCTAATGGAAAAAAAATCTATCTTTGATCATGTCAAAATTGCTAGTTGAAAGCCAATTGTTTCTATGAAAATGCAAATAATTCAATCACATATATTATCCTCTTTCCCTTAAAATTTAATGAACATAAACATTTATAATTCTTAGGGGGTTTTCACTTCTACTATTAGATATTTTGGGACCTAAAAAAAGAACAAAGAGGATGCATTTCCCTTTGAAAAGATAATTGTTCAAAAAGTGGCGGAAGATATTCTCCTTTAGTACTGTACCCAAGCAAAATGACGTGGAACAAGATCTGTGTCAACCTTTAACTTGCAAAATGCATGTTTCCATTCAAGGATCGGAGTACTTTTATGACACTTGGGATATAAATTCTTAAGTAGACTCAAGAGGACCAAAAGATTCTAAATCCTGTCAATTTGTGATTATTCTATTGTGACATCTCCAAGATAGTTGCTTTCCTAATTCTTTATCTCAGCTTATTCAATTCGTTGCTTTATTATTTACATTTTTACTTTATTAGATGATTGATAAAAACAGAATCCATCAGTTTCTTTTTTTCGAGGTCTCCTAGTACACTTATACCATGATCCGTGCATTGAAAATCTAATGAGATGTTCCATAATTCCTTAGGATGGAGCTGCTCATTCACAGCTGTACTGCATTACCTGGCACAAGTGGGCTTCAATAAGGGTATTCTTTTCTTATGAAGAAATTCATCCTTAGGAAGGGTATTAGTCAAGGTTTTCCAGATAAACATAAACAGAATCCCATTTTATATATACATATATATATGTATGTATATATGTCCTATGTATTATATAGAAGTAACAGAATCCTATTTTTATGTACATATTTATTAAAAGTAATGGGAAAACTGTAATTACTTTTGCACCAACCTAATATAACATATATTATATATAATATGTTATGTATTATATAATATATAGTGTACATTACATATTATTATGTATATGTAATATATAATATATAACATATTATTTTGTATACTATATATTGTATATATATTTTGTATTATATACTGTAATATATCCTATTATATAAATACATACATCTATGTAATATATCCTACTACTATGATATAAATTTATCTATATTTACCTTATTATTCATTATTATAAAAATTATAAAAAATAAGTTATTGGCCAGGCATGGTGGCTCACACCTGTAACCCCAGCACTTCGGGAGGCTGAGGCTGGAGGATTGCTTGAGCCCAAGACAATACAGGGAGAATCCTGTCTCTACAAAATATAAAAATAAAAGTAAATTACCCGGCTGCAGCGGCGCATGCCTGTAGTCCGAGCTATTCAAGAGGCTGAGGTGGGAAGATCGTTTGAGCCTGGAAGTCAAGGATGCAATGAGCCCTGATGGCACCACAGCACTACAGCCTGGGCAACAGATGGAGGCTCTGTCTCAAAAAAATATTATTATAATTTATAAATTATTATGAGATTGGCTCATGAGATTATGGAGACTGAGAAGTCCCAGGATCTGTATTCCGCAGGCTAAGATCCAGGAGAGCCAGTGGGTATAGTTCCAGTTCCATTCTTAAGACCTGAAAACTAAGAAAGCTGATGATGTAAGTTCAAGTTCGAGTCAGAGGCAGGAAGCAGAAGACCAATGTCTCAGCTCTAAGGCAGTCAGGCAGAGAAAGAGAATTCTCCCTCACTCAGGCTTTTTGTTCTATTCACGACTCCAACAGAGGATAAGGCTCATCTACACTAGGGAGGGTGATCTGTTTTACTCAGTTTACCCATTCAAATGTTAACCTCATCCAAAAACACCCTCATAGACACACCCACAATTATGTTTTACCAAATATCTGGGTGCTCTGAGGCCCAGTGAAGTTGCTGTATATAACTGACTATCATAAGAAGCATACACTGTAGTAGAAGAAATCAATGTATAAGGACACAGGTTTTTGGATCACACATATCTGGGTTCAAATACTTGAATATCAGATTCCTTCACTTCTTTTTATCTGTAAAACTTTAGTCAGGTTAACTGACATCTAAATCTCAGTTTCCTAATCTACAAATTGAGCTAATAATGCCCGGAAGACTTTAGTGGGGATTAAATAAGACAATGTTTCAAAAGCACTTAGCAGAAAACTTGCACTCACCTGTTAGTGTCGGCTTCGTAAAATAAGTAGTTAAGGGAAAACAGAGATGAGTAGGAATCTTGCCTTTGCCAATTTCATCTATGGCTTTGAGCAAGTTACTGGATCTTCCTAAACTTCCATACCTCTTTTGTAGGTACTATTACTGAAATAAGATAGTTCCATCAAAGTGCTTATACAGTTTCCTGCTTAATTGTTGTTGTTTTCCATTTCTGTCTATTATAAATAAAGCTGCTAAAGATATTTGCGTGTAAGTCATTGGGTAGATATAGGTTCCACTTCTCTAAGGTAAATACAAATGATTGGGTTGTTGGGTCATATGGCAAGTGTATAGTTAACAATTTAAGAAAATGCCAAACTGTTTTCCAAAGTAGTTGTAAAATTTTACACTCCCAGCAGCAATATCTGGAAGGTACAAGGGCTTCATATCCTTCACAACACTTGGTATGGTCAATCTTTTACATCTAAGTCATGAAAATGAATATGTAGTAGCAACTCTTCCAAGTTTTCATCTTCGTATTTCTGAAGATCAAGGACATTGAGCCTTTTTTCATGCGTTTATTTCCTATTCACATATCTTGTTTTATCTCTTGCTCAATATTTTTATCATGCTGCTTTTCTTCTTGATATAGAGTTGTAAGAGTTCTTTGTACATTCTGTATACAAACCTTTTATCAGAGATATTTTTCTAAGTAGCTTCTCCCAGTCCCTGGCTTGCTCTTTCATTTTGTTAGAAATGTCTTTCAAAGAGCAAAAGTTTTTAATTTCGATGAACTCTCAAATTATCCATAGGCTTATTCTATGATTCATTCTTTTTGTGCCATATCTAAAACTCTTTGTGTGACCTTTCATAATTTAAGAGTAAGCTTTTATGTTTAGGCCTACTATTCATTTCTTACTAATTTTTATATGTGAAATGACACAAAAGTCTAAGTTCATTTTGTCCTATATGTATATCCAATTTTTCTAGCAATATTTGTAGATGGACTACCTTTTATTTGATGAATTTTCTTAACAATGTTGCTGAAAATCAGTTGACCATGTATGTGTGGATCTATTTTGGACTCTCTGTTTCGTTCCATTAATCTGCTACGCAAACACTACATGGCATAGATGAATGTAGTTTTCTTTTGCTATAGTTTTGCCTGTTTCTAAAATTTTATGTAAGTGGATTATATATTATGCATTATGAAGTCTTTTGTTTCTGACTTATTTTACTTAGCATTATGCTTTTGGGGGTAATAATCCATGTAGTTGCATGTGTCAGTAATTTGTTCCTTTAAATTTCTGGATATACCACATGTTGTTTATTAGTTCTAAAACTTTTAGATACCCTTCTTATTTTCAAATTCCCCCATGATGGCTGAAGGGATGTGAAGATAATAGAAAAAGGCAAAACAGGTTTCTTAATTTCTAGAAACTGTGCTATAGGAAGTAATCTCAGAAATCATATAATAATCAAAAAAGTGCTGTTGGACAACAGTAAAAATTGAGTTTGTGTATATTGAGTTGAATGAATCTTCAGTGAATTCTGTTTTCAAGGTATTGTGTATGTTTTCAGTGAAAGTTTGGTTAAAGAGTGAGAGTAAATTATATAAACCATAAACATCTAATACTGACACAACTACCAATTTTGACACTCTTACTCTTTCGTCCCTTGTGACAATCAAATATTTCATGTTATCATTTTCGTTCTGCCTGAAAAAAATCCTTTAACAGCTCTGATAGTGCAGATCTGCTAGTGATGAAACTTCTTAGCTTTTGTTTAACTGAAAATGTCTTTATATTGTTTTCATTTTAAAAATATACATTAACTATTTAAAAAACTCTAGATTAACGTCTCTTTCTTTCCCTCATTTTTTAAAAGTGCCTCTTTATTATTTTCTGGCTTGCATAGTTTCTGATGAGAAGTCTTCTGTCATTCTTATTTTTGTTTTTCTTTTTGTCTTTGTCTTTTTTCCCTTCGGCTGCTTTTAAAAAATGTTTCTTTTTTAATCACTTGCTTTTAGCAGTTTAATTTTTGAACCTCAAATATCTGAGACAGTTCTCAGTTTAGGACGTTTATTTTGCCAAAGTTAAGGATGCGTGCCCATGACACAGCTTCTGGAAGTCCTGATGGCATGTGCCCATGGGGGTCTGATCACAACTTGGCTTTATACATTTTAGGATGACATGAGACATCAATCATTATACGAAAGATGAACATTGGTTTGGTCGGGAAAGGCAGTACAACTCAAAGTCAAGGCAGAACAACGTGAAATAGGGAGGGGCTTCCAGGCGATGGGTAGATAAGAGACAAATGGTTGTATTCTTTTGAGTTTCTGATTAGCCTTTCCAAAGGAGGCAAATCATATATGCATTTGTCTCAGTGAGCAGAGGGATGACTTTGAATAGAATGGGAGGCAGGTTTGCCCTAAGCAGTTCCCAGCTCGACTATTCCCTGTAGCTTAGTGATTTTAGGGCCCCAAGATCTATTTTCCTTTCATAGATTCTTATGCATATTATTGTTCTGTTCTTTACCTTTCCTCTACTTGGGTTTGTTAAAATTCTTCCAACTGTGATTTTTGTTTTCATTAGATCTGAGAATATTTTTGTTAGTGTTCATAGGTCCTTAGGCTCTCATATAATAGAAGTTGACATGAAGCCAAGCAAGTTTCCCAGACAAAGCTTTATTAGGGGGTTATGCTGGAACACAAGGGAGACAGTACTGGAGCAAAATTTCTCCAGCCGGCTCCCAGAGGGGAGTGCATTGCAGTGTCTTAAGGAGGTGACATTAATAATTCAAGAAGTAGGTGAGCATCACTACATGTATGGGGTGGAGTGCAGGATGCTCAGGTGTAGTAAGGGATCATGCTAACACATACATCACATGAGCAGAAAATGGCAGATAAGAACCCCCTTGGCAGAGGTTTTAGTGTTATAATGAGGTGAGGGGTAAAGATCGGTCATTCTTCTGGTCTTGTGCACTGCAGATGATAAAGTTACTTTCCCTGAGTAAGACTTATGATGGAACACTGCTTATCTTAGTTTCTTCAAGGTCCAATGGTCATCAGTCAGGAAATGGAAAAAGAAAGAAAAGGAAAAGAAATATATTAGTAAAGGGTGGGGCCAAGTCCCTTCTCTACTCTGTCTCATTTGTACTATTATTTTTTCTTGTCTTTCCTTTCAACTGACTTCCCTATTTTGGGGTCTCTAATGACACATTTATTAGAAAGACTGACATTACCCTACAGCTTCCTGAAGTTCTGCATCTTTTTTTTTGTTCACTCCTTTTTCTCAGTGTTTTATTTTGGATATTTTCAATTGCTAGACCTTGAAGGCCACTTATCTTTTCTTTCTTGGTGTCTATCCTTCTGATAATCACATCCAGTGTGATTTCCAAATTTTTAATATTGAACCATTCATTTCTAGAAGTTCATTTTGGCCTTTGTAATGTCTGTATTTCTCTTTTCATTGTAGTTATCTTATTTTTCAAATCTCTGAATATACCTTTAGATTTACAATAACTGTCTCAAGGTTTTTGGGTACAACACCATCATTTGGGTCTATTTTTGCAGACTGCTCCTTTGCATGTCTGGTAATTTTTAGTTTAATATTGAATAGTGTTAATTTTGTGTTGTCTTTTGTCTTTTGGTATTGGATTTTGTCTTTCCACAGAAGTAACTACTTGTGGATTAACCTTATGATCCTTTTGAAGCTTTCATTCAAGGCACATTATGGCAGGTCCAGAGCACACTTTAATCTGGGACTGATTTTGCCTTGCTACTAAGGTGTATCCCTTTAGAAAACTTTATCAATTTTTCTGTCTATTACAAGGTCTTTCTGTTTTGACTGGTGGAAATGCAAATATTCCCAGCCCTTTGTGAGCTTTGTGAATTGTTCAGCCTAAGGTTTTCCAGTTGTTCTTTCCTCGGTTTGGGGAAATGTCATCCTACTCATACACAGATTAGTTTCCAGCCAAAAACTCAAGGGGACTCTGTGTGCAAATCCCCAGAGCTCTCTCTCCCTGTGCAGATTTTTCTTATCCAAACTCAGCTCTCTCTCCTCTCAGCCAAATAAGATTGCCAGAATTTGTTCCCCTCCCTACACTGTGGCTTGAATAATTTCCTCCAGGCAATAAGCTGGGTCAGTCATATCTCATTTGATTTTCTTCTTTCAATCACCATAGTCACGCGCTGGCTGTAGTCTGGCACCTAAAATCAGTGTTTCGTATATCTCTTTCCAGTTTTGTAGTTATTTAAAGTGGAAGAGTAATTTTGTTGTAATTGGTTTTCATTAGCAGTTGCAGAAGTATTGTTGCAAGTACTTATTAATAAAATAATTAAAATATAAAAGGTAAACAGAACTTTTCCATTTTGCTTCCATTTTTTTCCTCTTCCCTCCCCAGTAGCAATTGTTCTCATGAATGTGGTGCATAAAAGTAAATATGTCATTCTTTCAGGCAGACGAGAAAAGAGGGCTTGATATTGTGAAATATCTACAGGGTCTTCATCCCTGTTTCTTGGCACACAACTCCTGAAATCCTTGGAATCTCCAAAGTGATATCTTTTTGTATGCCAATGATGGATGGATGGCCAGCAGCCCCTCAGCTTTGAGATGGGGACTGGTCACCAGAAAGACAAAGGCAGGGTCCCCAACCTTCTGGGAAGAAAGGGGCCAATAGCCAGTGGTTTAATCAATCATGCCTAGGTAGTAAGTCCTCCCTAAAAGCCCTAAAAGGATAGGGCTCAGAAACTTTCATATAATTAGACACATGGCGGTTCCTGGAGGGTGGCATACCCAGAGAGGGCTGGGAAACTCCATGTTCCTTCCCCCATAGCTTGCTCTATGCATCCCTTCATCTGTTTCCTTTGTAATATTCTTTATAATAAACTGGTAAACATAGGTGTTTCCCTGAATTCTGTGAGCCACTCCAGCAAATTAACCAGAGAGCCTGTCGTGGGAACCCCAACTTGAAGCTGGTTGGTCAGAAGTTCTGGAGGCCAAACCTGTGACTAGTTTCTGAAGGGGGGCAGTCTTGTGGGACTGAGCCCTCAACCCGTGGGATCTGATGCTATCTCCAGGTAGAGAGTGTCAAGATGAAATTGTAGGACCCAACTGGTGTCTGCTGCAGAATGAATTGCTTGCTTGGTGGTGGGGCAAAACCCCCCCAACACACATTTGGTCCCAGAAGTCTTCTGTCTGTGTTAGTTGCTGTTGTTGAGTGTGGCATGAGAGCAGTGGAAAATACAATTTCAGTTCTTTCCTCAAACAGAGGGAATTTAGTTTTAAGGTCATTAGGTTTAGAAAACAGTGTTTGACTAGAAGATTGCATCGGTGTGGATTCAAAGGTAAAGAGAAAGAGTAATTTGGACAAGAATTATTTACTAAATGAGAAATTTAAGTAATAAGGGACTGGCTACTAGGAAGTGAAAATAACGCTCAACAATATAAGGGTAGCAGATAGAAGGAGCAGCTGCCAACCCTTGGGCTGAGATAGAGCAGCCACAGGAAAGCAGCTCCCCTACCCCACCACTCGCCACACACGGCTGGGATCCAGACCTGCGGGAGAGAGAGCTGTGGCTCACTGAATGAAAGAGGGGCTGGCAGAACTTGCTGAAACCTGCCTTCTTCTGGAATTTGCCAGACATTCTTCCACTAGGTTGGCAGTGAAATCTGTTCTCAGGAATGAGTCTCATTGGAGACACTCCAGTATAAACCCACTAGAAGCAGAGACAGAGGGGCTGGTGGATGCCGCTTACCACCACGCATCATAGTTGGGGGGCACCAAAGAAGCTACAAGTGCTGCAGAAGCTGGTGAACCATCACCAATATCAGGAAACAAAATCCTGCTGTGTCTCTCTGGCGCCCTCTACTGACAAGCCTTAACATTGTGTCAGTTGGCAAAGAAAAATAAAGGGCTCAGATCCATTTCACAGAGCAGGCAAAAAGATGGATTTGGAGCTGAGAGGCAATAAATAAATAAGTGACACGAGGATGAGGATAAAATGTCAGATTCATTACTAGATATTTATTTTATTTTAATGTTACCGAAGATAGCCTCATTTAGCCAAATCAAGCAGTGGAACCAAGAAAAATTAGGTCCCCACTTCTAACTTGTTACACTTGAATGTGAATATGCCAATTAGGAGTGAGCCCCCACATCTGAGGGAGCAATCCACAGGAAAAGGCTAAACAAAGAACAGAGAAAATATGTGAAAAAAGACAGCCCCAGAGAATAGCTGGAACTCTGCTTACCCTGCTTAACTGAATGATGCTATGACCTGTGATTCTAGTCCTTGACTTTTCCCCTTGAACTTGGATTCTGGAATTGGGGAAGACAAAAACAAAATTGGTTCATTAAATATCAGTGGTCAAATGAGGCTGTAAATATTTAAGTGTTTCCCATCCATAGTGATATGAGGTGGAAAAATGATAGTATCCTGTTTTGAAATCTTGGAGATAGATAAGGAGAATCTGAGAAGAACTGGGGCTTAGTACTGCAGCCCTTCCCCACTCCAAAATAATGGATCACAAGGAATTTTTAATTGCACTTGTCTACATGAATGGATTGGTTAGGGAAATAAGCTGTTTATACTGCTGAAAAAGTGAGGCCTTTCCCTGAACTCCCGAGAACTATGGAAAAACATTAAAACCACACTAAATACACAGTTTGCCAAATACCAAAAGGGCAAATAATAAAATCAGTATTGAACCAAGTATGAGATTAAAACAAATATCATCATCATAAAATAAAGTTCTGAGAATCAAAATTAAATCCTAAGGGTTTTTTGAAAAAAACTCAATTATTAATAAAATTCGCTGTTGAGTATTTCATCAGTAAGATTTTAATTGTGTGACATTAGATGACAGAAATAAACATTCTTTGGAGTCCTCTATATTAAACAGTAGGTCACTTGCCCCTGGGGTTGTTGAAGGTATCTATATTTTTTGGCTATCACTGCTGGTATTTATGTTGTCATCTAATCATTCAGCTCTCCTTTACCTAAATAAAAGGCACTTACTGTGGTAGATTAATGCGAGGACATTTTCTCTTCCAATTCTGCACTAAAAGATTTAGTCAGTATTAAAACTGAAATCCCATTGAAACAGTCTCACAAACCAACCATTTTTGTACTACTTGAAGAAAGTGCTTTTAGCATATTTTCCAAAGCTGACTCAAGGCGGCGTCCTTCATTTTTTTTTTTTTAATTGTAACATTCTTTTGAAGTACTTGCTGTTTCTCACAATCCCTTGAGACAATTTTGTCTTTACCTTTCATATAGGAGAAATTTGGCAAAGTAGCAATGTTGGCTTTCTAGAAAACAAGGTCATTCTAGAAATACATTTCCTTCCACATTGTTTACATATCAATTACAGTATCTTCCCAGGAGGACAATGAGAGGAGAATCTTTAGAGCAGAAGGCATAAAAAAGTGTTAGCCACAATATTTTTGTCACTTCTAGGATCAGAATATTGTTGGCAATGTGCAAGTTGAGAGATGACAAATGATGTTGAAGTCGTCAGTGGGCTTGTTCTTGAACTAGTCTTGGAGAGATGGTACTCAGGGTTCTCAAGTTTTTTAAGCAGCCTGTCCAAAGCCTCTAGACAGGTGGCCTGGAAAGCACAGAACTTAGCTGAATTTCATGACCTCTGAGACAGGGACCCTGAACGGTTTGGATCCCCACCCAAATCTCATGCCAAATTGTAATCCCCAATGTTGAAGGTGCAGCCTGTGATACTGTCCTCACCACAGTGAGTGAGTTCTCGTGAGATCTAGTTGTTTAAAAGTGCAGCATCTTCTGCCTCTCTCTCTTGCTCCTACTCTGGCCATGTGATGTATGTGCTTCCCCTTCGCCTTTTGCCGTGATTGTACATTTCCTGAGGCCTCCCCAGAAGCCGAGCAGATGCCAGAATCATACTTCCTGTACAGCCTGTGGAACCATAAGCCAATAAAACTTCTTTTCTTTATAAATTGTCCAGTCTCAGGTATTTCTTTATAGCAGTGTGAGAACAGACTAATACAGACCCCCTTATTCCTCCAGTCAAACTGACTCAAGGTGAGCAAAATATCATTTCTTTCTAGGGCTAACCAATCTATTCTTGTTAACCTGAATTTTCTGGAAAATCTGCAATGTCTTTTTCAGTCCTCTTACTTCTTTTTTGCAAAAACACACAGATTTGTCTATCCCCATCAAAGCTTTTCATTTATCTCAGCACCTCACCATCTCCTTTACTATGTCTCCTTCTTCTATTTGTCCTTCCATGTCTCAAATATGTGGTTTATATTCCTCACTACTCAATATTTTCCTCTCTAATTTAGTTTCCATCATTGCCCCTCTGCTAAAGATAAGCTCAACAATTTGTTAATTCCTTTGAGTCACTTTTCTTTAATGTTAGTCTTGGAGGTGGAGTGGAGACCTTACTATGCCATTACATTGTTTTTGCTTAAATGAATATTTTACACCAGATTTGCATGACACCATAGCGAGAGAATTCCTTTTCTTTCTTTTTTAAAGAGGCTCAACCTCTTTTGATTAATAGCTTGCCCTCAATTAGCACATAATACGTAAATTCATGAAAATTACAAAAGCAGAAGAGAAAACATTATCTGAACTAAGAATTTACCCATTTTATTGTCTTTTGAAAATCTTAGTTAGTATTACGTCACTTAATTTAGAAAAAAAGTTACTCTAAAATGATATAAATATTAAATCTTAATGAACCCAAGAAATGAATTCCTTTACATAATAGAGGTATAAAATATTAATTTAAATGTCAAATTTGACCCCTTTCACTATTCTGAGACTCTGGCAAGGGAATTCAACATACACATGAAGACTGGTACAAATCTATGCTGTCTGAAAGCTGTTAAGGAAGCATTATCTGTCTCTGATGGACTCCACACAGAATTCACCATAATAGCTGTTCAAGCGCATTCCACCCTCCTCAATACAAAGCAGGGGAATTACACTGCGGCTAGATGTTAACCCATGGAGCTCGGTGCATTTTAGCTTCTCAGGGAGCTCCAGCTGCAGTTGCACAGGCAGGAATAAAAGACAACAACAAAAAAAGAGAGAGGAGCCATAAGTTCCTGGTAGTTTTGGGGGCATCTATTTGCTGCCCTCTGGAGAACTAAGAAATGATATCCAACAAGGTCTCCTTGAGGCAAAAAGAAAGGCATGTGTCCAATTTAGTACGCTCGTAGTTATTGGCATGGGTATATCTGGGATCCTTGAGGTAAGTGCATAAAAGATGCATGAGGGATGATTGTAGCAGTCATTTCAAAAGGAGGAGAATTCTGGGGGCCAAGCTTCCCAGAAGGAAATGTGGCTGGCGATTTGACAGTAACATGGAACCAGAGGCATAGCAGGTACTAGCAGCAGTAGTCAAACTGACAAGAAGAGGAAAGTACGGCACAACATGTGGGAAAAAAGAGCTTCCTAAAGATGGGGAAATAATTAAGTGATCTAGCTACTGAGAACTGTGTGTGAAGAGAGTATCTTGCAAGCGGATAATTTTGCAAAGCAGAAGATGTAGATAGGGTATATGTTGCTTACAAAACAGACCCTTGGATTGGATTTGGCTTTCCTTTTATATGCTGCTACGCATACACTAAAATTTTTACTTTTTCTTTTTCTTTTTTTCTTTTTTTGAGATAGAGTCTCGCTCTGTCACCAGGCTGGAGTGCAATGGTGCGATCTCAGCTCACTGAAACCTCCGCTCCCCCAGGTTCAAGCCATTCTCCTGTCTCAGCCTCCCCAAAATTTTTACTTTTTGAATAACATTTGTATGTCTTGCAATCAGAAGTAACAAGCTCCTACTATGTACTTTATTTTTGGTCATAAGGAATGACGCCTTAAAGAAATAGAACTTATAGAATCTTGAGAAAATCTAGATTAAAAAAACTGGTCAAGTCCCCAGGGTATTTATGATCATCAATAATATTAAAGATTTTCTGAACACCTCCTGTGGCAGGTCAGGTCTCACTAATGCAAGCCTCCATAACAACTGTTTCAGGACTGACTGAGAGGTTAAGTTAAATATTAAAAACCAGTGTCCTTACACAAAGGTTGGGATGTAAAAAAAGCCCATCAAGAATTTTGGCTAGGACTTTCCTGGGCTTTAAAGCATAACACAATAACAAAATAATTCTTAATAGGACCATTTAGGATTAAACCAGTTTTATTGTGGGTCTAAAGAAACTCCCCAGGCCTCCACAAACAAGCTTATTAGGGGTCTGAAGGAACTCCCTAAACCTCTGTGATTTAGCAGGAGACAAGATAAGTGTAATCACCCCAGCACCTGGACCCATTTAGACTAAGTAAATTTACTAAGGCTCCAGAGGAAAGTCTTCAGGACTCAGACCTTAGTTACAGATTAAAAGATTTATACATCTTTGGATAAATGCACACTTAAATGTATAGCTTAGAAAGTATATAAGCTCTAGAAAACTTTGTAATTTTCAGTCGGTCTGGTGATAATTTCCAGGCCTTCCCCCTGTATATAGTTGCAGAAATAGGAACTCTCTTCCTCCCCAGTTCGTCTGCATCTCATTATTGGTCCACGAGAAAGAGTAGCCTGACCCTCACTTTGGCCGGGGAACATTAGTACATAAAAGGGGTTGTGTTTCTTTGAATACTACCACTTATTGGGTGCTTTTATGTGCCAGGCACTGTTCTAAATCCTTTATATGAATCATCTTGTTTAATCTTCACAATGGCTACACAATGTAAGAACAATTCTTCTCCCATTATACAGAGGAAGAAACTGAGGTTTAGAAAAGTTAAGTAACTTGCGCAAGATCAAATAGTTAATATATGGTAGTGAGTGGTTAAACACAGGCATTTCTTCTGTGATGCCTGAGTACCTATGAAGAGGGGATGTAACAGTGAATCGTACCACCTTGGCTTCTGGCTTTATAGCTTTCACCATCTTTGGGGGTGGAAGACGGCGAAAGTGAGAGGCAGAATGCTGAACTCAGTGTTGAAAGGCTAAAGAAAGCTTCCTAGAGGACATGCTAGCCTAATTAAAGATTTGAAGGATGAAAGGGAGCTGGCCAATTGAAGAGAAAACTTATGAACTTCTCAGAAACACAAAAACAGAAAGTGTACAAACCCAGATGTGAAAGAGAACATGGCACATTTATAACTAGAGTCTGAATTGCTTGTGGCAACAGATGAAGCGGGAGACATACAGTGCTGACAATCAAACAGGCCTTGCATACCATATTGAAGAATGAATCAATAGGAGAAGTGTGGAAGAAAGAACTCACTCTTCTAGGGGATTTTAACCCCCTGGCCTACCTGGGCTACATTTCAGAGTATGAATACATTTGCAAATAGGAGAATTTTGAAATAGTTTGGCCTGTTAGTCTTTGAGAGATCATGGGATGTAAGACAATTACCCCAAGCCTAAATATCAGTAAACTCACCATTTGAAAGTGGGACAGATGTATTCTAAAAATTGGATAGACTGATCTTGGTCTCAGCTGACTCAGTGCCAAGTACCAGAGGAAAAAGTAAACACTTTTTGATCACTTGAATGGAACAAAATTCTAGAATAAATTATTCATGAGATTTTTTTTTGTGGGCACGTCAAGAAAGGGTGAGATAGTGAGAATATATTTACTTTTTTAAAAAAATGTAATGAATATCTTGTATGTACAAGGAATTGTGCTGGATTTGGAGGAGAAGAATACAAAAGGCCAATAATAATAGTTACCATTTATTGTGTGCTTGCCAGATGCTTGGCGGTCTTCCAAACCTTCATTTATTCATACGACTCTTATAATCCAGTGAAATTAAGTCCTATAGCATTCATTTTATAAACTGACACTCAGAGTGTAACTTCTTCAAGGTCACATCCCTAATAAATATGCGGGCTGGAATTTTGTTTTTTGGGGGTGGGGTCAACACGGCACCATTACTACTTTTGCCTGAGGCTGTTTCACAGAATCTTTTTCTTTCTATGATTTCAGGATAGAATTTGGTAACTAGTGTTACATGTGATATGTTAGGTGAAAATAAAATGCACTTTTTTCGGGAGATTGCATCAGTCTGGTTTGGTGGCTTCCTCTAAAAAGGTGACTTCACAGACCCAGCAAAACCCAGTTGGGTGCCAGGTGCAATGATTTTTACAAATTTCCCTTGAGTGCTGGTTGTCCAGACACTCCAGTATTTCAGACTAGAGTTGCTAGTGTGTGTTTCTATAATTTCCAACTACTGCTTCTGGTTTCTGGACCATTCATGTAAGCTTTGGACCAGTTAGCTTTTGCTTTAAAACACATCACTCTCAAGCATAAACAAACACCATTTTATTTAGCTCACAATTCTTTGAAGGCAGTGCTCAAGTTCATCTGGTCTGGGCCAGAGTGACTGATCACTGCTGGGTGTCCTCATGCATCTGCAGTCAGGTAGTGGATTGGCAGGCAGCTGGATGATGGTGGCTGGTCTCACAGGTGGAAGACTCTCTAACAGGGTGTCTAAGTTCTTTCTCCCACCAGTCTAGCTTAGGTTTCTTTGCAAGGCAGTTGCAGGGTTGCAAAAAGCAGCAAGAAAGGGCAAGTTCCGTTGTTCAAAAAGACTTCAAATATCTGCTTGCATCACATTTGATATTGTACCAATGGCCAAAACAAGTCACATGACTAAGCCCAGTCTCACTATCGGCGGGTGTATCCAAGGAGGTGAGAGAGTATCCAGGGCCATGTTACAGTGATGACAAGAATGTGGCCATTTTCAGAAATCACACAAGTCCTGATTCCCATATTATATCCCTATTCCTGTATTTGTAGTGACCCTATCTTCCTTGCTGAAACTTGGTTATTATAGAATTAATAATTAAGTCAAGACAGACTAGCTGAAGAGTTGGCACAAATCTTGATCATAATGTTGTATTACCTCTCCAAATCTGCACAACCAGAGGGCTTATAGGAGAGAAGCCTACACATTTCTGATTATTCTAAGAGATAGGATACAAATAAAAACCATGAAATGATTAAATGTACTAGCCCATGTGGTGCAAACATGGAGGAGTTATAACTAATTTTGATGGGGAGATGAGTTGGTTAAGAATACATAATGAAAGAAATATTGACCTATTTACTGAGCTTCTAACTCACCGTACTGTCAGGCTTCCTGTTGGAAAACTTCATGTGAATTTGTCCCTAATGTTTTATGCACGTGTTCAAAATAAAATTAATAATCTTCCCTTACTTTAATCTTCCTACAAGCTCCATATTTTGACTCACTCATTGATTCATTCAACAAGTATTTATTGAGTGGCTACTAGGTACTAGGTAATTTTCTAAATGTGGGGATAGGGTAAACAAAAAAGATTTCTCCCCTCCAGCACCTTTCATTTTAACAAATGGATAGAAAATTTAAAAAGTAAGAAGTCTTAGAATAGATTATTGACTTGACATAAATTGAAACAAAAAAATATTAAGCAAGCAAACGCTGCTAGTAGGGAATGAAAATTTGGCCACCTTGGAAAATGGTGTTGCATTACTTTCTAATTTGAATATTCATATATCCTATGACCCAGCAATTCTATTCTGAGGTATATATCCCAGATAAATACTTTCACATATACTAAAACATATATGAAAAACTGCTAAAAACACCATTGTCCATAATAGCAAAAAATCTAGGAAAAAATTCCAAATGTTCATTAATATCTAATAGAGTATTTGTAGATACATTCTAAGGAAAAAAATAAAGTAGTGTTTGCTGATAAGTAGTATACATTTTAACTGTCACTTCAGAAAACAATTTGGTGGTAACTTTTAAGTTAAACATTCACTTATCTTGTAACTCAGTAATTCTACTCTGAAGTTTATACCCTGAAGAAATTCTTTTATATGTTTACCAAAATATGTGTAAAAACATTTAGGATACCTTTGTTCATATTAACAAAAAAGTTGAGATCGCTAAGAACAGAAGAATAATAAATAAACTAAATAGATTCACATAAAGGAATGTTATACAGCAGTGAAAATGAATAGGTATTGATGAATCTTAGAGAAATGTAGAAAATAAAAATTATATGACTTCTGCTTCTAGCTATGAAGAATTACCTTCTAACAGGCTAGAAAAGCCAGCTAAAATTCTTCCCTCATGGAGTATATGCTGATTTTTGGAGGAGGATAAGAGGCTGAGTAGCTGAGCAGATGCCAGGTGCTCTGAAGCAGTGAAGACTGCAGGGCATTCAATATTCTCAATATTCTGGAGAGGCAAACATCGAAGTAATGGTCTGCCAAGGCAGTCAGCATGAGAGGGTGAGATTCTAGAAGAAGGCACACATCAGGAGATTGGCATTACAATAGTTTTCCCTTGGGGGCATGTCTTAAATGTTAACTAAACAGAGTGACAGGCTAAGAAGAAGTAATAACTTGCTGAAAAACAAAGGTGTTTCCAGAAGTTCCACACTGCTAAGGAGACAAAAATTGTAGTTAATGACATGCCAAGGAGGAGAAATCCTAGCAAACACACAAAACTGTCACTGGAAACCTGAAGGGCTTCACATTAGAAGTAGGAGTAAATCAGTGGTAGAGAGAAACTTCAAAAGATGTATTTCAGTCCAAGATTAGCCCAGTCCCTTATTAGATTCAGATGACTTGCCTCAAGGCTAACTGCATATCAAAGGGTAGAGTAAATCCTCCGTGGAAGAAAATCCAATCATCTAGAATCTTTATATTTCATATCCAATGTATGGTATTCAATAAAAAAGTTGTCACCCAAATGTGTTAGTCAGCTATATATACCATTATGGTGCATAACAAGCAACCATAAATCTCAGAAGCATCCAACAACAGGCTTCTATTTCTTTCTTGAACATCTACAAGTTGACTGGGTGGTTCTGCCTAAGCTTGTGTGTCTGGAGGTCAGCTGAGGTAGTTCCGCTTTAGGTTGCATGACTGTACATCAACAGAGGTGGCCCTGCTCTACCTATTTCATACTTCAACCCAAGCTGAATGGACAATAGAATACTATGTTATTCTTTGGGAATGACAGAAGCACAAGTGAGCAAAATCAATCATACAAACACATTTCAAGTTTTTTCCATATCAGTCTGGGAGCAGTGGTGGGCACCTGTAGTCCCAGCTACTCAAAAGGCTGAGGCAGGAGGATTGCTTGGGTCCAGCAGTTCTGGGCTGTATAGTGCACTATGCTGATCAAGTATCTGCACTAAGTTTGGCATCAATATGATGACTTTTCAGCAGGGGGCCATCAGGTTGCCTAGAGAGTGTGGAATGGCCCAAGCTGGAAACAGAGCAGGTCAAAACTCCTCTGCTGATCAGTGGTGGATGCCCCTGTGAATAACCACTGCACTGCAGCCTGGGCCACATAGCAAGACCCCATCTCTTATGAAAAAAATCCCATATCACCTCTACTAAAAACCCATTCACCAAAGTCAAAGTCCTGGCAAATTCCAAAGGTATTGGCAAGTTCTTTCTATCATCAATGAGGCCATGGAAACTATGGTGAAAATTACTACTACAGGTCAAACATGATGGCTCAGTCTGTAATCCCAGCACTTTGAGAGGCCAAGGCGGGTAGATCACTGAGGTCAGGAGTTAGAGATCAGTCTAGCCAACATGGCAAACACCCATCTCTACTAAAAACACAAAAATTAGCTGGATGTGATGGCACACGCCTATAGTCCCAGCTACTCAGGTGGCTGTGGCATGAGAATGGCTTGAACCTGGGAGGTGGAGGTTGCAGTGAGTGGAGATCATGCCACTGTATTCGGTTGCCTGGGCAACCGAATGAGACCCTGTGTCAAAAATAGAAAATCTAAAAAAATAAAATTACTACTATAGGGCAGGAAGTTGAGTGAGGAGAAGTGGGACCAGGATTCAACCTGTCATAGTTTATTTTATTGGCCACAATTATGTGTGTCATCCCCATGTGCAAAATATCCTTATACTCATGTCAAGGCTCAGAAATCTTTCCTTGTATGTCGTTGGGTATACCTAGGTGTGTTTATTCAAGAATGCAAGATTTTATATTATTTAAAAAGATAAACAAATCTAATGAATTACATTCACAAAATAACAGAGAAAAAGCATATGATCTTCTCAAAAGATGTGATAAATCAATTGATAAGATTTAATACACATTTATAATAAAATATCTTAGTGAACTAGGAATAGAAGGGAACTTTCTAAATCTGACAAAAGATTGCTACAAAACTCTGCAGTAAACATCACATTGAATGGCAAAATTTTAAAAACTATTTCTTTGAGATTGTGACTAAGATAAAAATGTTCATTCTTACTACTTTTATTCATTATTGTCTTAGTGATCTGAGCCAGTGGGGTAAATTAAGGAGAAAATCATATATAAGAGTAGAAAAGAAATACGTAAAATTGTCAATATTCAGGCATTACACAGTTGTTTTATAAAAATCCAAAAGAATCTTCAAATTATTAGATGTGATAAGTTAACAAGTTTATTGAAACTTTGGTCAATATAAAATAATTATGTTTCTATATAGCAGATACATTAAAATACACAATAAAATGAAAAAAGATACCCTATCAATAACATAAAATACTTAAAATATCTGGAAACAAAGATATACAAAACCTCTATGCAGATGTTATTGAGAGAAATTAAAGACCTAAATAAAAAAAGAAATGTATGATGCTTATAGATTGGACAATTCAGTATTATTAAGATGTCCTTTTCCCCCATGTTGATCTATAGGTTTTATTACCTATGATCAATCTAATTTTCTTTAGATTGCATCAGCCTGTGTGTGCATGTGCATATAAATTGACACAGTGATTCTAAAATTATATGAAAATGAAAATGGTCAAAAACAGTCAACTCAATAATAAAAGGAACAATGCTGGAAGACATATTTTTAGTATTAAGATAAAGCCACTGACATTGTACTGAACTGGATTCACCCACTTTATAGCAGAAGTGAGACAGTATGTACCTGGCTATTGTATCTCCCTGTTCTAACACATACTACACACTCAGAAGCCACTAGCCTGGTGAGTGATGTAATAACTGTTCAAGGCGCAGTTGAGATATCAGCAAGGACAGAATTATTTGTGAGGATGGGACATCATCCTCCAGGATGAATCATACATCCCAGTAACTTACTTGGGAATGTGAGCTCCTTGTTTCAGTAACTCTAGGTTCTGTGGTCTAAAGGGCATGGGAAAATTCCGTTTGAACTTACCGCTTTGGCTGCTATTTAGTCACTTTGTGCTCTCATGCCAAGAGATACAGAGACAAGGAAGGGACTCAACAAATTAGCAGGGGAGCCTCATCATGAGGAGGATATGAGACTGCTGTTACAGAAAGGGACAGTGAAGACTGCTTTTGGCTTTTGGTCATTCACTGGGGGAGATTCTTGGTATTTCCCTGCTGAATTTGGTACAATACACAAGTGCAGCTGCTATGGCCCCGGAAGGATGTGGTGAACAGGAGCCCACATGAGAGGTCAAGACCAGTGCCGTAAGAGAAACTACAGCTTATCCTAGTGAGCTTCCTCTTGTAAATTTCATCAGGAAAGGAGACCAACCAATCAGGCAAGCTGTTCACAGAGGGAATGAACATACCGTGAGAAGCATGTGGATTTAAGCAAGAAGGTTCCAATCACACCGCATCTCACAGTGTGCTCCCCAGTTCTGGTCTTCTACACAAGCTACCACCAGCTGCCAAGTAGGTATGTCACTGAAAGCTCACAGGTATGAACTTCTCTGGACTTTGCTGCCATGAAGGGAGCTACCTCGTTAGTGTTTAAGACCTCTCTCCAGGGCATGGTCCCTTGCCTCAATTTGGGACAATTCTGAAGGGTTATTCCAGTTCAAGCTTGTGAGATCAGCTATACCAACTGTTTCATTTTACCTAATTCTGCTTCCTTAGTTTCTCTATAGGATTTGTTCACCATTACACTGTCCAATAAACCATGCAAATTTCCATCTGAGTCTGTTTGCAGGTTCCTGTCCTAAGACACCTTTCCTATTTAAAGTATACATATCTAAGTCTAGACTGTTAGCACCTTGAGGGCAAGGACAGTCTCCTTCCTGTGGTATCACTGGCATCTACCAGGGAGCTTTACACGTTGCTGCCTCAATATAAAATTGTTGACTACTTCAAAAACCGTCCTTCCTGTTAGACTGCCATCATCTTGAGAGCAAGACTATCTCTAAAATTTTTTTATATTCCTACATATTCTATAATAACCATTCAGAGGAGGCACTACATAAATTTGCCTTGTTCTTTAAAAGGAAGAATTAGCTCTTACATAACAAAAGCTAAGTTAATGTATTCATTTATATTGAAAAGTGCTTTCTTTCTTCGCCTAATAGCATTTGCTTGTCCTTTTCAGGAACTTTAAATCAGCACCTTTGATCTATTTGCTACTGACTGGCATGGATGGATGAACAGTAACCTTGATGTGGCTTGCCATTCTTTTATTTTAAATTATTTTGACATAGATGCTAAGTAATAGACTTGTGTTAGGAGGCACCAGACATTAAACAAATAAATTTTCAGAGGAGATAATGATAGATAATGATGGAAATTAGCTCTTACCAGAGTCATCCTAGGTTTGAGCTCTCCAGCATCAGAAGTTCTAAATTGGTAGAGTACTTCTGTAGCCATGCGAACAAGGACGGTTTGAGGGAAACATAAGGGAGCCCTGATTCTATTAACTGTAATCACCGCAGTGTTTCTGCTCACTGGAACAACACATTTTCCATGTAGCAATAAACGCTGAAGCACATTTCATTAATTCGTGATTTCCCCTAAACAGCAATGTGTTTAGCTGCAGATCAGTGTGTGACTTTATCAAAGAAATGGCAGCAAGGAAAGTACAATGAAACAAACCACTCAATCATCTCCTGGGAAGGCTGCTCTTTACTGGGAGGTGCTTTGGACCAGGCCTACTATAATTACCTCAGTCAAAGGTCTGCTCCACTAAGGGTCCTAGATTCCCATGGGAAATTCTTTGGGGAACTGAGATTAAGCCAGACCTTGCTACATTCTGCCAAAGTTGCCAGCCAGCTGCAGTTTCTCTCTGGAGGCACTAAGCAGTCAACCTGTCTAAGCTTAAGTCAGGAACTTGAAATTCTAATCACCACCCTGATAGCAGTTTGCAACGTGTCTTTGTGTAGGCCACTTACTGCTTCTGATGCTCTAGCAGTTTCTCAGCCGAAACTTGGGAGAAGGGACAGGAGGCTCTAACTATGACTATTCTGAGAATTAATATTGACAGAACATTTGTACATGTGCTGATGAACGGTAAGGTAGCCTTGTAGAAACTCAACAGAGTACAGTGTTTTCACTTGTAGCCACCTACGGGATAAACACTCTACTCCCCACAGTTATTGTATATAGAGGAATTAGTCCAAGACTGAGAGAGATAATATGAACTGCATTTGGCATGGAATTGTGATTTTATTATTATTGACTGCCACCAAATATGTACTGACATGCCAATGTTATAGGCTCATTCAGAAGCATATTGAGATGTTTCTGTTCAGCACCTGCATCCATGAGGAGCTGACACCCTACATAAGGAAATTAAGGGCAGTCTATAGCACTGTATAGAAATGAGCACCCCCTTGCTGGATATTTCCCCTTGGCTCCCCAAGATTTATTCTGTCTCCTTCCATACCTCTGCTAGTGAGGCTGACTTTGAGATAGAAAAAACCTCAGAGGCCTTCCTTTCCTCTGGCTTCCTCTTGGCTCAGGCAGTGGGGAGGACCCAAGGACATCAGAGTAAGGGAGGAGAATGAGGTCAAGTTATTGTTTCCCTCTCCTAGGTTCCCTCCCTGTAGGGTCTCCTTTGGACTAGTTGTGAGTCTTGACTGGAGGTAACTACCTGTCACAATGTGGCCCTCTCTATGTGGCTGTCTGTTGCCATCTGCTTCCTGCTACACCCCTGACGATGAAGTTCCTTCCCTCTCCCCTCCTTCTTTCATCAAGCTCTGCCTTTCTCAACTTTCTGTATGATCTGGTTCCTGTCCCACTGTGCACTTAGATCTCTGCTGTCAGAGAATTCACATGGAATCTCACAGGTGCCATCCAATAGGAATATAATTCAAACCACAGACACAAGCCACATACGTAGTTTTGAATTTTCTAGTAGCCATATTTTATAAAGTAGAAGGAAACAAGTGAAATTAATGTTAAGAATCGATTTCATTTAACCCAATATATATGGGTACTATGCTCAACTCTTTACAAGTATTATCTAGAACGAATACAATAACCTCATGAGGGTTATCCTGAGGGATTCCTGGATTCAGAGAGGTTTATTTCTTCATTTATTTGCTCATCAGTAAGAACTAATGGAGTGCTTCTGTGTAACAGGCACTATTCTGGACTCTGTGATAATTACAAACTAACATCCTCATTTATGATGTTTATATCCCCTTGGGGACAAATCATATGGTAAACAAGCTAAATAACTAAAACATATAGCATATTAGATAGTGGAAAGGTTTTGGCTAAAAAATGAAACAAGGAAGAGGATGGAAAGAGTTTGAAAGGAATTGAAATGTTATGCATACGAGTTAGGTCACCCCCTGTAAAAGAGATTTTAAGTAACACCCTGAAAGTAGTAGCCATGTAGACAACTGAAGGAAGAATAACTCAAGCAAATAATTCAAAGCAGGAAGTGCAGAGGCCCTGAGGAAGGAATGTGCCCGAGGTGTTCAAGGAATAGCAACAAATATAGTGTGGCTAGAATAAGTAGATTCGGGCCAGGTGCTGTGGCTCACGCCCGTAATCTCAACACTTTGAGAAGCCAAGGCAGGAGGGTCACTTAAGTCCAGGAGTTCAAGAACAGCCTGGGCAAATAGGGACCCCCCCCACTTCTACAGAAAAGGAAAGAAAAAGAAACACAAGAATAAGTAGACTCAGCAGGAGGCAGCATAGAGGAGGGCGAGATCAGGGAAATAACAAAGGAATGTGAGTCAGGCGTGCACATCCCATATGGCTTTTTACTGATACATCACAGTAAGAACCTTCTCTTTCACTCTGAGTGAAATGCAAAGTCGTTAGCAAATTTTGAGAAGTAAGACTGGTCAGGAGGCACAGAAACAATTTGGGCAAGTGATTAGGGTAGAGAGAGTTGTCTGGGTTAGGGGAGCAGGATGGCCATGGAGGGGATGACAAGAGTTTGAATTATGGATTTATTTCAAAGATATAGGAAAATAGGAACAGTTGAAGGTAACTTTAAGTTTAAGAAGATTGTTCTGGTTACACTGCCAATAAACAAGAGAACTAAGATTTAAATCCAGATCTGCCTGACTCCAAAGCTCAAGCTCTTAATTTTGACTGACGAGTCCTTGGTTTCTTCTCAGCTGCAGATGTCTGGGTGTCCCTAAAAAATAAACTCCAATATATGTTTTGATGGCAGTTATGAAGGTTCTAAAAATAATACAGCATAAATTCTAAAATTAAAAGATGTTGTACTCTGACTTGGAAGTACCTTTTCAAGTATAAAAGCAAGTTTCTGGTAAAAGCATAGAATCAGTGGTCATAGGATCTTCATTTATTCCCAGCGATAGCTGCGTGACTTTTTAGTCACCCCACCTAACTTTTTCCTATTTATATATCCTCATTTCTGCATTGTGAATACATATTATTTTTTTCTTAATTGTAAGACTTTTTTTCCCAAAAATATATACATTTTTGATATCAGGACATGAGAGAAAAACTGAACACTTTGAATTGCCTACTCTCCAAAAGAGAGAAATGACAGGACCACTAACCTCTGGATGATAGCAGCGTGGCAAGATAAAGGTCCCTTTTACCAAGAGAGCCCGAATTTTCAAGAAAAGATAGTAGGTCAGGTAATAGATGTTAAGTAGCTCGATTTGCTCTTTCTGCAGTGCATACATGGATCAAAGCATTATATTGTACCCTCATAAACATATACAATTATTATTTGTCAGTACAAATAAAATTAAAAAGAAAATGATAGTATGGGAACATGATTGTGTGTGGGAGAGGAGGTTGTGAAATTTCTGATTTTTCCATGGGGCAATTAATTCAATTCCATTTTTGGTTTTAATGATGTACAAGCCAGCGCTATATGGTTGCTGCCCCTTCTAATCTCGATATAAGAATACCAAGCTCTCAAGAAATGACCTTGAGGTAACTTAGCTCTTCCATCCCAACTAGATAGATTTATAATTTGATGATGTTCCAAATTAGATATAATATGGTGGTTCAAATTGGTATCATAAAGTGGATGTTTTATATACATATGTAAGGTTTGGAGTAGACTATATAGACACAAAGAACATGGGCTTAGTGTGAATGATAAACTGGTTACTAGATGCACCGAACACTGCTAACTTTAAGATATTTCAGTGACTCCTCAGTGTGAAGATGCAAGCATTTTAGACAAATAGTGATATCACTATCATTAACTGAAACAGTGGTTTCAGAAACACATTAATTTAATGTCAAATTTTTATAGTTCTAATTATGGAAACTTTTACTCAGAGAAAAGAAATTAAAAGATGTTTGTGGTAATAAACATTCTGTGATTGTGAAAGTACATAACTCTGCAATTGATGTTTGAACTATTATAAGCAAGCCTTTAAGACAATGAATAGCATTGTCAGCAGCACGACTTTGTCATCTATAGGTCGGTTGATTTTCCTTTAATTCTGTAGCATTTTACATTTATATAGAAATGTGTCTTTCAAAAAATGTGTATATTATTTTACAGTATCAACTGATATCTGATTTCTCACATTGCATAGCCACATTAATTTGAGAGACTAATTCAGCTGACAACTGAATTAGTAATTAATTAGTAAAAAACCTAATAATATTTGGCAGCAAGCAATGGAAGTAGCCTGGGTTGGTGCATTTATTCAAATTTTTAAATAAATAGGGGCCTGATAACTGTCACTGATGTGACAGTAGCAGCCTGGAGAAAAGGAAAATGGGCATTCACGGAATAATTAGAAAAAACAAAAAGAAGACACAGTATTCATATAGAGTAGGTCACTTACAGGTTTTGTTTTTTAAAGAACATCTTTTCCCCAGCCACAGTATAATTATAAGCTAAGAATAATTTCCAATATTGCACAATGAATGCATCCAGATCCTGTAATATTGATCAAAAGAGTGGATTAAAATGGAATATGATAGCAATTTCATGGAAGTCTCCCTTCCTAAATACTGACAGTTCTTTTTTTTTAAAAAAATCTGAAAGGTCCACTTATTTATTCCACAAACAATTTTTTAGAATTCACCATGTGACAGATAATATATTTAGTTCTGAATTTTTTAAATGTATTCTCATTTTTCTTCCACGCTGTCATCTTTTTAAAATGTTTAGACATTAAATTGACAAATACCAATTTTATATATTCAACATGTACCATGTAATGATTTGATATATGATACATTGTGTAATGATTACCACAATCAAATCAATTAAAACCTCCATTACCATCCATGCTGTATGTTAGGTCTCCAGAAATTACGCATCTTATAAATGAAAGTTTGTGCCCTTTGGCCAACATCTGACAGTTCTTAATTTAATTATTTATATGTTATAGCTAAAAATTCCTTTAAAGCATTAAAGCAACCTGGATAGAATTGGAGACTTTTTTTTTTTTTTTCTTCAAGGCGGAGTGTTGCTCTGTCGCCCAGGCTGGAGTGCAGTGGCATGATCTAGGCTCACTGCTACCTCCACCTCCAGGATTCAAGCAATTCTCCTGCCTCAGCCACCTGTGTAGTTGGGATTACAGGCGCCCACCACCAAGCTTGGCTAATTTTTTTTTTTTTTTTTTTTTGTATTTTTAGTAGAGACGGGGTTTCACCATGTTGGTCAGGCTGGTCTCAAACTCCTGACCTCGTGATCCACCTGCCTCGGCCTCCCAAAGTGCTGGGATTACAGGTGTGAGCCACCACGCCGGTCCTGGAGACCATTATCCTAAGTGAAGTAATTTGGGAATGGAAAAACAAACAGCGTATGTTCTCACTCATAAGCGGGAGCTAAGCTATGGGGATGCAAAGGCATAAGAATGATACAATGAGCTTTGGGTACTTGGAAGAAAGGATGGGAGTGGGGTGAGAGATAAAAGACTACACATTGGCTACGGTGTACACTGCTTAGGTGATGGGTGCACCAAACTCTCAGAAATCACCACCAAAGAACTTATTCATGTAACCAAACACCACCTGTTCCCCCCAAAAACTATTGAAATAATTTTTAAAAGCCACCCCCCACCCCACCCATCAATGAGACAGTAGCTGAGTTAGGACACAGCACTGTGATTCCTTTTAGTCAGAATTTCTTCCACCACCTGTTGCTTCGATTTCTTTCTCCTCATACCAGTCTTTGAGGTAGGGGCAATAGATTCTATGCCTATCATCCAGGGTATGCCCATTAAGATCTCAGCTCTGCAGCTTCCAGCTCTGCAGGCCGTGAGGCTGATTCCCAGTCAGTGCACTATACTCCCCTCCTTCCTCCTTCAGCTTGCCTCCAGGGATTTGCTTTTCCCCTGCCCGTTTTCAAAGCAGCTACCATCTGGGCCATTTCTCCCTCGTACCTCTTACCTGGGACCACCTCCATTGGAAATCGCCTGCCCAGTGCCTTCTTCCTGGGCACTTTGAAACTTTCACAAGTCCATTTTATATCAAGGGTTTTATCACTTACAGAGGAAGGAGGAGTTTGAAATGAATTATGGGGGTAGGGGGCAAGAATAACTAAGTGGAAGCTAATCCAGTTCTTGAATCTCACTTAATATTTTCTGATAAAGCCTCAGCAGCCCTTCTCTGAATATGTGCCAATGCAAAAACAAAATCAGCCGGCATAAAAACAAAAACCATCATATTGATAGAATTAACATATTAAAAGAAATACAAATTCGTAAGATAATACATGAGCTTCTCTTTTAGTACCAAGATTAAATGACAGGCATAATAATTACCATAATTACACAGTGCCTAAACAATACTGGCTCTACTTGCCACAATTGTAACTTGGTATGAAAATACCTTTGATTTCTTTTGTGGAATACACTAGAGATAATATAGCCTACATTCTTAATGGGAAAAAAACTGCTAACCTTCTATGAAAACAGATTTTTAAAATTTAAGTTCACTGACATAAGTAAAGAACTCTATTGGAACCATTGGCTCTGGAAGGTAGATCCTATTTATAGACAAAACTGCCTGAAATGGGAACATTCAAAGGAGGGAGAGAATACCATCAAAATCATCAATAATAGTAATAAACACCCAAGGGTCTGCAGCTGGGCTAGATGTTTTCTCCAGACCCTTAGCCATACACTGTGGAATCCACATTGCCTTTTCAAGAAGTCGTGGAGGAGAAGGAGCAAGTGCACTTAAATAAGTACAGAAATTGTGCAGTACAGAGGTGTGGGAGCAATATGTTAATAAGGAGGTGTAAGAAGAGAAGACAATGCCTTCTCTGCTTTCAAAGAATTTGCAGTTGAGAGGGAAATATGATTAACCATCCAGTTAATTACTAAGCAATGAAGAACTAAGCCACATTGTATTATGACATGAAATAAGTTGAAACGTGCATCTTAATAAACAGGTAGAAATAAAAATTCATTGTATTTTGTAATATTCTTACAGACAATAAAAATTCAGCAGGCTTTATTTTCTGTTATTAAGCATGGCTTGAGAAGCTCAAAACTCTCTGGGGAATGATATCCTTGCCAAGGGCACTCCCAGGCTTTTGTGATTTGTTGTCTCTTCTCCAGCACATTTTCAGCTTTCTAAAGGTAGGGCAGGGACTTGTTTCTTTGACCTGGCTTTTCATAATTGCTCTGGCTACCAATTTTATTTGTCCAATAGTGTCTTGGGAAATACAGTGTGAGAGTATGACAGAAGGGAGCTTTGAATAACTGGTATCCCATTTTGGAAAAATTTCCATGATGCAATTCAGTTAAACTTTGACTGAGGATAATAATAGATAAATGTCTTATGTATGATTTATATTCTAATGAATTTTTAAGCAGGATTTTAGTGAGAGCAGAAATAAGGTAGATAAAAATATCCACTTGTAAAATTTTTTACTAACATTTACATTTTGGTTCTGTGGCACTTTAACAGGGAAAATACAGTTAGCTTTGAGTATATATATTCAGACTTAAACCTTCATTATTTTTCTGAAGAGCACCTGTTTTGGCTATTTCATATATATCCTGATAAGGTGTACTTTATTTTAAAAAGAATGTATCATTGCAGAAATATAGAATGTGATTTTTAATCAACTTTTATCTGTTTTTGTCTGATTCATCATCGATATGAATGGAAATGCCCACTAGAGGTCTCTCCAACCTGAATTATTTCTAATTCCTGAAATGAGATTGTACTTCTTAAATGTTCCTTGCTTGCTTGTGAGAACTAGTAAAACTTCATTGCATTTGACATGATAACTGCCCAGGGCCTTAACATAGGAGAGTGGCACACACATTCAAACTGCTACTCCTGCGAGTCTATTTTATTTACATACAAGAATGTTAGTTTTACCCCCTATTCTACAGAGTTCATTTGACACGTTTTATGCTTTAGAGTGAGGATGGAAAGCATGTAAGCCCTTTAAAGAGAGTGACCACGTACTGTCAGTTTTTTTTTCAGCTTGCAGAAAACTGTGGTAGGCTATCAACTGGAAATAATTATTACGATTGTCAATTTTCAGCCCTGCTCTTATCAAATCACAGAAAATATATAAAAATTTCAATTCAAAGGAAGAACTTTCATGTGCAAACTCTAGAGACAACTTTTTGATCTTCTGATACATTTACTTTATTAATTATGTCAAATAAATTTCAGGAAGCTTGGCTTATGTGCAGTGTGCATTAGAGAGAGTCATCGCACTGTGTAATTTTAACATAATGAGTTTGTGTGTATGTGCACCTGTTTACATACATAAAGCAATTCTGACATTGCTTCAGCAAATACATAAATTAGCCTTTACTATATGAGTCTTAAAACATAAAATTAAAAGGCCAGAAAAGTTTAGTAAACCTATATTCTTTCTGTAGCTTTTAATCCCACACCCTGGTTCAAGACAAGTTAGAGTTGGTGACCAATGGGCAGGGTGTTCTACTGAGAAAAGTCAGGATTTAAGATCAGCTGTGGCCACTGCCCCCATATTCGATGGAGGTCACCCAATTTGTGAACTAATCCTTGGAAGTTAGATTAATTTTCTGTCATGGCTCAAGGAAACCTGCAAGCCAAATGAAGAAAAAAGGATAATTGACAAAGTGCAGTGACCCATACAAGTAAACTAAAAATGTGGCTAAGAGAAGAGAAAATAAATAAATCTATTGTCCTTGAACTCATAATTATTTTTCTTTTCAAAATCAAAGTCTACAGAATCCAGGCATTAGCAAGTTTGCATGTAAGAATCCATTACAGCACCTGTCCTTACTAAAATAACAAAAAGCAACGAAAAGGGTTTGCTTTATTCCTGAATCAGCTTGGATGAATAGTAAAGACATGTGGGCAAAATAATCTCAAGATACCAACTGTTTGGGCTGGAGGAATCCTAAACCCATGGTATTTTGCTGCTAGATTACTATAGCAATAACACCAACCCAGACAATAGTTGAACTTAAATTCCAAGCCACTGTAAGCAGAAATGTAATGGTTTGGAAACTCTTTCTCTCCATAAAAACAATAGTCAGTGGAAGACTCCTCCAAGATGAGACTGGAGTGGGAATAAACATTGAACCTGTGATCCTTCTAAGCAAAAGGATCTCATTTCCTCACAAAGCAGAGAGCAATAATGTGAGATGGCATGCATTCTTTTCAGGCAGAATTCAAAGTGATTATATACATCAATAATTGTTTAAAAGGAAGAGCTTTGGCTGGGCTCAGTAGCTCATGCCTATAATCTCAGTACTTTAGGAGGGTGAAGCAGGAGGATCACTTGAACCCAGGAGTTCAAGACCAGCCTGGGAAATCTAGGAAGCCCTCAACTCTACTAAAAATTTAAAAATTAGCCCAGCATGGTGGCATGAGCTTATAGTCCCAGATACTTGAGAGGCTGAGGCAGGAGGATTGCTTGAGCTCTGGAGGTCGAAGCTACAGTGAGTCATGATTGTGCCACTGCACTCCAGTCTAGGTGACAGAGTGAGATGCTGTCTTTAAAAAAAACAAGGAGGTTTTATAAAATTAATAAGCAGAAGGCCAGGCACAGTGGCTTATGCCTATAATCCCAGCACTTTGGGAGGCCGAGGCGGGAGGATTGCGAGGTCAAGAGATCGAGACCATCCTGGCCAACATTTTGAAACCCCGTCTCTACTAAAACTACAAAAATTAGCTGGGCTTGGTGGTGCATGCCTGTAGTCCCAGCTATTTGGGAGGCTGAGGCAGGAGAATCGATTGAACCCGGGAGGCAGAGGTTGCAGTGAGCTGAGATTGTGCCACTGCACTGCAGCCTGGTGACAGAGCAAGTCTCTGTCTCAAAATAATAATAATAATAATAATAATAATAATAATAATAATAATAATAATAAGCAGAAATAGCTAGCCACAGTACTGGTTTTCTAGTATTTTTACTGACAATACAAAAATCACTTTACATTGTGGTCCTAGACACATTCACACATATATAACTGACAAAATATTTATCCTTACTCTGCACTATTTACTCAGTTACTTTATAGTCTATTTCTATTAATTATTTTAATGCTTGTTGTTACCCACAAAATCGATTTTCTAACCCACTAATTGGTCATAAGTCACAGTTTGAAAATCCTTAAATGAAAGAATAATGTATGGACGGAATCAATTTTTGTAAACCTAAATTCTCATGGGAAAAGTAATGAAGATCACATATTTTAATATAAAAAACAACTGTCTCTGGGTAATGGATTTTGTGATTTATTTTCTTACCTTTATTAACATATCTTCCTTCAGGAAGTTATATTTCTTGGGGAAATGGTAAATTGAATCACATCCCATGAAAGAAATATTTTAGAATCTTTCAAATTACGAGAATGTCCTAATTCCCGATATCCATTTGGAACCCCCTCCATCAATAGATTTAGCTGGTGAATTTCCTACCAGCAACCATAATGACATCCCTACTCTCTTACTTCCCAACTCAGAGTACCTCAAACAGGAATAAAGAAAGGAAAGAAAGAAGGGCTGGGGGCGGTGGGGCGAAGAAGGAGGGAAGGGAAGGGTGGGAAGGAAGAGTGAATCTCATATACCTACTCCTAGTTCCTTTACCCAAGGTGTTTGTGTGTCGTGGGGGTAGGTTGGTTTGGGGCTTAGGGCTTATTGTTATATTGCCTAGAACCTGGACTGGATTTTTAAAGTCCTGATTGGGCCATTCATTTCATTAGCCCTGTGAATTTGAGAAACTTACATCCTGCTTTTCTGTACCTCACTTTCCCTATTTGTATAATAAATTAGCTTTGCTAAGATTTACTTCCCACTTCTATATCCACTAGCTATATTAGATCAGGAGGAGTTATGTCAATAACTGGTTTCTCACTTGCATATATATCAATTATTGATAATTCAAAATTCATATTTCTTGCTTTATACCAAATTCCAACACAGGAAGAGTACTAAAAACTGACTGCCTTTATTATGAATTAAATTTAGCTCCGTGGCTAAATCAGATCTAATGAGTCCTTTTGTAAAAATATGTGTTAAGATTTCTATTACTATCTTATTTGACCACTTGAACTTATAACTTCATAAAATTAAAAGAAAACCTATTTACCATGTGTGCAGACATGTCACTCTGCTCCCATAGGAACATATTTAAACAGTCTATATATCCTATAAATATTTGCTTACCTAATTTTTAGTGTTAAAGATCAAAGTAAGTTATATTTAATAGAAGGTCATGCAAGGAGCTTTAAAAAGCTCTATTCATACTCTTTGAGATGCTGCAGATATTTCCAGGGCTCACCCAACTGCCATTCAAAGAAGTCACTCCTGCTATTGACAGTAAGTGTTCAAGGAAAACATTCTCTCTGGGAACAAGTTACAAGACTTCCATATTGGCAGGAGGTTTTTTTCTTTTCTTTTTCTTTTTTTTCTTTTTTTTTTTGAGATAGGGTTCAGCTCTGTTTCCCAGGCTGAAGTCCAGTGGCATAATCACAACTCACTGTGACCTCCAACTTTTGGGCTCAAGTGATCGTCCTCCCTTAGTCTCCCCACTATAGCCCCAAATAGCTGGGACTACAGGCATGAGCCACCATACCTGGCTATCTTTTAAAATTTTTGTAGAGACAAAGTCTTGCTATATTGTCCAGGCTGGTCTCGAACTCCTGGCCTCAAGCAATCCTCCTGTCTTGGCCTCCCAAAGCCCTGAGCAACCACACCTGGCCCAATATGTAGGATTAACAGACAATTCTGAATTCATAAGTGGATGGTTGAGAAACTGGCAACATGTGGGCCAAATTTATCTCCAAAGAAGTATTCTTTGGCCCTTGGAGGTTTAATTTTTTTAATTAGTTGCAAAACTAAAAAAAAATGAGAGATTACACAAGTTTGCTTTCAGCTTCCTTTAAAGAGTCATATAACAAGTCTACCCTGGGTCTACATTCCTAGAAACTCCCTCAATGGACCTGAGTAGTGATGGCCACTTTATGATGAGCAGGGGCTTCCCAGGTCAGCATACCCTAACCTGCACCCTTCCATTCATGCAGGTTGGTCTGCCTAGACTTTTTAAGCATTTGAGCTTGAGACCCCTATTGTTAGCAAACATGCTAGGTACAATATCATGAGTTAATCAACAGACAGTTACTTGATGTAATTAATTAGAAAATAAGTAACACCAGTAGCAGAAAGTAACCAAAAACAATTCATAAGGTTTCATGCAACTTCTCAATCTAAGTGCACTTGTTTCTACCTTATTTTCAAGCCTCTTTGGCTTCATCTTGGTATATTTACCTTTATTCACCCCTCCCCACACGCTTTTTGCCTCTGAGAGATATTTTGGTAAAATGCAGATAATAGCACCTGCTCAGCCCACCTTTCTGAAAGTCCAAGTACAAAAGTGCTACATGAGTTCAAGGTATTATTATATCCGTTATCATTCAGGCTCAGACACGGGTAGGTTCTTCTAGACCCTGCGGCTCTGGCTGGATTGAAGTCTCATGTATCAGCAGGAACAGGTAAAGCTGGCTAGATGCCTTTTAAACTCATTTACTGCAGTACTTGGTTCTCCTATACTGGTGTTGAAGTAGCTCTTTTTCTCTGTCAGCTCAGCAGTCAGTCCAACCAAAACTAAGTAAGTAAATAAAAATCCCCCCCTTTTCCTGTGACAACAACTGAAGCTGCAGACCTACATGCACCAATAGAATCCAGGCTACTAATTATAAATAGTGGTGGTGAATAACACAATAGTGGTGATGAATAACACAAATGTACCATACTAATAAGAAGAGTATCCAAATATGTCCAAATTTGCCAGTAGGTCCATTCAAGTGCAACATGGCTCTGCCAGCATGCAGAAAGGGTGCTGCAGTCCACAGAAGGAGATGTGTTTTCAAGCCAGTCCATTTCTCCAGAAAGTAATCCACAGTTGTGTTGTCTTTGAATGTTCTGCATCATTGTGTAAAATGTTAAAATAGTTCAATGTAAAAATACAGAGGCAAAGCAATCTGTCAACCAAAGGACTCGCAAATCTATGCATTTCACCATGGTCATTGTCTTCTGAGCTTCAGGCTCATCACCTCACCATCACTCTGACATCCCACAATGGTATGGAGTTTTTTTCTGTATTTTTTTAAATCATAAAATTCTCAGTGCCCAGAATGCTATCTAGCATATAGAGGGTATGCAATGCCTTCTTGAGTTTGAAGGATACCACCCAATAAATATCTAGAATTTAACTTGTCTAGGATAAGACTTCTGATTTCCATCTTCCACCTCCAAACCTGCCCCTTTCCTGTTTTGTCTTTGCAATTGGCACTGCCATCCTCCCAGTTATTCAGTGACACTGATTCCTCTTTTCCTTACTCCCACTTCCAATCAGCAAGTTATTTTGGCTCTACCTCTGTGATGTGGCCCACATCTGTCCCCTTTTCACTGCCATTACTGCTACCCTAATACAAGTCTCTTGGTTGGACAACTCCAGAAACATCCCCCTCCAGCTTCCTGTCTCTCCTCTTTCCTCCTGCAGACCTATTTCTTCACAACAATCAAGCGGAACTTTAAAATATATAATTCTGCCAAGAATTCTCCAGTGGCTTCTCATGGCACTTAGACTAAGATGAAAATATTTGTGGTTTCCAAAACCTGGCCATAATAGAAGCACCTGGAGAGATGAAAAATATACAGAGCTTGAGACCACACGTTAGACTCATCTAATCAACCTCATCAGAGGTGAGAGGCTCAGTAGATTCCACACTGAACATTCCCCATCTTTCAACTTCTTTGTTTTATATCCCTATCCTGTTCACCCATGACACTTCGATCACACATAGCTTCTCTTCCCTATCCAGAAATCATCAAGCTCTTTCCAGTCTCAGGACTTTTGCTTTTGTTTTACTGTCTATTTGGAATGCCCCTCCTCTTCATGGCTGTTTCTTCGCCCCATCCTAGAGTCCTACTAAGCATCTCCTCCTGCTTACACCTTCAATAACGCAGCCCCAACCTCTGCCCTCAGGTGTTTCCTATGCCATAACTTGTTATATTTTCCTTCTAGTACTTATCACATTAATTGAAGTAAACTTATCGATTTATGAGTTTATATAACTCCCCCAGTAGAAAGTAAAATCCACGAGGGCAGAGAGATTGTGTTGTTTTTGTTTGTTTGTTTGTTTTTAATTCCTGACTTTCCAGATGTGCTCCGTAAGTACATGTGGGTCATCAGTATGTTAGCCTTTGTGGGCTCTGTCGCAGCTATTCACCTCTACCACTGTAGTGTTAAAGCAGCCAAAGATGGGATGTGATAAATGAACATGGCTGCATTCTAGCAAAACTTCATTTATAGATACTGAAATTTGAATTTCATTTGATTTTCATATGTTGAAAGTATTATTTCATTTTTGTTTGTTTAACCATTTAAACAAATTGTAAAAACCAGCTCATAGCCCATACAAAAACATGTGGCAGACTGGATTTGGCCTGTGGGCTATAACCTCTGATTAAGAGGATTTGTTCTGTCATTTTGTTTGAAAGTCCAGAACATCTTCAAGAAACACATGGAAGCTTCCTAAAACTGTGTTAGCAGTATTATTCTATTTCCTTCTAAAGATGTCTGTAGGTCTAAGACCAATTCAAAAAGCATTTGCCAGGTATATATTAGGTTAAATTGAACTGTATTAAGTGGCAGGCCAGGGGCAGCTACTCAAGGTACCAATCTACAACTAAAGCTAAAATATCACTGTAATAAATCTGAAACATTTGACTTCTGAACTCAGTTTTCCACAAGAGTCTTTTTAAATAAATGGCAAAATATAAATTCTTGAAAATGAAGACATCAGTCCTGAATGAGTAGAAATTGAAAATAAAGCACCTATCCATCCTTATTAATATTGAAAAAACATTTAAATATATTTTAAATGGGAAATCAAAATATTTAAATATTTTAGACTTTGCAAACTCTGTTTTTGCATCTTGTGTAACTTCAACCTAAATTGAAGACATTGTGGAAAGACTCTCAAAAAAAAAATACAAAGAATAAAATAGTTCCTCCCTGTTCTTAAGGAGTTTGTACTGACTGTCTCCAACTTTCACCTTCCCAAATATTAATTATACATTTTACTTCAGCCCAAAAGCCAGTATTTCTAGTAAGATTTCCTGATTCCCAGACATAGATTTGTTGTTTTAGGTTCCCAGTATTTCCTCTTCTTTGCATGCATTTATATATTTATTTTGAAATAAAAATATAGTCTTTATATATTTATTTATAAATGCAACTTTTTTTTTACATATTTGAATACTTAGTTAATGTCTGTTTCCCTCATGAGACTGCCAAGCACTTTAGGCATGTTTTATGGACCTGGATGCGTACTGTGCCTGCCATTCAGTTAGCACACAATAAATAATTATTCAATAAGTAAATAAGTACCTGAAATGTATGTGGTAGACCTTGAAGGGAGGCAAATTTGTGCCTTAACAACTAGGAAGATATTTCTCTCCACTTTTTCCGTAACTTTTTATAATGCATTCTGCACACATTTATTACAAATATGATAATCATATTTCTGAGACCCAAACAGTCCACCTTTGGGTGAAGAAAGAATAGAGATGGGGAGGAAATGAAGGCTCCTCTGGAATGAAAACTCATTAGATGCAGAGGGTAGGCTTTCAAACCACAGCATTCATTTTAAGTCTCACATGCTGGTTACTGCAAAAAAGGAAAAAAAAAAAAAAACCACCACATGTATTTAAAAGCAGAGGAAAACACAAAGAAAAGTCTTCTTTCAAAACCATGGAAAGCTTATTTTCAATCCTGATTCCAAAAGATGAACAGCCCGCTCTCCCCTTTCATTATAATCCTCATTGCTGCCCTTACAGTTAGGTCCTAGAATGCATGCTGGTGTCAGACACAAAATCAAAAGCTACAGCATAAATATATTTCCAGATACCGTGCATATATTTTCTGTTTCTTTGGCAAGAGGCAGATTCTAGTGAGATCTCTCACATGGCTAATTGTTCCTGGAAAAGATGTCACCCTTCTCAGGTGGTGATATTTCAGCATGAGCAAGAAAGAGAAACTTGTGCACTAAGAAGAATATTTAGGCATTGAATTGATGAATCAGATGATAATAGATTTCCTTATCAGAAAGACATGTAGCCTAAAAGTAGGTTATAACCTATAAGACCAATAGAATCCAGGCTATTAATTCTAAATAGTGGTGATGAATAATACTAATGTACTACACTAATAAGAAGAGATATATGAGAAGAGGAACTGCTAAAAGAATATAACCACTTCTGATCATAGCAAGTGTATCATATTCTCCAGCAAAAGTTTAATGTAAAGACAACAGTTATAGTTCTTTCAGCAATCTCTAAACTCGCAGTTGCCTGAAATAAACTGGAAAAATATCAAGCAGTCATATTTATCTGCAGATTCAATATGCAGTTATGAGGCTGTAAAATGAGCATTGCTATAAGACAAGATGCTGGCTATCTAACTGATTATATAAAATTAATCTCTATTAAAACAGCCTTCCCACTTAACACTAGTTTATATATTTGCTGATTCTACTATCCAAACTAAATGCAGTACAAAAAAACTCTAAAGTGCAATTACAAATCTTCCAACTAATGCCAGATTTCTTGAAGTTAATGAAAGTGATATTGAAGGGTTTCTTTAAACTTCAAGCCATTAATAAATAGATTTTTAACAGAGAAAGAACAGTTAATGATTAAATATGTAATTATTATCAGGGATAATGGCACAATCATCATTTCAAAAAATAATGATTTAAATATAAAGAGTAAAAGAGACCCATGGGAAAGCTCAGGAGGTGCTGAAGAAAATATGATGTCATATATCATTTGTGTAAAAATCAAAAATGAAAGGAAGAATATTCTTTCACACCATCAGAAAATTTTCTCACAGAAAGCATTCTAGAAAAACATAGACATAACTCATATTGCTTACTATAGGTGCTGGCTTTTTGTTACAATTTCTATCAACATTTTATGAAATAAAATATATAGAATATAAAATAAATATTTTATAAATAATATATAATATATATTATATAATATATAAATAAATATGTAATTTATACTATAAGTTAAATATATAAACAAACATAATTTATATACATAAATTATATATATAATATATAAAATAATAAAATGAAAACATAAAATAAAACTCATAAATAATATAAAGTAAATATGTATATGTGAAATATTTAAAATATATTATCTATAAATAGAATAAATATGAAAGTAAATAATTATTTTCATATTAACTTCAGTTTTTAAGATAACATGCTAATAGCATATTTCCAGAATTTTCATGACATACTCATCTCCATTTTAAAGAAACTTTTCCTTGCACCAGTGATCCTTGGTTATGAAGGATCACTTGAGGTAGTAGAGTTTTCAACTCCTATATTGGAGAAATGTTTTTTCTCCAATTTTTTCATGGTCTCCTACCTCTACATCCACTACTTAGATGTAGGGCTTTGCTAAATTTTAATGATTTGTAAAAAGATGATATACTTTATTGTCAAATAGAGATACTGTTGAGAATGGCAGGAGAAATCAAAAATAATTAATAGGCATTGAGTGATTCACAGCAATTGTTAACTACTGAAGTCTCAAGCTTTTGGTCTCCATTCTACTTACTCACTTTATGTGCTTCTCTCATGTGTCAGTCCATTCTCTAATGAAGCTGTAACCTCTTTCCATATTCCCAATCTCAGATATTCCATCCGGTGACTTTAACTCAAAGTCTTGACATAAACATGACTTCTCCCCTTCTTGACTCACTTTCAACCCATTCAATCAGCCACCTTTAGCGTGGTTTCACTTTTTTGTGCATGAATACATCTTCTCTATATTTTTAATACTGTTATTAATAAAACCCTCATACTTTCATTTGTATCTCCTACATTGAACTCCTAACAGGTCTTCTCTCTGCTCTCTTTTTCTTTACAAGTACAACTTATGCCCACTCACACACACAAATACACACAAAAATATCTTACCATGTCAGTCTTTTCTTATCCTGTAGGAAAGACTTAACTAAACATAGGCAAGACTCTAGTCCTTATGTGTTCTTTCAATTTAACCTCTCATCACTTCCTACATCATACTTTATGGCAAAGCAGTAACTTGTAACTGGGGATACAACAATCTTTGGACAATACAAGCTATGACATATGTACATTGTGAATAACATTTCTGGAAAATAATGAAAGAACACTATGACTATAAAATAACTAAGAACCATGATACCAGAACAAAACCAACCCTAGAAACAATTTATGTGCATTTTCAGTGGAGACAGCTATGAGCTTGTGTAGTCTTTACCACTCACTGTGGTAGATATTTGTGAACTTTGCAAGTTAGTTAACTTTCTAAGCATGTTCCGTCGTATCTAAAACAGGACTGATAATTTTCAGCTTATGTGGCTTATTATGAGAATTAAATGAGATAGTATTTATAAAGTGCTTATGTAGTTTTTCAACCAATAGTAGTTTAGCAATGATGCTAATAAAAACAATGAAGAAGAGGATAATAATACATCAACATATTTCTCACTAATAAGGTTTTCTTTGTTATTCCCTCTGCCTAAAAAACACTTTTTTCAGTATAATAATAATAATTTAAAAAACACACTTTTTTCTTACATTATAACTGAAAATTTAATTACTCTTCAAGGTACAACTCAGCCTTCATCTTCTTCAAGAGCTCTTTCCTTACCTGCCCCAGACTGAGCAAAGTGCTTCATGTTTTCATATTTCTGCATATCTTCGTAGAAGAGAAACTTCATTTCATTGAAATGATTCATAAATATCTCCCCAGTCAGAATATAAGTTCCTTAAAGTCAAAGACTGTATCTTATTACCTCTTTATCCTCAGTGCCTTGCACAGTAATTGGCACACAGTTATAGAGGGTTTGAAGGCTTTGGGAACTGATTAAGGAAAAAGATATTAACACAAGGGGCAGTAACACACCATAAGCTTTATTGGGCAGTGCTTCAACAGGGTTGCATGAGAAGAGAAGTCCCTCATAACATAAGACAGTCCCGAGGCTGCCATCCAGCGAAAAAGGAGGGCAAGGGGATTGAAGGACTGGAGACAGGGATTGAAGAGGGGTCCACTGATGGTGCTTAGCAGCATTTGAAAGTCCCTGGGTCAGAAAGCTCCAAAGTACAACTTGGGACTTTCTAACTGCAGGGCTCTATCTAGTCAATGGGTATCAGCTGCAAGGTGAAGTTTCATGTAGTATGCAAGACAGGTGAGCTCTAAGTGGCTAAAACTACTTGTTTGGGCCGTTATAAAAAATAACTGGATGTATAAAAATTTAAATTTGGTGCCAGCAGGCTTTTGCCTGGCTTATACACAACCTAGAGGCCAGTACACAGAAGCCAACTTTGGCTATTTATACAACAATAGTAGGTTCTCTGTAATTGTCAAACTTATATGAACTTACTAACTACAATTTTGCTGTATACTCAGAAGTTCTCAAAGGAACATCCTACTTTAATTGAGGTCAGAGTCAGAGTCCAGAGGTAGAGAGCTTGGTTCATTTGTTTCTTAAATATGTCCCTTAATCTATTCAGTTTCAGAATTCAGTAAACTTAAAAGACCCCTCTAGTAACTGGAGGTATCATGACTCTCCTTTTTTTTTTCTCCAGCAAGCATACTATTCTGTGTATAGTGTGTACTTAATAAATCTTCATTGATTGGAATAAATGAAATTAATGATTCCAAAACTCCTCAAGCACATATTCTTTAAGATGTTCAGAACAGATAACATTTTGTTAGGCTTAAAATAACTATCTTCTTGAAGAAAATAGCTCAAATCCAACCTATTTGGAAATATCTGGTTAAATTTATTAAATTAAGATATATGGGTATTTTTTTCCAGTTGAAAAATATTGAATACAAATCTTTATGTACCAGAAACACTAAATAATGCAGGCAAGTTGTGATAATAAGAATCATAATGGGCCAGGTGTGGTGGCTCATGCCTGTAATTCCAGCACTCTGCCAGGCTGAGGCGGGCAGGTCACTTGAGCTCAAGAGTTTGAGACCAGCCTGGCCAACATGGTGAAACTCCGTCCCTACTTAAAATACAAAATCAGCTGGGGATGGTGGCACATGCCTATAATTCCAGCTACTTGGGAGGTTAAGGCAGGAGAATCGCTTGAACCCAGATGGCAGAGGTTGCAGTGAGCCGAAATCACACCACTGCACTCCAGCCTGGGTGACAGAGGAGAAAACAAAACAAAAAACCCATAATGCCTGAAGTATCACCTTCCTCAGAGAAATGCCTATTCTACCTCTGCAAATTCACAAATGGTAAAGAGGAGAATGGATGGATAGATAGATTCATTTGTTTCTTAATAATCTAGATAGATGATAGATAAGATAGACAAATGTTGCACATTTACTATATGCTAGCTATAGTGTTTGGTGCTTTACACACATTATCTCATTTAATTCTCATGACAACCCTCTAAGGAAGAGGTTGTTATTATCACGTTTTTAATATAGGAACCAAGGCTTAGGGAAATATTTACAGGAGACAATGGAGTTATAAGTGATATTTGAATTCAGGTTCTCTAACTCTAGAGTGTGTGTGGTCAGTCACTGAATGAGTACCCATGCAAGCTGAAAGATGAGAATTTCAGCTGTAGAGATTACATTCCTAAAATAATTGCAACTTTTTTCCATGTTTATCTTTCAATTTGCCTGCTAAGAAAAGTAATTTTGAAAAGTAATTTCAAACACAATGAAAACACAGTAAAACCTATGCGAATTGTAATTAAGTTCCAGATCACCATGTTCTAGAGGAAAGCAAATGAAAGCAGTTGGAAATCTCCTATTTTATGCACTAACAGAATTATATAGCACCCACTCACTGTTCAATTAGTCTAATTATGGTCAACATCAGTCTTTGTTGTTAAAATGACAGAAGAATATGATTCTGCTACTGTTTTAGGACCAGCCTTGCCAGATGGATAATAAATAGATGTTGTGCATAACATAGATAATTACCATCCATTTTCAGTCATTCTATACAGTTGAAGTGATTAAAATTAAAATAAATTTTGTATAAATATCACTTGGATTTTTATTTCTTGTGGTCATTTGTATATGTACCTCCATAGTTGACTGAATGTTGCATGATTTTATGATATTTTTGTTTCTTTATCCAACAAAAATAAATTCAAGGTATCCTTACAGTTATAGAATGAACTCAAACAACCGCAAACTTGAACATGCTCTAAGTAGCAAAAATAATTAATTTGACAATGAAAAAAAATCTTGAGAATTAAGCAGCTCATTAAATTAAATGTGTAATTTAATCTTCATATAGAGTTTAAGCTACTGTATGTGTGTATATGCATGTGTGTATTTCATGTGCAGTCTGAAAACTCACCGTTAAAGTTTGTAAAACCCAGGAACTTAACTATTAGGTAGCAACAAGAAATTTACTTCAAACACTTTAAGTATTCCCAGTAGAGCAAGCAGCCTAAATTTTCTACAATTTAAGCAAACATTTGTTATTTACATATTTAGGGTAGGCTCATAAAATAAATTGGTGCATAAGACAACAATTTGTAACCAAGTCACTGGAAGTTATGCACAGAACTAAGAAAATAAGATACAGATTAAGGGAGAGTCATTCTGATTTTACTATTCCAGCTCTGAGGGAACTCCACAAAGCAAGATGATGGAGTAAATCCCACTGGACACTCTTGTCCAAGAGTATCTGTGAGATGCGATAAACTGGGAGCTCCTGGACACAGTTAATTCCAGAAATACTTTCCTTGCAATAAACTGGGAGCTACTGGACACAGTTAGTTCCAGAAATATTTTCCTTGGTCTGCACAATATTTTGGTAGTCTCAAATTTAGTTACCAGTATTTTTTTAAAAATCAAGATATTTTCACCTAAAGTCCTTTATTCTGGTTTCTCTTGAAAAATCCAGTGTATCAGCCTTGGGTGCACAGTCCCTGAAGGCAATGGTGCCCTGAATTTGAATGACTGTTGTTATTACATGAATCTCATGATTCCCTGATGCTAGAGTCCCTGCCACCCCCTATAGTGTGGCATGAGGTCCACTATGGTCATGAAGCTTATTTTTTGACTCTGGTAGAAATAAAAACGTGAGTTTGAGACTTTTGGACTAAGGGATGGAGAGAATAAGAAAAAATTGACCACTTATTTCAAACTTGAACTTAAGTTTCCGTAACACAGATAGAAGACTTGATTAATATTTTTGTTTCTCTAAAATCCAATGTAGTATCTGGCATTTTGAAAAGTAATTTCAAACACACTGAAAACATAGTAAAATCAATGTGAATTGTAACTAAGCTCCAGACCACCGTATTCCAGAGGAAAGCAAATGAAAGCGGTTGGAAATCTCCTCTTATTTTGCACTAATTGTATTATATAGCACCTACTTACTGTTCAATTAGTTTAATTATGGTCAACATCAGTCTTTGTTGTTAAAATGACAGGCGAACGTGGAGTTTGTTGAATTGACAATGATTTGTCTAAAGATCATCCATAAACGGTGGGTTGAACTGGGAATAAAAATCTTATGAGATTCAAACATAGTAATTGGATCTCAAACAAATTATTCCATTAACATCTCACCAAATTAACTCATTGCTCAGCGGAATCAATCAAAGCAGTATCATTGTTTGATATATCAAAGATACAGACCTAGTGTTTTTTTTCCTTAATACATTTGCTATAATCTGTATAAATGACTTCCACAAAAATATTTCTGAAACTGGGAAACACTTACCAAGCTTCTCTGAAAAATCAAACAACTATAATATGAAGAAAGCAAAATTTTCCCTAAACCCAACAGGATGACTCTGAAAAATAAAAAATGTGCAAGGGGAATATATTTTATTAAGAAAAAATGGTAAATATATAATACTTTGGTTTGGTTTTGAAAGAGCAAAATGTTTGTGCCAACAGGTTTAATCATGATTAGCAGGAAAATTTGTCAAAATCCATGTATAATGATAAAAAATTATATTTTTGATAAAGAATGAAGCATTCCTTCACTAAACTTTCTCCTTTAGAGAAAATGTACTGTATGTTTCTTTAAAGATTCTGAGAAACATGTACTACGATGTATGTTGACACACTCTGCTCCTGGTTCCTATTAAGCTTTTTAAAATTCTATCTACCTAACATCACATATCAAAATTAAAAAGGAATTCAGATAAAACCTAAGTTTATTTTTTTGACTAATATCAATAAGACATTTGAAAATGCCTTACTTATCATTTTTTTGAAAAGTGCTTGCTGTTATTGGTGTCCTGTAGACATATATAAAGGAATCAAGGCAGCGAATCAGGTCTAAATCTGAAGAGCAGCTGGAGCTTCATATCATGACATCTCTCTCTTTATTATAAAAGATGGTTTCTTCATAAAGAACAGGTTATCTATCATCAGAGAAGAGGAAGTGCTTTGCCTGACCCTGCTTTCACTCATTCAACAAGCGTTTATTGTAGGTCTATTATTTTAAGTTTGGCATAAAATGCTAGACATAAAGAATACAATTGTAAACCAGAAAGTGGTAAAAGAGGATGTTCTACAATGAGTTAGCTACATAAACTTTAAGGTCTTTCTGAGCCCTGAGATAAAAATACCAAGTGTGTTGCATATATATTTAAGAAAATACTCCCAGTCACTAAAGTTATTTTTAATCTGATATATGACCAAAATGATTATAGACACTACTAACAACTTCCTGCGTAGTAAAAAAATTAAGTGTTATAATGGAAGGAAAAAATTAAGTATTATAATGGAAGGAAAAAATTAAGTATTATAATGGAAGGAAAAAACTTTTAGAGACAATAAGAAAACCTCATTGCCCTAATTATAATTCATAATGTTGGATATTGTAAGATAGCCTTACAGATAAGAACATTTGACTCTGTTAGAATCTCAATACTGAATGATGTTGGAAGCATTAGAGAAGACTATCAGTTTTGTCTTTTTCCATATTAACAGCATTTTCTGGTTCCTACAAAGGTATTTTGTTTGAGTGTGAACATTTATTAGCTGTGAAGTTCTTGGGACAGGGCTGGTACATAGTAAGTACTAAGTAATTATTTATGTCGCTGTTTTTGTTATTATAATTGCCATAGGATATCCAGATCAACTAAAACAGATGCAAAGAGAACAAGCAAGGTACACAGTAGATATCAGTTGTGAACCTGATAAAACATATAAAATAAAATTTCTCCCATTAAAAAATTTTATCATTTAGGCCAGGTGCAATGGCTTGTGCCTATAATCCCAACATTTTGGGAGGCCGAGGCAGGTGGATCGCTTGAGTCCAGGCAACATGGCGAAACCCTGTCTCCACTAAAAATACAAAAAATTAGCCAGGTGTGGTGTTCCACGCCTGTAGTCCCAGCTACTCAAAATACTGAAGTGGGAGGATTGCTCGAGCCCGGGAAGTCAAGGTTGCAGTGAGCTGTGATTGTGCCACTGCACTCCAGCCTGGGTGGTAGAGTGAGACTGTGTGTCGATACATATATATATATATATATATATATATATCTCACACACATATGTGTATATATGTATATATCTGTTTTATATATATATATATTATATATAATTTAACACTTAACTACTCTTATTTAAATAGTTACTGTTTACAAGAAACTTCTAGGTTAACATCTCCAATGTTCACTTACTACATCCAAACATAAGAATAGAAAATACAAGAAATGTAAAGAAATATATCTCTTTCCTCATAAACATTTTAGCCAGTGTGATTTTATTGAAGGGCATTCTGCTATCTCAGGTTTCTTATATAAACCATATACATTTGCAAAATTATTAAGATGGCACTGATTCATAAAACAAACACTAAGTCTCATTTATCATTTTCAGGATATTCTTCCATGCTTTTTGGATTAATACTTTTATTAAAGGCATTCAATATAGATAATGCAAAATTAAATGGATTTTGCCAGAATACATTATAGCCATTAAAATAAATCAGACTATTAAATGGAGAGAAAAAGTAAAATCTGAAAAAGAAATATAATTCCATATAACTTATGACAGAGTCAATTAATCACATCACTACAATTTGAGACCTTTCCTATGGAAAGAAAGGAAAAAAGATCCGTTTAACAGTCCATAATTATTGTTGCACTCTCTGAAGAAAAAACTATGAGCCAAGGACTGGTCTGTAATGACCATGAAGGCAGAATTTTCTTTGTGTTTTTTTTAACTTCCCTTAACTCAACTATACTCTGTTGCCCTTGCCAAGAGACGATATGAAACAAGATATAGACCAATAGGAAAGAACCAAACCAAATGTCAATGCTTTCAAAAACTGTTGGAAATAAGCCATTTGAGAAGAGCACTTGTCTTTTGTCACTACGTCTCCACTGCTGCATTCTGCTTCTGAATATTTCTCTCCAGTGTTCCATTTCACAAAATTGCCTTCAATTTCCAATTACCTTAATAACAAGATAGAACATTTACTTGACTTTAATTATTGAACTTCACAAGTTTTTTGGCCTTTAAGATTTCCCCTTAAATAATAAAAAAGACAACAGGATGAACACTTTTTTACAAGTATGTTAGTGCATCCAATATGAATTCATAGAATTATGAATAAGTTCATTTTTACCAAATACCAAATGTCTGCTATGAAGCCTTTTTAATATTGTCTTGTTTTATGCCACTTCTGAAATTTATTATTTATTGATTTAATAGATTTTTAGGTGTTAGTTATAGTTTAGTGAATTCAAGGAATAATCGAAAAACTTTTATTCTGCTATTGCATGATGACGAGCTTAATCAATCAAAAAGTTCCACTTCTGACTGTGCACTTAGAGCCTAGTAGGGGTTGAGTGAGATATGGAAAGCAAAAAACATGGTTTTACCGTTACAGAACTTACAGGACAGTTGGGAAGACAGAAGTAACTTATACGTTCAGAAAATAATAAAACGTTCCTAGATATTTGATGCCATAAGAGTTAGGCAGGAGAAGGAAAAAGAATAAGATACATTGGATTTGATGAAGAAGGAGCAGGAAGAGACTTTGGGGACATTTTCAGGACTCCAGTTTGATCCCAAGAACAAATTCGGAAGGCAAGAGGTGTGGTCAGGAATTAGGATGACTCCTTGGTTTCAGGGGAGCTGCATGTGCAGTACAGTAGAAGTAGCAAGTCTAACTGAAAATATTCAAGGTTTGTTATTAAAGGGATTCAACCTGCCTTTTACTGCAAACTACATCACACAGGTATAGCCTTCTAGGAAGCAGCATATTATAATGGCTAGAGAGATAAGCATTGTCTTGGAAACCATTACTGGTTACCTCCCCAAAGGAAAAGAAATTGTTCTATCAAAAAGATACCAGCATGTGTATGTTTATCACAGCACTATTCACAATAGCAAGGTCATGGAATCAAACTAAGTGCCCATCAGTGATGGATTGGCAAAGAACACATGGTACGTATACACCATGGAATGCTATGCAGCCAAAAAAAATATGACCTTTGCAGCAGCATGGATGCAGCTGGAGACCATTATTTTAAAAGAATTCACACAAAAGAAAATCAGATACCACATGTTCTCACTTGTAAGTGGGAGCTAAACAATGGGTACACGTGGACATAAAGATGGAAACAATAAAGAAGATATTCCAAAAGTGGAGAGTGAGGGAGGGAGGAATGGGCTGAAAAACAACCTATCAGGTACTACGTTCACTATTTGGATGTTGGGTTCAACAGAAGCCCAAATCCCAGCATTATGCAATATACTCTTATAACAAACCTGCACATGTACTCCTCAATATACAATTTTTAAAAACTGCCTCCTTCAATTCTTGAAGAATATAGTTCTCTCCATGTCCCATCCTAGCCTTCTTGTCATGACTCTTAGTGATTTAAACATTTTCATAGATGAGGCTTCCAGTGCATTACTTTCTAAGTCTTTCTTCCCTAACATCAACAGCCCCAATGATCTACACTTGTCACCCACTTTCATGGTCACTAACAATGTAAAACACACCACCTCCTTGATCTGTATTACAAACATTGTACTCTCCAAACACCACCTCCTGTCTTTCAACTTTGTCCCTCTCATATCCCGTCTCCCAAAGTTTTTCTTTTTTTTTCTTTTTTCTCCTTGGGACTTCTAATTTATTTACCTTTTCACCTTTTTGACTTTCCATCACTCCCATTATATCCTCACTTCTCTTCTCATGCAGCTCAAATTACAGGGTCAGTCACAGTCATCACTCCTTTGCAAATACTAACTCCCTTGGCCTTTCTTTTTCCATCATTCCACCTGGAAAAATACCAAATTTGTTTAAATTCAAGCTTTTCCCTACTTAGGGCCCATACCCAAGCAGATGAAGACTCCTGAAAAAAATATGGAGCCATGCTGACAGGTCTCGTTTTAAATTCATGGCAGAAATCTCAAGTGGGCTCTTACTGCTTGCCTCTCAGTCTCACAGCTTTTCCCTAGCTAATTCACTTTCTGCTTCTACATGGTTCCTATTATAAACCCTTTACTCTCCTTCAACTTTTAATATCTCCTACCTACTTGCTTCTCTCAGCTGAAAGATTTGCTTAAACGTTTCCCTGAGAAGACAAAAGATCAGAAGAATACTTCCATGCACTTCCAGCACCAAATCTACCAACTAATCTGCATCTGTATCCACATCCTCAACCTTCTTCTCCCTTGTCATGAAGTGCTTATCTCAGGTCAACCCTCCACTTTTTCTCTGGATTGCCTATTCTCATCCCCATGAAAGTACCTAGCTCCGTCCTCCCACTTTCTGGCAAACATCAGATTTTGTCTTCTACAGCAGGGATCAGCCGAGGATGGCTCACAGGCCAAATTTGGCTAGATGCCTGAGTTAAGAATAATTCCAACATTTTTCAATGGCTGAAAAAATGTCAAACCGAATTATATTTCATGGCATGTAAAATAATATGAAATTCAAAAATTAGCATCCACATAGAAAGTTTCACTGGGGCACAGCCTTGCTCACTCATCTATGGTTGCCTTCACACTGCAGTAGCAGAGTTAAGTAGTTGCCACAGAGACTATAGGGCCAGTTAAGCTAAAAATATTTACTATCTGCCCTTTACAGCACAGTTTTTGACCCCAGTTGAACAAAATAATTCACAGTAATGTTTAAGTATGCTGCAGTTACTTGAATGTTAAGAACAGACCTTTCTTCACTCCATGTCTTTCTCCAATCATAGAACGTCAATACTGTTCTTTGTAGCAAAAATCTTCAAAATAATGCTCAGTACCACAGTTTTCAACTCCATTTGTCCTGTCTGTTTTAGGATCACTCCAGTAATTATTCAAATGAAATAGCCTTTTTAAAGGTCATCAAGAACTGCAAATTGTGAAATCTAATGACTACCTCATCCTACTCCTACTCTACCACTTAGCAGCATTTGACAGGGATCACGCTCTTCTTCACTTATGTTTTGGGACCCAGTCTCTCTTGGTTAATTCCCTTTTTGTCTAGTTTATCCTTCTTTATTTCCTGTGCTGTCTATTCTCATTTTCCCAACTTCTAAAAACAGTAGAGCTATAGGGCTTAGTCCTCTGACCTCCTCTCTTTTGTTTCTCTGCTTGCCAGGTGATCTCATCCAGCATCCAAGTTCTAAGTGACATTAATAAACTGATACTCAAATTTATAAGTCCATCCCTGACCTTTCCCTTCAACTCAAGACTCATATACACAAGAGCCAACTTGACATATCAAAGTTTATCTTCCTAAAAACACACTCTTGATATCCCCCCAAAGCCTACTTTTTCTTTTCTGTCTTTCTCATCTCAGTAAAAGGCAACTTCTGTTCCTACAAATGCCTAATCCAAAATCTTTGTTGTTGCCTTTAATTCCTCTCTATGGTTCATATTTAAATCCTGTCAGCTCTTTGATTTCTCTTTATCCCTAACACACTCAAATACTATTAACTCTACCTTTAAAATAACCCAAAAGTTATTTGATTTATTTTATCACCTTCATTCCTTTGACCTTAGTCAAAAGCATTACCCTAGGTCTAGACCATAACAATAGCCTCCTATTTGATCTCTCTCCTTCTGCCCTTGTTCCCTTAAATGATCATTTTCAAATGAAATTCAAATTACGCAACTCCCCTTCAAATGGCTCCCCACTGCACAAGGATATAAATTGAAACATGTAACCATGGTCTTCATAGCCTCAGATTATTTTGCCCCTGTTTATTCTCCAACTTTATTTTATTCTACATCCAGTCCCCTGTCACCACATTTTATCACAATTGTCTGATCTCTGCTGCTTACAACCTCTAAGCCAAGTTCCTGCTGCTGTTCTCTAGGCTTAGATGCTTTGCTTTTCTGCTCATCACATGCTCTCACCTACCCTTAGAGTCCAGAGAGGCTTTTCCTGGCCACCTGGTCATCCCCCACCCCCGTCTCATCCACCTACACTTTATCCTGCTCAGTTTCCTCATAGTCCCTTCTCTATCAGATATTATTCCAGTATGTATTTTTATTATCCCACTAGAATATAAATGCTATAAGAGCAAAGCTCTTACACTATCTTAATCTCCACTGTATCACAAAAGTCTGAAAGAGTTGCCACTAATAAAACATCTGTTGATTTAATATATGAGTTAGTAAATAAATGAATGAAAAAAATTCTTATATTAAATGCATTGCTTGGCACAAAGAAACATACTAAATCAATGGAGGTCGTTAATAAAAAATAAATATATATATTAAATAAAAACAAAATAATGAATAAAAATCAAAAGATAAATAATACTGTTTTAATTAAACACAGCAATTTAAAAGAGTGGTATGCAGAACATAAATGCTATAAAATAAACCTATAAAAACTTTAATTTTTATAGGTTCAATAGACATGTTATTTTGTAATGCTGATAATCTTTAATTTTTAGATGTAGTATTATATATTTATTCAAAATACTCAAGCACATATATACAATACACAAAAAGGGATGGAGAGGGATATTCTACAGAAGTCAGTGGCAGCAACGATGGAGAAAGAGAACTGAATTTTCTTTTTTTTGAAGAAAGGAAATGAAGTTGTTGCTGTTCCATGCTTCCTTAAGCTTGAATTTCAATTTGTGTTAAGTCTAGTCTGTTTCAAGTTCTGAATAGAACATTAAATTAAGGACCGCACAGGCAGGGTAACTGATATTCTTTTCTCATTCTTCTAGACCTTTGACTATGCCCTGGGTAACAGACTTTACATAGCTCACTTCGATCTTTTTTCCTTGGTTCAGGTGCTATACGGGATATTTGCAATAAAATTTATTTTATTTATATGTGGTTGCAAGTGATGAATTTATATTTAAACTGCATAAGCTTCTCATTATTTGATTTAAATATATATATATATATGAACACTGAACATCTACATTCTTTTGAAATTATAATGTTTGTGCAATTTTATTGAGCTTATGTTGTTTGTTTCACTTCGGTGCAATTTATTAAACAAAGGCTGTGTATCCACAAGGTTGGAAGCAACATGTTGGGCACATTAGAGGATACCAAATGAAACAAGTATGGAAAATGGAATCTATTTCCTGAGTAACTCCAGTTGAATGATTATAGTTGCATGAAGGGGTGTATGAGAAGGATTGCAAGGCTGTGATTGGAACTATGGAAAAAAAGTTATATGATCCATGAATTGTATTTGACAAAAGGGACCGAAGCTGAATCACTGCACAAATATTGACGGTTTGTCATGTTAGAATTTGACAGTCATTGCTCTTAGATAGTGGTAATCCACTAAACAAGGCTAATTTACATGGTTATATGGCAAGGAGTCATATTAATAAATTTTAAGACAAACCAACATAAGTCTAATTTTATAGGCTCATTTTAACACATTATCATTAGTTTACCTTATACAAGAATACATAAATTTTAAAACACAGAGGATTTGGTGAATTCTGATCAGCATAATGGAGCCAAATCATATAGAAATCTTTAGCTGATACTCATCTTTTAAAATCTCCATTTATATTTTCATTGAACTATTTATATAATTTTTATATATTTAGCCAGAATGATACTCTCAATACATTAAAAAAATAGAAACTGTAAATGTTAATAACTAAAATAAATTTTTCAAAACAAATTTCCATTCAGCATAGCAGACTATTTGCATTAATCAAAACAGAATATTTCTCAATATTGTAGTAAATAATTAAATAATATTTTAATAAAAAATGAAATAGTATAGATTAAAACATATAGGCAGTGGCCAAATCATCATCTCAAAAACTCCATTATCAGTTCTGCCACAGAAGGTTAAACTGATATTAAAGAAAGGGTTTCAAAAGAGAGCTATAAACATCAAAAAACCATTTTTAAATAATGAAAATAGAAAGAGGTGGCAATCATACATCTAAGACTTTATTTCTTAAGCCATAAATTGACAAAAGTGGATCTCTGGAAAATATAATCAAGAATAAAAGAGCAAAACATCCCTAATTCACATCCATCAGAAGCATTTTGGGTGGTACACAAACATCAAATATAAGGGGGAAATGTTGAGGGAAAAGTTAACATCTCAGTTGATACTTTCTAAAAAATGTTTAGGGCCAGGCTTAGTGGCTCACGCCTGTATTCCCGGCACTTCGGGAGGCCGAGGCGGGTGGATCACTTGAACCTGGGAGATGGAGGTTACAGTGAGCTGAGATCATGCCATTGCACTCCAGTCTAGGCAACAAGAGCGAAACTCCATCTCAAAAAAAAAAAAAAAACTGTTTAGATAGTTACTGTGAGCACAGATAGTCCATCTTTGTAAAGAACAATAGGGTTAGTCCTGAATTATGGCAAGCATGGATGATAATAATTTAATGCAGAAATAATTCTGTGGTTTGTTTCTTTACTGCAACAGACTCAGCAGCAGAAAAATTACATGGGCTTTTTCCTTTTTTCTACTCATAGGAAAGGTAACCAGGTTGCACTGCCTTTGTGGATTTGTAAATCACTGGTTCCTGGGGGAATGTTATCATTCTTTTGCGTTTTAGCTATGTAGGGTTAAGCTGCTCTGATCAATGTCCTCTCAACTATAGACCTTTAATGGTACATTCAAGAAAGATCATCCAATAAGAGTATATGGGTAGAAATCAATCATTGTAAGAATTGTGAACAGATCAAACCACAGTATATGCTTGGATTTTCCAATCACAAGGAGCTTTGTCCCCACAAAATTCATATGCTGAAATTCTAAGCTCCAATATGGTAGTATTAGAAGATAGGGCCTTTAGAAGATAATTATGCAACCCTTATGAATAGCACTTATAAACGTGACTTCAGATAACTCTCTAGCTCTCTTTCCACCATATGAGGCTACAATGAGAAATCAGCTGACTGCAACTGAAAGAGGTTCCTCACCAGGACCCTATCATGATGCCACCTTGATCTTGGACTTCCAGCCTCCAGAACTGTGAGGAATACTTTTCTGTTGTTTAAAAGCTACCCAGTCATGGCATACTGTTTAGAAGCACAAACTGACTAAGAAATGAGGACATGGAGGAATGAGAATCTTTCCAGAGGCCAAAATTTTCAGTCTACATGTAACAATTGCTCAGGCGGTATGCAGAGTCCAATGTAAGTGTGCATGGGACAGGTGGAGAACCATGGAAAATGACACATATTGGATTTTGCATAGAAAAGAGTGAAGGGCTCCTGACAGCTAAACACAACACTATTTTGAAGAATAAAGAATGTGGCATCTCTTGCATCTTAAATAGTGTTATAATGTGGCAAAATAAGATATGTCAAAACAGAATTACAAAAGTACTTTGAGTACTTTTGTACTCAAGAAAAGAAGGAATTCTTTAAAGTTTAGTTTCATGGGGGAGATTATGTTGACAAGTACCTGTGTTACAATTCATTTTACATAAACATATTTTCAGGGTCTTGATCAAATGACAAATTTAAGAAATTCTAACCTTTTAAGGACTTTATCAAGGACTTGGGGATATCAACTTTTGTTTAGGTTTTGGTGTCTCTAGTTATTCCAAATACAGAAATTTCTTGGTCAGTGGTAAGCCTCTAACCCTATACTGTCATCCTTGCCTCTGATATGATATGGAATTAAAATCAAGACAAACTTCCCTGCATTGAAACACCCAAGTACAATGACAGGCCATCTTCTACTGATATAGCTCTTGGAAACAAGTCATAGTTTGTCCAAATTTGGAAAGAGCTCTGCAATTTTTAGCTCTGTCTAGGGAGCTACCTGTCTGTCTCTTCTGGGTTTTAGATTCTATTCTTTAGACAAGATTTCCTGCTTCTCATATTTAAGAATACATCATGTTTTGGTTTTTGTGTCTATCTTACTTCATCTCATGAAGAATTTAATAGTTACCTTGGTTCTTTTTTCTTTCTTCCTTTTTCTTTCTTTCTTTCTTTCTTTCTTTCTTTCTTTCTTTCTTTCTTTCTTTCTTTTTCTTTCTTTCTTTTCTTTTCTTTCTTTTTACAATTTTGTCTTACCCAACATAATCTTGATTGTTTGGTAATCTTGATTATTTGGCTCCAACGTTCCTCCACTTGTCCTAGATTCACTAAGGAAGGTCACATATTGGCTCAACGTTTTTGTTCTGCATCAAAATAATTATTTGGTCCAAACTAGTGTATTTGTTTAGGTTTTATTAAATTTAAGCTTCTATGCTAGAAGTGTTAATTCAGATATTTCAACAACCAGGCACTCATGTATATTCCTGAGGTTTAACAACTTGCAAAGCTCATATGATTACATATAGAAAAGTATATGTAATCTGTAGAAAAAGAAATGTATTTATTTTTGCCTTTATAGAAGAAGTCATTCATGGAGCATTAAACTTAAAGCATCAGGTGATGATGATATAAAGAAGGAAGACAATGAATCTGGGAATAATATTCGAAGTAGAACAAGCAAAATGGCTTTCCTATCTACTTACTAGTAAATGATTTTAAATGAAGAACAAAAGACACAATTTCCTCCAATCATTAAGTTTTAGACGGCTCTTTGTGTGTGTGCATCCATGCACACATGTATGTATGTGCAGCTTTGGGCTGGAGCCGTCAACTTGATGTCCTGTCTTTCAAAGAATTTCAGAATAGTGTGTTTGGCTTCAGTTGGAAGTGGCAGGAGTTACAGGCTGAGTGATCTTATGTGTACCATTCAAGTATTCTAACGCTCAGATTCTTCACCAACCTAACAGAGATTAATATCTAGAAATAAACAAAATACTGCTAATAAAGACACTGTAGGAATGGCTGTTTCATAAAAGTTGTGCGATAAATGATAGCTCCTGATTTTGTATCAATACAGTAACAGTAGTAGTTTTTTAGAATCAATGGTTTTAGCGTTAAACAGTAGTGGTGGTGATAGTAAGCAGTAATCATCCTTACCATGAGTTTCCAAATGCTAAGAAAAATGATTGTGTTGTGGCTTTCTTTCTTTGAAATTAAACTTCTCAAAAGAAATGGTCACTTTATTCATACATTGCTCATGAGAGCATTAATTGATACAATCTTATTGGAAAGTAACCTACTAGAAAATTGGAAAAATCCATTAAAGTTCAACATATACAGACTCTCTAAACCAGAAGGTCCATTGTAGCAGGACGAGCCACAGACAAATGCCCTCAGACACCGGGTTAAAGAAGGAAGAGGCTTTATTTGGCCAGGAGTGTTGGCAGACTTGTGTCTCAAGAACTGAACTCCCCAAAAAAAGAGTTCCCGCTTACAACTCTAAGGGGTTCACGTGAAAGGGTCACGATATATTGAGCAAGCATGTGGTACATGACTAGGTGGGGGTGGTGAGCAAGGCAAGTATTTCTCCATACCATTATCTGTGATCTATAGATAGCACAAGCAGTTAGGGTGGGGTTAATCTTTAACCTACAGGCCTGGCCAGTGGCACTGATCAGTCTGTTATTTTTCAGTTTTTACTTCCTCCTTTTCTTTGGATACAGGGGACAGTAGGAGAAATGGCTTGTCTCCTAATACCCCTCTTTGAGAACCTCACACACTAGTGGGAGTTCTCATTCTCATCCTCACTATCTAGATCTTCCTGTGAGACATATCGATAGTGATTCATGTAATATACTTGTGCTGAGGTCTTTTGATGAACTAAGGTGGTAGAAATATGGGTAACATACAGGGGAGTAACATGCATGTTCCTAACACTATTATTATTCCTATTATAAAAGTTTTAAATCCTCCTAGAGCTGGAAACTATTTTCCAAACAGGGATCAAGGATCAAACCCATGCCAAACCTGCATGGGTACATGTGCCAGCTTTGTCATGTCTCTAACTATATTTTCGACTACTTGTCCTTGACCATCTATTTGCAGACAGCAATTGGTCAAGTTGAATTTTCCACAGACTCCTCCTTCAGCTGCCAGCAAATAGTCTAAGGCCAATCTATTCTGCTAGATGGCATTTCTCATTTGGGGTTTCTGCTGGGCTAAAAGAGTCAAAGCTCTGCCAGTTTCTTTAGTGATTATTTCTAAGATGGCCTGTAACAGTATGATCCAGTTGAGCATGTAGATAGGGGCTCAGTATCCCCACAAGCCATCTTGTGCCCATGTGGCAGGCCTATAGTACTGTGTGATCCTTTCGGGGGGGGGCCACTCATCACCTTTCCAATTTCCTATAGCTATGCTCCTCTTTTCTCGGGAGACATAGACAGGGAAACCTAAGAGCTCACCTGTTCTAACGGGCAGTAGGAAAACGGATGGCTTACTGGTGCCAATGACACAACTACCTGGCCATTGATCAGGTAACTGAGTGTAGACTCTGTGCCTACATATCCAGTATAGTCCAGTAGGAGCCGTCCAGTCTCGATGAGATTGTGGATGGGCCAAGCAATCTGTAATTTAGGAAATTTACTGAAGGAATGTAATGAAGGAAATTTACATACTTTTCAGTATGGTTTAGACCCCACCAGGTGACTGTCCCTGTTGTGCCGTTATACAGCCTCTGTCCTAGACCTCTGTCCTAGACAATTGAGCCTTCCTACAGGGATGGTGAAGTCTTTTCATTCCCTAGCTATGCAGTATTGTTCAGTAATAGAGGTTTTCAAGACCCAGAAGTCTTCTGGACTGGAATTATGTCAGGAACTGGATCAGTAGGCACCAATTCTCGGGCTTCCCAAGGCCATCGGTCTCCCATAGTGGTTCCCCCACATATGTAACAGGAAGTAACATTGAGGAAATGAGCTACATTTTCTGCTAAATGGAGAAACAAGTTCTTTTCTTTTTTGTGGAAGCTCTGGTGCTGGCAGATTCAGCTCATCATAAAATGTCTGAAACACTGGTTTGGGAGAGAGCCTGTGGACCTCCCCTTGGACTAAAATATTTACTCAGGGATCCAGTCCAGTTCCATTGATTCCTAAATTTACATACTCTCCTGTTTTCCAATGGGGATCAAGGGGATTGGTAATTAGTAGTTCTAATAGGTTACAGTAACCACAAGTGCATGAAGAGTTACTCTTTCCTTTTTGAAGGAGGACAGGGTCCTTCTCATATTTTTTTCCAGGTGGCCTAAATAACACAGGACCAGTAACTACATTCATCAGTACATAGTCCTAATTCATGACAAACATACTTATTTTCTACTATATAGCCCCTTTCCCAATCTAGAGAGCTACATCTTATTCTATTTCCATACAGGTCACTGTTGATTGCTGCACAGGCATCAAATTTTAAGAAAATTTGTTTGGGGACTCCTTTCTCTTCTATTCTAGTTACTACTCTACTCATATCAGCTTTTCCCCAGCTCCCAGTCCTCAATCTTATTTCAAAAATGGTAGTCATAGGAGGCTCAGATGGGTTAGAGCACACATCAGGCTGGTCACTTCCTGGGCTACATACCTTGTATAGAGTAGCATTATACAAACAAGTTCCTCTTAGAGTCCCGGTACACTCATAATAACTATAAAATAATGGACTACAGCAACCTTTTGTCCTATCTCAGTGACTTGATATATATGCTGGGAATTGTCCTCAGTCTGAGGAAGGTCAGTTGAAGTCCTTACTCTATAAGTCCAAAGTTTAAGGAAAAGGAGTCCCAAGATGAGTTTCCTCATGCTTCGGCCGTGTGTGGACCAGTCAGCTTCCGGGTGTGACTGCAGCAGGGCTTGTCGTCTTCTTCAGAGTCACTTTGCAGGCGTTGTCCGGGCTTGGTCTTACCTCCCAGGTCTCAGGTGCTGCAGGTTTAACGTGGCTGTGGTGGATCCAGGCTGGGATTCCCTCTACCTTTATGGCTGTGGTCAAGACGACAGTCTGGGGTCCTTTCCACCATGGCCACAAGGGGGTTACGTTCTAATCCTTGATCCACACCCTGGGGAGAAAGGGTGAACTGGGGAGAATAAGCTGATGGGGCATCTCTCATTTACTCAGGCTGAAATTGTTTGTGTAATTTTCCCTGAAGCCTGTAGCTGTCTCTGTAACTCAATTTCACCTAGGTCTCGAGGAGTACCTGGGAGTCCCCATAGTATGGGAGGGGGCCTATGATATAATATTTCATAAGGAGAATAGCCTGTTCTTTTAGAAGGGGTACATCTAATCTTAAACAATACCACAGGGAGAGCTTGTACCCACCTTAACCCTGTTTCTTGACACACTTTCACTAAATTATGTTTTGGTAGTCTGATTCATCTGCTCCCTTTCCGGAACTTTGTGGTTGGTAGGCGGTATGTAGTTTCCATGTGATCCCCAATACCTTAGCTGTCTTCTGTACCAAGTCAGCCACAAACGCCGGCCCATTGTCCAAGCTGATTCGTAAGTGCAGTCCAAACCTAGGCATGAGATCTTGGAGAAGCACATGGGTTACTTCACGAGTTTTCTCAGTTCATGTTGGATAGGCCTCCACCCACCCAGAGTACGTACACACTAGAACTAGCAAATACTTTTTACCTCCACATTTGGGCATCTTGGTGAAGTCTACTCGGAGATCTTCCAAGGGGGCTGCTCCATAAGCTTGTATGATGGGCAGAATGGTTGGACCTTGCCTAGCATCGTGCTGCCAGCAGGTAACATATGGCTGCGCCACTGTTTTGGCAAGGGCTGACAGATGCGAGATTTAGAAATACTGGCCTAACAACTTTTCAAGTGACTCTTGGCCTAGGAGGGTGGTCTCATGCACAGCCAGTACGACGGTGGCTCCTAGCAGTTGTGGCACAGCTATTCTTCTGTCCAATTACTGGATCCATCCCTCTTCTATCATCTGCCCTCCCTCTGCCTGGAGAAAGTACTTCTCTTCTTTAGAATAAGTATGTACAAGGTCAGGTTCCTGAGGGAGCAGGGGATGCTGTGACTGATGCCCGGTAGGGTGTGGATGTTGCTTTTTGAGCCTCTGAGTCAGCTTGGGAGTTCCCCAAGGCAATCAAGGTAGAATCTCACTGGTGTCTACTGCAGTGCATGACTGCCACCTTTTGGGGCTTCCACACTGCCTCTAATAGTTGCAGGATCTCTTGCTGATACTTTACATCTTGTCCCCCAGAGTTCAATAGGCCTTTTTCCTTGTATAATGCCCCATGCACTTGAAGAGTTAAAAAGGCACACCTAGAGTCAGTGTAAATGTTTAGTCTTACCTTCACTTAGCTCTAAGGCCTGAATTAAAGCAATGAGTTCTGCCTTCTGGGCTAAAGTACCCTGGGGCAACAATTTGGCTTCAATGACACCGTCCAGGGTTACCTCTGCATATCCAGCACACCTCTCTCCTTGGGTTGACGAAGCTGCTCCCTTCCATGTATAGCTCCCAGTCTAGTGATGTCCAAGGATGGTCTCGGAGGTTGGGCCTGCTAGAATAAACTGAGTCCAATACCTCTACACAGTTATGTTCAACTGGGCTCTCTGATATCAGGAGCAAGGTGACAGGGTTCAGGGTGTTGCAAACTTCAATGGTTATGCGGGAATTGTCACAGAGCAAGCTTTGGTTCCTAGTTAGTCTAGCATTCGTTAACCAATGATGTCCTTTGATGTTCATTAGTGTTACCACAGCATGGGGGGCCTTTATGTTTAGGTTTTGCCCAACAGTTAGCTTATCTGCCTCTTGTACTAACAGGGCAGTTGCTGCCAAGGCTCTTAAGCATGGGGGCCAACCTTAGAAACTCCATCTAGCTGTTTGGAGAGGTAGGCTATCGGTCTTGGCCAGAGCCCCATCATCTGGGTTAAAACTCCAACTGCCATTTTTTCTCTTTCTGACACATACAGTGTAAAAGGTTTTGTTAGGTCAGGTAGCCCCAGGGCTGAGGCCAACAAGAGCTTCTCTTTTAACTCATGAAAAGCTCATTGCTGTTGGGACTCCCATTCAAAAGGTTCCTTGTCTCCCCGCTTTGTGTCTCTGTACAGGGGCTTAGCCAATACTGCAAACTTTGAGATCTGCAACTTGCAGAACCCTGGAGCTCCTAAGAATTCTCTTACCTGCCTTCTGGTCTTAGGCTCTGACAGGTTGCAGATGACTTGCTTTCTTTCTGATCCCAGGCTGCGCTCTCCCTGTCGGATAGTAAATCCCAGATAACGTACCTGCTGTCTGCAATCTGAGCTTTCTTCTTGGACACCTTATACCCACAGTCTTCTAGGTGCTGGAGCAGGGTATTCATTCCCTTGGCACACCCGACTGCCGTGGGGTGTCCCAGCAGAGGTCGTTGACCTAATGGAGCAGCACGCAGCCTAGGTCTCTGGTGGGAAACTTCTGGAGGTCTCAAGCCAGCACCTCCCCAAAGATGGTGGGGGAGTTCTTGAACCCTTGGGGGAGCTGGGTCCAAGTGTACTGAGTGGTGACACCTGACCCCAGATCCTCCCACTGAAAGGCAAACAGTTTTTGGCTCTCAGGGGCTAGTTTGATACTAAAGAAAGAGTCTTTTAGGTCAAAGCAGGTGAACCAGCTGTCCTCAGCTGGCAGCAACCCCAACAATGTGTATGGGTTAGGTACCGTTGGGTGCAAAGTCACTGTAGCTTGGTTGACCAAGCACAAATCCTGTACTGGCCTGTAGTCCCTGGTCCCTGGCTTGGGAACAGGTAGGAGGGGACTGACATGGGACTATAATTCCAAAGGCCCTCAGGTGCTTGAGATGGACCTGGATGCCCTCAATGGTTTCTCTGGGGACCTGGTACTGCTTTTGCCTGAATGGCTGGGCCCCAGGCTTAGCTTCTAAGTACAGGGGCCTGGTTGATTGCCAAACCTGGAGGGTTGTCTTCCACCCACACCCTTGGCCACCGCTTAGCCAGAGCTGGTCCTATCTCTTGGCCTGGCTCAGTTAAGAAGAGTCTCCATTCCTCCTCCCAAGGAACCGTAAGAAACACAATGACTCCCATTCCAGGTAACTTTAGCTGTAAAGAGCCATGCTTTGTAAAAGAGATAGTGGCTCTCCGCTTGCTAAGTAGGTCCCTTGCCCAGTAAAGGCAAGGGGCAGTCAGCCATGTACAGGAACTGGTGAATCGCTTCATGCCCCACACAGTGCAGGTCTGGGGCAAACAGAAAGTTTGCTTTGCCGAAACCCCTGGGGCTCCGATTATATCAATAGTTTTTTTGGATAAGGGGGTGACCGGGATGGTTAATACTGAATGTTCAGCAACAGTATTGACAAGAAACTCAATGTCCTTGCCCCCGACTGTCATCCTGACCATGGGCTCTTTGGGGTCACATGAGCTCGGTCCCCCTCAGTCCAGTAACCCTTCTGCCAGATTGAACAAGGCCCCTTCGTCCTTGTCTGAGGCCTCCTGCTCAGAGCCACCTTGTTTCCCTTTCAACTGTGGGCACTTGTCCTTCCAATGTCCTATTTCCTTACAGTAAGCACACTGGTTACGCTGCAAGCATGGATGGCCAGACTGGGTATTTTTCCCCAGGCCCCCCTTCTCTTGCTCCTTCGGGGGAACCCCTCTAATAGCTGCAGCTAGCAGGTCGGCGTTTCACTGGGCTTGGCATTTGCTCTCTCTGTGGTTCTCTCTGTGGCTTACCGCATCTCTATTCACAAACACCTGGTTGGCTATCTCCAATAACTGTGAAGTATTCATACCTGCAAACCCAGCCTGTTTCTGTAGTTTTCTTCTAATGTGTTCTGCACTTTGACTAACCAAAGTCATGTTAATCATGCGCTGATTTTCAGGGCTATCGGGATCAGAGGGAGTATATGTACGATAGGCCTCACATAGTCTCTCATAGAATTGTGCCAGACTCTATCTTTTCCTTGAATGACTTTGTTAACATTTGTGGCCTTTGAGGTCTCTTTTTTAAGCCTTCCAGAAGGGCTTCCCTGTACCGGTTTAGCCTTTGCATACCCTGTCTTTCATTTGGGTCCCACTGGGGGTCTGTTCCTGGTAATTGGATCCTCACATACTCTTGGGGGTTTGGGTAATCAGCCAGAACATGTTCCTCTAGCCACTTAGTTGCTGCCTGGAGCACCCTTCACCTTTCATCTGAGTTAAATAGGTACATGAGCAACTGGTGGCAATCAACCCAAGTAGGGTTGTGGGTCTGGGTAATAGTTTGGAGCAAATCAATTATAGCTTGAGGCTTTTCAGTATAGGATGACGTATTGTTTTTCCAATTGAGGAGACTGGCAGAGGTGAAGGGTTGGTACACAAAGGCACACATTTCCACCATATGGCCATCCTCGTCTACCCCAGTATACTGTTGCTCTTTCAGGGGCTTTTGTATCCCAGTTCTAGGCCTCAAACGGGCTGCCAAGGGCGAGGTTTCTTCCAAGGTCTTGCATCCTTTCTTTTCTACTCTGGGTGGTCTAGGGGTATGTAGGCCTTGTGGAAGCTCGGGTGGGAGGCCTTCCTTCTTGGTGAAGGGGCGGGTGGGCACTGGTGCTGTTTGTTGCCATGAATCCTCTAATGTTGGGTCGGACAGGACTTTAGGAGCCGACTTCTCTCGGCGGGTGGAGCGGGATTCTTCCTTGGCTCTCTGTCCTTTTGCCACTAGTACTGCTGCTGCCTGTCCTCTTAACCACTGTGGCGAGTCTAAAACCAGCTGTAGCCAAGTGTCTACGGAAACTGGCCTGGGAGTCCTGGCTTACCAGTTACCTTCTGCCATAACTTTGAGACTAGGGACTGTGTAGGCTTCCTTCTGATGGCCAACCCACTTCTAATGTGGCCAATCTATCTCACACAAGGTCCTAAGTCTTCCTGGGGTCATAGTAACCCCATAATCTCCATTAAAATGTTTTTGGAAATTCTTTAACACAGTCCATAATGGAGTGGGCTTACTTTGCATCTCATCCATTTCCCCGCACCGAGACAAAAACGACGCTCACGACACAAGAAGGGAAAGGGTAAAGGAGTCACTCACTCGCCCTGCCTGCCACTGGCCACTTCCCTCACGGGAATCTCAGATCATCTTAGCTTAGGCAGGCTGGTACCAGGTGGCAGCATGAACTGCCACTTAGCTGTATGAGTATCCTATGGAACTGCAGCTTGGGGCTCTACACACACTTCAGACAGTGACCACTGTCCATCCGGTGCCCGTCTCAAACACAAGCATTCACTCACTTTCACTTTCCTTTTTTTAAACAAGCCAAGCCAAATCAAAATGAAAACTGAGACCAAAGTGCCAATAATGGCACACCGTGGGTGATTAGGACACACTTCCACTCAAATGGAGTGGACTGGTCCTACCGTATTCCAGATGTACAGACTCCAAGCACCAGTTCTATCCTGGTGTTCAGCCACTGCAGTGATCCTCAGCAGGGGCCTGCCGTGCACCACTCTGACAAGGAGTTCTACCAGGGCGAATGTCCACCCGGGAGCGCTCTCAGGATCTGCGTTGCCCAAGCCAGCTGGGGTCCCCCACAGGGATGCTCCATGGGGCAGGCCTAATCTGCCTAAGGGGCTGCCTCGACCGACTGTTAATCACCTCACTTCCTGGTCAGGGAACCATGAAATGCAGCAGGACAAACCATAGACAAAACCTCTTAGACACTGGGTTAAAGAAGGAAGAGGCTTTATTCAGCTGGGAGTGTCAGCAAGACTTGCCTCTCAAGAACCAAGCTCCCGGAAGAAAGAGTTCCTGGCCCTTTTAAGGGCTTACAACTCTAAGGGGTCCACGTGAAAGGGTCATGATAGATTGAGCGAGCATAGGGTATGTGCCTAGGTGGGGGTGGTGAGCAAGGCAAGTATTTCTCCATACCATTGTCTGTGATCTATAGATAGCACAAGCGGTTAGGGTGGGGTTAATCGTTAACCTACAGGCCTGGCCAGTGGCGTTGATCAGTCTGTTATTTTTCTGTTTTTACTTCCTCCTTTTATTTGGAGACAGGGGACAGTAGGAGAAGTGGCCTATCTCCTCATTATTTTAGAGAATCTCTCTTTCAGAAATAGAATAGAGTATCAAGACATGTTCATATTATTACAGTATTTATATATATATATATAGCAAAAAATGTAGAGCTAATGTAAAAGCTTATTAATAGGAAATAGTTGAATAAAAAGTGGTAGAAGATTATGTAGCTATAAGAAGAATGGGTTATATCTGTATATTTTGAATGGGGGGATTTTCATGATATATTGTTTAGTGAAAAAAGCATGTTTTAGAATAAAGCATATAGTGTGATCTTATTTTAGATATATTTTAAAAAGAGACATAAACATATATATATAAACATAGAGACAGGTAGAATTAAATGTGTGAAACAGCTAATATTGGTTACCTAATGAAGCAGACCAGGAGTAGGGTTGGGAGAGATAGATTGTTGACCTACATATTTTCTTATTAGTTTAACAACACAAGCTTTTACTGCATTTGTAATTTTTTGAAGTTTGGTGATGTTAAAAAACTTGTAAGTCACTGTGTTTATTTGCAGAAAGATAAGTACCACATAAGGGCCACTTACCTTCTGTAGACTTCACTTTATTTAGAGAAGATCTAAAACAGTGGGCATGGAAAGAACGTGGAAAAAGAAATGTTGGAAAATGAGACAAAGCCAAAAAATCCTTGGCTGTAGAGTATTAAAAAGTTCTATTTTTACACTTTGGTTTTAACTCTAAATACGATTGAGAGCAGGGCAAGAGCAGTAAGCTATTCAAGGAGATCAAAATATGCTGCTTTGGCATATTGATTATTTTGAGTTGCAAAAGCAATTGAGAAACGGCAGATACAGGAAGAGCTTTCTACCCTCCCACTATCTTAAGCCAGGGCATGCATTTCCCTTGACAAAGTTCCCCTCCCCATACTAGGAAGAGGAGAGCACTCTTATCACCACATACAAGGAACTGATGCCAGGATGAGTCTTCATAAATAGACCTTATTAAAATAATTCTTATCTTCTATTATTTCCCTCCATATATTTCCTAGTTACTTTACCACAACTTATCGGCCCTAGAAAAGCAAAACCTTTTTCCTTTAACTAGTTCCTCCTACACAATTTATCACCTTAAAATATATACCAAAATCTCACTCATGTTTTAGAGATTTGGTATATATTTTACATATACACCAAACATTAAGTAGGTTATGAATTATTATAACATTTATTGTGCTTTAAAAACCCTGATTCCGGCCAGGCGCGGTGGCTCACGCCTGTAATCCCAGCACTTTGGGAGGCTGAGGCGGGCGGATCACGAGGTCAGGAGATCGAGACCATCCTGGCTAACACGGTGAAACCCCGTCTCTACTAAAAATACAAAAAATTAGCCGGGCGTGGTAGCGGGCGCCTGTAGTCCCAGCTACTCGGGAGGCTGAGACAGGAGAATGGCGTGAACCCGGGAGGCGGAGCTTGCAGTGAGCCGAGATCGCGCCACTGCACTCCAACCTGGGCGACAGAGCAAGACTCCGTCTCAAAAAAATAAATAAATAAATAAATAAAAAATAAAAAATAAAAAAAAAATAAAAACCCTGATTCCAGATATCAGACTGCTAATTACAGAAATTATGACAGATAATGCAAACTCTAATAAAATATAATATTTTGGTTTATATTTAATGCTACAGTATAAGGCAGGAGAACCATATATCTGAAATATATAACCTCCCAACTTGTAGTTATATCACAAAAGGAAAGAAAGATATGTTTTTTGTTATTTTCCAGGGTTCTACTTGAGTCCACTCTCTCTATACTCCCACTAATTGATCTAATCTACCACCATGGCTTCCACAACCCTCTTCTTGATGTTTTTTTAAACTGACCTCCAACTAAGGGACTCTTTTGACCTTTGGACACATATGTCTAGCTCTCTAGTGGCCATCTCCAGTTGGATGTCTCATAGTTATCTCCAATTTAATATTACCAAAACGTAAACATGTGGCTACCTGTTACCCACCCCTTGCATATATTTGCTACTGTGCCTATTACTGCTGTTTCATGAAATACCATTGCCATTCAACGTGTCTCTCAAGACATATACTAAAGAGTAAAGCATCTTCTTCCTTGCCAACATTCAGCTCAAGTGGTCAGCCCTTCACTGATCACCATGACTAAAGGATTTCCTGAAACATGAGTTTCAGATAAAATGAGGACCTCTGGGGACAAACCTGAATGAGTTGGTCACAATACATTCAACTGGGTCTAGTCACAGGAGTTTCTTTTCACCATCCTCAATATCCTTCCATTAGTTTATTACCAAATCTCTAGAACAGCATCATTATGGGTTTTCACACCATTCTCCCCTTTGCACTCAGGGCAATATTTCTTGTTTTTTAAATTATTTAAATAATATTTTAATGATTTCAGTTAAATACAACTGAAAATGTGGTGTCACTGAGGGTTGTTTACTGCTGAATTTCAAAGTATAGATTTATGGGCCATCTCTGTGCACGCATATCAATTCCTACTAAATATTTGTTTTATTATCTCAGGTTATTGGCAGCTTTGTAATAGGAGGTGGGGAACAAGAATGATCAGCTGAAAGGATATGGTTAAGAGACAAAACAAAAACAATGCAAGTGACACTTAAAGTGGTACAGATATTACTAAAACAGAAATACGACCCCAACTATTTATCCCTAAATTATTGGGAAAAAAATACAGGCAAAGTTAAAACAATTACAGTCTTCACAGACTTAGGTAACTTTATTTGCATTTTTTAGTTATTTCTTTTTTATTGTTTGTTTGTTTTGAGACAGAGTCTTGCTCTATTTCTCAGGCTGGAGTACAGTGGTGTGATGATGGCAAATTACAGCCTCAACCTCCTGTCTGTCTCCCAAGTAGCTAAGACTACAGGTGTGCACCACCACGCCTGGCTAATGTTTCTGTTTTTATTTTTTGAAAAGATGAGGTCTCACTGTCTCACCCAGGCTGATCTCAAACTCCTTGCTTCAAGTGATTCTCCCTCCTTGGGACCCAAAGTGCTGGGATTACAGGCATGAGCCACCACTCTTGGCCTGATTTCTGAAGCCCTATGTCCAATGAAACCATTTTAAAAAGTTCTACTGGAATAGGAATTTAGCTATTTATTATACTTTTTCTTTATCAGATCATGAGGTTATTTTTTAAAGCAAGTCCCTTCACTTGAAATTAAATTTAACTATTTAAATTAATTGGATTAAGAGGAGTTAAAAACCTCCCTTAAAGAAATATCTATAGTTTCTCCCTCTGGTTTTTGAAATGAAGTCTTAAACTAATGAATATGAGTCAGACAAGGACATGTAATGCATCCTTTAATATCTTGTCAGCCTTTTGTGCCTTCGATTTTCCTTCTTTCTCTTTTAGGTATGTAGTAGCATTTTCTTGTGGTGCTTAAAGTTTTTTTAAAAATGAAGATAATACCTTCATAAAGAAAAGTGCCTAAATTATTAGTATACATCTTGATGAATTTTCACAACACAGTGGATTCACCATGTAACTAACAAATTAAAAAACAGATCATTACCAGCACCCAGAAATTCCCATGATGCCCTTTTTCAGGGACTACCTATACCAAATGTAACCAATATCCTTACTTCTTTTTTTCTCTTTGAGAGAGAATCTCATTCACTCTGTCACCCAGGCTAGAGTGCAGTGGTGCAATCTCAGCTCACTGAAACCTCTGCCTCCCGGATTCAAGCGAATCTTCTGCCTCAGCCTCCTGAGTAGCTAGGATTAAAGGCGTGCGCCACTACATCCAGATAATTTTTGTATTTTTAGTAGAAATAGAGTTTCACCATGTTGGCCAGGCTTGTCTCAAACTCCTGGCCTCAAGTGATCTGTCTGCCTCAGTCTCTCAAGGTGCTGGGATTACAGGCATGAGTCACCACACCCAGCCTATCCTTACTTCTTACACCATACGTTAATCTTGTTGGTTTCCAACATTGTGTAAATGGAATCACAATACTCTTTTTTTGGTCTATATTTTTCCCCACAACATTGTATTTGTGGGATTTATCGATATTTTGCGGTGTAGTTCTAGTTTGGTCATTCTCATTGCTATGTGCAATGAGTATGTAATTTATTGGTGAATTTACCACAATTTATTTTCCATTCTATTGTGTTTTGTTGTGGTTTTATTTCTATTCTTTACTCCCTCCAGCTTTATTGAAGTATCATTTTTTTAATATACGTATACATTATGAAATAATTACCACAGTCAAGCTAATTAAGATATTCACCACCTCATGTTGTAACGTGTGTGTGTGTGTGTGTGTGTGTGTGTGTGTGTGTGTGTATGTATATGTGTGTAGTGGGAACACTTGAGATCTCTCTTCATAAATTTCAAGTATTCAATGCATTAACTGTAGTTCCCATGCTGTACTTAGGTCTCCAGAATTTACCTTATAACTGAAAATTTGTACCCTTTTACCAATATCTCCCCATTTCCCCTACCCCACAGTCCTTGGTAACTACCATTCTATTCTCTGTTCCTGTGAGTTCAACTTTTTTTTTTAGATTCCACACAGAGGAGATTAAAAAGTATTTCTCTTTCTGTGTTTGGCTTATTTCACCCAGCATAATGACCTCCAGGTTTATTCATGTTGTTACAAATAGTAGAAGTTTTTTTCTTTTCTTTTTTTTTTTTTAATTATTAAATGTTTGGCGCTTTATTAAATTAAATAAGCTCCAAAATTAATTACATACAAATCAAAGGAGTAAGAAACAATAAATAGTTTATTCAGCAGCTGTTTTTTAAGCCGGTCTGAAAAGCGCAATATTCGGGTGGGAGTGACCCGATTTTCCAGGTGCGTCCGTCACCCCTTTCTTTGACTCGGAAAGGGAACTCCCTGACCCCTTGCGCTTCCCAGGTGAGGCAATGCCTCGCCCTGCTTCGGCTCGCGCACGGTGCGCCGTTTTTTTCTTTTTTTAAGACTAAATAATATTCCATTTTGTGTGTGTGCCATCTGTTGACAGACGCTTAGCTTATTATCATATCTTGGCTATTGTGAATAATGTTGCAATCAACATGAGAATGAAACTATCTCTTTGAGATAGCGATTTTATTTTCTTTGGATATATAGCCAGAAGTGGTATTGCTGGGTCATATGGTAGTTTAATTCTTATTTTTTTCGATAAAACTCCATATTTTTTCCCATGATGCTTGTACCAATTTACATTCCCACCAACTGTGTATAAGGGTTCCCTTTCTCTACATCCTTGCCAAGGCTTGTTATCTTTTGCCTTTTTAAATAATCTTTTATAAAATTATAATTTTATAATTGCTAACAGTTGTGATATGATATCTCATTGTGGTTTTGACTTGCATTTTTCTGCTGACTATGATGTTAAACATCTTTTCATACACAAATTGGCCATTTGTATGTCTTCTTTGAAAAAAATGCCTCTTCAGGTCTTTTGTCCATTTTTTAATTGTATATTTGTGTTTTCGCTATTTAGTTGTATGAGTTTCTTATATATTTTGGTGTAAAATAAGGGTTTGATTTAATTCTTCTCCATATAGATACTTAGTTTTTCCAGAATGATATATTGAAAAGACTGTCTTTTCCTCATTGTGTATTCGTGGCACATTTTTTTAAATTGGTGAACCATAGATATGTAGATTTATTTTGGGGCTCTGAACTCTATCCCATTGGTCTATATTGTCTTTATGCCAGTGTTACAGAGTTTTGATTACTGTAGCTTTGAAATATACTTTAAAATCAGGAACTGTGATGCCTTCATTTTTGTGCTTTCTCATGATCGGTTTGGCTATTTATGGTCTTTTGCGATTCCATATTAATTTCAAAATTGTTTTTTCTGTAAAAAAGTCATTGAGATTTTCATAGGGATTGCCTTAAATTTTGAATTATTTTGGGAAGTACAAACATTGCACCAATATTAAGCCTCCCAATCCATGAGTACAGGATATCTTTTCATTTGTTTGTGTCTTCAATTTTTTTCATCAGTATTTTCTAGTTTTCAGTACAGAGATCGCTCATCTCCTTGGTTAAATTTATTCCTAAATATTTTGTTATTTCTGATGCTAACATAAATGGGATTGTTTTCTTAATTCTTTGTTACATAGTTCATTGTTGTAGTATAAAATTCCCACTGATTTTTATATGTTGATTTTGCATCCTGCAACTCTACTGAATTCATTTATTAGGCAACAGCTTTTGGTAGAGTCTTTAAGGTATTCTGTGTATAAGATAGTGTTATCTATAAAAAAAGACTGTTTTACTTCTTCCTTTCCAATCTGAATGTCTTTTGTTTCTTTTTCTTATCTAATTGCTCTGGCTTGAAGGTCCAGTATAATGTTGAATAGAAATGGTAAAAGTGGGTACCCTTGTCCTGTTCTTGATCTTAGGAGAAAAGCTGAAAGATTTTCACTATCAAGTACGATGCTAGCTGTGGGCATTTCATGTATATCATTTATTATGTTGAGGTAAATTCCTTCTATACATAATATTTTGAAAGTTTTATCATAAAAGCATCTTGAATTTTTTTCAAACACCTTTTGTGCATATGTTGAGATGATCACATAATTATTGTCCTTAAGAGTACTCTTAAGAAAATAACATTTTACATGAGTCAGAATGCTAACATCAAGCAAGATAATTACTTTATGAAAATGTAGGAGAAATTGTATTTTATTTTTTCTAAAAAATATATTTTGATGATAAAGAAATTTTCACCGTATTTCAAAAAATAATACTAACATGTACTCTATAGTTTTGTACAATACCAAAATTTAGCCCAAAACATGGCTGGTTTTAAAATAATTTTCTAAGGTGAATGAACATGTAAAATATGGAACAGAAGTTTCATCTGTTCACCAGCTATCAACCCCCTTTTGGCTGTCTGCCCTGTGCTGCAGTCTAAACACAGGCAGCTGGTACATTCTGAAAGACTAGAAATGATAAATGGGGCAGAGACTGCTTAAGGTCTTTGTAAAGTTTAATGAAAGATTTATCTCTTGAGGGTAATGTTCCTCTATCTTTTACTGAAATGAGAGTTTGATAACCTCTCATTGTGCTTTTGATAAATTACACCTCACCGTCATAACTAAAATGACTAAGTCAATTTTTTTAATGTAGCTAAGCAAGGTCTAGTTATCACCAAATGGTTTAATACTTAGTATCTACAAAACTAAGTTTGAATTTGAAATATTTTTAATTATTAAGCTGAGAAAAACTATGATTCAATAATTTAACAACAATCACTGGGAGACCCTTTAATATTCTCTATACCGATTATAGCCATAGGAATGGGAGATTATGATTTAGAATTTATAGTCAATTTAAGGCACTCTAATCTACAATCACAAAGGATGTTTTTCACTAGAGTTTGCCATTACCTTTGTTGAAGTCATTAATATTTAATTTTAAATTTAACAGTTTGAATGCATTTTTATCCTTATATACCCACATGCATAAAAATGGAAAAGACAATTATCCAGCAAATAAAAACAATAAAAATAAACACCTCAGGAATTTTACTTAATTCAAACTTGAACATTTTCCCAACACATTGAACATTTTTTCTCACACGTTAGGAATTTAAGTTTCATTTTTAGAACTCAATATATCCAAGAGCATTTGAAATGTACAGTTAGAAAAGGGAGATAATTTTCAAGATGTTTATACAGGTTAAAAAGTACATAATGATTATTTAACACATTTCTCAAACCATCGTTTAGAAACAGTGGTTTTCTGGGCATGGAGAGCATTTCTCTGAGACTGGTGTGAATGTGGACAAATGGTGCTTCTCAATGTCTCCTGCTGATGCTCCAAGATTACCTAGATTTAGGTGGTGCTTCCCTTTCTCCTAGTAATTACGTTAAGAACTGCGTATCAGCAGTGACTATTTTTTTGTATTTTTAAATATTTTGAGTGATTTTTATTACAAAATTAATCCATGTTTGAGGTAAAAATCAAATTATACATAAACCTATGAAATAAAAATAGTAAAATCCTCCAACTCTTTCCACTCCATCCCATCCTAACTTGCTTGCCCAAAGCAGAGCCCCTATAGACTCACACAGACACTCCTCCATTCCCATTCCTAAAGAAAAACCAGCTTCCAATAAGTATGTGCAATTATTATGTATCAACTGAAAAATAAAAATCCAAAAAATAACAATAAACTGCAATGTATACTATATATAAAAACTAGTCTACAGTATTCATATAATTAAATTGTAAATATGCATTTTATATAATTAAATATGTTAATTTTATTAATTATATTATGGAACAGATATTTATTAAATATATAATTATATCATATAATTAAATATACATAAATTCATTTACATATACAGTCATATGTTACTTAACAATGAGGATACATTCTGAGAAACTCATCATTAGACAATTTCATTATTATGTGAACATAATAGAGTGTACTTACACAAACCTAGGTGGGATAGCCTACTACACACCTAGGCTATACGGCAGAATCTATTGCTCCTAGGCAACAAACCTGTACAGCATGTGACTGTACTGAATACTATAGGCAATTGCAAAATAATAGTAAATATTTGTGTTTTTAAACATATCTAACATAGAAAAGGTACAGTAAAAATATGATATAAAGTTAAAATATAGCACACTTGTATAGGGAACTTACTACAAATGGAGCTTGCAGTACTATAAGTTGCTCTGGGTGAGTCAGTGAGTAGGGAGTGAATGTGAGGTGGAGGACATTATCATACGCTATTATAGCCTTTCTAGATACTGTACACTTAGGCTACACTGAATTTATTTTTAATTGTCTTTTTTAAATAATAAATTAATCTTAGCTTATTGTAACTTTTTTATCTCTGAACTTTAAATTTTTTTAAACTTTTAGATGGTTTTGTAATAGCATTTAGCTAAAGACCCAAACACATTGTGGAGCTGCACAAAAATATTTTCTTTCTTTGTATGCTTATTCTATAATCTTTCTCCTACATAAACTTTTTTTTTTACTTTTTAAACATTTTTGTTATAAATCAAGACATAAAGACACATATTAGCCTAGGTCTACACAGAATCAAGATGGTTAATATCACCATCTTCCACCGCCACATCTGGTCCCATTGGAAGGTCTTTAAGGTCAATAACACCTATGGAGTTGTCATCTGTGGTAACAATGTCTTCCTTTGGAATACCTCCTGAAGGATCTGCCTAGGGTTGTTTTTCATTTAACTTTTTTTTTAAATAAATGGAGAGAAAACATTCTAAAATAACTCTATTAATCTAAATGCAATAGTATTTAAGATATAGTAAATACATAAACCAGAAACATAGTATCATTATTATTATCAAGTATTATGTACTGTACATAATTGTATGCAGTATACTTTTACAGGATTGGCAGTGCAGTGGATTTGTTTACAGCAGTATCACCACAAAGACATGATTAATGCACTGCACTAAGACATTGCAACAGCTACAGTGTCACTTGGCAATAGACATTTTTCAGTTCCATTATAATCTTGTGGGACAAGCATTGTATATGTGGTTCATCATTGAATGAAATGTAATTGTGTGATGCATGACTGTGTTAGCATAAAATAGAAACAAAATATTGTGTGTATTATTTATATATAAGGGGGATTCTATCATACACACTCAACTATATCTTGTTTTTATGTATTTATTATTTTACTTTCATTAACACTCTATCTAGGAAATCCATCCATTTTGGCCCCATTCTCTACCTGTGTTTCCTGACCTCATTGCACCATAGCTTATGCTTAACTTTGCATTACTGGGCATTGATATTATAACTCATTAGCCATCATTTCTTGCCACTTCATTACCAGCTGTTATTCAGCTATGAGTACAAATATCAGGGCAGACACTGTAGATATCCTTGAGCTGCTAGTGAGTGATTTTTCTGCTTCCAGTGTTTATTAAACTCCTATTGGAAATAAAAGTCTTATGGCAGGTTGAGAATAATCTTTTCCTTTTCTGGGCCTTTCCAACACATTGTTAGACTTGCTACGGGAAAAGCAGTCTCATTACACAAACCTGGACAAACATTCTGCCTAACAACACAGATATGTTGCTATGAAATGATTTACAAGTTCTGACCAATTTTTCAATCACTTTACATTGAAAACCACCTTCTATCACTCAAACCCTGACTTAATATAAATCTGAGAAGCTTTAGTGTAAATAAATTTCAAGTGTCTTATTGAAAGCAGCTTTTCCATTTACTTCTTTGAGTCAAGAATGACGTGAACCCACAGATAGAGTTCTACTCTTAAGAGGCTATCCGATTATTCTTTATGAAGCATTTTAAGAATATTTTTTAGGGGGAGGAGCCAAGATGGCCAAATAGGAACAGCTCTGGTCTACAGCTCCCAGCCTGAGCGACACAGAAGAAGGGTGATTTCTGCATTTCTTCCTGAGGTACTGGGTTCATCTCACTAGGGAGTGCCAGACAGTGGGCGCAGGTCAGTGGGTGCGCGCACCATGCGCAAGTCGAAGCAGGGCGAGGCATTGCCTCACCTGGGAAGCGCAAGGGGTCAGGGAGTTCCCTTTCCGAGTCAAAGAAAGGGGTGACGGATGCACCTGGAAAATCAGATCACTCCCACCCGAATATTGCGCTTTTCAGACCGGCTTAAAAAACGGCGCACCACGAGACTATATCCCACACCTGGCTCGGAGGGTCCTACGCCCACGGAATCTCGCTCACTGCAAGCCCAGCAGTCTGAGATCAAACTGCAAGGTGGCAGCAAGGCTGGGGGAGGGGCGCCCGCCATTGCCCAGGCTTGCTTAGGTAAACAAAGCAGCTGGGAAGCTCGAACTGGGTGGAGCCCACCACAGCTCAAGGAGGCCTGCCTGCCACTGTAGGCTCCACCTCTGGGGTCAGGGCACAGAAAAACAAAAAGACAGCAGTAACCTCTGCAGACTTAAATGTCCCTGTCTGACAGCTTTGAAGAGAGCAGTGGTTCTCCCAGCACGCAGCTGGAGATCTGAGAACCGGCAGACTGCCTCCTCAAGTGGGTCCCTGACCCCTGACCTCCGAGCAGCCTAACTGGGAGGCACCCTCCAGCAGGGGCACACTGACACCTCACAAGGCGGGGTATTCCAACAGACCTGCAGCTGAGGGTCCTGGCTGTTAGAAGGAAAACTAACAAACAGAAAGGACATCCACACCAAAAACCCATCTGTACATCACCATCATCAAAGACCAAAAGTAGATAAAACCACAAAGATGGGGAAAAAACAGAACAGAAAAACTGGAAACTCTAAAACGCAGAGCACCTCTCCTCCTCCAAAGGAATGCAGCTGCTCACCAGCAATGGAACAAAGCTGCATGGAGAATGACTTTGACGAGCTGAGAGAAGAAGGCTTCAGACGATCAAATTACTCTGAGCTATGGGAGGACATTCAAACCAAAGGCAAAGAAGTTGAAAACTTTGAAAAAAATTTAGAAGAATGTATAACTAGAATAACCAATACAGAGAAGTGCTTAAAGGAGCTGATGGAGCTGAAAACCAAGGCTAGAGAACTACATGAAGAATGCAGAAGCCTCAGGAGCTGATGCGATCAACTGGAAGAAAGGGTATCAGCAATAGAAGATGAAATGAATGAAATGAAGTGAGAAGGAAAGTTTAGAGAAAAAAGAGTAAAAAGAAATGAGTAAAGCCTCCAAGAAATATGGGACTATGTGAAAAGACCAAATCTACGTCTGATTGGTGTACCTGAAAGTGATGGGGAGAATGGAACCAAGTTGGAAAACACTCTGCAGGATATTATCCAGGAGAATTTCACCAATCTAGCAGGGCAGGCCAACGTTCAGATTCAGGAAATACAGAGAATGCCACAAAGGTACTCCTCGAGAAGAGCAACTCCAAGACACATAATTGTCAGATTCACCAAAGTTGAAATGAAGGAAAAAATGTTAAGGGCAGCCAGAGAGAAAGGTCGGGTTACCCTCAAAGGGAAGCCCATTAGACTAACAGCAGATCTCTCGGTTGAAACCCTACAAGCCAGAAGAGAGTGGGGGCCAATATTCAACATTCTTAAAGAAAAGAATTTTCAACCCAGAATTTCATATCCAGCCAAACTAAGCTTCATAAGTGAAGGAGAAATAAAATACTTTACAGACAAGCAAATGCTGAGAGATTTTGTCACCACCAGGCCTGGCCTAAAAGAGCTCCTGAAGGAAGTGCTAAACATGAAAAGGAAAAACCGGTACCAGCCGCTGCAAAATCATGCCAAAATGTAAAGACCATCGAGACTAGAAAGAAACTGCATCAACTAATGAGCAAAATAACCAGCTAACATCATAATGACAGGATCAAATTCACACATAAAACTATTAATTTTAAATGTAAATGGACTAAATGCTCCAATTAAAAGACACAGACTGGCAAATTGGATAAAGAGTCAAGACCCATCAGATTGCTGTATTCAGGAGACCCATCTCACATGCAGAGACACACATAGGCTCAAAATAAAAGGATGGAGGAAGATCTACCAAGCAAATGGAAAACAAAAAAAGGCAGGGGTTGCAATCCTAGTCTCTGATAAAACAGACTTTAAACCAACAAAGATCAAAAGAGACAAAGAAGGCCATTACATAATGGTAAAGGGATCAATTCAACAAGAAGAGCTAACTATCCTAAATATATATGCACCCAATATAGGAGCACCCAGATTCATAAAGCAAGTCCTGAGTGACCTACAAAGAGACTTAGACTTCCACACATTAATAATGGGAGACTTTAACACCCCACTGTCAACATTAGACAGATCAATGAGACAGAAAGTCAACAAGGATACCCAGGAATTGAACTCAGCTCTGCACCAAGCGGACCTAATAGACATCTACAGAACTCTCCACCCCAAATCAACAGAATATACATTTTTCTCAGCACCACACCACACCTATTCCAAAATTGACCACATACTTGGAAGTAAAGCTCTCCTCAGCAAATGTAAAAGAACAGAAATTATAACAAACTATCTCTCAGACTACAGTGCAATCAAACTAGAACTCAGGATTAAGAATCTCACTCAAAACCGCTCAACTACATGGAAACTGAACAACCTGCTCCTGAATGACTACTGGGTACATAACGAAATGAAGGCAGAAATAAAGATGTTCTTTGAAACCAACGAGAACAAAGACACGACATACCAGAATCTCTGGGACGCATTCAAAGCACTGTGTAGAGGGAAATTTATAGCACTAAATGCCCACAAGAGAAAGCAGGAAAGATCCAAAATTGACACCCTAACATCACAATTAAAAGAACTAGAAAAGCAAGAGCAAACACATTCAAAAGCTAGCAGAAGGCAAGAAATAACTAAAATCAGAGCAGAACTGAAGGAAATAGAGACACAAAAAACCCTTCAAAAAATTAATGAATCCAGGAGCTGGTTTTTTGAAAGGATCAACAAAATTGATAGACTGCTATCAAGACTAATAAAGAAAAAAAGAGAGAAGAATCAAATAGATGCAATAAAAAATGATAAAGGGGATATCACCACCGATCCCACAGAAATACAAACTACCATCAGAGAATACTACAAACACCTCTATGCAAATAACCTAGAAAATCTAGAAGAAATGGATAAATTCCTCGACACATACACTATCCCAAGACTAAACCAGGAAGAAGTTGAATCTCTGAATAGACCAATAACAGGAGCTGAAATTGTGGCAATAATCAATAGCTTACCAACCAAAAAGAGTCCAGGACCAGATGGATTCACAGCCGAATTCTATCAGAGGTGCAAGGAGGAACTGGTACCATTCCTTCTGAAACTATTCCAATGAATAGAAAAAGAGGGAATCCTCCCTAACTCATTTTATGAGGCCAGCATCATTCTGATACCAAAGCTGGGCAGAGACACAACCAAAAAAGAGGATTTTAGACCAATATCCTTGATGAACATTGATGCAAAAATCCTCAATAAAATACTGGCAAACCGAATCCAGCAGCACATCAAAAAGCTTATCCACCATGATCAAGTGGGCTTCATCCCTGGGATGCAAGGCTGGTTCAATATATGCAAATCAATAAATGTAATCCAGCATATAAACAGAGCCAAAGACAAAAACCACATGATTATCTCAATAGATGCAGAAAAGGCCTTTGACAAAATTCAACAACCTTTCATGCTAAAAACTCTCAACAAATTAGGTATTGATGGAACATATTTCAAAATAATAAGAGCTATCTATGACAAACCCACAGCCAATATCATACTGAATGGGCAAAAACTGGAAGCATTCCCTTTGAAAACTGGCACAAGACAGGGATGCCCTCTCTCACCACTCCTATTCAACATAGTGTTGGAAGTTCTGGCCAGGGCAATTAGGCAGGAGAAGGAAATAAAGGGTATTCAATTAGGAAAAGAGGAAGTCAAATTGTCCCTGTTTGCAGATGACATGATTGTATATCTAGAAAACCCCATTGTCTCAGCCCAAAATCTCCTTAAGCTGATAAGCAACTTCAGCAAAGTCTCAGGATACAAAATCAATGTGCAAAAATCACAAGCATTCCTATACACCAACAACAGACAAACAGAGAGCTAAATCATGAGTGAACTCCCATTCACAATTGCTTCAAAGAGAATAAAATACCTACAAATCCAACTTACAAGGGATGTGAAGGACCTCTTCAAGGAGAACTACAAACTGCTGCTCAAGGAAATAAAAGAGGATACAAACAAATGGAAGAACATTCCATGCTCATGGGTAGGAAGAATCAATATCATGAAAATGGCCATACTGCCCAAGGTAATTTACAGATTCAATGCCATCCCCATCAAGCTACCAATGACTTTCTTCACAGAATAGGAAAAAACTACTTTAAAGTTCATATGGAATCAAAAAAGAGCCCACATCGCCAAGTCAATCCTAAGCCAAAAGAACAAAGCTGGAGGCATCACACTACCTGACTTCAAACTATACTACAAGGCTACAGTAACCAAAACAGCATGATACTGGTACCAAAACAGAAATATAGATCAATGGAACAGAACAGAGCCCTCAGAAATAACGCCCCATATCTACAACTATCTGATCTTTGACAAACCTGAGAAAAACAAGCAATGGGGAAATGATTCCCTATTTAATAAATGGTGCTGGGAAAACTGGCTAGCCATATGTAGAAAGCTGAAACTGGATCCCTTCCTCACACCTTATACAAAAATCAATTCAAGATGGATTAAAGACTTAAACGTTAGACCTAAAACCATAAAAACCCTAGAAGAAAACTTAGGCATTACCATTCAGGACATAGGCATGGGCAAGGACTTCATATCTAAAACACCAAAAGCAATGGCAACAAAAGACAAAATTGACAAATGGGATCTAATTAAACTAAAGAGCTTCTGCACAGCAAAAGAAACTACCATCAGAGTGAACAGGCAACCTACAAAATGGGAGAAAATTTTTGCAACCTACTCATCTGACAAAGGGCTAATATCCAGAATCTACAATGAACTCACACAAATTTACAAGAAAAAAACAAACAACCCCATCAAAAAGTGGGCGAAGGACATGAACAGACACTTCTCAAAAGAAGACATTTATGCAGCCAAAAAACACATGAAAAGATGCTCACCATCACTGGCCATCAGAGAAATGCAAATCAAAACCACAATGAGATACCATCTCACACCAGTTAGAATGGCAATCATTAAAAAGTCAGGAAACAACAGGTGCTGGAGAGGATGTGGAGAAATAGGAACACTTTTACACTGTTGGTGGGACTGTAAACTAGTTCAACCATTGTGGAAGTCAGTGTGGCGATTCCTCAGGGATCTAGAACTAGAAATACCATTTGACCCAGCCATCCCATTACTGGGTATATACCCAAATGACTATAAATCATGCTGCTATAAAGACACATGCACACGTATGTTTATTGCGGCATTATTCACAATAGCAAAGACTTGGAACCAACCCAAATGTCCAACAATGATAGACTGGATTAAGAAAATGTGGCACATATACACCATGGAATACTATGCAGCCATAAAAAATGATGAGTTCATGTCCTTTGTAGGGACATGGATGAAATTGGAAACCATCATTCTCAGTAAACTATCGCAAGAACAAAAAACCAAACACCGCATATTCTCACTCATAGGTGGGAATTGAACAATGAGATCACATGGACACAGGAAGGGGAACATCACACTCTGGGGACTGTTGTGGGGTGGCAGGGGGAGAGATAGCATTGGGAGATATACCTAATGCTAGATGACGAGTTAGTGGGTGCAGCACACCAGCATGGTACATGTATACATATGTAACTAACCTGCACAATGTGCACATGTTCCCTAAAACTTAAAGTATAATAATAATTTTTAAAAAAAAGGAATATTTTTAAAAAAGAAATACAATCATTTGTTGCAAAACTATTGACTCCTTTTGGGGACTGGCTAATCCAGGCAACTTGGCAATTAGCAAAAGTTCTCCCCTTTCATGAGAAGCAGAGGTGTTCAGTGTTCAGGGAGAAGGGATAAAAGGGAAACTCCACCCTCTATAACTGTTAAAAAAGCACAGCTGACACTGCTGAAGTGGGTTGTTGATTTCTTTGGATTATCTATGAGAAATAAACAGGCCAGCTGGTTTGATTCATGATAAAACAGAAAACTTCAAAAATAATTCTACTTTTTTCTTCCAAACAGTGGTTACTTGGTGTTGGCTCTGGAGTAGTAAGTGAGAAAGCTTGGCTCATGTCTATTATCCTTTCCTGATACACTGTGGACAAAGGAATATTAGAAACAATTGTTTTCTTTGTCATGATATTGGTGATGGGCTCCACAGTAAAGAGTATGGGTTTTGTTTAGTGCTTTTCCTGAGCATCATGTGAGATGGATTCTTAATTGAGTTGTATTGGAAGATTTCAGCATTGAAGGAATCATGAAGGTTATGACTAAGACAGTTAACCGGTGGAGGGTCTTGACGATGAGTCATCCATGTTCTTGGCGTTTTGAACAAAGAGTTTGACAAAATGAACAAACAAAGCAATGAAAGAAAAAAGCAATGAAAGCACAAATTTATTGAAATGAAATTACACTGCAACAGAGTGGGAGCAGGATTGAGCAAGTGGCAAAGAGCACCCCTTGAAACATTTTCTGGGGTTTCAATACCCTCTAAAAGTTTCCCTTTGGTTACTTGGTTACACCCAATGTAAAAGAAGACTTGGCCTGTGACTAGTCTGACTGATTGTGGGAGGGAACCATTCAGAGGTACTTTCCATTTTTCATCTGCAACGCAGTATAAAAGGAGTAGTTTCTGATCCTTTTGTTATGGAGAGATTGATGGTGTGGTTTAGCTGTGTCCCCACCCAAATCTCAACTTGAATTGCAACTCCTGTAATTCCCATGCATCATAGGAGGATCCTGGTGGAAGGTGATTGAATTATGGAGGTGGTTCCCTCCTGTGCTGTTCTCATGATAGTGAACGAGTCTCACAAGATCTGATGGTTTTAAAAGCAGGAGTTTCGCTGCACAAGCTCTCTTCTCTTGTCTGCCACTATGTGAGAAATGCCTTTCACCTTCCACCATGATTGTGAGGCCTTCCCAGCCACGTGGAACTGTATGTCCATTAAATCGCTTTCTTTTGTAAATTGCCCAGTCTCAGGTATGTCTTTATCAGCAGCATGAAAATGGACTAATCCAGTGGGGTTTTCCTTTGGATTGAGCTCCAGGAAGTCAGTGGGAATTGGCCTTAGGCTTCCTGCCTCCAGACATTCTTGTCCTGCCTCATGTCCCCCCTGAGAGACAAGATTCTCATATATCTTTATGGGAGGCATAGGGACTGATGGTCTTTTTTTCTGTAACTGCTTTATGCTGACTTGAATTTGGGGTGCAGTCCCTACCCACTGGGGCTCACGGAACTCTCTCCTTGCTCTGTCCAGTGGTGACAGGGTAGCTTCTTGATGGCCTGGGGTGGTGTCTTCACCTGGAACTGGCTAGAAACCATGTCACATAATCATCTGAAGCTTGATGGTCTCTAGGTAAGAGGAAATGAATTTGGGTAAGACTTAACAAACAGTCCAAAAACCAAGGCAAGTATAATCATTAATAATGGGCCAGCCAAGGGAAGGAGCCATGAAACCCAAATTAGTGCCCTTCTCCAGGAGCCCCATGGCTCAGACAGCTGTTGTTGTATTTTGGAGGCCCAGACATCTAATTTCTGGGTGGCATTCCTTACTAATCTGGATTGGTTGACAAAAAAAAAAAAACCAAAAAAACAAACAAAAAAAAAGAGCATTTTAATGTTTCTAGAAAAAGATATAAGCCACTTTTTTCATTAGTAGGAGATCCAGTCCCCTTCTATTGTGTAAAGCAACTGCTGCCAAATAATCCGATTTTGTATGTTGATGATACTTGGGCAATGTCTTCCAAGGTTTCCATAAAATCCTTGAACAAGTATTGGTAATAGGATAGGGAAGTTGCAGGTCCACTAATTCCCGTTCCTACTCCCACTGTTAAAACTACTACCTCTGAAGGATTAAGTTCTCCATATGTAAACAATGCACACTCATACACATTACAAATGGGCTGAAATAATTAAAAATAAGCAGTCATTTCTACAGAGAATTCAAACCCAGCAGCATGCCTGGGCTATCTTTTTAGCAAGTCATTCTACCATGGCCAAGTTTGCCAAGAAGAAATATAGAAAAACTCTTGATTTAAAAGAGCTTTTCTTTCTATGCTTCTGGGAAACAACTAAACACATCAGAATGCTACCTGGAAAGCAAAGAATGGAAGAGAATGGAGATTTAGACATTATTAGTAAGGACTTTTAGTTCATACTATCTTTTAACCGATATGTAACAATTTAACTGGCTGCATAATTTATTCTTAAAGGTATCCACTGTGTTCTGACCTAAAAACTCACAGTTTTCAGGAGAAAAAAGACCCAGTTTCTCTCTCTCAGATGTGGCTCAACATTGACTAAATTTACAGTATTAGTTAAGTTCTACCTTTCTCACTGTAAAATGAAAAAAATATATATATTATTACTAAGATTATGAGGAATAGCAAATAGAATACTGGCACCTAGACAAGGGCTTGGGAAACTAAAGCCCACAGGCCAAATTCAGCCTACCACCTGTTCTGTATGGTCTGCAAGCAAAGAATGTCTTAGTCCACTCATGCTAACTGCCATAACAAAGTACCATAGACTGGGTGGCTTAAACAACAGATGATTATGTTCTTACAGTTCTGGAGGTGAGAAGATCAAGCTGCTAGCTGATTGGGTCCTAGTGAGGTCTTTCTTCCTAGCTTACAGAAAGGAATCTCTCTCTTTCTTCTTACAAATCCACCAATACTATCAAATTAGCACTACACCCTATGACCTAATTTAATCTTAATTAACTCCTAAAAGCCCTGTCTCCCAATACAGTTACATTGGGAGTTAAGGATTCAACATATGAATTTTGGGAGGACACATTCAGTCTATAACAAAATGGCTTTTACATTTGAAAATGATTGGAAAGAGATAAAAGGATGAGATTTTTGTGACATGTGAAAATTATATGAAATTCAAATTTCAGCATCCATTCAGTAAAGTTTAATTAGGAACACAACTGCACCCATCATTTACGATTTGTTTATAGTTTCTTTCACAGAGTTGACTAGTTGTGACAGAGGCCCAATGACCCACAAAGCCAAAACAGATAGTAAAATGTTTACTATCTGTTCCTTAATGGATAACATTTATTGACCCCCTGACATAGATAATGCCCAATACACGGTAACAATTGTTAGGACATCAAAACACCTGAATAAAAATTGAAATGTATAATTCTCCAGCATAGATAGAGTGCAACAGAGAGAACATCTGGAAACAACTGGCAGTTTTCTATAAACTGGAGGTCCCAAACACAGGCATCTCCAAGGCCTACATAGAGAATGTCAGTGAGTGGAGTGAACCAGGTTAGGGAGATAACAGGGAGGCATGCGGGGCAGTGGGAATCTGCTGTGGATATTGATCAACTCCAGCAGATTGTTGCCATAGGAAATATAGGTTTGGAATTGTCTGAGAAGTATAGTTAGAAGTTTTAACTTTTATGAGAATTTTGTTGACAAGGAATTTTTAAAAAACATTTTATTGCTATTCAACAAAGTGTGGAAGAAACAAAATATGTCCGTGTGCCAAATGCAAGCCAATAATTAGAATTTTGCAAGATTTGATATGAAGAATAAGAAATAGCCCCAAATTTGATAAGATTTTATATTTTTTGAAATATCTACTCAGGTCAACATAGTTTTGGTCTAGTGATAAGATTATAGCTGATTTTTTTTCCTATTTTTGCTGAATAGACATTCTTGTTTTCGAAAAATACAGGGACAGATGTGACTGCATTTTTTCCTTTTAATTTTTTGAAATTTCTAATATTTTGTTCTCATTTTCTTGATTATTTATTCAAATTATGGGGCATAATTGATCAATTACCTTTCTTTCCATATGACTACAAACTCACTGAGCTGAGGTGTATAACTTTCAGAATCCTCAGGACATAGATATTGCTGGCACATGATGTGATTTTAAATGTCTTTGAGCAAAAATTGAATGAATAATGAGAACTAATGCCCTATTCCATCTATCAAAGTCTCCAATATAAATAAATTGACAAAAGTGTCAGGGCTGATATACACAAGTGATGACCATTATCCTGAACAGTTCTGATGTAAATGTGTAAATGTGTTTTTATTACTACAGCAAGATATAATATTACTATGTCACTTCTCTTTATAAACAGACTAGAGAATATATGTGCAACACCTACTGAGTATATTTTTCCCCAGTGTCTAGCCTTGTAGAATATCTATGTACCATAGATACAAAAATGTCAAACACTCACTGAGAAACAGCATGGTTCATGGAAGCATTAGTAAGAGATATGTTTTTGTACTTCAACTTTTTATTGTAATTCACTATACAACACAGCTCTTCAAATTGCCAGGAAAAAAGTTATATTTTTCTCTTGAAATAGAGGTTAGAAATGATACATTTGTAATCATCTGTGTACATAAAGCTACTTACTCACCATAGACATAAAATATGGTTGTACTCTTATTAAGCTTTCAAAGCCTGCGGAAATCATTATGAATGCTGTTAGCATACAGGGAAGCCATGTGGTTTAGGGAAGAAGTAAGGAATCATTGCCATTCACCAGTGTTTTCTTTCCTTTCCCCCACAGTCTTTGATCTTGGGTAGGGTTTTCTATCCCTGGTGAGGTTTCTCTCAAGTACTTCAAGAAATAAATATTTGCTAGACTATTCTAATATTTTATTAAAATAAACTATAGCCTTTGGCTTTAAATGTTTCAATTGTGAGATTTACAGATATATGTTTAGAATCCCTACATATGTGTACCAATAAATAAAAATAGAGATTTATTTGGAGGTACAAGACAATGAATTCACTCCAAAAGATGTAGAAGATTGACATGTTTCAAATTTTCCAAATATTATTGTGGAATGAATCACTATTAAATGAAATGTGCATATGATGCTATTTCTAAATAAACAACCTATCTAAAGAGCTTTAATGCTATCCATTGCCAGAGACAAATTGTTAAATGGTATTTTTATTAATGGCCCAATTTATAACTTAATTAAATGCCCTTAAAATTTATTTAATGTATATTGAAATGCTTTATAAATACTACAATTTACAGGGTCGCTTTCTCTGGTTATTAGAAATGGTCTCTGTATATAATTTCTCAGAGATCAGCAAGATGCTAAAGTTGTATCTTTGTAATGATATTCTGCAATTGCATAGGATCCTTTGCTTAAAGATCTCAAAGAGCTTTACTTAATATTGAGTGATTAAATCATACGGTACTCTTGAGTGACAAGTTTAATTATACCCATTTCCAGAAAGACAGTATGCTGAAAAACTATTCATCTACAAACTCAAGGTTATCCAGATAATCAGGACCAAAAGGTCATTTTGCTGGGGATAGCCATACCTCTTACAGTGGAGAGCTCACATATGGAAGTGAATTGTCAGACTTGGGGTTTTGCCAATTTCTTCAGCACACATATAAAGTCGAATGTCACCACTAGCAGTATAGTAATCATATCTTTGGAGGATTATTAACACCTTTAATCTTCTATGATTCAACAGCTATTTCATAGTCTTTTAGAGGAAAAGAATCAAGTGTCAGGCTAATGCTATTTTGTTTTTTGTTTTGTTTTTTATTTTTGCAAAAATACACTAAAATTATTAAAATCATCTGAAAATCAAGAAAGAATTCTGAATATATTTATGTATACTCATTTTTAAACAAAACAGACACACACACAGTACAAACACAAACACACAGATATAGCTTATCCTTCAACCAGTCCTGTTGGTTCAACCACCCAAGCAAAGACTCTCACCTAGATTTTTGCCTCTGCCTTTTTATTTCTTCTTTACATCCTGCATGAGAATGTGTTGTTTACAGGTATGGGAGCCATTGTGTAGCCAGAAGTGAACATGTATGAGAACCAGTGGCTAACACACACAAAAAGGATGAAGCTAAAAGTTAGCAATAGCTTGAATCTGATGGCATTGCTAAGCTCTCAGAACATCCCCGAGGCTAATTACCTACCAATGTCTTATAAAGTAAACCATAAATATCCTTATGATTTAATTGCATTTATTTTGTAGCTTGCAGCCAAACACTTTCCCATCTGATACACAGTTTATCCTATTTCCCTCTTTCATTATTGTCATAACATTTTTTCCTATATGGGAGTATATTATTTTATTTATAAATTTGCTTATTGGTTTCTTTGCCTTTCTGTGCATTGAAACATAAGCTGCACAAGAGAAGGACTATTTTCTGTCTATTAACGGCTGTATCCACACAACCTAAGTGCTCTGGCACATTGAAGGCTGCAACAAATCATTTTATTTTATTTTATTTTATTTGTTTTATTTTTTTGAGATGGAGTCTCACTCTGTTGCCCAGGCTGGAGTGCAATGGCACAATATCAGCTCAACGCATCTTCCGCCTCCCAGGTTGAAGTGATTCCTCTGCCTGCGCTTCCCAATTAGCTGGGATTACAGGCACCTGCCACCACGCCTGGCTAATTTTTGTATTTTTAGTAGAGACAGGGTTTCACCATACTGGCCAGGCTGGTTTTGAACTCCTGACCTCAGGTGATCCACCTGCCTTGGCCTCCCAAAGTGCTGGGATTGCAGGTGTGAGCCACTGCACCCGGCCAACAAATCATTTTAAATGAATGAATGTATATGTGAGTAAACGAATTTGTAAAATAGCTTACCTATATGTCCAATGACTAAGATGTTATAAACTTCATTCAGGTTGCATTACTGGCTATTGGATTTCTAAAAATTTAATTATCTTTCTTAATAACTTACAAGAAAAGAGATTTATATAATTTCTTCATAGAAAATTGACATAGAGCATCTGCTGCCTCTGCCTTAATTTCAGTCTTCATCATGAGAAGCCTGGTTTCTGAAAGCAATGACACAAGCTAGAGACTGTAACAAACTGTTTCTGCCAGGGTGAAGGTCCATTGCTGAGAAGACAACACTAAAAGGAACAAAGCAGGAGGTAACAAGCCACTTTTAACTCTTCCTGCATGTCAGACTCTGTTTCTCTACTGGAAAACCTAACAGGGAACCAGCTGGAAAAAAAAAAAAAAGAATTATAGTTTTCAGCATCCTAAGTCCAGTATCACAAAGAAACAGATAGAGTATAGGTCTGGGACTGAGCGAAAATAGGTTAATACATGGGAAAAAAACACACAAATAACTGTGTCTTATGGAATCTTGTCTTGCGTCTTTGTAATTCATTAAAGGGTGATTTTTTTCCCCTAAAACACAAATCAGATCAGGTAATATCCTGCTCAATATCTTTCAGAAGATTTCCATTTCTTTCAAGCTACTTAATATTATATACATGACCATTTATGATCTGGATCCTGGTTTTCCCTCTTCCTCCACTCCTGGTATACCCCCGGGGTATAACCTTAAGAACAGACTACATTAGGTTCCCCTCAGTAGCACGTTTTCTCAAGCTTTTATATCTTTTTTATAGTCTCTTCCTGTATTTGTCATTCCATTCCTCTTTCTCTGCTCAGCTAATTCTTACTCATATTTGGGAAAGCCTTTGAACTAAGTCTCTCTACACCTGCCAATGGGGATGTTAATAGATGCCATATATCAGGTTGTTGTTAGTAAACCAAATAATGCAGGTAAATTATTATCACCTACCAGCACTTAGCAAACTCTGAATAAATACGTGCTCTTATTATTATCATTTCCTTTTATAACTTCACCAAAGTATCCTTTTCTTTCATAAACCCTGTCTAATACCCATGTGTATGTTTCCTCAGTGATCCCATAACATCCCATATCATCATGAGGATACCTATCACACTGGATTAGAATCCCTGGCTGATTGGCAAGTGTTTCCCATTAAGTAATAAAATTCGAAGGTGGTGGCCATGTCTTTGATATATTTAACTTCCATACTTGACACAGCAGAGCAGAGAGTAATTTTTCAATAAATATTAGCTTAATGAAAATATTGCACTTTTACAAATTTGATATAGTTTTATTGACTACCTTGCATTAAGACAATGCTAGAACACACACATACACAAATAGATTAATTACTATTTAGACAACTGCTACAGCAACTTATTTCATTATAAAGATTCAAGCCATCCCCGGTAGTTACTAACCATACATTTTCAAATTTGTCAAAGCAATGTACTTGTATTTAAAATATTTAGGAGACTATGAAAATGATTCATATGAGCTGTGTCTTGGCCTAAGTTCCACTATGGTCCCCATAAAAGCAGAACCAGAGACAAGGGATCATGTGATGATTGCTTGTTTGGGGAAGTGATCCCAAGGAAAAGGACAGGGGAGATGGAAAAGTAAAACTGGGAATGAGTGAGAGGCAATATAAGTTTGCATATCGAACTACAGCGTGCAACCGGGCTCGTTCCCAGTGGAGATACCTCGGTGATTCATTTAAAATTCACCTTAGAATTGTCCATCCAAGGGAAGGAATAAAGTATTTATCCACTAGTTTCTAGACCCCATTGGTCAAGAGTTATCCCAGGGAGCACTAACTACCTCATACTGCCTGATTTTGAACACTTCAGAATAGTTGAGTGGTTTTCTTACTGACATCACTGTAAGAAGCAATAGAAAACACCCAGGGTAGAAAGCAAGAAAAATACTAAATACAGCTAGGGGTGGTGCTGTCAGGTTATACCTGAGTGCAGCTGGTTGCCACGGCAACTGCTAGAGTTTAAAAAAAATGGCTGAGAGAATACTACTCATGTCTTAACCAAGCTGGAATATGTATCTTTTTAAAAATTGCTCTATTCATATTAATATCATGAATGGCTTAAAATATACTATCTAAAGAGCTTATAAAAAACTTCTTTTTGTGGTGTACCTTGGAAACATTTATAAATTATTTATTTCCTTTTAATTTCTAAGTAGATGGTACCTTAACAATGTAAAGGGAAATACAAAACCATTTTGAGAAATTTTTGGAAATTTCTCATGGAAAGCCTTCATGTAAAAATTTGAAACATTATCCTAACTAATATGCTAAGACAGAATTGAAATTTCTCAGACTGCTTTTAAATATAAGAGATGTCTAGTGCCATAACTCAGTTAAATATTCCATATATGCCATTACTGAAGAAATAAAAGAGTGAGGAGCGGCAAAGAGATGGGATCAGGAAAGGGCATAAAAATAGTTTCAAATGTATTAGGTGATGTTCTGGTACTTCATTGTGTGATGGGCTTAGAGGTATTCATTTTTGCTTTATAACATAATTATGTGACATGTAGTTTGCATTTGAAGATAATATTGCATGGTAAAATTAAAACTAAGGAGATAAATATGATCATATTATGCATTAGAGAAAAATACCATATTATGCTAGAAAAAACTCTAGCCATACAGCTTCTGAGAAACACCTTCAATATAAATGCACAGAAAGGTTGAGAGCAATATGATAGAAATATATTTCATGCAAATATTCACCAACATAAAGCAAAAAGAAAAGAAAAGAAGAAAGAAAACTAAACCAGAAGAAAATAGCTATTTAAAAGCAAAGGTAAAATTTCAGCAGTTCAACATGCTGAGAAGACAAATACTAGACTTCAGAGCCTGCCACAAAGGAGAAGCTGCAGGGTTTCCCATGAAACCCAACAATCTTAAATCAGCTAAATTTTTATTAGATCCAGGTGATCTGCCTGAACTCTAATGGCCAGGAAATAAAAACTAAAATAAATGACATTCTGAGAGAATGTCATAGGTATGCTTGCTTTCATACCCCAGCCATGAGGAACACAAACACAAAAGATTACTTCTGGCTGAAGACAAGCTCACAGACAAAAATTATAAAGTACCTAACATTCATTTAACAGGATATTTCAAAAAGAAAAAAATAAATATTGTTCATTTTAAAAGACATTATTTAAAAAGACCAGGTCTGTTTAATAAACACTTAGAGCAATGAAAAACATAGGTATCAAAAGAAATTCTCATTGGATGGGATAAATAGTAGTCTAGTTAAGATAAGGACAGAGAAACTGCAAAAAGGTTTCCTTCAATATGGTACAGAAAGGCTAGGGCAGGGATTGTTGATAAGGCTCTGCCCTATGGTCTCTACAGCACCCACTGTGTGAATGGGCAGGGCCATTGCTTTCTTTCTGGTGTTCGCCTGGAGTAGGGTGGATTTAGTCAAAAGGTTCTGCTCTTCAGCTCTACTCTTTTTTTTTTTTTTTTTTGATCCTTGGTGAGAGAGTGGAGACTTTTCTTGTTGCACTGGCTGCACATCCTTTAGGGTTTCTGGGCGGCAAGCTTTTCTAGCACCCAGACTGAGATATACTGGAGGCATAAAAAAAATCCCAGGAAACTCACTACTTGCTAATTGCTCAAGTCCTGAGGCCAGTTGGCATCCTTCTCTTCACCTCCTTGAGTCTCCTCAGATTTGCCTTATGTATTTTGTCAAGATTTTTAGCCACAGTCAGCAAGAGGAATGCGGTGGAATGCACTTTTTTCATTTGGTCTGGAATTAAAAGCTCCACAAGTGATTCTTAAAAGTTGATATGATAAATCAAAGGATTCGACATTCCCATCAGTAGTATATGAGGGCTACCTCATTGCATTAATATATTTTAAAATATTTTCTTTTACAAAAATTTAGTGTCTACAACAGAACAAACCAATTGAATGAAAAATGAATAAGCAAGTCAGTTGTTTAAATATACTATTTTTCAAGATGCCAAATATAGAGGTAATTAACATTTTAAATGTTAACTTATTTTATTTTTTTCCAGCCAGATATTTTAAAATGTGTAAATGAGCCCAAGCTTTTTCTCAATATTATGAGTTTGTAAAATTATTAAGTACCTTCAATATTTTAAGTTTTGTCTTTTAAAAATTTATACATTAATATGGTTTGGATTTGTGTCCCCATCCAAATCTCATGTCAAATTGTAATCCCTAATGTTGGAGGTAATTGGATCATTGGGGCAGATTTCCCCTTTGCTGTTCGCCTGTTAGTTAGTGAGTTCTCATAAGATCTGGTTGTTTAAAAGTGTGTAGCACCTCCCCTTCTCTCTCTTCCTCCTGCTGTGGCCATGTAAGATGTGCCTGCTTCCCCTTCCACAATGATTGTAAGTTTCCTGAGGCCTGTATAGATTGCACAACCATAAGCCAACTAAATCTCTTTTCTTTATAAATTACCCAGTTTCAAGTGTCCCCTTCCCCTTCCCCTTCCCCTTCCCCTTCTCTCTCCTTGGGCTTCTCCTTCTCCTCCTTCTTCTTTGGACACAATCTCACTCTGTCGCCCAGAAGGGAGTACAATGGCATGATCTCTGCTCACTACAACCTCTACCTCCCAGGTTCAAGCAATTCTCATGCCTTAGCCTAGCTGAGACTACAGGCATGTGCCAGCACACCAGCCTAATTTTTTCTTTTTCATATTTTTAGTAGAGACGGGGTTTTGCCATGTTGGTCGAGCTGGTCTTGAACTCCTGACCTCAAGTGATCTGCCCGCATCGGCCTCCCAAAGTGTTTGGATTACAGACATGAGCCACCATGCCTGGCCACAAGTATTTCTTTATAGCAGTGCTATAATTGACTAATACATACGTTTATTAATATTGATTGGATTTTTTTCTTATTACTTTTATTTAACAATTTAAGTAATCACTTTAGAAAACTTTTAAACTTTTATTTATTTTTTTCCTGTGGAAAGAATGCATGTGATTTAAACTGACACAACTTCACCGGACAAGAAAACATAGCTGGCAGGTTTAATGAAACAGCAATTATAGTTGCCTTTATGAGAAAAATAATAATAATAATAATAATGTTATTTGAATATATAGAGAGAATTCAAAGGAAACATGTAACAAAAAGCTTTTTAAAAGCTACTAGTTGTGGTACTTACTTTCAACCCTGGGGGATAAATTTTCATGTCTTTCAGTAATTTTAACTTTTATAATTTTATAAAATATTTCCCACAAGCACACCCAGCCTAAAGTATATTAATTAGTCCCACATTCAAGGTTATTCTTAAACTTCTCAGTTTATATATCCAAAGTACACATGCTACAAAGAGAGCAGAGGGAAGTATCTTCAGTAAGCAGTGTGGCTAATGTTTATTTTGTAGAGAAATATCCCCATGCTGGTTTAAAATTTCCATTAAATGAAGAGTCATGCATTTTGGTATTGTTAATAAAACATTACCTACATTATCTTTTTATCATAATACTTCAGATGCTGACTCTTGCCTTCTTATTCCCCACATACCATTTTGCTCTCAAATCATTGCTGCCAATGGTTCTATTACACAGAGAGGCTGATTTTCCCTTCTGGCAAGAAAAAAATCATTGAAAAAATTTCATTTAAGGATAGTATAAAGTATACACAGGTCGAATCAAGGAGATTCTTCTGGATTTCATCCAGAAGTTGGGATCTTTGAGAATGTTCCCTGCCACCTCAACCTCTAGGAGTGGTTCCTATTCCTGGAAAATGTTATCTTTTATAATCCAATAAGTAGGAGGACATATCTTGATCATCGACAGTCAAACTGAAACTTTTCATCAGATTTCAATTCTTAGTGAATACTAGCCTTAGTAACAAACTCTACTTTAATCCTTTCTAAAAATAGTTCAAATGAGAGAAATGACAACAAATAATCAGAGAAAGGTTATCTGACATTTATTTAGGTTTTAAAAAAATAAAATAGCAATTATGAAAGGACTTTTACTTAAATTATCCCTTTTAAACTTGAAAACATGACCCTCTGGGTTAGGAATTTTTATCCCCATTTTAGAGGAAAGAAACTGAGCTATGGACACTTAAATAACTTTTTAAAGATGGTTCCTAATAAATCGCAGAGGCAAGACATAAGCCCAGGTCTTCTAACTCTTAGTCTAGTACTATTTCAACTGTAATGCAGTTACTTGAAGGAAGGAATAATAATCTTAGAGCTGGATAATTCATGTTAGCCAACTTTTACAAGCTATATATAATAACATTTCTAAACCTTACTATCCTCATTTATTAAAAATAATAATTTTGATTATTTTCTAGATAGTTGAAGAATAATTTTATGTGAAATCCTGTTATCAATTGCACAGTATTTTCTCCACCCCATCTAACCGCATGAGAAAGGATCTTTTTTTTCCCCAGGAATAAAGTTGCAGAGGACACCTATGACAATGTTTGCCCAGCAACTTATCTTGCCACTTTTCTAGTTACTGCCCCTTTATGCTTCCTTTGCCTTTCCAAATGGCTGAAGAAGGACCAGTTTTGTTAAATGGGACCCTTCCTTAATGCTGGAATTGATTAGTCCAAGAAATATCACTTGTATTAAGCTAAACAATAGCTTCTTTCCTGCAATTTCTGAACTTTGGATTGATAGACATGTATGTCAGTTTCTCAGCAGTCACGTTACCCCATTGAGCAAACCTCAGGAAAATTGGCAACCTGTGGGCCAGAGAAGCAGAGATAACCACTCTACGGAGAGCTAGAGATAGAGATAGTGACAGAGAGAGGATGAGACAGTGGTTGAGAGAGACAGAGAGGGAGGTTATTTTTAAAAATAAAGATGTGTAGAAAGAAACAAGAAGAGATGAAGTGCTCTGACATTGTTCATCTCTCTGATTCTAGTTATCCCCAGGTCCCTTCCAGGGCAGTGAGTATTTGTCATTTCCCATCTCTTTGTAATCAATTCCATTTTTGATTTAGAAAACTCTAACTGGATTTCTATCACTTCCATTCAGTTTAATTTTTTTCTTTTTTTTTAACAAAAAGCATAGTAGAGTATTTAGGCTTAAAACTGGCTCCTGAAGTACTCAAGTCCTAATCTCTGGAACCTATGAATGTTACCTTATAAATCAAAGTTGCTTCGCAGATGTGATTAAGCTAAGGATCTGATGATGAAGAGGTTATCATGTATTACCTCAGTGGGCCCTGAATTTTATCACAAGCATTCTTATAACAGGGAGGCAGAGGTACTAGGAACAATCATAAGCCAATAAGCTGGAAATCCTAGAAAAAATGAAATGTTCTCTAGAAACATACAATTGACTAAGACTGAATCATGAAGAAAAAGAAAATCTGGACAGACCTGTAACTAACATGGAGGTTACATAAGTAATCAAAACCGTTTCAGCAAAGAAAATCCCAGAACCAGATGGCTTCAGCGGTGAATTATACCAAATATGTAGAGAATTAATGCCAAGCCCTCTCAAATTCTTTAAAGGAATTACAGAGGAGGTAACACTTCCAAATTCATTTTGTGAGACCAGCATTGTTCTGATACTAAACCAGACAAAACGCTACAACAAAAGAAAATTACAGACTGATATCCCTGACCAATATATAGTACCTCCCCCTTATCCACAAGGGATATATTCCAAGAGTCCCTGTGTGAAACTGCAGATAGTTCTGGACTATGCATATATATATATATATACAGTTCATTTTATGTATGACATTATATATATAAATGAACTATACAGAGAGAGTTCTTTTTTATATATAATTTTTTTTCCTGTACATACATACCTGTGATAAAGTTTAAATTATAAATTAGGTATAGTAAGAGGTGAAGATGAACAACAATAACAAATAATAAAATAAAACAGTTATAACAATGTACTATATTAAACGTTGTATAAATGTGGCCTCTCTCTCAAATCATCTTATTGTTCTGTTCTCACCCTTCTTATGATGATGTGAGATGATAAAATGCCTCCATGATGAGATGAGTAAGGTGAATGGTGTAGGCATTGTGACTTAGTGTTAGGCTACTATTGACCTTCTGATGATATGTCAGAAGGAGGAACATCTGATTGAGGTGATCCTGGATCACTGAGCCATGATGATCCTTATGTTAGGATGTCAGGAGCAGATAATATTGATAACTAACAGGCAAGTAGCATACACTGCATGGTTACCTTGAAAACAGGAATGATGGATGTCCCAGGTAGGATGGAGCAGGTCGGCACAGGTATCACACTACTCAGAATGACACACACGTTAAAATTCATCAATTACTTATATCTGGAATTTTCCATTAATATCTTTGGGCCATGGTTGGCCATGGGTAACTGAAATCGCAGAAAGTGAAACCTCATGTAAGGGAGGACTAATGTACGTGCGAAAATTCTCAAAAAATACTAGCAAACAAAATTCAACAGTACATTAAAAGGGTCATATACTATGACTAAGTAGGATTATCCCTGGGATGCAAGGATGGTTCACCATATGAAAATCAATGTAATGCAGCACATTAACACAGTAAAAGGTAAAAACAGATTATTGTCTTAACAGATGAAGAAAAAACATTTGACAAAATTTAACAAACTGTTAAATAATAACAATTTGTTAAAACTGTTAAAACCCTCAACAAACTAGGAATAGTAAAAACTACCTCAATATAACAAAGGCCATAGATAAAAGCCCGTAATAAACATCATACTCTGGTGAAAAACTGAAAGCTTTTCCTCTAAAATCAGGAGAAAGTCAATTATTCCCACTCTTTCCACTTTTATTCAACATATTACTGAAAGTCTTAGCCAGAGCAAGTAAGCAAAAAGAAGGAACAAAATAAATCAAATTTTGAAAGGAAAAAGTAGAATTATCTCTGTTTGCAGATGAAATGACACCATAAATAGAAAACCCTAAAAACTCCACTTAAACACTATTAGACCTAATAAAGAAATTCAATAAAGTTAGGATACAAAGTCAACATACAAAACTCAGAAATATTTCTACACGCAAAGAACAAACTATCTGAAAGGGAACTAAGAAAACAATTCCATTTACAGTAGCATGATAATGAATAAAACACTTAAAAATAAAACAACTAAAAAAGCAAAAGACTTATGTGCAGAAAACTACAAAACATTGATGAGAGAAATTAAGGAAAACACAAATGGAAAGACATTCTGTGTTCATTGATTGGAAGGCTTAGCATTGTTAAAATGTTCATACTTTCCAAAATTATTTACAAATTCAATGAAATCCTCCTCAAAATCCCTATGGCATTTTTTTACAGAAATAGAAAAGACAATTCTGAAATTTATATGAAACCACAAAAGACTAGAAATAGCCAAATATCTCTTTTCTCTCTCATGCAGTTTCTGTTTCTTTATTCATTCATTCATTTACTTTTTAAGAACATCTTTACGTGGTGTTTGCTTTCTATCTCTGTATTCATTTTCCAAGGCATTTTATTTTTTTAAATTAACCTTTAAATTTATAATTGACACATAATAATTGCACATATATATGGAGTACGATGTGATGTTTCAATGCATGCATACATTGTACAATGATCAAAGTGGAGTAATTACCATATTCATCACTTTAAATCATTTTCACATCTTTGTGATAAGATTCAAAATCTTCTAACGATCTTGAAATATACACTATGTTGTTATGTGCTATAGTCACAATATTGTGTAATAAAACAACAGGAATTACTCTTCCTGTCTAACTGTAACTTTGTATACCAAATAAATATTGATTTTTTCAAAAAAAAACTGGAGGCATCACACTTCCTATTTTCAAAATATGTTATAAAGCTAAAGTAATCAAAACAGTATAGTATTGGCATAAAGACAAACACATAAACCATTGAAACAAAATAGCCCAGAAACAAATTAATGCATATAGGCTCAACTGATCGTCAATAAGAATGCCAATAATACATAATGGGGAAAGATCATTTCTTTAACAAATGGTGTTGGGAATATATGCATGCAAAAATACCTGGACATCCACATGCAAAAAAGTTGTACTGTGTTCTCATACCACACACAAAAATTAATTCAAAATAAACTCATGACATAAATGTAACATCTGAAATTGTAAAATTTATCAAAGTAAACACAGGGAAAAAACTTCATGACATTAATCTTGGCAACAATTCCATGAATATGATATTGATAGCTCAGGCAACAAAAGCAAAAACAGACTAATGAGATTACATCAAACTAAAAAGCTACTACACAACAAAGAAGACAATAAGCAGAGTGAAAAGTTAGCCTATTAAATGGAAGAAAGTATTTGTAAACCATATATCTGGTAAAGGATTAGTCTCCAAAGTATTTTTTTAATTCCTACAAGGGAATAACAGAAAACTAATAATCTAATTTAAAAATGGGCTAGAGATTTGAGCGAACATTCCCCAAAGAAGATATACAAATGGTCTCAAGTATATAAACAATGCTCAATGTCACTAATCATCAGGGAAATGCAAGTCAAAATCACAATGAGAGGGAAGAGGCAGAGCAAGATGACCAAATAGAAGCCTGCAGCAATCGTCTCCCTCACAGGAACACCAAATTGAACAACCATCCACACAAAAAAGCATTTTCATAAGAACCAAAAATTAGGTGAGTGATCACAGTACCTGGTTTTAACATTATATTAAGGAAACAGGCACTGAAAAGGATTGGAAAGACAGTCTTGAATTACTAACCCCACCCCTCCTTTATCCCCTGGCAGTGGCTATGTGGCACAGAGAAAATCTGTGCACTTCAGTGAGGGAGAGTGCAGTGATTGTGGCACTTTGCATTGGAACTAATTGCTGCCTCTCACAGCAGAAAGCAACATGGGGCACAGCTTAGCTGGAGCCCATGGAGGGAGCATTTAGAAAAGCCCTAGACAGAGGCAAATCACCCATTCCAGTAGTCAGAAGCTGAGTTCTAACAAGCCCTACAAGCAGCAGCTAAAGTGCTCTGCTGTGCTGGGCTCAGAGCCGGAGAATTTGGGGTGCGCGCAAACTAGCAAGACACTAGCCAGGAGTAGCCAAGTGAGTGAGTGCTTGCATCGCCCCTCCCCCAACCGCGGGCAGTGCAGGCAGCTCACAGTTCCAAGAGAGGCTCCCTCCTTCCGCATGAGGAAAGGACAATAGTACAGCGAACTTTGTCTTACAACTTACTCAGCCACAGTAGAATAGGGCAGCGGGCAGAGTCCTGAAGTCCTCATTCCAGGACCTAGCTCCCAGAGGGTATTTCTAGATACACCCAAGGCCAGAAAGCAACCTATTGTTTTGAAGGTAATCACCTCACCTTGTCAGGATTTACCACTTCCTGAATAAAAGAAACCTTGGGCCTTGAATAATCAGCACGTGGTGGCCAGGTGGTACTTGCTGTGGGCCGTGGTTTCAGGTGTGACCCAGCACATTCTCAGCTGTTGTGGTTACAGGGAGAGGTTTCTTTTGCTTGAGTAAAGGAGTGGAAGGAGTAAAGGGGATTTAGTCTTGCAGCTTGGGTACCAGCTTGGTCACAGTGAGGTAGAGCACCAAGCATGCTCCTGGGGTCCCTAATTTCAGGGCTTGGCTTCTGGATGACATTTCTGTACCTCCCCTGGGGTGAAGTGGAGGTCACTGCCTTGAAGGGGAAGACCTAGGCCTGGCAGCATTCACCATGAGCTAAAAACCCTCAAAAAATAGGTTATAGAAGGAACATACATCAACATAATAAAAGCCGTATATAACAGACCCACAGCTAATATTGTAAGTGGGGAAAACCTGAAAGCCTTTTCTCTAAGATCTGTGTATTAGTCTGTTCTCCCATTGCTATAAAGAACTACCCGAGACTAGGTAATTTATTAAGAAAATGGGTTGACTCATAGTTCCACAGGCTGTACAAGAAGCCTGACTGGGGCAGCCTCAGGAAACTTACCATCATGGCGGAAGGCAAAAGGGAAGCAGGCATGTCCTACATGGCTAGAGAAGGAGAAAGAGAGAAGTAGGAGGTGCTACACACTTTCACAAACAACCAGATCTTGTGAGAAATCACTCACTATCATGAGAATGGCAAGGGGGAAATCAGTCCCTTCTTCCACCAGGCCCCTTTTCCAACACTGGGGATTACAATTCAACATGATATTTGTGCGGGGACACGAACCCAAACCGTATCATTTGGGTAAGACAAGAATGTCCACTTTCACCACTGTTATTCAACGTATTATTAGAAGCCATAGCTAGAGCAATCAAACAAGAGAATGAAATAAACGGCATCCAAATTGGAAAGGAAAAAGACAAATTATACTTGTTTGCAGGTAATATGATCTTATAATTGGACAAACCTAAAGACTCCACCAAAAAACTATTAGAACTGATAAATTCAGTAAAGTTGCAGGATTAAAAAACATATACAAATTAATATATGTTAACATCACACAATTTGAAAATCAAGAATGTAATCCTATGTACAATAGCTATAGACAAAATAAAATATCCAGCACTAAACTGAACCTAAGGAAAGAAAGCTCTCTACAATGAAAACTATAAAATATTAATGCAATAAATTAAAGAGAACACAAGAAAATGGAAAGATAATCCATGTTTATGGATTGGAATAATTAATATTGTGAAAATATTCATGCTACCAAAAACAATCTACAAATCTAATGCAATTTCTATCAAAACACCCATTACATTTTTCACATAAATGGAAAAAACATTCTAAAATTTCTATATAACCCCAAAAGGCCCAGAAAACAAAAGGTATCTTGAGCCAAAAGAAAGAACTTGAGGAATCACATTACCTGACTTCAAATTATGCAATAGTAAACAAAACAGCATGGTACTAGCATAAAAAGATACAGAGGTCAATAGAACAGAACAGAAAACCCAGAAACAAATCCATATATCTACAGTGAACTCATTTTTGACAAATGTGCCAAGAACATACACTGGGAAAAGACAGTCTCTTCTCTGGGGAAAAGACAGTGCTGAGAAAATAGGATATCCACAGGCAGAAGAATAAAATTAGAACACTATCTCTAGCCATACACAAAAATCAACTCAAAATGGATTAAGGATTTAAATCTAAGACCACAGTCTATGAATTTATTAAAAGAAAACATTGGGAAAACTCTCCAGGACATTGCTCTGGACAAAATTTCTTGAGTAATTCCCCACAAGCACAGGCCACCAAGGCAAAAATGGACAAATGCGATCAGATCAAGTTAAAATCTTCTGCAAAGCAAATGAAACAATCAACGAAGTGAAGAGTCAAACCACACAATAGGAAAAAAATATATGCAAACTAACCATCTGACAAAGGATTAATAACCTGAATATATAAGGAGCTCAAACAACTCAACAGGAAAAACTCAAATAATTTGATTAAAAAATGGGCAAAAGATCTAAATAGACATTTCTCAAAAGAAGACATGCAAATGGCAAACAGTAATATAAAAAAGTGCTCAACATCACTGATCATCAGAGAAATGCAAATCAAAACTACAGTGAGATACCATTTTATCCCAGTTAAAATGGCTTTTATCCAAAAGACAGGTAATAATAAACGCTAGCAAGGATGTGGAGAAAACGGAACCCTCGTACATTGTTGGTGGGAATGTAAATTAGTATAGCCACTATGGAGAATAGTTTGGAGGTTCCTCAAAAAACTAAATATAGAACTAAAATATGACCCAGAAATCTCACTGCTAGGTATATACCCAAAAGAAGCAAAATCAGCATATTGAAGAGATATCTGCACTCCCATGTTTGTGGTAGTAGTATTCACAATAGCTAAGAGTTGGAAGCAACCTAAGTGTCTATCAACAGATGACTGGATAAAGACAGTGTGTGCATAAACACAAAAACCCAATGGAGTACTATGCAGTCATGAAAAAGAATGAGATCCTGTCATTTGCAGCAATAATGGAACTTGAGGAAGGACATTATGTTAAATAAAATACGACAGGCACAGAAATACAAACTTCACCTCTTCTCACTTACTTGTGTGAGCTAAAAATTAAAACAATTGAACACATGGAGACAGATAATATAATGATGGCTACCAGAGGCTGGGAAGGGACTCAGGGAGAAGTGGGGATGATAATTGATTCAAAAGTACAGTTAGCTAGAATGAATAAAATCTAGTATTTGATAGTACAACAGGGTAAGTACAGTCAACACTAATTTACTGTATATCTTAAAATAAAAGAGTATAATTGGATCGTTTGTAACACAAAGGATAAATGCTTGAGGTAACAAATATCTCATTACCGTGACGTGATTGTTATGCATTATAGCCTTTATCAAAATATCTCATGTATTCCATAAAATATACACCTGCTATGTACCCACAAAAAGGGAAAATTAAAAAATCACAACCAGATATTACCTCACAACTGTTAGGATGGCTATTTTTTTAAAACCCCAAAGAAAACAAGCACTGGAGACCATGTTGAGAAATTGGAACATTTATACCACTATGGAAAACAGTATGGAGGTCCTTCAAAAAATTAATAATAGAACTATTGCATGACACAGAAATCTCACTTCTGGGTATTCTTTATTTAAAAGAATTAAAAGCAGGATCTCAAAGAGATATTAGCACTCCTATGTCATAGTGGCACTATATCCAATAGCCAAGATGGGGGAAAAAATCTAAATATCCACGAACAGATGAATGGAAAAAGAAAATTATAGTATATGTGTGTGTGTGTGTGTGTGTGTGTGTGTGTGTGTGTATCATGTAACATTCAGTCTTAAAATAGAAGGAAATTCTGTAATATGAGACAACATGAATGAAAGATGAGGACATTGTGCTAAGTGAATTAAGCCAATAATCCAAAGAGAAATATTGCATGATTCCACTTAAATGTGGTATACAAATCAGTCAAGTTTATAAAATCAAAGACTGGGAGGAGGAGCCAAGATGGCCGAATAGGAACAGCTCCAGTCTACAGCTCCCAGCGTGAGCAACGCAGAAGACAGGTGATTTCTGCATTTCCATCTGAGGTACCAGGTTCATCTCCCTAGGGAGTGCCAGACAGTGGGCGCAGGTCAGTGGGTGCATGCACTGTGCGCGAGCCCAAGCAGGACGAGGCATTGCCTCACCTGGGAAGCGCAAGGGGTCAGGGAGTTCCCTTTCCGAGTCAAAGAAAGGGGTGACGGACACACCTGGAAAATCGGATCACTCCCACCCGAATATTGCGCTTTTCAGACTGGCTTAAAAAACGGCGCACCACGAGACTATATCCCACACCTGGCTCGGAGGGTCCTACGCCCACGGAATCTCGCTCACTGCAAGCCCAGCAGTCTGAGATCAAACTGCAAGGCGGCAGCGAGGCTGGGGGAGGGGTGCCCACCATTGCCCAGGCTTGCTTAGGTAAACAAAGCAGCTGGGAAGCTCGAACTGGGTGGAGCCCACCACAGCTCAAGGAGGCCTGCCTGCCACTGTAGGCTCCACCTCTGGGGGCACGGCACAGAAAAACAAAAAGACAGCAGTAACCTCTGCAGACTTAAATGTCCCTGTCTGACAGCTTTGAAGAGAGCAGTGGTTCTCCCAGCACGCAGCTGGAGATCTGAGAACCGGCAGACTGCCTCCTCAAGTGGGTCCCTGACCCCTGACCCCCGAGCAGCCTAACTGGGAGGCACCCTCCAGCAGGGGCACACTGACACCTCACAAGACAGGGTATTCCAACAGACCTGCAGCTGAGGGTCCTGGCTGTTAGAAGGAAAACTAACAAACAGAAAGGACATCCACACCAAAAACCCATCTGTACATCACCATCATCAAAGACCAAAAGTAGATAAAACCACAAAGATGGGGAAAAAACAGAACAGAAAAACTGGAAACTCTAAAACGCAGAGCACCTCTCCTCCTCCAAAGGAACACAGTTCCTCACTAGCAACGGAACAAAGCTGGATGGAGAATGACTTTGACGAGCTGAGAAAAGAAGGCTTCAGACGATCAAATTACTCTGAGCTACGGGAGGACATTAAAACCAAAGGCAAAGAACTTGAAAACTTTGAAAAAAATTTAGAAGAATGTATAACTAGAATAACCAATACAGAGAAGTGCTTAAAGGAGCTGATGGAACTGAAAACCAAGGCTAGAGAACTACGTGAAGAATGCAGAAGCCTCAGGAGCCGATGCGATCAACTGGAAGAAAGGGTATATCAGCAATGGAAGATGAAATGAATGAAATGAAGCGAGAAGGGAAGTTTAGAGAAAAAAGAATAAAAAGAAATGAGCAAAGCCTCCAAGAAATATGGGACTATGTGAAAAGACCAAATCTACGTCTGATTGGTGTACCTGAAAGTGATGGGGAGAATGGAACCAAGTTGGAAAACACTCTGCAGGATATTATCCAGGAGAACTTCCCCAATCTAGCAAGGCAGGCCAACATTCAGATTCAGGAAATACAGAGAACGCCACAAAGATTCTCCTCGAGAAGAGCAACTCCAAGACACATAATTGTCAGACTCACCAAAGTTGAAATGAAGGAAAAAATGTTAAGGGCAGCCAGAGAGAAAGGTCCGGTTACCCTCAAAGGGAAGCCCATCAGACTAACAGCAGATCTCTTGGCAGAAACCCTACAAGCCAGAAGAGAGTGGGGGCCAATATTCAACATTCTTAAAGAAAAGAATTTTCAACCCAGAATTTCATATCCAGCCAAACTAAGCTTCATAAGTGAAGGAGACATTAAATACTTTACAGACAAGCAAATGCTGAGAGATTTTGTCACCACCAGGCCTGCCCTAAAAGAGCTCCTGAAGGAAGCACTAAACATGGAAAGGAACAACTGGTACCACCTGCTGCAAAATCATGCCAAAATGTAAAGACCATCGAGACTAGGAAGAAACTGTGTCAACTAACGAGCAAAATCACCAGCTAACATCATAATGACAGGATCACATTCCCACATAACAATATTAACTTTAAATGTAAATGGACTAAATTCTCCAATTAAAAGACACAGACTGGCAAATTGGATAAAGAGTCAAGACCCATCAGTGTGCTGTATTCAGGAAACCCATCTCACGTGCAGAGACACACATAGGCTCAAAATAAAAGGATGGAGGAAGATCTACCAAGCAAATGGAAAACAAAAAAAGGCAGGGGTTGCAATCCTAGTCTCTGATAAAACAGACTTTAAACCAACAAAGATCAAAAGAGACAAAGAAGGCCATTACATAATGGTAAAGGGATCAATTCAACAAGAAGAGCTAACTATCCTAAATATATATGCACCCAATACAGGAGCACCCAGATTCATAAAGCAAGTCCTGAGTGACCTACAAAGAGACTTAGACTCCCACACATTAATAATGGGAGACTTTAAGACCCCACCGTCAACATTAGACAGATCAACGAGACAGAAAGTCAACAAGGATACCCAGGAATTGAACTCAGCTCTGCACCAAGCGGACCTAATAGACATCTACAGAACTCTCCACCCCAAATCAACAGAATATACATTTTTTTCAGCACCACACCACACCTATTCCAAAATTGACCACATACTTGGAAGTAAAGCTCTCCTCAGCAAATGTAAAAGAACAGAAATTATAACAAACTATCTCTCAGACCACAGTGCAATTAAACTAGAACTCAGGATTAAGAATCTCACTCAAAACCGCTCAACTACATGGAAACTGAACAACCTGCTCCTGAATGACTACTGGGTACATAACGAAATGAAGGCAGAAATAAAGATGTTCTTTGAAACCAACGAGAACAAAGACACGACATACCAGAATCTCTGGGACGCATTCAAAGCAGTGTGTAGAGGGAAATTTATAGCACTAAATGCCCACAAGAGAAAGCAGGAAAGATCCAAAATTGACACCCTAACATCACAATTAAAAGAACTAGAAAAGCAAGAGTAAACACATTCAAAAGCTAGCAGAAGGCAAGAAATAACTAAAATCAGAGCAGAACTGAAGGAAATAGAGACACAAAAAACCCTTCAAAAAATCAATGAATCCAGGAGCTGGTTTTTTGAAAGGATCAACAAAATTGATAGACTGCTAGCAAGACTAATAAAGAAAAAAAGAGAGAAGAATCAAATAGACACAATAAAAAATGATAAAGGGGATATCACCACCGATGCCACAGAAATACAAACTACCATCAGAGAATACTACAAACACCTCTATGCAAATAAACTGGGAAATCTAGAAGAAATGGATAAATTCCTCAACACATACACTCTCCAAAGACTAAACCAGGAAGAAGTTCCATCTCTGAATAGAGCAATAACAGGCTCTGAAATTGTGGCAATAATCAATAGTTTACCAACCAAAAAGAGTCCAGGACCAGATGGATTCACAGCCGAATTCTACCAGAGGTACCAGGAGGAACTGGTACCATTCCTTCTGAAACTATTCCAATCAACAGAAAAAGAGGGAATCCTCCCTAACTCATTTTATGAGGCCAGCATCATTCTGATACCAAAGCCGGGCAGAGACACAACCAAAAAAGAGAATTTTAGACCAATATCCTTGATGAACATTGATGCAAAAATCCTCAATAAAATACTGGCAAACCGAATCCAGCAGCACATCAAAAAGCTTATCCACCATGATCAAGTGGGCTTCATCCCTGGGATGCAAGGCTGGTTCAATATACGCAAATCAATAAATGTAATCCAGCATATAAACAGAGCCAAAGACAAAAACCACATGATTATCTTAATAGATGCAGAAAAAGCCTTTGACAAAATTCAACAACTCTTCATGCTAAAAACTCTCAATAAATTAGGTATTGATGGGACGTATTTCAAAATAATAAGAACTATCTATGACAAATCCACAGCCAATATCATACTGAATGGGCAAAAACTGGAAGCATTCCCTTTGAAAACTGGCACAAGACAGGGATGCCCTCTTTCACCACTCCTATTCAACATAGTGTTGGAAGTTCTGGCCAGGGCAATTAGGCAGGAGAAGGAAATAAAGGGTATTCAATTAGGAAAAGAGGAAGTCAAATTGTCCCTGTTTGCAGACGACATGATTGTATATCTAGAAAACCCCATTGTCTCAGCCCAAAATCTCCTTAAGCTGATAAGCAACTTCAGCAAAGTCTCAGGATACAAAATCAATGTGCAAAAATCACAAGCATTCTTATACACCAACAACACACAAACAGAGAGCCAAATCATGAGTGAACTCCCATTCACAATTGCTTCAAAGAGAATAAAATACCTAGGAATCCAACTTACAAGGGATGTGAAGGACCTCTTCAAGGAGAACTACAAACCACTGCTCAAAGAAATAAAAGAGGATACAAACAAATGGAAGAACATTCCATGCTCATGGGTAGGAAGAATCAATATCGTGAAAATGGCCATACTGCCCAAGGTAATTTACAGATTCAATGCCATCCCCATCAAGCTACCAATGACTTTCTTCACAGAATTGGAAAAAACTACTTTAAAGTTCATATGGAACCAAACAAGATCCCGCATCGCCAAGTCAATCCTAAGCCAAAAGAACAAAGCTGGAGGCATCACACTACCTGACTTCAAACTATACTACAAGGCTACAGTAACCAAAACAGCATGGTACTGGTACCAAAACAGAGATATAGATCAATGGAACAGAACAGAGCCCTCAGAAATAACGCTGCATACCTACAACTATCTGATCTTTGACAAACCTGAGAAAAACAAGCAATGGGGAAAGGATTCCCTATTTAATAAATGGTGCTGGGAAAACTGGCGAGCCATATGTAGAAAGCTGAAACTGGATCCCTTCCTTACACCTTATACAAAAATCAATTCAAGATGGATTAAAGATTTAAACGTTAGACCTAAAACCATAAAAACCCTAGAAGAAAACCTAGGCATTACCATTCAGGACATAGGCATGGGCAAGGACTTCATGTCTAAAACACCAAAAGCAATGGCAACAAAAGCCAAAATTGACAAATGGGATCTAATTAAACTAAAGAGCTTCTGCACAGCAAAAGAAACTACCATCAGAGTGAACAGGAAACCTACAAAATGGGAGAAAATTTTCGCAACCTACTCATCTGACAAAGGGCTAATATCCAGAATCTACAATGAACTCAAACAAATTTACAAGAAAAAAACAGACAACCCCATCAAAAAGTGGGCGAAGGACATGAACAGACACTTCTCAAAAGAAGACATTTATGCAGCCAAAAAACACATGAAAAGATGCTCATCATCACTGGCCATCAGAGAAATGCAAATCAAAACCACTATGAGATACCATCTCACACCAGTTAGAATGGCAATCATTAAAAAGTCAGGAAACAACAGATGCTGGAGAGGATGTGGAGAAACAGGAACACTTTGACACTGTTGGTGGGACTGTAAACTAGTTCAACCATTGTGGAAGTCAGTGTGGCGATTCCTCAGGGATCTAGAACTAGAAATACCATTTGACCCAGCCATCCCATTACTGGGTATATACCCAAATGACTATAAATCATGCTGCTATAAAGACACATGCACACGTATGTTTATTGCGGCATTATTCACAATAGCAAAGACTTGGAACCAACCCAAATGTCCAACAATGATAGACTGGATTAAGAAAATGTGGCACATATACACCATGGAATACTATGCAGCCATAAAAAATGATGAGTTCATGTCCTTTGTAGGGACATGGATGAAATTGGAAATCATCATTCTCAGTAAACTATCGCAAGAACAAAAAACCAAACACCGCATATTCTCACTCATAGGTGGCAATTGAACAATGAGATCACATGGACACAGGAAGGGGAACATCACACTCTGGGGACTGTTGTGGGGTGTGGGGTGGGGGGAGGGGGGAGGGATAGCATTGGGAGATATACCTAATGCTAGATGACGAGTTAGTGGGTGCAGCGCACCAGCACGGCACATGTATACATATGTAACTAACATGCACAATGTGCACATGTACCCTAAAACTTAAAGTATAATAAAAAAAAAATAAATAAATAAATAAAAATAAAATCAAAGACTGAAATGGTGGTTGCCAGGGACCAGGGGGAGTGGTGGGGTGTTATAAACCAATTGACATAAAGTTTTAATCAAGCAAGGTGAATATGTTCTAAAGATCTGCTATACAACATGGTAACTATAGCCAACAATACTGTATTGTACACTTAAAAACGCATTAATAAGGTAGATCTTATGTTAAGCGTACTTACCACAATGAAATAAAATTAATAAAGTTGTTTTTAAAGAGATAATCAGAGAGAGATTTGACTACAGAAGATTAAGTCAATATTAAGACTAAAGCCAGATGCTGCACTGCTGCATCTTGAAATGGAGGAAGATGGAGGAAGGATCTATGGGTCAAGAAATGCAGTTTAGGAGCTGGAACAGACAAAGATAGATTCTCTCTGATATGGTTTGACTCTGTATCCCCACCGGAATGTCACCTTGAATTGTTATAATTCCCACATGTCAAGGGCAGGACAAGGTGGAGACAACTGAATCATGGGGGTAGTTTACCCTATACTGTCCTCTTAATAGTGAGTGAGTTCTCATGACATCTAATGGTTTTATAAGGGGTTTCCCCCTTCACTCAGCTCTCATTCTCTCTCCTCCCATCCTGTGAAAAGGTGCCTTCCGCTACGATTGTAAGTTTCCTGAGGCCTCCCAAGCCATGCAGAACTGAGTCAGTTAAACCTTTTTCTTTATAAATTACCCAGTCTCAGATATTTCTCTATAGAAGCATGAGAATGAACTAATACACTCCCCTAGGCCCAGTAAAAGTTATTCTAGACTTTTGACCTTTAGAGCTATGAAAGAATGAATGTATGTCATTTTAAGTCACTAAGATTGTGGTAATTTGTTACAACATACATTGGAAACAAATAAATAGAGTAGAGCATGAAGAAAACTTTTTTAATGGTACCAGAAAGGATATGTGAGGGGGTGAGTCCTTGTAAGAACATTGAGTGGTTAAATTAGAAATTATTACCTGAGGACCTTCATCTACTCTGTATGTGCCCAAGAACTAAGCTCTAATAACACTACCATTTCTACTCTAAGAAAAGGGATATGTGCAAATTTGGGTGCATATTCCTTGGCACTTTCCACCCTACTTTCCCATTAGCCCTAAACCCTAGGTAAAGTTCTTAGTAGCAAAGAGCTTTGCTCAATGAAATTATGCTACATGCAAAGATAGAGTTTAAAAAAGAAAAACAAACAAAATGTATGGGAAAATCAATTGCATAACATTGGAGTACCAGGAATTTGGAGCTTGATTATTTCTGACTTACAGCATTGATTTGTCACATTCTCATTGAGGTTGATTACTGCCCTAACAAAAATTGAGTGCTGATTTGATGGCCACTTTGGGCCTTCAAACTTGAATTTCAAGTACACACAATTGGGGCCATGCGATGGTTTCAGATTTGGCATTCCCACTGCTTCAAAGCACTTATGCTTTTTATTTGTATATAACATAGATGGAAGTTCATGGATATTTGAAACAATACTAGCAGCATAGTGACAGTGTTGTGGGGACACCCGAGATGACATATATAGAATATAGTCCATTCCATGAATATGTAAAATTGGTGGATTTAAGGAGAAGCAACTGAAACAAGATGGTAGACGGTCCTAAAGATAAGGAAACATTTGAGGTTTTTGCATACATATCAACTCTCTCAGATCCATATTGAAGCACTCAGCCTCAGCCCAGGATGCAGCTTTCTCTCAGGAAATATCTTTAAAGTGTTCAAGAAGAGCAGATTTAATAGATGAAATTTTTTAGCGTCTAGAGAAGGGTTCGGCTAAATTTGATTAGACGGTTTCTTTTTTTATTTAATGCTTGATATGTCAGCCAAAGGCAGTATTCAATTCCTTAGTGACTTGCTCTGCTAGCTGAGGCATTAGGCCAATTTCCTCAAATAGAACAAACCTGTCTTTTGCCCAAATGTTTGCTCAAGTGGTGACTGCATTGGTTTTTACACCAGTGAAAGGTTTGTTCTACTTTATTTATATTTTGTTGCAAGCTGTCTTCTCAAAATGTGTTTTATTTCATATTTGATCTTCAGGACATGACTGAAGCACAACATTTTTGTGCCCTGCTGACCAGAAGTCAGAATTTATTTAAATACTCAAACATCCATGCAGTTTATTTTAAGAGAGGCAGTATACCTGGTTTACTGATGCTCTTTTTGGAAATTCTGATTCACTGGGTTTTCTTTAAAAAATGCCATAGAAAATATTGGATACTTTTTATAACTAAATAAAAACTACATTATGAAATGTCTTACATTTAGCATTAATTGTGTCTTCTAAAGAATATACATTGAATATCCAGATGTTCAGGAATTAAACCAAGTGTAATGATCTACTTTTAAGACTTTCCTAGAATTAACATTTGAGTTTTGAGAAAAGTGATATTGTACATCTCAACTGAACTTTCCCAAAATCCAGAATAAACAAGACTGTTAACATTGTGAGAGGTGAGTTGGCAAGAAGATGAAGAAGAATCAATTAGGAACCAATTAGTAATTCGATAATAGAATCATAATATTAAATATCATCTATGAAAGAAACAATCATTTGCGATTGAGAACATGCTGAAAATGCAGTGGTAAAATCAATTCTCCGCTCTCTACAAGGGTCTTGGAATTGTTGGTAGAAGCAGCAAGTATTTAAACTGCAGCAGTCACAAAGCAATCATTGTAATTCAAGATTTCACTGAGGGGGAAGAAAGGTGATATTTTATGTGATGACTGGTGTTCTAATTAAGAAGGTACCATACTGAAAGACCCGTTTCATAAAATTAAAGGGCACTTCTAAAAGAGTCTAGAAAATGAACTGAGTTACTTTAAAAAGCGTTGTAAGTCATGCCCTGAGAGCTTGAAAAGGAATTAAGGTAAAAATAAATTTATCATGCAAAGAAAGTTTGTGAATTATTTGAGCCAGATGTCTAAAATTGACAATAATTTAGAAAAAAATGCCATTTTAAAAGTTTTAAAAAATGTTTCAATTTCAGGTTAGTTTGTTGAAAATACTTCACATGTATATAAAAATTAATCAGAGGTGTTATAAAAATATTTATGATTTTAAAATATGGATATTTATTCAAATGCATTTATGTAAAAATTTTTATATTAAAATTTGAAAATAATCAGAAAGAAGGACTGATTGACATAACACCCTGTACTAATAAAGCATTTTGATTGGCATATAAATTTGAAAGAAGAGGTATTCGAATTATAATCAAACATCTTTCATCCAAGAACATTATCACCTGCAAAGTAAATAACCATGAGCAATAATGGTTGTAGAAAGAATGCACTGTAAATCACAATGTAATAAAGTACTTCGAATTTCAGTTGATCAGTGCTTCCAAAAGCAATACAAGCAGTATTTTCACTAGCCTAAGTGATCTGCAGGAAAATACTTTTAATTTTCATTTAAAACCCTTTACCATGTCTATGACCTTCAACATGTAAATGGCAAAAGACGAAACGTGAAATATGATATGAAAGAAAATTGTATCCTATTATTCGTTGACATATTTCAATTGTTAAAAGATCCACATAAAAATAATATATCAAACTAGCTTTTAAGAAAAACCTTGTTCATCATCGTAATTGGCATATCCTCATGTCCAGTGGCATTCTCATTCTCTCCTCACTCCAGTACCCCACACCTGTCTCCGTAGCACACACTCTGATAGCCATTTGAGTAAAAGCCAAATAGATTTTACTTTCCAAAGAGAAAAAGAAATTTTCTTCTTGTGAAAATAGAAACTTGACAGGAAAACAGTGACATATAGGTAACAAATATTATTCAATATAAAATTATTATTATCCAGCAATTGTGAGGCAAGGTGTATTTACAGCTGTTTTGGCAGATTTATTTCTCTTTTAATCTGTCATTATAGCTGATCAGTGTTTTGAGTAATATTTTAAAATGCCCAGACATTGTTATTAACTTTCTTAGGTGTGATAATGACATTGTTGTTCTATAAGAAATTGAGTATACATTTTCAGGGATAGAAAGTTTGTCAGGATATCACTGAGAAGTGGATCTGTGGATTTGGTAGCAGGAAACTCTAATACTTGTTGAAAAAATAAAGCCGAAGAAGTTCAATGAATCAAATGTTGCATATGTGAAAACTACTTCAGGCCAGAACTTGTCAAGAAATATTTGAGTTTGGGCCATAATCCTGAAAGATACAATCTCCAATGTTAAAATCCTGAAGGATAAAAATCCCTAAGTTCCAAAATCCTGAAAATCACAATTCCAAATGATCAAAATCCTGAAAATATAATTCTGGAAAGAAATAATTTTAAAAATTCTTTCAAAGACATTTATTTTAATTTTTAAAAGGAGATTTATTTGAGAGACATTTAAAGACACAGCAGAATATGTCATAGGCCACTTGACACATAAAAAAGGCAATAATAATATACATATTTTTGCTGGCATAAACACTCAGGTATACTAATGTCAGTCCCACGGGTATGACAGTTATGAGTAGTCAAACCATATTCATAAAGAAATGGATCAAAAGGCAGGAGGTATAAATACATATCACTGTGGTTGGTAATTGTGTGCTCCTAGCTCTATAACTGTGATCATCTGAAATACTGTCATTGTCTTTTGATGAGATGGATCAAAAAACATAATGGGCCACCGCTGCATATGCAGTCACCCAAAGAGCTGAGATCTCAAGAAATTCTATCTTTCATAAATGCGGAATTACAAAAGGACATCTCTTCATTTATTGAGGAATCTTCAATATTTTTACATAGATACACAATGCTTACACACAAAGTAAACGTTAAGATCATTCCCTTTATAGAGTCAAATTTGCAAAAAAAAAAAAAAAAAAAACGCATGGGATAAATTAGAACTCTCTAAAAGTCTTTAAACAATTTGTACCCCAAGTATTAGAAATTATTCGAAGACAAAATACGTACCATTGCAAACTACAGAAAATAATGATGACAATTTAAAATAGTGGGAAAAAAACAAAAAAATAAAAAATTTGAAATATGAGAACATGTATTACAGAAATATATTATGGGCAATTATATGGAGGTAGTTCATAAAAGTTGTTACCAATAAAGTTTGTTTTTTGTTTTTTCCATTCAGCCCCATGCATTTGTTGGAAAATTTGAATTAGTGGATTGGCCATGCAATATGGCAACAGTGAATACTTCAGTGTAACAATGCATCAGTTTTCTGCATTGGCATTTCTTCCAGCTGATGAAATTCTGGGAACTTTTAATGAATTAAAATCACATTTGCCTAAAGAAGGCAGCATAATTACTGATGATTGGTTCAAAATTCACTTTTAGAAGCTAGCTCAAACCTACTTTCACATCTGTCATCATGATTTGGGAATTCAACTGAAATCTATTTTCCTCTGCACTGTCCACCAAATCTTCAAACAAACATTTATAAAGTGCTTCACATTTTTCCTAGTCATTCATATGTAAATGAGATGATAAGTTCTACAATTTCTCGATCCAACAGAGATATCACTTATATAGTTGATTTAAAAAAACAGCAACAGTTTTGAAAGTGCCATCCATTAGCAAAAGTGAATGCAGCATGCACTAGCTTTTCTAAGTTAGATTTAGTGGTAAATACAAAGTCTACCTTCTTCAACAGTCTAATTCCTTACCAAGAATAGGTCGCCATTTGATGTGTTTTGTAACATTGGAGGAACCTCTATATCATCAAATGTCTTTGCTTCAGAAGGTCTCTGAGCTTTAAAGTTTTTTTTAATCCTCTGACAAAGGGTATTTGTTTGTCTTGTTCTTTTAGAGACAGGGTCTCTCTATGTGGCCCAGGTTGGAGGATGAAGAGCAGTGGCTATTCACAGGTGCAACCGTAGCACACTACAGCCTTGATCTGGGCTCAAGCAATTCTCCTGCCTCAGCCTCTGGAGCAGCTAGGACTACAGGCGCAAGCCACCACATTTGTCTTGAAGGGCATTTTTTGAGGGCAAGCCTGGCACTATGCGTGAATAGGCAGAAGTCACATATGATTGAATAATTTATCAGGGAAGATTTCTTGTATGTTTTGCCTGTGTTTTCTCTCCTTCTGTGATCCCAGAAACACTCAAAACATTGAGGGCAGATCTTTCCCACTTACTTCACTCAGACTCACATACTAATCTCCATCGGACCCACCCTCACAGACACACCCCAAATAATACTATATAAGGTTTCTAGGTATTCCTTAATCCAGTCAAGTTGACACTTAAAATTAAGTCCACAAATTTACATCTTCTCAACTTGGCACCTGTATACATCTCCCTCCATCATACTTAATTTCCAATAAGGAAAATAACAAAGTAATAGTTCCACCTAACATGGTGAAACTGATATGATGAAGCTACCTTGTATAACTCCAAACCCACTCATCCTTTCTCCAGAATTCAACTTTCAAGATTTCAACATTCATATTTTAATCTTTTGGACTGTGATGTTTAGAATTTTAGATGTTAGGAGATTTGAGGGATTTTATCTTTCAGAAATCCAACATTTGGGACTGTCTTTCAGAATTCTGAATGGTACCACATATATTCATAGTATTCATAGCATCAATAAGTATGCCCTTGATTTGCTTTCAACATCATGTAAGAATCAATATCCAACCAGATCTAATAGGATGGACAATGAGATGAAAATAATACAATCATCTACTTTTTATGGGATAACCTTTTAATTAGATTTTTCTTAAAAAGCTGCCTGAGTTCCATGATTTCCATGTATTCAGGAGTTATTTTCACCAGTATGTTGTTCAATTCCACAGGTTAAGCCTTCTTCATTATTATTAAAAACTTTAGATATTAGAGAGGTTGCTATTCCTTTCTTTTTCGCCTTTTAGGATAGGCAGAGGCAGACTTGCTAAATTAAAGCTGACATCTCTAAAGGCTTGCAACAAGAATATCCCCACAATGATTATAAAAAGCCACTCAAAGTATCAATGACATTATCAACAGACATACCTTGACATGGCTTAAAAAGAATAGCTGAACAAGTTAAAACTAATGTTGTAAAAAATACTTCATGTATTGGAGTCACTATAAAATTGTTGAATATATTCAGGGCCTTATTTAGGTAATTAATCTGTGGGCTCACACAGACAACAAAGCTCAGCAGCGAAATCATGTCAGGGCACGTCAAAGTCCAGGCGACAACTCTTTAATAGCAATGCCTAAGCCCTTCACACAGAAGACTGAAAATGCTCCAATTACAGAGTCAATGGTTATATACACAAGAACATTTATCTGTCCATGGCAAAGTCCCACTATAGAGATTAATAATCAGGGACACAATGACCACGAGTGTTGCAAACACCACAAAACCTGAATCACCTAGCTTGTGAAACATTTCCTATAAGTTCTCTAACCCCTCTTCTTTTAAAGCATGGCAGACTGACCATAACTGTAGATCCTAGAATACTTAGCAACTACCCAATATTCCCATGAGATTAAGTCATTCATTTAAAAAGTATGAAGAAAGAGTAGCACTTTCTCAGTCTCCAAGAACTCCTAATGGAATCACTGATGTGGCTCGTGCAAATGCATCAGTAACATTGGCCATCTCCCCAGCTCTCATCAACAAGAATTCCATCTACAACCTCCATTCTCTAAAATGTGTATGACCACCTTGACCAGTTGTCATGAGGCTTTTCTCACAAGTCGCAGACCATTTTTTTTTCCTTTTGGAAAATGAAACTCCCTCCAGTGAAAATATTAGAGCTCATAGCCAATCCCAGACCGATATAAAAGTTATCTTTTCCATGCCCCTGGCTTATTTCATTTGTTACTTTAGAGGTTCTTGTGAATCACATTGACCACAAAACAGAAAAACTGTTAGTACTGAAGGAAGGATGATTCCATCTTCATAGAGTTTGAAAAGAGAAAGAACATCAGTGAGAATGTCCTAAAAGGAATGAACTCTTTGCTATTCTCAGACCTGGGAATTCTCCACTTTCAACCCTTGGAACTGAAGCTCTTGTAACTGAAGGGCAATCACAGTTGGGAGAGCATGTAAATTTAATATGGACACTCTCCTGAGAAAACAGCTGGGAGAGGTTAGAGGTGACTTATTTACTTTCGTTTCATCGTAAACATTACTTGTTATTCCCATTTAAAGCTTTAAATCCTAGCTGTTTAGCTTTGGCCCCAGTTGGCAGGCTGCCACATAGCTTTCCCTCTACCACCCAGCCCTAGGTCACCTAGGCTCACATGCAGCCACAGAGACTGCAAGGGTCACCCCCACCAGCGCTGATATGTCCATCACATCCATTGCAGTCCATTGGGAAGTACTAGCATCCAGGCTGCAGCCTGCTAGAGGGAGTGCCTAAGGAACCTGTCCTAACTCTCCACGACTAACGGCAGCCACCCAGGAGGAAGAAGACACATTTAATAACAAAAAAATTATTAGAGTCCAATAAATGTAAAAAGTCTTCATATTTACTGTAGATTTTTTAGAGAGGTTTAAAGTTTTAGTTGACTGAAAAAGATTTGAATGCATTGTTTGACAAAGAAGGAAGTTTTGGGATGAAGAAGAGGAAAGACAGGTGGGAAGGAAGAAAGGAATAATAATTTTCTTTGAATTCTTTAACAAATTTCTTTTTTTACTACTTACTAAGATATGAATTGTTCATTAAAAAGGATGTATGTGTTTGCATGCTTCAAAGAATAATGACCAAAACACGCATTCATGTCCTTACCACCTTATTTAAGAAATAAAGCATCAACAACTTTGAAGCCCACTCTGCTCCTCCCCCACTCGCTTTCCTCTACCTCATCCTTCTATGACAGAGAGAAACACTGCAACATTTTGTGTCTATCACTTTCTTTCCTTTTAAAACATTATTGGGTCACTGATATAGTATACGTACTGAAATATATTGCTTAGGTTTGCAATTTACGCAAAACATTTTTTGAAGTTTACATAGAAGACAGCACGATATATGCATATTTTTACCACTTGCTTCTTTTCATTGAAATTAAATTTGTGAGACCTATCCATGTTGATGCCTGTAGACTGTGTTCATTCACTTGTATTGTGATACTGTATTCCATTGTGTGAATATGTCACAGTTTATATGAAAATTTTACTGCAGATGTATGTTTGGATTATTTCTCAAACAAGGACTACAAAAAAGACATCTATGAAGGTTCTTGTGCATGTTTTCTGGTACACATACAGAAGAGATTCCTCAGTGTTCATGCTAAGAAATGAAATTGCTGGCTCTGAGGGTGCATGCATTATTGCTTTACTGGATAATTTCAAATTGCTTGACAAGTAAATTTTGAATATGCACAATTTGAGGATGAGTGTTCTTTGTTCCTCATTTTTATCTATACTAATACTGTCATATTTTACAACTTTTGGCATGTTTGCCAATCTTGAGGATATAAAATGTAACATTGCTGTTTTAATTTGCATTACAGTTATTACTAATAAGATCAACCATGTGTTTAAGTCATTATTGGTAATTCATGTTGTCTGTTATGTGTGCTTTTAAATCTTCTTCCTTTTCGATTTGTCAGAGAATTTTTATTTGTTTATTTTTACTTACTTATTGATTGATTTTTAGAGATGAAGTCTTGCTCTGTCACCCAGACTGAGAGTAGTTGCATGATCAGAACTAACTGCAGCCATGAACTCCTGGGCTCAAAAGATCCTCCCACCTCAGCCTTACAAGTAGGGCAGGGGAATACAAGCACGTGTGACTATGCCCAACTGAGAAGTTTTTAAATACATGATTCATTTTGCATGTATATTTATTATATATATCATGTGTATTTTACATACACACACATATCTGTGTATTTATACATAGTCACACATATCTTATCCCAGAGTGTTGGCTACTATTTGTATTTGCTTTATAGTACATTTTTTAAAAATTGTGGTATGAACAATTAACACCAGATCTACCCTCCTAACAAATTTTTACCTGCACAAGACAGTATTGTTTACCATAGGTACAATGTTGTATGGCAGATCACTAGAGATTATTGTCTTGCTTGACTAAAATTTTATGCCCTTTCATTAGTAACATCCCATTTTCCCCTTTTCTCCAGCCCCTGGAAATCACCATTCTATTCTTTGATTTTATGAACTTGACTGTTTAAATACTTCCTACAGTTAAATCACGCAGTATTTGTCTTTCTGTGACTGGCTAATTCTACTTAGCATAATGCCCTCAAGGTTCATACATGTTATCACTTATTGCAGAATTTCCTTCTTTTTCAAGGCTGAATAATATCCCATTGCATATGTGTACAACACATTTTTAAAAAATCCATTCATTTCTGACATTTACATTGTTTTAATTTCTTGGCTATTGTAAATAGTGCTGTTATGAGTATGAGAGTACTAAGTCTTCTTTGAGGTGCTGATTTTAATTATTTTGGATAAATACCTGAAAATGGAATTGCTGGGTTATATGGTTCTATTTTTAATTTTTGAGGAAACTCCACACTGTTTTCCATAGTGGCTCCACTATTTTACATTTTACCAAGAGTGGAGCAAATAGGGTTCCAATCTCTCTACGTCCTCTCTAACTCTTGTCTTCTGTTGCTTTTTTATAATAGCCATCTTGACAAGTGTGAGGTGATATCTCATTGTGATTTTGATTTGCATTTCCCTGACATTAGTAATGTTGGGCATTATTTCATATAACTCTGTAAGTCTTATTTGGATAAATATTTGTTCAAGTCCTTAGCCCATTTTTCAATTGGCTTGTTAGCTTTTGTGCTATTGAGCTGTGTAGGACTTCCTTATATATTTTGGATATTAACCCCCAATCAGATATATGGTTTGCAAATATTTTCTTCCATTTTATAGGTTGCCTTTTCACTCTGCTGATTGTCACCTTTGCTGTGCATAAGCTTTTTAGTGTGATATAGTCCCACTTGATTATTTTTGCTTTTGTTGCCTGAACTTTTGGTGTCAGAATTACGAAATCATTCCCAAGACCAATGTCATGAAGACTTTGTGTTTTCTTCTATGAAGTTTATAGTTTCAGTCTTATATTTATGTCTTTGATGCATTTTGAGTTGATTTTTATGTCTGGTGTAAAATAAAGTGTCTAATTTCATTCTTTTGCATGTGGATATCCAGTTTTTCTAACACAATTTGTTGAAGGGACTATCATTTCCCTATTAGATATTCTTAGATCCCTTGATGAAGATCAGATGACCGTATGTGTATTGATTTGTTCCTGGGCTCACGATTCTGTTCCATTAGTCTGTATGTCAGTACTATAACATCTTGTTTACTTTAGCTTTGTAATATATCTTGAAATTAGGAAATATGATGCCTCCATCTCTGTTCTACTTTCTCTGGATTGATTTGGCTTTTGTGGTTCCATATGAATTTTATTTTGTTTTTTCTTGTTTTTTTTTTTCTTAACCATTTGTGCTGCCTAGAACTTCCATTTTACAGTGAATGAAAATGTTAGTAATATGCATCTTTGTCTTGATCTTGATGTTTAATGTGAATGCTTTATGCTTCCTCTTTGAAAATGATGCTTTTTTGTGGATAACTTTAGTAAGAATTTGTTTAAATTCACTATATAAAAGATATTTTAATCATAAATGGTCATTAAATTTCATTCAATTTTTTTAAATCTATTGATATGGTTATCTTATTTTTCTTTTTTCATTATGGAATTTTGAGAAATAGATAATGCAGAATTAACCTTCTATTACTGGATAAAATTTAAATTGGTCAAGATGTATACCCTCTTTATATATTTCTGAATTCAGTTATTGAAAACTTTTGTATCTGTGCTGAAAATTAGATTCTGGATAATTTGTTTTCCCCATATAGAATTTTTTGTTATTATAATTATTTGTCACATTGATTTTGTTTATCAAGGCTAACGTAACATCCTAAAAGAGTGGAAATCTTGATTCTCTGAAAAAAGAATTGTATAAAGTTGGAATTATCTCCTCACTGACTATTTGGTAAAAGTTGCCTAAAAAAAAACAAACCTGATGTTTCTTTCATGATAATTTTTTAAATAGTTAATTCTATTTTTTTTAGTTTCTCCCTGAATGAGTTTTGGCTATATAAGAATATACACTTAGCCCTCCATATCAGTAAGTTATACATCCCGTGGATTCAACCAACCTCAAATCACAAATATTTAAAAAAATACAAATAAAGAAACAAAACAGTATAACAACTATTTACATAGCATTTATATCATATTAAGTATTACAAGTAACCTAGAAGTGATTAAAAATATACAGAAGACTCCTCTGTGAAGCCCTCCCTGATTCTCCCAGGCAGAATTAGAGACACTGTCAGCACTTTGAAAAGAACAAACCTGCACGTTGTGCACATGTACCCTAGAACTTAAAATATAATAATAATTTTAAAAGGCCCCTATTCTAAAAAAGAAAAGAAAAGAAAAGACCCCTCTATATGCCACTTGGCATTTGATTTCTATGTCTACTTGTATATCTCTCAGTAGTCTGCAAGTAATTTAAGAGCAAAAGCCGGCTTATTCAATCAAAAATCCCCAACATTCATCAAAATGCCTGGCACACAGTAGGGCTTAATAAACACTGACAGAATGAATAACTAAATCTTTTCCATTTTACTGTGGTTTCTACTATCTAAAATATAATCCAAAATATAATTTTTATGTGTCTGCTGTTGTTATTCCACATGCCTGAGCTATAATTGGAGCTCAATAAATATTTGCTGAGTAAAAAAATACACACAAACACACATACAAACACACAGGTGGATGTGTGTACACTATATGCAAATACTATGCCATTTTATATGAGGGACTTGAATATCTGGATTTTGGTGTGTGCTGGGATTGCTGGAACTTAACCTCTGTAGATACCAAGGGATGACTGTAGTTTTTGGTCATGTTTCCCTTTCAATAATGCTTGCAAATGTATTGGCATAATATGTGAAGAATTGAGAAGGATCTGACAGTTTACCTAACTTCCAAGATAAAAAGTTAGCCAACCAGAGTTTCATAGATTCCAGCAGAATACATAAGAACTGAATCAGAGACAAAGGACAGATTTTTTTTTTTAATCACAGCAATAGCAAAAGTCAGAATATCAGCATTTTGGTGCTGGCTTCCCAAACCCCAATTCTCACAGGGCAAACATAAGGGCCAGGTGACACCTATTCAAGAAGTGGGTTACAATATAAAAAACAAATTCTGAATTTAAAAACCCAAATCTTTTGTAATGAGCAAAGAATGCCTGACCTTTGTATGAGTGAGAGACATTATCTCCATCTTCCAAAGCTGTAAGCAAAGCCATATTTTGCCTTGAAGAGAAAAGCTTTCTCTCTCTAAATTAGTTTGTTTGCTATGAATCATCATACATCCTTGAAAGATTGTATGTACTTCTGGTTACAGCTGTAACATGTAGAGGACTTCAAAGTCATGACAATCATTCTCACAAGAAAAAAGCTGATCAGGCTAAAAGTCAATGACTTTTCTTGGACCTATCAGAAAATTGAGGCTATCAGGCAAACCATCACACTGAAATACAGAAAGGCAGATGAGCATAGTATCTCACAGCTTATTGGGAGAGAAGTCACTAGAATCAGTAAGCAGTAGGAACAATTAAATTGCACTGTGATGAATTGATGGAGGCCAATCAGAGGTTAGCTTGAGAGTTAGGAAATTCTGGGGGCCCAGTATTAAGGGATAATCATATTTTCATATGTTTCACCTCCAGAAACACATTCTCACTGTACAGATTGGAGAAAAATTTCCTTATGTTTTGAGCAGAAGGAAAAGTAACCATTTGAAATACTCCCAGGGGAAAAGTAATTGGTTTAAAATACTTACAGAGCATTTTCCATAATAAAAACCTATCCTCTATGAAAAAATCACTTTACTAGAGCCTTATCAGGCCTGGGAGAAGGACAGTTAGAAAACTCTAGCCCCCTGTAGCCTCCCTGTCTTACATGAAGGAAGAAAATTTAAAAGGCAAGGAAAGTCTTTCAAAGTTCACAAGATATGTCAGAAACAATGCAACCAGAATGAGACTGGAGTGAAAGTTTTAGAGTTGAGAGAAAAAAATCCTACCAACTTAGAAGTTTTTATTCAGCAAAATCATCTTCCAAAGGAAAGAAAAACAAAGACTTCTTTTTTAACCACAAATAAAAACTGAAGGTTGGGGAATTTCTTACAAGGTGATCTGCCTTACAAGAAATGTTAAAAGAAGTTAGAGAGAAGGAAAATGATATAGGTTACAAACTGAGATCTGCATAAAGACAGGGAGAACAATGGGGCAGAAACAAATGAAGAGAAAAAACAAAATATTTTCTTTTTATTTAAATTGATCTAATCATTTATTTCAAAGTAATACTAGTAAAAATTTATTGGGTAATTATAAGATATGTAAAAGTGAAATAAATGAAACAATGTTACAAAACAAGAAGGAAGAATTAAGAATACTCTGTTAGGAGATACTTGCATTACATGTGAGTAGTATAGTTTTATTTTAAAGTGGTCTTAGATTAGTTACAAGTGTATAATGCAGACTTTAGGGAAAACAATAACATTTTTTAGAAAAAAGTATATTGATATGCTAATGAAGAAAAGGAAATCACAAAAAATACTCTATTAAAACCAGAGAAGGCCTAAGTAGAAGGGAAGTTTTAAAAAAGAAAAGAAATGAAGAACAAGTACAACAAATAGAAAATAGTTACAAACATGGTATTAATCCAACTATACAAATAACACTTTAAATGTGAATGATTCAAATACTCTAATTAAAAGACAGACTGCCCTCGCAAACAGCAAAACCCCACTATATGTTTTCTAAATAAGACCCATTTTGAATATAAAGACACACAGGGACCAAAATAAAGAGATGAAAAAAGATATACTAGCAATAATCGAAAGAAAGCTGGAGTAGCTCTATTAATTTTATAGAAAGCAGACTTCAGAGTAATGAAACTATCAGGGATAAAGAGTAGCATTACATAATGACTAGGAGGTCAATTCCCTAAAGACAAAATAATCCTTAATACACGCATGCGTAACAACAAAGCATCAAAGTATGTGTGGCAAAAAAATAATAGAGCTTCAAGAAGAAATAGACAAACTCACTATTATAGTTAAAGACATCAACACCCCTCTATCAGTAATTGACAGATCCAGCAGGAAAAACACAGGTAAGGACAGCATCATTAGTAAATTGGATCTAATTGACATCTAAAGAATAATTCATCCAACAACAGCAGAGTGCACATTCTGCTCAAGTTAACACGGAACATTCGCCAAGATAGACCAGATGCTGTTTCATAAAACATATTTTAACAAATTTAAAAGAAAAGACACTCAGAACCCAGTAGAATTGAAATAGAAACCAATAACAGAAAGATAGCTAGAAAAATCCTAAAATATTTGGAGATTAAATACACTTTAAAATAACAAATAGGAAAAAAAGGGGGGTCTCTAGTGTAATTAAAAATATTTTGAACTAAATGAAATACTACTTTTCAAGATTTGTGGGAAAGCAGTGTTTACACAATAATTTATAGCATTGAATGTGTATTTTAGAAAAGAATAAAGATCTAAACTGATAATCTAAGCTTCCACCTTAAGAAACTAGAGAAAAAGAGAGCAATATAGTCCTGCAGAAGAAAAGAAGTAATAAAAATCAGTGCAGAAATCAATGAAATTTCAAATAGGAAATGAACAGAGAAAATCAATGAAACCAAAAGCTAGTTGTTTGAAAAGTTGAATGAAAATGATAAACCTACAGACAGGCTAGCCAAGAAAAAAGGAAGGAAGACACAAATTATAAATCACAGATGTCAAAAACAAAAGAGTGGTCATCAATACCAATCTCATGGACATTAAAATGACAAATATGAACAACTGTATTCCCACAAATTTGATAAATGATAGAAAATGGGCCAATTCCTTGAAAGATACAAACTATCAAACCCATGCAAGGAGAAATGCAAAATTTCAATAGGCCTATATCTGGTTTTCAAAAATGTAATAATTAGTAACCTTTCAAAAAAGAAAGCACTAGGCCCAGATAATTACATTGGTGAATATTACCGAACATTTAAGAAAGAAATATACAATTCTCTACAATCTTTCAGAATATAGGAGAAAATTGAACACTTTCTAATTTTATGAGACCAGCATTACTCTGATACCAAAACTAGACAAACATTCCAAGAAAGGAAAACGACAGTCATACATCTCTCATGAGCATAATTGCAAAACTGGTCAACAAAATACTTATAAATTGAATCCAATAATTTATAAAAATAATTGTATCCATGACAAAGTAGTATTTATTTCAGACATGCAAGGCTGGTTCAACATTTTAAAAATCACCTAGTGTAATCTACCTCAGCAGGTGAAGGAAGAAAAAATCATACGCTCACATCAATAGAAGCAGAAAAAGCCTTTGAGACAATCCAACATTGATTCATGATATTAAAAACTACCAACAAATTAGAAATATAAAGGAAATTCTTTAACTTGATAAAGAACATCTATGGCTAAGCTCATACTCAATGGTGGGAAATCAGATGCATTCCCCTTATAATCAGGAACAGAAAGTTTTTTCCCTGTCAGCACTTTTATTCAAAATTAATAGGTGTCCTAGTTACTACAATAAGAAATGTGTTCAGTTTGGGAAGGAATAAATAAAATTGTCTTTTTTCCACAAATGATATGATTGTCTATGTAGAAAATCCAGACAAAATAAAAAAAAACCCTCCTGGAACCAATAAGCAATTATAGCAAGATTTCAGGATACAAGATTAACATACAAAATCAATTGCTTTTCTGTGTACAATAGAAGAACAATTAAAATTTGAAATTTAAAAACACAAGAACATTTGCATTAACACTCCTAAAATGAAATACTTAGGCATGAATCAAGCAAAATATGTACAGAATCTATATGAGGAAAAAGTACAAAACTCAGATGAAATAAATTCAAGATCTAAGTGTGTGGAGATACATTTCATGTTTACAGATAGGAAGACTCAGTAGTGTTAGTATCCCAGTTCTCCCCAACTTCTCTTACTGATTCAACTCAATCTCATTCAAAATCCCAGAAAATGATTTTGTTGATATTGACAGAGTGATTCCAAAGCTCACATGAAAAGGCAACAGATCCAGCATAGCCAGCACAATACAGAAGAACAACAAAGTCAGAGGACTGACACTACCTAACTTCAAGATTAATGTAAAGCTGTAGTAATCAAGACACTGTGATAATGACAAAATAATAGACAAATATGTCAATGGAGCAGAATAGAGAGCCCAGAATTAGACCCACACAAATATCAACTGATCTTTGACAGCGGAACAAAGGCAATTAGATGGAGAATAGGTAGTCTTTTCAACAAATGGTGCTGAAATAATTGGACATCTATAGGCAAAAAACAAAACAAAACAAATCTAAACACAGATTTTCCTGCTTTGACAAAAATTAACTCAAAATGGATTATAGACTTAAATGTAAAATGCAAAACTGTAAAACTAGTACAAGATAACATAGCAGAAAATAATATTTGACACAGGACTAATATCTACAATGCATAAAGAATTCTCAAAAGTCAGGGTTAAAAAAACTAACAATCTGATTAGAAAATGGGCAGAAGACATGAACAGACAATTCACTGATAAGGGTATACAAATGGCGAATAACCACTTAAAAAGATGTTCAATCTCTTTACCATTAAGAAAATGCAAATTGATACCACAAAGAAATATCAGTACTCATCTATCACAAAAGCTAAAATAAAAACTAGTGATAATACCAAATGCTGGCAAGAATGGGAACAACAGAAATTCTCATTCAGTGATGGTGAAAATATAAAATGGTATAGCCACTTGAAAGACAGTTTGTCAATTGGTTACAAAGCTAAATACGTTCTTAACATATAATATAGTAATTGTGTGTGCTCCTAGATATTTACCCAATTAGTGGAAAATTTATATCCACACAAAAACGTGCTTATGAATATTTATAGCAACTTTATCTGTAAATGCCCCCAACTGAAAGCAAACAAGATAACTTTTCAATACATGAATGGATACACAAACTGTGGTACATCCACACAATAGAAGATTATTCAGCCACCAAATGAAATGAGCTATCAAGGCATGAAAAGACCTGTAGAAACTTTAAATGCGTATTGCTAAGTGAAAGGCACCAATCTGTGTGAATACAACTATATGAAATTCTGGAAAAGGTAAAACTATAGAAATAGCAAAAAAGTCAGTGATTTTCAGGAATTTGATGGAAGGCTGGGGATGAATTGATGAAGTACAGATAATAGGGCAGTGAAACTATTCTGTATATTCCATGACACGCATTTTTCAGAATCCATAGAACTGTACATCACAAAGAATGAAACCATGTAAACTGTGGACTTTAGTTAATAATAATGGATTAATATTGGTTTGTTAATTGTAAGAAATGTATCACTCTAATGAAAGATGTTAATAATAAATGATGAAGAGGGAGGGAAAGCACGCAGGGAGCCTCTGAACCATCCATTCAATTTTGCTGTAAAGCTAAAACTGTTCTAAAAAATAAAGATAGGCAGAAACAAAAAATGTCTGTTACTCGCAATATATGTAGAATGTGAGAGGCCTGTTAACCATAGTCCTAGAATATAATGATATAATATCTTATCTTATAGTGATCACTTAATTATCGATGCATTTGTATATACAACTTTCTCTTTATTCTGGATATTGTTTATTTCTTCCTCCTTTTTTTCTTTCTTTCTTGATTATATCCTACAAAGCTTGTTAACTGTATCAAACATTTCAAAGTACAACTTTTGTTTTTGCATTTACTCTCTAGATTGCCTTCTATTTCTCATTAACTTCTGCTCTTTAAGATTATGCTGGTATTGTTCCTTTTTTTTTTCTATAAAGATGAGTGGTTAATTTATTTACTGCAGTATTTTTCTTTGTTAATATAAGCATTAAAACAGTAATTTTAATCCAAGTACTGCTTTAGTTACATCACAAGTTTTTATATATTTTATTATTGTTTTAATTAATTTCTAAAAATTTAGTGCAATCTCGAATATTTAAACCTCTGAAATAAACACTTTTTGAAATTGTTTTATGTAGTCAATGTTTGCTGATATTTACTCGGACTTTTCTTATTTTACTTTTCATTCTTTTATGTATCTCGCCTTTTTCCTATGAATTATTCCCTTCCTACTGAAATGTATTCTTTAAAAGTTGCTTCAGCAAGGGTCTATTGGTAGTATTTTTTAGTATGGTTTATCTGAAAATGTTATTTTGCACTGCTTCTTAATGGAGGCTTTCACTAGATGTGGAATTTGAAGTTGACAGTTATTTTCTCTCATCACCATGACATTATTCCACTGTTTTTCACCTTTCAGTTTTGCTTGTAAAAAGCAAATTGTCTGTTGTTTTTAGCTTTTTTAAAGTCATCTGTCTCTGTTAACGAGATCCTTTAAAACTTTTTTTTTCTGGTCATTAGGTTTCGGCATGTTCCTTCTGATTTGCCTAGGTGTGGATTTATTTTTATTTGTCCTGTTTAATATTTGAGACTTTGGGAATTTAAGAATTTATATCCCTTTATCTAATTTTGGTCTTCTTGACAATTTCTCTTTCAGTATGGTTTTACTATCATTTCTTCCTTCTGGAACTCCAATTGACTTATCTTGGAAATTGTTATTATTCTGTACTCTAGGTCTCAACCTCCTTTTCAAATTTTACATTTTTTATCACTAAAATCTATCCTGGGTAATTCAGATCCATTTGCTGGTTAAAAAATTGTTTATCTAACTGTGTTAAATGTGATAGATATTCACTGAGTTTTGTGTTTTATTATATTTAGATTTATTTTCCTTCATCCCTTCCTTCCTTCCTTCTTTCCTTCCTTCTTTTCATCAAACATCTCTGGTCATTTTTCATAGTGTAAGATTTACTTTTTAGATATCATCTTTTACATTTTTAAAAATATTAAACATGATTACTTTATAGTCTATATTTAACATTCTATCAGCTACACTTTTTGTGGGACTGATCCAATTGTTTCTGCTGATTTTCAGAATGGCTTATTTCCTTGTCTATTACTTACCTATTTATTTGTGAACTCATATTTGTTGGAAGTCTATCTGCAGGTTCTTTAGAAGTTTGGGTTAATAATGATGCATTCTTTTTTTTTTTTTTTTTTTTTTGTAAAATTAAGATGGAGTCTGTCTGTCTCCCTGGCTGGAATGTAGTGGCACGATCTTGGCTCACTGCAACCTCCACCTCCCGGGTTCAAGTGATTCTTCTGCCTCAGCCTCCCGAGTGGCTGGGACTATGGGTGCATGCCACCATTCCCGTCTACATTTTTTTGTATTTTTAGTACAGAAGGGGTTTCATCATGTTGGCCAGCTGGTCTCAAACTCCTGGCCTCAAGTGATCCACCCACTTTGGCCTCCCAAACTGCTGGGATTACAGACGTGAGCCACCATGGCCAGCCAGTGCATCCTCTTAGAAACAATTTGTGTTTGCTTCTGTTAGGTATTCATGAGTTTTAGTCTGTAACTACTTAAAACTAAATTTCTGCTTGGGTTTTCACAACTAATATGCATATCCAGAAATGTACATGCTTCCTGATTTTTCTTTAGGAATTAGCAGAGAAGACATTGCCAAGATAGGCACAAATATATATTCATAATCTGTTGGGCAACAAGACATTTTCTAGTTTACTCTCTGAGTACATCATCTTCATAACGACATATTTTTCTGTAGGAATCTGTCTTTGTTCCTATTTTCTGTGATTGTGGCCCATTAAAACCCAGGCTTGAGATCATTCATAAACAGATGACACTTCCTCAGTGCTCATTTACTCTGTTTTCTTGTCATTTCTGGTCTCTGAGTAGTCACTTTATTTTATTGTCAGCTTATCTACGCATGAAAAAATACCATTATATAACATTTTATCTAGCATATTTTGGCATTCTGTACCAAAAGAAATTTATAAAACAATCTAATCTCCCATATTGGTATAAATGAAATGACATCCTACATTTTCATGGACAATAAATACTGCCATTTGAAACAGGTATTAGACATTTTTCTAGTTATTCCATAGGATCAATATAAGGCAGTTTTAAGAAATAACACTTTTTAACTAAAAAAATCAAGATGCAGAAAATTATGTATAATTTAATATCATTTTCATAGAATAGTAACCAATGTATGCACACACAGGTAGACACAAAAATATACACCAATATATATGTGTGTGTATATATACGTACATATATGAACACACGAATATACATATACATACACTTGTATGTGTGTATCTAAATGTCTGTATACAGTTAAATTGAGCATGTGTGTGTCTTAGTCTGTACTGTTGTAACAAAATACCAAATTCTGGGTAATTTATAAGTAATAGAAATTTATCTCTTAAATTCTGGAGGCTGAGAAGTCTAAAATCAAGGTACCAGCATGTGGTGTCTGGTGATGGCCTTCTTGCTGCATCCTCACATGGCAGAAGGAGCAAACATGTCCTCATGGTGGAAGGTGAAAGGGCAGAAAAGGGGCCTATTGCTATGTAAAGCCTCTTTTTAAAGTGCTTTAGAGGCTTAAGTTCATCATGGTGGACAGGAGGCAGGACTAGATTGCAGCTCAGACAGAGGAACAGAGCAGCATGCGGGGGCTTGCATTGTGAATTTTAGCTTCACACTGACTGCAAAAATAAACCAGAAATCCCAAGAGGACCCATAGGCCCTCTATGGGAAGCAGACTGATCTTGAAGGACCCGGGAGACACCCCAAATACTGTAAATGCCCCAACAGCAGAAATGGGAAAGGAAGAGCCTCCTTCCCAGAACACACACCTACACTGGAAAAACTGAAGGTCAGTCTGCAAGAGAAATTTCCGATCTTACCTGAAGCCAAGTCAATTTAGACAGCCAAGTGAAATACAGGGGTACAGGAAGGAAGAGCAAGGCCCTGAGAGCTTGCTGTGTCCCTAAGCATGCCATTCCTGCCTGGCACCACAGGGATCCACTGGGAGGGCAGCCAGAGGAGCAGGGGGTGGCGGGGAACACCACAGGGAGAGGGAAATCTCCAGCTGAATTTTGTAACAATTGAATGGACCAGAACTCCTGGCCAGAAATCAGGGCAGGGTGTAAATACGGTGTGCAGGCTCCACAGAGGGAGAAGAACCAAGCCCCTTTCTTTCACAGCTGGGAGGCAGGTAGCCGGGGGCAAGTTCTCAAGCCCAGCTTGTCTACCACCTGGAAACAGATGCAGGGCTATTAGGAGGGACAAGGTGGGTGTGAGACCAGCCCTTTGGTTTGCATGGGAGCTGCGTGAGGCCTGTGACTGCCAGCTTTCCCCTAATTCCCTGACAACCTGCATGACTCAGCAAAGGCAGCCATAATTCTCCTAGGTACACAACTCTGTTGACCTGGGCACCTCACCCCCATCTTCACAGCTGTTACATCAAGACCCACCCAAGGAAAGTCTGAGCTCAGACACGCCTAGCCTTTCCCCCACCTGATGGTCCTTCCCTACCCACCCTGGTAGCTGAAGACAAAGGACACATAATCTTGGGAGTTCTAGGGACTCAACCACCACCAGTTCCTCTCCATACTACCACAGATGATTCTCTCTGGAAAGCACCATCTCCCAGTAGGAAGCCAACCAGCACAAAAATAGAGCATTAAACCACCAAAGTTAAGAGCCCTCATGGAGTCCATTGCACCCCTGTGCACCTCCACTGGAACAGGCACTGGTATCCATGGCTGAGAGATCATAAACAGTTCACATCGGACTCTGCAGAGAGCCCCCAGTACCAGCTCAGAACCGGGCAGACTCACTGCATGGCTAGAACCAGAAGAAAGACAACAATCACTGCAGTTCAGCTCACAGGAAGCCACATCCATAAGAAAAAGGGGAGAGTACTACATCAAGGGTACACCCCACGGGACAAAAGAATTTGAACAACAGCCTTAAGTCCCAAACCTTCCCTCTGACAGAGCCTACCCAAATGAGAAGGAACCAGTAAACCAACCCTGGTAATATGACAAAACAAGGCTCTTTAAAACCCCCCAAAAATCACACTAGCTCACCAGCAATGGATCCAAACCAAGAAGAAATCCCTGATTTACCTGGAAAAGAATTCAGGAGATTAGTTATTAAACTAATCAGGGAGGCACCAGGAAAAGTCAAAGCCCAATGCAAGAATCCAAAAAAATGATACAAGAGGTGAAGGGAAAAATATTCAGGGAAATAAGCTTAAAGAGAAAACAATTAAAAATGCATGAAATATTGGACACAAAGAAACGCAAAATGCTCCAGAAAGTCTCAGAAATATAACTGAACAAGTAGAAGAAAGAAATTCAGAGCTCAAAGACAAGGTCATCGATTTAACCCAATCCAACAGAAACAAAGAAAAAAGAATAAGAAAATATGAACAAAGCCTAAAAGAAATCTGGGAATATGTTAAATGACCAAACCAAAGAATAATCCATGTTCCTGAAGGAGAAGAGAATTCTAAAAGTTTGGAAAACATATTTGGGGGAATAATAGAGGAAAACTTCCCCAGACTTGCTAGAGATCTAGACATCCAAATATAAGAAACACAAAGAACACCTGGAAAATTCATCATAAAAAGATCATCACCTAGGCTCATTGTCATCAGGTTATCCAAAGTTAAGATGAAGGAAAGGATCTTAAGAGCTGTGAGACAGAAGCACTGGGTAACCTATAAAGGAAAATCTATCAAATTAACAGCAGATTTCTCAGCAGAAACCCTATAAGCTAGAAGGGATTGGGGCCCTATCTTCAGCATCCTCAAACAAAACAATTATCAGCCAAGAATTTTGTATCCAGTGAAACTAAGCATCATTTATGAAGGAAAGATACATTCTTTTTCAGACAAACAAATGCTGAGAGAATTTGCCACTACCAAGCCACGACTACAAGAACGCTAAAAGGAGCTCTAAATCTTGAAAGAAATCCTGGAAACACATCAAAACAGAACTTCTTTAAAGCATAAATCACACCAGACCTATAAAACAAAAATACAAGTTAAAAAGCAAAAACAAAAAACAAAAACAAAGTACACAGATTGCAAATAGCATAATGAATGCAATGGTACCCCGCATCCCAATACTAACATTGAATGTAAATGGCCTAAATGCTCTACTTAAAAGATGTGGAACCACAGAAAGGATAAGAACTCATGAACCAACTATCTACTGCCTTCAGGAGACTCGCCTAATAAGGAATCACATAAACTTAAAGTACAGGGGTGGAAAAAGGCATTTCATGCAAATGGACATGAAATGTGAGCGGGGTAGCTATTCTTATATCAGACAAAACAAACTTTAAAGCAACCGCAGTTGAAAGAGACAAAGAGGGTCATTATATAATGGTAAAAGGCCTTGTCCAACAGGAAAACATCACAGTCCTAAACATATATGCACCTAACACTGGAACTCCTAAATTTATAAAACAATTACTAATAGACCTAAGAAATGAGATAGGGCCGGGCGCGGTGGCTCATGCCTGTAATCCCAGCACTTTGGGAGGCCGAGGCGGGCGGATCACGAGGTCAGGAGATCGAGACCATCCCGGCTAAAACGGTGAAACCCCGTCTCTACTAAAAATACAAAAAAAATTAGCCGGGCGTAGTGGCGGGCGCCTGTAGTCCCAGCTACTTGGGAGGCTGAGGCAGGAGAATGGCGTGAACCCGGGAGGCAGAGCTTGCAGTGAGCCGAGATCCCACCACTGCACTCCAGCCTGGGCGACAGAGCGAGACTCCGTCTCAAAAAAAAAAAAAAAAAAAAGAAATGAGATAGACAGCAACACAATAATAGTGAGGGACTTCAGTACTCCACAGAAAACACTAGACAGGTCATCAAGACAGAAAGTCAACAAAGAAACAATGGATTTAAACTAAACCTTGGAACAAGTGGACTTAACAAATATGTATAGAACATTTCATCAAACAACTGCAGAATACACATTCTATTCAAGAGCATATGGAACTTTCTCGAAGATAGACCATATGATAGGCCATAAAATGGGCCTCAATAAATTTAAGAAAATTGAAATTATATCAAGCACTCTCTCAGACCACAGTGGAATAAACCTAGAAATTAACCCCAAAAGTAACCTTCAAAAGTATGCAAATACATGGAAATTAAATAACCTACTCCTGAATGAGCATTGGGTCAAAAATGAAATCAAGATGGAAATTTAAAAATTCTTCAAACTGAACGACAACAGTAACACAACCTATCAAAACCTCTGGGAGACAGCAAAGGCAGTGCCAAGAGGAAAGTTCGTAGCCCTAAACACCTACATCAAAAAGACCAAACATCATTCTCAGCAAACTATCACAAGGACAGAAAACCAAACACTACATGTTCTCATTCATAGGTGGGAATTGAATAATAAGAATACCTGGACACAGGAAGGGGAACATCACACACTGGGGCCTGTCATGGGGTGGGGGCAGGGGGGGAATAGCATTAGGAGATATACCTAATGTAAAGGACGAGTTAATGGGTGCGGCACACCAACATGGCACATGTATACATATGTAACAAACCTGCACCTTGTGCACATGTACCCTAGAAGTTAAAATATAATAATAAAAATAAATAAATAAATACAAAACTAAAAAAAAAAAAAAAAGACCAAAAGAGCACAAATTGACAATTTAAGGTCACACCTCAAGGAACTGGGGAAACAAAAACAAACCAAACCCAAACCCAGCAAAAGAAAGGAAATAGCCAAATCAGAGCAAAACTACATGAAATTTAAACAAAAAAAATAAAAGATAAATGAAACTAAAAGCTGATTCTTTGAAAAGATAAATAAAATTGATAGATCGTTAGCAAATTAACCAAAAAAGAAGAGAGAAAATCCAAATAATCTCATTAAGGATGAAAACAGGAGATACTACAACTGACACCCCTGAAATACAAAAGATCATTCAAGGCTGCTAGGAATATGTTTATCCATGTAAACTGGAAAACCTAGAAGAGATAGATAAAGTCCTGGAAAAATACAACCCTCCTATCTTAAATCAGGAAGAATTAGATACCCAGAACAGACCAATAACAACCAGGGAGATTGAAATTGTAATTTAAAAATTACCATAAAAAAAAAAGCCCAGGGCCAGATGGAGTCACAGCAGAATTCTACTACATATTCAAAGGAGAATTCATATCAATCTTTTCAGCACTATTACACAAGATGGAGAAAGGACCCTCCCTAATTCATTCTATGAAGCCAGCATCACCCTAATGCCAAAAACAGGAAAGGGAATAGCCAGAAAAGAAAACTACAGACCGAGATCCCTGATGAACATAGATGCTAATATCCTTAACAAAATACTAGCTGGCCGGGCGCGGTGGCTCACGCCTGTAATCCCAGCACTTTGGGAGGCCGAGGCGGGCGGATCACGAGGTCAGGAGATCGAGACCATCCCGGCTAAAACGGTGAAACCCCGTCTCTACTAAAACTACAAAAAATAGCCGGGCGTAGTGGCGGGCGCCTGTAGTCCTAGCTACTTGGGAGGCTGAGGCAGGAGAATGGCGTGAACCCGGGAGGCGGAGCTTGCAGTGAGCCGAGATCCCGCCACTGCACTCCAGCCTGGGCGACAGAGCGAGACTCCGTCTCAAAAAAAAAAAAAAAAAAAAAAAAAAAAAAAAAAAAAACAACAACAACAACAAAAAAAAACAAAATACTAGCTAACCAAGTCCAACAACATATCAAAAAGATAATCCACCGTGATCAAGTGGGTTTCATACCAGGGATGCAGGGATGATTTAACATACTCAAATCAATAAATGTGATACATCACATAAACAGAATTAAAAACAAAAATCACATGATCATCTAAATAGATGAAAAAAAAGCATTTGACAAAATCCAACATCTCCTTATGATTAAAACTCTCAGCAAAATCAGCATACAAGGGAAATACCTCAATGTAATACAAGCCATCTATGACAAACCCACAACCAACATAATTCTGAATGGGGAAGTGTTGAAAGCATTCCCTCTGGAAAAGACAAGAATGCCCACTTTCACCACTCCTCTTCGACATAGTACTGGAAGTCCTAGCCAGAGCAATCACTCAAGAGAATGAAATGAAGGACATCCAAATTGGTAAAAAGGAAGTCAAACTGTCACTGTTTGCTGACAATATGATCATTTACCCTGAAAACCCTAAAGGTCCACCAGAAAGCTCCTAGAACTAATAAAAGAATTCAGCAAGGTTTTCTGATACAAGTTTAATGTACACAAATCAGTAGCTCTTCTATATGCCAACAGCGACCAAGCAGAGAATATAATCAAGAACTCAACCACTTTTACAATAGCTGCAAAAAAAAAAAATACTTTGGAATATACCTAACCAAGGAGGTGAGAGACCTCTACAAGGAAAACTACAAAACACTGCTAAAAGAAATCATAGACAATACAAACATATAGAAACACATCCCATGCTCATGGGTAAGTAGGATCAATATTGTGAAAATGACTATACTGCCAAACGCAATCTACAAATTCAGTGCAATCCACTTCAAAATACCACCATCATTCTTCACAGAATTAGAAAAAACAATTCTAAAATTCATATGGAACCAAAAAAGAGCCTACAGAGCCAAAGCAAGACTAAGGAAAAAGAAGAAATCTGGAGGCATCACACTACCTGATTTCAAACTATACTATAAAGCCATAGTCACCAAAAACACCATAGTACTGGTAGAAAAATAGGCACATAGGCCAATAGAACAGAATAGAGAAACAAGAAATAAACCCAAATATTTATAGTCAACTGATCTTTGGCAAAGCAAACAAAAACATAAAGTGGGGAAAAGACGCCCTTTTCAACAAATGGTGCTGGGATAATTGTCTAGCCACATATAGGAGAATGAAACTGGATCCTTATCTCTCACCTTATACAAAAAATTAACTCAAGGTAGATTAAGGACTTAAATCTAAGATGCAAAACTATACGACTATAAAAATTCTAGAAGATAATATTGGAGAAACCCTTCTAGACATTGGCTTCAGCAAGGATTCTATGACCAAGAACCCCAAAGCAAATGCAGTATAAACAACAATAAATACTTGAGACTTAATTAAACAAAAGAGCTTTTGTACTGCAAAAGGAACAGTCAGCAGAGTAAACAGACAACCCACAGAGTGGGAGAAAATCTTCACAATCTGTACATCTAACAAAGGACTGATATCCAGAATCTACAATTAACTCAAGCAAATCAGCAAGAAAAAAACAAACAATCCCATCAAAAAGTGGGCTAAAGACATGAATACACAAGTATCAAAATAAGATATACAAATGGCCAACAAACATATGAAAAAATGCTCAACATCACTAAGGATCAGAGAAATGCAAATCGCAACCAAAATCCGATACCACCTTACTCCTGCAAGAATGGCCATAATCAAAAAATCAAAATATAGTAGATGTTGGCATGGATGTGGTGATCAGGGAACACTTCTGCACCGCTGATGGGAATGTGAACTAGTACAGCCACTATGGAAAACAGTGTGGAGATTCCTTAAAGACCTAAAAATAGAACTACCATTTGATCCAGCAATCTAGTCATTATATGAAAAAGTTACTTGTACACACATGTTTATATCAGAACAATTCACAATTGCAAAATTGTGGAACCAACCCAAATGCCATCAATCAACGAATGGATAAAAAAGCTGTGGTATATTTATATACAATGGAATACTACTCAGCCATAAAAAGAAATAAATTAACAGCATTTGCAGTGACCTGGATGAGATTGGAGACGATTATTCTAAGTGAAGTAACTCAGGAATGGAAAACCAAACATCGTATATTCTCACTAATATGTGGGAGCTAAGCTATGAGAACACAAAGGCATAAAAATGACACAGTGGACTTTGGGGACTTCTGGGGAAGAATGGGGTGGCTGAAGAATAAAAGACTACAAATATGGTGCAGTGTACACTGCTCAGGTGATGGGTGCACCAAAATCTCACAAATCACCACTCTTTAGTAACTTACTCATGTTACCAAATATCACCTGTACCCAAATAACTTACAGAAAAATAAAAATAATAATTTAAAGTGCTTTAATCTCATTTGTAAAGGAGGAGCCTTCATGAACTATTCACCTCCTAATGTCCCTACCTCTTAATACTATTGAATTAGAGATCAAGTTTCAACAAGAATTTTGCTAGGGATAAAAGCATTCAAACCATAGCAGCATGCAATTGAATTGGGATGATACGTACTACATTGTTATCATGGATTCTCATGTTGGCATGGCTGATACAATAAAAGAGAGAGGATGGGAAAAAGAAGAATTAACCTAAAAACAAAGGTAAGTGGTGTGTGTGTGTGTGTGTGTGTGTGTGTGTGTGTGTGAGAAAACATGCTAAAATATGATATAATATTTATGTATTTGTGTAAAATATTGTATGCTTAAAGCAAAAGACTTATTCTTCCCATTCCCTGTGTAATAAAGATACAGACCACATATAGGTAGTCTACTGATTTACTAATGCATTTATAAGGAATCCAATAGTGACACCATTAACTGTGGAAAAATAATTTTCAGAGCACAAATACTTGATGAAGCTGTTTAGGAAGGAATCAAGGAGTGGGATGCGGGTGGGGATTGGCAAAGACAAGGTGACTTCTAAGTCTGAGATTCTTTTTGAGTATATTACAATTCTGACACTAAACATTTCCAAAGTAGAATATCAAGTCACTTCAATAACAGCACAAAAATCTTGGTTTTGTTGTATGCCTTGAATCTCAATGCAGCCTCAAAATTTATAGTGCCAATTGTGTTTTTCTATCACCATACAGGGTGCATCGCATATCCCAAAAGAGAGCCTACAATGTCATGTTAATTTAATCCCAGTGACTGAGCAGCTGAAAACCCCTTTGTTCTTTAAAGGATGTTTTGTGAGCAACTGGTGCAATACAATTTTGCTTTTGCTTTGAACAAGTCCCAATGTCACCTTTACTCTTTTACCAAGAGCTGCATTTTATTTGCCTGAGCAACAGTGGAAACCCTGTGTAGATGGGTTTGTAGCACGCTATGTCTTTGTGACTTTCTACTACAAAGAATAGGAGGTTAAACACGGTAATTCTAGCATTATACCCTAATTTCACAGTGCAGATTTTGTATTATTACTATAAATGTGTTTTTCCATTCCAGAGTGTGTTCCATGTGGGTTATTTCCTCATTGATGATCATAGTAATTTAAAAGGACTTGAAATTGGATGATCTTTTGTAGAAAGACTGATTTGGGCCAAGTTGGTAAAGAGATGAACACAATGAGAAAAAAGCCTTAGTAAAGGAAGGGATTAATTTAATTGCTGAGGAGTGTCCATTTCTTCAAATAATTTATGGATCAACAACATATGTTGCCTTGTTTACCCATCAGATACTGCTGGTGGAACTTCAGTCTTAATGTTGTTCTAGGAAAAGATAAAGTCACTATATCCAGTGTTTTAATTTTTATTTAAAAAACAAATACTTCTTAATAAACTGAATGGGATGTGTAATTTAAATTCTATTTGTACTTCTGAGACCAACTTTTACAGGATTCGAGTAAAATAAAGTAACCAGGGAAAGGCCCTCTTTCAGCCTATTCAATGTATCTTGCTCTCATTTTCTATAAAGATTTTATACATTTTGTTTTCTGTTTAAAATAGTCTCCTTCCTACCTCTCTAGTCCTCCTACCATATAATTCTTTCTTATCTAGCACAGTCCCATTTGACCTTCAGATTTTTATCTCACATCCATCTATAGGGAAGGAATTCCCTATTAGGGAAAATAATCATCTTCTCCTGGAACCATATACTTACTTTTATACTACAATTGTAATTTTACATTTGTTTGAGTGATAATATAGTTAAAATGTGTCTCCCCCATTAAACGTGAAGCTCCCTAAATGACGTGAATGTATCCATGTTGGAGGTAACTACTGCTTCCCAAAGTCAAACACACTGCCTGATGCAGGTGAGCTCTCAGTATATATTTATTGAATTTATAAACAAATCAATGATTACATAAACTCGCTAGTATCCCAGAACATAAATTATTCCTGTAATCTCATTCTTACAAGCTTGTTCTTATAAGCAAAATCAACCATCCTCCACCACAGGGCAGCCACTACAGAATGTTGTTAGTTTCTCTGTGCCATTCAATAGGACTTTCTCTGATGATGGAAATGTTTGTATGTCTAAGATCATCCTATGACAATCAATATAGTAGCCACATGTAGCTACTGAGTAATAGAAATGTGGCTACTGTCACTGTGAAAGTGAATTTTATATTTTATTTAGTTTTATCTTAATTGTTAATAGTCACATGTGACTAGTGACTACTGTATTGGAAAGCACAGGATAGTTATTAGATGACAAAATTTTTTCTTCTCATACTGGAAAATTCAGCAATAGATTGGAGACATGCTGGTGGGAGATAAAGTTTCACGATTAGTGAAGTCAGATAAACAACAAAACCACTCTCAACTTTTGTAGATAATATCAAATCTTAGCAACACCAGGAGAAAGTATCAGAAAAACGTAATAATATAACTTTGTTTTTCTATTTTCCCTTTATTCTTCTTCACCAATAACTAAAGTCAAGCACACTAAGGCTACACTATAATTACTCTTTCACAGTGTCTTCATTTCTGAAATCCAGTTCCAATTCAGCATCTTTGAGTAAATCTCCTCTGACAATTCTAGCCTCCAATGAACTCTCACTTTCCTAATCGCCTTGCATTTTTGGTGCTGTACAACAAGTGCTTTCTTTAATTAGTATATTCTTTATACACTGCAGCTGGAAAATGATTCTTAAAGCAGATTAACCTTTTAGGTTAATGGGCTTCTTTTGGTCCATGACTAACACAATGAAGAAAGAGTTAGCTCAATAACTTGAAAGGATTATAGCACTTCTGAGAGAACCTAGCCAGTACCCTGAGAGTTATTTACCCTCCAGGAGAAATTGACCACAGATGTGACTTCAAATGCACAAGGATATATTTGATTGCATTTTCACTCTTTACCTGTCTAAAATATGTTCTCATTATTGATCACCTCTCTCTCGTTTGAAATTCACTCCTTTCTTGGCTTCCTAGACACAGGTTGACCTTATTTTCTTCCCTATTTCTCTATAATTCTCTATCTCCTTTGCTTGCTTTCTATTCCCTCTTTTGTGCTAAGAAACTTGAGGCATTGGCCAGGCATATGTCTCTGTATCTGTCTCATTTTGCTCCTTTCTTTAAATGTTTCTCCTAAAGGGCACATTTTGTACATATTTCCTACCACTATTCAAATCTAAACTTATCACATCACATCTAAATTATTCCAATGCTCTCCAGACCATGAAGTTCCCCTGATTATAATCTGGGTTCCTGTGTAATTCATCCTGATACTGCTGGATCATGGTCTTCTCTAAGTGCTGTACTCATCAGGTAACTTCACTGTTGATTTCTTGGCAGTGGTTTCTTAATGACTGGAATCTCAGGTTCCAACTCCATATAGTTATATGAGCTACAAAACTCTTTAACCTTAATCCACACTCCCCTGGAGAGCCCATTAAAAGTTGCTACTACTACTTTTATGACTCATCTACTTACGCTAGGTGAGTCTTCCTACAAACAGCAAGCACACTACACTAATTGCTTCATTGTCTTGTCTTTCACATGTTGAATCTTCTTTGCTATATCTGTATTCTTATATAATAGCTGACTACATCATTCATCAAGGTCATGCTTGACTTATATTTTGCCCATAAATTTTCTCCAACTACTTGAAAATCCAGGAATTTTTTTCTACTTTAATGGTTAAAAATCAAATGGCCTTAGGGACAAGACACATAAGAGTAAAATGGGCAACATAAATTAGATAAAATCTTACTTTTGAATATTAAGCATGTAGGATTATTCTTTAATTTCTCCCCAGAAACCAGCTCTCATTTTAATCTAAAACACAAAGCTCTGTCAATTACTTAAATTCCCTTGTACTTCTGTTGGAGACACACTGCATGAGAGAAGCAGTAGCACAGTAAGGATGATCACTAGCCACTGATGCTCAACACATGTGTCAGCAGGACAACAGGGAGTGGTGGAGACTGTGATAACCTGAGAAGCACATGCTTATTCTGAAGGATACATTAATTTGCACCAGCTAATTGCCATAAGAAAATATGGGTCTAGTAATAGTAGACAGTATTGTCAGGAAACTCTAGGAATATTACTACTGTGCAAACTAAACCAAAAGCAGTTATGAGTGGGATACAATCCTTTTACACGAATCTGCTTTCCGTCTTGAAACTCCATAGTGAGGATGCATCTAAATAGTATTTGCTATTGTGAGCTAGTTACTACATATGTGAAGTCTCCTTTCACAAAGAGATCCTAAGTTCTATGAAGAAATAGTTCATGGTTTATATGTTTTTGATCTTTCTCTGTGCTTAGCACAGTGCTGAGCCCATGAAACTCAAAGTTACTTTCTTGTTTATTACCTGCTTATTTTTACTTTGGCTAACCCCAAATACAATACAACCTTGGATAATACAAATTTTCTACATTTGTTTCATATCAATCATTTAAAAATGTATATAAAGGACAAATTATATATGCTCAGTTCATTCAGTAACTATTGTCTAATGAATGAATGATATTCAACATATGAAACAGATTTATGAATTACTATGAGACAAAAGTGTTAATCATAGAGGGTTTTTTAAACTTCAAAAGCTAAATTGCCATAACATTGCTAGTAGGTTACTAAGTCACTCCCTAGTTAATGTCTGGAACTCACTAAATTATTAGGATCTGATTACTGGAATCAGAAGGGTATCAGATTGTTTCTAACTAAAATGATCTGTTGTAGATGTAGAGACCTGGAACAGTGATAATCACAGCCAAAAAAAAAAAATCTCAAATGGAAAATAACACTAGGAAAAACTGAATTCAGTGCATGTAAGAGGCTAAGGAGGGAAAGCATGTAAAGTAAGCCTACATATATCATACATTTTATCAACTTTCTACAGTACTTATAGGCATTCTTCTCAAAACTATTCTAAGTAACTAGAAAAGTCAAAATAAATTCAGAGAGCCCCAGAAAATATTTTGACCTTCTCAACTTGTTTTCTTGTCAAGTCTATACAAATTCTTAATTTGCCTTTGTAAGAAATATAACTTTGTAGTATCTGGAATGAGTTTTTAGTTACGGCAGGCTTAATATCACTACTGAAATTTAAAACAAATATTGTGCGCCTTAATTGTTGCCATTCTATATTTTAAAACATATTTACAATTATAAAAATGGGCTGCTGGTTACTAAATGTCAAAAATAGTTCAGCTACAACTGGGCCCAACTTGACCCTTAAAACTGCAAAAATTTATCAGTCATGAAAATACCTAATTATCATAGACAATGTTCAATAGGTTAATGTATGCTAGCCATTTTGTTATATCTATCCTTTCCTGGAACTCTTTGTTATGTGTTAATGTTTGATGTATTTCAAAACGATGACAAGTTTTATTTCTATTACCTACAGGAAAATTTTCTGACATGCCTGATTTCCCATAAGACTTATGTTTCACGAAAATTGAATATACTGCACAAGCTCTAGGTGAAACTTTCTCATTGTTGAAGCACTTTTTTAAAGTCAGAAACTCAAATATGGAAAATTAATATCACAGTTATGGATTTATTAATTTCAATGTACATTGAACATTGCTATTTATAAAAAGAACTGTTTGCTGCCTTATGATTCCATTGAAATAATTATGCATTAGAGCTCCTAGCCCAAGACTACTTTGGACGTTTGCATAATATATATAAATCTAGGTGGGGTTGGGAGGAAGTACAAGAGTACTTTTGACTCTTTTAATGTTTGTAACTTATTTTGCTTTAAAATTTGAAATGATAAGTAAGGAAAGAGAAAGGAAAGATATACCACAGAAGGAAACGAAGATAGAAAAGTTCAATTGCACCCTATCACCACAAATCTAAATGACCAAGACAAGGTACGAATTTTGCCTTCTTAATGTTTCTAGAAATTCTATCTCTTTCTATTCTTAATAACCGTGTTTCAATCCAGTACTCAATTCTTCGACTCAACAGTAATAAACTCCTAAGTGTGACTCCCATATCTCAATCTTTTCTTTTATTATGACTGAATCACCATCTAGCTTTTCCTTCCTTCCTTCCTTCTTTCTTTCTTTTCTTTCTTTCTTTTTTTTCTTTCTTTCTTTTCTTTCTTCTTTCTTTCTTTCTCTTTCTTTCTTTCTCTCCTTCTGTCTTTCTGTTTTTCTTTCTCTTTCTTTCCTTCTTTTTGCTTTCTTATTTCTCTTTTTCTTCTCCCTCTGCCTTCCTGCTTTCCTTTCCATCCATCTATCTTTGTTTCTTTTTTATTTTTGAGACAGCATCTTACTCTGTCACTTAAGCTAGAGTGCAGCGACCCAGTCGTGGCTACTGCAGTCTTAACCTCCTGGGTTAAAGAGATCACCCTACATCAGACTCCTTAGAAGCTGGGACTATGTGTGCCACCACACCAGGCTAATTTTGCCATTGTACATACAGGGTCTCACTATGTTGCCCAGGCTGGTCTTGAACTCCTAGCCTCAAGTGATCCTCCAGCCCTGGCCTCCCAAAGTGCTGAGATTGCAGGCATGAGCCACAGTTCCCAGCCTCACTATCTTAATACATAGCAAAAATTTGACCCCAACCAATCTTTACATTTCTATCTTTCTTCACATTTCTATCTTTCTTCAACTTCCACTTTTGAGTTTTGCAATTCCTAAACTCATAGTAGCTACCCCATGGGCACCATGTCATTTCACACATCCAAACTTATTCAAGTTTCCTCTGCCTGAAATCTGATTCCATGTTTTTTGTTTTTTTGTTTTCCACCAGGTTATTTCTTAGTGTACAAAATTTGTTCTTGGTCAACATCTGCCCCCGACAGCCTGCCTTATCTTACTCCCTCCCATACTCCACCCTCAGTTTAGATTGAAGAATTATATTTGTGCTTCTCTAACACCCTGGGTTTACCTCTCTCACTTTACTTACCACATGGCATAAGCTTTATGATAGCAGTGACCATGTCTGTCTAATTCTGGGCTATACATCTGTGCCTAGGGCTATGCTTGGCACATAGTAGGAACTCATTAAATGTTTGTTGAATGAAATAACAAACATGTCTCATTATGTGTCTGTCACCCAAGCAAATAAGATACTAATTTGGCTACATTCCTGTGGACAAGACTTCATCTTATCCCTTTCCTAACCTATCCCCAGAACCTAACACAGAAACTGGCACACAGTATGTGCTTAGTACATGTGTGTTAAACTGATCATTTTATTTTTCTCCTTTTGTTTCTTCAGGCTGAATTCTGATGTCTTCCCTCCCAAATGACATCTCACTCCCCATCTCTTTATTCTCTTCATGTTTTGTAGCACCCAATTGGCAACAGAGTAAGAGAAGAAGACTAATCAGTTTAGAGTCTGGCACACTTAACATCACAAAGTAAGAAGTAGGTTTGGAGGACATGAGGACAGGCCTATTTATCTTATAACGCAGCCAATGGAAAAGTGACCTGAACATCCCATTTCAGGACAAACAGGCTGTATGATCCCATCAGTTCCACACCAGTTACCTAGAAACTATAAAGAGCTTTCGTCAAGCCTTGTCCACCTCTCCTCTGCCCTACAGTGCTAGGTCAATAATGCCAATGTTAGAAAATATCTCCTTTGGGCCACAGCTTCTCTGGTCTGTGTGTGCCTCTTGCATTATCAGGGAAGAGGACAATGACTGTCCTGTCAGAAAAATACACCAAAAACAAAGGGAATGCACAGAAAACCACAGAAACCCCTACTAATATGATTTTTTGCAAACTTCTGGCCCTCTAGTCTCAGTAATCATGAAAATCCATAAAATGAAAGAATTAGAGAACCCTAGTGTTGTGAGAATGAAATGACATAACTGATTTTGCTTACAACATAACAAATCTCCAGTGATTCACATATTACTGTTGTTGTTGTCCCTGTATTGAAAGGGGCTTTATACTCAATTCGAGAACCAGCTAGCATTTCCAACAGCTTTCACTTAAACATATTCAGGGTCAGATCCTAGGCTCCAGCTTGGGTTTTCTCAAGGGCAGAAATAATGACATTAGGACCCACTAATCCTGTGTGTGTGGCGCTTTCCCGTGCATTGGATGATGTCAGTAGCAGCCCTGACGTTTACTCACTAGATGCTGACAGCAAAACCTCCCACTGAGTGGTGACCATCAAAATGTCTCCAAACATTGCCAAATGCCTCCTAGAAACAAAATTTCCCCCAGCTGAGAATGCTGATTTAAACTACCTTTCCCTCCACTATCACAGAGTTTTATTACTTAGATCATTTTTTTCCCTTACTGAACCAAATTTTGTCTCCTTGCAATCACAACCCATTAATACACAGCTTCACAGCATACACCTGTTTTTCACAAGTCAGATATTTGACAGTGAGGCTTTACATGCAATGCAGGCTAGACCTTTGTGTAAATTGGGGTAGCCTGTTGATGGCTTATCTTCTCAAATACTTAAATAAATGTGCAATAAGCATTCATCTTCATACCCAGATCTTTCTGAAGTGCTTACAGCCTGGTGACAGTGATAAATTAAAATCTAATCTAAAACCCTGGGATAATATTATAACTATATATTAATTATAATCCTCAAGTCTCAGATAATTTTAAATTATTTTGTAGTTAAAAATGGAAGAACTAATATTGTATTAAGTTTATAGAATTGAAGATAAAGCAAACAATATTAAGCTCCAATTATACTGTATTTTCTTGGTACGGTGACCAGATAAACAAAGTTTTAAGCACTGATTTATTGTAGGATGATATTAAAGTGGTGCATGAATATCAGTTAAGAAGATAATTATTGTTTTAAAAGAAACCTTTACATCCTATCTCTCAAAGATTTTTTTTTTAATCCAAGGGCAGTAATATTTCTTAACATTAAATACTTTAGATGTGCCAAGCATCGTGCTTAGAGGTTTATATATATGGTCACACTGTACTATTAATGTTTGTACCAATCATACAGGCTAGAATTTACAGTGGTAATAAACAACCCCAAATTTTTAGTGTTCATTGTGGGTCAAAATGGGGTTCTTAAAGCATGTTTTCCTTGCTCTAGGACAAAACCTTCCCCATCTGAAACACTGCCATTGTAGGGGAAAGAAATGGTTTATATTTCACCGGTGCCTTTAAAGACTTTCAACTGACATTTAGTTGGTCAAAGCAAGTCACATGGCCACATCTAATTGCACAGAGCCTGGGTGATGATGAAATCTACTAAGTACCCAAAGGTGGAAAACGGAAATATCTGAGAACAGCATCAATCATCACCACATTATCCCCATTTTATAGATGAGAAATCTGTCATGGGAAAGTTAATTAAACAGCCTGTCTTCACACATGCAATAAGTGTTGGAACTGGGAGTTGAACCCAGATGTATCCAGTTTGCTAAGAAACAACTATCCCCCACCCCACTCAAATCTTAAAGGCATAAAATAATAACCATTTATTTACTTCATGATGCTGTGGGTTGTCCATTTGGGCTGGGCTCAGCTCAATGATTCTTTTAATCAGGTTTGGCTAATTTTTGTTGGTTTCCCTCATGTCTCTATGGTCAACTGCCAAGTGAGCTGGGAGCTCACCTGTCTAAGAAAGTTCTGTTAGGATGGCTCTTTTTTGCTCCACATGAGGTCTCACCCTTTAGCAAGGTAGCCCAGGCTTGTTCTCATGGCTGCAGGGGTAGGTTACTGAAAGAATAAGAGGAAGCATGGAAGACCAGAGTGTCACAACTTTCCTTTTGACAAAGCCAATCACAAGGCCAGCCCAGGTTCAATGGATGGAGAAACAGACCCTACCTTTTGATGGGAGGGACAACAAAAATTATCTTACAAAGAGTATCGATAAAAGGAGAGGCAATCTGGTCTAAGTCCCCACATTCTTAAGCACTATGGTATTGTCCAACGATTATTTTCTCTAATTCAGGGATATACGTCAAAGGCACTCCCCTGAATATTTATTTGTTGAAAACTTATGATCTGTTCTGTGGGTTTTTAACAGTGCATTTTCATTTAATTTTTTATAAGACCTACAAAGCAAGATCAAAGACAAATAAAACAAGTAAGTGGTACATTGCATCTAATTATTTATCTTCAAAACAGTTGCAAAAATAGCACATCTAGTAATTATCCATATGATGATGTTATTTCAACATTTCAAAACTCTCAGTTGGAGCTCAAACATGATAAAAAGCAAGTCAATATCATGTCAAGCGGTGATATTACATGGGAACTGTTAACAAGGTATTGAATTGATACTTGTCAATTTCCTGGTAGTTTTTCAAAGGAAACGTTGCTGGCTAGAGTTACTCTTCATTTTGATGAATCAAGTTGTTATATAAGTCCTTTTTACCCCTCTTGTCTAAAATTTAGAACAATTTCTTCAAAGTCCCCAGTGGGAAAGTGTGACAGTATGATTAAGAGGCTCTCTTTGCAGTTAGAATTTGAGTCTGTATCCTGGTACCACCATGTAATTATTGAGAGGCTTCAGATCAGTTATTTTACCTCTAAACTCAATTTTTACATCTGCCAAATGGGAATTATCATAGTAGTTATGTCCTGTGTCTCTACACAAGACCAACAGTACAAAGCATGAAACCTTGCAGGTAGTAATTTTTAAATAAATATTTGTTCTAATTGGAGCAGTCTTACTTCAGATAATAATGGTAATAAAGACACATTTAGAAACTTAAGAAAGAATAAGAGATGTTTAAATTTTTAAATTGTATTCTAGTCCCAAGGCAACTTTGAAAGTAAATGATTTTTGACATTCATGGAAGTATTTTATATTAACCATCATTCAGATATTTTCTAACTTCCTTCCACATGATATAGATAATAAGTAAGAAGAAATCTCTTCCATCCATTGCCCCCATTTTGTCCTCTTTAACTCAATGAGAGGAGTTTTCTTCTATCATTCCCTTTACCCTGTATAGACTTAATCTGCCCAAAGGACCAATTACCTACCAGTGTTCAGTACCTAACCTTTTCCAGGAAGTTAACATTTGAAAGATTTGCTCTAAAGCTGTAAGGACAAAGAAGGTAAGAGAGGTCTGTGGAAGTCAGACAGAAATATAGGGATTCCACATTCAAGACAATGAAGGCAACATGAGCAGCAACAAGAAAACTAAGAAACAGAGTCAGAGACTCCAGACTTTAAATTTGGGGCATAGTTTTGGAAAGAGAACAGGCCCGACACTACAGATGAAGGCAATTTACTCAACTGACTGTTACCTACATTACCGTCAGCATAAAAGGATCGAAGTTGAAGAATTTTCTAAATTCAGAGAAGTGAAGCATGGGGTAAACCAATTTCTATCTCTTTCTCCCTCTTTCTTTCCCTCTCTCATTCCCTCATTGCTCATTTTCCGTTCCCTCCTTTCTGTGTCTCTTTCAAAAAAACCATAAATAAAGAATACAAACTATCTTTCTATTATTTGCTACATTCTTCAATGGAGATTATGTTTACCAACTTAAATCCACACATGTCTAATAGCAATAATAGCAAATAGATGTTAGTGCTTATTATGTGCTGGTTGCCTTTTTGAACTTTTTTAAGGTTAATAAAAGTCACTTATAGAGTAGTTTTAGGTTCACAGCAAAATTGAATGGAAAATACAGAGGGTCCCCTTGTATCCACTCTCCCCACACATGCACAACCTCCTTTACTATCAACATTCTGAACCAGAGTGGTGTATTTGATACAATTGAACCTATATTCACACATCATTATCATCCAAAGCCCATAGTTTACATTGGGGTTTACTCTCGGTGTTGTACATTTTACGGGGTAGACAAATCTATAATGACATGTATCTATCATAATAGTCCAATACAGGGTATTTTCTCTGTCCTAAGAATCTCTGTAATCTTGCCTACTCATCTCGCCCTCCCCTCAGTCCCTGGCAACTACTAATCTTTTTGTTGTCTTCCCGCCTTTTCCAGAATGTCATATAGTTAGAATCAAACAGTATGTAACCTTTTCAGATTGACTTGTTTCACTTAGTAATATGCATTTAAGTTTCCTCTATATCTGTTTATGGCTTGATAGCTCATTTCTTTTTAGCACAGAGTAATTTTTAATTTAATGGATGCATAGTTTATCTACTTTCTGAGCTTTTTATGTGTGTAAATATAGAGACAAACAGCTGCATATTATGAAATCTAGACATTTCAATGATCATATTATTCTTATTGAACAAATGAGACCACTGGAGTAAAGAGAAGTTGACATGGCCTGGATTTTAAAAAATAGTAGCTATAGGTTATGTGTAGTGGTTCATGCCAGTAATCCCAGCATTTTGGGAGGCCAAGGCAGGAAGATCACTTGAGCCCAGGAGTTGGAGACCAGCCTGGGCAACATAGTGAGACTCTGTTTCTGACTTCATGAATTTATGCTTATTACCTGGGTGACAGATAATGTGTATATCAAATTGCCATGACATGCAATTTACATGTGACAAACCTGCACACGTACTCCCAAACCTAAAATAAAAGTTGGAAAGAAAAAAAAAATGGTAGCTAGAAAAAGACCTGAACTCAGGTCTTTATATCTTCAAAGCCTATCTTCCCTGCTATACATACATGAGAGATTGTGTTACTTATCTCTCTTAAAAGTCCATTAACCAAAGTTTTATCAGTTTGTGCACCACTCCCTTTCATTTCTCTTTCAAGCAGTAAGTTTTGCTAGAAACAAAAAGCACTGTAACCAAGACAACTGTATTATTGTGAAGAAATAAAAAGAAGGAAAGAACAGCAGCAACAAATCAACTGTCATGATATATTTTCTGAGCACATCCAGGTAATAAAGCTCTTTCTGTCATCCCAAACCATGTACCCACCCTATTTTACACTACGGGCCTTGGAAAGATATGTATTTTCTAAATTACCTTAAAACTTCAAACTCGAAATTCCCCTATTCTTTTTATTCACAGTGAAGATAAAACTACACTTGAAGTATTTCACAAGTTTACAGATGACTAAGTTCTCACCCATGAGGCTTAAATGTGGTGAAGTGGAGATTGAAAAAACAGTAAAGCAACTGGGAAGGCCTGTTTGAAATCTGACATTACGCTATGACAGGGAACAATGTTTCACTCTCTTATGATGATGTCCGTACTTTCAAAGCAACTGCCAACTGGTCTTTTTATATCCAACTTGAAAATATATTGTCCACACTTCATGCTTCAGTTTTGCTTGAACGATCATCTGTTTGCCTTTTCAGCAGAATAATCCCACAGGAGTTTTTAATTCTATGTGTAAATGTTGATTTTTAATATGGAATGTTATAGTAGTAATTTATACCATGAGTTAAAACCACAGAGATTTCCTTTAAAAATTCTAATTCTCACGGTAATTATCATGTTTACAATAAAATTCAGTTCACTCTTCAAGGGACTGAGAAGCAAAGAAATATTAAATGGGAAATAAGTATTCGATTTCATTTCCTTGGGACTTCCAGGGACAAAGAAATGTATAAACGACAGAAAAATGTTCAGCCATGATTTAATTTAGTATACATGTTCTACTGTAATTTTGAAAAACAAAGTCCTTAGTTGGTATAAGCAACTTACTTTTTGATTAGAAAATTATTTATATGGAGAATGAGGAACCTAAAAAAGGAAAAGGTAGACATTAAGTTGATATTGATATTTATGTGCTTGTGGATAAAGAGAAGAACGAAAACATGGATGAGGTTATAAAAATTTCCTTGGCAGTAGGGAAAAGTGGAGAGGAAAAAAGGACAATATGTTTCTTTATGAGAGAAGAAAGGAAGAAACCAGTCAGGGAGACAGTTAGAGTGGGTCCTTGGTTGAATTCTTTCAAACAAAAGAAAAATCAAGCTGCAGGCATAGATAAGGGAACTTGCACAGGAGGGCCTGCCTAAGACATGCCCACAGCCACACAAATAAGAAAGGCCTACCCAAGTAACTTGCCCAGACATGCCTGCAATAGAAAATTCCATCCCCTGACACATGTGCAGTAAGGGGAACAAAGCAGTATGGAATAGCCTAACCTAAGGGCTGTCACGCACATTAGGAGCACATGGTGGAGCTACTAGAAATCTGCGCCTTATAGAAATGAGACACTCAGCCCTCACGGTTTTCTTATAAAGGCCCTTGTATTCAACTGTAAAAATGGCAACTCTCTTTTGGGCCCCTTCTCCATGGTGGTGAACTTTCTTCTTTTGCTTATTAAACTTTCACTCCAACCTCACTCTTGGTGTCCATGCTCCTTAATTTTCATGGCCATGGGACAAAGAACTCCAGGTGATACCTCAAACAATGAGCGACTGCTATATTGTGATGCAATGGTGAGACTGTAACATTTTGGTGCCTTGGTGAGACTGTAACATTTACATCTTTGCAGACAGTATTGTTTAATTAGTGCCTTAATTTCAGGATGTAAGAGAAAATTAATGAGAGAAGTTCTATTCCCATCAGAAATGGAGACCCCTGGTACGGCTCCTTCTGTGTTTCATGGGTTGCCTGGATAGCATACTCATGATGGGCCCCATCTTCTCCCAAATTATACAATAGCTTCCCTTAACAAGGTGTCCAGGCTCTTTAAAATCTTGTCTAACCTCATCACACACCTTTTCCTTACTCACTGTACTACACTGACCAGTGAAGGGAGTAAGCAATGTCTTACATTTTGGCCCTCTCATATCCATATACAGTTTCCTAAGAAAAGTCTGAAAGTACCAATCCAAGTAATGATTTAAAAAGAAAACAAAAGAAAAGCTCGTCGTGTGTGGTAATATTTCCTAAGGGAAAAGTGGGAATTAACATATATTGAGAAGTTTTCTTGCTCAGACTTTCCAGTGAGGCCAAAACTATTTTCAAATTTTTATTCCTCCTGAATTTTGGATTCATATTTCTGGCCTCAGATTCCACTAGTATTGGAGGTTGATGAATTTCAGTAAGGAGTTCTTGATTTGTTTAGATAAGACCTCACCCTGTTTAAAGCTGTATCTTGAATTCCTACTGTATCTCCTATGACTGCTCTAGGCCAGGATATCATCCTCTCTCCCTTGAATTATTGTAATTGACTTTTTACAAGTTTTCCTCATCTATTCAATTTACCACTTCAACCTACTCTAATCCAATCTCAACAGGTCTGTCAGGTCTTTGAGAATGTAAATCAGAGTTTAATTGGAATGTAAAGGGTGAATCAATGGTTTTCTCTTGCCCTTAGGGTAAATCTAAAACTTCGACCAGGTGTTGAAGGTTCTTTAAAAAGTTCTGCTCACCCTCATCTTGCACAGCTTTATACCCAAGTACTACACTATTGCTATAATATCTCTTGGCCCCAACAAGAAATAGTTTGGGAGGAAGGACCAGAGAAGTTTGGGAGTAGAGCTATTGCAGATTTGTACAATGCCTTAATGCAAATTAGGAAATAATGCTGACCTCCAGCCTGATGAATTTAACAGAAGATACATTTTCAGGAAAGATTAATTAGGAAGAGTTCCCTCTAACACACCCTAGGTGCATGTAGCCCCTCACTAGGTTGGCTATACGACACATTCAGTGGGGTGTACACACTGAGCTTGAGTCCCTTGAGCAGGGTACTACGTACTGAACTATTTCCAGTGTTCCTTTCCCAGACTTACAATCTTCCAAAATTGCCAACATCCTCCTGCTCCATTCCCATTCTTCACTATGTACACAGTAGTAACTTTCTTAGTCTTAAGTGTTTCCCCCCGAGTTTACATACCACTCATAATAATATGAAGTCATCAAATAATTTTATTGTTTTCTTTGTTGCTGTGTAATAGCTTATGCCTCATTAGACTGTAAGTTCCATGAGGCCAGAAGCTCTGTGTTCCGTATTCATTGCAGTATCCCTCTTGGGAGTGACTGGCATACAATAGAGCTGCAATAAATATTTAACAGAGAAAGCCATTTGTTTAGGTACAGTAGCTTTCGCTCTTTGCTGTGCATTTAAATTATACAGAGAGTTTTTTTTTTTAATTTGATGTTGTTAAAAGAAAAACTTCAGCTGAATTAAATTTAAGGAAGTTTAATTGAGTGAATCACGCAGCCCCCAGAATCACAGCAGATCCAGCACAGCCACATGGTTGAAGAAGATTATAGACATAAAAAGGAAAGTGATGTACAGAAATTGGAAGTGAGGCACAAAAACAACTGGATTGGTCACAGCTCAGTACTTACCTTATTTGAACACAGTTTGAACACTCAGCAGTAAATGAGTGTTTGAAGTACGGCTGCTGGGATTGGCCAAGACTCAGCTATTGTTACAGTTAAATACTTCAATCTTTTTACCTATTAAGTTAGGTTGCAGTTTGTCCACAAGGACTCAAACATAGAAATATGGAGTCCTTCTCAGGCTATATTTATTAATAGTTAGCTTAACAATGCCCAGACCCCCACCTCAGAGAATTCCATTTAAATGGTCAGAAGTGAGGCACAGACATAATTATTAAAATTTTCCCAGGTGATTATAATTTATAGCTGAAGCTAAGACCTACTGCTCTATTTTAGTATTTTTCTAACTTTAAAGTGAATGAGAATTTTTTGTAGATTCTGTTAAGTTAGGATTCTAATTTAGTACACTTGGGGCACAGCCTAGGCTACTGCACTTCAGCATCAGTATTACTGATGCTGCTGGTCCATGGCCCACCCTTTGAGTAGCAAAAGTAACAAAACTTTTATAACCCGCTCTTCTCATATTCACTCAATCAAGTCACTGAGAAAGTAAACACGCGTGGGTCCATGGGCTGTAACAATACCAAAATAATTGGATTGGTTTGAAAAAGAAGGGACTGAATGAAATTAATATCAACAGCTGTGCATTGGATTATCAAATAATGTTACTTAAAATTTCATATATATATAGATGTTCTAGAACCTTGTCATTATAAGTCAACCATCATGATCACAATGTATTATGCAATCTGTGAAACCTGTGGTTGTCAGTAACATGATTAAAGCCTTAGATCCTGTTAAAATCAATTATACTCTTCCCATAACCCGAGCGATGATGATATGTGGGTTGGCAGATTATATGTGACATTCAGTTTGTAGAGATATTTTCTCTAGTCACTGGCTTGGAAATCACTTCTTCAATCCCTTCCCCTCGCCCTCATCACTAGGGTAGGAGAGGAGAGGAGAAAAAAAAACATGCACAAAGCTCATCTTAATTCTCTCCTGCCCCCAAGAAAATAAGTTTGGCAAAGGTTAACAATCTCCATCTAGGTTTGAAACTTTTGAGCTTCCACAACCAACTGCAAGTTATTGTATGACATGAATTCCATGAAAGAATGGGTAAATTCTTCTATATCCATAATAGATTCTGAAGAGATGCAAATAGAATACCAAACTGACTCTATAAAAGATTAACCTGATAGAAAGTTTGTCTTGCATCATGAGTCTTCAAGCTTATGCAAAAACTGGACTGTTTTTTAACCACTCTATTTCCAAGGTTTAAAATGTAAATGCAACAAAATAAGCCTTTTTTATATTGAATACGTGACCTCATGTAACAACTAATCTAATATTTATTTTTTCTGGAAGTTGTAAAAATCCTTATTAAAAACACAGAAATCTAGTGATGCTAATACATAAATAAAATGTCTATTCATTGAAGATTAGCCTCTGTATTATTCTAATGTTTAAAAAACTTACAAAGAGACATATCTGAAGAACTAATAAAATACTAAGAAGAAAGAAAAGGGAAAAAAATTGCTAAATTTGAACAAAACATACTGCAATCCTGTTATTGCTCACTTCAAAATGAAATACAAGATTCCAGGCAAAATGGCTGATTAGACACAGCCAGAAAATGCCTCTGCCATGGAGAGGAATAAAAATATCGAGTAAACTGTTACACTTCAAACCAATCTTTTAAGAGAAAGTACTGAAAATCAATAGAGAGGCAACACAGACACTGTAGCTGGAGGAGGAAGAAGCTGGGAAGCCTACTCAGAGCTGCTGGATGCCAAGACTGACCCCAGTCCTGCACTGGATCCAAGATAGGGTTGAGAGAAGGAACTCCAGGGTACCACTCCCATTGTGGACTTCTGGGATCCTGCCTACAGGAATTCCCAGGCCCCTCAAGCCTTTGAACTGGCAGGAGGAGTTGCCTAGAGAACAGACAAAGACACAGCTCAAACCAGCGCAGACCCCAAAAGATTTTGCTACATGGTACAGCTACAGAAAGACATAATCTTAGGTACCCATTCCCCAAGGCTGTCCATCTTGCACGAAGTGGCTGCAGCTTCTGCTGTCTGCCAGGCCAGGAGAGACCATGGCTGCCATTGCCACAGGACTGGGGTGCATCCAATCCAGATGTAGATGTTCCCTTGCCTGCCTGCTCCTCTTTGTGGGAGGGTGCCTACAGCACAGCCTCCACTGAGCCATCTGAGTGTTTTGCTGGTTGCCTCGGAGCAGTTCACTACCCCAGTGCTTGACTGGGAGCAGTTCAACAGCCAGTGCTTGACCTTGAGGGGCCAGAGAACAGATCTGCAGGCCTGGTCCCAACTAACCAGGACTCACAGACACCACTCAAGGGTATGAAGCTGGGATCTGTGGCCTGAGCTCTAGCAGGGTAGGAGCCCCCAATCTCAGAATACAAGGAAGAGTGTGGCACAGGTTCATGTGATGGCACAGGAGATGGGTGTCCTCTCTTCACAAGACATTTCTAGGAAGGATGTGACCTTATAGCCAGCTGTGATTTTTCCCCCAGTGAGCCCTGTGGTCTGAAACATCTGCAGTGGCTCAACAATTTGGGTGAAAATGGCTTGGGAGAAGCCTAACTGGTCGGGTCTGCTATCAAGGAGGACACCAGAGGAAGACCTGCCGGGCTGGGGGATCATGAGCTGGGAGAGCTCCACAGCAATCTGCTGGGCTGAAAAACCCCAGAATGTGGGCCCCATATGGTTGCACACTGTATTGGATTATTCTCACACTCCTATGAAGAAATACCTGAGACTGGGTAATTTATAAAGGAGAAAGGTTCAACTGACTCACAGTTTTGCATTGCTGGGGAAGCCTCAGAAAACTTACAATCAATGTGGAAGGCAAAGGAGAAGCAGGCACCTTCTTCACAGAGTGCGTGCAGGCAGTGGAAATGCCAGATGCTTATAAAACCATCAGATCTTGTGAGAACTCACTATCATGAGAACAGTATGGGGGAAACTGCCTCCATGATCCAATCACTTCCTACTGGGTGCCTCCCATGACACATGGGGACTATGGGGATTACAATTCAAGAAGAGATTTTGGGTGGGGACACAGCCAAACCATATCACACACTCATGGCACCACTGCCTTGCCTGACGATCCTCTGCCCTTTATGCACTTCATCACTAGATCATCCACAGACATACCCCACAACCCATGCTGACTTTGGTGAGCCCAGGGGACCAGCAGGTCCCTGGGGAATTGCAGGCATCCTGGTGGCCTAACCCTCAGCTCAGACTGCCCCCTAAGGGAGTAGGGAGCATAGTCTCCCAATGTCCCCCCTTGCGGAAAAGAAAATGTGCGTGCTACCAGTAGTTGAAGGGGATACCATCAAGGCCCAAGAAGGGACTTGGTAAGGGAGTGATCTCTTGCTGCACACTTCCTCTCCCTACAGCACTGCTGCAGAGGCATTGAAATACAAATCCACCACAGGATGCTGAGTATGAGCCTCACTCTGTTTACCCTTACTCTTAAGCACCATCTACTGGACTGCAACCTGAGTTTCACTACCAAACAAAAATACATTGCCTCAACAAACACTTGTAAAACCAATCTACAACCAAGGAACCCATACTGAGCCTTGGCCTTCTGACAGTTCCCAGAAAAAAAAGCCAATCAAGTATACACAACATACACCACACCCAAAACCTCTAGGGAAGAAAAGAATATAAAAACAAAAAGCCTCATGCAAACAACAGTAAATTCAAAAAGTAAAAGAAGCACTAGCTCCCTCAGACAAGAAGGAATCAGTGCAAGAACTCTGGAAATTCAAAAAGTCATGGTATTTCATTACCTACAAATGTTTGTATTGGTTCTTTAGTAAAGGCTCCTAATCAGATTCAAATTCTGAAATGACAGCCATAGAATTCAGAATCTGGATGGCAAGGAAACTCAACGAGATCCAACAGAAAGTTGAAATACACTCCAAGGAAGCCAGAAAAACAACACGACATTTGAAAGATTAAATAGCTTTATTAAGAAAGAACCAAACTGAACTACTAGAATTGAAAAATTTACTAATAAAATTTTGAAATACAATTGGAAGCTTAACGATAGAGTAGACAAAGCAGAGGAAAGAATTTCAGAGCTTGAAGACCAGTCCTACGAATCAACCCAGTCAGTCAAAAATATAAAAAAAAAAAAATTAAAAAAGAACAAAGCCTCTGAAAAATATGGGATTATGTAAAACAACCAAACCTACAATTCTTTGGCATTCCTGAGAGAGAAGAGAGACTAAGCAATTTGGAAAACATATTTGAGGATATAGCCCACAAAAATTTCCACAATCCCTCTAGAAAGGTCACCCTGCAAATACAAGAAATTCAGAGAACCCTTGTAAGAAGCTATACGAAATGACCAGCCCCAATGTTCCTAGCCAACAGACTTTTCAAGGTCAACATGAAAGAAAAAAGTCTTAAAGGCAGCTAGACAAAAGAGCCATATCACTGAAAAGGGAACCCTATCAAGCTAACAGTGGACTTCTCAGCAGAAACCTTACAAGACACAAAAGAGTGCGGATCTATTTTTAGCATTCTTAAAGAAAAGAAATACTAACCAAGAATTTCATATATCGCTAAACTAAACATCATAAGCAAAGGACAAATAAAATCTTTCCCAGATAAGCAATCAATAAAGGAATTTGTTACCACTAGACTGGTCTTACAAGAGCTTAAGGGAGTTGTAACATGGAAACAAAAGAATACTATCTGCTACCACAAAAACACACATAAGCACTTTGACCACAGACCCTACAAAGCAACTACATAATCAAGACTAAAAAGCAACAAGTCAACAACTCTGCAAAAGGAACAAAAATTCACATATTTGTATTAACCTTGAATGTAAACATGTAAACTGTCTAAATCCTCCACTTAAAGGACACAAAGTGGCACTTGGATTGAAAAAAACAAAACAAAAACAACAACAACAAGATTCAACCTTCTGCTGTCTTCAGGAGACCCATCTCACCTGTAATGACACCCATAGGTTCAACATAAAGGAATGGAGAAAGATCTATCACAAACATGGAAAGTAAAAAAAAACAGGCATCATTATTCTTGCACAGAATAAAACAGACTTTAAAAAAGACAAATAAGGCCATTACATAATGATAAAGCATTCAGTTCAACAAGAAGACTTCACTATCTTAAATATATACACACCCAACAATGGAGCATCCAGATTAATAAAACAAGTACTTCTAGACCTAGGAAAAGACTTAGCCACACAATAATAGTAGAGGACTTCAACAACTCACTGACAGCATTAGACAGATCATCAAAGCAGAAAACTAAGAAAGAAATTCTGGATATAAATTCTACACTCGGTAAACTGGATTTAATAGCATCTACTGATTACTCCACTCAACAACCACAGAATATACATTCTTCTCATCTGCACATGGAATGTACTCTAAGACTGACCACATGTGGGGTCATAAAGCAAAACTTGATAAATTTTAAAAAAAGTGAAATCATACAATGAATAACTCTCTCAGATGACAATGCAATAAAAATAGAAATAAATACCAAGAGGAACTCTCGAAACAACACAATTATATGAAAACTAAACAATGTGCTCCTTAATGCCTTTTAGGTTAACAATGAATCAGGCAGAAATCAAAAAATTCACTGAAACAAATGAAAACAGAGACATAGCATACGAAAATCTCCAGGATGCAGCAAAAGCAGTGCTAAGAGGAAAGTTTTTAGCATTAAACACCTACATCAAGAAGAAATAAAGAGCTCAAATTAACAATCTACCATTTCAACAAAGGAATTAGAAAAATAAAAACAAATCCCAAAGATAGCAGAAGAAAAGGAATAACTAAAATCAGAGCAGAACTAGACAAAATTGAGACCTGAAAAACCATACAAGGAATCAATGAAATGAAAAACTGGTGTTTTGAAAGGATAAACAAGATTGATCGAGCACTAACTAGATTAACAAAGACAAAAAGAGAGAAGATCCAAATAAGCACAATCATAAATGACAAAGGTGATATTACAATCAATCCCACAGAAATACAAAAGATCCTCAGAAAATGTTATGAACACACTCATTTGTACAAACTAGAAAAATTAGAGGTAATGTATAAATTCCTGGAAATACACAACCTCCCAAGATTGAATCAGGAAGAAATCAAAACTCTGAACAGACCAAAAACAAGTTCTGAAATTGAATCAGTAATTCAAAAAGCCTACCAAACAAAAGAATCCCCAGCTCAGATGGATTCACAGTCAAATTCTACCAGATGTACAGAGAAGAGGTCTTTCCAATCCTCCTGAAACTATTCCAAAAAATCGAAAAGAAGTGATTCCCCTACAACTCATTCTACAAAAGCAGTATCTTCTTAACACCAAAATCTGGCAAAGTCACAATGAAAAAAGAAAACTGTAGGCCAATATCCCTGATGAACATAGTCTCAAAAATTCTCACCAAAATACCTGCAAACCGAATCCAGTAGGACATCAAAAATTAATCCCCCATGATCAAGTAGGCTTTATTCCCTGGATGCAAAATTGATTCAACGTATGCAAATCAATGAATGTGTTTCACCACATAAACAGAATTTTAAACAAAAACCTTATGATCGTCTCAACAGAAATAGAAAAAGCATTCAACAAAATCCAATATTACTTAATGATAAAAACCTCCAACAAACTAGGTATCAAAAGAGCATACCTCAAAATAATAAGAGCCATCTATGACAAACACACAGTCAATATCATACTGAAAAGGCAAAAGTTGGAAGCACTTCCCTAAAGAGCTGAAATAAGAGAAGGATGCTCACTCTTACCACTCATATTCAACATAGTATTGGAAGTCCTAGCCAGAACAATCAAGTAAAAGAAAGAAATGTAAGGTATCCAAATAGGAAAAGAGGAAGTCAAATTACCTCTTTTCACTAACAATATGATTCTAGACCTAGAAAACCCTAAAGACTCCAACAAAGTTTCCTATATTTGATAAACAACTTCAGGAGTCTCAGGATACAAAGTCAATGTACAAAAATCAGTAGCGTTTCACAAGGCTACAGTAACCAAAACAGCATGGTACTGGTACCAAAACAGACATATAAACCAATGGAGCAGAATAGAGACCTCAGAAATAACACCACACATCTACAACCATCTAATCTTCAACAAACCTGACAAAAGCAAGCAATGGGGAAAGGATCTCCTATTCAGTTAATGGTGCTGGGAAAACTGGATAGCCATATGCAGAGAACTGAAACTGGACCACTTCCTTACACCTTATATAAAAATTAGCTCAAGATGGAGCAAAGACTTAAATGTAAAACTCAAAACCATAAAAACTGTAGAAGAAAATCTGGGCAATACCATTCAGGATGTAGGCACTGGCAAAGACTTCATGATGCAAACACCAAAAGCAATTGGAACAAAAGCCAAAATTAACAAATGGGATGTAATTGAACTAAAGAGCTTCTGCACAGCAAAAGCAACTATCATCAGAGTGAACATGCAACCTACAGAATGGGAGAAAATTTCTGCAATCTACCCATCTGACAAAGGTCTAATATCCAGAATTTAAAAGGAATTTAAACGTATTTACAAGAGAAAAACACAAAACCTCCTCACAAAATGGACAGAGGATATGAGCAGACACTTCTCAAGAGAAGGCATTTACATGGCCAAAAAACATGAAAAAAAGCTCAACATCTCTGATCATCAGAGAAATGCAAATCAAAACCACAATGAGATACCATCTCATGCCAGTCAGAATGGCCATTATTAAAAAGTCAGAAAACAATAGATGTTGGCAAGACTGTGGAGAAATAGGAAAACTTTTACTCTGTTGGTGGGAATGTAAATTAGTTCAACTTTTGTGGAAGACAGTGTGACGATTCCTTAAAGATCTAGAACCAGAAACACCATTTGACCCAGCAATTCCATTACTTGGTATATACCCAAAGAAATACAAATCATTCTACTATAAAGACACATGCACACGAATATTTATTGCAGCATTATTTATAATAGCAATGACATGGAACCAACCCAAATGCCCATCAGTGACAGACTGGATAAAAAAACATGTCGTACATATACATGATGAAATACTATGAAGCCATAAAAAGGAATGAAACCATGTCTTTTGCAAGGACATGGATGAAGCTGGAAGCCATCATCCTCAGAAAACTAACACAGGAACAGAAAACCAAACACCACATGTTCTCACTCATAAGCGGGAGTTGAACATTGAGAACACGTGGATACAGAGAGGGGAACAGCACACACCAGGGCCTGTTAGGGGGTGGGGGTGAGGGGAGGGAACATAGAGGATGGGTTAATAGGTACAGCAAATCACCATGGCACATGTATATCTATGGAACAAACCTGTATGTTCTGCACATGTATGCCATTTTTTTTTAGAAGAAAAAACAAATCAGTTGCGTTTCTATACACCAATAACGTTCCAGCTGCGAGCCAAATCTAGAATACAATCCCATTTACAACAGCCACACGTACAAAAAGAAATCTAGGAATATGTCTCACCGAGAAGGTGAAAGATCTCTACAAGGAGAGGTACAAAACGTTGCTGAAAGAAATCATATCTGACTGAAACAAAGGGGAAAACATTCCATGCCCATTTGTTTAAAAGATATTGAAAATCCTTTAACTATCCATACTGCCCAAAGCAATCTGTAGATTCAATGCTATTCCTATCAAACTACCAATGTCATTTCTCACAGAGTTAGAAAAAAACTATTCTAAAATTCATGTGGAACCAAAAAAGAGCTTGAATAGCCAAAGTAATGCTAAGCAAAATGAATAAAGTTAGAGTCCTCACACCACCCAACTTCAAACTATAATATAAGGCTACAGTAACCAAAACAACATGATACCGGTACAAAAATAGACACGTAGACCAATGGGATGGAACAGAACACCCAGAAGAAAAGCTACACACCTACAGCCATATGATCTTTGATGAAGTTGACAAAAATAAGCAATGGGGAAAGGGATCCCTTTTCAATAAATGGTACTGGCATAGCAGGCTAGCCATATCCAGAAAAATGAAACTGGATCCCCACTTTTCACCATATACAAAAATTGACTTGAGATGGATTAAAGATATAAACACAAGATCTCAAACTATAAAATCCCTAGAAGAAAACCTAGGAAATATCTTTCTGGACATTGGTTTAGGCAAAGAATTTATCACTACATCTTCAAAAGCAATCACAATAAAAACAAAAATTGACAAGTGGGACCTAATGAAACTAAAGACCATCCACACAGCAAAAGAAACTATCAACAGTGTAAACAGACACCTAGAGAATGGGACAAAATATTTGCTAACTATGCGTCTGAGAAAGGGCTAATGTCCAGCATCTAGGATATGAACAGGCTTCCTCTCAAAAAAAGTCACACAGGTGGCCAAGAAACACATGAAAAAATGCTCATCATTACTAATCATTAGAGAAAAGGAAATCAAAACCACAGTAAGATACTGTCTCTCACCAGTTAGAATGGTTATTATTAAAAAGTCAAAAATCAGCAGATGTTAGTGAGGCTGTGGAGAAAAGGTAATACTTATGTGCTGTTGGTGGGAATGTAAATTAGTTCAGACACTGTGGAAAGCAGTTTGGAGATTTCTTAAAGAATTTAAAACAGAACTACCATTTGGCCCAACATTCCCATTACTGGGTGTATACTCAATGGAAAATAAATCATTCTACCAAAAAGACATCTGTATGCATGTGTTTACTGCGGCAATATTCACAGTAGCAAAAACCTGGAATCAACCTAGGTGCCTTCCAATGGTGGACTGGATAAATAAAATGTGGTACATATACACCATGGAATACTATTCAGCCATAAATAAGAATGAAATTATATCTTTTGCAACAACATGGATGCCGCTGGAGGACACTATCCTAAGGAAATTAACACAGAAAGGGAAAACCAAATATCACATGTTCTCACTTATAGGCGGGAGCTAAACCTTGGGTACACACAGACATAAAGATGAGAACAACAGACACTAGGGACTGCAAAAGGAGGAAAAAAGGGTGGAGAACAAGGGCTGAAAATCTTCCTATTGGGTACTATGTTCACTACCAGGTGATGGAATCAATAGAGGCTCAAACTTCAGCATCAGGCGATATAGCCTTGTAAGAAACCTGCACATGTACCCCCTGAATCTAAAATTAAAATTAAAAGAAAAAAAACAAAATTAAATACAAATTGTATTGCATCATTCTATATCTCTTATGAGAGAAGTTGCAGACTATAAATATAAAGATTATCTTGATATGGCTATATTTTAATTAATCAATTCATTGACTTAATGAGTATTTGAGTTTGCCAGTATAGGAAATTTTATTTACAGATTTTCTGTCCTGATGGATAGCATTGGTAATATATAACTATACAGCAATAAAGACATTATTTTTATTAAATATAAGGTTATCATTTTATAAAATGTTTAATATTTCTTAATAATTTCTAAAAATGTCAATCTTTTCACTAAATATTCACTTTTTATCTTTCGATGATTGTGGAAAGTTCCAACATATTGCATTTAGAAAATTCCATGTGGATATGTTTTAAAGAGTGCGAGGGGGGGTCTACAATGTTTTCTAGGACTTGATTGAAATTGAAATGTTTTTAATGAACATTATATTAAACGGTGTAATTTGTGGAATATATAAAATGATTACTAAAGAAAGAAATGAGCCGAAACATCAAATTCAACTTAAGACTTTTTTTTTCTTTTTTAAAAAAGGTGGCAGGGTATTTTCCAGTCCCCTTTGTAGTAAAAATATCCATCGCTCTAAAGACTATTTTTTTCCCACAATCTTAAAATATTTATATAAAGACATATATATAAAATAAGTATTAGAATATGTCGAGTATATATATATTACATTATATTAGAATATGTCAACTATATATACACTTGACATATTCTAATACTTTTTACTCTATAAAGTACCTCTGTTGAAACAGAAAATAAAAGGTAATTAAGACAAAATTGAAAGAAAGAATTTTAATTTTGTTGTCTTTTTTTTATGGCTTCAAACTGCTTTGTTTAGTTTCTCTTATTTTCTTGCCTTCTCCTTCCTCCTTCTTAAATTGTTCAATTCCACCATTCCTACTCTTAGGACATTTTTCTCATGCTTTTGTAACATTCTGACATTTCCTATTTCAAGGATGTGATCCTTTGCCTGGGGCACCTATTTGCCCACTGATTAACAGACAGTGTTGCATTCCTCTTCCCACTCTCTTGGTGCTTGTCACCACCACCCTCAGCTTCCAACCAAAAGGATATCCTTAGTCAAAATGAGATGGAAAATCCAGATAAGGTCTAGATAGATTCTTTTGTTAGACAATACAAAATGGATCCTCTTATCTGCTAGATACTTTTAAGAGGATCATGTTGGAAGGGTCCTGTAAAGATCTAAATATCATCAATTGCTAAAGGAATGGCATAATAGAAACAGATTTCAGCAGCCTGGGCTGGGATCCTGACCATTCTTTTGGGCTAGCCCCATTCAACAAGGGACACCATGTCTCATAGTCGAAACATGAGCTCTGGTATCTGAACACTCAGAGAATTTAAATTCTGAATCCAGCACTAACTCTTTAGGTTCCTTGGAAAAATTATTTAATATCTATGAGCTTAGTTTCTTAACATATAATAGACATAATACTTACCTCACAGTATTGTTATAAAGACCAAAACAAAAAAAAATGAGATATGACTGAGATCACTTGTAAGTACCTAATAAATGATAGCTATTTTTAAAAATTTTATAGCAGTTGAATGAAAGTTGTCCTTAATATCAAAAAGATTTACAATATAAATAGTATAAATAGGAACAATGTTTTCATAGTATAGAGTTTATAAATACAATTATTTGGATAGAAAAATATGCCTCTAAAGTACCATGGAACAAAGGAAAAGGCTAGATTTCTAAATTCCATGGATATGTACTAAAAATTATATGCACTGATCAATAAAGTGTGAAAGGGCTGATGAAACAGACTGTATTTTTCTGGGACAGTAATTTTGTTCTATGAATTATTTATAAGGAGAGTGAAGTAGAAATAAAAGAAATATGAAAGCATAAGGCTTACCTTATCAGTCATAATCTTTCAAACATCAGCAATGACGTTATAATCATTTACCACATGGTGGGACATCCACGAAAAACGTAACATTGTGTCATGTGAAAAATGTATCATAATATGTAAAAGAAATTAATCCCTGTTGAGTTGCTAAGTATCTGCTGTGTTTTCCCTGATTGTGGATTTTTCTTCTCATAGCAAGGTAAAACAAAAAAACGAGGTAAAAACAGATTAGTAGGGAGTGAGTTTGTCAAGTAAGAACATCTTCTGCATGTGGTCTTTTTTAGCATCTGGTACATCATGACTAGCAAATGCCAATACAGAACAAGAGCCATTTATGTCTTATTTTACATAAAGGGAAACTGAGTACTGATGTGTGAGGGAGTAGCACAAGTTAACATAGCTGGCTAGTAGTAATGGCAAGATGCAGATCGTGGCTTTGTGATTATCAGTCCTTTATCCTTCCCACTTCAGCCCCTGCCTAATTTGTAAAGCATTCTGGCAGGAAGTAACAACAAGAAAAAGAAAGTCAGACTTCGCTTTATGCTAAATTTCATTATTAGATTAAGCAAGCTTTATTGGTGCTATGAATACATACTAAGAAAAAATAGTAAGAGGGCATTTTGATTTAGATAATAATAGCTAGTGTACAGGGGCCTTTCTGTGTCCCATACCATCATCTAAAGGCTTTATGTGTATTAACTCATTTACCTCCTGATAAAGGCATTATTATTAATTACTCTTAGTTTTCAGAGAAGGACATTGAGTCATTGAAAGGTTAAGTCAAAGCCATAATCACATACTCTAATAATGTCTTTTTCTCATTTTTGATGGATGCTTATATAAGATCCAAAATGATTGTAGCAAAGAATAAACACCTTATTATCTAAGAGAAATATATGTCCAGGGTAAATACATAGAATGATTACTTATATAGGAAAATATTATAAGTATATAAGAAAAATGTAGAACTGATTCAGGCCCAAAACAAATAATATGAATCAGGCTGTACACTAAAATCGCTTTCTCAGTTGTTAATGTCTTACAGCTTGAGAATAGCTCACAAGTCATTCCTTTCTCTCCCTATTTCCTCACATTGGGACCAAGGACTATTAACTTATTGTTGCCTGCTGTTTTGGGTATGTTGATCTAGTCTGGGGGCCAGTGAAGCAGTTAAGCCGAAAATGGCAGAATTTTATATTGAGATAGCAGAGTAAAGGCCATTTTCTCTTAATGCCTTTTTCTTGAGAGTTTTTTCTTCCAATTTAAGGTAATTGGAGAGATTTCCCCTTTTTCTGAGAGAGGAGCCTTTGATTTGCACTTACAGCTTTTGGGCTGGCTATGTGTCTCTTCAGAAGGGAAAATATCACTTTGTAATAATGTATTCTGGCAGTGGGACCTGAAATTGCTAGGGTAAGCATTAGTTAGTGAAGAGAGGATAGACACTTCTTAAATTATTAAAGTATAATTGGTACAGAACATCTCTAACATTTCCAGGGAAAGACTACTGAAGAATTTATCATTTGTAGATTTATTTCCTTGCAAAACTTGTCTCCTTTTAACTTGTCTTCATGAAAATTTCAGTGGTTCACTTCCCATAAAAATATCATTTATGCTAGTTATGATGACAGCAAAAAAAGGGTCAGAAAGTTACTCTGTGGTAGAGTAAGCTGCCAGTCCTACATAAAACACCTGTGAATAACAACACAAGGAACTCTGTTCTCCTCATTGTGTTCATGCTTTAGATGCTTTGAGGGTCGTAAGCACCATTTTCATTACTGAGTCTTCAAAAATTGTCAGAATGATTTCACCCTTTCCCAGACAGCATTGAAATTGCAAAGAAACATTTAAATATTTGACATGCTTTTGAGTTTTCTGGGCCCAATTCTCCATTCATTGTAATGAAGCTATTTCCTCTGAATGCTGACCGGACTCTGCTTGAATTTAATTTGAGGAGCTATTTTCATGTTGGGAAGATTTTTATAATTATTAAACACTACCGATAGACATTAGGGAAGAGACTGTTACTATGGAGATCTTTCTCTTCCCAATGCAAAATAATAATGACTTCAAAAACAGAGAACATACAGGTGATACATAGTTTTTGTAAACAGAAATGCATGGATGGATGAATGAAAAATACCCAAGGCAGACACATAAGAGGAGCAAATTCAGGATGGTTATTGGAAAGCACTGAAGTATTGTATAACTCCCTCAATCATTAACTAACAGAAAGATCTTAAGACTGTCTTTTATACTTAACGTGGGGAAAACAACAAAAGAAACATATGATTTATCTAAATAATATAAAACATAATGCTCACAAATGAATAAATACTAATGAACAGTACAAAACCCGCTTGGAAGATAGAAGTAAAGACTAGAGGTTACCAAAACAAAGCCAGTACTACCCACATGGAGTAGAAAACAGGATTATGTCTAGGAAATGCCCTTCTATCAGTGTTTTTCCCCCGATGCTATTGCATCTCTTTTGTCATAAAGCAAAAAGTTCTTTGTGAATTAACTTCTGAAAAACATAAATATCTTTGCAAATGCCAGTGTAATATTCCCATAGAATTCACAATACTGTATATAGGTATGAAACTGTCCTGATCACCACCTTGCCATCATTCCCACTACCAAAACAGACTCAGAGGCATTTTAAGGTTTTGTAGGGCTAGCATCACAGGTATGTGCTGCAGGAACTGTTCAGCTGCTCCCTATTGTTCTTACGGTCAAGTTCAAATCCCTGAATGGACCTAAAATGTCCTCAGCTCTCTGTTTACCTCTTTAACCTTGGCTCCCCTCTTAACACTTTAAATATATTAAATAATTTCCTAAAATTTCTGATTTTCTTCTGACCTTTGTAAATCTTTGTTTCAAAAACACTCACCTCCCTTTTTCTTTGACAAATTTTGCTCAGGTTTCCACAAAGATGTCACTTCCTCTGGCTAGACTTCTCTAAAGCACGTCTACTTATATGTGTCTCTGCAGCATCCTATGACTCCATTATATAACTGCTCATCTGTGCCTTTTTCCTGCTTGTCTTCCTCTGCAGGCTGTAAGACCTGAGAATGCAATGGTCTTCTGCACCATTGTGTTCCCACCACTGCACTCCCACCATTCTGAACCATTGCATAGCCCAGCATCTGCTTCACAGTGGTGCTCAATAAATATTTATATCTCACAAGATCTTAGAGTCATAACTTCTTACTATCAACGTCTGAAGTTAATCTTTGGCTAAGGAGAGGAGACAGTCTCTCTGTTGAACATGGTAGTAGGGTGTGTCTTAGTTTGTTTTGTGTTGCTATAACAGAATACTCCAGACTGGGTATTTTTAAAATATATATATTTCTTTAATTTCTGGAGGCTGGGAAGTCCAAGGTCCAGGAGGCTGCCCACATCTGGCTAGGGCCTTTGTGCTGCATCATCCAATGGTAGAAGGCAGAAGGATAAAAGAGCTCATGAAAGAGTAAGAGTGGGCTAGAGGAGACTGAACTCACTTTTATCAGGAACCCATTCCTGCACTAATGACATTAGTCTACACATGAGGCCAGAGACCTCATGGCCTAATCACCTCTTACTTGTTCCAGCTTTCAATACCCTCACAATGGCAATTAAATTTAAACATGAGTTTTGGAGAGATCATTCAAACCCCAGCAAGGTGGAAAGCAAAACACTGTTTATGGAATAATTTCTCCCCTATTCTAGCTAACTGAAAACTCTCAGCTGATAAAAAAAAAATGGTGGGTTGCTGAAGCATATAAAGTAACCTTAATACATTTTTCTGCCTCTTCATCCAAACTCACCTCATCTTTGTGGTTTAGTTCATATTACACCTCTCCTCTGGAAGACCTGCCTTGACTTCTCTAACAATGTGAGTCTCTACTTATCTCTGCCACCCCTTACTATCTATCCACCTGGAGGTGTTTGTAATAAAGACCCATACAGAGTGGTCAGGATGAATCTGCTAAAGGTCAGTGGTTTGAAAATACAGCTTTGTAGAGAAGCGTTAAACGTGATGAGTTCTTCATCCAACATCACATTATCATCCTCAACTTTGGGTATTGCATCCTCAGACTGCTCAGAATCCTGAAATTGATCAGTATTGAAGAAATTGTTTTACTCTCATCACTCATAAGAGATTGAAGTTTATAAATCAGGAAGTCTGCTAATTAATTCATAATGAGAAAGACGAGCATTGAGTGGAGCTGACTTTGATGTTAGTCCAACCAGCATTTTCTCCCTGTACCCATGCTACACAGAATTCAAATTATTAGAACTTTGCTTAGTGAACCCTGGAATCAGAACAAGGGGAATTACACAAATATTGAATGGCATCAGGCTCTAATGGCTTTGTTATTCCTTTTTTACAATAGGGCCATAAATATGTTGCAATAAAATTTATCATCCAGACTGAGATATCTTTGAGAGTTGAAGAGAACACTGTTACAACTACACTAGGGCAGTAAGTGTCAGGATTATCCAAGGCAAATTAGGATATATGGTCACTAGAGATTCTAAATGCCTGGAAGACAGCAGGATCCATTCTTTTCTAAAGAATATTCAAATGACCATATGGACAATTTTAATTGTTTCTCTCAAGATCAATTTTTCTATACTTTACAGATGACCAACCCATCTTCCTGCTCAAGTGCAGCAGGCTTAATTCTAAGATTATCTATTAGATTCCTACCTCATTAGGTACACACACTGGGATATATGCCCCAGTCCTGACTGTGACAAGTGAGTCATTCCCTTGATTAGGATATAATGATAGTATAGTTGCTCCTGTGATTACATTTCTTTATACAAGACTCCTTCCTAGCAGACTGGAGATAGTGTCTTCTCCTAGGCTTGGAGAAACAAGCTACTATGTTGTGAATTGGGCCATGTGCCAGGGATAAGCAGTTTCTAGGAGTGAAAGGACTCAGTCCAACATCTATAGGAACTGAATTCTGCCAACAGCCAGTGATCTGAGAAGGCCATGCCTCAGTTGAAACCACATCCCTGACTGACACCTTCATTTTGGCCTGTGAGAGGAGACTGAGCAGATGATACTGTTAAGCTATACCTAGATTCATGAAAATGGTGAGATAATAAGTTTGTGTTGTTTTAAACCACTGAGTTTGTGGTTACTTGTTACTTGGTAATAGAAAACTGATACAGGAGGCTTTACTTGTTAGTTCCTGAAATCAGATAATAGTCAATTCTTACAGGTTGGAGGCAAGAAGGAGTTTTCTCCTTGAGCAAAAAGACAAAAGTTTTATTCTTACTCTGTATATCCCAAAGTGCCTATTATAATTCTGGGCCAGCAGCCAGTTCTATAAAAATATCAGTCAATGAATCCATCCATCCATCAATCAAAAAATAATTTGTTAATTTACAGTGAATTATATTTATTTCCTCTAATTGTCTGTATTCCACAAGAGAGTAGAAGGCTATTAAAAACAGTGTTTGTGTCAAACTGTCCTGCTTAAAATATGCCCTTTCTTTCTTTCTTTCTTCTCTCTTTTCTTTTCTTTTTTTTTTTTTTTTTTTTTGAGTTGGAGTCATGCTCTGTTGCCCAGGCTGGAGTACAATGGCATGATCTCGGCTCTTTGCAACCTCCGCCTCCCAGGTTCAACCAATTCTCCTGCCTCAGCCTCCCAGGTAGCTAAGATTACAGGCTCCCACCACCATGCCTGGCTAATTTTTGTATTTTTAGTAGAGATGAGGTTTCACTATGTCGGCCGGGCTGGTCTCTTGGCCAGGCTGGTCTTGAACTCCTGACCTCATGATCTGCCTGCCTTGGCCTCCCAAAGTGCTGGGATTACAGGCATGAGCCACCATGCCTGGCCTCGCCAGCCTTTTTTACCCCCATTAGTCTCTCTCCAAATGCTCTAATCACTCTGCACTTCATTCCAATGATAACTTTATTTTCTAATAGAGATAGTAATATTATTCATGCATTAGACTTTGTGCGAGAATTTCAATGAAATAAACATTAAAAGAAGTTAGAGCAATTCCTACCAAGCACACAATAAATGCTAGCTCTTGTTACTAATACTAAGGCCTTTGCATATGCTGTTCCTTTGACCTGAATGTGGGGTCAGAGCCCCCACACAGAGTCCCCAGTGGGACACTGCAAGGTGGAGCTGTGAGAAGAAGGCCACCATCCTCCAGACCCCAGAATGGTAGATCCACCAACAAGTTGCACCATGTGACTGAAAAAGCCACAGATGCTAAAAAAAAAAAACAAAACAAAAAAAAAACAAAAAAAAAAACTGCCAGGAGGGGAGCTATATCCTGCAAAGCTGCAAAGCCACAGAGGCAAAGCTGCCCAAGGCCATGGGAGCTCCCATCTTGCATCAGTATGGCTTGGATGTAAGACACAGAGTCAAAGGAGATCATTTTGGAACTTTAAGGTTTAGTGATGGTCCTATTGGATTTTGGACTTGCATGGGGCATGTAGGCCCTTGTTTTGGCCAATTTCTTCCATTAGCAACAGATGTATTTACCCAATGCCTGTACCCTTCTTGTATCTAGGAAATAACTAACCTACTTTTGATTTTGCAGCCTCATAGGAAGAAGGGATTTGCCTTATCTCAGATGAGACTTTGGACTGCGGACTTTTGAGTTAATGTTGAAATGAGTTAAGACTTTGGGGGACTCTTGGGAAGCCATGACTGATTTTGAAATGTAAAGACATGAGATTTGGGAGGGGCCAGGGGTGGAATGATGTGGTTTGGCTGTGTCCCCACCCAAATCTCACCTTGAATTGTAATAATTCCCATGTGTCAAGGGCAGGACCATGTGGAGATAATTGAATCATTGAGGCAGTTTCCCCCGTACTATTCTTATGGTACTGAATAAGTATCATGAGATCTGACGGTTTTATAGATGGGAGTTCCCCTGCACAAGCTCTCTTGCCCACCGCCATGTAAGACATGACTTTTCTCCTTATTTGCCTTCTACCATGATTGTGGTTTCTCCCTAGCCATGTGGAACTGTGAGTCAATTAAACCTCTTTCCTTTATAAATTACTCAGTCTTGGGTATGTCTTTATGAACAGCATGACAACAGACTAATACAGCCTGTAATACTTTTCTTGCATCTCTCTCCCTCTCTGACTAGGTAAGGAGGTGACTCTGCCTTCAGGTCTCAGATTAAATACCTTTTGATTTGGAAGCCTTTCTGACATCACCCACGAGTATTGCTAGATTAGGCTTCCATTAGGTGACATCCCCCAGTTCACTAGATTTTTCTTTCACATCATTTGTTATTATGCCAAATGCTATGGTTTGAGTCGCTCCCTCAAATTCCATGTATTGGAAACTTAATCCCCAAATTCATAGGTTGATGGCATTTGGAGGTTTGGCCTTTAGGAATTAATTAGGATTAGATAAGGTCACCAGGGTGAGGACACCATGATGGGACTGGGGTGGCTTTACAAGAAGAGGAAGAGACACTGGAGTTGGCATGCTCTTTCCCTCTCACCGTGTGATACCCTCTGTCATGTTTTGATATAGTAAGAAACCCCTAACTAGATGTAGCCCCTTCACTTTGGACATATCAGGCTCCAAAACTATAAGAAATAAATTATTTTCTTTATAAATTACCCAGCATGGGGTATTCTCTTATAGCAATAGGAAACAGACTAAGACACTAAATGTTTATGAGTCATGTAATGTCTTCCTCTTTAACTAGACTACAAGCTCTGTGAGGGCAAAGACCCTATCTGTGTTATATATTGTTGGTTTTATAACTTCATTATAGAGCCTGGCATGTAAGAACCATTCAAATATATTGTTTTCTGTTTGGGCTACTATAAAACATACCTGAGCCTGGGCAATTTATAAATAACAGAAATGCATTGCTCACAGTTATAACGATTGGAAGTCCAAGATCAAGGTGCCTGCAGATTTGGTGTCTGGTATGGGCTCGTTCCTCACAGATAGCATTTTCTATGTGTCTTCACATGGTGGAAGAGGCAAGACAGCTTTCTGAGGCATCTTCTATAAGAACACCAATCTCATTCATGAGGGCAGAGCCTTCATGACCTAATTGCCTCCCAAAGTCCTCATCTCTTAATACTATTGCATTGGAGACTAGATTTAAACATATCAAATTTTGAGGGGACACAAACATTCAGATTATAGCAATTGTGAAATGGCAAATGAATTAATAAATAAAGGAATAATTACAAGAAAAGCAATCACTGAGGAAATAAGTTCATTAATGGAATGGCTCTTAAATTTTCACCACAACCCTAAAATGAACCAAAAATGAAGAGGCCAAGTCAATGAATTAAAATGAAACATATATGTTTATATTAAGTAAAATTGATTTTGTCAAAGATACCAAACTAAAACTTTTTCAAATATGCAATGACAGAATAATTCAAAAAGTCACTCTAGCTGAAACTACATGCATTATTACAGATATGGCTGGCAAAAAGCCTGCATCTATAATTTACCTCTCCACCCTTCAAGTGTTAGGCCAATGCTAGCTACTATAATAAAGAGACTCTTAAATTTCAGAGGCACAATGAATGTTTACTTCAGTGTTGTGACCATCCATTGAGAGTATTTTAGTTAAGTGACTTTCTTTCAGGCAGGAATTTAGGGACTCCAGTCTCCTCTCACTTTGTGGCTCTGCCATCCTGTGGCTTGGCTATCTTCCCCCAGAAGGGAAAAGCACAAAGAGGACCATAAGTGGGAGATTTTTATGAACCAGACTGGAAGTGGAATGCCTCATTCTTGAGACCATTCTGTCACTTACAACTTCAAGATGGCTATACTCCACTGAAAACTAGGCTGGAAGTGTTGCTTTCCTGTATCCTCCAGAAGAAGAGGAGGCTGGTGTGGTGAGAGCTAGCCAATGTCTGACACATCATGCAAAATTAAAAGTGCTCTCCTGATTCCAAGCCAATTCAAAGTTGGGAGGTCTGTAAAATTGAACATGGGTATTTTTTTACATGCAAGTCTTATCTGTGACCTCCAAGAATGTAAAATGCTCTAGGCATATGTTATGTCAACATCACCCCAATTGCCCAAAATTAAGCATAATAACAGTAACCTTGAGTAAGTCAAGTATCAACCTATCTAGTACATAAAAACATTACTAAATTAGGTTTTCCCTGCTCTATTCTTAACAGAATATTTGGGAATTTGATTATTACAGCCCAGTTATTTCTAAAAATGAGTAACACTTCCACAGGGCACTGCTAAAATGCACAGAGGCATTTTAATTGCCTATGAATATTCAAAACCTCATTATTGTTGCAGTTTATAATTATCAAATTCCCTTGATAAAAATGTGCAGCACACAATAAAAAAAAAAAGCCAATCCATTTAGAAGTGTTGGCTTCCATGTTCAACCATTTCACTTTCATTCTTGGCTATTGAGTCTATATCATTACATTTCATTTTGGGGAGATGCTAAGATTAAGCACATCTTTTCCCATTCAAAATGAAGCCTGTTGATTGTGTACATTTCCTTCTTAAGGTGCAGCATATTTTACACAAGACAGTAGATTCATTGAACTGCTATAAAACTCAAACTGAAGCTTGGAATGGAGATCAAGATTTGTGTGCAATAGAAAGCAAAACCGGAAGTTGAGAGTATCTTCTCTGGTTTTGGAAGAATCGTGATGGCACAGTGGCAGTGGAAACAAATTTGTAATTCAAAGCCTTGAGAAAATGAGAAAAATTTCACTGAAAATTACCATTTTGCAAACAGGTAGAAAGACATGGTTGATCATCAAAACAGATCTGGAAGAAAGTTAACAATAACAACAAAACAAACAAACAAAAAACCTGAAAACAGCAACAACCAAAAAGAACCCTAAGTCATCTCCCAGTATAAAACTGGTTTTGCTTAAAAGTCTGCAGAATAATGGTTTCCAGCTTCATTCTCAGCGAACTAACACAAGAACAGAAAGCCAAACATCGCATGTTCTCACTCATAAGTGGGAGTTGAACAATGAGAACACATGGACACACGGGGAGGGGAACATCACACACTGGGGCCTGTCGGTGGGTGTGGGGCTAGGGGAGGAATAGCATTAGGAGAAATACCTAATGTAGATGATGAGTTGATGGGGGCAGCAAACCACAATGGCATGTGTATACCTATGTAACAAACCTACACATTCTGCACATGTATCTCAGAACTTAAAGTATTAAAAAAAAAAGTCTGCAGACCAATTCATTCCTTTAATAAATATTTATGGAATTCATTCCTTGTGCCAGACACTCTGCCAGTAGGAGGGAACACATTGATGAGTAAAATTAGTATCTCCAAGTAGCTAATCTCCATTTTCTTTGTTCTTTTCTTTCTTCTTAATTTCCTTTTTTGAAAAAATTATAATTATTCAGCAAACATTAATTGAGTATCCATTATGTGTCATGGAATGTATAGAATGTATAATTGATGCTACAACATTGCTTACAGTACATTGAGGTAGATAGACACATAAATCTACAATTATAACACTATGTGGAAGCTCAGTGATAAACTGGAGAAAAGAGCATTTTTGCTCACAACCCTTCCTATACTAGATTATCAGGAAAGACATACCTGAGAAGCTGACACCTGATTTGAATAATAAAGAATACACTTAAATTAGTCAGCTAAAATCGTGAATCTAGAAAAGGTGATCCAAAATTAAAAGCAGGAACAAGGCAAGGTAAAGAGAAAGAACAGGGGTTGTGTATGGAAATGAAGTTTAGGTTCTTGGTATAACATAAAGGTTGGAGGTACAGCCCTATCCAGACTACACGGACTGAATAAAGGAAGAGTTAGATCTTAGATCTTTCAATGAAGGAAAAGCCATTGATATTTGGAAGGCAAATAATCCTATCTACAAAGCAATCACTGTGAGATTTCACCTCAGCACTTGCAGTGCCAGATCAAGAAGACCAGAATAAACAGAATTCTAGCACTGTGCTTCTCCATAGGGCAGGGTAAGATATGGAGATCACAGCAGGCTTGTTTGATGGTTTTTCCTAAATATTCATCACTTCATCCTAATTCTACTCCGAACCCCATAAATCTAATAGATGTTGACTAATCCTTGAGTTGAGAATGTGAAGTCGACAGGGCTCAGGCATATTTATTTTGTAATTTGGATCTCCTTTCTCTGCTCCATCAACATTAAAAATGACACAGAGTATTTGAATAAACTACTACATAACAGATGACTGGATAAAGAAAATGTTGTATATATACAAGATAAAATACTATTCAGCCACAAGAAGAATGAAAACATTTGTTTTGCAGCAACATGGATGGAACTGGAGGCCATTTTCTTAAGTGGAACAACTTAGAAAGAGACAGGCAAATACTACATGTTCTCCCTCATAAGTGGGAGCTAAATAATGTGTACACATGGGCATAGAGTATGAAATGATAGACACTGGAAACTTGGAAGCATAGAGGTCGAGTCAGAGAGGGGTGGATGATGAGAAATTCCTAATGGGTATAATGTATACTTATTCACCTGATGAATACCCTATAAGCCCAGACTTCACCTCTACACAATGCATCCATGTAACAAAATTGTACTTGTACTCCTTAAATTTATACAAATTTTAAAATATACATACAGTAAAATAAACACTTTGAAAAAGATAATACACAATTTTTAAAATTATTTTATTTTATTATTATTATAATTTAAGTTTTAGGGTACATGTGCACAATGTGCAGGTTTGTTACATATGTATGCATGTGCCATGTTGGTGTGCTGCACCCATCAACTCGTGATTTAGCATTGGGTATATCTCCTAATGCTATCCCTCCCCACTTCCCCCACCCCACAACACCCCCCAGTGTATGATGTTCCCGTTCCTGTGTCCATGTGTTCTCATTGTTCAGTTCTCACCTATGAGTGAGAACATGTGGTGTTTGGTTTTTTGTCCTTGCGATAGTTTGCTGAGAATGATGGTTTCCAGCTTCATCCATGTCCCTACAAAGGACATGAACTCATCATTTTTTATGGCTGCATAGTATTCCATGGTGTATATGTGCCACATTTTCTTAATCCCGTCTATCATTGTTGGACATTTGGGTTGGTTGATAATACATAATATTTTTATACGTTCAAGGAACATTAGAAACTTTAAACATATTCCAGGCCACAAGGGAAAGCAAATTTCCCCAAAAGTATAAATCATAAAGCTCATAGTTTCTGATTACAAGACAATAAAAATAAAACTTAGTAACAAAGGTTTAAACATTTGCCAACTGCTTGGAAATTAAGCAGCAGTCCCAGAATTATTTAGTTACTAATTTTGATTAAAATAAATGTAACTAAAGGCTATTTAGGAATTTAAAAATAACAGTGATGGCACAACATGTTAAGGCATATGGAATACTTTCAACACTTACACACAAATCCAGAGCATTTGTGTACATATGTTATGTGAAACAGCCTTGAATATTTGGCAGACTTGTTTGTGGATTTCTGCTGAGTAATAATAGCATCAGTTTCTTCCCTATATTCTTAGGATAAAGTTCAAACAATTAACAATGTTAACATTAAATGTTTATCATTTTTGTTAACAGAAAATAGAAGTTAAGGAAATAATTGAAACATTATGGGAATATATTATCGTTCATGTGCAATAAGCTTTATAAGTGGATAGAATAGGATGAAACTGCAGGAGAAAAAGGAGAAATGACCTTAACAGGTGATTTAAGAAAGAAGAAACACACATAGCTAAGCATGTGAAAAATCTCACTTATTGGTAAACAAAACAGATGTGAATTATAATAAGATGCCATTTTTTTTGCCACTCAGAATTTGAGCTAATCTTTATTGAATACTTACTCTGTGGGAAGGCACAGTTCTAAACTCTTCACATGTATCAGCAACCTTAATTCAACAACTTTATAGGGTAGATACTATTATTAGCATTATTTTATAAATAATAAAGTGGAGACATGCAAGGTTATGTAATTGTCCTTGGCAGTAGACTTTGAATCAAATTGACAAATGTTTAACATACAGCATTGTCCAGTGCTGAAATGGTGCAGCAGAATGGCATTCTTATAAATACCTTGAATGTAAACTGGTACAATTTTCCTGGAGAGCAATTTGACAGCATGAATAAATAGCTTTAAATCCCCTAAATATTTAAAGTGTTCCATCTTTATGAATTTGTACTGAAGGAAAACAAAAGTCAGAAATCAGTGATGTTCTATGATGTGTATTGGAATGCTATACTAATAAAAATCCTAATTTTATAATCAAATATTCCATGACAGGGATTTATTTACATACAGTATGGTATAACCAAAAAAGCAAAATACTATACAGTCATTCAAAATTATCCCATAAATAATATGTGATAAGGTAAGGAGATGGCCATGATATAATGAAGTTAATAAAAGGAAGAGTCAAAACTATAAATACTAGTAATATCAGAAGATTCAGACTTTACAGTTTTTGTAAATACACACACATACACACACAAAAACTCACATTCTCACACAGTAAACATAAAGGAAAATAAACCAGTATTTTAACAGAGATGATCAGTGAAACATTAGATATATATTTTAGTTCCTTTCCTGTATAATTTTACGTTGAGACTATTAATCTTGTAATTATAAAAAGAGATTAATTTTTAAAGTGTGCGTTTTACAAGTCTTAGATTTTCAAGCAGGTAGTCAGAGAACATCAACATTGTCACAAAACAACATCTGTTATCGAACTTAAGTAAATGAATAAATATCCTTCACAAGCAGATAGGTAAACAGGACTTTGATTAATGAATATGCTAACTGTTCTTCTCTACTACACACATTAACCTCTTGTTTTTAACTGTGACATATCCTTATGAGAAAACACTTTTAAATTTATCATTTCCTTTCAAATACTGAAGTTACAATTTCGGAACATTTCTAACACTTTTCCTCCTATCAAGAATCATCTTGGGATAAGGATGACATGTAGCCTCTTGCCACAATCCAAATCTCCCATTTGTTTGGCCTCAGCTCTCCTTGAAAGGCCCCAGTCTAATCCTGCTTAGGGAATGAGTCCTGTTCTGGTGGGGTGGGGATAAAAAAGCTAGCTGCACACAGAGTAGGAAAGTGTACAGCCAGCATGGCTTTTTTGAGCCTGACTCCATGTGTCTGTGTCCTGTTCTCATGCACTTGCCTCATGAATTCTTCCTTAACTTTAATTCTTTCTTAGCTAAGTCAGAAACTTAGAAGGTTAGATCCCAGACATAGTACTTTGTAAAACTCCCTTGGTAATTCTAATGTGAAACCAAGGTGGAGAACCACTGCACCAAGCTTGGTTTACTCAAACTGAAGAAAATCATAATCCTTCCTTTTGAGCCATCTTCCCCAGGGCAACACTGAACCTCCTTAGCAGCATCAGGGCACAAATCAACTGAAACTAAAAGTTATCACAATGGCAGGCAACCCAAGTCAATTCACAAAAGTTAGCAAGATAGTGAACCGTTTCTCACTCTCTTTTTTCCATGCAGTAAAAATAATGACCTGCCTGAGTTGTGAGACAAGGTGCATCCAGGAACTATTGATTTATTTTTACTGGATCCCACAGCAGCATCCGGAAAATGGATAGGCAAGTACTATGCCCAATAGCCTCTTGGGCACACAGTTTTATTACAGCCCCTTTGTTCCCTGACTCCAAGCCTTTCCCTGACCAATCTTGCTCATGTAATCTACTCTTGGTCATCTAATCTCAAACTACATTTAAATTTGTTTTGAGTAAAGCTCACAAGAATGTGTATTGCCCCATCCTTTATTGGAATTCATTTTATTTGTGGCTTAAAAAAAATCTTGCTGCATGGTCTACTACTTGATGTCACTAATTTGTCAGAATTTGTTTCTGTGAAAATATAAACCCAAATTCATATATGTGTGTGCATATCTACATAGTCACACATTTGATTTTTAAAACTTTTATTATTTATACAACATTTTTGTACTTAACTCTTAACCTACAAAATTCTCTAATAAAATCAACTGCCCTCCTAAGCAATATCACCTATTGCCTACTTCAGTTAGTTGTGCGGACTGAATGAGAAAGAGCCTGAAAAGCTTGCAGAAGAGTACCTAGCAATGGTAAATCACCTAAAAGACGTGAGCAATTACTAATATAGTGACTCGGAGCTGGTATTAACTTTCAGTTAAACCTGCATTTTTTAAGTGCAGCAAATAGATATTGACTTAATATGGCAATTTCTCAAAAATGTAAATGTTATGCAATTTCTCATAAATGAAATGCCTTTGAACTGGAATAATATCTGTTTCATAATCTGACCCCCTTTCATTAGTATTGTTCAACAATAGTCTTTTATTTCTTACTTTGAATTAGGCAAAATTTTCTTCAGAATCAAATGAAAGAAAAGGAATGATGATTGTACTTCTCTTTGTATTTATGAAAATTGATGTATTTTGAAGATAAGAACTGATGAATGTATCCAGAGCCTAAATTAATGAAGAGGAAGAAGAACAAAACAAATGAGGCTGCAAGCATCTATATGTATTTGTGTGTGTGTGTGTGTGTGTAATACTGTGTGTGTATATACAGATTTATATATATATATATATATATATATATATATATGTGCCTTTTCTACCCCATTCCTCATTGTTTGGTTTCAATGGGTCTCTAATTCTAAGGGAGAATTTAGAATCTACAAGCTGCAGTATGAACAGCTACAAAAGTGTGGGGAGCTGTGGAGGTAGGGAGGGCTAGAGAGAGAAAGAAATGCATAAGGAGAGACTAGAAAGAAACTTTTTCAAGATTTCACAATTTCCAGGACCCCATTCTCTTTTGATCTTAGCCATGTCCCCAAGGATCCTGGGTACTATAAATTAAGAAGTAGATGGTTGAGATGATATGGCATTTTATGATTAAATGCAATACTCACACCAGGAGAATCAGGCAAAGCTCATTCCCAGTCTAATTCAAGGAGAACCCCTTTCTTCAAGGTTTTCTAAGTTCTAATATCATAACAATTCCCAAAACCTTGCCATGAAATCCATCACCTTCAGACTTGAAAGCACGGTGGCCACCCTTCTTAGTGGGAGCCTTGGAAGAGGTGAAGTGACCATTATAAGGACAGATAATTTGAATTTTCCATCTTAATCTTCTTTCTTGAACAGTCCGGTTGTACCCTTTGATATACACAATGGTTTCTAAAGAGACCTGACACACATTCACATCTCTAAATTTTAGATTTTATGCGCCAAAACGGTAAAGCATTATTCCTATTTGCTACTAAGACAGTTGTTTTTGGAGAGATTTAGCTGCAGGAATGTTTGTGTAAAACAGACATTTTCATTATTATTAAAAAACACTTAATATAGCACATAAATATGAAGTGCTGTTCAAATGTTTACGAATGTCAGACTCATTGAATCTTCATATTAATTTTAAGTGGTAGATGATATTACTATTATTTTAAATCTAATTTTTAAAAGAGGAAACCTGAAATGCAGATAAGCTAAATGACTTGTTCAATGTCAAATAGGTAGTAGATAAAACACAGGGAGCACAGGTTTAGGGGCAGTGCCTCTAAGTGCTGGACCATGCTACCTCTGATTCTGCAAAGCCCACCTGCCTCAGAGAGTTCCAGCTGAGATTGGCAGAAGGGTCATAGATTTAAAGTGTCTGATTTCACTTATAATTTAACTTTCATAGGATATGGTCACATGATTACTAATAAAACATATGCTAATACAATCAGCAGTTTGAATGAAACTGCTGCACATGAAATTTTAGAAAAGAAAGTATTAACAACTCCTATTGGAATACATACTCCCAGATCCTGAACTATAGACCTCTAGCTTTTAGAACTCCAGTTTGATGCTAACATTAAGTAAAGGCTTGCTATGTGCTAGATACTTGTCAAAATTATTTAATTTTGCTAATAACTTATCAATTTCTCATTACAAATCCTATGAGGTAGATGCTACTATTATTCTTACTTCACATAATGAAACTATAGAGATAGTAAATAACTATGCTAGTGCTTACTTATGTTCAAGTTTGAACCATGAATGGTGAATAAAATATTTGTAGGTTGATAATTTTGTATTATAAAATGCTTTAGCAAGTTCCTGATTTTGTAACTCTCCATCTAGTTTTCAGATTAATGTAGGCTGAAATTCTCAGGATTATTTAAGAAATTCAGTTTTCACTCTGTTTTGTTATATTTTGTAGGGAAGCAAACAAGTTAAAAGAAAATGTTAAAGTGTTTCTTTGTTGACTGGCCTGAGAAAGCCACCACCAGTTTTGAAGGTGTCATCTCCAGTCTATGAAACATAGCCAGATTTTTAATATAATCTAGAAAAAAATTATTACTAGAAGGGGGCTTGGAGATTTTTGCATTCTTGACTTTCACTCTTTGAAGTTAAAATTGAATCTTTATTATGAAATGACTGCTGATCTTTGAAATCTTCTCATGACTCTTCCTTGAACTGGTAAACAATTTAGAGATCAAAGATTCTAAGAGACTTTTCCTTTTTCTTTTCTGTTCTACTATTTGAAACACATGTAAATGAGTACTTGTCAATTAATAAGGCTGCAAAGAACTTGGGGACTATAGTGGCAAATATTTCATTTTAATCTGGAGTTCATGAAGCCATCATTGAATTGATTCTGATTTGTTTTCATTTATTCATTATTTCAATACATCTTTAAGCACCTAATGTGTGAAAAAACAAAAACAAAAAACTCCTTATTTTCTGGGAACTTGGGAATAGCTATAATTGAGGTTTAAAGATGTTTGATTAACAGAGCTGCTCTAAATCAATCAGCTGGGATGAAAAGAAAAGAAGTAAAGCCATGTTGCAAATGTGAGTCATTTAATGTCATTCTTTGGAAAGCTCCAGCAGAGATTGTGGAAAAGGTGGTGGTGGTTTAAAGAGGATGGATGTACAATTAAGTTTTTGAGTAAAATTATAAATGTGATAAAAAATGGAAGCACTGCGTGCTACGAGGTTATATTTAAGGGGGACCTGAGGTATTGGGGGATGAGGAACCATCAGAGAAGTCTTCTCAAAGAATGAGAAATAGGTAACCAGAAAAATAGGTGCTGTGTGTGTGCATGTGCGTGTGCGTGTGTGTGTGTGGAGAGAGAGAGAGAGAGAAAGATTTTTCAGGCCAGCAGTCAGGCAGTAGAGGTACCACCATGTGACAAGAAAGATAGAAAGATTCTGGCCATTTGAAGATCTAAAAGAGCTTCAGGCCATTTTAGTGAGTTGGGGCCCAATTTTGCATTCCTGATATGCTTTGTTGAGCTCCTTTGAATGTTATTCCTAAAACAAGAAACACTGGTGGCTGGACTAGGGCTTGGTAATGCAGATGGCAGGATATGAGTATATGTGAGATGCAGTGCAGAGCTTGAATCCACTCAGTCTTTGTTAGATGCTCTAAATAGAACATGTTAAAATCAAATAAATCAGATGGGTTGTTATTTTTTGTAATGTTCTTTTTCTTTACTATATTAGGAATATACCCATATATTTGTAAAGAGATTTTTAACTTACAAAGTGCTTCTATCCTAACAACAATAAGTAATTACAAACACTTATTTGATGACTCACCTTGAGCTAGAAGTGGGAATCTCAAGCTTAAAGAGCTTAAGCTCTAAGCACTTAACATACACTTGTGCTCTAACTTAATTCTTACAACTACCTTCTTAAGGAAGTATAGTCAAGTGCCCCATAATGACATTTCAGCCAGTGACCAACCGCATATACAATGGTGGTCTCATAAGATTATAGTGCAATGTTTTTACGGCACCTTTTCTGTGTTTAAAAACACAAATGCCACAGTCTTAGAACTGCCTGCCATATTCAGTACAGTCACTTGCTGTGCAAGTTTGTATGCTAGAAGCAATAGGCCATACACTATAGTGCAGGTGCAGACTAGGCTACACGATCTAGGTTTGTGTAAGGACACTCTGTGATGGTTGCATGACAAGGAAGTCACCTAATGATGCTTTTCTCAGCGTACATCCCCTTCATTAAGTGATGCATGACTGTAATGCTATTACTGTCTCCTGTTTCACAGATGGGGAATCTCAGGTTTTAGGAGGCTAAGTGATTTACCAAGATAATGTAATTTGGTGGCTCAGGGGGTTTCTAATTGTACACACTGCAACTGCCTCCAGAAAGATGTCAATCTGGCCTGAAAAGGTTGATAAAGGTCTCTAAAGGCATGAGAACTCTTCCTTCAGTCAGGTGGCCTGGCATTACCCAAATTGTCTATATTTATATTAAAAGCCTCAGTAAACGATTTATTTCTAGGTTCTAACTTAATTCTTAAATATTTTGGGAGACTCATACTTCTACTGAATTGTGCAACACACTAACAAATGCACTCACACATGTATATAAATTATCTCTATGAAAATATATGGAAATATGAAATATATTCATATTGAATATATATAATGTAAACTATATATATCGTGTATAAAATATATATTTGAATATGAAAAAATATGTATGTATTCATGTGTCCCCTAAGCACCTCTCACTAAAAGAATTATCTGTTTCCCAATTTGATCTTTCTCCTTAGCTATTCTTGTAAAATCAAGTCCATACCTCACAGCACTATGAAAATCCTGAAATAGAGCTCAGGACATGACTCCTTCTGTAATTTATAAAAGCAGAAACTAGTCCCTACATGCTGAGCTATCAGCCTTAAGAAAGAAGGAAGCACGAGGAGATACTGAGGCAGCTTTCAAAAACATGGTGTACCTATCAGCAGCCAGCATGCAAACATGTAAAAACTAGAGAATTGAGCATATAAAATCATGCCTATTTCTCTAGTGGTTCAACAGCTAAATCTGCACTCGAAGATGGGTGCTAGTTTTAGAGAATGAAAAGTAACCATGGCTTTCTCTCTTTAAAAAGAAAAGAATCTAAAAAATGTACTAACCAATCATTTCAGACATCAACTAGTTTAAGCTGCTCTGTGTTAGAGCATCAAATATTTATACTAAGCCACCATCGGAAACTGGAAGACTTGTCAGTGGAATGATTCATCTGTAAGTCAAGTAATCAGTAACAATGGACTTGAAATTTTAATTATTGTGGTAATTCAGAAAATGAGGAGAGTGATTACTTTTTCAGTAAATTTTTATTGTTTGCATGCTATGTGCCACTTACAGTTCTGAAAACTAGGGAGTAATGAACAAGACAGGTGTTTCCCCTGTGGTAGGTGGAATTCCAAGATGATCCTGGATGACCTACGCCCTTGCAAAACTCCCTTCCCATAACAGTGGGTGAAACCTGGAAATATGATGAGATAGCATTCCTGTGGTTAGGCTACTGATCAACTGAATCTGAATTAATCAAAAGGGAGATGGTACTGGCTGGGCCTGAGCTGAGGTCCTCAGCCTTAAACCCACATGGAACTGATTTCTGCCAATTTCCTGAGTGAGCTTTGCAGAGGATCCTGATCCTCAGCTGAGAGGGACCCCAGGCCCACATCTTGATTTAAGTTCTCTGAGACCCTGAGTAGAGGATCCAGTTAAGTCACGCCTGAACCCTTTACTCAGGGAAACTGTGCAATAATACATGCATCTTGATTTAAAGTGCTAAGTTTATAGAAATTTTTTACACAGCAATAGAAAACTAATGCAGTTCTTTGCTTGGACATATGATGAAACTCTCAAGCCTTAAAATTTTCCCTTTCTTTTGTAATCCCCTAACCCTTTGTGTTTGAGATTGTATTTCCCTTCATCTCTATGAAAGATGTCAGGAAGGTGAGCAGAAAAAGGAAACACTAAAGAAAGGGGAAGAAATATATGAGCTCATCAAAGCATATGCTGGACAAAAGGAAATGAAGTCAGTAACCTCATTTTTCCCAGGATGATGAGCTGTGGTAGCACGATGATCAATAACATTAGCTTCAAAGCCATCAACCAAAGAAATGCAAAACCAAAGGGTAACAGATAAGGCCATCATAAACACCAGTCACCAAGAGGAATGGGTTCCAAATAAATGAAATGACCAACTTCCAAGACAGTTTATAGCAGGAGCCAGGCCATAGCAGGTAGATTCCCCTAGGCAAAAGGAAATTCAGGAGGAAAAGTAGTTTGGCAATGATATATACTGTAACATGGAAAACTAATTGGCACTAAATGTAAGAAGCAATTTTTACTTTGAGTGTTAAAAGTTTCTATTCTCTTTGAAATTACACTTTTATCTTGGAAACTCACACAATGCGGACTTCAGCTGCCTCTGCTTCTAGATTTTCATTAAAACACACATGCTGTATGCAGTATTTTGATCTTGGAAGTGCTTGATATGTTAATGGTCTTGCTTTCTATTTGTGGACTTGGCATCACTCTTATTTGGTGGGCGTGATGAACTAAAAAAAGGCTGAATAGTGGGAGGACAGAATGCCCTTCACTGAACAAAGGCAAACGTTTCTAAACAGGCTATTATCTGTTCACTCAGCCATGGGCAAGGAACCTATAGATATGAGAATTATAGTCGACTTCTGGGAGAGTAATCCTCTATTAAAAAACTCACTTGGCTTTTTTTTTCCCCATCACTTGCAAAAATTCCTTTGAATCACAAACTCCTTAGAGGAGATCATGAACTCCTTTCTACTTAAAATCTCTATGACAGAAACCCACAACACCTAAATAAAAAGAGAATTGAAGCTCTGCTGTGATGATCATTCAAGAGCTAATCTCGGATCCCCAGGCGCCTGTAAAATAAAACCCTTTCTTAGTACCTATCTCCTATCTTCAGAGTCTCTTTCAACACAGATAAGAAAACTCCCAAAGACAATTCAATTTAGAAAAATATTAGCCAATATGCAATAGTTCTGATATAAGTAAAATTAAGAAACATGTCTAATGTAAACATGCTTTGACAATCACTAAAATCATGACAAATAGGTGCTCACGTGAATATCAAACCTTAACATTCTACTACTGAAAGTCTAATATGGGAAAAGTCTGAGTGATATGGATAGATACAAAATACAAGTGAATAAATGAATGAATGAAAGCACGAATAAATAAAAATAAGATGCCCCTTGCCTTTCAGGTCTTCATGATGTATTGAGACCTAGACCTAAATGAGGAACTCTGATACCCAGCTGTTCCTGATCAGTGTGATAGTGACATTCCTTGAAATAGAGTCTGTATTAGTCTGTTTTGCATTGCTATAAAGGAATATATGAGGTTGGGTAATTTACAAAGAAAATATGTTTATTTAGCTCATGGTTCTGCAGGCTGTACAAGAATGGCATCAGCATCTGCTAGGCTTCTTGTAAGTCCCCATGGAGCTTTTGCTCATGGTGGACGAAGAAGGGGGAGCAGGCATGTCACATGGTGAGAGAAGGAGCAAGCGTCAGGGGGAGGTCCCAGTCTCTAAGAACTGGATCTCGCATTAACTCATTACCACAGGGTGGGCACCAAGCCACTCATTAGGGATCGTCCACATGGCCCGAATACTTCCCACCAGGCTCTGCCTTCAACATTGGGAATCACATTTCAGTATGAGATTTGGAAAGGCAAACATTCAAAGTATATCGGAGTCCTAGAGAAAAGAAAAATCAGTTCCTACTGGGGAAACCAGGATGCTTAGAGGAGATTAAAAGTAAGTTTGTGTTTTCAAAGAAAGGTGTTAGTTACTTTAGAATTCAAATAATGATTAACTATGTGTCAGATACCTTACTCAGTGCTTTTTTAATTTTTAATTTTGAGATAATTGTAGATTTACATGTAGTTGTAAGAAATAATACAGAGAAACTCTGTATATGCTTTACCCAGTCCTCCCAGTGCTACTATCTTCTATAAATACAGTGCAATATCAAATCAGGAAGTTAACATTGATACAATCCCCTGACCATATTCAACCTTGTTTCACCAGTTATACACTGTGTGTGTATGTGTGTGCATGCACATGCACACATTCATGAGTGCATGCACATGTGTGTTTAGTTCAACTATTCTCTATGAGATAAATGGCAGGGGTATTCATTGTTTATATCAGCCTTCTCCATGTAATGATACTTTGATATTCCTCTGGATAATAACCCTGTCCCCCACCACTAGCCTCTCTGCCTTCAGTGGTTAAGTCCTAACCTGAGGTCCAAGATTAAGAAAATAACTCAGGTTTAGACAACCAAAACTCTGTTACTTCTGGCCATGTGATAGGCACACAACATAATCAAACAATAAAATTGTGTAGATGTTGCTGAGAGTCTTTCCTTTTTCACTGAATGACCTGAAATGTTCTAGATACAGAAGTGCCGGCAGTCATCTTGACACCTGGTGGAGACTGACAATGATACTAGCGTGTAGGAGAGTAGTTGATAGATTGAGAGAGACAACATTCTAATGATGTTTAAACTCCAGAATCCAGAAGGGAGCCATATTTCCATTTAACTGAGTCATATTCCTATTTAACTGAGTCATAGTCCTAGTTTCTTTAAGCAAATTTAAACCAGGTTTTCTGGGATTTGCAGCAGAAGAATCCGAACTGGTACACGGGCACATTTTATTTATTTTATACATTTTTACACATGAGAAAATGGAGATGCATAGATTGTAAAATATATTGATATTTTAAGGAAATCAGAAAGAGGAAACCCAGTTAGTGCATGATGGAGCCAAGGATAAATCCAGATTGTGTTCATCTAGGTGCTGTACCTCCAGGGTTAGGATATTGTACACTATGTCATTTGGACCAAATCAACAGGGGTTGAGATTCTTCATTTTATACAAAAGAAAACAAGTCTGAGAAATTATGCAGCTAATAGTGATAGTCATCTATTGCAGCATCATAAAAAGTACTTCAAAACTGAGTAGCTTAAACAATAATCATTTGATTTGCTTGTGGTTCTATAAATCAGCAAATTGGAACTATTCAGTGGGAATGGTCTTCTGCTTGTCTCTCCTGAAGTTACGCATGTGGCTGCAGTTAGCTAGAAGGCTAGAGGGTGGTTGATATGAGGGCCATTAGCTAGGATGGTGTATTTCTGATTGATGTGGCCATTCATTCTGTGCAGGTCAACCAGAAATAGAGGTAGTAGAAGAGTGTCCACCAGCAAGAGGGGACAAGTAGGCAAGTGCTTTTTGAACTTCTGCTTGTGTCACGTTTACTAATGTCCTATTGGCCAAGGCAACTCATGTGGCTTTGGTTTTTGTATCATATTACATCTCTCAAATAAATGAGGAATGGGTTACCAGGAAGAGGGAATAGGAATGGGAAGATATTAGATAGGAGTAAATAAAGTGAAAGATCAGGCTAGCAAGGATAAGAGGAGATACTGGAGAAGCTTTCATGGAGAAAGTGACATTCGTGTACCTCCTAGTAGCAGTTGGAAAAGAGAAGAAGAAGGGCGTGTAGGGAAGAGAGAAGCCTTCAATAGAGGATGAAGCCTTCAATAGAGGATGCAGCTCATTATGTTCCTGGAGCCAGATGGGCTAGAGTACAGAAGGGAGGAGCAGGAGTGGACTGAGACCAGCTCACA